>NC_000006.12:136320790-137570790 GCF_000001405.40 Homo sapiens
GTCAAGTGATCTGCCTGCCACTACACCCCAGCTCCATTGTGGTATATTCATACTGTGGAATACAACAGAGCATCACAAATAAATGTGAAATTTTAAAAATGTAATATTGATCAAAAGAAACCAGACAGAAAAAATACATACTGTAGAACTCCATTTACACTTGCTATACAAAGACAGCATAGTGTTTAGGCATGCACACTGAGGTCAAAGGCTTAAAGAGTACAAGTAAGAATAGTGGTAATGGCCGGGCACGGTGGCTCACACCTGTAATCCCAGCACTTTGGGAGGTCGAGGCGGGTGGATCACCTGAGGTCAGGAGTTCGAGACCAGACTGGCCAACATGGAGAAACTCCATCTCTACTAAAAATACAAAATTAGCGGGGCATGGTGGCACATGCCTGTAATCCCAGTTACTCGGGAGGCTGAGGCAGGAGAATCGCTTGAACCTGGGAGATGGAGGTTGCAGTGAGCCGAGATCATGCCATTGCACTCCAGCCTGGGTGACAAGAGTGAAACTCTGTCTCAGAAAAAAAGAAAAAGAATAGTGGTAACTTTTAAGGAGGCAGGAATTTGTGTTTTGGGAAGGGCATGTGAAGGCTTTTTGAGGTTCTAATGAAATTGTCTCTGACACAGGAGGTATTAACATGGGTTAATGCCCATGTTAATGTAGATTTAAAATCTACATTATCTTAATTAATTCAGGTGGTAATTTAAAAACAAAACTGTAATTTATATTTTACTCATGTTTCTGCATTTGTGTTATATGTCACAATACAAAAAGGTAAAAATTACTTTGTCTTTTAAAATTCTAGGCAAAGCCAGGCACAGTGGCATGCACCTGTAGTCCCAGCTACTTGGGAGACCGAAGCAGGAGGATCGCTTGAGGCCAAGAGTTTGAGGCTGCAATGAGCTACGACCATGCCTGTGAATAGCCAAGGCATTCTAGCCTACGCAACATAGTGAGACCCAGTCCCTAAAAAATAAATAAATAGATAAAATAAAATCCTAGGCAAGACAATTAGGTATGCACTCTTTACCCAAGCTAATGATCCTTGCAAAACACTCCCACAAATTCAAATACTATGTCCCTAGGCAGAGCATAACAGCTTCAGTCTTCCTTTTGTTGTTCTAATAATAGTAAGAGGAGTAGCAATAACAACAATAATAATAGCTAATATTTATGTCAAGAACTCTTGTAAGTGTTTTCCACATCTTACCTTGCTTAGTCCTTATTCACACTAGAAGGTTGGTACTATTACTATAGTCATTTTTCAAATGAGAATTAAGGAACAGAGAAGTTAGCAGAGAGCTTGTTAAGTGGTGTGGTCAGAACTCCAGATCCTCTTAATCATGACATAGTGGCAGCAGCAGTCTTACTGCTTCAGCAACCTATAGGGTGCTTGTCTCTGCCAGTCTGATTCCAGCTTTAGCCTCATTTGGATCTGTGTGACTGGCTCCAGATGCAATGATAATCACCAGTGAGAATTAAAAGAAAAAGCTTTTCACGTCCTAATAAAATCACTCCCTGACTGTCAAAACATTTAAAGTTTTTAAACCTTATGTTGAAGTCCTTAGTGAGCAAAAGCTTGAATTTTCTTTTGAGGTGAAATGTATTGTGTCTTAATCACTCCATAAGAGGCTCACTTTCTTTCTGGATTTTTAAAAATTGCTTTTGCAGTAAAGTCTGAAAATGTTTTAAGTTGTGCTAGATGCCATGAAGCAAGCCTTTTGCTTTCTGAAATAAGATTTAACATTTATATTAATGTAAGATATTGTTTTTAATTAACTTGCAGAGAGTCTTAACAAGGTATTAATTTATGAGAGGGTATAAAAAGGGAGGGATAAATAGTGGGCAAATGGTACAATGCCACAAACTACAACCAATAAATACTACATGGTATAAAGGAGTTTAATAAAATCTAAAGGCCAGGTGCAGTGGCTCATGCTATAATCCCAGTGCTTTAGGAGGCCAAGGCAGGAGGATAGCTTGAGCCCAGGTGTTGGAGACCAGGCTGGGCAAGATGGAAAGACATCTCCCTAACCCCTGCTGCCACCCCACTGCCCGCGGTCTCTACAAAAATAAAAATTAAAAAAAATAGCTAGGCATGGTGGCATGTACCTGTAGCTTTAGCTACTTGGGAGGCCAGAGCGGGGAGATCGTTTGAGCCCAGGAGTTCCAGGCTGCAAAGAGCCATGATCACACCGCTGCACTCCAGCCTGGGTGACAGAATGAGACTGAGTCTCTAAAAAAATAAAAAGATAAAATTTGAGGTAGATGAGGAAAAAGAGGAGGAGGAAGAGAAAGACAAGAAGTACAAGAAAGAGGAGTGAAAAGAAGGAAGAGCATATAATGATGACATGGTTGCAGGAATAAAGGACACAGATTCTTCACTTGAAATAACCCTCAGAAAGCAAAACATACTCCAGCTGACAATAAGCCACGTTACCGAACTGCTGAGAACTATTAGAGCCCATACGGGATTGGCTTTTGGTACTTCGAGATCCTCTTAATGACTAGAACTATACTGCATGTATTTAAAAGTCTTACACGGGTGGCATGGTGGCTCACGCCTGTAATCCCAGCACTTTGGGAGGCCAAAGTGGGTGGATTGCCTGAGGCCAGGAGTTCAAGACCAGCCTGGACAATGAGGCAAAACCCATATTGAACCCGAGAGGTTGAGGCTACAGTGAGCTGAGATTATGCCACTGTATTCCAGGCTGGGATACAGAGCAAGACCCTGTCTCAAAAAAAAAAAAAAAAAAAAAATGTACTATGAGACCTCCAGATAGTACAGCTCTGGTCTTTGAAAAAAATCCGTGTTTACATAGCACGTGATTCAACATAGCCAGTGTTACCTGATGTAATGCGGAGGCCTGATTGATTTTCATTTAGGTTGAAAGCTTGGATAGTGGACTTAGTCCATTTATATTCTCTTTCTCATTCTACCCTTTGTTATACATTTCCAGAGAGGATAAATCTCGATGTCAGAGGAGCCATTTCGAGGGCATACAGTACTTAACAAAGATTATAGGTTATGTTCAGAAAATGTCCAGTGTTAAAATGAAGGTTAGGATGTCTCTGCTGGCTGTGTTTTGTTTAATCCTGTTTTCTGTGGACTTGAATAGGATTAGGGCTCAGAGGGAGGCCTGGAAGGAGTTATCTGGCAGAGGGAGAGAGCTTCGCAGTGAACAGTGTGTGCCAGTTTTTCCACAGAATTGCTCAGTCAGCTTGCGGTGAGGAGACTTTCAAGCCCGTGGAGCTGCAATATTAAAAGATGAAGTTGGTGGAACTTTCTCATAGAAGTTAAGTTACCGTCCCTGAGGGAAGGAGAGCCAAGTTTTGTTTTGTTATTCGGTGCCAGGCACTTTATTATATTAGAAGAGAATATCCTAAATATAGTCCCTTTAATTAATTAATTAATTAATTAGTTAGTTAATTAATTAATTTTTTGAGATAGGGTCTCACTCTGTCACCCAGGCTGGAGCCAACACAGCTCACTGGAACCTCAACCTCTGGACTCCAGTGATCCTCCCGCCTCAGCCTCCCAAGTAGCTGGGACCACAGGTGTGCACCACCATGCTTGGCTAATTTAAACAAACAAAAAAAAATGTTGTAGAGATGGAGTCTTAACTATGTTACCCAGGCTGGCCTGGAACTCCTGGGCTTAAGTGATCCTCCCGCCTCAGCCTCCCAAGCAGCACAGCCATTGCATTTTCTATTGGAAGTTTTTTCTACTCTGAGTATTGACCTTTTGAGAGAGAGCCTAAGTTTTTTCTGACCTACATTTAAAACTTTTTTCCCCATTATCTATCTTTAGAAATAAGGAAGAAAGTAGTGCCAGACTGGCCAAATTAGTAACCCCCATTTGGGGTAGAATGCTAGGCAGCCTTTGGAGGCACACTGGATCACAGTGTTTTATCTGAAGATGATTTCTGTTTTTCGGAAATCCCTATTGCTTATGGGAAATCGAATATATCTCAGTGTTAAAATAGCAGCATAAATGTTTTAATTAAGCAAGTGCCAAGCATGGGTGTGGAAGGCCTAATTAGACCCCGTGGGTATCAGCGATGTCTGCCAGATTAGGGAGGTGTCCTAGCCCTGAGAGAATCGCCTTGCTGAGAGCTGTGGCTGCTGTACCCTGCCTACAAATGGCTGGTCCCTGTAGAGGTTTCTTTTTCGCCTTGAAAATATTTGCAAATGGAGAAGTAGTTTTTTGAGTCTATATCTCATTACAAAATCCAGTTGATGTCCCGTTTCTAATGAAAATAGGAAAGGGAAAAAAGAGAGTGAGAAGGAAGAGGAAGGAGTCTGCTCAGACAGGGCTTGGAGGCTTTACACAGCGCTTGTCTCTCCACTGGGCCTCTCTCGCAGCTCTCAATCATGTCCCCTGGGCAGCCTGAATTCCAGATACATGGAGGAGCTATGTCTCCATGGGAACAGCATGAGAGAACAAAATGAGGAACAAAGTTAATATTTATAGCCCATGCCTGCTGATTTTCTGTGCTGGCTTTATTCATTAAGTGATCTCAGGGCTGAGGTGAGTGCAGGAGTGTACGTCTCCCTTGGTATCCAAATCATTTTTTTTTCCTTCTCTTTCCAACCCATCCCTAAAATGTCAAGCACAAATAGTGAGGATTAGCTATGGAGCGTACTCTCCTTCCACTGTGCTTGGTAGACAGAACCCAGGCTTTGGGGCCCGGGTCTTTTGTAGAGACTCCTGTCTCTGCAAAAATAAGCCCAAAGCCCAGGCTTTGGAGACATGGATTTAAATCCCAGCTCTGGCACTAACCTACCTTAATTGCTTCCAATTCTCAATTTCTTCATCTCCAACATAGGAATAATGATACTTAACGCTACCATTGGTTGTAAGGATTTAAAATGATTCATACAAAGTCCCCGAGTCTGGTGCAGGGTAAGTCCTTAAAAATGGTAGTTATTATTCATTATATTATTGACTCTCTGCTTACTTAAATGGTTCTTGTCACATTTTGATTCACAGAAAAATTAAATGGGGATAAGGAACAGAAGGAAAAATCATATTCTTTGGCAGAGCTCAGTGTTACCAGTAAAACTTGTATCTTGAATTAGAAGAAAATGTTATATAATTAAATATCTAGATTCCTCAGGCTCAAGAAACATGAATACGGACCTTGTTTTCCTGGCCTTCTTGCCTTCATGTATTTTTTAAAACATCTCAACATGTTGCCTGTGACATTTTAATTTTATTGTTCTTTCCAGGATGTCAGACTGGCCAATTTCATCAGCCATGAGAGCCAAAGACTCAGAGGATACACACACTCGTGTACAAAAGCCTCTGCCAGCCAGCAAAGCCTGTTTGTTTTGTCATGACAACCCTTGTCACTTCCATCTGGAGGGTGAGTGATGACGTCATTATCAAGAGAGGATGAGGGCACAGGCTGAGAACCTGTCTGAGCTGCAAGATTACAGAGAATTATATTTCACAGTCAAATGATTATGACACAGAGAGAAGCCGTCAGTATATATAAGGTGCTTAGGCTTTACATAAACAAACATGCACTGTCTTTGACAAGGAAACAACTGGGCTTGAAAATTTCACATGAAGAGCAATATCGATGTGTATGTGATTTTAAGAGGGAGAGAATGCGTGAAGCTACTTCAGTGTGCAGGCAGTTCTGTACTGGTGTTTAGTGAGACTATAAATGGCTCTCACGGTCTGGTGGTTCTTTTAAGTCTTGGGCACAAAGTTCGCCATGGTCTAGTCAGCGATCTGCTGACTAGAGATGGAAACAAATCGGAGGGTGCATAGGAGACAGGCTGTCCCCAGGAGGTGGGTACAGCTAGCATCAGGATGGGGGTAGCAGCAGCCTGATATAATCCAAACAGAGACCCTTTGAAGAATAAAAGGGGATGCTATCAATACTTGTTGCAGGAGAGCAGGCATAACTGGGGACTGTTCTAAGCAAGCAGGGATGTGAGGTCACTGCATGTAAGTGATGAAGAAAACCGTTTCCTGGTTCCCTCTTAAGATAGCAGTGCTGATGTTTTAGAACTAGAAGTGCTGCTGTGTGACAAAACACAGCTAAGAAGAAGACACTGGTCATCTACATGCAGATTAAGAGAAAATAGCAGGTGAGGGATTCATATGTCACCTCAACAAATTAGTCCTAGCCAAGGCTTCACACACACATGACCACAGCAAGTGAGAGGCCTGATTCCAAGAATCAGCTGGGACAACTGTTAAAATATAGAATCTCAGGCCAGAGGTGGTGGATCATGCCTGTAATCCCAAAACTTTAGGAGGCCGAGGCAGGAGGATCTCTTGAGCCAGGAGTTTGAGACCAGTCTGGGCAACACAGGGAGACTCCTGTCTCTACAAAAACACAAAAATCTGCCAGTGTGGTGGTGCACACCTGTGGTCCCAGCTACTTGTGAGGCTGCAGTGAGCTCTGATTGTGCCTGGGCGACAGAGCGAGACTCTGTCTCTAAAAAAAAAATTAAGCAACAATACATAGACTCTCAAGTCCTCCCTTGCCACCATACCAAACGAATCACAGTCTCCAGAAAAGAAACCTTACAATACATCTTATAGAATCTTCGTGCCAAAAGCAGCATTAGCAGTCATCTAGGGAAATTTGGTCTTCTTACAAACTAGTGTAACAGAGTGGCAGTTAGCCTGAGCAGTGCATGAGATGGGCCTTAATTCACAGCCTCCCACTGCCCCTTAATAAATGTGTGTGGCCCTGGGTAAGGTGCTTAGCTCCCTGAGCCTCCTGGCTCTGTTGGGAGGATGGTGTAGTGTTTATAAACCGATTTGGGCACTGTTTCCACAAAGACTAAGACTTCAATAGACAGACACCATTGTTACTGTTTGACCTGCTGAATGTCATAGCTCTGGTTTATAGCACAGCTATGACTAGATTCCTTAAACTGTCATAATTGTTGTTATATTTTTTGTGTTAATGGCAGGCAGAAGGAACAGAGATCATCCCAAACTTGTCTACATATGGTTTCTTAAAACCTTTGTATTTTGAAGTAACTTCAAATTCATAAAAAAATTATTAGGAACAACACAAGGAATCCCCAAATATCCTTTACACAAATTTACCAGTTGTTAACTTTTTATGTGTACCTCATGTGCATATATACACATACATATATGTTATATATTATATGTATATTATATATATTCCCCCCTAAGTTATTTGAGGATTACAGACATACCTTGATACCCCTTAATACTTCAGTCTTGTGTATACCTATGTAACAAACCTGCATATTCTGCACATGTATCCCAGAACTTAAAGTAAAATTAAGGCCAGGAGCAGTGACTCACGCCTGTAATCCCAGCGCTCTGGGAGGCTGAGGCGGGCAGATCACCTGAGGTCGGTAGTTCGAGACCAGCCTGACCAACATGGAGAAACCCTGTCTGTACTAAAAATACAAAATTAGCTGGGCGTGGTTGCACGCGCCTATAATCCCAGCTACTCGGGAGGCTGAGGCAGGAGAATTGCTTGAACCCAGGAGGCAGAGGTTGCGGTGAGCAAGATCACGCCACTGCACTCCAGCCTGGGCAACAAGAGCAAAACTCCGTCTCGACAACAACAACAACAACAAAAACAAAAAAACTTCAGTCTGTAGTTCCTAACAGGAGCAGAATCCCACCTAATGAGAGTACAACTATCAAAAAATTAACATTGATACATTACCAATTAATTCACAGACGCCCATTGGCTTTGCCTATTGTTCCAATATTGTCTTTTATAGGCAAAAGAGCCAACCCAGGAGTATTATGTCATATTAGATCTTATGTTGTTGTTGTTGCTGAAGTCACTTTTGATCTGGAAATGTCTGTCTTTCTTTACCTTGCATAGCTTTAACATTTTTGAAGAGTACACGCCTGTTACTTTATAAAATGCTCTTTACTTTGGGATTGTCTGATGTCTCCTTGTCATCAAATTCAGGTTATGCATTTTTGGCAGGAACACCAAAATGCCATGATTTCTCAGTGTATTGTATGAGGAGGCACACGTGTGTCTTTGTCCCATGACTAGGACTAGGGTTAACATTTATCCATTGGTTAAAATGATATTTGCCAGATTCCTCTACTTTAAAGTTAATTGATAAGTATTTTGTACTTTTTGAATAAATACTTTAAAGTTAATTGAAAAGTATTTTGTACTTTTTGAATAAATAAAGGTTAGGTATCTTGTGGAAAGGTACTGTAAGACAACATACACATGCTGTTTCTCATCAGATTTTCACTCACTCATTTGTGGAATTCATTGATGATTATTGCCTGAATCAATTATTAGTGTAATTGCAAAATGTAGTTTTAAAACTCCATCATTCTTTCTGTCTTTATTACCTGGAATTTAATTGTGAATTACATCTTTTCCTTCTTTTTAATTCATGTATTAATTTATATCAGTATGGCCTCAAAGATTGTCTTTTATTCAATGAGTCACAATCTATGACTATCAATATTATTTTGGTGCTCAATTTGTCCTAGATTTAGCCATTAGAAGGCCTTTTAGACTGGTTCCTTTGTCATTTTGGCAGGTTTTCGTAATTTTGGGGGCATAGTCTTACTTTCTGGGACATAAGATGTACCAAATCAATCTTATACTTTCCCTGCTCCCAGCCTATCATCAGCCATTTCTCCAAAGAGCCCTGGTTCCTTTAGTGGAGGATGATATTCAGTAACCAATATCTAGGCCCTAGGTATGTTCATTACGAGGGATTGTCATTGCTTCTAGGCCCTCTCAGTGGACAGAGCTTAGAGATAAATGCTTGCATACACATATGTACACACATAAATCTGTTAGAAACTGTGCATTCACATCAATACCTGCAAAGCCAGTTCAACACTATGGGGTTTATTTTAGCCTTTCCTCTTTCCATATTTGTAACTACACTGCCTGAGAATGAGAAACCTGACTCCAATTATCTCCAATATATTTGCTTATTTGTTCAGTTTCTCTGTGTTTAATTAAAACTGCCGGCTCCTTTTTTTGCAAGAATTGACTGTTAAACTAAAGCAATAATTCTCTTCACATGCAGCAGAGCACATGGATTTCAGTGAACTCATTTTGGAGGACACATCACAGATGGAGCAGTGGTTGTAAGCTTGGGCTCTGGAGGCAGACAGACCTGGGCTGTAGCCCTGGCCATGTACTCAGGAGCTGTGCAACATTCACAGAATTCTTTCCTTCTCTCGGTCTCAGAGGATAATAACCACAATAGGATTAAAGGAGCTATGCATATACAGCTACAGTGCCCAGCACATAGTAAACACAACGAATGATAGCTATTATAATTGTATCTCTATTGAATATAGGAAATTTTTTAGAACTCCCTAGGCCAGGATAAAAATTTGCAAAGGCAGTTACCACTAAGCTTCAAAATTCATCAAAGCTTAGAGATAAAATAAATCTTAACAACATTCTTATTAGTCGTATCTCCACATAAGAGAAAGAAACTGATTTACATTAAAAACCTAACTATTCAAAAGTTTTACATGCATTTTTTGGGTCTCTGTTTAATATGAAAAAAAAGTGTTAGACGTTATGTAATATTTTCCTTTTCCTTTTTTTAGGTCACAAGTATTCATCTACCTTGAGTCAAAATCGGTTGATGGATCTCCGTTTTTGTTGTTTGTTTCCTTTGTTTTGTTTTGTTTTTGAGACGGAGTCTCACTCTGGAGTGCAGTGGTGTGATCTTGGCTCTCTGAAACCTCCGACTCCCTGGTTCAAGCGATTCTCCTGCCTCAGCCTCCTGAGTAGCTGGGATTACAGGCATGTGCCACCATGCCCAGCTAATTTTTGTATTTTCAGTAGAGACGGGGTTTCACCATGTTGACCAGGATGGCCTCGATCTCCTGACCTTGTGATCCGCCCGCATCGGTTTCCCCAAGTGTTGGGATTACAGGCGTGAGCCACTGCACCTGACCGATGAATCTCCTTTTAAAGGCCTCCATGAGCTGAAAGCTATGGGGAAACAACAAAAGGTTTTGAGCAGGGTCCATGCATTAGATGGTAAGAGTTAGATCAGACTGTGTGTGGTGACTCATGCCTGTAATCCCAGCACTTTGGGAGACAGAGGCAGGAGGATTGTTTGAGGCCAGGAGTTCAAGGCTGCAGTGAGCTGATTGCAGCACTGCACTCCAGCCTGAGCAACAGAGCGAGACACCGTCTCAAAATATATTTCATAAGAAGTGGCTAGCAGCTGGATGCAGTGGCTCATGTCTGTAATCCCAGCAGTTTGGGTGGCCAACGTGGGTGAATTGCTTGAGTTCAGAAGTTTGAGAACAACTTGGGCAACATGGTGAAACTTCATCTCTACAAAAATTACAAAAAATTAGGTGTGTGTGGTGGAGCAAAGCCCGTAGTCCCAGCTACCCATGAGGCTGAGGTGGGAGGATCACCTGAGCCCAGGAGGTCAAGGCTGCAGTGAGCTGTGATTATGCACTGCACTCCAGTCTGGGTGACAGAGTGAGACCCAACATATGAGTATGTATTTGTTCAGGCTTCCAGATGTCTCTGTCCCATATTTCTGATATTCTCCCATTGATATAGAGAAAGATAGGTGGCAGAAGGGAGATAACAGGAAAACTATAATCAGGAAAACTTCCAGGTAGAACTGGGAGTTTGGGGGTGGATCTTTCTCATGTCTTGAGGATTTGAGTGGGGATCACTCATGCATGATCCTATAACAGGAAAACTCAGGAATTAGGCAGAGGAAAGCTCAAAGTCTAAGTGACACTGTTGCTTTCCTTACATGATGGCCTGTGTGGCGTTTGAATTGAGTGAGCCTTCAAAGCAAGAAGGCAACTGAGGCTGAGTATTTATCTATCATCTATCTATCACCTATCTATCTAATCTATCATCTATCTATCTAATCTATCATCTATCATCTATCTAATCTATCATCTGTCTAATCTATCTAATCTATCATCTATCTGTGTATCTATGTATCTATGTATCTATGTATCTATCTATCTATCTATCTATCTATCTATCTATCTATCTATGTCTATCTAGCTATCATCAACACAGGGTCTTATTATGTTTTCCAGGCTGGTTTTGAACTGCTAAGCTCAAGAAACCCACCTGCCTTGGCCTCCCAAAGTGCTGGGATTACAGGCTTGAGCCACTGCTCCTGGATGAGGCTGTTTTTTGTTTGTTTGTTTTTTTGTTTGTTTGAGACAGAGTCTCACTCTGTCACTCAGGCTGGAGTGCAGTGGTGCAATCTTGGCTTACTGCAACCTCTGCCTCCCGGGTTTAAGTGATTCTCCTACCTCAGCCTCCTGAGTAGCTGGGATTACAGGTGCCTGCCACCATGCCCAGCTAATTTTTGTATTTTTTTTAGTAGAGATGGGGTTTCTCCATGTTGGCTGGGCTGGTCTTGAACTCCTGACCTCAAGTGATCTGCCTGTGAGACTGTTTCAACCCTCTGAAGCAAGAGGTGTTTCAGCTGTGGTGTGCTGCTGCAAGGAGCAGCAGAAAACAGGCTAGAATCAGTTCAGAAGAAGCTTCCTCACCATGAAACTTGGATACTGCATGTGCAATAGAAAATTTAAAAAAGAATGATTGCTGTTGTTTTAAGCATGGATGAGTGAAATGGTGGTGGGATGAAAGATGGGGATGTCAAAAGGTAGAGTTGATTTTGGGGGTGTAAATGATAAGGTGAATCTCAGATTGAGTGGGAAGTGCTAGCAGGGTGTGCCCATTGCTACACCTGACAGGCAGGTGGACCAACAGAACCACCTTAACCTGAGCAGGGAGGTCAGGCAGGGCTGGGAATTAGGATTCATGATTATCTGCATTGGAGTAGGAGATCATTCGCTGTGCAAGGCTGTTTAGGGGGAAAGAGAAGTTGGTTAAGGGCCAAATTATATTGGATGGAGTAGAGTGCTAGAAAGAGAAGGGAGGCTCAAGTGAAGAAGACAGAATTGAGGCAAGGAGAGGACAGGACAGCAGCAGGACCCAGGAGCTGTGAAGTACTGTGCAATGACTTGCTCAATATCCATTCCACCTGCGTCTGGAATGTCTTTCTGTACTATAGAGGCTGGAGAGCTGAAAACTATATTCCCTGGATTCCTTTGCAGCTGGAGAGTGTGGACGTGGTTTAGACTCTGTGAATCACATGCTTTTGAATGAGACTCGAGAGAAGATGTAGATAGCACTTCTGGTCACTTCTGCTGGCAACTAAGGTCATGGAGTTGTTGGACTTTGGGAAGAGAGGTTCTGCATCCAGGCATTAGCTTCATGGGGAACAAGAGGAGCAGGGGTGGAAATCCATGTTTAGCTTGTGTGGCTCTAGCACAAGGTTCAGTTGCGGTAGCTTCCTGACCTCTGGATCTCAGTTAAGGCAAAGATGTTGCTGAAGTCAGGGGTTCCAGCCAGGGGAAGCCTCCTGAATTCTCATCTTCCTGATGTATGAGCAGTAGCAGCTCCCCTGGTGGGTCAGATCTGCTGTGATCTTGGAGTCATTCCTGAAGGCCCATCTAGAGCAAGCTCTTTCAGCACTTTCAACAATTTAAAAAGCATTTAAAACCTCCTCTGCTTGAAAACACTGTGCTGGTTTCTATTTTTTGCCACTGAGCTTTGACTGATACAGAATCCAATGGAGAAAAAGATATTTAAGAATAAAGGGTTAATCATTAATTTGAAAGCTGCCAAAAGTTGAGAATTTCATTTATTCAATTCATTAAAAACAATTATCAAGTTCCTAATATATATCAGGCACCATGATGGACATTTGGGAATATTATATGGAGATGAGTAAAACAGTCTTTCCCTCAATGAATTCAGTCTAGTAGGGAATCATGAATACAAATGTGATAGACTGTGGCAAGTACAGTGATAGAGACATATTCGAGAAGTTAGTATGAGAAAAGAGGAAGGGTACTTAACCTAGCTTGGCACTCTGGGGAGGAAGGTTGGCTTCTTGAAGGTACATGAATTGAGTATTGGAAGATTAATATTTTTATTTAGCTAATAAATACCAAATACTTACTATAAGGTAAGCATGGTGCTAAGATCTTTACATTCAAGATCTCATTTGGCTCTCCAAACATTCTATGAGGTAGAGTATTATCACCACTTTACAAATACAACTGAGGTTCAGATCTGACTATCTGAAGGATTCCATGCAGAAGGAACAGCATCAGCAAAGAAGGGCGAGAAACATACGGCATGAGCTACAAGCAGTTAGGTTGGGTTGGAGCAAAGACCCGAGACTGAATGGGTATAGAGCATGCAATAAGTCAGAGGAGTGAACTGGGGCCACATCATGTGGGGTCGCAAAGATCACGTAAATATGGAAACTGTCTGCAATGGGGAACCCGTGATGGAAAATGATAGAAAACTCGCCTGGTAGAAGGTTGTGTGGAAAATGGATTCGAGGGTAGATGGAGGCAGAGAGTCTAGCTTCAAAGTTGTTGCTTTAGTTTCCTAGAGATGATGTAACAATGCACCACAAACTGCTTGGCTGAAAACAGAAGTTTATTGTCTCACAGTTCTGGAGGCTGACAGTCCAGACTCATGGTGTTGGTGATAAGGAAGGCGGGCAGGGAGGTGCTGGGAGGAGAAGGGCAGGTCCCTGGCGAGGTCTCCACCCCTGGGCCTGTGCCCATGGACCTAGGTGAAGACAGGCACTCCTGCCTTCGCACCCAAATGTTGCATTTCCTAAGACCATCCTGGCCGACCACGCCCCCATCCTTTGCCTATAAAAACCCTGAGACCCTAGCAAGCAGGCACACAAGCGGCTGGACATCCAGAGGAGCACATCAGCGGAAGAAGACACAAGTGGCTGGACGTCGAGGAGCCATCAAGGGGAGCACACCGGCATAAGAGCACACGACAGAGGCCAGCACACCAGCGGGCCATCGACTTGTGGAATGACACGGAGTTTGGCTGGGGTGGTTGGAGGAGAGCCCAGGCTGCTAAGCAGCCTAACTCCAGGGGAAAACCATCTCCCTTCTGGCTTCCCAATCTGCTGAGAGCTACTTCCACTCAGTAAAACCTTGCACTCATTCTCCAAGCCCACGTGTGATCCGATTCCTCTGGTACACCAAGGCAAGAACCCAGGATACAGAAAGCCCTCTGTCCTTGCCATAAGGCAGGGGCGTCTAATTGAGCTAACACAAGCCGCCAAACTGAAAGAGCACCCTGTAGCACATGCCCACTGCGGCTTCAGCTGTAAACATTCACCCCTAGACACTGCCGTGGGGTCGGAGCCCCACAACCTGCCTGTCTGCCTGCTCCCCCTAGGGGTTTTGAGCAGCGGGGCACCGAAGAAGCGAGCCACACTCCCATCACACACCCTGCAAGGGGGACAAGGGGACATTTCCTGTTTCATTGGTAGGGCCCTGCTCCCTCTGAGGCTCTGGGTAGAACCCTTGCTTGCCACTTCTCAGCTTCTGGTGGTGGCCGTGGATCCCTGGCATTCCTTGGCTTGCAACTGCATCCCTCCAGCCTCTGAATCTGTCACCCAATGATGCTCTCCTTGTCTCTGTCCACTTTTCTTATAAAAGTACCAATTGTATAATTAGACCCAACCTAATGACCTCATCTTGACTCAGTTACATCTGCAGAAACCTTATTTCCAAATGCAGTCAACATTCACAGGTACCCGGGTTTAGGACTTCAACATATCTTTCCGAGGCAGGTTCGGGTGAGGTCACAATTCAACCCCTAACAGAACAGGTAAAAGATGGGCACAGCTGGGATGGGCACAGTGGCAGGGGGGCTGAGCAGAATGGGCAGATTTTGGGGAAATGTTTAGAAAACAAGACCACCAGGGTTTGATGATTTGAGTCCCGAGTTGGGGCAGGGCAGCATACAAGCATTTTAGGCAGTTTTTAGGGATTGAATCCTAAACCAAATGTCAGACTTCCCTTTCTCTCTCCCTGGTGCCAAAAAACAGACTAACTCAGGATTCCTTTGTAAGAAGGATTTATTAGATTATATGGAAATGGACACGGTACAGAAGGTCTGTGGCACAGTCAGGGTTCTGCAGGACCCCAGAGCATCAGTAGAAATGCTGGTGTTCCACCTTCCCCAGGGCCGCCTTTGCCTGGGCTTCAGAGATGCAGCTGAGGCCTGGCCTCCAAATGCTGTGGGCAGTCCTGCAGGCCATCCTCTGGGCAGACTGGCCTGACTCACGGTGACTATTGTAGTTTCTGTGAACCTCTGGGTTTTGGTCCCACTGTTGTCGAGAGCCTTGACCAAGTGTAAACGAATCCATTACGGATGAAAGTTGCAGCCTTGGAGGGTGTCACAGCAGAGAAGAAAGAGCGGGAGCGGAGTTTGGCAGGCGAACATAAGCGTGGACCAGCAGCTGCAAGCTGGGAACTGTCAGGACAGCATCTTAGTTTGGACAGCAGGTTTCCTTCTAAACTGGAGGCCAGGAGCTCACAGCAGTGGCTTGGCTATGACAAGCAGGTTTTCTAGACTGAGTGAAGCACAGATGTCCCTAGATATGCTCCTGACCTAGAGGAGAGACCTGAAGGAAACATGAGCCTTCTCTCGACAGAGTCAAAAAGTTAAGGAGAGAGTGGTAACACGCATTATTTGCAGGAAGCCTGGAAGTTAACAGTAATGCTGATGCCTTTAGTAAAGAATACAGCTTCCATCTCTAGTACATTTCTAGTTTTGAAACTCTGCTACATTTCCATTTCATTCCCTCCTGTTGAGAAAACCTGAGCAAGAGATTATTTTTCCATGAGAAAGTGGGCCTTTAAGATTTTTTGGCCTTGTATTTCCTATATCTCCACTCCTAAAAACATTACCTTAATAAATATCAATATCATAGACTTAAATATTTAAATTTGGAGTACTTAAAATATTATAAAAGAGATAACTTGTGAGTCATCTTTGTGTTTATAATAGTGCTCCAAATTTTTAAAAATTAGCTACAAAATACTATTTTGAAATAATCGTTCATGTCAGTTTTTGTTTTGTAATGGAAATTTCTCTTCCAATGTAAATAAAGCATTTTGATATGAAAATTACAACATGCAAAGAGCTGCTGAGTACATTTTAGGCATCTCAAGTGGATTTTAATGTAACATTTTAATAGCTTTTACATTTCTTTTTACAAAACACAGCTATTTCATTAGCTATTCAGATTTCCTTACCACTTCCATTTGAACCCTATGAAAATATATGAAAAAATATATCCCCCACCCCCAACCAGCAATTTGTATAAGAATAGCAATTATTTTAAAAAGAACTTGCATAGTATTCTGAATTTATCATGTTGTTAGAAAGGCTGCCTATTGGATTTTTTTGAGATTTTCAGAAAATGCTGCAAACTGGACACTCCAGTTCTTCCAGATATTGGTAGCCGCGGCGCAGAGGCAATGCTGTGTGGTTAGGAGTGATTACACCACCAGAGACTTCAGGACTATGAAGAGGAAAAAGTAGTGTTTTTAAAAAATAAGGAGATCTTACTAAAAAGGATCTGGGACAGAGGCATGAAGGAAGTGAACAGGATTCAACAGCTGAGAACCATCAGCCAGAACATAAAGGATAGGGAAGAAAATAGATGATAACAGGCTTATGGCCATGTGGAAGTGAACACACACTCACCAGTGTTAATTTACATCCAAGACTAACTGAAATTATGCTGAAAACATTATTCACTGGCTGGTGCATATCTGTGACAAAATGACAGAACACTAAGAGTTCTTCCAGTTAAATTTATTCATTTTTTAAAAATTCTGAGCTATGTTATTGTTAACAGATAAAATACCACTTGTTTTATAAAACTACACTGATAGTCCTCAGTTCAGGTTTTCCTGGAAGCTGACCTTATGATGATGATGTGAGTACAAGTAGTTTATCTGGGAGGCAAAGGGAACCCCAGTAAGAAAATGTAGCCAAAAAATTAAGGGTTACAAAGCCAGCTACCACTGTGACGGACAGATGCTTGATCTGGTGAAGAAGCTCTAGGCAAAGTGTAAGTATACATGTAAGAGTTGGCACACCCCAGGCAGGAGCGGGGACCATATTTACAGACTCTGTGTGTCACTGATTGAAAGCTGCTTCCCAGGTCTTAACTTCCTGGCACTTCTGGCTGCCACATACTGGGGCAGGGCTGGCTTTTGACAAGAGCCCTCAGATATGTCAATGTGGGATGTACAGTCTCGGGGAACAAGTTACCAAGAGTGGCCTTTTATTTCCACTGTTCCTACCATGGCAAAATCATGTCAGTCATTGATGTTGGGTTCCCACTTACTTTCCAACCCTCCCCAAACCCAAAAGCCTGGGACACTGATACTCCACCAGCCAGAGGTCATGTCAGTTGATGACATGAATGACAGTATAGGGCAGGTGCAGCTCAGAGTGAGACAAATTCTTGCCAATCATTCTGACGGGGAAGGATGACTCTGGAACTAGCAAGAGAAGCACTGAAGGATGCCTTTCCTGACCCTCACATCCAACAAGGGCCTCCAAATCCTCGCCTTCCTGATCCATTTGTTGTTGTTGTTGTTGTTGAGATAGAGCCTTGCTTGGTCACCCAGGCTGGAGTGCAGTGGTGCAATCTCGGCTCACTGCAACCTCCACTTCTCAGGTTCAAACGATTCTCCTGCCTAGGCCTCCCGAGTAGCTGGGATTACAAATGTTTGCCACCACACCTCGCTAATTTTTGTATTTTTAGTAGAGATGCGGTTTCACCATGTTGGTCAGGCTGGTCTGGAACTCCTGACCTTAAAGTGATCCACCCGCCTTGGTCTCCTAGAGTGTTGGGATTACGGGTGTGAGCCACCCTGCCTGACCCCATCTCTTTTTTGATAACACCTTCTGGTAAGGCGGCTCCACTTATGGAGGAGAAGGAATCATTACACACAGCTGGAACGAGATGTGCTTCACAGTCCTCTTGGAAACTGCTTTAGAAACTTCTCACTGCCCCAGCTTCCTGTAGCACCTCCTGGAGGCTGGCCAGTGTCAACTAACTTCTGGAAAAGCAGTTAACCATCCCTATATTTGCAGCCAACAAGGTAACTCTAATTGTGTCAAAGGATGTCAAAAAAGCCTCCAAATATGTGAAAATAAAAATAAAATTCTTTTTGGAAAGAAAACATTTTGGGAGAGATGGAAAGGGAAGTGATTGTGAAATGGTAATATGGTAGCAACTCAATGATTACAAATTCTAAACTTGCAATACTGCCCTGAAGAAAACAGTTCATATCCATTTAGCTTGCTTGGTATACTACTACCTAGAATGGGCATCTTAAAAAAAAAAAGAAAGACTAATGACATTTAAGGCCACTATTAGAGTGAAGATCCCACTTACAGGGGCAGATACCTGCCACTCTTTGGACTTTCAGAGACCCTGTCTTCCACAAGTATCTCAAACTAAACGCAAAAGTTTTTTTTTTTTGAGATGGAGTTTCACTCTTGTCACCCAGGCTGGAGTGCAGTGGCACGATCTTGGCTCACTGCAACCTCTGTCCCAGGTTCAAGCGATTCTCGTGCCTCAGCCTCCCGAGTAGCTGGGACTACAGACGTGCACCACCACGCCCAACTAATTTTTGTATTTTTAGTAGAGATGGGGTTTTTACCATGTTGACCAGGCTGGTCTCGAACCCCTGGCCTCAGGTGATCCACCTGCCTCGGCCTCCCAAAGTGCTGGGATTACAGGCGTGAGCCACCATGCCCGGCCTTAAACACAAAAGTTTTAACATTTATTGAAAAATTACTGAGAAACTTTATACTCATTTAATTCAACCTTAATAATTAAGACACGCCGGCATGAGGGCCGGGCGTGGTGGCTCACGCCTGTAATCCCAACACTTTGGGAGGCCGAGGTGGGCGGATCACGAGGTCAGGAGTTCGAGACCAGCCTGGCTGACATGGTGAAACCCCATCTTACTAAAATACAAAAAATTAGCTGGGCATGGTGGTGTGCGCCTGTAGTCCCAGCTACTTGGGAGGCTGAGGCAGGGGAATCGCTTGAACCTGGGAGGCAGAGGTTGCAGTGAGCTGAGATCGTGCCACTGCACTCCAGCCTGGCAACACAGCAAGACCCCATCTCAAAAAATAATAATAATAATAATAAAGACAACTCCATGAGATAAGTGTTATTCTCCCACTTAGCAATGAAAATATCCAGATACAGAGAACACAATTAACTTACCAAGCTTCCTATGGTTAATTACTGGCAAACCTGATACTTAACCACCTAAGTGTAACTCCAGATGCTGGCTCTTCATTTTTCTATTGCTTCTAACATTAGCACCTTGCCTTCTGACCCTCTCCCTTTACTCTTCCACAAGGTATTTAGAGATCCAGTAATTCAAAAGTGATTGTCAGTCCTTTTTTAGTGTATACTTTAATTTTTAGGGTTTTTTGTTGTTGTTGTTTGTTTAGATAGGGTCTGGCTCTGTCACTCAGGCTGGAATGCAGTGGCACGATCACAGCTCACCGTAGCCTCGACCTTCTGGGTTTAAGTGATCCTTCCACCTCAGCTTCTCAAGTGATTGAGACCACAGACGTGCGCCATCATGCCCGGCTAATTTTCTAATTTTTGTAGAGACAGGGTCTCTGTATGTTACCCAGGCTGGTCTCAAACTACTGGGCTCAAGCGATCCTCCCACTTTGGACTCCTAAAGTTTTGGGATTAGGGGCATAAGCCATGGCGGCTGGCCTGTGTATATTTTTAAACAGCAATTTTAAAACTTCTTTAGAACTTATCTTGGCATTAGTTTTTTTCGAGACAGAGTCTCACTCTGTCGCCCGGGCTGGAGTGCAGTGGCACAATCTTGGCTCACTGCAACCTCCACATCCTGGGTTCAAGAGATTCTCGTGCCTCAGCCTCCAGAGTAGCTGGGATTACAGGCGTGCACCACCACACCCAGCTAATTTTTGTATTTTTTATTTTTATTTTTTTTGAGAGGGAATTTCGCTCTGTTGCCCAGGCTGGAGTGCAATGGCGTGATCTCGGCTCACTGCAACCTCCGCCTCCCAGGTTAAAGCGATTCTCCTGCCTCAGCCTCCCAAGTAGCTGGGATTACAGGCATGTGCCACCACGCTTGGCTAATTTTTTTTTTAGTAGAGATAGGGTTTCTCCTTGTTGGTCAGGCTGGTCTCGAACTCCCAACCTCAGGTGATCCGCCCACCTCGGCCTCCCAATTTTTAGTTTCTAAAATTACTTTTGATCTCTAAAATTGTAATCAAACCTACTAATATAAAAACCCAATTGAGATTCACCAACGAACTAGTCGCAAAATGTTTTATTTGTAATAAACTTAAAATCGTCCCTTCTGTTCACACGCTGGTCCTTTTCTCTCCCACTTCTTGCAAGGCCTTCAGAGCTCCTCCCCAAAACTAAGGAGGTGCTAAAGGATGTGAGAAAATGACAATCCAGAACATTTCTGAGTGGGCTTAGGTGTTCACTGAGTAAAAACAGGATTTTGGGGGAGGCAGTATAGGCAAAATGATGTTTCTTAGATGTTAGCTTATTTTTAAAAATTGTTTTTTGTAACCTGATCCAATAGCTATTCCATCACGCTTTTTTTTTTCTTTTGACAGTAGAGATGGGCACGGGGGAGGGTCTTGCGATGCTGCCCAAGCTGGTCTTGAACTGCTGGCCTTGAGTGATCCTCCTGCCTTGGCCTCTCAAAGTGCTCGGATTACAGTGTAAGCCACGGAACCCAGCCCCATCATGCCTTTAAGTGTTCAATGCACAGAATAGATAGAGGCCAATAGTCCATTTCAATCAGATTTTAAAAAAAGTAATGCAAAAGATGGGAGAATTTATTGCTGACTGTTACTTATTATGCAATAATTTACTTTAAAATACTTCAAATATAAACTGTGTAATGGATGTGTGCTGTGTAATTTAACTTCAATCTTGTTCTGGGGGTAAGTTAGTATTTGAAGCACCTCAATCAGGTGGCTAGGAAGATGCTTTAAACACTTATCTAAATATACGCCAGAGTGTTCATCAGCATAAGGGATATTAGTAATTTTTCACTGATGAATGCAGCCTGAAAAGTAGGTGGTTGTCTAGACTTTTAGAGGCAAAATGCATGAAATGAGGTGTAAGAATCTGGCAGATCCTGCAAAATAATGACTTTTTATAGTATCTCAGGTCTAGAGATCTCCTTGCCCCTGTACCTTCCCCCTCCAGCACTCCACACACGTTTATGACTGTGGCCTGATCCAACCAAGCAATTAGGTTTCTTAATTCTGCTTTCAGAATATCACTGCTTCTGCTTCACTGTGAACTTTTTAGTCAAGGTGTTTGTGGGGTTACTTAGGAGCAGAGAAAGAACTTCTCCAAGCTTTCCAGAAGCCCTGCTTGCTAATAAACTTGTCATATAGATAACTGTTTTAGATTTGCTTTTATAGTAACACACCACGAGGTGGTGCGGTTATGTAGGAGGACACATATAGCCTTACTTTCCTGTAATAGCTAGAGGTACCACCAAATGGACCTGTGATTGGTGACTAAATTGGCCTAGATAGTTTGCAATGGTGTAGGAAGGAAACTAAAAGCCCATTCACTCTCATTTCATACTGAGGGCCATATTTGATTCCTGAGCGCTCCCCTTAATGTAGGGTGAATACTGAAGACCTCCTTAAGGTCTGCAAGTAAATATAGATTTTTCCAGTGCTGGCCAAAAAGCAAGCCAGCCATTGTAAAGGTCAGGGTCATTCTCTGGCAGCGCTGCTCTTTAACACAATATAATTAAGAATTTTGCACCACTTCTAATTAAAACTTGATTACTTAGAAGGCTTTCCGTTTGCTAATGATGACTAAAGTTTAAAAACACACATGAAAAAGAAAAACAGCCAAAATACACCTACTGCTCTAAATTTTAAATAAGGCTATCCTATATGCTTAATCAACAGGAGGCTAGGAAAATGTCACTGAGTTAAATGAAGGACAATCTGAAGACTCAAGAATCAATCTGAGTGAAGTTATAACATATGAGAAAGCTAAAAGTAAAACTATGTCAAACATTTTATTTGGTGTTTCATGCTATGTTGATTTAAACAAATTAAACAAGTTTGTTGAACAGATTTCTTTTCTAATATAATGACTATGTGTACATGGACAACTGAAAACAGGGAAAACCCCCAAATTAATGTTTTCACAAATTACAAGCCATTACTAAAGACCATATGCCTGGATTAAAAAAAATAGTCCAATAGATGAAGTCTCTCATTCAACCTAGCAGTTCAACCAATTTCTCTTTTAATAAAAGCTGCACATTACAGTGGTATAAATTTATCTTTTAAACACTCCACATAAAAACATGTGCACCCTCTCCTTCTACATTTAATCATTAGTAGTCTCTAAAATGGTAAAATAAAACTGAATTTATATTAGCAAATGAAAGTGCAAGTTTGTACAGCTAGGCTCAGCAGCAAAAGTGAAGAATAAGAATGAAAGGTGAAAAGCTGACAGATGCCACGCAGAGCAAGGACTTCCATGAAGGTCCGTGTCCTGTGTGCCAAACACAGTCAACATTCCATCATTTTCTCATTGCTCTTAAACGAGCAAAACCAAATTCTTTTTCTATTTAAAGAAATATTAAATCTTTATTTTCCCCAACATAATTTGTGATCAGGTAAGGCAAAGATAAGTCCACCATCACTGGGGACAGCAGCAACATACAGACTTCAGAAATAGCCCTGAATCATCAGTAACATTCTATCGTGGTAACATCAGAAGGAATGCAGCTAACAAATTAAATTTGTAATGTTGTCACATTATTCTAATTTATTTGATTAGTTTATCTGGAAAAACTTTATAAATACATTATGTAAGAGGGCAGTAAATTATTTTCTTGCTTTGAAAAAATAATGTTTTTTCACATTTTAAAACATTTTAGTCTGCTTTTGCAAAAGGAGTTGCAAGAAAAATGTGACAGCTGGGTTTGCAGAATGTCCATGTACAAGCTGTATTTATAAGAACCTGGTAATCTGCCTATAATTTGCTTCTACAAATAGAGCTCTTTGCAATAATATTTTAAAAAAACAGGCTTAAACTCTTCTCCTATTCATTCTACTTGTAGAACAAAGAGGTACTTATTTTTCAAGTATTATAAAAGGTAAAAAATTTTTTTTGCCAATTTTACATGTTAAGCTTTTAAGACCAAAAAAATCATGCCTAGTCAGCCCATTTCTTTTATAACCAAATTCTCTTGTCTTTTAAAGAATGCAGAAAAATATTGATTGCTAAGAAGGAGCACACTGGAAAAAGCCATTTTAAAGTATTGAAGAATGAGACGTATTTCTTTTTTCCTATTGATGAAAATTATTAGAAAAGCTATCCAGTCTGTTGTCTTTAGCTAGTTTTAATAAATCTTTTCAAAATGATGGTCAAGAACTCTAGAAAACGGGTGGAGGGGATGCTCCTTTATAGCAGGAAAGGAATTCCATTAATTGTAGAAATTCTCATTAAATTTCAGCTTTGGTTCTTCAGAAGAAACACTCATATAACTTCTACATGAAGAGACAGAAAAAGAACAAGATTAATATGACATTTATCTAAAATCTTATTTCAAGAATACCATAGTAATACCTTAAATTTCTAAAACTTACTATACTGTTATATACACTTATATAAGAATAGGCAATTCTGTTAGGATTCACAGTCTTATATTTAAGTGAATTCTGTTACTCATAGGAAACATATGTTCTTTTCTTTACATCAGCTTAGGCCACAGCCTTCATTTTTCCAAGTGGCATACACAGATTGTACTTTTCTCGGTTAGGGGTTTAAACATTCATTTCTCTTGTATCCTCAGTATCTGATGCTTAGGGTTCTAAACATATGTTGGAGGTTAAATAAATGTTGATAAATCATCTGGAAGTTCTTTCCCTTCCTGTAAATCTGTAACATGAGTAGGAAGCTGCACTGGGCATGTTTCCATCAACATACCATTAGTCGGATTGTTCCCAAAGGCTTAAGAATCAGAAAGTCAGACAGGGGAGGGCCCTTACAACCTCCCTTCAAATCCTAGAAAAGTGGAGTTCACTAAAGTGAGGTTCCACTTCCAAGGTCAGTACACTAGAGGAGAAAAGAAGAGTAGCTTCATTTGGATGGGTGGCTCACATTGGTTATCACACCGAATTAAAAGTTGATTTATTACAGATTCACTGATTGAATCTAGAAGGCAAAACAATTTGCCCACAAATAATTCTGTATTGTCTCCATTTAGTTATCCTGAATTTGGCCAGTTCTTTTTGTAGAAATATAAAGAGATGCTGGTCAATACATGACAGTCATCTTCAGGGAAGAGAAGTCAACAAAATTGAAACAGGTTTGAAGAGACAGGGAGCACAGATTATCTTGCTAATTCCTGAGACTGATGGGATTGCGTTGCTGAGCTGCTATGACCACTGAGTTAGTAATATTTGATATTATGTCTTCTTTCTTTGGGTCCTGATTGTTCTTTTTGCACAAAGACTTCAGGTCAAGTGTGGGTCAAAGAGACATTGTATAAGAAAGTCACAGGCAGTTTCAACAGCAACAAAATCATTTAACAAGTTAAGATCTTTAGACTCAGTGTGAGTACTGGTTTCATCACCTAAATCGTAACTATCCATCATGTCACATTTTGAAAGGACAATAATTTATTACCCAGGTTGCCAAACCCAAATAAGAGAAAAATGGTGGGAGAACATGATGGCAGTCTTCAAATACATGAAGACCTCAGAAAGATGGAAAAAACTCAGATCTTTCTCTAGTGGGCAGCACTAGGCCGGATGGTCCAAAATTATGGGGAGACAGCCCTGTCTTTCTACAAAGCATATTCTGAGCATGCATGATGTCGGGTAATGGGTGCTGCTCTGTGCAGAGAGGCTGACAGACACCCACTGGGTGCTGCGGACTGGACTTCTGCACTGACTGAGAGAATAGGAGAGGCCTTAGAAGTTGTCCAATCCAACTCAAAATTCAATTTCTATGAGCCAGGCACAATCTCTTCCACTGTGGCTTACTTGGTCCTTTGAAGAACAAAGTGTTACCACAATCATACTGTAGAAGGCAGCAGTTCGTGTCCTCCTGGGTGTCAGATATTTCTGATGACTACAGAAGGGAGTTGGAGGCAAGCTTACCTGCAGTCTGCTGTGTCTGAACACCATCTACCTGAGGCAGGGGCCCAAGTGTCCCTTCATCATCAAAGGCCAAAATTGGATTCAAAGGAATTTCTGGGCTCTCACTGTTGGTGACATCTAATCTGGATGGTTTAGATCCAATGGGTAAGTTTATAATTTCTTCAAAATTTTCATTCTGAACAGATACACCATTTTCATTTGGTTGTTTTTCCAAATCGGGAGTGCTAAGGAATTTGAAAAATAAAAATAGAAATAAGTTAGTCTTAAAACTGGAAAACACATTATTAGGAAAACCAAAATGTTTTATAATGAATAATTTTATAAATCTACAATTAAAAAAATCAGACTGGTGAGTCACATCATTACTAACAAAAATAATAAATTGTGGTGTATTTGTACCTTAAATTCTTATTTTAAAAAATCTAGGTCAGGCACAGTGGCTCATGCCTGTAATCCTAGCGCTTTGGGAGGCCGAGATGGGAGGACTGCTCAAGGCCAGGAGTTCAAGACTAGCCTGGTAAACATAGCAAGACCCCCGTCTCTACAAAAGAAAAAAATTAGCTGTGTGTGGTGGCACGCACCAGTAGTCCAAGCTACTCTGGCAGTCGAGGTGGGAGGATCACTTGAGCTCAGGAGTTTGAGGCTTCAGTGAGCTATGATGGCACCACTGCATTCCAGCCTGGGCTATGGAGTAAGACCCTGTCTCTAAACAACAACAAAAAAATTTTAAATCTGTCATTTTGTTATGAAAATTATCAAATAGAACAATTTATCAATTACAACAGATCATCATTAATAGAAATAAATCATCATCAGCAGCAGTTCTACACATTTAATGATTTCTGCTGCAGGCATTTTTATATTCATCTGATAGAGTACCACTTATGAGGACCTTTGCCTCAAAGATGAGGGGATTATAATTTGGAGGGGGGAGTAAATGATTTGCACAAAGTCACACAACTACTGAGAGATAGTTGAGGCTAAATGCACGATCTCTTAATCTCTGGTCCTGTGTTTTTCTCATTAAGCCATTTCGCACACTTTCTAGATATTCCAGCCTCCTAAAGCCCTTGCATAATTTCATATGTAAATTTTTGAAGACCGATCTTCTTATCTTTGCCCCTTAAATCTGCCTCTGACCTCATCTTGATCCTTATGAATTCATGCTTAATATCTTGGATTTATTTTTGAGATATACTTAATTGGCCCCAAATACTTAATCTTCTATGGTTTGTCTTAGATTACCACTCTCTGTTATAGGCTTATTATTATGCTTTACAATGTAGCCAAATAATGCCTATGCATCAAATGAGTGCTAAACTAATTTTACCATTCATTTTATTTCATTGCAGCATATACATATGTGTGCAAGCTTCAAAACTTGTTCAATGCTCAACAAATTAACCTTAGTCTCAGTAATACCAACTGCTTGAACATTGTTAGCAAGTCAGTTTGTCTTCTCAAATTGTAAAACAATGCTAATGTAAATCCAACCTTTCTATTGCTTTTTAACACTTTGCTTTTTTTTTGCCTGATTGAATAAATAGTTTACTTTCTTTTTCCTTTTTTGAGAAGGGTCTCACTCTGTTGCCCAGGCTGGAGTGCAGTGGTACAGTCTCAGCTCACTCCAACTTCTGCCTCCTGGGTTAAAGTGGTTCCTGAGTCTCAGCCTCCCAAATAGCTGGGACTACAGGGGCAAGCCACCATGCCTAGCTAATTTTTGTATTTTTAGTAGAGAAAGGGTTTCTTCGTGTTGGCCAGGATGGTCTCGAACTCCTGGCCTCGAGTGATCTGCCCCCATCGGCCTCCCAAAGTGCTGGGATTACAGCCATGAGCCACCACGCCCAGTCAAAATAGTTTACTTTCTCTACTGAGTGAGAAGTATTGACTTTGGAACACATACTAAAGCATTTCTGATTTGAATATTTGTGTATTTTTAAAATTATTAAACCTTCCTTTTTTACGGAAAAAATGAAGATGCCTGTCCTAAGTGTCTCACAAGGCATTGCAGAATACACTGAAAACATTATTTGTAAAATAATCTGAAATATTATACAGTGTGATGATGCTTTTCTGCTATTTTACTAAGAAGGGAAGGGAATGCCACTAGGCATTATAAGTCTCCACAAGAGTACAGTCACACACATGTGCACATGCCCCCCCCCCCAAGTCACGTGTGCACACACATGCCTAACATCTACTGTTCTAAGTGCCTGGGCTGCCACACCCATCTTCCTGTTCTTGCCTAACACCAACAGCCTTTCTGTAACTAGGGAAACAATTTTGGTTCTTAATACAGAGAGAATTTAAGTAGAAGTCCTGGCAAAGGATAAAGAACAGGAACGTATCTCCAGAGCCCCCTTTCCTTGGCAACCTTAACCTGTCACCTTCCAGGCCTGCATGTACTAACAAGTCATAATGGCAATGGCTAACCCCAGACTTGAGCCAGTATCAGATTTCATTTCCCCTCCACCTGCCCATTCTACCTGCTGGCAATCAGAGGGATAATTGTGCCATATGCATTGGATGACAAGTCATGAAATGTTCAGGGGACATCGGGACTGGTAGAAACTATAAAACTGAAACTGAAGTACTGGGGTTAAGGAGTATGGATCCGTGTGTCCACTCAGAATAAGAGCACCAGCTTCTGAATTCCCTGCCTTCAGTTACCTTCTGAAGTTTGAAGACTGATGTAAGACTTTTGAAGACCGCACGCTTTGCTCCAGTCCAAAATGTGTACAGGCAGGGGTTGGGACCTTGGCAAGAATCTGCAGTCCACACAGCTTATGGAAGCCAGAACCTTATTTTCTCTTGATATTTATTAATTATGTTAAAACAAGTAACTTTTAAATTAAAAGGGATACATCTCTTCCTGTGTGAACAATAGGGGCCTGGGAATGTTACTTTTCCTTCAGGCCAAACTAAGAGCAATGATGAACTCAAGATTTGGAGGGAAAATGAATGGGTCAAACACCAAAATTACCAAAAACTTCTTATTTAAAAAAAAAGACGAACATTCTACGAAAAGACAGCTCCCCTACGGCAATGAACAAACATGAAATGTCTTCTGGAGTATTAGGAGGGTAAGGCAGTATCTGTATAGGCAGCAGAGCTTCTTAGCCTCTGGACTAGAGATTCTCAGCTAGGGGTAGAAGAACATCTCAGAATGACCTGAGAAACTGCAGATAACTTCCTCTGTTCCCATTCTGATATTCACCCCTGTCCTCCCCGACTTGTATTCATATGGATCCGTATCCTTTGTTTCCTGTTCCAAAGCAAGTTTCCTATCCATGGACAAATATTTTCCTCAATTCCTGTGGAACATCCCTCCACAAGTACTCTCTCTTAAGAACCAAACATGGCTTTTGAGTAAGAATGATCAGCTCAAGGGCATATATAATATTCATATATTTCATAAAGATATATTTCAAGTATTTTATAAACGTCGTATATCTTACATAGGAAAATGTATATATTCATTTATAAAATTTTATAAAATCCATATATGTTATTAATATATATTCATATATTTCTTTGAGACAGGGTCTCACTCTGTTGCCCAAGCTGGAGTGCAGTGGTGCAATCACGGCTTACTGCAGCTTCAATTCCCTGGGCTCAGGCGATCCTCCCGCCTCAGCCTCCCGCGTATCTGGGACTACAGATGCATGCCACTGCCCTCGGCTGATCTTTGTATTTTTTGTAGAGACGGGATCTTGCCATGTTGCTAGCTGGTCTTGAACTCCTGGGCTCAAGTGATCTGCTTGCCTAGACCTGCTAAAGTGCTGGGATTACAGGCGTGAGCCACCACACTTGGCATATTCACATATTTCTGTATACCTTTAAAATCTGGCCAGAATTGTGATAACTCAAACCCTCTTCCATTCTAACTAATGTCAGTGGGGAACCTGTCAGGGGGAAAAGAGATGGGCAAGAAAAATGGCTTTGGGGCAAAGGGGCCAGGCGTCTCACTCAGGAGTAAGGTGAGGAGTAGGGTTCAGGATACTTCTGGTACAGAGTTGTTCTATAACAAAGGGTCTCAGTCCTAGCTGCTAGGAAAAGTAATGTTAGGGGGTCGCCATCCTCCTGGGGTGCTGCTAGACAGTTTGCTGAAATATCTCAAGGTGGGGAGGAGCAAATGTAATTTAGTTCACAGCATTCATTTATTTACGAATATATTAGGTACTAAAGACATTAGGAAAAGTGATACTTCTCTCTCAATTTGAATGAAAAGATAGTCATTCTGAGCAGTGGAGTTTTCTAGCAAAAATAAATTCTACCACTATACTTGCATGATCTGTCATGATGGATTTTCATGGAGTATCAGGCACACCATGTTCTTTGGCAGGGACCCCGAGCATTTCCATTAATCAGTGATTTAATTCACAGTGGGCAAGCTGGAGGGATCTATAACTCTACTTGAGGTGCAAAGTAGGGTATTTAATAAAGATACTGACTGATCACAAGGATCATGGAATGCCTCACTAAAAATAATGCACTGAGATGAAAACCAAAGATTTTATAAGCATTTTAAGGTTGATTTGAAACTAGGAGTGAAAGGAAATATTTATGGATGTGATTTGTCATTTAAAGTTTTTAACAGAATTTCAGATGTAAAACTGTTTAAAAACCTGAGTTTCCACTGCATCAAAGGGAATGTTTATTCATGAATGGGAAGCTGTTTTGGGGATGGATTTTAAAGACAAGAATAGGCTGGGCGTGGTGACTCACGCCTGTAATCCCAACACTTCAGGAGGCCAAGGTGGGATGACTGCTTAAGGCCAGAGGCCAAGAGTTTGAGACTAGCCTGGGCAACACAGGGAGACCTAATCTCTATAAAAATATATATGTTTTAAATTAGCTGGGTGTGGTGGCTCGCACCTGTAGTCCCAGCTACTCAGGAGGCTGGGGTGGGAGGATCATTTGAGCCAGGAGGTAGAGGCTGCAGTGAGCCATGCTCGTACCACTGCACTCCAGGCTTGGTGACAGAGCAAGACTCTGTTTTATAAAATAAAAATAAAACAAAATAAAGACAGGAATAAGCAAGCCCTTCTCTAGATGGAAGAGTTTAAGTGGCAGAGAGCCCCAGGGATCAGTGCTAGGTTTAGTTTTATAATAATCGGAAGACAAGCAGGATAAAATTTAAGTATGCAGATAATGTTTATTCTTGGAAATGCAAGTCATAAAAATAGCCCCTCGAGAAAACAGGGAAAATCATGAAATGAGTGACAAGGCAGGCAGTCTGTAAAAGCAGTGGGTTTAGAAAACTGTCAGCTGAGCTATCCTTAAAAGACAGTGAATGATCAGTCACAATGGAGGTTAAGACATCTTGGGATCACTGCAAACTGTTCCTTGGTGATACTGACTCCTTGTGTTTTGATGGTAAAAAAAAAAAAAAAAACGAAAAAACAAAAAAAAGCCAATAAAATGCTAGGCAGGAGAAGATGGGATACCAGGAACAAACCAAAAGCATTATTTTACATCACACTGCAGCTACACCTAGTGTACTGTGTGTTTTCTGGACACTGCATTCATTTTAGGAGGATAAAGATAATGATATGTAACATTCATATAGTACAACAGTTTTTGGAACTCCTTCACAGATAGCATTTCACTGAACCTCCCAATACTTTGTGTGGAAAGTATCTCCATGTCCAGATGAGAAAACTAAGGTTTAATTAAGTAGGTTAACCCCACAGTTGCTGAACTTCTCAAAGGTAAAACTAGGGATCCAGCCTGGAACTTTTGGTTCTGAAGCTCTTTTTCCTCAACCCCATATTCATGCTGAAGAATCTCTGAAGAAATATGAATAAAATATTCAAACAGCTGAAGGAGTCTTTTAGAGATAAGGTAAATATGTCAGTTATTGATTTACTGCCTCTCAGCTCCAAATTCACCCATCATTCCTGTTCTGTGAAACTGGATCCAGACCTGTTAAATAATTATCCTTTGCCACTGCTGGAGAGACACTGCAGCAGAGTTTTGCTTTCTGGTCGGTGTGTGCTTGCTCAGCAGGCTTCTTTAGCATACACGTGCTTTTCCCAGTGCCTGGCTCCTGCAGTGCACAGTGGCCAGCAGCCTCCCCCCAGCACCCCCACTGGGGCAGATTCATGGTAGAGTGCTTCTGGGGAGACAGTGAACAGCTTTCCTAGGCACTCTAGAGGGTGGATCTCTGGCAAGTTCTGCTGGCAAGAAAACATAGCAACTTCTCTGGCATCCAATACAAACAGTTATATCCTCTCTAACAAGGTCTGGATTACAGACCTGCAGGGTAAGGGATCTTTCTTCTTGGGTGCAACACTAGGGTATGTGACTGCTCCTTGTATCTGCTATTCGTATTTTTTTTTTTTTTTTTAACAGGGTCCCACTCTGTTGCCCAGGGTGGAGTGCAGGGGCATGATCAAGGCTCACTGCAGCCTCGACCTCCTGAGCTCACGCCATCCTCCCACCTCAGTCTCCTGAGTAGATGGGACGATAGGTGTACGCCACTGGGCCTGGCTAACTTTTTGTATTTTTAGTAGAGATGGGGTTTTGCCATGTTACTCAGGCTGGTCTCCAACTGGGCTCAAGTGATCCACCTGCCTCAGCCTCTCAAAGGGCTGGGATCACAGGTGTGAGCCACCACACCAGGCCCCTAAATTCTTTAGAATTCTCTTTCTTTTTTCCTTTTTTCCCTATCATTCCCACAAGTGCTCTTTATTTCTTATAAGCCAAACCAAAATCATAGTTACTCCATCCTATTTACTCCAATCCGAATGATAGTTATTCTTTAAATTTTCTCCGGTTTAAATCTATGTTTTTTTCCTTCTGATTAGACCCCGACTGATACAGTAAACATAATAGGAGGATTCAGCTTATAAAATAAGTGTAGACAGGGAATAGAAATAAGACCCATAAAACTATGAAGGGTATGGAAACTACAAACAATGACATTCTCTAAAACCTAGTTTATGATAACTATGGGTCCTAACCTTGAAACTGCAAAGAGCAGCTATAAGATAAATAAAAGTACTTCTTTATGCCCTTCTTTTCTTGTACTTGTTGCTATAAGAGGTAATACAAGGCAAAAATACAGATTGTTTCAAGATCGATCTGGATGAATTCAAGGATGACAAATTTCAAAATAATTAAGGGAAGCAGAATTTCTTAGGCTACATATCACAAACTGTGTGTCATATAATGGGGACCAAACTTAACATCACATTAAACATTTCCTACAGGTCAGTGTCATTCAGAAATGCACTGTTTCTCAAACTGGGGTCCTGTTCTTTACATGATTTTTAAAAATTTATGTTTTCACCCAGGTAACTTAAAAAAATAATGTACAGTCTGATCATCTGTCTGACTGATTATCACAAAGCTGAGTTTTGCTACATAATTTCAGTGCTCCATTTTCAGGTGTATTTCAAAGCATACTGATATCAGGTAGCACCAGCTTATTTGACAAGGGCTAATGACATGAACCAGCTGAACTGCTAAATAAATATGCTAGTGCCATGTAAAAGCCAAGTATCATCATGGCACTCTGTATTAAAAAGAGGTTAGGGGTTTTAAAGCAGTTCAAACAGAGAGAAGCAGTGAGTGAAATGAATCATGGTTATCCCTAATGCAAAAGGGATCAATCAGTACCATATGTATATTACCCACTTAATTTCAGAAAAACATCATTCTTCACAATAATTTCACTGTTCTTGATTTTACAGCTTTATTTATTTTTTTGAGACAGGGTCTCGCTCTGTCACTCAGGTTGGAGTGCAGAGTTCTGATCAAGGCTCACTGCAGCTTTGACCTCCTGGGCTCTAGTGATCTTCCCACCTCAGCCCCCCAAGTAGCTGGGACTACAGTTGTGTGCCACCATGCCTGGCTAATTTTTGTATTTTTTTAGAAAAGGGGTTTCACCATGTTCCCCAGGCTAGTCTTAAACTCCTGAACTCAAGTGATCTTCCCACCTTGGCCTCCCAGAGTGCTGGGATTACAGGCGTAAGCCACCATGCCCGGCTGGTATTTAGTATTTGAGGGGCAAAAGCATTTAGGTGGCTACTGCAAACATCCAGGGACTTGGTCAGTGGGGGTGCCCTAGAAATGGAAATCAAGGGATAGAAGGGTAACACTGTGGGGGAAGGTTGAAAGTAGTTTTATTATTTATGTAAATTTGTGATCTGCTGTTTTGGCTTTATAAATGAACAAGGGCTATAGAAATTTTAAACCTAAATTTATATTTGTAAAAATAATACAAGTAACTCTGGGAATCTACTATATATATATATATATTATATATATAAAATATATACATCTACTATATATAAAAATATGTATCTACTATATATAAAAATATATATATCTACTATATATAAATTTCCTTTATATAAATTCTTTTAAATTCCTATAAATATATATAAATTTCCTTTAAAGGAAATATATATCTACTATATATAAAAATAAATTTCCTTTATATAAATTCCTTTAAATTCCTATAAATATATATTTCCTTTAAAGGAAATATATATATAGTAGATATATATAAAAATATATATAGTAGATATATATATATAGTAGATATATATAAAAATATATATAGTAGATATATATATATAGTAGATATATATAAAAATATATATAGTAGATATATATACATATATATATTTCCTTTAAAGGAGAGACACTGGAGTAGATGGCCAATGGATTTCATATTAGGCTTATTCTTATATTCTGATGTTTATGTCTGATGCTCATCTGGACCTGCCTGTATTGTCAGGTGAAAGTAGAAAAAGGCTATGCTTATGTTTCTTCTAATGGTTTGACAGGGATTATCTTACATATATGACAAAGGATAATTTATTTGTTGGGTAAAGATGGATGACACCAGTAAGTTCATTTTGGTTTCATTACAAATTGTTGCTTTTCTGTGTGTGGAAAAGGCTAAAATATAACAGAATTTTATTATCTGTATCAAATATAGTAAAATTATTTTTCAGGTTCTTATATAATGATTAATTGCTTGGTGATATTACTACTGAAGAGAGTCAAATTATGCATAAATTAACTTTATAGATCAGATAACATAATCAGTGGCTTAAGAAGCTATGGTAGGCTGGGTGTGATGGCTCATGCCTGTAATCCCAGCACTTTGGGAGGCCAAGATGGGTGGATCACTTGAGGTCAGCAGGTCAAGACCAGCCTGGTTAATATGATGAAACCCATCTCTACTAAAAATACAAAAATTAGCTGGGTGTGTCTCCTTGAACCCAGGAGGTGGAGGTTGCAGTGAGCCAAGATAACACCACTGCATCCAGCTTGGGCAACAGAGTGAGAGTCTGTCTCAAAAAAAATAATAATAAAAGAAACTATGGTAGGCATTGTCTGTTCCCCATAATAATGGGATTCTCTCTGTGGTATCTTTTATTCTTTTTTTTTTAAAAAAGAAATCTCTGAAGTCAATGAATTGAACATAATAAGTTTTAGGGAATGAATTTAAAAAATCTAATTAAAACTAAGAAAAAAATACCATTTAATATAGATCTTAGGTAATTACAACAATAAAGTTATTCAACATAATTGGAAATGAATTATTAAGATCTCTCAGGGTATTCTCTTTGGTATTATAGTAGGCAAAAAATAAATAAATAAAAATTCCACAGTCTCAGAAAGATATCAACACAATAGTAGGGACTTACCTTTTAACTGCTGCCCATTACATTATAAAATGTTACATTACATTATAAAATTACATTATAAAATTACATTATAAAATGTAGTGTCTGTGTGTCTGTACTTATCCTGGCCAAAAGCCGAGAAACAATTATGTGTTTTTAGATTAAGAAAATAATTTGAGGACTTTCAGATGTCTGTTGGTAGCAAAGACTGGCATTAAAGACAGGAAGACTCATACATTAAGTAGATTTCCCAAATTTAAAAAGTCATAGCTAAATTTTTTTGAACATTATTAAAAATATTTCTGCAAGTTCTCTATGATTGGATTTTTAGGCACAGGCTATGATTACCCTTATTTTTCGTTTTTGAAAATGTTCATATGATGCTGTTGATATAATTACAAGAAAAGAGAAAGGCAATCTTTCTGAAATCCAGACTGTTTTCTAGGCTGTTGTTAGCAACTGTCTGGTTCTTCAATAAGAAGCCCTGTTATTAATAATATAAGAAATACTGACATCTACATGACTTTTATATGGAACAAACATGTAAGTCACTGTAATATTATGCATGGCTAAAATGCAATTGTTATATACCATTAAAGAATGTGGATATGGTCCATATCAGGCTAAATATACACAAAGAAAACTAACAGATTATCACTTGTTTTTTGTTTTGTTTTTTGAGACAGGGTCTCACTCTGTCACCCAGGCTGGACTGCAGTGGCAGGAGTTTGGCTCACTGCATCCTTGACCTCCTGGGCTCATGCAATCTTCCTACCTCAGCCTCCCAAGGTGGGACTACAAGCACACACTATCACGTCTGCTAGTTTTGCTATTTTTTTTTGTAGAGATGGTGCTTTGCTATGTTGCCCAGGCTGGTCTAGAACTCTCAGCCTTAAGTAATCCTCCCTCCTCAGCCTCCCAAAGTGTTGGGATTACAGGAGTGAGCCCTGCACTTGGCCACTTGTAATATTCTTGGAACAGTCACACTAAATCCTCACCATTACATTTAATGACTTGAGAAAAAAGATATTTCCACTTTCTTGGAGTACAGAATTACTAGCTCAACCAAAAATCAATGAGGCCCCCCCCAAATAATAAATCCTAATGTTAAGACTTTGAAATTCTGGTGGAGCTGGTGGGTAAAAACAGTAATGTTTTACTTTAATGAATGTCAGTGAAAACTCACCTCTCCACTGTCACTTTTGACTGGTGTGAGGTAACCACATGTGGGCTGCCAACTGGCTTTCCATTTCCCGGAGCGTTTGTTGTACATGGAAGTGCAGACACCTCTGGGCATAGTAAAGGAGACAGAACACAGGGTTACTAATATTCTTTTCTTAGACCTAACCTCCAAGAGCCAGAATGCCTTGATTTATGTGCTGGTTCTGCTACTTAAGTGATGTGAGACCTTGGGCACATCACCTAAACTCTCTGTGCCTTAGTTTCCTCATTAGTAATAGTACCTACTTCATAGATTGTTAGAATTAAATGTATTAATATTAATACATGTAAAGGACTTAGAACAGTGTTTGGCATGTTGGAAGGGCAAAGTATTATTATTTTTCCTTGCACTAAAGTTACATGAAGTATATAATATTGAAACCAAAGCAACTGATAAAGATAGCAGTAAGCTGACTTGATCAAGCTGACACTGAATATCTTTACAAAGGATTCAGAGCAAATCACCAAGGAACACCATAAGTATTAAAAATATTTTTGAAAACTCAGTTTAGTCCTATGCACACTTAGAACAATGAGGATTTCACGAATGGAAAGCAGTGTACTGTACCTCACCATTCCACCTCATTATTCAAAGCTCAATGTTGCAGCCCACTTTAAGCTGACAATATTGATGACTGCCTCTAAAATACAGGACAGGGTTACTTATAAACCTTTATATAGGCCAGAGTTTCAGATATATCTGTGGTAGATTATGGTTTCAGCTTGATGTGAGAGAATAACTGAAATAATTCCTACCCCTCACCCCCTTGCCCCCTGCTTTTTTTTGAGACAGGGTCTCATTCTGTCACCCAGGCTGCAGTGCAGTGGTGTGATCACGGCTCACTACAGCCTCGACCTCCTGGGCTTAGGCAATCCTCCTGCTTCAGCCTCTCAAGTAGCTGGAACCACAAGTACATGCCAACATGCCCAGCTAATTAAAAAAAAATTATTTGTAGAGACAGGGTCTTGCTATGTTGCCCAGTCTTGAACTCCTGAGCTCAAGTGATCCTCCTGCCTCAGCCTCCCAAAGTGTTGGGATTATAGGCATGAGCTACCTCACCTGGTCTGAAATAATTTCAAGACAATGTTATTTTACAACCTGGCACAAATTCAATAAAGCTGCCAGAGGTACAAGAGATCTGATAACTAAGGCAGAAAGGTAAGTGATAATTTCAAATCTGCCCAAATTTGCAAAGCTGGTGACAGGCAGCCCCTGAGAAAACATATGATAGGTCTGTAAACTCGCCTGCCTGCATACCCACCTTAGAATTCTCTTTGTAGCACTGGTAACACCAGTCAGCCCGCAATCAGATGTGGGACTGGGAGAAGGGGAATATTTGTTAGGCACAGCTAATCCTCAAGCCTCCTTTTAGCAGTTTTAACTCAAATCAAATTTACATGAGTGTTGATAAACACAGCTATGCCAAACAGCAAGTTTCACCTTCCCTCTTGCCTTTGTTCATTCTTGGATTGATTTATAAAGAATACTGAAAGAACAGATAAGGAAAGGGCAGGAAGGGGGAAAATGCAAACAAACCAACAAGGAGACTGGACAGGCACAAACTACAGCATTAGCCCCTCAAATAATCTTGAGCTGGTGCAATTTACAGCTTAAATTGATCACTCTGACAACTCACTGGGTACTATGCCTACTTACAGCCTGTGTCTATTACAATATTCTTGAAGACAGTATGCTAAAAATGCAATGGGGTTATAATATACAACCATTAAGACTATTCTCCAAACATACACATACATACATTAGAGCATCTTTAAAAGAGCATGAAAACTCCACTATAAAGGAATTATGACATACAGAAACCAAAATAGCTTCTATGGAAATAAAACCAAGTCCCAAAATACCAATAATACTTTACATTTGAAAACCCTTAATGTTTATAGGCAATGTTCTGTCACATAAACCGTTGGATTTGATCTTTGAGCAAAAGGTATTCCAGCCTTTGCTTTTGTTTGTAAACAGAAAAAGAAAACTGCAGTACCTCTGGTCTTTTCTTTTCATATTGATATCACACATGAGGAAAGAGGAAGACAATGATGAGCTATCTACTAACCACCTGCATGTACAATCATGAAGACCACGAAGGATCACTGAAGGAGCAGAATCAGGAGCTGGGGGACCGGGGCCCCAGCTGCGTAAGCCTGGCCTGTCATTGGACCTGAGTGCCCCTGTGGGTAGAGGGACTTTGCCTATTTGTTCACACTGAATCCCAGCCCTATAACACGGCCTGGCACATAGAAGAGCTTCAAAAATGCTTGTTGACTCAAAGACAAAGCAAACCACTTCACAAGGCAGCAGTAGGAATTATGTATGAAAGATGTACCTGATACAAAAAGGGCACTTAATATTAATTTAATCTGAGTATTAAGGCTAATTTCACTTTTATTTTAAATACATTTGACTTATAATCTCCAAAAAAAAATCAATAATCTCTTTCCAAAGCCGATGGCATATCAGTAACTCTAATGAAATTTCAAGATCACTGTACATTATATGTATGGAAATATCACTCTGGACCCCAAGAATATGTACAACTATTATTTGTCAATTAAAAAAATAAGAATTTCAACAAATTTTTAACTTTATTTTGAAGTCAGATCTAAGATAAATAACATTTAAATCATTTTTCTGAGAACTTCTATAATACAAGTTGTCCAATGTGTAAATTTAAAGTCCTTTCTTAAGAGGAAATATAAATATACACTACTTGAGCAGACAGTATGTGATAAATGAAATTTAGTTTTATAAACTCAAAAGAAATTCTTCTAAAAGTATATGTATACACATATATGTATAAGTATATATACATATATGCATAAATACATATTACATAAGATGATTTAAAATATCAAGCAACCCATTAGAGTATAAACAAACGTGAAAAGTAACTGGTAGAAACACTAGACAGTTTTACATAAGAGGAAGGAAGGACTCGATGACAGACCCCTAAGCTTCTGTGAGTCTGTAAGCACTGGATCTTTTTTCCCTCCATCAATTCCTGAATATCTTCACCCCTGGAGAGTCAATTTAAACATTTTATATATAAATTGGTTTGAGTTCATTGACAGAAATACCTGTTCCTCCAGTGAGAGCTCCCTTGGCTATATCACCGTTTCTCTGATCACTGGTTTTCTACGAAGAAGAAAAAAAGAGGACTTTTAAAAATTAGAGTTACAAGTGAAAATGAAAAAGATAAAAGCATACAAAAGTAGTTAGAAAACGGCCATGTCAATACCTTATCTGTAGCTTCTGTTCTCCTGGTTCTTTTCATAATCTCCTCAAGTCGCTATAGGAAAGGAAGAATTGAGCAAGAAGATTAGACACAGAAAAAAAGCCAGCCTGGCATATTTAACTGATGAAATAGATTATTTAAAATGGTCTGTTATTTTGGAAAAATACAATATGCACTTTTTTTTTTTTTTTTGAGATGGAGTCTTGCCCTGTCACGCAGGCTGGAGTGCCGTGTGGCAAGCTCTCAGTTCACTGTAGCCTCTGCCTCCTGGGCGCAAGCTGCCTCAGTCTCCCAGGTAGCTGGGATTACAGGCGCCCGCCACCACGCCCAGCTAATTTTTACATTTTTAGTAAAGACAGGGTTTCACCATGTTGGCCAGGCTGGTCTCGAACTCCTGACTTCGGTGATCTACCTGCCGTGGCCTCCCAAAGTGCTGGGATTACAGGCATGAGCCACCCGGCCCAGCAGTGCTGCTTTGTCTTAACTGGGGTTATTCAAGAAAGTTGGAACTGCCTTAAGCTACATGAAGTGGAAGTAAGTGTTTTTTGGTGACGGCTAAAACACCGAGAGAGATTTCTTTGCAGGAGATTGTTATCACTGAGGGGGCTACTAGTTTATGTGGCAAGGGTAGAACACGCGTTTTCTGACGGCCAGGGCTAGTCTCTGGGTCTTAGAGGTGCAAGTTCGCGTCCCGGGCCTCTCTACTAAGACGCAGCTACCTTCTTTCTCTCCAGGCGCTCTTGCTCTTCTCTCTGGAAATGCTTCTCTCGTTCCTGCCGGACCCTCTCTGCTTCTTCACGAACGCGAGCTTCTTCTTCTTTCTGAAAACAGAAGGTCGGCGTCTGCCTCTGACAAACAGGCGGGCTGCCCGGGTCTCCCAGGGGGTGCCCAGAGGTGGGGGCGAGGTGGCGGATGGAGAAGGTGTGGAAAGCGGGAGCACCAGCAGTCCAGTCCGCACCCTCCTCTGCTGGGCTGGGGCGTCTCCCTGCGGGACTGGGGCCGGGGCCAGGGTGGGGTGCGGCCGCACCTGCCTCTGGGCGCGCTCTGCCTCCTCCCGCTCGCGCAGCGCCCGCTCCTCCGCCTGCCGCTGCAGCTGCTCCTCCTTCTCCCGGGCCTGCTCGGCTTCCAGCCTGCGCGACTCCTCCTCACGGCGAGTCGTCCTCTCTTCAGCCACACGTTGAGCCAATTCCTCTCTCTTTTGTCTGGAAAAAGACAGAACAAAACCAAAACCAAAGACACCTGAGGAGAAATCTTTGAAGAGAGGCCTCCGTCGGTGGTTCTGTAGGGCGGTTCCTTTAGGCGTCCAGTAGAAAAATCCCCACTGGATGCCTTCACCACTGCTAAGGGACAAAGCGCGAAGCCACCCTTAGACTTCCTCCCGCCTTGCCAGCTGCATTGCTGTCCGTGCTAAATAGAAGCAACGTGTAACCACCAATATCTTGGGGAGAGCTGGCTTTTTGGAAGGAATTTAACTATTTTTTAAAGGCTCTGACTTGTTTAATTCAAATAATGTGACTTCTTAGTAATGAATTTGAAGCACCCCAGCCAAAGGGAATCTTTGTAAATAAATAAGGGTCACAGTGTTCTGTCACAGGACAGGAGGAAGACAGCCATGTAAGCTCCCTGTTGGAGCCAAGGGAAAGGCATGGCCAAGATGGCGGTCCAGCGAGTGCATGAGATCCTTCCCCAGGGTACAGTTGTGTTCGTTTGAAGAACAATTATATTGACATTCGTCTTATTAGGCCCAGAAGATGACCAATTAAACAAACTGTTTCTGGAATACTGCCTGGCAGGCAATCATGGGGCATGTAAAGATCCCACCTGGCTACCCTCCGAGAGGAGTTTTATCTGGAAAGGAGAAAACATGAACCCTTATTATGCAGCCTTAATGTGATAATTACAAAGATAAAACGGAAACCTGGAGATTGGAGATGTGTTAAGTAAAAAAGCAGACTGTACAATTGTACCTCTGCTGTGGTTATAATTATGTAAATATGTATATGTATGTATATATACACACACACTCCCATACTGTTGAGAGACTAGAAAGGACCACCCAAAATGTACACTATTACTGAAAATTGGTATGATTATGGATTTTTTTTTTCTTTAAAGCTTTCTCCATCAATGTTGTTGCACTGTCATTAAAATAAGAAAACATGGCTGGGCATGGTGGCTCATGTCTGCAATCTCAACACTTTGGGAGGTTCAGGTGGGAGGATCCCTTGAGCCCAAGAGTTTGAGACCAGCCTGGGCAATATAGTGAGACCCCATTTCTATTTAAAAAAAAGAAGAAGATGTGATTTAAAAAACAAACTGCTTAGTAGTCATAGGAAAATTAGGTAAGAGTAATCCTGAAAGAACTAATCCATTCACTTTCATCAGTATTATCACCTCCTCCCTCTCAGAGGGGTGATGAGTTAATCCAAAGTATCACTGACACCATGGTGTGGAGCAATGTCTCCCATTTACCTTTCAAGCTCTTCCTGCTCCCTCCTCTCCCTTTCTTCCTTTTCTCTCTGCTCTCGGGCCAGCCGCCTCTTCTCAGCTAGAAGCCTTGTGGCCTCCTCTGGGTCGGTGGTGCCTGCAGAAGTCTTAACAGAAGCACTGGCATTCACAGTGGATGACGGGGCTGAGACCATGGCTGGGGTGGGGACCGGGGCTGGAGCTGGGGCCGAGGCTGGAGCTGGGGCCGAGGCTGGAGCTGGGGCCATGGCTGGAGCAGCTGCACAAATAGGTACAAGGAGAAAACCAGTTGGAAACAAAATCCAAAGAACAAAACCAAAACTAGCATTCCCCACATCCAAGGCCTAGAATTTACCATTATGAAAGAAAAGGGAATGTTTATTACTGTGTGTTCTCACGGTTTCACTATGTTCTATCTGTAACCAAGCAACAGATAAAAAAAATCAGTATGTGTAAGTAAGACATCCAACAAAGCTGACACTCTGTCACCAAGTCTTATTTTTATACCAGTTAAATCAGTTAACATATATTGAATGTGTACAAAGCCTCATGTTAGAGTCTGTGGGGAGTTATACACTGAGCAAAAAGAAGATGAGATCATCCATTTGTCTTTTATTGCATTTGAAAATTCCTACTCTTCGGTAACCATTCATTACTAGAGCAGCATCCTCAGCATCCATGCCATGAGTCCAGATTCAGCCTGGGAAGATGATACCCTATGAAGAGGACCCTTTTGTCTCCCCAGAGCTGTCTCTAGGTCTGAGATGGGAGGAGCTCGGGGCCTCTTTGGGAGCTGGTGCTCATTCTGCTTATATATCCCAAGCTGCCAAGATGCAAGATGGGAGCAGAAGTTCTCTGGCCTTACTCGGATTTAGGAAGATGACCTAGAGAGCTGGTGCCCCAGAAGCCCCACACTGATGCTCACAATTCTGCACCACAGTGAGCAAGGCACCAGCAAGTGCAAGCTCTGGCCCCTGGCTGCTCCAGCCCCTCCTTTTGAGAGTCACATTTCTACTTCTGCTTCCACAGACTTTTCTCGGCCATCATGATGCTCTAGCCCTTCTTTCCTTCCTTTTTCCATGGAAACAAATACTGGACTCCTCCTTTTTCTAACATTTTAACCTGTTTTGAATCATCTCTTCTTTCTTTGCCCCACCCTCTATCTTCAAATTAAGTCTTTTGAATGAAGACAATTCTCAACTAGAAATATTGAATTCACAGCTCCAGGTGGTTTTAAATTTCTAAATAGCATCTGGCTAGCCTGGCAGAGGTGAGAACCAGTGGGCCTTCTGGAAAAAAATTCTGACTTCTATCAAGCACACAGGCTATACCAGGGGTCCTTAAACTCCAGTATGCACAGGAATAGCATTGCCAGATTTAACTGGCCACCCTGTGTTCTATCTGGCAACCATGTTTAGGAATCAACTGACAAGCTTAGTATCTTTCAGAGTCCTCATATCCACCACTACATATTCTGACTTAGTAAGTCTGAGGTAAAAACCAAGGGTCTGTATGTCAAAACATTATAGATGTGGTGGTTTAAAAATATTTCCAGTTTTCCTCAGCTGCTGCCAAGCTGCACTCGGTCCCTCTGAGGAATGTAGGGCCACATTGAAGTGGAACCCTCACTTCATCTGGCAACTAGCACCTTGCCTGGCAGTGCCAGCCCCACACTTGCTCACACCATGGCCTCTGTTTCTGAGCTCGCCTGCATTCTGCATAAGGCTCGGCCCTCATTCTGCATGAGGGTGAGGTGACCGTCAAGGAGGATAAGATCAATGCCCTCATTAAAGCAGCTGGTGTAAATGTTGAACCTTTTTGGACTGGCTTGTTTGCAAAAGCCTTGGCCAATGTTGACATGGGGAGCCTCATCTGCAATGGAGGAGCTCGTGGACCTGCACCAGCAGAAGGTCCTGCCCCCTCCACCAATGCTGTTCCAGCTGAGGAGAAGAAATAGAAGCAAAGAAAAGAGAGTCTGAGGAGTCCAAGGAGGATATGGGCTTTGGTCTTTTTGACTAAACCTCTTTTGTAACAAGTTCAATAAAAAGCTGAACTCTTAAAAAAAATTCTTTGAAAACTCTCTCTTCAAAAGTTGGAGACTATGTTTCTCCTTGAGTGTGAGTTCCACCTAGTGACTTGCTTCTACTTAACAGAATGTGGCAGAAACATTGGTGTGCGACTTCTGAGACTGGGTCATAAAATACATTGTACATTCCTCCTCATTCTCTCTTCCAGGTCACTCACTCTGGCAGAAGCCAGCAGAGCAAGCAGATAGATGAGGACATTCAGCAATAATATGGAGCGGTCCATGTGTGGAGAAGCTGAGGCCACCCGCCCCCGGCCTTGTATGTAAGCCACCTTTCAGATCTGGTTGAGTCTTGAGATGACTGGAGCTCTAGTGGACAGCTTGACTGCAATCTCATGAGCGGTCCTGAGCAGGGACCACCCAGCTGTGCTGCTGCCAAATTCCTGACCCAAGAATCCATGTGATATGATAAATGTTTGTTGTTGTTTCATGCTGCTAATTCATTATGCAGCAATAGATAATGAATACAACAGGTGATTTTGATGCAGGTGCTCTGAACACATTTTGTGAAATGGACTCAGCCAATAAAAGCACTGAGAACCTACACCTGAATTCACGTGTTTGTGGCTCTATCAATAGGCTTTTGGATGTATGATTTGAGATTTACATTTCTACTTCTGCTTCCACAGATTTTTTTCATGGCTATTATGATGTTCTATGACCCTCCTTTCCTTTCTTTCTTTTTCCATGGAAGCAAACACTGGACTCCTCCTTTCTCTACCATTTTCACCTGTCTTGAATCATCTCCTCTTTCTTGCCCCACCCTCTATCTTCAAATTAAGTCTTAAGTAGAAAACTTTGGAATGAAGACAGTTTTCAACTAGAGATATTGAACTTCAAGCTCCAGGTGGTTTTACATTTCTAAGTAGCATCTGGTTACCCTGGCAGAGGTGAAAACCAGTGGGTCTTCTGGAAAAAATTCTGACTTCTATCAAGCACACAGGCTACGCCAGGGGTCCTTAAACTCCAGTATGCACAGGAATAGTGTTGCCAGGTAATTTTTTACTTAGCGTTGCTAAGTAAAAAACTATTTTTAAGCAATGCGAAGTTAAAATATTATACTTAAGGAAAGGTATTAAACTTAACCTTAGAGTAAAATTTCCAAGTCTCCAATAAAAGAAGAAAAGGAAAACAAAAAAAGCTTCATCAAAACAGTGCGGGAGAAAAAGAGAGAGCACCCAGACCACAGGTGAGTTTGCTCTTACCAGGGCCAACTTCTGGTTCAGCAGGTGTCCGCTCTTCAACTGTGGCTTCTTCTACCTTCACTAAAGGTGCTCTGCCCTTTAGTGAGGGCTCATTGGCAACTTTCTGAGGTTCCTTCTCAGGATCTTTCTTCTCAGGCTCCACTTTGACTTCCCTCTTGACAGGGCGGATGTTGCCGGGGGATGGGGGCCGGACCTGAGCAGGAGCAGCTTTGACTGAGCCGGGTGGCAAGGAGGATGTCGGTCTGGGTGTGCCAGGCAAATGAGGAAGAGACTTGGACGGAAGCCTGGGCCACAAACAAACAAGGCAGACAAAAGGGGACACATGAGAACAGGCTTGCCAGAACCTAGAACACGACTCGATGGAAGAGAATGCAGATATTTAGCTCCGTGTATTTGTTTTTTATGTGGTAGATACAGAAATAGAGTTGCTTTAGGGAACCATTCCAATTTCTCTTTTTTCTTTCCTTTTGGGAAGAATGCTATTCCCTAAGTCAAAGCCAAACAGCATGAGAAGAACAGTTCACTTTCAGAGGAGAGAGCTACTAATTCTCTAACATGAAACAACCCAGCCAGCCACTTATATTTCACTTACCAAAGTCGGGAGCGAGCTGGTTGTCTTGCTTTGGGATTAGATGGAGATACAGCCCTTCGGGTGCCAGATGTGAGGAAGAGTACATTTTCTCTCTCTCTTTCTTTTTTATAGCTCTAAGTTCAGAGAAACTCAATAGTTAGATTTTTCCACAAGCGAGGCAAACACACTCACAATACTCAACAGTGGAGCTAGAAACCATTGAATGACTTTTAAGAAATTTTCTTAGCTATGTCACATATACCCATTCCATCTCAACAAAAGGCCCTTGTTAGCTTAACACTGAACAGTATAACTGAATTAACACAATGTGACACTAATAAGGTGATTCCGGATGTGTTGGAGTCATATTTGTCAAAAAGCATATGTGTGTACATACTTTTAGAAAGCACCTATACTTTGTGTCTAAAATTAATTACCTGAAGCAAAACGTCCCATTCTGGTTTATCCCCCACAAATGTCAAATGTTACTTTCATTTTTTAAAAAATTTTAATTAAAACACATCTTTTTCTTTTTAATTCTTCAACATTTTCCCCCCAAACACACTATATCTCAGTCTTTAAAAAAATTATATGCCTGCTATATTAGACATAAACTCATTTTTTTCTTTTATATTGATGTTGTATAATGGAATCAAGTCCTTCTTCACCTACTGTCCTCTTGCAGCAATAGATAACTGATACAATAGGTGATTTTGAAGAAAAGTCAGGTTTAAAGTGAGGAATTTCAGCTATTTATTTTTTTGCTCTTCCTTACCAGGAATAAACTGAAATCTGAAGGTGGGCCAAAACATCACCCCTCCCTGATTGCCAACTAGGAATTCAGCTTGAGAGATGACACTTTCCTAAGTCAAAATGGGCAAAGGGAAGCCCAGAGAAGTGTTCCACTACTCTAAAGTCAATGAAGACCAAAACAAACAAACAAAAATTGTACAGAGCAAAACAGACCCATTCCAAGTATCTGAAACCTGACAATGCCCTCAGGTGGGAGGGGCACGTGCTGGAGGCACCTATGTGAACACCTGTCAGGAGGGCAGACTGCAAGCGTACATGGGAAGGGGCAGAGTATTATCTAGCCCCAGGTCACATGAACTAGTACTGTACCTTTTCTTCTCTCCTTTTCTGCCTGGCTCAAGCATCGACTCCTCTTTTCCTTCCTTTCCCTTTTGTTCCCCTCAGTGTCCCTTTTAATTGCTTCCCTCCATTTTCCTTAGCAGCATCCTAGTTGATGGTCTGGGTTATCAGAGGAGCAAAAACATTTAAGTGTCAAATAATGCTCATTGTCTCCCTGGGATTTCTAAACAGAAAAAATGAAGAAAGAGGCAGAGAAGAGCTTCACAAGGTGTGTGCCAGCTCTGCATCATTTCCAGCTGCTCAACCACCATTTCTCCCATTTTAGGTCCCCAAAAGTAGGAGGTGGGGCCTCACAGAGCTGCTGTGGGCTTTGGGTATCAAAAGCTGCAGCCACCATATGGGGCACTCCTGGCTGGTGTACAGGGTGGCATGCCCAGGTCTTTTCCCAGGGGAGACTGGGGTTAAGTACCTCAAGTAGCCCTTCTTTTTTTTTCTTTTTCTCAAAACATTTTGATTTGGCTGAAATCAGATCAATGGGTGATGTAAATGGGAAAAAGACTCAAGAGGGACAATTTTTGATGTGGCGTGGGGGTGGTTGGGGATTATTATTATCTGTGCCTTGATAATACAGGGATCAGGGAATGAACCTATATAAAGGTATATAATCCTAGAATTACAGTACCTTTGAGCCAATTCTTTCTTTTTTAAAAGTTATCTCCTTTAATCACCTAGGGGTAGGTGAGCAGAGGAGGAATGGTTTGGAAAAACACTCGATACTTAACACCCTCCCAACCAGGGAGTTTTTTTTTTTCTTTCTTTTTTAAACCTTTCAGTCCTTTTGTTACTCTTATATCCAACCACCCATTTGGGTACCACACATGTAAAGGCACTCCCAATTCTCATCCTGATCTGAGTTAATAGCCCACCATCTATACAATCATCTTTCCTATTAATAGTTTCCACAATGCTGAGGGGGAACACATACTCAGCAAGTCAATGGTCTGGGCAACATATCAGCAGGAAAAGGACTTTAATTTTATAATTAAGGTAGGTTTAGAATACAGTATAAATATCCTCCAACAGAGACGATTCACTGACAGATACTTTAACGCAGTGCTGTTTAATAGAACTTTCTGATATGATGAAGATGTTCTAAATTTAGCCACTAACCACATTTGCCTATTTGAATTTAAATCTAAATTAATTCAAATTAAGTAAAATAGAAAAGGAAATTTGAAAAACAACTCTATTTCCTATAGCATCCAAAGGAATAAAGTACTTAGGAATGAACTTAACAAAGGAGGCTAAAGATCTGCATACTGAAAACTAGAAGATAGTGCTGAAAGAAATTAAAGGCAACACAAATAAATGGAAGGAAGTCCTGTGTGCAGGGATTAGAAGATTTAATACTGTTAGGATGTCACTACTACCAAAAGGGATCCACAGATTCCATGCATTCCCTATTGAAATCCCAATATAATTTTTTATTTTTGCAGAAATATAAAAATTCAACCCAAAATTCACAGAAAATTTCAAAGGATCCTGAAGAACCAAAATAATCTTGAAAAAGAACAAAGTTGGAATTCTTACATTTCCTGATTTCACAACATATTACAGGTTGAGTATCCCTTATCCAAAATGATTGGGATTACAGTGTGCAGATTTCAGATTCTGGAATACTTGCATTAACACTTACTGCTTTAGCAGCCTTAATCCATATAACTGGAAATGTGAAATGCTCCAATGAGCATCTCCTTTGAGTGTCATGTTGGTATTCAAAAAGTTTCACATTTTGGAGCATTCTGTATTTTTGAATTAGAGATACTCAATTGGTGAAAAGCTACAGTGATCAGTACTGTGTGGTAATGGTATCAAGACAGATATAGATATATGGGGCTGGGCACTACGACTCATGTCTGCAATCCCAGCATTTGGGGAGGCCGAGATGGGTGGATCGCTTGAGGTCAGGAGTTCAAGACCAGCCTGGCCTACATGGCGAAACCCTCTCTCTACTAAAAATACAAAAATTAGATGGGCGTGGTAGCACATGCCTGTATTCCCAGCTACTCAGAAGGCTGGACATGAGAATTGCTTGAGCCTGGGAGGCAGAGGTTGCAGTGAGCTGAGATTGTGCCATTGTACTCCAGCATGGGTGACAGAGTGAGACTGTCTCAAAAAAAAAAAAGATATATAGACCAATGGAATAGAATCCAGAGCCCAGAAACAAACCCTTGTGTATATGGTCAAAAGCTAACACCACTCAATGAAACAAGGACATTCTCTTCAACAAATGATGCAGGGAAAACTGGATATCCAAATGCAAAAGAATGAAGTTGGACTCTTACCTTCTAAAATATACAAAAGTTAACTCAAAATGGATTAAAGACTTAAATGTAAGACTTAACACTATAAAACCTCTAGAAGAAAACATAAGTGAAAAGCTTCATGACACTGTGTTTGGTACTGATTTCTTGGATATAACACTAAAAGCGTAGGCAATAAAGTGTCAATAAATTAACAATAAACAAATGGGACAACATCAAACTTAAACACTTCTATATATCAAAGGAAACAATCAGTAGAGTAAAAAGGCAACCTATGGAATAGAAGAAAGTATCTGTAAGTCATATATTTAATAAGGGGTTACTACTAGAATATATAAATAACTCTACAATTCAACAAAAACAAAATAACCCCATTAAAAAGTGAGCAAAGACTGGAATTGCCATTTTTCTAACGATGACACATGAAAAGCCAACAAGCATATGAAAATATGTTCACCATCACTGATCATTAAAGAAATGCAAACCAAAACTACAAGACATCACCTCACATTCCTTAAGGTGGCTGTTATCAAAAAACAAGATCACGATTGTTGGCGAGAATGTGGAGATACAGAAATCTTTGTGCACTGTTAGTGGGAATGTAAAATGGTACAGCTGCTGTGGAAAATGGCATGGAGGCTCCTCAAAAAATTGAAAATAGGATTACTATATGATCCAGCAATCCCTATATATCAAGTGAAATTGAAAGAACAATCTCTAGAGATATCTATATTCCCATGTTCATAGCAGCGTTATTCACAATAGCCACGAGGTGAAAGCAACCCAAATGTTCACCAACACATGAACTGATAAACAAAATGTGGTATACAAATATAATGGAATATAATTCAGCCCTAAAAAGGAAGGAAATTCTGACATATGCTATAATAAGAATGAACCTTGAGGACATTATGCTAAGTGAAATAAGCCAGGCACAAAAATTCAAACACTGCATGATTTCACTTTTATGTGGTCTATAAAGTAGCTAAATTCATAGGAACAGAAATTAAAACAGTGGCTGCCAGGGCCTGGGGGGAGGGGGAAATGGGGAGTTGTTTAATGGGTATAGAGTTTGAGTTTTGCAGGACTTAAAAAGTTCTGGACATTGGTTGCACTTCAATATGAATATACTTAACACTGCTGAACTTTAGAATGATTAAAATGGTAAATTTTACGTTACATGCTTTTTTTTTTTTTTAACACAACTAAATATTTTTTAAAAACTTAAAATTTAGCTTGTCAGTTTCAGTAGCCACTTTCCAAGTGCTCACTGTGGCCAGTCACTACTGAATTCCACAGTGCAGCTCCAGGGTATAAATGACTCTGAGTCGTTTTCTGTTAGTATTTGCCTAAATACTTGGTTGTAAAGAGGTAAAAAGACAGCTATGTGATTAAATAGAGAAAGAGGAAGGTAATAAAAACAAAACAAAACAAGGCTCTGGATCATGTGATGACAAATCTCTCATTTAACCTGTCAGCCACAGGTGGCCCTCAACCTTCTCTCAAGGAGTGTTAATTTTTGTTTTTACCCAGAACAAGATAGTTTTTCCATGGTAAATGCTCTTTTCCCCTGCCCAGTGAGTACCCAACTTTGGGGCCAACCTGTTCTGTTTAACTACGGCTTTCTGTCTACAGCTAAGGAGGATCTCTGAAACACCAACACTCTAATAAATTAAAACTTTCCAGACATCAAAGATTGTTTCACCTGTGGCTTAGAGGGTTGGAGGCCTGACTCAATCATGAATCAAACACTGATTCCAGAAAGGCCGATGGAGCTTGAAAGAAAAACAGGCTGTAGGCAAAGCCATCAAGCTCTCACAACCCTGAATTATCCTTTAAGCAAAATCCTTTTAAGTGTCCATCAGGTTTATAAATCTGAATTGCTCTGGGAAGTTACGATTTTAAGAAACTGTTTCAGCCTTTCATCAAAAGGGTCATACTGTTATCCTGGAGAGAGGCAATGAGATCTTCTAGTTCACTGGTGAGTCCTTTAAGACTAAAGTACAATGTCTAAAGACCACAGAACAAGGTTTATATCTTTCAACTGACACCAAATAAACACAAGATTTAAAACAAAGAAGAAGATTCCTGGAGACATACAAATTACCTCATTGCATTTATAGCATGGTGAAAATTAACATTACCTCAGCCCGTAATAATAAGTACAAATTATATTTTTCACTTACAAAATCAGAATTTATAGCACAGCCTAACAGCCTTTTACGAATTAGTGATATAGCAAATGACTAATGTTTTCAAAATACTTTTTTGACTAAATTTTAAGATCCCTTGACAGGGCCTTGACAGGGATTAGCCAAGCAGGATAAAAATTCTTTATCTTGCTTTTGAGTGAACCACATTTAGAGTTCAGCCAGCTTCTGGATATGGTTGAAATAAAATGCCAAGGCAGCAGTCCAAGCCCACTTCCCCTTCAAAGGCCATTTGGTTTTCCTACTTTCAAAAATGAAAGTATTCTGGCATTGTACTTATGTGTATGGACGCTCCAGGAGGGTAGGGCGTCCACTCATACATGCTTGAACAAAGAACAGCTTTCATCTTCAAATTCAAATGTTTAGGGAGAGCAAAATCCCCAAGTGAAGAGGAAGTGAGGGGACACTACTGCCCAGCTAGCCAGATTCATGATCAATGGGAAAGATGGGATGGTGGATGTCACGGTCTCCCCCTCTTACGCCCACACCACAGCTCAGGGTCATGTACAGTCTGCACAGGAACAGCACTGGCTCCCAGACTTGCCCAGCTGCTCCCAACAGCTACTCACCGCTGTGCCATGAATGATCCTCCTGCGAGAAGAGCCCTCAGGTGGTGTTACAAAGAGTTTTGGTCGATCCATCGAATTTCTAGAGTGTGCAGCTTTGTAGGGCATGATGATGGGGCTGCAAGATGCTGAACGAGGACAAATGGGGATAACTAGGGTGCAGGTGATTGGTTTTACACACAAGAGTGCCAGAGGAGCAGTTGAAGAAAGCCAAAAGCAGGTTCAGGAAAAGGAGCAAAGCAGAGATAGAGAGAAAAGTAGGAAGAAGATGTTATTACCTAAAGGTGCCCAGAACCATCATACTCAACTGTCCTTACAGTCCTATGAATTTATGATGAGTCCAAAAGGAAGGCATGTCCACGTAAAAAATCTGGAATATATTGTTAGCTCTTTGGCTCTTTAAATACTAATGAAAGATGTAGAAGTAATCCAGTAATTATGGAGAGCAATGGTCTTATATTCCTATTAGCTGATGGTTCTGGAAAAAAAACTACATTAGTGATAAAAGATAATTTTTATATAAAGACTAGTTTATAACCAGACTTTTCCTAAATTAGCTTTAAGATGGAACAAAAGGTGGAAAGAGAGGAAGCGTGCAAGCAGGCAAGCAAGATATACTACAACTGTTTCAGGATTCAAATTCAACAGCCAGCAGGGGAAAAAAGCAACCAAACTTAAAAAATGTTAAGTGAACAAGTCTTACCAGGTGTTAAGACTTGTCACGAGGATAAGTAATACTTTTCCAGGAAAATATTCTGTACATGTCTTATTTATTTATAGGCAAACCAAATGCATGCTTCCGGGTTTTCCCAAAAGCCAAGGCATTTGATAGTTCATAAGAAGCAGCATTAGAGCATATGGGGAGATTAGCTATATCTATTTAAAATGTTGAATAGAACAGAAATATGTTAGATCTGCCAAATGTAAGGTTGAACCGTGAAGAACCTTTACAGTTTTACTCAAGATGGAATATTTTATGAAAAACTACATAGCTTCTGACCATTACCTTCCAAGGAACACTGTCATGAATCAACTTATTGCAAACAACAGTGGGTTTAAGGAAATTCATATAACACTGCATAGGTATCAAAAGTGTGAGTATTCAGGTTCTAAGGTCCATTTTCAGATCTCATTCAGAAATTTTATTTCCTAGCAAAAATAAGACAATTAAACACAAGTATAGAGAATACTATGTATTTGGACATGGTTATAAAAGGACTTCTCAACTGTAGTCTTTGTAGCAACCCTTTAAAGAAACCACTATGCCAGCTGAATGTAAGAGGATTAATAACTTAACTCAAAAGTTCACAAGACAAACTTGGGGTGATCTTAACTTCAGGATTATAGAGTTGAAAAAAGATTTGCTATTTGGGTTTAATTTACAGACAGAAAGTCAATCAGATTGCATCTTTATTAATGCACTCTTTCATTAAATGCCTGGCAGTATCTTCTGGCTATCACTGCATGGTTTTGTTCTGCTTTGAGACAGGATCTCACTCTGTTGCCCAGGCTGAGGTGCAGTGGCACGATCTCATCTCGGCTCACTGCAGCCTTGACAGTGAATAGATTGGAAACCGGTCTCTTTTCCCATCATTTGAAAACAGAATTCTGTTTCTTCAGGACAAACTAAAACACTTTTTCATTTCTTCAGTTTTCCTTAAAATAATATATGTACGTCTTAATTGGAAACTGACATAAAGCTTTACTTCCAACCTTAATGGAGAAGGAAGGATTTGTATTGTGAAGGAAGGGAATCTCTTTGTCATTTTGCCTGGGATCACAGGAAAAACTCTTTGAAAATAATCTTTTCTCAAGCGCCACAACAAGGCATTTGCATTTTCTAGACAAGAGTTCACTAATGCAAAATTCTTCCAAGCCAATCAAATGCATTTAAGAAATAACATCCTGGCACAAGGCACTTCTGGGGATTAATAACCGGGGGCAGAGGCACGCACTGCTCAGGGCACAGCCGGAGGCCATTCACCTTGCTCAAGGATCAAGAAACCCTAGAAAACAGCTCTGCTTGGAGGCCATGGGTCTGACACTGAAAAAGGAATGAAGTACAGAAATATGATTTTTCTCTCAAGTGGAAAATAACAATTTCATGAAGTATCTATGGAGCATTTCCTGAAGCTATCATGGATGTAAGCCAATATCACCAGGCCTCTGGTTTATTCTTTATTTTAATGTTGACATGATACTAAATATGGGTTGAAAATATCCTTAAACCTAGCTAGTATAGTCCATAGAAAAACATCCTCAAATTTAGTCCAAAGAACATCTTTTGGCTAAAATAAACCTAAGTTTCTTGTAAGGATATTAGATTTCATGGAATTCATTGCTGCACTGAATAGCAAGTACTGAAAAACCTGAAATCTTCAAATCAATTATTTGAATAATCTTGCCCTTCTTAAGAAATAATAACAATATATAGTTATTTTTTCCCAGAGTACACTTCATATCCCAAATAGTTAATTAAACATGAACACTGTCTCACGAAAATGTCTTTAAGAAAGTCTCCCACAATATATGTATTTGATCCTACTCTTGGTGGTAAGTATGCATTAATTGAACTCGTTCAGGATTTTCTATACGAAATAATGGGTGCAGAGAAAAGATAATGCAGGTCAAGTAGTTGAAATGTAGCATAGCAAAAAGAAAAATGGCATAATATGGTAATACGGTACTAGCATTTACTGAGGGCCTACTATGTGCAGGTACTAGTCTAAGCATTGCATATACATTATTTAATCCTGAGCTCTAATAATCACTTGTATTTTGAATGTCCCGGGGAAAAAAAGTATAGAAAAGTCAACCCAAAGCAGTGGCTGCAAATGAGAGGTGTGAGACTGGGAGTTCCAGTTCTCAACTACTGTATTGTTTGTGCAGGGAGTTTGCAATCACTCTATATCCCAGGGCTAAAAGTAGCTGTTTAATCTGCTGATGTAACCCAGTACAGGACATATTATAGGTTACCTTCTTGCCAATGGCAATTAGGAATATGATGAGGTTGAGGGACAACACTAAAATGGGAAAACATGAAAGAATAATCAAGGACAATAGATGAAAAATAAAAATGATGGAAAATGTGGTTTTGACAAGATAATCGGAAGAGATGTTTGCATATATACTTCTAAATGAAAATTTTAAAAAACCCCAGGAATTTTGGTTCATTAAACATAAGCTGTATCGATGAAACTGGTGACAATGAAGCAGGCAATGTATTGACAAAACAGGCAGCTCAAGTAAAGGCTATGCACTCTTTCACACTAAAATAAATTACAGAAACATATCAACTTGTGAAAAGGAGAATGGAAATGTGTCAAAATAAAGAGCCGGTTTGCAGATAAAAAAGCACCTTGGTTGAGCATAACAACAAAGAAGGGGAGAAGATGGGCAAGTAGAATGGGTGGAAAATGAGGAAACAGTATTGGAAAAGACTAGAGGGAGAGTGAAAGAAGTGACAAGAGTTAGTGATGACAAAAATAGTAAAGACAATTTCCCAGCTGTGAGGCAGTCCTTTAGCACAACACAGCATACAAGGGGAGATTCAGAAGCATGACAGCCATAAACCAGCTAAATGCTAGAAAATAGGACTGAAAAGCGGTTTTTTTTTTTTGAGACGGAGTCTCGCTCTATCCCCCAGGCTGGAGTGCAGTGGTGTGATCTCAGCTCACTGCAAGCTCCGCCTCCCAGGTTCATGCCATTCTCCTGCCTCAGCCTCCACAGTAGCTGGGACTACAGGCGCCCGCCACCACGCCCGGCTAATTTTTTGTATTTTTAGTAGAGACGGGGTTTCACCGTGTTAGCCAGGATGGTCTCGATTTCCTGACCTCAACGATCTGCCCACCTCGGCCTCCCAAAGTGCTGGGATTACAGGCGTGAGCCACCACGCCCGGCCTGAAAAGTGGTTTAAAAGCTTTTCAATTAGCTAAAGAAAAACTCATGACTTGTAGAAAAGTGTGAAATTCATAGGCATAAGAAAAAATATTGAAATAAGCTGTACTTTCTCCTCCTCCAGGAAAACCTCAGATGCAATGTGATGGCTCTGACAGGAGTGTGACTTTACAGAGAACACAGAACACTGTGGTTCAGCTAGTTGACTGCACATTTGCACATAAAGCATCATTCAGGGCATTGAGGATGGAGGGGAAAGCACATTTATGATCCTGTCTGCCCATTTTCTAAGTGGCTTTGGTGTAAGTCACTTATTGTCGCTGCACTTGGTTTTCATAAGAAGGTTGTGGGAATGCCCACGCTTGCCTTCGTGACTGTCTCCCAGGGGTACTATGAGATTTAGGACTGAGATTTATTCGCTCATTGGGCACTGCAGATGAAAGACACCATAAAACCACCAACAATTATTACTTAAAAGCAGGCTAATGAACATGGAGAGGCTTGCAAGGGCAAAGCACTTTTAAAGTGCCAAAGATGAGGGCTAGTAGACTGTTTATATAAATACACCAATTGTCCCCAAAGATATTTGGGAAAACCTAAATCAACTCACCAGGAGAGATCCGTTACCCAAAGCCTTTCTTACCAACTGGATGTAGGCTTACCGACTAGATGTAGGCTTACCGACTAGATGTAGGCTCCACACTAACTTCTCATTAAATTAACTGGCTAATTCAGGTATGTTTTGCATTTCAAAAAAGTAGGAGTTATAACCAATCATCATAACTGGTACTAAGCATGTTTCATATAATTTCAAAGAATGTAACAAATAAGCATATTACAATTAGCCTACTCCACAACTCTGAGAGTTCTGGAAGGGTACAATTCCTAGATTACATATAAAAGAATGGCACAGGGAGAAGTAGTAGCTATGCCACAGCCACATTATGAAACTATATGCTGAAATAACAGACTTGCGCTTTGATTTTATTCCCAAGTCCATATATTAGCATTAAATGTTAAATTATTTCTACCTTGGATTATCTGCTCAGAGACAGAGGCAGAAGGAAAGGCAGGGAAGGAATACTTTCTTCGGGTAATGTTATGAACAGACAGAAGCCTCTGAAGCCATCGGAGCCCGGGGAGAGGCTTCATCAGCCTGCCTGGCGTCTGGTGTCCAGATAAGATGCTAAGGCAGATGCCCAGAGGAAACAATGACAGGGGTATGAAACCAACACCGACAGACATTTCCACCGGGGGAAGAGAGAAGCGCATTTTAGGAAAAAGTGAGATGTGATTAGACGAATATGCTTCAAAGGGAGGACTTGACCTCATGGGGAAAGTTCCACCTGGACAGTTTTACCTGCTTCTCCAGACAAGGCAGCTGTGCTTTTACTTCTGGCCAGGAACGAATGTGTGGGCGTCAGGAGTCTGTTAACAACGCTGCTCTCCCATGGGCTGAGCTGCAGGCGGCGAGCTAAACGTCACCACATAAGCAAGATGTTAGAAGCATTCTTTTCAGAGTCAAGAGGGCATAATACATCGTACCTATTGCTTCCATACGCTGGGCCTTCACAGGACCAGGCTCTGCAGGGAGGATGGTTGGCCAAGAGTCAGGGCAACAGGACCCCTGTCCAGAGGGAGCAGTTATTCCACCAGGTTGCTTTTCTTCAAGATGTTAAGTTTGTAGCAAGCTCTAAATTAGTTTTACAGATGCAAATTTTGCTAACCACCCTCTTTTACTAGTCAACTAGCAATAAACAAAAAATACCATTTCAGCTATTGTTTTGGTGTATATCTATAACTCCAGAGTGGTACTGTCTGATGGGCATTGGGATGGGCAGTAGACTGATGGCACATACCTTAGTCAAAAGGCTTCCTAAGTACCTTGAATAATAAACCCCAATAGAGGCACTGGCAGGTTAATGAAAGACGAGTTAAATAAAAGACAGAAAGGGGACCCAATAAATTATGCTAGATCTCCATGAATTGCTACTTGGGCAATGGGAGTATGTGTGTGGGAATTAGATATAATAAAATGAAAGAAGATTCGTGCAAAGTTCTGTATGGGAATCCTTTTGACCTTTTCACTTGGCAAGCCAAGTTCTTTCAGGTCCCTTTTTGGCAACAATATAAAAAATTTGGCCAAGGACAAGGCTAAGGCTGAAGCAAGATAAAATTAAACAGAAAAGCCAAAATCCAATATAAACATAATCCTAGAGATTGCTAGTGGATGCCTAAGAAGTCTAGAAAACAAATTTAAAATAACGCAATGATGTATGGTCCCAAATTATATTGGAGCTTAGCAAGGCCATAGTCAGGACATGTATGCCAATTATAAATTAATTACTTTGCTTATATGGTTAGTTTCCAGTGATGGCTCATGAAAAGATAGAAGCTATTTTCCAAAAATATCAGTAAAGCTTGCAAAATTCTACAAATATCACTGAAGTGATTACATATCTTTGTTTTAGAACACATTCCTGTCACTTTTAAAAGTTTTGTTTGTGTTTTTGTTTAAGACAGGGATCTTGCCATGTTGCTCAGGCTGATTTTGAACTCCTGGGCTCAAGCAATCCTTCCTCAGCCTCCCAAGTAGCTGGGTTTACAGGTGCATGCCACTGTGACTGGATTAAAAGTCTTTAAAACTGTCTACACCTGAAAAGGCTGCTTCTGTTCCACTCCACAAACAGCAGGTGGCAAAGTCTCCTTTGCCTCTGGAGCAGTGTTCTATATAACTATCTTAAATATATCATATTTTAAGTGAATGGCATTTAAATGCTAGGAAATTAGTTTTAATTAATAAAAGCCATATACTGCTAAACATTGTCTTAAAAATAGTTGCTTCCATTTGGAATGAAGTATCAATTTCCAATAAGTACCTTAACTATGTGACTAATTTAAAAGAGTAAATATTTTGATCAGGCTCTGGTGAATTTAAGAATTAGTGAATTGTTTGTTAGAGTCTGTTTACTAGAAGAGTCTTCATGGTTAAATTAAATATTATCTGACATTAAGATTAATTAAAAAGATGTTATAAAAACTACTGCAATAGTTACAATTAGAAAGCACCACGGGCTAAGTACTATCATAAGCTATGTGCAGCAGTGTAACAACAGAATAGAATACAATCTAAAATTAGAATACATGTACAGGGTAAAATCAGTGGGGAAAAGGTGATTAGGACTAACTGAAAATCTTCCACAGAACTATTTTCAAGAGATGAGAAAGGGAAGAAAGTTAAACTCTTCCTTTTCTTAGAAAAACTGTACGATGACTGTGGCTTACAACTGCAGAGATGGGTTGTCATGGAAAAGATAAGTCTCCTTTCTCCATTAAGAAGTTCAGTTACTTTATTTCCATGAGTCTGAAGGCATCGACCAAAAAATTTATCTCAAATGATTAAAAACCCATTGTAACCTGTGGTAAAGCAAATCCAGAGAGATCTGTTTCATATCTCCTGATACTCTGAACTAAACATATTGCTAGGAGAAACATGTTTCCACTTCCACCACATTCATAACTATGCCTTGACCAAGATGGAGACAGAGCGTCCGTAAGATAACTTTTTAGTAAAGGTTAATAAAGGAGAATTGGTGCATTGTTGTTGTTGTTGTTTTTTGTTTTGTTAGTTTGTTTTTTTCCCCTAGAGGGGCCTGATTTTAAGATTACCAAACCGAAGGGAGAGATATTAACTCTCATGGAACAACGCTATGGCATCGATCCTATTTAAGCACTTAAAATTGAGATATTGACAATTTCCATTATAGGCCACCCAGATGAAGAGAGGCAAACTCAAAGGCCTCTGGGGGCCATGCAAGTTAACATAAATAAATGATCGGGGCTAAACAAACTTTATGGATACCTGCCTTACCACTTCCTCCCATAAGCGTGACATCACTATTCCATTTCAGGTAATAGGTGCCAGGAAGAAATTAGACACATGTTGCCAGGTCCTGATTTTTTCTTTAGAAGTAGAAAACTGAAATGTTACATGAAGTATTCTATATTTTAAGTGTTGGCAATTAATTCTAATTAAAACAAGAACAAACAACACTGCTCAGGTAAAACAGAACAAGCCTGTGAGCAGAATTTATTTCGAGGTCTACCTCTGAGTCCTATGATGAAGATTCTGGGGAAAAAATGTATTGATGGATTTTAAGCAAAAAGTAGGCAATTTTTCTTACTCTTTTCCAACTTCCTAATATTCTTTCTTGAGAAAAAGTTGGTTAAGCAGATAGCTTAAAGATAATAATATATACTTTTAATGTAAAAATTTCCAGTGGCAACATTCTGTTCCAGCAATTACAGAAACCTTTCATAATCAGAGGTTTCTTTTAACCAAAGTAATCTTATCAGTCCATGTAACACCATATTCAGGTGTAATAATTAAAATATTTAAAAACTGACAAGGCACAGACACTACACTAATGACTGGCTTCCCTTGGCTTTGGAGGGCCCGGGGAAGCACATCTTGGAAAAGTGATATGGAAATATTTCAGTATTTTTAATAACTAGTAGAGCTCTTTGGATATATTACAGCAGAACATGAGCCCTGATGGTATCGGAGCCTCAATTTAATCTCAGCTTTAAGGCCTATGCCTTAGGACTGAGAAAGCTCAAACAATCTAATAATGATGTATATACCTGCTTGACCCATTTGTCTATAAGGTCCTCTAATTTAACAATCTGGTAAGAATGCTTTCTAATGAGATAATAAAGTATAACTAACTTTTAAAAATAGCAGGAAAGAACTAATGGAATTACTTAAATTTCTTTTATTTATTTTTAATTATTTTCTTTTTGAGATACGATCTCACTCTATTGCCCAGGCTGGAGTACAGTGGTACAATCATAGCTCACCACAGTCTTGACCTCCCAAGGCTTAGGTGATCCCCCTGCCTCAGCCCCCGAGTAACTAGGACTACAGGTGCACACCATCACGCTTGGCTAATTTTTGTATTTTTAGTAGAGATGGGGTTTCGCGATGGTGCCCAGGCTGGTCTCAAATTCCTGGGGCTCAAATGATTCACCCACTTTGGCCTCCCAAAGTGCTGGAAATACAGGTGTGAGCCACTGTGCCTGGCCTTAAATTTCTAAATTAGAGAAATTTAAATTCAGAAGAAGTTTTAAAATTCTCACTATAATAAAAGGCCTAAGCCTTTCAGGGTTCTACTGAGGGCTTTGCTTAAGTTAAAAAGAAAAAAATTCCTTCCTAGACAATATATGGGAGCCCCTTCAGGCTGACCTGGCCTGCTAGACCAGGAACTGATTGACAGTTCTTTGGTAAGGAGGCAGAGAAGCAGAACTCTCAAATCTAGCGTTCTCCCTCTTGTCCTATTATTTCTGCTTAGTATTCTATTTTCTGGGCCTCTACCATGATTCATAGGGCAGTTTTCTGGCCCCCTCTATGAACTGGTTATTGAACTTCCCTTAACGCTGATGTCCTATGTCCTAATTCTCTACTCCTTACCACTTCTAACCTTACACACACACACACACACACACACACACACACACACACACACAGAGAGAGAGAGAGAGAATGCATGGAGTCAGAGTCAATCTAAGAAAGGACACCCATGAAGGTGAGAACTGAGGATGCAGTGTGGCGGTCACACGGGTGAGGAGTCACCCTTCTGCAATAATTAGCCTGTAGGACATTAAAGAGAGGCTCGCAACCTCTTAGGGACTCTATCACCCCAACTAGAGTAGGTGATCTATCCAGTAGATCTTTTTCAGTTCCAAGATTCTACTGCCTTAAGAAGGTCTATCGTGCAGAGAGTCTAGAATACATCTTTCTAATTGATACAGACAATTCAATGTCATTCCACAGCATGGACAGGATATTGCCAAGTTTGTTGTCTAGCTCCCTACTCCCACCCTTACCCTAATTTCAGCTATGGGATTGTAGAAGATAATAAAGTTTTAAAGAAGTGTAAAATACTAATTGTAGTTTGTCTCAGATCCAGGTTCACAAAAGTATGAAACTAAAGTGCTAAGTGACCAACTGCAAAGAAAAGATGAATAGACAACTGTAAGAGTAACATTCACATGCTATATTTTGTCTTATATTTAGGGAATAGGTTTGAAAATAAAGAATATGAAAGAAATTTAAATTCACAATATTTATGAAAGGCCCCTAATTTGACTACAAGTCTAATATTGATGGTTTAGGCAAATTAGGTTAAAAAAACAAAAGGAAAGAGTTTTGGCTAAAAGACAAGAATGGAAAGTTGTTCAAACATTTACTATTTTAAGAGATTAGTTATAAAATAACACCAACAGTCACAGAATATTGTACATTACAATGACACCATAACTTTTATACAATACAAAATATATAAATATACATACACACATACAGAACATGCACACATTACATTTTTTAAAGATTATAAACACTGAAACTTTCCCAATCAGTTTCTTAATAAAGCACTCAAAGTAACCACAATTTTTTACTTTTAAAGAGTATGGGCTTCATATTGCACAACAATTCTTTGGTTTTATTTAAAATCATCTTAGTTATGTAAAAACAAGCAGCTTATCTTAAAAGCTTGATTTTTTTCATTCTATGATCTATGTAAAACAAAACTTTTGCTTTATAAATAACTCAACATTCATGTACTGTAAATCCATGGGATGAATAAAACTCAAAATTCAAACAAGATGTTAATAAAGGACTATGAATATTAAATGTTTCAGGAGGCTGTAATTATGATGATTTCTTGAAGTTAGGCCAGATCCCTCAAGAGTTAATGAATGGACACCAAAAAACCAACAGCACACATAAGAAATGCAGTAAGAAATAATTTGGTTAAATGAGAAGTAAATTGGCAAAATAAAATCTACCAATCTGAATCATTTAAAAAGTTTTTAAAGAAAGTCAGAGCCTGGAATTCCCAAAGTACAGATAGATGAAAAGCCAAAGACAGTATGATTGAAGTAAAAGAAATGTTCATAACAAAGATTATTTGCATTTTGGTGGATAAGTGGGTGATTTCTGGAGCTGTAAACTCATTTACTAAAAAGTTGAGAGAAGCACCGCTTTCGTCACTGCTAAATGCAATCACTCAGCCAAGTTCTAAAATGAGAAATGTTCTTGTCGCAAGGAAAATGCTGCTCAGCCGTTTATTGCTTTTTTACTCTGAAGTTTTTTTCTTCCTATTTAAGAAACGTAGGGAAAGCAACTTCAGATGCTTATTTTTATCTGTAAACATCCAGAAAAAAAAGCATTAAGTAAATAACAGACACTTTTTTGTTTTCCTTTGGACTGTACCTCTATCTGGAGAATTTAGTAAAGTTGCAGATGAAGAGGAGAGCCGCTTGCTAATGACGGGATCAACATATTTCGAAAGATTCATGGTGGAAACTGACCGCCTGTCTGGATCTAAAACAAATGGAGATAATGCTAATTGACAGCCAACATGTAGGATTGCAATTTCCTAGTTCACTGATGGAAGGAAAAACTAGGATTGGATGCTTTCTGCTCTATTTCTAGATCTGTCATAATAACACAGTTTTCTAAGTGGACATTTTAAAGGTAACTTAAAGGCTTAGAAATAAAATTCATTTCTCTTAAAGGATAAAATAAATATTTATTTCACCAGCTTGTCAGCCATGGAAATTCAAGGATACAAGTGGATGAAGACAAAAGGAAGGCCAGTGAAGGGCTTCTAAAATAGTGGAGGCACACTATGAAGCAAAAGAGGACCATAAAAGCGAATGCCTTTGAAATCTCCAAAAGAAGGAACAATGGAGTGGTAACATGCTGGTAACATAGAACGCAAACACTGGGATAAAAAGAACACCAGGTTCTGTGTAATTGCTGATAACTTTGCTTACAGAGTCATTTTACCCAGGGCATTAAAGTTCATTATAGAAGAAGGCTCGTTGTTGTTGTTGTTGTTTAAATAAAAAAAAAGAAAAAGTAAAAGAAACATTCTAAGTGTGGAAAGGATTTTTAAGAAACGTTCCTTTATTAAAAATCTAAGAGCCACAGCTCTGTGCTTATGAGTTAGTGTGGCTACAAATGTAGAATTAGCACACACATTCATGAACAATAGCATTGTTCATCCTATAGTCAAGTAATTTTAAAATTTCTTTTTTTTTTTTTTGGGGAGACAGGGTATTGCTCTGTTGGCCAGGCTGGCATGATCATAGCTCACTGCAGCCTCGATCTCCTGGGCTCAAGTGATCCTCCCACCTCAGCCTCCCAAGTAGCTAAGACTCTAGGCAGGCATCACTACGCCCAGCTAATATTTTAATTTTTTTGTAGAGGTGGGGTTCTCATTACGTTGCCCAGGCTGGTCTCAAATTCCTGGCCTCAAGTGATACTCCACCTTGACTTCCCAAAGTGTTGGGATTACAGGCATGAGCCACTGTGCCTGGCATAATTTTAGAATTCTTAAGTTCAAATCAGAAGGGAAATAAGCATACAAAAGGCAAGAATTAGCAGCCTGCTGTTGGTATAGTAGACCCAGGTTATAATCATGCTCATTAGGATAAACGGTGTTCCTCAAATAACACTGCATGTAATGAAAGTCTAAAAAGTCTTATTCCTAATTTATCCAGGAGGCAGGTGGATGTTCTGATCTACAGTAGCCAAAGTGAAAGGGGTTTTTGCTGTATTTTGTTTTATTTTTCTGTTGTTACCTGCTTCTAAAACTAAAACAAAAATACTCCTTGTGGGAGATGCTTCCAAAACTCAGTACCCGTTGGTCTAACCTTGGCAGTAAGAAAAAATTGCTGCAAACTTTTCCCTGTGTATTTTTGACTACTATTTATAGCACACTGGTAATAAGCAAGTCTTTGATTAACATCAGTCATTTCTATCTTCAGCTGGGATTCATTTTAATGGCTGAAGCAATTTTATTATTAAAAAAAAAACCACTTCTGTGCCTCAAATTTATACTTAGCTGATGGACTCTTAGGGCAATCCAAACATAAAGAAAGGATTTAGGGTCAAACATCAAAAGGAACATCCTAGTGATGACATGTGAGGTACAGGGTAGGAAGAGGAATACGAAAGTCATTTCCAGGTGATTTTATAGCAGTACATTTTCTGATATTGCTTTATATGTTATGCTTTAGTTGGGGGAAAATTGTGTCCACACGCAGGCCTATCCTCAGGCAGATTCTCAACAGGTTATTAAAAACATTTAATTCTGCTTCAGAGTAAGTGGAAAAAATGAGTTACAGTGGATCCTTGTATCCTAAAAAGTATCATTAGTAGTAAAGCATCTAAATCTGCCATAAATTGTTAAAATTATGGAGGCACACCATGAATTTGTTTATTACTTAATATATAAGACAGTTGTTATTCATTTCTTTTTCTCACCGAACAAAACACACAAAAGAATAAGTTTTTAATGTATCAAGTTTTTGTTTTATTTTTGAGACAGAGTCTCATTCTGCCAGCCAGGCTGGAGTGCAGTGGCACAATCTCAGCTCACTGCAACCTCCATCTCCTGGGCTCAAGCAATTCTCCTGCCTCAACCTCCTGAATAGCTGGGATTACAGGCATGTGCCACCATAGCCGGCTAGTTTTTGTATTTTTAGTAGAGATATGATTTCTCCATGTTGACCAGGCTGGTCTCGAACTCCTGACCTCAGGTAATCCACCCGCCTCAGCCTCCCAAAGTGCTGGGATTACAGGTGTGAGCCACCGCACCCTGCTGATCGTATCAAGTTTTACAGACCAGTGCTAGTCGATGGCCAGCAGCTGGCCAAGACAGGAATTTTAATGTAGACAGTTTCTATGATGTGTTTGTTGGTCAGCAAACCATGATAGAGTACCCATCATACATCAGGTATTGTTGTCAAGTAAAGGGTATTCAAAATGAATAAGACCTGGTTGCTGTTCTCAAGATCATAGCAAATCATTTTCTGGTCTTTGAGAACTTGGCAAATCCCATTTATTTTCTGGCAAACTTCTCTGTTCCAGTATAGGAACAATTTATTATAATTCACAACCCGTATTAAAATGAATTTTACCCAACAGCTTGCGAATGCAACACTGGTTTCTCTTGTTCTGAGTGGCAGAAATAAATGTCATATATTAAGCTTTGAGTGTGGAGGCAAAAAATTAAGCTAGGCAGCTTACCATCTCCTCAAAAATGTCTGATGATCTAACAGTGTATATCTGCCATATACATGTAAAGCAGGAAGTCAGGTAAAACAAATATATGATTATAAAAATATATACCCTGCCAGGTTTACTGTATGAAAGGTATATAAAAAATATCCCATCAACAAAATCTCATATGTAAATGATCTGTATAACAGATTTAATATGTATCCCACCAGCTACTGCTGGGTCATGAACAACCAAGAAAACAGAAGTGCTTTCATATTTGGTTCACTGTCATAAGAAAGTAAGTTGTGGTGATATTCCTTGGACTTAAACAAATTTTTAATTTTTTAAATTACATTTCTGAATCAGGTTCTCACTCTGTCCTCTAGGCTGGAGTGCAAAGGCAGACTCTTAGCTCACTGTATCCTCAAATTCCTGGCCTCAAGTGATCCTCCTGCCTCAGCCTCCTAAGTAGGTGGGATTATAGGAACATGCCACCATGCCTGTCTAATTTTTTAAAAGAATTTTTTGTAGAGATGGGGTCTATGTTGCCCAGGCTGGTCTTGAACTCCTGGCCTCAAGGGATCCTCCTGCCTTGGCCTCCCAAAGCACTAGGATTACAGGCGTGAGGTACTGCACCTGATCCTAGATTTTTAATTTTAATAAAGCAGTTATAAGAGATCTATAGAATGTTAACAATGAAAGAGAACAGAATAAGCAAACAAAAAGAGGTCCACAGTTATTTAGCTTAAAACTAAAAGTGGCAACAGCAGTAATGATTGACGGGGAAAAAAGCTAAACTGGAAGTACTTTGATCCCAGGTAATTTTTTTAGCTAAAAAACATTTTTTAAAGGTTTAATCCTGACATTGAAAAAAGAAATAAAAAACATAAATAGAAAACCAAAATGATTGTTTAAAGGGAAAGCAAACATTCCACATGTAATTACTTTATTTCAACACCTTTAAGTCACCTGAGTCATATTATCACACTTAAGAAACACTGTTCCAATCCCAGATCTACGTCTATGCGCTAGGGTATTAGGCATGCGTTGATGACTAAGGTGGTGATGCTTCAGCTATTGATGCATCGGCCCTAGGTCTGAGGTGCTAGCTACAGGTCAGGCAATTGGCAATCACAGGGATGTCTGTACCAGCTTTTCTAGTACCACCAAAAGTTATGAAGTGGTGGTCCAGGCCTGCTAAATCCAGAGAGGAGAATGATGATTCAACAAAACCACCTGGAGACAGAATGTAAAACAATGATTTTTCAAAGCAAATTTAAAAAAAAAAGGTTATCAGATTCACACAAATAAAAAAATAAAAACTGACACACTATGTAAAATTCCAGGGGTATTGAATTTACAGTACAAAAATAAAGCCTTTCAGTAAATCCAAATTTCAATATGATTTTATGTCCATTCAGAAAGGAGGAAATAGCTTAGTCATTTACTATTTCTAGCTCAATAAACCTATATATTTTCTTACAGAGCATTAGTGTTGCATATACTTTAGGGTCAGAATACATAAGCTCATAGTATTGATTCTGGTCAGTCAATATAACTATAATCCTTCCAGAGAAAAAGATAAAACTAGTTAACTTATTCCATAATCCTGAAACCCTAATGCAAATAGAAGACTAAAATAATGTAGTGTTGAAGCTAGCATGTTTATTTAGAAACACTACATAGATTTCTCCCTTTAAGGAATTTTGTAACATGAGAAAATTGGCCTGTGTTAAGGGAAAGAGGCCCTTACTTCTTATCTCCATCACCCTCTTATCCTCAAATAGTGAAAGATTCATTTCATTGTTGTTTAATTATTTCAGCAGGATTTTTGTTTCGCAAACATAGATTTAGAAGAAAGAAGGAAACACCCTGTTACTTTCAGGAAAATAAAGACTAATTTTCAAAGTGGTCACTGTTTACCTGCACTGTGGATGCTAGGGCTCCCATGGAGAGAGCCTCCCCACGACCAACGGTTATGCTTCTGTTTTGGCTTCTGGCTCCTTTCCATTGTGCGCCGTACAACAGCTTCGTGGCGTTCCTTAGATGGAATAGAAGAGCTGAGGATTAGATTCCAGCTGGTTGTTTGAAGCTTCTTCAATTTAAGGCAGAATGGAGTGAGGAGTACTACTTCAATTCCCACTCTACTATTCTTGATCTCTAGCTGAACTTCTATACCATAAGGTGAGACTAGTGTCAATCTGGGAGGGTCACTTTAGTCATTAGGTCCCAGTTCATAAAGCCCTTGGCGAACAACAGGCATTCAAATAAACGACCCTTACTACTAGGGTGTGCGTGATGCTTTCATGAACACACGTAAGCATGGTAGTGCAGATCTTAGCTTCAACTGATGCTTATACGATACCATATTTACCATACGATACCATATTTAAAAAACAGTTCAGAATCTGAGAACATGGGTAACCCTGACCCCATGACTTATTGAGTTGTATGACCTTGTGTACCTTACCCACTCTGAGTCTAAATTTCTATTTTTATACAAACTGACATATAATGCATGCTAAAGGATTGAGTAAGGGTTAAATGAGATAATCTATGTGTAAATGTTTGCAAATGGTAAAGACTACAGAAACTCAATTACTTGGAGTGGTCTTAATACTCAGTACAGATGAATTGCACTTCAATAAGTTATAGGTTTGGACCAGAGAAATGGGCTTTTAAACTTTCTGTGGCAATAATAATCATCAGCCCATTCGCTACCTCTCATACCCTGAACTCCCTAGAAACTGTAGCCATCTGTAAAGCTGATCACTCTGAAACCATTTTGCTTTGCACCCTGCACCTGACTGCAAAGTTTCACAGAAAGTTTGCTGCATGTCTGAACTAGAGGAGCCACTCATATTCTTCCCGGGGGGCGGCTCACTTTGTCCTCCTCAAGTCTCTGCCTCCGCTTCTCCTCCACAGCAGCCCTCCTCCGCTCCTCCTTCTGCCTCTGCTCCTCCAACCTCTTCTTCCGCTCTTCCAGGTGCTTCTCGTAGTGCTGCCTGGCTCGCTCTTCTCTTTCTAACCACACTATTTCTCTTGCAGCTTTGGGGAGGGTTAAAAAAAAAAAAAAAGAGGGAAATCAAATATAGGCAGGTTGCAAACTTGAATAGTTAGGGCTGTATTAAGTGGTCTACAATGAACAAATATGGGTTCTTTAGTTTTGTATTAACCAAGCATGGCCTTTGCTTCCCTCAAATTTCCAAGAAAAATGTATTACTGTTAATTTTTAGCATAATTTAATATGTTAGCAATGAGGTTGAAAATGTACTGAATTCCACTCTTTGGGAACGCAAGCAGCCCTCTAGTTTGTAGGTAGAATAAGGCATTATTAACCACATGCTCTAGTCTCAATCCTGAAAATCAATAGTACCATCTGTCTCTTTTTTTTATTATAAAACAATGTGATATCCTCCAGTCTATGACTACATTTTTTCCAACATGGCATTGGTTCTGAGTATTAAAAGGATTTGGGAGAAAATAATTAGTTGATGAAAGATGTCTGAAGTGCCTTACAGGTCTATCACATTGAGTCAGCTCAGGGATGGGAAGGACCGAACAAGCAGGTGGCCTTGTGTCTGAGGAGCTCACAATTTAGTTAGATAAGAGTTAACCATATCAAAAGCTGGATGAAAAATACAATCCAAAATTATCGTTCAACAATAGGATGCATTTTTTCTTCTTTATATAATACAGGTTCTTTCCTCATTTTAGGAAAAGATATGCCCCCTCAAAGCTATTTCAATATGCTGCTTCCTTCAGCGGTAATAACTAAAAATATCTATGAGTTATTAATACTGTAGGCAAAAGGAAAAAATTCAAACAACATTCAAAGAGTAAATCTTGAGGACACTACATGGCATACAAATTAAAATGTTACTTTTTAAAAGAAAAAACAGGCCAGGTGCAGTGGCTCATGCCTGTAATCCCAGCACTTTGGGAGGCTGAGGGGGGCAGATCACTGGCAGTCAGGAGTTTGAGACCAGTCTGGCCAACATAGTGAAACAACATCTCTACTAAAAATATAAAAATTAGGAAGGTGTGGTGGCACGTGCCTGTAGTCCCAGCTACTCGGGAGGCTGAGGTGCAAGAATCACTTGAACTTGGGAGGCGGATGTTGCAGCAAGCCAAGATTGTGCCACTGCACTCCAGCCTTGGACGACAGAGTGAGACTCTGTCTCAAAAACAAACAAACAAACAAACAAATAAAAGAAAAAACATAAATTTAGAAATATTTTGGTTTCCTCTAAATGTTTAATATTAAAGAATGCATTTCTGATACCATTAAATCTTTCCAAAGTTAGTCATTTGAGGACTAAATCTACTGAAAGTGATCGGAACTGACTTTATTTTAGGTGAAGAAAAGGAGAAGGACAAATTCAAGGTGAGTTTGTTCTCCTGGCATCATTCAGGGTGGTTTGTGGAGTGAACTGGGACTGGTTCTCCTAGCAGCTAGGCTACTAACTGGTGCTGAGATCTCAGACATGTTCATTTGGATTTTAGCTTTCTTTTGCTTAAAATGAGGACACTGGTCTTCAAGGTTCCTACCAATTTTCAAAGCTCATTGTTCTAAGGAAATTCTCAAGCTCAAGTTAAAAATTCACTTCAATAAAAAGCATATAGTATCATTGTTGGACATTTGGGTTGGTTCCAAGTCTTTGCTATTGTGAATAGTGCCGCAATAAACAACAATGATAGACTGGATTAAGAAAATGTGGCACATATACACCATGGAATACTATGCAGCCATAAAAAATGATGAGTTCATATCCTTTGTAGGGACATGGATGAAACTGGAAACCATCATTCTCAGTAAACTATCGCAAGAACAAAAAACCAAACACTGCATATTCTCACTCATAGGTGGGAATTGAACAATGAGATCACATGGACACAGGAAGGGGAATATCACACTCTGGGGACTGTGGTGGGGTCGGGGGAGGGGGGAGGGATAGCATTGGGAGATATACCTAATGCTAGATGACACATTAGTGGGTGCAGCGCACCAGCATGGCACATGTATACATATGTAACTAACCTGCACAATGTGCACATGTACCCTAAAACTTAGAGTATAATAAAAAACAACAACAACAACAACAACAACAACAACCAAACCACATGTCAGGCACTGTTTAAAATGCTTTATATGCATTAAATCATATAATCTCTCAAAAAATAAAAAATAAAAACTATTATTCAAAAAAAAAAAAGCATATAGTATACACAATAAGTATTTACTGAATGACTGAAAAAATAAATACCACTGTGAGAACACACTTTAAAAGTTAAGAGAAGTAGAACATAATTCTGATACTTTCTTAAGATGCACTTACTTTGCTCACGCACACTCGTGCACATAATATCTTTTGGATTTTCTACATGGGAATACCTTACTGGAAGGCTTTTAATGACATTAAACATTTTAAATCACTTAAAAAGGTGGATAAATTTTGACAGTGATAGCTTTTGTCAAAGCTTAAACAACACAAAATAATAAACGGTAAAACAACTGTCTTCCTCTAACCTGAGATTCTGTTATATTCCACCTCCAACTTTTTGACAACGTACACCATGCACCTTGTACCAAAGTACACTTACTGCTCTGCATCTTGCTCTTTTTGAGGCAGGGTCTCACTCTGTTGCCCAGGCTGGAGTGTAGTGGCACAATCAGGGCTCACTGCAGCTTTGACCTCCCAGGCTCAGGTGATCCTCCCATCTCAGCCACCTGGGTAGCTGGGACTACAGGCGTGCACCACTATGCCCGGCTAATTTTTTGTATTTTTAGTAGAGATAAGGTTTTGCCATATTGCCCAGGCTGGTCTTGACCTCCTCAGCTCAAGGGATCCACCTGTCTTGGCCTCCCGAAGTTCTGGGATTACAGGCAGGAGCCACCGCACCCAGCCTGCATCTTGCTTTTTTTTTTTTTTTTTTTTTTACTTAAAATGTATCTTAGAGACTTTTCTATATCAACACATGAAACATGAATCTAAGAGTCTTTTTAATGGCTATATAGTATTTTATTGTCTATATACTATACCTTATTTTATATAACCAGTTACCTACTGAGTGATAGGTTATCTAAGTTATTTCCAGTATTTTAAGAATTCAGACCCTGAGCAGTAACAATGTGCTGTCGTAAATCCCTATGTAGATGTGTGAGCATGTCCATGTAGAATAGCTGAATCAAAGGGAACATACATTTAAAATTTTGATAGATATTGTCATACTGTCCTCTGTGGAGGTCATACCAATTTATATACCCACCAACAGTGTATGATGGTCATAGGCAGAAGAATCAGATGTGTACCTTGAGATATGCAGTATGATAAATCTACTTTTTAACTTTTAGCCTTCAAACTACATAGTCTTTGAGTTTTATACCCCATTTTGAGGAAAATTTCAAATTCTCTGAGGACATTTATGAACATAATATTTTCCTCTCCTATAAGAGATCCAGAAGCCAACAAGAGAAAATAAGAAATAAAGATGTTTATAAAATATTAAGAATATATTTGAAAGCTGGTAAGATAAATTTGTAAAATAAGAGTTAATTCACAAATCAATTTTTCTTAAATAATGTTTTCATCAGGCTTTCTGACTTATTAATACGTGGCTCTATTTCTTCACTAAATTTAAACTCCTCTGATTTGTACAGTCCTATTTTGGCTTTAATATCCTTATTTGGCCTTCCTCCCCACTGCTCTCCAAAATAGCCTCTGCATTCTAATTAGATCCCATCTCCTTAATGCACCTCCCATCAAACCATGCTTCTCCCAGATCTTTGCCTTTGTTATTGTCCTGTTGGGAAAGCTGTCATCATTTTTTATCCAAGCAGATCCATGTTTTGAGAAGGCATACTCATAATTGTAATATGTCAGAATTACTGTTGGAACTGTGTGGGGGGAAGGGGAAAATGTCTAGTTCAAACGCAGATTCCAGAGCTCCACCTCTCGTATTTAGAGGTGCTAATTCTAGGATGAGGCCCGGTAACTTGATTTTGGATAAATCTCACAGGTAGTTGAGACAAGTGACCCATGGATGGCATTTGGAGAAACGCTGTACTCTAAGGTCTTCCACAGAAGTGCCATCTCTTCCAGAGCTCACTGCTGATCTTGTGACATCAACCACAAACTTTAGCATTTCTTTTCTTCTATCTATGTATCTATCTATTTATTTTAGAGCCAGGGTCTTGCTCTGTCACCTCGGCTGGAGTGCAGTGGTGTCATCACAGCTCATTGCAACCTCAAACTCCTGAACTCAAGCAATCCTCCTGCCTCAGCCTCCTAAAGGGACTACAGGTACATGCTACCACATTCAGCAAAATTTTTTTTTTTTTTTTTTTTTTTTTAGAGATAGGGTCTCACTACATTGACCAGGCTGGTCTCAAACTCCTAGCTTCAAGAGATGCTCCTGTCTCAGCCCCCTGAGTGCTGGGATTACAGGCCTGAGCCCCAACGCCTGGCCTAGCATTTCTTATGTTCTGATATCTCTGCAGCAAAGGTATTTTTTTTTTTTTTTTTTTTTTTGAGACAGAGTCTCACTCTGTTGCCCAGGCTAGAGTCCGGTAGTGCAATCTTGGCTCACTGCAACCTCCGCCTCCCAGGTTCAAACGATTCTCCTGCCTCAGCCTCCCGAGTGGCTGGGACTACAGGCGCGTGCCACCATACCCAGCTAATTTTTGGTATTTTTAATAGAGACGGGGTTTCACCGTGTTAGCCAAGATGGTCTCGATCTCCTGACCTCGTGATCCACCCACCTCGGCCTCTGAAAGTGCTAGGATTACAGGCGTGAGCCACCGCGCCCGGCCAGGAAATTTTTTTAAAGAAAACCTTTCCACCTGCAGGTGACTGATTTTTATTGAGCCTCTTTTTAAAGCTTTTTAGTGGCTGTATGGTATTTCACTGTCTATGCACATTATTTTTTATAACCAGTTACCTATTGATAGGTTTAATTTTTTTTTATGTTTTTTATTGACGTAGAATAACTGTGCTATTTATAGGGTACATATGATATTTTGATATATGCATACAGTATGTAGTAATCAAATCAGGGTATCTAGGATACCTATCACCTCAGACATTTATTACTTCTTTGTGTTGGGAACATTTCAAATCTTCTCTTATAGATATATCATATATGTAATAAATTATTGTTAACAGTCATCCTATTGTGCTATTGAATACTAGAATTTATTCCTTCTATCTAGCTGTATTTTGTAACCATTAACAAACCTCTTTAACCTCCCCCCCACCTTTCTGTTCCCAGCCCCTGGCAAGCACCACTCGACTCACTACCTCCATGAGATCACTTTTCTTTAGTTCCCATATATGAGTGAGAACATGCAATATTTGTCTTTCTGTGCCTGTCTTACTTCTAAGACAGTGACCTGCAGTTTTATCCATGTTGTTGTAGATGACAGTGTTTCATTCTTTTTTATGGTTGAATAATATTCCATCATATATATATATATATATATATATATATATATATATATATCACATTTTCCTTATCCATTCATCCACTGATGGACACTTAGGTTACTTCTATATCTTGGCTATCGTGAATAGTCTGTTGGATATTCTGATTTCCTTTCTTTGGGCTATATATCCAGTAGTGGGATTGCTGGGTCATCCTGCAGTTCTATTTTTAGTTTTTTGAGGAGCTTCCATACTGTCTTCCATAGCGGCTACACTAATTTACATTCCTATAGCAGTGTACTGGTGTTCCCCTTTCTCTGCGTCTTCATCAGTACCTGCTATTTTTTGTCTTTTTGATAATAGCCATTCTAACTGGGGTGCTATGTCTCATTGTGATTTTGATTTGCATTTCCCTGATAATTAGTGATGTTGAGCTTTTTGCAGATGCCTGTTGGTTATTTCTATGTCTTCTTTTGAGAAATGCTATTCAGATCATTTGCCCATTTTTAATTTGGATTTTTTTTTTTTTTTTTTTTTGCACTATTGAGTTCCTTACATATTCTGGTTGTTAATGCTTTGTCGAATAAATAGTTTGCATATATTTTCTCCCATTCTATTCACTGTCTCTTCTGTTGTTTCCTTTGCTGTGCAGAAGGTTTTTGGCTTCATGTAATCCTATTTGTCTATTTTTGCTTTCGTTGTCTTTGCTTTTGAGGTCTTACCCCAAAACTCTTTGTTCAGACCAATGTCCTGAAGCATTTCCCCAATGCTTTCTTCTAGTAGTTTCATAGTTTCAGGTTACATTGTAGTCTTTAATCCATTTTGAGTTGATTTTTGCATATGGTGAGAGATAGGGGTCTAGTATCATTTTTCTGCATATGGATTATCCAGTTTTCCCAGCACCATTTATTGAAGAGACTGTCCTTTCCCCACCGAATGTTCTTGGTACCTTTGTTGAAAATCAGTTGGCTGTAAATACATGCATTTATTTCCGAGTTCTCTATTCTGTTCCATTGGTCTATGTGTCTGTTTTTATGGCAGTACTATGCTGTTTTGGTTACTATAGTTGTGTAACCAGAGCTTAATATTTTGAAGTCAGGTCGTACGATGCCTCCAGCTTTGTTCTTTTTGCTCAGGATTGCTTTGACTATTTGGGGTCTTCTGTGGTTCCACATAAAGATTTTTTTTTTCTGTTTTTGTGAAGAATGTCATTGGTATTTTGGTAGGAATTGCATTGAATCTGTAGATCACTTTAAGTATGGTCATTTTCACAATATTAATTGTTCCAATTCATGAACATGAGATGTCTTGCACTTTTTTGTGAGCTTTTCAATTTTTTTCATCAGTGTTTTCAGTTTTCCTTGTAGCAAACTTTTACCTCCTTCGTTACATTTATTCCTAAGTATTTTATTTTATTTTTATAGCTACCGTAAATGGGATTGCTTTCTTGATTTCTTTTTCCACTGGTTTGTCACTGAGTTACAGAAACACTGATTTTTTATGTTAATTTTGTACCTTGCAATTTTACTGAATTAATTTATCCATACTTAGAGATTTTTGGCGAAGCTTTTAGGGGTTTTTATATATAAGACCATGTTGTCTGCAAGCAGGGACAATTTTACTTCCTCCTTTCCAATTTAGATGGTCTTTATTTCTTTCTCTTGCCTAATTGCTCTGGCTAGAATCTTTTTGTGTGTGCTCTCCATAGTGCCTTTCAGAACTTGAACATATCCAAGGGTCTTAATAATTATTTTATAATTCATTGGGAACTACTTCCTGATTCATTCACCCATAACTGTTTGGTCCTGGGTAAATTGCTTAACCTCCCTATTCCTCAGTTTTGTCAGGTCAAGGTGTGGGTAAAAAGAGGATCTTTCTCATAAATTTACCATAAAGATTAACAAAATAATTACACATAATATGGTTAGAATACTTTTCTGCAATGTAGTAAACATTCAGTAAATATTAGCTATTGTTGTTTTTGTCGTCATAATCATTATAATTTCAGTTTAGAAAATTAAAGGTAGTTCTTAAGGTTGTGCTATAAATCACAGTAGAGCTAGACATTATTGCAACAATAATTAGTTTTACCCCAAATAATCTTTTAAAGGAAGAATATTTCTTTGTCTATCCAACTGTTATTGAATTCCACTACTACTTTCTACCAGGAAGTGCAGATCCTAATGCAGTGCCTTCTTTAAACAGTCACACAGCAAATAGGCAAATTAAACAACACTTGCCAATTGCAGAGCATGCTAGTGAGTGCAAACTTATTGCTAAATATAGGTCATGCAATATTTTAAATGGAAGGATAACAAAGTATTTCAATATTTTAATAAAAATAAAAAGTTAATTTATTATAAGAGATTTAATACTTTAATACCCGGCCCTTCCACAAAAAGTTTTTTTTTAAAGGGAAAAAAACAAAGTTTAAAAAATAAGCTAGAAGGTGTAAAATCAAGCCTATTAGGTTTAAGAATTTCAGAATAGGTTAAAATATTCCCTATGGATAATGTTGAGGTTATGTATTTTCTCATTAAGAAATGATAATTTTGAATACACGAAAAAATTCAGCAACTGTTATTGACTGAATTGTTCCCCGCCCACCTTGCCCCCACCCCCACCAAGTTCATATGCTGAAGCCCTAACCCCCAAGGTAAATACATTTGAAAATAGGACCTTTAGGAGGTAATTAAGACTAAATGAGGTCATAAAGATGGCACCCTAACCTAACAGATTCAGAGGAAATACCATGTGAGGACAAAGTGGCCCACTGGAAGCCAGGAAGAGAGCCCTCAACAGAAGCTGAACTTGATCTTGGACTGCACGGCCTCCAGAGCTGTGAGAAAATAAATTTCTGTTGTTTAAGCTACCCAGTCTATGGTATTTTGTTATGGCATCCCTAGTAGATGAATACAACTCATTCAGTATTTAAATCATTAACAACCACTTAATTTCATAAAGAGGCAGCTCCGTAAAAGAACAGTATGTCCAAAAAATGAACTGTGATTAATATTAACCTTTACTCTTCTGAAGTCACAATTTATCCCTGGCCTATGGGATCACATTATAAAATGAAGTGAAAATCCACTGTAGCCTGTGAAATACTGGACACTAACGAGTCAGTCCCATCCCTGACCTGCTGACACCAAGATATTTTAATGACACTGTAACAATATATCAGTACCATACAAAGGAGAAATCCACTATCAATCTAGACTCCATGTAGAAATACACAGTGATGCTGTACAAAAAGGAATTAAAAATGAAAAGCAGGGTACTGTGGTGGATAGAGGACAGTTTCTGGCTTCATATGAACTTGGGCCCACCCCCAGTCTTGCCACTTACAAGCTATGTGCCACTGAACAAGTAATGACTTCTGTGGCCTTGTTCCCCCAAGTTACTATGGCACCAACTTCCTGACAGGGCTGCTTTGTGGCTCACAGTAACATATGAAGCACTTAGCATAGTGCCATGTACATTGCAGGGATTCAATAAATGCAGATAATGACAGCCTTTACGATAATCAATAATTCCTGTCCTATTGCCACGTAGAGTGATATGGTTTGGCTCTGTGTTCCCACCCAAATCTCATCTTGAATTGTACTCCCATAATTCCCACATGTTGTGGGAGGGACCCCGTGGGACATAATTTGAATTGTGGGAGTAGTTTCCCCCATATTGTTTTTGTGGTAGTGAATAAGTCTCAAGAGATCTGAAGGTTTTATCAGGAGTTTCCACTTTTTCATCTTCCTCATTTGCTCTTGCCACCACCATGTAGGAATTGCCCTTTGCCTCCTGCTACGATTCTGAGGTCTCCTCAGCCACGTGGAACTTTAAGTCCAATTAAACCTCTTTTTCTTCCCAGTCTCAGGTATGTCTTTACCAGCAGTGGGAAAATGGACTAATACACACAGCATGCAGCTAACAGGAAGAAACTCAGGTAGAACAGTGAACTCAGTGCACTCATGGGTTGTGTGCAACACTCCACATGCCCCTGTCATCACATTCAGCAATCTAGAGTCCAGCCTGGTCCCTCTGAACAGGCTTACTTCTGTATCAGGGGAGCATATATTTTACTGCTGTATGAGAGAAAAGAAAAGGTGACATTCAGAGACTAGAGAAATATCATCACTTAACCTCTGAAATATTCAGACTTGTTGTCTCAGTTTCATACTAAGATATAGAAGGATTTTGGGTAACACTGGCTACCAGAGTAGCCAGTAATATAATGAAGAGTCAGAAAGTGAAAAGTGATGAGAACATCTGAGTTTGGGTCTTGAGTCTGCTACTAATTCTGTGTGATCTTGGGAAAACTAGCCAAACTCTTCTACTTCTACATTAGAAAGAGTATACAAAATGATCTCCAAGATCTCTTCCAACTAACTCCCATGACTTGATTTTTTTGTTTTTACCTTTGAGGACATGTGTGGGATTACAATTAGATTCCTTTTCTTTTTCTTTTTTGGTGAGACAGGGTTTTGCTCTGTAACTCAGGCTGAAGTACAATGGGATAGTAATGGCTCACTGCATCCTCGACCTCCCAGTCTCAAGTGATCCTCTGGCCTCAGCTCCTGAGTAGCTGAGACTACAGGCACATGCCACCATGTCTGGCTCGTTTTTTTTTTTATTATTATTCCTTGTAGAGACAGAGTCTTGCTGTGTTGTCCAGGCTGGCCTCAAACTCCTGGGCTCAAGCAATCCTCCTGCCTTGGCCTCCCAAAGTGCTGGGATTATAGGCATGAGCCACTGTGCCTGGTCCAGTTTCCTTTTGTTTTCATTTTGAATGTTAAAATTTTAACCTTTATGCTTTATCTCAATAATTGTTGTGATTACTTATATTCAAATACATGTCATTTTCATATTATATGCTGACTGATATATGTGCTGAATAATAATTCTTTTTAAAAAGGAATCTAATGGCTTAACCTATGCTCATCAATTTTAGAAGGGAGTTGTAGAATAAAATAATAAGAACATCTAAAGATGGAAAAGTAAAAATATTTTGTAGGTCTTAGAGCATTTGTGTGGGAAATACTAATTAGTTTCATTTAATAGTCAAGAAACAGGAATGAAAATGTAATCATTAATAGAATGGAAAAGTTTAGCACACCTTTCAAATTATTAAAGATAACCATGGAATGAATGGTACTTACATCAAACCAACCCCTACCTCTACACCACCAGCCCTGCCCCTCCTACAAAAAAGTTTTTTTTTCTTTTTTAAAAAAAGGGGAAAATAGGCTGGGTGTGGTGGCTCACGCCTGTAATCCCAGCACTTTGGGAGGCTGAGGCGGGCAGATCACGAGGTCAGGAGATCGAGACCATCCTGGCTAACACAGTGAAACCCTGTCTCTACTGAAAATACAAAAAATTAGCCAGGCGTGGTGGTGGGCGCCTGTAGTCCCAACTACTAGGGAGGCTGAGGCAGGAGAATCACTTGAACCTGGGAGGCGGAGGTTGCAGTGAGCCAAGATTGCGCTACTGCACTCCAGCCTGGGCAACAGGGCGAGACTCTGTCTCAAAAAAAAAAAAAAAAGAGTTGGGGGAAACAACATTTTTTAAAAAAAGCCAGATGGACTAAAATCAAGCCTATTAAGACTTTTAGAATGGGTTAAAAACAAAAACACCTAGCTATGTTGTTTAAAAGAAACAAAACTAAAACAAAGCGTCAAATAACACTAAAATAATGAGCAAATGGCTATCAGGCAAATGAAAACAAAAATGTAATAACTGTGGGACTATTGCTACCAGAAAAAATAGAACTGAAGATCAAATGAGGAAAAAGACCCAAAGAAGTGAAATGATGCTTCCAAGATCAGCACATGGTCTAAAAGAAAACAGCTGGGATTTTCATTCAGCTCTGACTCGAAAGCTTGTACTCAGTCACTCTACAATATTGCCTCTATATTCACTTCTGCATGCTTCTAATTTCCACCTGAATTTCTCAGTCAGATCCATCATATAATCTTATTCATTATCTGCACATTCTTCCCTGCTCCAAACTGGAACTTTCTTTGTCTTCCGTATTCTGATAGCAGATTCCTGAGACCAAATGGTCTATAAAGTTAGTCACTTCAAGTCTTCCACAATGTTTCCCTCATGCATGGTGCACCCTAACTCAACACATCCATATAATTGGTCCCATCAATTGTTGTATCAGAATGATCTCTCAGCTGGGTGCAGTGGCTCACACCTGTAATCCTAACACTTTGGGAGGCCAAGGTGGGAAGACTGCTTGAGCTCAGGAGTTTGAGACTAGCATGGGCAACATAGCAAGACCCCCATCTCCACAAAAAAGAAAGAAAAATTATCTGGACTTGTTGGCACATGCCTGTAGTCCCAGGTACTTGGGAGGCTGAGGCAGAAGGGTCCCTTCAGCCCAAGAGTTTGAGGATGCAGTGAGCTATGATTGCACCACTGCACTCCATCCTGGGTGACATGTTTATTGAGGCACTATTCACAATAGCAAAGACTTGGAACCAACCCAAATGTCCATCAATGATAGACTCGATTAAGAAAATGTGGCACATATACACTATGGAATACTATGCAGCCATAAAAAAGGATGAGTTCTTGTCCTTTGTAGGGACATGGATAAAGCTGGAAACCATCATTCTGAGCAAACTATCGCAAGGACAGAAAACCAAACACCGCATGTTCTCACTCATAGGTGGGAACTGAACAATGAGAACACTTGGACACAGGATAGGGAACATCACACACCTGGGCCTGTCGTGGGGTGGGAGGAGGGGAGAGGGATAGCATTAGGAGATATACCTAATGTAAATGATGAGTTAATGGGTGCAGCACACCAACGTGGCACATGTATACATATGTAACAAACTTGAACGTTGTGCACATGTACCCAAGAACTTAAAGTATAATTAAAAAAAAAAAAAGAAACCCTGTCTCTAATGTAAAAAAACAGAAAAACACAGAATGATCGCTTGAATCTGCTGTAGCCTCTCCAATCTTTTTACCACTACTTTAAACTCTCATTCCTTTCTCATGCCTCATTTCTAGTCTTTAACCACTTCAAATCCATCCTACACATTAGTCGTCTCAGAGATATCTTCCTCAAGAAACAGACCTGAAGTCATTGTCGTGCTTGAAAACCTGTTAGTTCTCCTACTGTTCCCTGTCCAACCCCTTGGACTGGCCATAGGATCATGCATCTTCACACACACCTCCTTCCCCCTGGCAAACTTCTGTCTTTCAAGTCCTAGCTCAGAAGCTCCTTCCTCTGAGGAGCCTTTCCTGATGACCACAGCACAGGAGCCCCATCTGCTAGCTGGATTCAGACTCCCTCATAGCACTTACACTCCAGACGGTAGCTACTCTGCTTTTATGTGTTTGTGAATTCTTCCCTATACACACAATGTCTAGTCTAGCAGATGGTTAAAATATGCTTGAATAAATGAACTAAAGAGTTAAAGGACAGAGTGATCTCCAAGCATAGTGATTCACACTGGGCTTTGGTGACAACTCAAAGCCTTCTCAACTTGTCATTAAAAGCATTCAGTGGAGAGCTGCCTGATAAGAAGTGTGACCTTGGAGGATCCCCACAACACGGTGCTCCTGCACAGAGGGTCCTTCCCATTTCACCCTGTCACTGCACACAGTGGTGGGCTAATGGGGTTGAGGTGCTAGAATAGTAGTTACATAGGTGGAGATCAAGAGCTTTTCTTATATGTAGGCTGAATGATTTTTCAAATAAGAAAGGACTTACTGCCGGGCACGGTGGCTCACGCCTGTAATCCCAGCACTTTGGGAGGCCGAGGCCGGCGGATCACGAGGTCAGGAGATCGAGACCATCCTGGCTAACACGGTGAAACCCCGTCTCTACTAAAAATACAAAAAATTAGCCGGGTGCGGTGGCGGGCGCCTGTAGTCCCAGCTACTCGGGAGGCTGAGGCAGGAGAATGGCGTGAACCTGGGAGGCGGAGCTTGCAGTGAGCCGAGATAGCGCCACTGCACTCCGGCCTGGGCGAAAGAGCAAGACTCTGTCTCAAAAAAAAAAAAAAAAAAAAAAAAAAAAAAAAAAAAGAAAGAAAAAGAAAAAGAAAGGACTTACTATCTCAGGGCTAGGCCTAAAGGAATGTTAGCCTTCACTAAAATAATGGAGTTTTGCTAAACAGGGCAATGGTTGTCCTTGGAATCTTTCTGTTACAGCCTTAACCCTAAGTACTTTCACTCCTCAAAGAATGTAGCCATTCTCTTCACCTGGGGCTGTCCTACTTAGCCCCACCCTAATGGATGAGGAGGCACAGACATCCCCCACCTCTCTCTGCTACGCCTTAGGCTTCTCTAATTCCAGGAATCTAAGTCAGTATTTGTGGAATCATATGACCTGCCATCCTCATCTTTATCACCGTCATCATCATGGTGAGATGTCGTCAGCTCTTGCTTCATGCTGACGCAAGTGATTTATAGGCATTGTCTTTGCAGCCACTCTATGAGGCAGACACTGCCATTAAACTTATTTTATTATGAGAAGTCTGAGATACAGAGGAGTGAAGTAACCTGCCCGATGTCTCACAACAAATAAGTGATGAAGTTGGCATTCAAACTCTGGATTGTCTGACTCTAGAAGCAAACAATGAGCCATTATGCTAAAAGGCATGAATTGGAACACCTTCCAAAGACCACAGCTCCTTCTCTGTACTAGCAAGAAAGAGCTGGGCATCCAAATGTGAAGGTCCTGATCTTCCAATGCCACTCTTAGCCTCTACCGTCATCTGTTTACAAGACCCCTTACTTTTCAGGTTTTAAGATTTTTTATCTTCACTCTTAAAGGCAAAGTAATTTGGGGAGAAAAAAATAATGGCTGCTTTGTCATAATGACTCATTTTATGTTCAGGCTTCAGCTTCTGCTTACCTAATCCATGCAGCAAGCAGCAATTATTCTTTCCAGTCCTGAGCCTGACTCATGATACAGCTGCTCTGTTATGTGCTAACATCCATATTCCTCTCACTAAGATGCATTTAGGTCCCTCAGCTGTTAACCTGCCTGACAGCCTCATGAGCTTTTGTACACTATATTCACTAAGTGACAATTTTAGGAGATGCAGATGCTGAGACTGGTAACAGATATGCCGAAGTTTATCCATTAGATATTTGGATTAGAAAGATTACTTCCCTAAAGCCTCCTCTGACCCCTTTTTTTTTCCTGGACAGTCTCTAAAGAGGAAAGTCTCTTGTTAAAACCAACAGCCATCTGAATCAAATAACGTGAAGTATGAAATCAGGGGGAGTTTCACTCCCAATTCTAACCAGGAGTACAGCATTATTATTTACTAATTATTACTAACTTGCTATCAGCATTTTTGGGATGAACATTCTAAACCAGGTTGAAATGACCATTTATCTCTTGACCACACTCTTATTAGTACTGCCGTCACTCACTGAGTTGACAACACACTGAGATGAGAGAGAAAAAAAAAGAAGCACAGCAAGAAAGCTATGATTAGAAGGCAAAGGAAGCCCGATGAAATTATCTAGGAAAAAAAAAAAAAGCCCCTCACATATAATTTAACCAAAGTTTGTTCAAAGGTTAAAACTTTTTATATTGTCTTATTCTTTCTAAAATATTGCTTTATGATATATCTTAGCTTTGAACTTAGCTACAAAACTCAATATGAATGAAATTATAGATTTGTAAGTTGACATTTTTCTTCAAGAGCTATGTCAGTCCATCATACATTCTCTTTCATGATTTTATAGAATCCCCGAAAGTACCAATTAGGAATTTGACTCTTCATATAAAAATTTTGGTTTCAGAAAAAGACTAAATAATTACATGTTTACTGAGTGCCTAGTATGTTCCAAGGCACTTAAACAAAACTTAAACACAATCAATACTCCAAACTTACTTGTTATTATCTTGAAAAAGGGAAGCTCTGTGTCTGCTCAAGCGTAGAGTACTGTTTGTGTGCTACACAGTCCTTAAATATTCTCTTGAACTTTCTTGTCGACATATTGTAGAACTATTAGTTTTATAATATATGAAGAGGAAAATTTAAGGCATATCCTAATAGATTATCCATAGATAATAGGATAGATCCATAGGAAAATTTAAGGACTATCCTAATAGATTATTTCTGTATTCTTGTTCACCTGAGAAAATGATTACTAATAAGAATTTAATACCTGTTTGACTGAACTATCATAAGGGCAGGTATTACATGATACTTTGGTAACGTTTTAACTAATATGCAATACCTCCTGCATTCATCTCCACTTAACATTAAACAAACAGTTGCTGGACATTGATTACGTGCCAAGCTGTTCTAGATACTAAGCTACAGAAATGAAAAAAAGACATAAATCCCTTCCCTTCCAGAGCTTATGTTCCGGGGCAGGGGGCCAACAGATAATCAACAAATAAGTAAAATATCTACATGCTTAGATGTTGACAGAGCTAGGGAGAAAAATAAAGAAGGTCTGGTTTGAGGGAGCTGAAAATTTGAGTAAGATGGTAGGAGAAGGCCTCGCTGAGAAGGTGGCATTTAAATGAAACCTGAAGGAGGAGAGGGAATGAACTATGTGGATTTCTCAGGAAAAACACTCTAGGTGGAGTGCATTTGGCTGTAGTGTTTAAGAAACAGCAAGGAACCAGCATGGCTGGAGGAGAGGGCAAAGGAGAGGACATTAGCAGGTAGCAGGGCTGAGCCATGGTAAGGGTTCTGACTTCTACTCTGCATGAAATGTAAAGACTTGAAAGGTCTGGAGCAGAGGCAGGCCTGGCAGGCCATATTGCAAGTGGGTCACTCTGGCTGCTGTGTTAACAGACTCTGTGGGAGGAGGAGGAAATGAGGACACCGGTTGGGAGCCTATTGCAGAATCCGGGTGAAAGATCTAGCTGTCTTGGGCCAAGGTGGCAGCAGTGGTGGTTGTGAGAAGTAGTTACTTTCTGGGTATGTTTTGAGGGTACAGCAAAGAGTATTTGCTGATGGATTGGTTATGGGATGTGTGGGAAATTTCAGCTAAGATGCTAGGTAATCTTGTTTGATTTTTTATTATCTTACTCCCTTCTTGGAATATAAATTCCAGGAGGTTATGAAATTTATTCTTTTCACTTCAATACTCCAGCATCCCTGGCTCAATACTATCTACGCTTTAAATATTATTGAATGAATACATAAAATCACACAAAATAGCTTAAAAGAGAGGGGGTTCTATTTTAAGCTCTCTGAATAAAAAATTTATGTTGTTGCATAAATTCTATATACTCTGGTTCTAGTAATGGTTTCTGAAGAGAAATCGGTAACCAGGATCGATTCTAAGTTCATAAAGACAGAATTACTCTTAATGGACTCAAAGGATGGTAACTGATCAATGCCATAAAGTTTTCTCAAAGCAGATCTCAGAATCTGCTCCAACACTTACATTTTAACCACTGTCGAATGGGAGTCAACATAGCACCTATGCATCTTATGAATACATCTATGAGGAAGGAGAATAACTCTTTCTCCATGACAACTGGATACCTGTCCAACTCCTAAAACTTCTGAAAATTCTATCACCCATAAACAAAGCACAAGGATCTCTCTCTACTTAACAGCATCACTACTAGTGGAAGAATTTTAACATGGACTGTGGTGATCCTGTACATACTAAAATCATGCTTAAAAAGCTAATAGGGGCTGGGTGTGGTGGCTCACGTCTGTAACCCCAGGACTTTGGGAGGTCAAGGCGGGCAAATCCCTTGAGGCCAGGAAAATCAGACCAGCCTCACCAACGTGGCAAAATCCCATCTCTACTAAAAATACAAAAATTAGCTGGGCGTGGTAGCACATGCCTGTAATCCCAGCTACTCGGGAGGCTGAGGCACGAGAATTGCTTGAACCTGGAAGGTGGAGGTTGCAGTGAGCTGAGATCATGCCACTGCACTCCTGCCTAAGTGACAGAGCAAGACTGTATAAAACAAAAACAAAAACAAACAAAACAACAACAACAACAAAAGGGTAATAGGGCAGAAAAACAAAAGGGTGTATTAACGATTCCATTTTTCTGAGATCCTCTCAGTTACTTCCTTTGGCTAACTCATCACAATGTATTTTAAAAATAAAGTAAGTGACATTCTATTAAAAAACTTACCTTGCCAATTATGGCACGCCCACACAATAAAAAGTACAACCACTGTGCTAATTTGTTACTAAATGGGATTATACATAGTGAAGTGTTTAGAACACTGCCTGGCCCATAGTTAGTGCTCAATAAATACTGTTTATCATTATTGCTATTATTTCACTGAAGATTGTAGAGTAAGCAAAATCAGCAAATATTTATTATGTGTTTTACACTTAGCACTGTGCCATGTGTTGGGATACAAAAAATTAGAGACCACAGTCATATTCTTTGGAAGCTTAAAATACACACCAGAGATACAAACCAGAGATAGAAAGTCTAAATAGATAAAAATTCAGTAGTGTATAAAACAGCAGTAGAATGTGAACTAAAACGTGATAGTTATGCAAGATATAGTATATAGTGAAAGGATGATAAATTTCTAAAAGGAGATTTTCTAGGAAGCCTTTAAAACAGAAGGACTGGCACTAATTGTGATACAGTGCTAGGAGTATAAAGAACAACAGGGCAGTAAATGTATTAGCCTGAACTAGGATAATGGCAGAGGCAGCCAATACAATGGCATAGACTCTTACCTGAAATAAGAGTCTGCTAGATTTCTGACTAAATGGATTCAGGGTTAGAGTATGTCAACTTCTACCTACCTACTGGGCTAGTTGATAGTAGATAGTTGAAGCTCCAGTTAGAGAACTAGGCTGAGTCCAGACTGACCACTGGGTAGCTACAAGTGGCCCAATATGCCAGGATGGAGACCAGTCAGTGGACAGTATTGGGCCAGCCAAGGAAGGGAGAATGTTTTATTCTGCAAAAGATCTAATAGCTAAGCTACTAGTCAGAAAGAACCTAGGGTCTCTAGCAGAAGCATCAAAAATGACGGAAATAAATAATGTCTTGGGGCCAAAAAAACCCAAACATTTGGTGCAATTAATTGGGACACAGAAATTACCAGGATGAGTCAGTTTTGGAGTGAAAGAAAATGAACAATTTAGTTGTACAGAAGTAGAGTTTCGGGAAACAGGCAGGCATCTACTGCCTTCCGAGTAGCTGGAAATGTGGAATCAATATTTAAAAAGGAGAGTGAACCTGTGAGAACAAATGAGATTCTCCACCCCACCCTTGGAAAACAAAAAATAAAAGCTTAGAAGAGAGAGAGTGAAAAACATGCAGAAGTCAAGAGAGAGAGTTTGAGGGGATAGAATCAGATGGAATAGGGTGGTTAGAGACTTTTCTACGTATAAAGCGTTTAAGGAAGAAAAATAAAGCTTTCAGAGTACAAGTGCCCAACGACAGAATAATCTCATACATGAAGAATTATGCCTGATTTTGTGAAAAACTGAAGGATAATGCAGAAAAAGCAGGCCACATGACATAATCCTACTATAAAAGCATCAAAGCATGACTCAGAGATTTAACCCACAGAAAGTTATTAATAAGTCCTTCCTGTTTGCAAAATAGTACAAATATGCCATAACACCAAGAACAAAATAATCAGACCTTTATTCTCCCTCTCTCTACCTTGCTTTTTAAAATACGTGGATTAAAACAATCTTTAATGATTTCAATGTTATTTTCAACCTACATCCAACAGTAAATAACCAGTCTCCCTGGCTATTCATTTTAAACTTTACTTTGCCAGCATTTGTGGAATGGTGTCCGATTTTTTTTAACTTGAAAACTTTAAAGTTTGAAAGTTGGTAAGAGTTGACATTACCAACTATTTTTTTTTTGTTTTCAAATTAAGCACAGTCCAAAGATTTCCTTAATATTAAGTGTCTGCTTTTAAACTTTTTTTCTTTTAAAAAAAATTTCCACTGCTGTTATAGCTTCTATAAAGCACAGTTCATAGACAGTTGATCAGGTGTGCCCTTTGATTTTTTTTGGTACTGAAGATTTTTTAGAAATCATCCTCACGTACTCTAAGGCACAGCTGAAATTAGATTTTTAAACGGCTCTTTTACAACTGTATATAATATATGCATGTATATTTGCATATATGCTCACTCCTGTATTTATGAAGATTGAAGGGAGCCTCTCAAGACTTAGTTCTAACTATGATGGTTTAAATGGAAAAAAAAAATAGGCAAAAAGGCACTGCTCTGAAATGTAAAGAAAATAAAATTAATGCAAAGAAAAAAATTAGAATGGATATATTTTCCTTAAAATTATGACTCTGACAATTGAAAAAAGAAATGAGATTGAATTTTTAAAAATTATGATATTTAACATGGCAGGGGTAAGAATAAAGAGAAAAATGCCAGGTGTGGTGACGTGAGTCTGTAATGCCAGCTACTAAAGAGGCTGAGGAGGATCACTGGAGCCAAGGAGGTCGAGGCTGTAGCGCACCGTGATCACACCTGTGAACAGCTATTGCAGTCCAGCCTGGGCAACATAACAAGATCCCATTTCAGAGAAAGAGAGAGAGAAGAGAGAAACTATGTATATCATATATTGGCTCACCAAAAAAGTTAAGCTGTAATAATAGAATAATACAATCATCTAGATATAATATATGTAACATATAATCATATAATAATCTGAAAAGCATGTTGGGTCTCTCAGCAAATGTCTTTTTTCCACCTGTTCTTGCACATTGCTGTATAATGCCTGCTCTTCTATCCCTTTGAAAGGCTCCTTTCATCCTTTAGTTGGGAACTTGGGTGGCACCTGGCAAAGCCAGGCTGGTTTAGGCACCTCTACAGGCTCTCAATGCCCCTGGCGCATACCCACTCACAGTGGATGCATTGCACTGTGACATTAATAGTTGCTACTTGTTTATCTGCCTTTCACTAGACTACACCTAGCCCTAGAGGGCTGGGTGTCAACCTTTATTCATCTTTTTGTCATCTTTTAAATACAATATATGGCACATACAGTGTTTGAATATATAAACTAATGAGTCATGTCCTGTGTTATCAATATGAATTGAAATATGGCATTACATGTTAAGAAAAAATCTAGTCACTCAATATACAAAGGTAAGCAACTTTTAGGGAGAACTGCAAGCTCAAAGCTGTAAGTCTTACACCTTTATAGTATAAGTAAAGTCATTTTTGTTTCACCAGCAGCATATTCGTGCTTTCCACAAAAAACTAATGCTTTGTTTTGTTAAGATAAAGAAACCCAAATGGAAAGGTGTGAGTTAAGTATGGAAAAGCTAATTCACAATGTGATTTAAACCATAAAGGAATGCTCTCCCGACCTATGGAACTCCTTCTATTCAAGCAGATATGAATCCACGCTATAACTAAAGAGATCTACAAGTGTGAGACCTGATGGGGAAGAGGGGGAAAAGGACATACGCATGGACTTGAAAACAGAGTGTAAATAACAGCCACCCTAAAACAGTAGTCAGTTTCTTATTTTTACTCATCTTCCAGTTTCAGCAGCTCTGCCTTCATCCTCTCTCAGTTCTGGTTTGCTTGTCAAAGCAACCTTAGTAGGGAGCAATGAGCATATTCACAGGAGGAAGGGAGAGCCCTGGTGACCACAGACAGCCTGCTCCCCAAGAACCTACCTGCCTGCAGGGAACCCATCAGGCCAGGGAGGAAACTCTAGGCACAGAAAAACAGCAGAGCATGTTCACTTCCAGTAAGCAAATGAAATCTATGCCTAAAAAACCTCAGAAGCAAAAGAAATGACCTCATATGGCCATTATGGCAAGGGACAGAAACAAGTCTGAGTTGAAAGAATGTAAACAATAGCAAAAGACTTTTGAAAACCAGCTTCCACTACATTTCACAAATTTGGGCTTTGGAATAAGAATAATAAAGGGATGAGATATAGGGGCAGAGTCCCCAGTTGAAACATTAACTCTTACAAAATGCAGAACAACTTTAAGAAGTTACAGGTCATCTCCTGGGAAAATTTTGATACCCTGTCAGTCTAGTTTCAGAATACCCAGGCACTCTGTACACGCACATGCTGACCAGGCATTTAATCTTTTCCAAGGTACATCATTCAGGTATATTTCAAGAGAGTATCCTGTTTTAGCAAGTTTACATAAATGGACATCAAAGTAAAGGAGGGGTTGGCACCTGCTTCCTTGCCCAATGTTTTAGAAGACAATGACTGTACAATCTCTAAGTGCTCTAGTCTCAGCTTCTGCTAAGATAGTCCTGTGATCCAGGTTCCAGTGATTATATGACAAATATTGCAGTTGCTAACGTCACAAGGGCCTTGGGTAATAAGAGAAAAATCAGACACCTCAGCACATGCTTTTCCTGGCAGCAGCCTGGTAGCACCTGTCTATAAGTTCAATGGCAGCATTATTTTAACAGAGAAGTCAGTTAAGTGCCCTGACAGTGTATAATCTCATAACTTTTCATGTAAAAAAGAACAATATGTTTACTGTCCTCGCATTTTCTCAGTAGTAAAATGTAAGCTGTACCATCACTCTACTCATATATACTTTCCCTCCAGTGCCACATTAAACTGTGACTGCAAAAAAGGATGACCTTAATCCTGAGGCTAGAGTTTATTGTCACTTAAAACTTATCCCTATGTTTATATTTTATCATCACATACTAAATTCTGCCTCATAGTCCATCTGTAAAATTCATAAAGGTATGCAAAAGACCACGGTATTATAGTGACATCCATTCAAATCAGGGCCATGGACACGGGGCCTGGGGTACCTAGCTGTTTCTCCCGTTCCTCACGTCGCTCCCGGGCCAGCCGCTGCCGGTCATCAACACGTAACACAGGCGGAGGGTCTGAAAGCGAGATTAAAAAAAACATGAGATGAAGAGTGGATTAAAAAAAAAAAGAAAAAGAAAAAACACACATTGATAAATATCCAGTAAATCTGAAGAATAATATATTGCTGCACTTTACAACAATAAGTACATGTGACTAGAGTTACAGTGATCTACTCAATTATTAGAAGTTTTCTAAGGATTTCTAAGCATTTTTCTTCTATTTGAAAACATGTAAAATCATGACGTAACTATAGCCTTTTGGCTATTTTCATCAAACAATATAAATGATGTTTTGTGTTCCTAAGCTACCAAACTTCTATTATTTTTATGCTTTAAAAAGTCTGTTCCTTAATGACCAACAAAATCCTTAAGTAGCTTTATACTGCACAAATGTTTGAGAGTTAGAGGTGAAGTGCTCGAGTCAAACAGACACGCATTCAGTTTCTGCCCCGTCACTCGCCGGCCAAGGTACTTACCCACCTCTGTAAGTCTCAAGCTATGAGGTGTACTTTGATTTATTACCTGTAAAATGAGGATACAATAGAACCTATCTCTCATTATTATAATGACTGTTAGTAGAGTGTGTAGTGTGTATGTCCCAGTAAATCACTGAACATCTACTGTGTGCTAGGCACTGTTCTGTATACTGAAAAGACAGCAGTCACCAAAAAAAGACAAAAACCTGAGATTTCATGGGATTTACATTCTACTTGGGAAAAAATCTGACAAACAAGACAAATAAGTACTATACATAGAATGAAAGAAGGAGAAAAATACAGAGAATATAGGTTAAGGAGACAACAAGGAAATGAAGGGGATTATGACATGTCAGGAAAAGGATGTTTAAATTTTTAGATGGAGCCCAAGGAAGGCCTCACTGTGATAATGATGTTCCATAGAAAGTAAGTGCAAAGGCCCTGAGGTTGCAAGTACCCAATGTGTTCCAGAAACAATAGGGAGATCTGAGGGACTGGAACAGAGTGAGATGAGTAAGCGACGGGGCTCATGGTTAAGGTGAGGACTTTGCATTATACTCTGAGTGAGACATGGGTGGAGAAGAGGGGTTCTGCAGCAGAGGGCTAGGTTTACAGGCTCACTCTGCTGCCGAATTAAAACAAAATAATAAAAATGAGCATAATAATCACACTTAAAAGGTTTTTCTCTTTACTAAATTGACAGTAGAATTGACGTTGACAGGCCAGGTGCGGTGGCTCACACCTGTAATCCTAGCACTTTGGGAGGCCGAGGCGGGTGGATTGCCTGAGCTGAGGAGTTCGAGACCAGCCTGAGCAACACGGTGAAACCGTCTCTGCTAAAAAAATACAAAAAATTAACCAGGTATGGCAGCGTGCGCCTGTAGTCCCAGCCATTTGGGAGGCTGAGGCAGGAGAACGGCTTGAACTTGGGAGGCAGAAGATGCAGGGAGCCAAGATCGCGCCATTGCACTCCAGCCTGGGCAACAGAGCAAGACTCTGTCTCCAAAAAAAGAAAAAAGAATTGACATTGACATTTTTAGAACCTTGCGTTAAAAATGGGAATCTACTATAATAATACAGTAGAGACAAGCTGGGTGCAGTGGCTCATGCCTCTAATTCCAGCACTTTGGGAGGTGGGTGGTTCACTTGAGGTCAGGAGTTCAAGACCAGCCTGGCCAACATGGCAAAACCCTGTCTCTACTAAAAATACAAAAATTAGCCAGTGTGGTGGCACATGCCTGTAGTCCCAGCTACTCAGGAAGCTGGGGCAGGAGAATCGCTTGAATCCGGGAGGTGGAGGTTGCGTTGAGCCAAGACTGCATGCCACTGCACTCCAGCCTGGGAGACAGAGCGAGACACCGTCTCAGAAAAAAAAAAAAAAAGAAAAGAAAATACAGTAGAGACAAATAGCAGTGCTTTGGCAACAAATGTAAAGGCCTGCATCCCAAATGTCTTTTTTTTATTTTTTACTTTTGAGACAGAGTCTCGTGTCATCCAGGCAGGAGTGCTGTGGCACGATCATGGCTTACTGCAGCCTTGACCTCCTGGGTTCAAGTGAATCCTCCCACCTCAGTCTCCTGAGTAGCTGAAACCACAGGTGGCACAACCACACCCAGCTAATTTTTGTATTTTTTGTAGAGACAGGATTTTGCTATGTTGCCCAGGCTGCCATATGTCTCTTGAACTTTACAGAATTTGTACATTTAAAGAAAATAAAAACAGTAAAGACGCCCCTTAGGAGCCTGCATAAACCAGGCAGTGTGGATGATGAACAAGACTAGGGGATGGTTCTTAAAAATTGGTTAAATGGGCCGGGCGCGGTGGCTCACGCCTGTAATCCCAGCACTTTGGGAGGCCGAGGCGGGCGGATCACGAGGTCAGGAGATCGAGACCATCCTGGCTAACAAGGTGAAACCCCGTCTCTACTAAAAATACAAAAAAAAAATTAGCCGGGCGTGGTAGCGGGCGCCTGTAGTCCCAGCTACTCGGGAGGCTGAGGCAGGAGAATGGCGTGAACCCGGGAGGCGGAGCTTGCAGTGAGCCGAGATCGCGCCACTGCACTCCAGCCTGGGCGACAGAGCGAGACTCCGTCTCAAAAAAAAAAAAAAAAAAAAAAAAAAAAAAAATTGGTTAAATGGACTCCTCAATAGCCCACAATGATAAATATTTTTCAGATTTCCTAATCATTTATGTACTTCCACATATTTTTTATGTAGGAAAATATGGCTCCTGGCCCTAAAAGGTTTAATTTGGAAACAAGAAAATGGAAGTGGACATGACGACCCTCTCAGGCAATTTATTAAGGGCTATCCACAGGAAGTTCTTGCTATCATTTGTTTTGCTGAAAGAAAATGGTGGCCGTAGTAAAATGGCATTTTAAAGAAAGAACTCGGGATAAAAGTCAAGATGAAGTTAAAAGAAAGACCTTTAACAATTACTTATCACTTTAATACTCCTTAAATAATATGAGGTTTACTCACTCATGAAAAACTTTTTTTTTTTAAACAGGATCTTGCTGTGTCACCCAGGCTGGAGTGCAGTGGTATGATCATGGCTCACTGCAGCCTCAATCTCCCTGGCTCAAGCCATCCTCTTACCTCAGCCTACCAAGTAGCTGAGACTGCAGGTGTGCACAACCACAATCAGCTAATTTTTTTTTTTTTTTTTTTTGAGACAGAGTTTCCTTGCTCTTGCTGCCCAGGCTGGAGTGCAGTGGCGTGATCTCAGCTCACTGCAACCTCTGCCTCCTGGGTTTAAGCGATTCTCCTGCCTCAGCCTCCCAAGTAGCTGAGATGACAGGCATGCGCCACCAGGCCCAGCTATTGTATTTTTAGTACAGACAGGGTTTCACCATGTTGGTCAGGCTGGTCTCAAACTCCTGACCTCAGATGATCCATCAGCCTCCCAAAGTGCTGGCATTACAAGCGTGAGCCACCATGCCCGATCTCGGCTAATTAAAAAAATTTTTTTTGTAGAGATGGGCTCTCACTATGTTGCTAAGCCTGGTCTTGAACTCCTGACTTCAAGCAATCCTCCTGCCTCAGCCTCCCACAGTGCTGGGATTACAGGCATAAACTGCCGCACCCAGCCTCATAAAAACTTTTATTTAATTATAAAAGTTGAAAATCAACTTTGTAAAAGCCATATGAGCACATTATGGAAAGTCTGTAAAATAGACAGTTTAATTACTTTTAAAATTCCACTGACAAATTCTGTTAGACAATATTTCAATTAAGTATGTGCCATGTCTAGCTTACTTTCAAGTACATGCCAAATTTCATACAAAATTTTGAAAAGAAGGCTTTAATAACACATGGGACACATGCCACTCCTGACAACCCACACCAACCCTGACAGCCCCAAGTCATAGTAATAACCAGTGCTCCTGCAGTAATGAGGCAATGCCCGATTGTGCAACGTAATGCTTCCCCCTGTGAAGTGCCTTTTGAATGTATATTCTGAAAATAGTTGAAGAAGTGCTAGTTTTTCTCTGATTTCTATGCTATCATTTCATATGAAAATTATACTCTTCGCATGTAACAAACTGCGTCCTGTTTGGTAAGATAATATGTAAAAAACCAAACTTTTATACAATTAAAAATAAGGCTGTAAATAAGGCCAATGCTTAGGACTGCAGTAGTTCCTGGCTGTCCATCAACATTAGTGCTGAAATAATTACTATCTCTCTGGAAACAGATTTGAGGAAGTAAAGAAATGTAACATTTTTGAAGCTCAAGATGCATAGTGGTTGTGATACACTAGATGATTTTGCTTGATTTGGAAACCTGGCGTTAGAAAATATTGAATTGTAGAGTGAAAAAGTTATTTAGTGTAGGTTGTTTCTATCCCTCTGTTCCCATTAATATGAAAGTCTCTTGGGTGCTAGAATGTCATTAACACCTGTGGCAGGTTAAAGATGGCTGTGCATGGGGCTGGGGAGGAACAGAGACTTGTCTGTTTTCTTCCCTGCTGCATTCTCAATTCCTCGGGCTGTATGTGGTAGAAAAGGATATTCAATAAGTATTTGTTGAATGAATGAATGAACAAACAACGAACAACCTTAGCTAACCCTCAGAGCCTTTAAACTTTTATTAAGATGCACCAATGGGGAAAACTAAGAACAATCTTGTACCTGATAACAGAGTAAACTATTTAAATGCTAGAAGTTTAAATTTTAGTTTTAATAACTAAAAACTGATAAAAATTTATCTTTAAAGGTAGGTTTTCAAAAAAATACAATTAAATAATTCCAGTAAATAGTGAATTTCCTATAATTCATTGCCTTCTTTCTCGTTTCCACCCCCACTTATTTTCCCCTGAAACAAAAGTTAGCTATAGAAAATACTTTAAAATTATGTATAGGTCAGCCAGGCGCGGTGACTCACACCTGTAATCCCAGCACTTTGGGAGGACGAGGCAGGCGAATCACTTGAGGTCAGGAGTTCAAGACCAGCCTGGGCAACATGGCGAAACCCTGTCTCTACTAAAAATACAAAAGTTAGCCAGGCACAGTGGTGCACGCCTGTTATCCAAGCTACTTGGGAGGCTGAGGCAGGAGAATCGCTTGAACCTGGGAGGCGGAGGTTGCACTGAGCCAAGATCGCACCACTGCACTCCAGCATGGGTGACAGGACGAGACTACGTCTCAAAAAAAAAAAAAAATTATATATAGGTCAGGCACAGTGGCTCACTCCTGTAATCCCAACACTTTGGGAGGCCAAGGCAGGAGGATTGCTTGAGTCCAGGAGTTTGAGACCAGCCCAGGCCTATTTGAAAAAGGGAGACCTCATCTCCACCAAAAATAAAAAAAATTAGCCAAGAGTGATGGCACATGCTTGTGGTCCCAGCTACTCAGGAGGCTGAGGTGACAGGATCGCTTGAGGCTGGGAGATCTAGGCTACAGTGAGCCCTGATTACACCACTGCACTCCAGCCTGGGCGACGGAGTGAGACCCTGTCTTGAAATAAAATAAAATAATGTATATTCCACATTGTTTCCCAATGGATCTAATATGGTTAGAATAAAATTAAGTTACTGATTCTCACAAGGAAAAAGGGTTTAAGAGGAATAGAACTTAGGCTTAATTAAGATTGCAGTTGCACTCCACATTCAACCTCCTACCTATGATGTTTCAAGTGTGGGGTGACATCTAACCTGGGGCATTGTTAAGGGTGAAAGGGAGTGCCATTAAAATTCTCTGTTTGATAACATGCATAAACCTGGATTGCCTTACACACATCTGAGAGTACGGTCATGCTACTACAGAGCTCTCAAAGTTGACAAGGCTTTTTCAAGAACTCACTAGGCCTTGACTCATATGTAACAACTACTGTTTCTACAGTAAATACTTCTGTATTTCTGTCAGCAATTTGTACTTTATGAAGCACTTTCACATATTATCACTTTATTCTTCCCAATAACACTAGGAGTTAGCCAAGCATTTATTTATTCAATGAAGAGTTATTATGCCTCTTTTTCAAATGAAAAAACTCAGAGAAATAGATATGACTAATGAAGACAGCACGGATATGTGTCAGAGTGAGGGCATAAAACCCGATTTCTAACTCAGTCCTGTGCCCATCCACGCACCATGGCAGCTACAGTCATTACAATTGCACCGTGTGGCATCAGAGAAGGGCTGGAAGCTCCTAAGTCACACACTCCTCTATGAGGGCAAATTACTTATAAACAGTAAGGCAGAATAAAGTTTCAGTGGCTCTTTTAAAGACTTGTGTTGGGGGGCAGCAAAGGGATAGGAATTCAGAAGGATTTTTAATGAATTTGGGTATCTGCTTTTCTCAGGTCCATGAAAACACGCAGTTTTCTAAGGAAGTCAAACTATTAATCATTTGAAGGCAGCTGGAGTTCTGAAGAACCATCTCCCACTTCTTCAGGAACTAGCAGACGTGGACAGATGTGTAACTTTACAAACTGTCTGTTTTGGTCTGGGTTCAAGTATTCACATTTGAGAGCAATGGTCGTTCCAGGATAACACAGAACATAGTGTGCTCATAGTTCTAAAACACCACGAGGGACTTCTGTAATGTGGTTTGTTTGTTTGTTTGTTTGTTTTTTGAGACAGAGTCTCGCTCTGTTGCCCAGGCTAGAGTATAGTGGCGGATCTCGGCTCACTGCAACCTCTGCCTCCTGGCTTCAAGTGATTCTCCTGCCTCAGCCTCCTGAGTAGCTGGGGTTATGGGCGCGCACTACCATGCCTGGCTAATTTTTGTATTTTTATTACAGACAGGGTTTCACCATGTTGGCCAGGTTGGTCTCGAACTCCTGGCCTCAGGAGATCCACCCGCTTTGGCCTCCCAAATTGCTGGGATTACAGGCGTGAGCCACCGGCGCCTGGCCAGCCATAATGTGTTTTAAATATAAAAGTCACAACTTGAATGTGGATAAATGTGTTCTACATCAAAGAGATGTTCTGGAGCCTTCTAATGAGTTTAAGTATCAGAAGGTAAAAGAGGAAAGAACATTTAGCTAAAACTTACTAGATTAAAAGGGATTCTCAGAAATCATTCAGTCAGGATGCCCATACCTGGTTAGGACAATACCTAAAATATCCCAAAATATATAATGAACTTTTTTTTTTCAAGTTCTAGAAAATGAAAATCAACAAAATGCTTTAGACAGACATTCCTATGACCCGTATCCCACAAAAATTAAAAGGTGTTACTCAAGGCCAGCCCTCCAACACATAACTCATATTGTCCTTTGAGGAGACTCAGGAAAATAATGACATGGTGGTTACTAAATCAAGAGCCTTTTATATAGCTTGGCTTATCTGTATATACAAGAAAACAGACACAGGATGCTCAAAAAGACACAATCAGAAGTGAAATGTCTCCCTATTTAACTTGACTTTAGCAATATAAATCAAATGACTATATATAAGGAGATGGCCAATAAGGGTGGAAGAGATTTTTCTGGCTTCTGATCTCTATACACTGTGTGCAATCTCTCGTCACACTGGTGGTTCTGTGTTAGAATGACCTATTCATATATTGGTTTATCCATCATACTGTCAACTGGAAGGTAGAGATTATGTCTTTTAATAATATATTCCTAGTACTTTAATGATGCTAACACTAGATGAATAAATGAGTTATCAGGATATAAAAGTATAAACTGCACAGTAAAAGAATGGTAGAAATTAGAAGCAGTGGTGGATGGGGAGAACCAGAGAAATACAGCACCAACAACTAAGCTATGTTAAATTCTCATTGTATTACAAATGTGATTTTATTTTATTTTTTTGAAACACATTTATTCATCTTTTTAATCCTCGTGGCTCAGCACAGGGCCTGACACACAGTAGGCACTCAACAAATATTTGATTTCCAAAGCATGACCATTCATGCATCCATAATCCTCTTTTTATAGTATAAAGAAGGCTGATATTCAGGCCCCCATGTGTACCTTAAGTAATATATATTTCCCAATAAGCTCTTATTTTTAAAGGTGAGAAACAGTTCTAGGGTTCAATTTCAAAATCAAGATGACATTCAGGTGAGTGTATCACATGTCATTAAAAGATGAATAACAAAGCATATTTGCCTGCGCACCACTGCCTTTTCCCTTTCCTTCATTTTCTCTGTTCATAGGAAAGCAAAAGTTTTATTAAAGTTTTCACCATCTGTAAGAGCCCTGGACAATTTTTGATCCTGTAAGGGCTTTTTACTTCAGTTTTTGTCACATATTAAAGCTGTGTGTCAAGACTGAGGATTATCCACTATCTTCTCTTCTATCTCTATGTATTTTTCTATTTCTTCCTCTGATAGCTATAACTTGGTTTCTGAGTGTCTGGTTACAATAACTGCAAAGGACTGTTGTGACTCAAGGATATTAGCCACCACCACTTGATGCTGATAAACTTCCAAAGCCTTCTGAGCTCGATTAATTACAATGGAGGGGTCAGTCTCCAACTTAAAGGAAATTATAAATGCTTTGGGAGCACAATCTTTAATCAAAGAAGAAAGTATTTTTGGCACCATCTTCATTGTTATCTGCAGTGGGCCCCCAGATGACTGGATCTTGTGTTCAGGCATTTCAGAGCCAGGAACATAGAAATCTGACAGGGCCGCGCCAGGTAAAACATCGCAGAAGAGCCGGCCATGCTTCCAGAGGGACCTTGGTGCTGCCTGACGTGACCAACACCACCCGCTTGCCCTGCGTGCCCAGCCCGGCCGCGAAGTGGGCCATAACCTCAGTGCAGCACCAGGAGGCCAGGGGAACTCAGCTACCAGGTCCACTTCTGCCAACAAATGTGATTTTCATGCTAAAGAATTTCTACTTCCATAGAGACACACTTGAATACAAAAATAAAGGTCCACTAGAATAAGCTGCGTGGGGACAGGGTTCATGTTGTTTGCTCATACAGTACATCTCTCATGCTTCTTCGGCATAGAAGAACTCAGTAAACATTAGATGGTAGCTGGAAGGTGGATGGCTAGATGGATGGATAAATGACTCAATGAAAAGGCAGGTTGACTGACTAAGGAAATCTCTGCTTGGTAATTAAAACTCCTCTGAGACTGCACATCATTTTCCACTAATGGCAGCTTAAGCAGTATTTTCAACAATACTTGTTATTGTCTTTCCTCTAAATGACAAACCAGATTTATCTGTTGTGTTCAAGACCTTTTCCACATGAAAAAAAAAAAATTCACAAAACTAAACACACTAGAATGTTCTCTATAAGGTTAGACTCAGTTATTTCCATCTTTATTCTCACTGATTCACTGTGTCACTGTGCTTGAGTGACTTCAGTCCTGGATGCAGCATGAAGTAGGTTTCCAAGAACCTCATGGGGTATTCGGCTTGCTTTCCTTTCCTTTGATTGTCTCCTGTTATCATACTGTACATTCATTCCTCCCACAGGCCACGCAATGGTTATTGGATAACTGGAAGCAACTGCACTGTCGGTTCAATTGTTTGTATTATATTTACAGACTGTTTGCTTCTTTGTATCACTGAATGAAAGAGACTATGAATCAGAGGTTATTAAATGAAATTACTCTGTAGGCATATAATCATTGCAAGGAATAGGAAACAAAACCATAATTCTATACAAGCTTTGCTATGTGTAAAGATTTCTTGAAATAGTTTTTGAAAAAGTCACAAAAGAGATACGCAATAATGCTTGTTGGACATACAGGTATAAAAAATTGTGTCCTATCATTTGAAACAGAATAGTAAAATTATTACCCCTTTAAGCTGCTTGACATTAAATGAGTGCATCCACATACACCATCTCATTGATTGTCAAAATGACTCTGAGAGGTAAGCAGGTCGTGTGTTTGAATCTACATTTTAAAGAGAGAAAACCAAGGCTTGGCTTTGAGAGGTTCTCTGACTTAATATCATACAATCCAGTAGGAGTGTGTGTTTGGTGGCAGGACTGAAACCAAGCTCTCCTAAATTCGAGTTTTCTGGAAACTAGAATTTAAACAAATTAAACCTTTATAATCATCAGCATGCCTTTAGGGCATAAAAGATAACCTTTATTTTCCCACAGTTAATGCAATGCATCATACCTGGTTTATTTCCTGAGTGGTTGTTATTTTGTCCTGAAATTGCAGAGGCAGGGCGGCTGGAGGCATTTTTCTTATCTTGCACTTTGTAGCTGTCGGGTGCTACAGAAATGAGACAAAAGAGAAAAGACACATTTAGTTTCTTAAAATTTCTTCAGAAACATTTAAGTATTCGACATTTACTGTTAACCTATGTACCAGGTTCTTAGGCTAGATTAAGGAAATGAAAAGATGAAGTAGTTACAACCTGTGCCCTCAAGGAGTAGGAAGAACACATAAAAAATCAACAACCTCAGCTTGAGTGACCCATCTTATAGAAGTGGCATGTTCAAGGGGCCATGAAGGGCCTTTCCCATGGCTGCACCAGTTTACACATAAAGCAACCACGTGGAAGCACGACTGGAGTCTAAAGTCTTGGATCTGAGTTCTTACAAAGCACCATTGGCTTAGAATATATTTCAAATGTATTAATTTCTTTCTTGCTTTGGTATATTCAACATCATTTAATCTTTCTTTGGGGTCACTGAGTCTCTGCAGTAGCCCCAGGTCCTGACAACAAACATCAACCCTAACTGAATATTATGTAACAGCAGACCATGGAAATCGAAAAGACTTCAACGTATGTTCAGTACAAGTCACTTTTCTGAATAAGCCCTGATAAATGCTTTTGGGGGTGGGGTGCTGGAGGGAGGCTGTAGTTTGCTTTATTATGCTGAAATTCAAATTAAAAAAAATCAATTAAACAGGAGTTCTGGTTACTTTAACTCTAATTTATCTACATCTAACTTTTATTGGATCCATTCTAGGCGAACATCAGAGGCCTATCTGCCCACTTCATTATCGTCTGCATGTTGGGAATTCATTTCCATCCCAGAAGACCTTCTGAGTCATATTCACCATGAGACAAATATACAATCCATTTTAAATTTTTCTGTGCTCATATAAAATTGATAGGTTAATTTTATTTTATGTTATTTTATTTTCCATTAAGCCATTTGGATTAGTAATAGGTTAAATTTCGTAAAATAAAAATAATTTTTTGAAAATTGTCAGGCTGTTTGGTCTAAGATTATATATTGCTAATTCCTAACTCTTAGGTTGGATGTATTTCTAAAGTTTTCAGGCCATCTCTCTGCTTTCATATCAGTCTTTTTCTTCTTCAATGGTTTAAGAGTCTGTATTTCTTCAAAAACTTCTTTGGTGAACATTGTAACAGCAAAAGACACAGACAGACCTGGGTTCAAAAGTGAGACTTGGTACATAACCAGTTGAGTGGCGAGAAAGTTATTTGGCCTCTCTAAGTAGGTCACATGGGGTAATAATACTGCCTAACTCACAGAATTGTTGAAAGATTAACTGAGAAGACACATGTTAAAAATCTACCATAAGACTTGGCACATAGAAGGTGTTTAACAAGTATTCAAGGCCCTTTCTCCCAGCTTCTATGCTTTTCTGTGGAGTCCTGGGCATCCCATACCCATAGCACCCATGCAGGTTTGAGTGTGTTTTGGAGTCAGCAAACCTGGTTCTGCCATTTACCAGCTGAATCCTCAGCATGTCACTTAACATCTCTAAGTCTTAATTTCCCCATCTGTAAATGGGGAAAACATCTACTTTCAGAGCTGTAAAAATTAAACGAGATAACGTACAGAAAGGTAGTTCATTGCCTGGCCCACAGCAAGGCACGATAAATGGTAGAAAGTATTTTTAGCTCTCTTCAGGAAACTGGGCTTCTAGTTCCTCAGGGATTTGAGAGAAAGCAAACCTATGTTAACTTGGTGACGGGGTCCTGGGGGCAAGTGACTAAAGTGGCAGGAAGGTCTGGGTCAGCCGCTGTTTCCAGAGGTTTTCAGCTCAGCCACAGTTATACCTCCTGGTGCTCTCAGGTAGGATGAACTTATTGATATGATGTTTAGGGTATGGCCTGGTTTGGGAAGAGGTAATTAGTCCTTCTGATTCAGGGTTTGGGGGAGATGACAGTTTTCTAAGATGTGATGTCTTTCATTATATTAAGTAAATCTGAGCCTTAAAAAAAAAAAAAACAAAACCTCAGTAACAATGGGAAAAATAAAACAGGGAGTTGTGTTTTTTTTTTTTGTTTTTTTGTTTTGTTTTTTGAGACAGTTTCGCTCTTGTTGCCCAGGCTGGAGTGCAATGGCATGATCTTGGCTCACCGGCAACCCCCGCCTCCCGGGTTCAAGCAGTTCTTCTGCCTCAGCTCCCAAGTAGCTGGGATTACAGGCATGCGCCACCACGCCTGGATAATTTTTTTGTATTTTTAATAGAGACGGGGTTTCTCCATATTTGTCAGGCTGGTCTCGAACTCCCAACCTCAGGTGATCTGCCTGCCTCGGCCTCCCAAAGTGCTGGGATTACAGGTGTGAGCCACCACGCCCAGCTGGGAGTTTTTTGTTTTTTTTAAACAAAGTGCAGGAGATTTCACTACTTAAGAACACAATGACAACAGGAATTTATTCATTTTCTGATTTCCAAAATTTAAAAACCTGAAAATCCTCATTAACTAGAAGATAGGATTGTATATACCCTTATAAAAGTTCTCATGGAAAAAAAAATTAAAATGACTAGGTGACTTTCCAGTATTATTTATTTGAATCTCTCTTCTTTCATTTAAAAAAAAAAAAAAAAGAAAATTAAGCCATATACTACGATGCTCAGTAAGTCTTTGCTAGCCTTATGAAATCTTTATTGATTATCCTGCTAGCTTGAAAGCTGTATTCCATTAGTGTCACATGTGAGTGTTGAGGTAAAGACAAGAGGAAGGATACAAACAAGCACCCTGGTGGTCTGGGACTCTCTTTCCAACATACTCTAAAACAAAATATAGAGGCATCAGACATTTGGAGCCTTCATCTAGTGAAAATTCTGCAGCTCCAGTAAGTGCTGCAATGTGCCTGTGCAATCCACATCGTCTGCCACTCACTGATTCCTTCCAACGTCTTCCCACAAAGGCCTTGGTGTTCTCATGGCTTTGTTTCTACTTCTGGCTGTATGGTCCAATACAGTCTTCTCTCAACTGTTCAGAATAACTGGTCCAACAAATGACCTGTCAATTTAGTCAAAATACTTGCTCTGAGACACGTCTGACTATAACCTTTGCACCATCCTGAGTTTAAATCTCACTGAATAATATGGGGACTTGACATCCACAAGGATAATGTATTTCAGTCACTCTTTTTAATAAAATCTGGAATGTGGGCTGTGAAACAGCAAAAGCTTAAACTCAGTTCCCAGCTCTGTATAGTCCCTTATCCATGGAGGAATACTAGGTTCCCAAGACCCTCCGTGGATGCCTGAATTTGTGGGTAGTCCCTGACCATACATACGCTATGTTTTTTGGATCTACTGAGACAGCTCCTATGTGACTGACAGGTGTGCAGCGACTACAGTGTGGATCCACTGGACAAAGGAATGATTCACATCTCAGGCTGGACAGAGCAGGAGGGCACAAGATTTCATCACACTACTCAGAACAGCATAAAATTTATGAACTGTTTATTTCTGAAGTTTTCCATTTAATATTTTTGGACTACAACTGACCGTAACTGAAACCTCAAAAAGCGAAATCATGGATAAGGAGGAACTACTGCATACATGCTTCTCGGCTACAGTCTTCAACTGGACTTTGTGGGCATACAGCCCCTTTGTGGACATAGACTTGTGAGGACACAGCTTTGGGGGAGTGACCTAGAACACAGAACTAGAGGTTGAACCACATGAAATAGCCTTTTATGTAGTAAAAAATGGTTAAAATTTAACAACTTTTATGTTTCAATCTAATAGTTTAAATAAATCTGTATAGAAAAGAGTTACCATATCAGGCCTGAGACTGCTGTCCTTATTATTTTGTATATATTTATATATATTTATTCCTTACATTTATTTATTCAAATATACCTGCCAGGAGTATTGTAACACTCGAATCATAGGTATGAAGTGTTTTATCCAATGTGATTTATAAAATTTGCATTAGAACAAGAAGGACATAAAGCAACAGCAACACTCCTAATGACATTCCTGATTATTCCACATAATGGAGAATTTCTCCTTAGTTTAAATTCCTCATAATTATAAGTGAAGTTGGGCAGCAATGATCAAAGCTTATGGGAGTTAGCATAAGACAAACCTGGATTTCATTTCCCACACTACCTCAGTTTTCTTCCTACTTGCATTTATTCGAACAGTACACTACTCCATGGGACATCTTGAGCTCGATGCTGGAAGTAATATTATTAGGGGTATAATGTATCTCCTTCTACCACTTCTTTTTCCTTTTCTTGTCCTATGTTTCTAGGTTACACTGTATTCTGGAGCTTCTGATTCCTCCAATACTATCTCCTCTCTTCAAAAATCATCTCCTAGTATGGCCTGAAATACTATCTGTACATCAGTCACTGTCGAGTGTGCATTTATAAATATGTGCTCTCAACAAAGTTCCCGTCTTCAACCTCTAGGGAATATCTGCTCATGTATTTCTGCTATCATTTGAATGTCCTCACAAAAAAGCCAACCCCCTAATGTCAGTCTCTTTGTCACAATCAACAGAACCACCAGCCTCAGAAATGTTAAGTAATTTTAAGGAATTAAGTAATTTTTTCAACATTTACAATACCTCCATGGGCCAGACACTGTGCTACGCAGTGAGAATACAAAGGTTATATGACATACTATCTGCTTTCAAGATGCTTATCATCCTTTGGAGGAGAGACAGTGTGCACATACATGAAATTGCAACAATAGACCGATTCAATTTTCTAAAAAATCCATAAACCCACAGAGGTTTAATAACCAAATAAATGATATAGATAGTGTTACAGGAATTTGGAGTGGAAGAAGGAGCCACAAGGCACAGCAGTCCCTGGGCAAAGAGCTTGCAGACCAGAAAGCATCCAGATAAGTGAAGAATAATGTGGAGAAGTTCCCTCACTGGGATGGAGCACGAGCAAAACTACCAAGGCAAAGAGGCAGGAGAGACAATCAGGACTGTCTGGTCAGAACAGCAGGTTTAGGAAGGGAGGCAGTTGAAAATATGACAAGAGAAACTGGCTAAGGTCAATGTCTCTTTGAATTCTGAGAGTGTGGACTTTCTCGTGAAGGCAATGGAAAGTCACTGAAGTATATATCACATGGAACTTCCAGCTGTGAACTACTTTAGCTTCAGTGGATTCTGTGTAAATGGAAAGTGAAGTCTAACAAGCCTGCTGGAAATGAATTTAAAAAGGATCTCATCTTAAAGAAAACAATAAAAGGAAATCAGACAAAAACAGACATGCTAAGAACTCTGCCTTCTATAGAATTTAGTAACTAGTCAGGTTCTTCCACTTACCCGTATCGTGTACCAAGAGATAAGTATTTGACCATTACGTGGTAAAAAGTAACATGAATATGGTGAAACTTATGTCTGTCCCTGAAGAAACAAGAAGTAGGGGAAGAGTAGAGTCAGTGTGGTCACCCTAGAAGAAGCCAAGGACAGCTCACGCAGCACTATATAGGGACCCTCCACCGGAAATGGGACTCCAGCCACAAACTCCTGGGAGGATGAGCAGCTGGCAGGCCAGATAAGGAAATGGGCCTGTTGGGAAATAGGTAGGGCATATTTTTGAAGGTCATTTTGCAGGGAGTGAAGAAGATAAAATATGGGAAACTGATTGATGTTATTAATCTTTTGTAGACCCTCACTTAATGGGGAAGCAGCTGCTTCATGGGGCATGCCTACAGGTATTGTGTCATGGCAATTTAAGTAACTGTCAATGTCAAAAATAGTGCAGTCTCATTTGCTCTTCTATACACACCAGAATAAACCCATTTCATGGTATGGTGCAACATCCAGCCACATTCAATCTGACTGACATTTTGAAACAGAAATAACAATCATGAACCATTTATTCACTCTATTGCTCAATTCTTGTTGACAAAACATAAAAAACTAAATAGGATCATCTGATAATGATACATATTTGAGTTATACACAGCACTCTCCCTATTCTGCTGACAGAAATAATTCAATTAAAATCTTCTTTTTCTTGCATTTCACACATCTATACAGAACACAAAGTTAGGATTTGGTGGCTATGGTAGACTTCAGCAGAGCATAGTAAGAGTGTGGAGGCTTTACAATTTGGAGTAGCTCATTCAGCAATGACAATGACTGAAAGTCACTTTCTGATTTCTCCATCTCGTCATAATGGAAAAAACCTTAAGATGTATGACCATGATAGAAAATGATATTAAACCAAAAGGAAATAAATTTGTTCAATAAAGAGATAGTACAAACCCAACAAAAGACATTGACTTTATAAATACAGTCCAACATGGTGTATAGTTATATGACACATAGGGACAGAATCTTCCACAGGTATCACTCCTTATTTCTATAACTGCACTAAGACTTGAAGAATGGAACAGAGACACGCAGGTCTTTGTTAATAATTTATATTGAACCACTTCCAAAGAGAAGTTGAGGCAGTTGGATTGAACTGTCAAGGTCTATACATGAGATTATAAAAAATACTGACATAGGCTGGGCGTGGTGGCTCACACCTGCAATCCCAGCACTTTGGGAGGCTGAGGTGGGCAGATCACCTGAGGTCAGGAGTTTGAGATCAGCCTGGTCAACATGGTGAAACCTCGTCCCTACTAAGCATACAAAAATTAGCCAGGCGTGGTGGTGCACGCCTGTAATTAATCCCAGCTACTCGGGAGGCTGAGGCAGGAGAATCGCTTGAACCCAGGAAGTGGAGATTGCAGTGATCCGAGATCCCGCCACTGCACTCCACCCTGGGTGACAGAGCAAGACTCTGTCTCAAAGAATAAATAAATAAATAAATAAATAAAATAGTGACACAATCAACATTTTCTGAAATAAAAAACCTAACATGTGATAGGAAAGATCATGTATATAACAGCAAAAGATAATTCTATCAAAATAGGTTACCAAAATATTCCTAAGGGATAGGACTGGGCCATTTTCCTTCAAGGAGCTGATGTCTAGTCATAGTCATCATATTCTGAGCTTAAACAGTCTCCAAATAAATGGAACATCGGCATTCAGTCATTGATATCTGGCCAGGTGCAGATCTATGATAATTTTCCACTTGACCAGAGCAACCTCAGGGCAGGGGTCATGCCCTTCAGCCTTATAATCTCCAGAATAACATGAGATATTTTTTCTCTTCTGATGTGAAGTAGACGTGACCTTGATCTGAGAACTCTTTTTGTCACCCTTTCTCTACAATCTTAGCAGTCATCAAAAAATAAGAAAATGTATTCTTTTTCTTTTTACTAATCATCTTATCATTAATATTTTTTATTTCTGGACTTTTGTCACAGTGTTCCACAAGGCACACATCCATTCCTCTCTTGCATCCTTCATCAAGCATTTGTTCAGTGTCACATATGTGCTGGGTAGTGTGCTAAACACCTCACATCAGAAGAGAAAAAATATCTCATGTTAATCTAGGATGATTTCAACATTATATTAGGCAAGACTCAAAATCAAATGGATGTTTTGACCCCACTTCATAGAAAGGAGCGCTCAGTCTCACCTACAGTGAGAATCTCAGGAATTAGAGTGACACTCTGCAAACACAACAGAATACAGGTCGAGCATCACTAACCCAAAAACCTGAAATCTGAAACCCTTCCATTTCCAAACATTTCAGATAAGGGACACTCAAGCTGTTACTGCTTATACTGCATGGAGGAAAGAAAGCATGTGAACATTACAGCCTCTGCTGGTAACATCAGACAAGCATCTCAACTTTGGGAAATTTGTAAACCCCAACTCTTTCCCAAGCAGTTAATAAATTTATTTTGATAATCTGTTATGTAGCCAAATAATTATCCACCCTAGCTAAACATGAGGAAAAGGATATTTCAGAAAAGCACATGTTCCATATATCTTGTGGGAACTGGGGGGAATCACCCACTAAGCTCTTTCGTTTACCACTAAAAGCAGCTCCTCGATTCACATCACAAATGCTTTCTGACACATTGCGCTGACAGGAATAAACATTACACACTTTAAATTCAACCAAAAAGGCTTTTATCTAAAAAATAAGTAAATAAGTAAAACAAAAACCTTCCTTCAGCCAGATGGCAACACTAAAAATAGAAGAGAAAATGATATATTTTCCCCTTGCGTTAATATAAATCAGATTAAAAGGCAAGCTTTTTCATCTCCGTTGGTGACTTACCACCAGTCACAATGCTAGCTAGCTACTCTACAAGCATTATCCCTGCCCCACAACATGAATAATGTTTACGACTAAGCAAAGTACAGGGCAAAGTACACAAAAGGGAGGGCAAAGTCTAACCATATTAAAGTTTTCCAGTCACACGGAGAAATGGTAAATCAGAGACTGTAGTTATCCATCTATATTTTAACCGCTGGAAACGGAGTTTATCAAATTAGACCCAATTCAATTAAAATCAATGTGTAATTAGAAGAAACTATTTAAATAATGTGGAAAAGAAAAATAATTGAACTCAACTTTATTATACTTTGCTTAATTAAAACAACGAACTGAAAAGAGGGTGTTTTTACTTGAATAGGATAATGATTTACTTTAAGGAAAACTAAAATGGCTAATGCCAGTATTTTACAAAATGATTACTATTGGCCATGAAATAGAAAAGCTTTCATACTTACAAAGTACAGTTATCTAAGTAGAAAATGTACAATACTTAAAAATAGTTCTAAACAGGGGACTCAGTTTTAAATATCAGTTTTGTAAATAAATTTGCATGTAATTTTAATCCTATGAGTATTAGTTAACTGAGTTTAATCAGTGAAATAAATACACATATACACTGCTGTCGAATATCAAAAATTAATCATCTCTCCTCTGTAGAAAATATTAAAATATTTTAAATTTCTTATGTAAACTTCGTAAAATTTAATAGGAATGATATGGTAGGTTCTGAACGTTTATTCCAACTCAAGTAACCACTGAACATTTAACTTAAAGGTTGTCTAAAATTATGGGCCAACGCATTCTCCCCATGCTGTCCTGTGCTGCAGTCATTTCTGTATCTGTGACTGTGTTCTTTTTTCCCTCACTAGAACACCAGCCTCATCATCTTTGCAACTGTTTACGTCTCATCTCTTTTTCTTTCTTAGAGCAGTTTTAGGCTTACAGCACAATTGAGCAGAAAGTACAGAGTTTCATATGCTGTTGCAGCCCTGCGCCCCCACCGCCTATCCCACCATCAACATCCCACACCAGAGTGGTCCACCGGTTACCACTGATGGGCTGACACTGACACGCCATCATCACCCGAAGTCCATAGTTTACATGAGGGGCCACGCTTGACGATGCACTTTCTACTGGTTTTCATAAATGTATAATGACATGTATATACCATGTAGTAACATGTAGAATTCAATCCATTTATAGTACAACTCGATCCATCATAGTCCAACTCAAGTCCCTTTCCCATGAAATCTTTTTAAGCTATTCCTACCACCATCACATTTCTTTCTCTGACTTTTACTGCACTCCAATGCAATCTGTCCCACGCTATTTAGCATTTGATTTCATTCTATCTTGTATCATTTTCAGAATGTATGCTTCCAAAATTTCTAAATACTGAGTCCCATGAGAGGCAAAACAAAAAAATGTGTTCCACATTAAAATAAAACAAAACCAAAACATAATGGGAAATACTTGATGTAACATTTCTCTCTTGGAAATGCATACTACAAGTTTGCATAGGGAAGGGGCTATATCATTCCATTCCATGCTGGTTACCCAATAAATATCAACTTTTTAATGCTTTATTTATTTATTTATTTATTTATTTATTTATTTAATTTTTTGAGACGGAGTCTTGCTATGTCACCCAGGCTGGAGTGCAGTGGTGTGATCTTGATTCACTGTAACCTCTGCCTCCTGGATTCAAGTGATTCTCCCGCCTTAGCCTCCCGAGTAGCTGGGACTACAGGCGCGTGCCACCATGCCTGGCTAATTTTTGAATTTTTAGTAGAGACGGGGTTTCACCATCTTGGTAAAGCTGATCTTGAACTCCTCACCCCAGGTGATCCTCGCACCTCGGACTTCCAGAGTGATGGGATTACAGGCGTGAGCCACTGTGCCCGGCCTTGATGCTTCTTTTCTAACAGAACCCTCATTGGCCACTGGACACAGATCTGGCCAAAACTTTGAAGACTGAAGTGGTTAGGTGTGGTTTGTGGGAATGGTCCTTAAGGCACAGCAGACTCTGGTGTGTGAATTTATTTGCTCTACACCTCTCCTTTTCTTCCTGCTTTGAATGTCGATGTGATGCTTAAGGCAGAGCATCTATCTGGAAACCAGGAGGCTATCAGGAGGGAAAGGCTGAGGGAACAACAGAGACTCAGGCCCTGACATCTTTAAGTTGCTGGTCTAGTATCAGCAACTCTTCACTTCTATGTTCCCGATAGGTTAGAGAAAAGAAAATCCCCAATTTGTTAAAATCATTAAGAAATTCTGTACTCATAAATTAAAAAAAAAATCCCTAAACTGATACAGAGATCCTACTGGCTACAGAATAAAGTCCATGCATCTTAGCCTTCCAAATGTCTTATTTCTTATTCAGTAACTCTTTTATTTGATCCATCATGAATCCTATGTAGCCTAATCTGTTCCAAAAGTCAGAAAGCAAAGCAGGTCCTGGTTCGTTATATTAAAGCAGAGCAGCTTTAGATTTGAAAATAGTGGGAGAAGCAATATCAGGAGAAAAAATGAGTGAGAGATGCCACATCAAGTTTTAATAACATTTGTAATAGAAATCAGTTCCATAGGAATTCAAACGCCTTAGCAGCCAGTGGAATTCTAAAAAGAATGTGAAAGGTTCCCCGATCAAACCCACTAACCTCATATAGCTCCTGATAATTCCTGAGCCACAATTCTTCTCAAATACTTAGTATTCTAAGGTCCTATATGAAGTGCAACTCACAGGTTGGTTACAGAAGGGTTAAATTACCTTCTCTCTCAACTGTTCTACAAATAAACCTTTAATACTAGATAGGTATCAACTGCACATTTGCTTATAAAAAGAAAGTAAATTTATCTATTGATTTAGCCTAATTTTACTTTTATTTATTAGATTTTCCATACTACAGAAAGAATATGAAAATAACATCTAAAAAGCCCATAATTCTGTGACCCAGGTAGCCCATTTATTCTTTTTATCTTAGAAAGGAAGTGTTTTTATTTATTTATTTAAGAGATAGGGTCTCACTATGTTGCTCAGGCTGGTCTCAAACTTCTGGCCTCAAGTAATCCTCCCACCTCAGCCTCCTCAGTGGCTGGGATTACAAGTGTGAGTCACTGTGGCTGGCTTTAAGAAAGAAATGTCTATTACATGGTTAGGAAATTCAAAAAAGTACAAAAAGCTATAAAGTGAAAGGTAAAAGCCTTTCCCTTCTTCCTTTCTGAAAAAAAACTATGTATAAATATATGTATTTGCTTTCCATTTATTCAGAACAATTTACTCTTCTGCCCCTTTCTTTTCTCATTTAGTAATCTATTTTAGTCTACTTTTCAAGTTCTTTCTTTAACTGCAACTAATTTCATCATTTTCAATATGTGGCTACAGGAATTAGATATTCTAGATTCATCTTCTCATAAGTGCTCTATTAAATCTTCACTGATGTGTGAGACCACAGTCCTGACTGAGTATTATTTACCTTCTTCTGTCAGCATCTACACCTGATCCCTTGCTCCCAGAGTTGGTAACTTACTCTCTTGCACTCTCTGCTTCTGCCAGTCTGAACTCAACTGGAAAAGTCAGCCACTTCCAAGGAAATAACCACAAGGAAAACTCCAAGGAGGCTTTGCTTTCCTGGTACATAGCGTAACAGTGAACAAAAGTAGGAACAAAACCTTCAAGAAGCCACGCTATTCGGATTGGATCAGAGGCTTAAAAGCAAGGTTTGTTCCATATGGATACATTTACCATTCCTACCCTTCTTAGTTTTGCAAGCCTAACCTGCATGGGTTCCAGGCCCCAGCTTCTGCCAACTCTGATGGGAAAGCATCGTGGGCTGCTGAAATTGTATTCCTTCTCTAGCACCTTCTCTGGATAGGCAATAAAGTAGTGGAGCAAAAGGGTGGAAGAACACTTCCTGGCCAACTCCATGCCCACTTCAAAGCCAGAATCAGGAAGCTGTTGTGCCAGGGAGTACCTGAGAAGAGCTGAAAGCTGAAGCTGCTCCTTCTGTGATACAAGAGACAATGAAAAACTGGTGAAGGTGCTGATGATGTCTGCAGGGACAGACGACACTGACTCCCACCTTGTGAACTCTGCACAGATGCTACACAAACTGGCTGGGCACGGTGGCTCACACCTGTAACCACAGCACTTTGGGGTGCCAGGGCGAGTGGATCGCTGAGCTCAGGAGTTCGAGACCAGCCTGGCCAACATGGTGAAACCCCGTCTCTACTAAAAAATACAAAGATTAGCCGGGCGTGGTGGTGGGCGCCTGTAAACCCAGCTACTCGGGAGGCTGAGGCAGGAGAACCGCTTGAACCCGGGAGGCAGAGGTTGCAGTGAGACAAGATCGCACCACTGCACTCCAGCCTGGGCAACAGAGCAAGACTCCGTCTCAAAAAAAAAAAAAAAAAAAGAACTCAAACTTCTAGTGACTTTCACAGGTAATTTGTGATCTGAAAATATAATTGAATCTATTAAGTAATTAAGGCTATCATCCTGGAGAACAAAGAAATAGGACCAAGCAAGGGCTTTGGTATGCTTAGCGTAACAAGCAGAGACTCCATATCAGGCCAGGAAAAAGGGATTTAAATCACAAAGCATTCCTCTGACTCATGTGGGAAAGAAAATTGAGATTTAAAACATGTTCCTTTTATTTTTTTAAATCATCTTTCTACTAGGCAAGGAATTTTTTTTTTTTTTTGAGCTGTTCAATCTCTAATTTGCCACATCAATATGTCCCCAAATAAGGGATCTCAAATTTTGGAACCTATTGAACATCTAAATGTAGTAACAAAACAAAAACAAAACAAACTAATGGAAAGGATCCCAGTCTGAAAAACACCAAAACAAAAGAGTGGTTTTACAAGCTCTGCCAACTCTCAAAGGCACAAAGTGTGCTATGTGGCAGGCGCCACAACCTGGCAAACAGTAGCAGGTCGGAGGAGAGGCTGACTGAGTGGCCCATCAGGGAGCATTCATAGCTGCAGAGTCCACAGACTGCAATTTACATGCTTGCTGTCCAGTAAGTATTTTCATTTAAAGTATGCTACATCCATTTCAAACAAGAGAATCCAATTACAAATTCTAAATCTGCCTAAGCTATGGGCCCTTTGGGGGTCATGAAGAGCTCAGCTAACACTAAGCTGACAAATAGGCTCTTTTCTTCTAAATACTTTTAGAATGCATTTTATGTGACCATTTCATACTTTACAACATCCACTTGGGGGTTGGTGCCTACAATAGTAGGAGAAGCCAGAAGGAGGTTGAGAGATATTGAATGGATAAACTACATGGATACCTTCTCCTAGAAGAAGGAAAAAAGAAGCCAACAATTACTGAGTGGAGGTTGGGAGGAACCCAGCTACTCTCCTTGCGTCCCAGGGGGCAAAGGGCTGTCACAGGCCTGGCCTATCTCCCCATTCTCTTCTTTATTGAAACACCTGCTCCTAGATAACCAGTCCTGTTTCCAGAATTGTAGAGGAATCATTATCGGAAAGGAAGATGTCTAAAGAACTGTCTGAGCTTTCTAATCAAATGTGAATAGATCTCATTTCAGTCTTTGAGTGCCCCCTCAAACTGCCACTTTTCCTAGATGCATTAGGAGTATTCTAAGTAAGTGACATGGCAATGTGTTTTCTTTTTAGTTTACAAATGATGCATATGCCCTAAACTTCATGACACTTTTTCTGTTATCCTATGTCCTTTATTTTACAGAAGTGGAAAACCTTAGAAAAATTTCAAAAGGGTGTGTGCTTTCTGTAAATAGTAAGGTAGGGAGAGGTTTTGATACTGAGTTTGGTTTCCAAGTAGAGGAAAGAAGGAGAAAAATTATAGTTGGCTGAGGACAGGGTAGGGAGAAAAATTTGAGGAAGCAAGAAAACCTGCTTTAGAAATAGTAGAATCTGAGCAATTTGAAGGTACATCATTATACCATTAAAGTAGAATAGATGTTTAATACAAATTGGGTGAATAACTATACACATGTTTTTCATAGGGATTTTATAATAACATTACTATCTAATAGGTTAAATAGGCTTTTGTGGGTTATCAGTTATACATGAAATATTTTTATAATGTGCAAATGTGTCCCAGCTTTCAAACACCTAATTCATATATGAACTTCTGGAACATAACCCATTTATTATTGAGAATTATTATTTTAAAAAACAAGCACTATAAGAGTATGGCAAATAGGCATAAGGAAAGGATCATAGGTAATCATATTTTAGAGCTAGTTAGGAAAGGAAGTTCATTTAATATGTGTGGTTAACTATTTAGATTTTTAAAATGTCTTAGAAATAATCACACCTGTGTTCCTCAATTAATACTTTTGGATAAACTATTCAATTTTCTCTAGGCAAGATTTTCTGGCAGGCTAAACTTGACTTTGTAACAAATATTTGTCAGCAAAAATAAGGTAACTACTTATGCCTGAAAAAGTTCTATTTTTTAAATATTCTAAAAGATGATTTTTTTTTTTTTTTAAAGATGGGGTCTCACTCTGTTACCCAGGCTGGAGTGCAGTGGTGTGATCATAGCTTACTGCAGCCTCGAACTCCTGGGCTCAAGTGATCCTTCTGCCTCAGCCTCCCAAGTAGCTGGGACTACAGGAACATGCCACAACATCCAGCTGATATTTTTATTTTTTGTAGAGATAGAGTCTCGCTTTGTTGCCCAGTCTGGTCTTGAACTCCTGGCTTCAAGCCATCCACCCATCTTGGCCTCCCAAAGCACTGCGATTACAGGTGTGAGCTACCACATCCATCCTAAAAGATGAGTTCTTAAAAATCATCTGAAATCACTGTGGACAAGTATTTATTAAACCTCAAAGCCATCTCTGAAAACAGGAAAGATTCAAAGAATAGCTAATAGCAGTCTTATTACTGAGAGTTGTATTTCACACAAGGAAAATTTACCTTCTCTTTCTATAGCTCACCAAATTGATTTTAGAAGATTTTGATCATAAGAAAAATCACACTAAAGTAATACATGAACACTGGCCTGCAGAATGGTCAAATTAATGTGACCACATTAAAAATGATACAAATGTGAAAGTCACTAGCAGTTTGAGTTCTAATATAGCATCTGTGCAGAGTCCACAAAGCAGGAGTCAGTGCTGTCTTCCCCTGTGGGCATCATCGGCCACCTTCACCAGTTTTTCATTGCCTCTTGTATCGGAGGAAGGAGCAGTTTCAGCTTTCTGCCCTTCTCAGCACTCCCTGGTATAACAGCCCCCTGACCTTGGCTTTGAAGCAGGCGTGAAGGTGGCCAGGAAGTGTTCTTCCACCCTTTAGCTTCACTCCTTTATTTTGTATCCAGTGAAGGGGCTAGAGAAGCAATTCCATCTCAGCCAGCCCAGGAGGCTCTCCCATCAGAGTTGGTAGAAGCCCCGGCAGGAACCAATGCAGGTTTCCTACCTCCATCCCCAAGCCCTTGGCCCACTTCAAAGAGATGCCTAGAAGCCAAATAGATTTGTTGCTATGAATTTAGTTAGATGACTTATCACTGTGTTGCATAATTCTTTCCCTAGGGTACAGCTAACACCGGTTCCATCAGGAGCTCCCGAAAGTGCCCTGCTACTTACAATAATCAATACAGGCACCATCTATGCTGGGGTTATAAAAATACCAATATTGATCTGATTTACTTCAATCTGAGGTCACTTAGCTAAGATTATGTATAAGAATGACAGTTTCATCTCAATTTTTAGGGATACAGACAGAATTCAGTCATTTCATAGGAGCCTACAATGAAACATCAGCTGACAATACATTTTAGTTTCTATTCATCTGGAAATTATCGTAAACCAGCTTTAAAAGTTTGCCAATTCTTATTTCACTAGGAAAAAAAAAATCTTCACCCATTTTACAAAACTTGACTTTACCAAAAAGCTTAGGCTGATTTTAAAAGCTAGAAAAACTATCCTAATACTACTCAATGTTCAAAATGTTGGTTATAAATCTTAGTAATTGGTTTTAGATTATTATAAACCTTTATGACTACCTAAATTCATGCTTCATATTCTAACTAGAAGTGTCCATGTATGTGCTACATCCAAATACTCATTCAACTTTGCCTAGGAAGGTCTACAGAGAGTCTACTCTCTCTAATATAGTATCAGATTAACTCCCTAAGAAAAGCTCCCTGAGTAAAAGAAATAACTCCACCACACCAAAACACCACTGAAAACCCTTAACTGATACTATAAAATAGGAGAAGCACAGACAGCTCCAGCTTTCAAAGGAAAATAAGACAGAACTACTGTAGAGAAAAAACATAGTAACAGCAGCATCAGCAACTGTGAGAACCATTTATCGTAATAGGCATTGTGCTAGAAGCTTTACATAATCACATCTAATTTCTATAGACACCTTGCAAAGCAGGCAATTAGCATCCACATTTAACACTGAAAACACAGAGGCAGAAATTAGAAGTGGTCAGAAAGGGTCTGAATCTAACCTGGTTCGACTCCAGAATTTGCTTGGTTTTCATTCATCATGCTCATTCCTGAGAAAGGGATTAGACAAACTCACTTGCTGGGCTATCTGGAGAAGAACTAAGATGGGGTTCAGGAACCTGAGTGTAGGTGCATTTTTTTTCTCTCACTTGTTTTTTTCTGATGAGAGAAAGTAATGAGAGGCCTTGTGCCCATGATGACCTGTCCTGACCCTAGGAGAACTTCCCTCACTGCTTTGTAAAAGTTCAGCCACGCGTGGGCAAGCATGCATACAGTCACAGTGAGTTTTACTATTTCATAATATTTCATAATATTGATGAATACACAATACAGTCACAGTTAATTATAAAGAAAAACTGACAGGTCACCAAGACTACAGAATTTCTAGAACCAAGACCTTCAGGAAAATGATACAAAATCCACTTGCGACAAAAACTGTATTTTTCTTCCTTTTCTTTCTCACCTCCCTTCCCCCCAACCCCCAGCTTAATTAAAAGGTATAAAGTGAAGAGAGAACAATAAACAATTATCATGGTAATTTGATAGTAGATACAAATGTTTCAACCACTTTCTCTGCCAAAATTCAGGCTACAGAATACAGGTGTTCAGAAAGTTACAATGTGCAACTGTTTTAAATCATATTAATTTGTGTTTCATTGAAGTGAGATCTTCATTTTATGTTCAACTGCACTATTGATAGGTTAATACCTGCTATGGTTTGAATGTGTGTATCCGCCAAAATGGTTTGAATGTATGTATCAAACCAAAATACGGTTTGAATGTATGTATCTGCCAACCTATGACCCAATGTGATAGTGCTAAGAGGTGGGGCCTTCAGGTGATTAAGTCATGAGGCTGGGATTAGTACCCTTATAAAAAGGGCTCAAGGGTACTAGCTAAGCCCCTTTCTTGCCCATATTTTCTGCACATGAGGACACAGCATGGGGTCCTCTTGTCCTTTTTGCCCCTTTTACTATATGAGGATGCAGTAAGAAGGCCCTCACCAGACGCTGAAGGCTAGCACCTTGATCTAGAACTTCTCAGACCCCAGAACTCAAGAAAATAAAGTTATGTTATTTACATTATCTAGTCTCAGGTTTTTGTTATTAGCAGCATAAACGGTCTAAGACAATACCTAAAAATGTGTGCATGATGTATAAAATCTCTAGGACGCGCTTAGATGAATAACGCCACACTGCTCCTATATTCTAGGAATTACAGTCACATGAGTCAGCTCTACCACCCTTCCCTCTTTTTTCATCTTACAAACTGAAATGCACTTTCTGACCCTCTACATTTTGTTTCCCACTTCATCACTTTATTCACTGGGCTGTCATAAAGAGTTTGAGATCTCCTAGTTCAGAATTAAGCCAGTATTATGTTAATAATTAAGCAAAGATAAGCAACTTTTTTTTTTCCTTTAAGAGTAAAGGCCTGGAAGAAGGGAAATCTTGGTGAGACAGCAATAAAACTGCAGTGAAAAGAGAGCGAGAAGCTGAAGTACAGATTTACACAGGGAGTGGCTGGCTCACGGGCCCACTTCATGCCCGGTCTCGCTCCTTCTTTGAAGGGTAGTCTTAGGCTGATGGCTAGTTTAATAGTGCTGGGTTCCATTTGAACTCAGTTTATTACAATGAGCTGCTGGCCAAAGCTGGGCAGGTTAGCTTGGTTGGCTAGAGCAGGAGCTTGAAGGCCAAAGCACCATAGCTGTGCTGCTGGGTGAGTTCACCCACAACAGAATTCTGTAGCATGATCACAGACAAGTACAATGACAAACGGGTGGGAGGTGTGAGCCGGGTGACTATGAATATAATCACTCAGCACAATATTTAATGAGCAGTCACTGTTCCAGACATTAATAATACAAAGATAATCATACTGAGGTTGAAGTCTTCCAAGGCAGACACACATAGAAATACATAATTAAAACGTAATGTAGTAAGTACTGTGATAGAGATCTCTACGGGAACACAGAGACAGGTAAGGGAGGCTTCCTGGAATAGGTGACATCTGAGCTGGTCCTAAAGAGTGAGTAGGTATGTGGGTGGGAGGCACTCCTTGCCAAGGAGAGGGCATCATGAACAAAAGCAGAAGTTATGTCATCAGTCATAGGGAAAAAGAACAGGATATGCATCAGCTTTTTATAAACCCAACTAGAAAACCTATTAACTTATTTTGTAAATGAAAAATTGCATCTTTACTCACTTAAAAATGCTTTTTGTTAAAATAGGATTTTTTTCTCACTTGTTGCAAGGAGGAAACTATACATTTTGTATATTACATGTTTACTGCTTTGTAATTTTAGAAGATGAAAATAAAACTTTAGTAAGAATTAAGATCTAAGAATTATGACAGTGAGCAGAGGATGGAGGTCCAAGGATATAATACTCTCAAATGCCGGAGAGCCCAGTATTAGGATGAAATTATTTTATCTTAAAAATAAAATATTTAAGGTCTTAAAAAAAAAAAAACCCTCCCCTAACTTCCTCTCTTCCCAATCTCTTGGTAATCTCTATCCTACTCTCTACTTAGGAGTTCAACTGTTTTACACTCCACATAACAACAAGATCATGCGGCACCTCTCTGTGCCTGGTGTATTTCACTTAATATAATGTCCTCCAGGTTCATCCATGTTGTCCTAAATGACAGGATTTTCTTATTTTTTAAAGCTCAATACCATTCCATTGGGTATTAAATATGACATTTTCTTTATCCATTCATCTGTTGATGAACACCGGTTGATTCTATATCTTGGCTGTTGTGAATAGTGCTGTAATAAATGTCAGAGTTGAGAGATCTCTTCCGCATGCTGATTTCATTTCTGGCAGATATATACCCAGCAGCATAAAATAAGCTTAAAGTCTTAAAGATAATTTTGCTTTTAAATTAAGAGGCAGTATATTTTAATATTTTATCATTTTTCCCTAATATATACCATTAAAACCACTTATATGCAACTCCATTTACCTATGGTACTGTGTTTACATTGCAAAAAAACAAATTCAGGAAATAATAGAGCAGAAAATGTTCACGAAATCAAATAATTAGAGCTACAGTTCAGCACTTCTCTCATAAAATTAATGGTGTTTTAGTAACTGTTTCCTTAGTATGTCTAATGATTGTATCTTTTTGTTCATTTTGCCATTAAATTTTGCTCTTTCAGCATATAGGTAGCTATTCTTCCTTCCCCTTTTTTGATCATGCATACCTTTGCAAATCTCAGGAAAGCTATTAGCCCCTTAAGCTGAAGACCAGGGCATGAAACTTCAGAGTTTTATGGTCCCCAGAGATGGTCAAGAACCCCTCTCCCTGAGCACCCAATGACAGAAGATGCTTTGAGTGGTTACAAATTCCAAACTACAGGTCAGGCTGTGGTGGCTCCAACCTGTAATCCCAACACTTTGGAAGGCTGAGGCGGGAGGATTTCTTGAACCCAGGAATTGTAGATCAGCCTGGATAACACAGGGAGACCCTGTCTCTACAAAAAATAAAATTAGTTGGGCATGGTGGTGCATGCCTGTTGTCTCAGTTACTTGGGAGGCTGAGGTGGGAAGATTGCTTGAGCCTGGGAGGTAGAGGCTGCAAGTGAGCTGTGATGGTGCCACTGCACTCCAGCCTGGGTGACACAGCAAGACCCTGTCTCAACAACAACAACAGTAACAAACAAATTTCAAACTACAAAGTAAATCTTCCCAATTTCCTGCCATGAGTTTTTGGATCAAACATAAAACTTTTAAAAAGCGATACTTAAGGCTGGGCATGGTGACTCATGCCTGTAATTGCAGCACTTTGGGAGGACGAGGCAGGTGGATCACTTGAGGTCAGAAGTTTGAGACCAGCCTGGCCAACATGGTGAAACCCCGTCACTACTAAAAATACAAAAAAATTAGCCGGACATGGTGGTGCATGCCTGTAACCCCAGCTACCGGGGAGGCTGAGACAGGAGAACTGCTTGAACCCAGGAGGCAGAGGTTGCAGTGAGCTGAGATCACACCACTGCACTCCAGCCTGGGTGACAGAGTAAGACTCTGTCTCCAAAAAAAAAAAAAAAAAAAAAGTCATACTTAAAATAGTTCTTATAAAACAAGGTTTCAAAGCCCTTCTGTTTAAAACAGTGGTTCTTGAGGGTTTGTATGAAAATCACCTTTGGGCTTTTAACACAGCGTGGTCCAGGTCCCACCCAGACCCGCTGAGCTGCAATCCTGAGGCATTAGGCTCAGCTGTGTATTTTAAAATGGCTCCCTAAAGGATTTTGATGTACATCTCTGGTTTAGAACCACCAACTCACAGAATTTAAACTAGAATCATCTCCCAGGTGCTAAAGTGATTTTTCACATTTTTCATTGCTTGGCAAAACACGAAAGTTCTGGGTTCCCTAAACTAATGGTTTAAGAGGTGTTGTTGATGGGCTTCAGCCATCCCCTAGACCATCTGCCTTCAAACTGGGATACATATGCTCCTAAGGGTATCCAAGGGCTTTCCACAAAAGGGTTTTAACAGTTTTTGTGCTTTGGATTCCTCTAGCACCTGGTAAAGTCAGGCTGAATCCCTTCTTAGGATAATATTTTTAAATGCATAAATCAAAAACAGCATTAGCAAGAAAATATAACCATACTAAGGATAAGTATATTTAAATATGGTTATATTTAAATATGGTTAAAAATTTAATGCACATTTTTATACATTAAAATATGTATACCCTAGAATTATATGTGCTCCTTTATTAACCCAGTAAATAGTAAAATCTAGGGGGATGTCTAATAACTGTCATGATTTCAAAGTAATCAGTTCAAACCACCTTTTGAGATACCTGAAACAACTGTAATATGATAAGAAAACATCTGACTTCTGTTGATGCTCATGCTACTTTAGGTTTGTCGTAATTAAAGGAAATGCTCAATTTCTAGGTGAGGTTAGTGGAAAAAAAGATGAAATTATTTTCCTCATCCAAATTTACAAACGCTTGGAGTTAAAAACCTTACTTTAAGGGAATATGTCTACATGGAGGGTTATAAAGCAGTTTCCAGATTCTTTCTTAAAACCTTTCATACCTTGTTTCTCACATACATTCCCCTTCTACTTTTTTTTTTTTTTTTTTTTGAGATGGAGTCTTGCTCTGTCACCCAGGCTGGAGTGCAGTGGTGCAATCTTGGCTCACTGCAACCTCCACTCCCGGATTCAAGCGATTCTTCTGCCTCAGCCTCCTAAGTAGCTGGGACTACAAGTGCACACCACCAGACCTAGCTAATTTTTGTATTTTTAGTAGAGGGGTTTTTCCCCATGTTGGCCAGGCTGGTTTCAAACTCCTGACCTCAAGTGATGCGCCCACCTTGGCCTCCCAAAGTGCTGAGATTACAGGCATGAGCCACCACGCCTGGCCCCCTTCTACTTTCGTAAGGCACACTTCTTATGCATCCTGAACATTATGTGGCTTATTGTTAAGGGGGCTAAAACCTCTGAAGTGTCACTAAAGAAATGAGAGAATGCACTGCTCCTGTAGAAGCGCCCCTTGAGAGCAACACAAAAAATACTGTGGGAGCAGGGCCTTGCTTCATGCAAGTGAAAAGGTTTCTGTCTCGTTTGTATTAATGCATCATTGTCATAGGGCACAAATTAATACAGAAAGTCTGCACCTTACGATGGTTTGACTTACAATATTATTCGACTTTATTCCATGTTATACCATGTCAAAATTTCCTCACTTTTTAAGTCCACTGTGTATTTTAAAAATTTATTTTCTAAGGTATGTGAAAACAAAAATGTTTGAAGCCTAACCAACATTTCACAAAGCCTGTGAGAAATGAGCTTCGGAGCCATGGAGGTCTATGAGCCTCCTTCATCAGAAACACCTTGGGTATTTACTTAAAATGCAGATTCCTATGCCCCAACTCAATGTATGAAATTTGAATCTCTAGGGTTGGGTCTGGGAATTTGCACTTTGAAACAAGCATCATACTTGAATCTGATGTACACCAAAGTTGAAAACCACTGCACTATGCTACTTTACTGCTTTGCTGTTAAGTCTTCCAGACGCTATTGTTTCAACCACTTTCTGGACCCATATTTATCTTTCAATCTATGGATAGGCATTTGTTATAAGCTAAATTATACAAACTCAACACAAGGCACTGATGCTTCTTCAGAATTTGATGGGAACTGACCATGGACAATGTCAATAGGAACCATCTCTTTGTGCATCACTTAATAATTTTCAGTGGTATAGAATAGTGATGTTTTCCTTAACCTGTTCCTTATAATTTGATACCACTTTTGGATAAGCTGTAAACAAGCCCACAATAGAACAGGGAGGTAAATATTCCCTTTTAAAAAAATACGGTCCTACCATATGAACTAATAATTTAAACAATGGCTCTGCTATCTAATTATTGTCAGAAACAAGTGTTAAAGTTCAAAGCATTTGGTATTCCATAGGTGCTTCAAGCTTTTTTAAAAATGTCCCAGGCTAAACTTACATTAATCATGCTACTTGAAGCTTCAATTCTGGGCCTTTCATGCCTAAAACTTCAGCAAATGTCTCAGTTTAAAATTATTCTGAAAGAGGTCTGACCCTGCTACTCTCTACTCTGTAGAGGTGAGATGTGTCGACTAACTGCTCAAGCCTACACCTTTGTTAGGTCTCTCCATTTTCATATAATGAAACGAGTTCAACTGTTGGTTAAAGCATGTGATTCCACTACTGACAATGAAGGCGTTAAGGACGATCCACCCCACATTATGCCAATTTGGCATATTTATTATTTCAAGCTGAAAGTACTTGAGAAACTAGTTGCAGAAAGGCCTTTCTGATCTGTCCTTTCTTACAGATGGCAAGCCATAAAAATTCCTTTGAGGACGGCTTCCCTCCAGTAGGGAGAGAAAATAACCCTTATCACCAGAGATTGGAAACTGCTGCTGCAATGAACCTGTACAAATAAACTTACTGAAGAAACCCTTATCTTCCACTAGCTTTACACACCCCCACCATAGATCTCCTAGTGACTTCTAGAATTTACTGTCCCTAGCCCAGATCCCCTTGTCCTGTCAAATTTCTTCACAAATTTATTATTCCTTGTCCAAAAAGTACAAAACCTATCTGCATTGGCCATTTCTTTGCATCCTTACTCTCTTGTACTCCCTATGTATGTGTAAAAATTTATAAAACCTGTATCCTTTTCTCCTGTTAATCTATCTTGTGTTAATTTGATTCCTAGAACCAGCCAAAGATCTCACTTAGGTACCAACATAGGTAGAAGTGACTTTTAGCCTCTTACAACCACCTATTAGTTTTCCATGAACTTGCCAAGGAGTGAGAGATCTTGAACTTGTTGTCACTCAATAGCCAGCAAAAGCTCAGTTCCAAGAAGCCATATTCATGGAAGACATACAGGAGGCACACTCATCTATATTTTCCAAAATCTATCCCTGTATTAAGTCAAACTAACAGCTGCGTAATGAATAACATTGTCTCTGTAAAATCTGTATAAAGATATAACAAAAACTGAGTTTCTCCTGTCCTCTCACAACACAATCAACACACAACACTTACTGTGACCTCTAGTCGCCAAAATGCATGGGGATTTTTCCCTACCAGCAATGAATTCTGCAGCCGACACCAGCTGGGTATCTTCTAATTCAATTCAATTCTGATACTACCTGCTATAAATTGGGGTTCCCACAACCCCTCCTCATGGTTCGATTAATTTGCTAGTGCAGCTCACAGAACTCAGGGAAATACATTTACTGATTCATTATAAAGCATATTACAAAGGATACTGATGATCATCAGAGGTGGACAGGGCACAGCATGGGAGAAGATTGTCATCAGAGGTGGACAGGGCACAGCATGGGAGAAGATTGTCATCAGAGGTGGATAGGGCACAGATCATCAGAGGTGGATAGGGCGCAGCGTAGGAGAAGATCATCATCAGAGGTGGATAGGGCACAGCAGATCATCAGAGGTGGATAGGGTACAGCATGGGAGAAGATCATCATCAGAGGTGGATAGGGCACAGCATGGGAGAAGGGACACACCACCATCCAGGAGTTTCCACATGTTCAACTTTCAGGAAGCTCCCCAACCCAGTCCTTTTGAGCTTTTATGGAAGCCTCACTGCTAAGGCATCACTCATTAAATCATTTGCCATTGGTGATAACCTTCATCCCCTCTCTCCTCCCCAGAAGTTGGGGAGGTGCAGGGGGGCGCTGAAAAGCCCCAACCCTCTAATCCTGCCTTAGTCTTTCCTATGACCAGCTCCAACCTGAGGCTACTTAGGGGCTGCTGGCCACCAGGAATCTCATTCACATACAAAAAGACACATCACTTTGGAGATTCCAAGGATTTCAGTAGTTGCATGCCAGAAAATGGGAACAAAGAACAAACATATATTTCACAATATTACAATCTGCTTTTAAGGGTAATCACCAACTTTGGCATATTAGACACCCATATTCGAAAAAGTCAGTGATGTATACATTGAGGCTCAGTCTGTTTTCAATGTTTTATTAGTCATTTCTACACAGAATAACAGTCAAGGACAAAAACTTAAAAAAATTTAAGCATTTATACTGTAATGACCAAATTCTTTTCAATGAAAACATCTCCCCCACAAACATTTCTGGGTATAAAATTTCTCTCCCCTGACATCATAAGTCCATGGGTAAGTTACACAACTTCATGAGCAGCCACTGGGATGTGTTCTATATGCAATGAGACTATCCTTTTCAATCTGTATCATGGTTTTAACAACAGCAACCTCTACTGAGGTTTAATCTAAGAAACACAAAACTCATCACCCCCCCGAAATTTGTTGTGTCTCTTGCCTATATACTGCTGAGGTCACATCTGAACACTACAGAGAAATTACTTTTCAGTGTTAGTATTGAGAATAATTGTATTTCTTCCAAATAACTAATTCTCTTTCTCTTTCAGCAAAGTGAGTTAAACATCTGGCAAGGCTTCTCATTTGTAACTGCAGTTTGAAAGCTTAGGGACAGATTGTGATCCACTCACAGGACTCGCCTTTGGAAAGGTGTTATTATTTCCTGTTCCATTTTATGTTCCAACTTTTGGTTTATCTTTTTTTCTTTCTCAAACATTCCTAATTTATGTTACTGCATTATGCTTTAACTGTTCTTGTAAACACTTTTAGAACAATGGAGAGTATCATAAATTTTTTAAAAACTTAAACAGGAAAAAATGTTTTAATATTATTTGAATTAAGATTTATACTTTATGAAAATACATGTTAAACTGTAATACTTAAGGAAAAATTTAAAGCCTCAATGATTGTCTGAATAACTGGGTGTTTTTTTCAAAATAATGTCAAGAACCTGGTAAAGTTAAAAGAAACCTCTTGTATCAATATCAACTTATCCTGAAAGTCATCACCTAAAACTTTTCTTAAGCAATGACTTTCACATGACATTGTGCTGCTAAAATACCATAATATTAAAATACTCTCTTTTCCCAAAAAGCAAGCATAATCAAGCAGTTGGAAATAAGAAGCAGTTTGGCCAAACAGCTTCAAAATTTAAAATGAAGGCTGGGCCCAGTGGCTCACGCCTGTAATCCCAGCACTTTGGGAGGCTGAGGCGGGCAGATCACGAGGTCAGGAGTTTGAGACCAGCCTAATCAACATGGTGAAACCCCATCTCTACTAAAAATACAAAAAAATTAGCTGGGCGTGGTGGCACCTGCCTGTAATCCCAGCTATTTAGGAGGCTGAGGCAGGAAAATCACTTGAATCCCAGAGGTGGAGGTTGCAGTGAGCCGAGATCACGCCACTGCACTCCAGCCTGGCCGACACAGCGAGACTCTGTCTCAAAAAATAAAAAAAAAGAACTGAGCTGTTTAAAGACTCTGAAGGAATAAGTCAATTCTGGGAATTAGGCAACAATGCTCTGGTGTCTGTGCGGGAAAAACATTACATATGAACCTAACTTGCAATAAGGTCCTTTTGGCAACACGATTATTAAACAAACAAACAAACAAAAAATCCTTCTATCATGAGTCTTGCCTTTTAAAAGGCTATGGTTAATGACTACGATTTTTTTTTTTTTTTAAGACGGAGTTTTTGCTCTTATCGTCCAGGCTGGAGTGCAGTGGCGCAATCTCAGCTCACTGCAACCTCCACCTCCCGGGTTCAAGTGATTCTCCTGCCTCAGCCTCCCAAGTAGCTGGGACTACAGGCGCCCGCCACCACGCCTGGTTAATTTTTGTATTTTTACTAGAGACAGGGTTTCACCATGTTGGGCAGGATGGTCTCGATCTCCTGATCTCGTGATCTTCCCGCCTTGGCCTTCCAAAGTGCTGGGATTACAGGCGTGGCCACCGTGCCTAGCAATGCCTATGAATTCTTATAAAGGACTCCCATTCTACAAAATGGAATTATAGCAATGCCTGAGAGATACAAGATCCAGAATGAAAAAGAAGAGAAAACAGTAAAGCAATCTTTTCTATCAGTTGCCAAGAAAGGGGAAAAAAACAATTAATATTTTATTATCTTTGAAAAAGCCTCATGCACTGTTAGAATGACTAGAAGAATTCTTCCCCCATCCATCAGCGCATCTGTTCCCCCACTTAAAGCATGCCTACATACAATGTTCCAGGTACTGGGGACACAACAGTGGTGTTAAAAAAAAAAAAAAAAAAGAAGCAAGCCAGGCACAGTGGCTCAAGCCCGTAATCCCAGCACTTTGGGAGGCCGAGGCGGGCGGATCACGAGGTCAGGAGATCGAGACCACGGTGAAACCCCATCTCTACTAAAAATACAAAAATTAGCCGGGCATGGTGGCGGGCGCCTGTAGTCCCAGCTACTGGGGAGGCTGAGGCAGGAGAATGGCGTGAACCCAGGAGGCGGAGCTCGCAGTGAGCAGAGATCGCACCACTACACTCCAGCCTGGGCCACAGAGCAAGACTCCTTCAAACAAACAAACAAACAAACAAACAAAAACGAAAACAAAACAAAAATGTAAGGCAATTTAAATTTAACAGAGTTTAACTGAGCAAAGAACAATTCGAGAATCGTGCAGCTCCCCAAACCAGAATAAGTTCAGAGTGACTCCGTGCTGCCATATGGTTGGAGATTTATGTTAATAAAAAGGAAAGTGATGCACAGAAAATGGGGATGAGGTGCAGAAACAGCCGATTGGTTACAGCCCGGCATTTGCCTTATTTGAACATGATTTGAACAGCTGGCTGCTGTGATTGGCTGATACTCGGTGATTGCTGGGAGATTATGTCTCCCTAATGTCTGTTTACAGATCCAGTTAGGTCACAGTTCACTATGTACCAGGAGACCTTTAGGAAAAACTAAAAATATGTAAGGAGTCAGCTTTAGGCTAAACTTAATTTAAAGGGGGGCAGAAGTATGCAGGGGCTCTGCCCATAGGGACGAAGGCATTAGCCAACGATTGCACTGATGAACTTACATGAGCAACTGGGATAAGGGCTCTGAGAGGGAAGAACACAGTTCTTGAAGGAATACAACAAAGGAACCTGAATAAATGCAACTTTTTAAACTCCATTTGGAGGCCAGGCACGGTGGCGGTGGCTCATGCCTGTAATCCCAGCACTTTGGGAGGCCAAAGCAAGCAGATCACCTGAGGTCAGGAGTTTGAGACCAGCCTAGACCAACATGGCGAAACCTTGTCTCTACTAAAAATGCAAAATTAGCTGAGCATGGAGGTGCATGCCTGTAATCCCAGCTACTCAGAAGGCTGAGGCAGTAGCTTGAACCCGGGAGGCAGAGGCTGCAGTGGGCCAAGACTGTGCCACTGCACGCCAGCCTGGGTGACAAGAGCAAAACTCTGTCTCAAAAATAAAAATAAAAATACCATTTGGCTTCTGTATAAGCCTTTTATCCTTTTCACCAACACAATTCTAAGTAGAAAAAGTAAACTAAAACAAATTAGAATCTAAACATTATTTCCAAGATTTCTTCACTTGTTTTTAAATAGCAATTTCCCACTAACAATATCATAAACATAGATTTTTTTTTAAAATGAATTTTTAAACAAAATTCCCAGCATGGAATATTTCTACCTGATTAAATATTTAAATTTTAATATTAAAATATTAAAATGCAAATAATCTAGTACTTCCAAATAAAATAACTATCTCAAATATTAAATTATCATTTCTTTAAAAGGACTTTTTAAGATATACCACACTTTTTATAGAAGGGCGGGCTGATCACCTGAGGTCGGGAGTTCGAGACCAGCCTGACCAACATGGAGAAACCCCATCTTTATTAAAAATACAAAATTAGCCAGGCATGGTGGCTCACGCCTGTAATCCCAGCTACTCGGAAGGCTGAGGCGGGAGAACTGCCTGAACCCGGGAGGCAGAGGTTGTGGTGAGCTGAGACCACTCCATTGCACTCCAACCTGGGCAACAAGAGCAAAACTCCATCTCAAAAAAAAAAAGAAAGAAAGTGGATACATTTCTGTGAAGAGGAGGCATTAAATACTATAAAAGTCAATGTTCTGTTTTTTGAAGGTTACTGCTGGTGGGGCTCAGGGAATTCCACCTCAAAACATGACTGTAGGAGACAAAAATTTGTACCCCAAATATGCCTTTTTGGCATAAGGATTATTTTGAGAAACAGCAGAAACTGGAAAAGCTCTGAAAACATAAAGCAAGTTACCCTTTTGTAAGAGAAATTTACATCCATAAAGGGAATCTCCATTTGTAAAGGTGTCTCCATCTCTGTACCAGAAAGAAAGGGATGGCTCTAAATCTAAACTAGAAACTCTTATCAATGGGGCAGGCACCTACTTAAATCTGCGCAACAAACCTTACCCTTGTTTAGATATTTCCTGATCACCTCCCCATAACAGGTTTTCTCTACGCCTCCTCTGTTTCTGTAGACATGTATTAAAGCCACCTCCTAGACATTTATAGGCATCTCTTTAATTGCACTTCCCTTTATGGTATTTTGCTAAATCTACTCTGCCTGTGCTCTATAAAAGGAACAAGAAAGCCTGGATGACAGCACATCTGTTGACAGCATGGTTTACTCAATATTTTAAGTCCACTGTTGAGACCTGCTGTTCAGAAGAAAAGATTCTTTTCAAAATATTACTGTTCATTGACAATGCATCAGGTCATCCAAGTGATCTGATGGAGATGGACCAGGAGATGAATGTTGTTTTCACGCCTGCTATCACAACATCCCATCCTGCAGACCATGGATAAAGAAGTAATTCTGACTCTCAAGTCTTATTTAAGAAATAAATTTCTTAAGGCTATAGCTGCCATAGTGATTCCCCTGATGGAGCCGAGCAAAGTAAATTAAAAACCTTCTGGAAAGAATTCTCCATTCTAGATGCCATTAAGAATACTTTTGATGCATGGCAGGAGGTCAAAAATGTCAACATTTACAGGAGTTGAGAAGATGATTCCAAACCTCATGGATGATTGAGGGGATCAAGACTTCAGTGGAGGTTAGTAACTGCAGCTGTTGCAGAAACAGCAAGAGAACTAGAATTAGAAGGAAAATCTGAATACTGAATTGCTGCAATCTCATGATAAAATGTGAATGGGGCCAGGTGCAGTGGCTCACGCCTGTAATCCCAGCACTTTGGGAGGCTGAGGTGGGCAGATCATGAGATCAGGGGTTCAAGACCAGCCTGGCCAACATGGCAAAACACTGTCTCTACAAAAATACAAAAATTAGCCGGGCATGGTGGCACATGCCTGTAATCCCAGCTACTCAGGAGGCTGAGGCAGGAGAATCGCTTGAACCTGGGAGGCAGAGGTTGCAGTGAGCCGAGATCAAGTCACTGAACTCCAGCCTGGGAGACAGAGCAAGACTCCGTCTCAAACAAAACAAAACAAAACAAAACAAAACAAAACAAAACAAAACAAAACTTGAATGGATGAGGAGTTGTTTCTTATGGATGAACAAAGAAAATGGTTTCTTAAGATGGAAGCTACTCCTGGTGAAGATACTATGAATGTTGTTGAAAGGACAAGGGATTTAGAATATTACACAAACTTAGAGAGGAACTGACCCCAATTTTGAAAGTTGTACTGTAGGTAAAAAGCTATCAAACAGCATTGCATGCTGCAGAGAAATGAAAGGAAGAGTCTACTGATGCAATCAACTTCACTGCTGTCTTAATGTTTATGACTCTCTAAAGGCTCAAATGATCATCAGCACTTTTTAGCAATAATTTTTTTTTTAATTTTTTTTTTTGAGACAGAGTCTTGCTCTGTCATCCAGGCTGGAGTGCAGTGGCACGATCTCGGCTCACTGCAACCTCCATCTCCTAGGTTCAAGTGACTGTCGTGCCTCAGCCTCCCGAGTAGCTATGATTACAGGTGCACACCACCATGCTCAGCTAATTTTTGTATTTTTAGTAGAGATAGGGTTTCACCATGTTGGCCAGGCTGGTCTCGAACTGCTGACCTCAAGTGATCTGCCCTCCTCGTCTTTCCAAAGTGCTGGCATTACAGGCATGAGCCACCATGCCCGGCCACTATTTGTAATGAAAATATGTATGTTGTTTTTTCAGACATCATGCACATTTAATAGACTACAGTATAGTGTAAATATAATTTTTATATGCACTGGGAAACCAAAAAATTAGTGTGACTGCCTTGTGAAATTCACTTCATTGCAGTGGTCTGGAACTGAACCCAAAGTATCTACAAGGTATGCCTGTACTCTGGAGATTCAGTTGGTATTCCCTAGGCATCTCTCATGAATACGTGAAGTATATATGTTAATAAACTTCTGTTAGTTTTCTTTTGTTAATCTGAAGTTTGCCACAAGTGTTCTTGCCAACTGAGAACTCGGGAAAAGTTATGTTTTCCCCCATGCTAAAACTAACAAGCCACTGGAAATGAATGGAGATAAAAACCTTTCTATTTTTCTCGTGGGTATAATTTCAAAACATTCTGATGGCAGCCATTGGCTGTAAAACCTGTGTACAACATTCAGTGTATTTCAACAAAGCTTAATAATTAATGAACATCCTATGTCATTAATTTATAATAAATCCAATCTGTTTCAGAATTTTCAAATGCACTGCTTAAGATTCTGTCCCAGTGGTAATTAGCTAACAGTGACAGTCTTTAAATTCTTTTATTTGCATTTGTCATAATACGCTTTCCGGACAATCTAGTGAATGTTCAGTGAGTGACTTTAAGGGTTGTGGCAGTGGTCAGGCTATCTGATTACTTTCCCTAACGAGTGAGGAGCTTTTCTCATCATTAGAATACATGTCAGAATAGAGACTTCCTGCATTAGACACAAATAGGTAGAAATTTTTGTAATTATGCTTATTTTTACCATTAGGATTCCCAACAAATTTTGATAATTTAATTTGGTTCTCTTCCTTATGTTGATATGGAGGTACTGGATAAAATATTGATTTAATTTGGTAAATATTACTGTTATAATTTGGTAAAATAACATGAACTTTTATTTAAAAAGCAACTGAGTGCTTGCTTGGACACTGAAGAAATAGCTTCATAGTATTCAGCCAAAGCTGTTTATGACTGATACTTACATCAACAAATACAGACCACTTAATTTTAAATCTAAGTGTTCATCAAGAGAAATTAGTCTTTCTGAGGTGGGCTTTTTTTCCTTTTTTTGCTAGTTTTGCAATTATGCAAGACATCAGTAAAGTTGTTCCTTTTCAATGCCTCATCTCCATATTTACATTTCAACCACTTGGTACCTTGTCTACCGAGGAACATAGAGCTCAGAGGCTCTTCCCAAACTGCCAAATCCTCCAAAAACAGATATTTAATAGGGTTTACTCAGTTCCACAAATGATGAGCCAGCTACCACCCATCAGAATTCATTCATCATTGGACCTATTAAACCCATCAGAATAAAATGCTAATTTGGATTTAAATGCTCATGAAGACTTAACCCTACCTAAATGATCTATCTATCTATCTATCTATCTATCTATCTATCTATCTATCTATCTATCTGAGACAGGGTCTTACGCTGTCTCCCAGGCTGCAGTCCAGTGGTGTGATCACAACTCCCTGTAGCCTTGACCGCCTGGGCTCAAGCGATCCTCCCGCCCCAGCCTTCTAAGTAACTGGGACTACAGGCACGTGACACTATGTCCAGCTAATTTTTGGTAGAGATGGGTCTTACTATGTTACCCAGGCTGGTCTCAAACTCCTGGGCTCAAGCGACCCTCACGCCTTAGCCTCCCAAAGTGCTGGGATTTCAGGCATGAGCCACCGAACCTGGCCTGAAAATGTCTTTTAAATAGCAAACAGCCAGGTGCAGTGGCTCACGCCTGAAATCCCAGCATTTTGGGAGGCTGAGGCGGGAGGACCACTTGAGCCCAGGAGTTCAAGATCAGCCTGGGCAACACGGCAAGACCCCATCTCTTAAAAAAAAGTTAGCCAGGTGAGGTGACCCTCACCTGTACTCACAGCTACTTGGGAGGCTGATATGGGAGGATGGCTTAAGCTCAGGAGTTCGGGACTACAGAGAGCTATGATCATGCCACTGCACACCTGCTTGGGTGATAGGCCAAGACTCTGTCTAAAAAATCAAAATAAAAAACATCTCCAGTTACCTTTCATCCAAAGGACTACTTGAGATGTTAAATTTGGCCAAGAGAAGAGACACTAGGAGACAAAAATTGCCTTAAACTTATGCTACTCCTTAAAGACTATATAGTACATAGTCATGAGTTTAGAACTACCTTCACCTATAGTTGAACTATCCCTTTCTGGATCCTTGGTCAGACAGTCCCTCATCTTTCATCTAGTGTGTACTCTGAAAAGGAATATTAGACATGTGCTTCCAAATGTAGCAATGAAAACTCTAGAAATATGAGTAGTAGACAGGTAAAAACAGCAATATGTGAATATTAAAAGTGTTATAAAGAATATTATATAATGATAAAAGAGTCATTTCACCAGGAAGATAGAATAATTATAAATATATATGCACCCAATATCTGAGCATCTAAATATATAAAGCATACAATGACAGAACTGGAGAGAGCAATAAACACAATACAATAGTAGGAGGAAATCTGAATTCCCCACTTTCAGTAATGGCTAGAACAAACAGACAGAAAATCAATAAGAAATAGGGGACTTGAAAAACACGATAGACCAAATGGACCTAAAAGACATATATAGAATATTTCACCTCAGAGCAGCAGAAGTGCTATGTTCCAGGATATGTCCCAAAACAAGTCTTAATGAATTTAAGAAGACTGAAATGACACCAGGTATTTTTTCTGAGCACCACAGGATTAAAGTAGAAATCAATAGCAGAGAGAATACAAGATAATTCACAAATATGTGGAAATTAAACAATATACTCTTAACCAATGAATGGGTCTTTAACAACCAACAAATGGGTCTGAATATGTTACCCCAAATAATCTTTATTTAATGGATTTTGAGCCAAATGCCACTGAGAATCAGCAGACTCAATATGAAGCTCTAAAATCAAGGCACAAATTTTCTTTTTGTAAAGGAAATTTATATTTAAATAGAAAATTTCCATTTGTAGAGATATCTCCCTCTAACTCAGTAGGGATATGATAACTCCTAACATATCAATGGAGAAGACATCAACTTAAATGTGCATACAAAACCTTACTAAACAACCCCTGTTTATTATACTTTTCCTGGTCAATTTCCCATAACTTGCTTACCCAGCCACAAAGCCCCAAGCCTCCACTCCTTTGTTTTAGTCTAAGACAGTATTTAAGCTCAAATTCTAAACACCCATTTAGGTTACTCATAGCTGTGTGCTCCCAAGTGTACATACATGATGCACATGCTAATAAACTTCTGTTTGTTTTTCTCCTGTTAATCTGTCTTTGGAAAGATTAAGCTGGAAAACCTGAAATGAGTAGAGAAAAAGACTTTTTGCCTTTCCTATAGGGAAATTATAAAATATCTTGAGACATAAGAAAACAAAAATACAACATGCCAAAACTTACGAGATGCAGCAAAAGCAGTGCTATGAGGAAAATTTATAGCTATAAATGCCTACATTAAAAAGAAAGAAAAAGGCCAGGCATGGTTGCTCATGTCTGTAATCCCAGCACTTTAGAAGGCCAAGGTGGGAGAATTGCTTGAGGCCAGTAGTTCAAGACCAGCCTGGGAAACATAGGGAGACCCTGTCTCTACAAATAATAACAAAATTAGGTAGGTGTGGTGGCATGCACCTGTGGTCCCAGCTACTTGGAAGGCTGAGGTGGAAGGATCACCTGATCCCAGGAGATCAAGGCTGCAGTGGTCCATGATTATGCTATAGCATTTCGGCCTGGGCAACAGAGTGATACCCTGTCTCAAAAAGAAGAAAGAAGAAAGAAGAAAGAAGAAGAAAGAAGAGGAGAAGAAAGAAGAGAAGAAGGAAGAGGAGAAGGAGGAGGAGGAGGAGGAGGAGGAAGAAGAAGAAGAAGAAGAAGAAGAAGAAGAAGAAGAAGAAGAAGAAGAAGAAGGAAGAAGAAGAAGAAGAAGAAGAAGAGGAAGAAGAAGAAGAAGAAGAAGAAATACTTCAAATAAAAACAAAACATTATACCACCAAAGAGCAAGAAAAAGAAGAACAGGGTATAAAGCTAGTGCAAGGAAGTAATAATGATCAGAGCAGGAAAAAAAAGGAGAATATAAAAACACTGGGGAAAAAAACTCAATGAAACAAAGTTTTTTTTTTAAAGACAAAATTGACAAACCTTTAGCTAAACTAAAAAAAAACTCAAACAAAAAAAAATCAGAGATGAAACAGGAGATATTATAACTGATGCCACAGAAATAAAAAGGACCATAAAAGGCTACTATGAACAATTAAACAATTATATGCTAACAAGCTGGAAAACCTAAAAGGAGGAGAAAAATTTGTAGAAATACAGAACCTACTAACATTGAATCATGAAGAAATAAAATATCTGAACACACCTTTAAATAGTAAAGAGATTGAATCAGGAATTAAAAAAAAAAAAAATCCCGCCCCCATCCCCTGCCCCAAAAAAGCTCAGGACCAGATGGCTTCACTGGTGAATTCCACCAAACATTTAAAGAATTAATGCCAATCCTTCTCAAACTCTTCCATGAAATTGAAGAAGAGGGAACACTCTTGAACTCAAATTACGAAGCGGTGTTACCGTTACCCCATAGCCTAAGACACTACAAGACAAGCAAACTATAGGCCAATAACCCTGATGAAGACAGATGCAAAAATACTCAACAAAATACTAGCTATCTGAATTCAACAGTATATTAAGGGAACAAATGAGATTTATCCCTGGGATGTAAGAATGGTTCAACATACACAAATTAATAGATGTGACACACCATAGTAACAGAATGAAGGATTAAAAAAAACACATGACCATCTCAACAGCTACAGAAAAAGAAATTGACAAAATTTGATATCCTTTCATGACAAAAGCTCTCAATGAACTAGGAATAGAAGAAAATTTCCTCAAGATAATAAAGGCCATATATGAAACCTCACAGCTGACATCATCTCAGTAGTGAAAAACTATACCTTTAAGATAAGGAACAAGGCAAGGATGCCCACTCTCACCACTTCTATTCAACACAGAGCTAGAAGTCCTTACCAGAGCAATTAGGCAAGAAAAAGAAATAAGCACTGAAAAGGAAGAAGTAAAATGTGTTTGTAGATGACATGATCTTATTTGTAAAAAAAACTTTTAAGAATCCACAGAAAAACTGTTAGGACTAATAAAGGAATTCAGTGAAGTTAAAGGATACCAAATCAACATACAAAAACCAGTTGCATTTCTACATACTATCAACAAACTATCCAAAAGGGAAACTAAGAAAACAATCCTATCTACAATAGCATCAAAAATTACTTAGGAATAAACTTAGCAAGGTGATGAAAGACTTGTATACTGAAAAATCATAAAACGTTGATTAAAGAAATTTTAAAAGATACAAATAAATGGAAAGATATCCTATGGTTATGGATGGGAAAACTTAATATTGTCAACATGTCCACACTACCCAAAGCAATCTACAGATTCAATTCAATCCATATCAAAATCTCAATGGCATTTTTTACAGAAATAGGAAAAACAGTCCTATAATTCATATGGAACCCCAAAGACTCTGAATAGTCAAATGATCAGGAGAAGGAACAAAATTGTAGGCATCACACTTTTCTATTTCAAAGTAGATTACAAAGCTATAGTAATCCCAACAGTATGGTAATGGAATAAAGACATATAGACAAATGGAACAGAATAGGGAGCCCAGAAATAAGCCCACAAATATATGGTCAACTGATCTTTAACAAGAATGCCAAAAATACACAATGGGGAAAGGACAGTCTCTTTAACAAATAATGCTGGAAAAACTAGATATCCGCATGCTTAAGGAAGAAATTAGACCTATACACAAAAATCAGCTCAAAATGGATTAAACACCTAAATGTGAAGCCTAAAAGTGTAAAACTTCTAGAAAAAAAGATAGGGAGAAGGTTCATGACAGTGGTCTTGGCAATGATTTCTTGAGCATGACATCAAAAACACATACAATAAAAGCATAAATAGACCACTAGGACATAAACTATAAGGCTTCTGCACAGCAAAGAAATCAACAGAGTAAAAAGGCAACCTACAAAATGGGGAGAAAATAATTGCAAACCATATCATCTGATGAGGGGTTAGTATTTAAAATTTAAGGAACTCTTACAACTCAACAACAATAAAACCAAATAATCAAATTTAGAAATGGGCAAAGGAACTGAATAGACATTTCTCCAACGACAACATACAAATGGCCAACAGGTATGTGAAAAGATGCTCAATACTACTAATCATCAGGAAAATCCAAATTAAAATCCTCATGAGCTATCACCTCACACCTGTTAGGATAGCTATTATCAAACAACAACAACAAAAAAAGATGGCCAGTGTTGGTGAGGATATGGAGGAACTGGTACCCTTGTACACTGTTACTGAGAATGAAAAATGGTGCAGCCACTATGGGAAACAGTATAAAGGTTCCTCAAAAAATTAAACACAGAAATACCATATGATTCAGCAATCCCACCTCTGGATATTTATCTAAAATAACTGTAATCAGGACCTCAAAGGGATATGTACACTCACATACTTACTGCAGCATTATGTACAATAGCCAAGATATGGAAACAAATTAATTGTTCATCTACAAGTGAATGGAAAAAGGTAGTATGTACATACAAGAGAATATTATTCAGCCTTTTTCTAAAAAAGAAAGAAATCCTGCCATATGGATATCTCTATTGGACATTATGCTATGTGAAATAAGCCAATCACAGAAGGACAAACACTGCATTATTTCACTTATGATGTATCTAAAACAGTCAAACTCATAGAAGCAGAGAATAAAATGGTGGTTGCCATGGGCCACGGGGAGGAGAAAATGCGGAGTTGCTATTCAATGGGTATAAAGTTTCAGTTATGCAAGATGAGTAAGTTCTAGAGATAGGATGTACAACATGATGCCTATGGTTAATGATCCTGTATCGTACACTTTAATATTTAAGAGGGCAGATCTCATGTCAAGTATTTTTACCACAATGAACAAAACAGAGCTATAGTATATTATTATATTGGCATAACTCTAGGAAAGTAATTTAGCAATATTTATCTATTGTCATGAAAAAGTTCAAAATTGTTGACTCCACAATCCCACTTTTGAGGCACCCACTTTTGAATCCCACTTTTGAAGGACCAACTTAACAAAATGTTGTAAGATGTGGAACAAGTCTTATACCTAAAGACATCCATTAAAGTAACATGTGTAACTGTAAAAAAGCAAAAGCAGTAATAGTCAATGGGGGACTATTCCTTCCATGGATTTGTATCTAACCAGTGAAAATAAATGTATTTAAAGTAAGTCAGTACCATGGATAATTTCTCATATAATATTTAATAACAATTATTTGATTATTAATATGCACATTGATGCTGAGAGGGAATACATGAAAATTGCTAAAGCTGCATTAGGGTGAAGAAATTATGGATGATGTTTCTTTTTGTTTTTGCCAAAATTTCTGTAATGCTATGTTATATTTGGATCATTAAAATAAATACATTTACTTATTATACACATGAAGCACTGTTTATAAAAAGATGATTGGAAAACAAACATTTTTGTCAGCTGAAACTGGTTTATCTTCCTAATTCGTCACCTAAAAACAGTTTACATATCATAGAAAGCAAAAGGAAACAAGCCTGCCCTGTAGTTTTTCATTTGGAAAGACTGATTTCTTCTAGGTTAGAAGGGTCCTCTGTCACACCTCATCCTTCAATACAAGCAGATTTACAATTTCCTGGGCTGTGACTTGTAGAATGCAGCCTCACTTGCCATCCTGGGACTAGACTCTTCCTTTTGGGTTGAGGTAGCTGTAGAGTTGCTGTCATAATAAACACCACAGTGAAGCAACATCCAAGGTGCATCTGAAGATTTTTTTTTTTAATTAACTGCTTTAAACCCACAGAACACTTAATTTAATAGTTCCTGAGGAATACAGCCCTCCACTAGACCCAATGAGAACACATCATTTTCATTATACTTGTCCTAAGGTATATGGACCTCTTAGGTTCCAATAACAGGACTTCAATCAACTCAGTTGCTATTGGGTATAGCGAGCATAACTTACATGAAAAGGCTAAAACCCTCTATACAGCTGACACAATTAAGAATTTCTCCATCTTATTCCTAACAGCTCCATTTTATCCCATTGTACACCTTAAAAATATTTAAGAAAATACATAGTCAAGGATATAATTAAGAAGTATTTACGAAAACTCCAAACTCCATGTTTTATAACTAAGAGAATTCTCACTTATGTATAGCTACAATTCATGTAAAGAAACAGCTTTTGCTTAGTTATTGATGATTTCACCTAATTTGAATCCAAACAAAAATCCTGAATGACATATTTAATTTTTACCTCGACAATGACTGAAACATTATTACTGAATACTTACATATTTAAATTGTGTATTTCACTTATGAGAAAAGTAAAAATACAAATTTCAAGATCTCAAAGCAAGAAGGCTCAATAAAACATTATATAAAAATGTTGATCTTTGACTATTTTATAACTGTTATGCTAAAGAGAAACATGAAACCTTTGCATTGTTAATATTAGATCAAGTAAGTAGAAAGCTTAAATATTAACATTTACCTTCCTTGGTCCTTCATCGCATGTTACTTGCTATTCAGGCCACATGAGTTTATTGTCTGTGATATTAGAAACACACTTATATAACCTAATGGGTTACGATCCAGAAATGGATTAAGGCATTATCTTTTAAAATGGAATATGCCTTGCAGAAAAGTATCCTCTGATTGAGAATACTGATGCCTTTAAGGACTGTTTGGGGTATTTTGAAGAAAACTATGGATCAACACATATAACTGGAAATATAGTGGAATTTACTCATACGCTTTTAGGGTTTTCTCTCTAAACACTATTAGGAGTTTTAGATTTTGGTGAACAAACTGCCTTGGGTATTAAAAAGTAGAAAAACTCCTATTTATGCTAAGTAGTCATATGCTATTGGTTCAAATCTGTATTCTCACATATTTTAAAACTTTAAGTTTTAAAAGGCCAATTGGCTTGTAGTTCACTTAAAATGTATTTATTTATGTCACCTTAAGGCTCTGATTAAAAATAAATAAATTACATTGTCAAGATGGTATATCAAGCCAGGCATAGTGTCATACTTGTAGTCCCAGCTGCTCAGGAGGCTGAGGTGGGAGGATTGCTTACTTGAGCCCAGGGGTTCCAATCTAGCCTGGGCAGCATAGTAAGACCCTTCTCTTAAAAAAAAAAAAAAAAAGATGGTATACCAGTGGTTGCACTTCAGTACAAAAATTTCAGTTCAGAGACTAGTCACTAAAGAATGACTCAGTGAAACGCTATGAGAAAGGATTGGGGGCTTTTAATGTATCATTTATATCTTAGACTATAAATGGTAAATCTCAGAACTTGAGCATTTTTAGGTTGTGTGACAGTATGTATTACCAACTCAATGTCCTTCCTGATTTAAGTTTCTCCCAGTTCTTTCATTTTATCTCATTTCTAGAACATACACAGCAGATTTTATGTTTAAACTTGAGCAACTCTTTGCCTGGACAGCATAGCAGATTCACAAGCAACACATTTCCTAGAAAAAGAATCTCTAAGTTCTGTCCTTGACATGCCCCTGCCAGTGCTCTTTGCCTGTGAATACCTAGGTGGAGGGAAAGTTAAACTCCATTTAACCGAATATACTTTGAGGTCTCAGGAGGTTTAGGTGAGTGGATGATGGTATTTAAAACTTTAATTTTACAGGCTGAGTGTGGTGGCTCACACCTGTAATTCCAGCACTTTAGGAGGCTGAGGTAGGCGGATCACCTGAGCTCAGGAGTGTGAGACAAGCCTGGACAACATGGTGAAACCCTGTTTCTACTAAAAATACAAAAATTAGCTGGACATGGTGGTGCATGCCTGTAGTCCCAGTTACTTGGGAGGCTGAGGTGGGAGGATTGCTTGAGCCTGGGAGGCAGAGGTTGCAGTGAGTCAAGATCGTGACTCCAGCCTGGGCGACAGAGTGAGATCCTATCTCAAAAAAAAAAAAAAAAGAAAACAAAAAACCCTTTAATTTTATTGATGCATGTTTCAAAGACCACCTATTCTAAATATCATAAGGCTCAGAAAAGTAAAAGTTATTGAAAATCAAAGAATCATTTTCTTTGAGGAAATTTCCACCAGAGTTTTATGCAGCATAGTTGTAGTCAATTAATACATCTTAAGAGTTTGGCCCCATATCATTTAAAAGGCATACCATATACACAATGATACTTATGAAGAATTAAAATACTAACCAGAAATACAATTTTCATTTATTGAATATCTACTATGTTTCAGAATGTATTAAATGCTTTAAATACTTTGTCTCATTCAATTTACTGCTCACAGTAAGACTGCATAAAGACTGCATGTTAGGAAATATTCTCCATACCCTATAGAAATGGAAACTGAGGCTCAAAGAAGTAATTTGTCAACATAAATGGCTAAATTGTGAATAAAATCCACATCAATTTGACTTTAAAATCTATTATCCTAACCAATATGCTACAATGTTTTCTAAAGAATTTTTTTTTCCAAAATGTTCTTTAGTCTTTTCACTGTTTTGCTGAGGTGTTTTTTCCACCTTAACTAGTGATATTTTGGCAAATACACAATATAAAGTCAAAATTTTTAATCTTATTAAGGAAAGAACTTGCATTGTTTTTTAGTTTATATTGGAGTAACACTGTATAATTTGCTTTATGGGTTATAGATCCTTTTCTTGTGCATAACTTCCTTGATCATCTTAAATTAGGGCCACTTTATAAAGGAGGAGACTGAGGCTCAGGGAGGTTAAATGAGATTTGCCTGTGGTCAGGCAAACATGAAGTGTTGGAGCTGAGTTTTGAAATCTAGTTTTCTGACTTTCAAGTACAACATTCTGTCTTCTTGGTAAAGGTACAGAGGCAATGTAAGTTTGAGAACAGCTAGTGTTCGAGTGCCTTGCTTAACAAGATTTGTAGCTTCTAAAAAATATGCCAACCATAAAACGCCTGGTAAAAGAGCTTGAGTTGGCCATACCACATGACCTTCATTGTGTATGTGGAAGGGGCTGCCCTCCTGCAGTGGCTGAGCAGAACGTTGGCCTCACCCAGGCTTCAGACAAGGAGAGATGTTATTCGGCCTGTGACCTGGCATTTCACCATGAAATTATCTTTCTGGAGTATTCAATTTAACTATCTTTCATGAAGGAAGTAAACTTCTTGATTTTTTCTTTTCTGCTTGAAACACTGTTTGAATCATCTATGATAACAGAAGATATTAACATTGCATGCTGACTTTCTTTTCTTCTTCCAAAAGTTAGAACAAACCAGTAGTGGTCTATCAACTACAGGAGTTATAATTATCCATGGTTTCACTTTCTGAGGTTCCTGCTACCTGTGGTCAACCACAGTCTGAAAATTGGTGAGTACAGTACAATAAGATATTTTTGAGAGAGAGCGAGACCACATTCACGTAACTCCTATTACTCTATATTGTTATAACTGCTCTATTTTATCATTAGCTATTGTTGTTAATCTCTTACTGTGCCTAATTTATAAACTAAACTTTGTCATGGGTATATATGCCTAGAAAAAGACATAGTACATACAGGGTTCGGTACTATCTGCCATTTCTGGCATGCACTGGGGATCTTGGAACCATGGATGGAAGGACTACTGTACAAAAACAATTAGCATGTTCCACTGCAGTGAGACTCCTGATTTTATATAAAACCATATCTTTTTGGTCATTTTGTTTGTCTTTTAATAAAGAGATTAGGTGTGGTCTCTCCTACTTTGCCGTGCTATTGAAAACTAGGGATGGATTCATTAATTTGATAATTAAGTGCCTACTGGTTGCCAGGCACTGTTCTACGTGCTTGGGATACATCAGTGAACAAAACAGATAACATCCCCTGCCCTCTATGAGCATATATTCTAGTGTGAGGAAAGACAATAAGCATTAAAGCATCAGGTAGTGAAAAGTGCTGAAGTCAGACCAAACAATGACAGAGAGCACTTTTTGTCTAGAGGAGGTCACGTGTACCATGCTGTTCATTATTCCACAGCAGCTTGATGGTGAAAACAGGTTCTGCTCCCACAACCATGTGGACTTTCATGAATGAGCAGCAGGGCTGCCGTATGTCGAGTACACACACAGCTGCGAAGTGTGCAGAGGACAGCTCCCCCTGCACCTCCACTGAAATTTGAATTTATGGAAACATGCAGCTTCTGTGTTATCTACTTTTGCAGGAAATTGGAAAACTAGGACCAAAATCAAGCATACAAAAATTGAGTATTTTAAGCCACTTATCTAGGAGTTTTTGACCAATTATCTGGATTTTTAAAAAATTCTCCCTTCAATTTTAAATTTCTTAATTGGACATTTATCCAGTTTTCTTACTGAGTAACCTCTATTTCATCTGATAGAAGCAATCCTATTTTATCACATTCAAATAATAATGAAATTCAGTGCTTATGCATCAACTATGTCTTATCCTAATACTTGAAAAGATATGTAAACATGCTTTCTGCAAAGAAAGATACGTCTCCATAAAACAGAATCATTAAGGGCAAAAAAAATGGAAAGTCAGTTAGCCGATTAAATATCAGGCAAGGCATTTTTACTCTTCTTTAATGTATATACAACCCTGAACATTTGAGATTATTCTATTGTTTAATGATATTGACACACTTATAGAATATAAATCACCTGTCTGAAATCACAGAACTAGTAAATGTCAGAGCTAAAAGACAAATTCAGATCCAACCCCAAAGATATTTCTAATATGCTGCCCGGACTCTATATTTTATAATCATAAAATACCAAAAGCAAACCACTTATTGACACTAATCCATCTTCTAACAGTTGCTGGATACTGGCAAGTATATACCTCACGTATGTCTCCTACATGAAATGTAGGAGGTGTGTTTTTATAACACAAATTTGCAAATGTTATCTGTGAAAATGAAGATTTATATTTTTAAAAGGCAAATAATTTAGTGAATAAGGCAGCTTTATTATTCTAAAAATTAAACTTGATAGAACATCCACATAAACTTCTAGAAAAGAAAATAAAGTGATAAAAGTTACTCCCCGAAATGTAGTCTATAAAGTTCCAATGCTTGTATTTTCTCTGTAAAGCCCATGTGTGACTCACTGTTTACATATCATGAAAATGAGAGCATTCTGGGGAAAGACATAACTGGGCAGCACAAATAATGTTTCTGATATAAAACAAAACAAAATAAAAAAATAAGTAGGCAAGATAAATGTGATCTTTCTTTTTAATAAGCAAACAACAGCACTCCCCAAATACACCTCTCTAAATAGAAAAGCAACCATTTTTCAAAAACCCTGATCTGATCTAGACACAAATATTAAGAGGTCTAAGAAATTATCAGTAAATTATATACTGAAATTTTTTTTGGACAGCAGCATAATTGTGTATGTTTGTCTAGTTTGCTACTGTTCAGCTTCTCACTTTGTTTTTGTCAAAAAAAGAAAGAAGTATGGAAAATAGAGAATGATGATGGTTTGCCTTTAATTTTCATGGAAACTATCAAACGGCTCTAGGACATGAAGGTAGAAGTATAAATCCATAGTTTATATAATAAATATCATTTTATTTAATTAAATTCCCACTCCTTTTTCTAAGGACATTAAAACAATGATTAAAAAAAAAAAGATTAGAAGATTTCCTACTCTGTACTTCCACTTGTTATAAGTATTAATTTGTCAAAATGGATTTAAAGATTGCCTGATTCTTGAACGTCCTTATTAAGGTTTTCAAAACACATTTTGAGCCCAAGAACTTACAGTACAGTTTAGTGTCTTCCATGCTAAAATCCTTCTTTCTTGAATATCCTGCAACATATCTGCATGTCTCCCTCTTCTTGCTTTGTGTCCCTCAGCCAGGCAAAGACCAAATATCAGTGAAGGGGCCGTTTAATCATGCTAACTATTATCTCTCACACAGCTTGAGGTAGCTCAAGAGGAGAGCAAAGGGTGGTGAGACATACAACTCGACAGCCACTGTTTTTAAACAGTAACCGTGTTCACTGAACCAAGCAAAAACTGGGAAATGCTTCTGTTCAAAAAAGCCAGTGAAGCTCAAATGGCTATGGGCTGGGAGTAGGGGAGGCTTTTCCTGGTTAAGAAATGGTTGCTAAACATCAGCTCGGTCTCAGGGATTCAAACTCAGAGGCCCCAAACAGAATGCACATTAAACATACATTAAAAACTTAGCTGTTTACCAAAATCATCTAAACATTACATACTATTTCTCCAGACTGTCTGTCTTTGGGCTTCCTGATGCATTAACAGTGACATTTAAAACCCTGAAGGTTATGGCTGATTTTGTTTCCATACTAAAAGCATCTGAAAAAGGCGATCATTTAAAATCAGTCAGGCAGAGTGGCCTCTGTTCTCCCTTCACTGCTGAGAACAGACATGGAGTCACTGAGAAAGTGTATGGAATGACATTTAGGTGCCCTGTTCAGAAAGTCCAAAAACTTGACTTGCTTTAGTAAGTTCTGAATAATTCTGAAGGCTTTCCCAGGGGAGAAGAAGAACTAGTGAATTTAAATGCTAAAGTTTTAGAAGTTATTTCTATATATGTTAAATATTGGTCCTCAGAGTTTATCATTTTTTAGTCAGTGATATATTGCATTGTAAACTGTGAACTCAACATGTCTACCACACTTTTGACTTGGGATTATCTTTAGAAGGGCTTTTTGTTTAGGGTCATAGAGTGGGAACCGAGGAGAAAGGATCAGGTTAAAACCTTGCCTTGCCCTCACAGCATTTAAAAACATGTGACTTGGGGGCCAGAACACTTTGATTACAACCAATTAACTTAATGAGTTTGGGTGAGCAGTGGGCCCAATGTGAAAAGGAAAACACAATTTTTAGAAGAAAATAAAACCTGCCAAGCCCCTCTGAACTAGCCCCTTTGAGCAGTTGGACCTGACCCAATAAAGAGATTGGCCACTCATGGTTTCTAAGACGCGTGAGGGTCAAGTGTGGGCACTGGACTTGGCAACTAACCTTGTTAATACCCTTGGAACTACCGACTCCTTAGGAGGAGCCAGTGGAGTGCCCCTTCTAGCCCAGCACCACCCCTACAGCCCCAGAGACCCAGCATCAGAGCGTGTGACCACCACTCCCCACCCACTCCATTTTCAAAAGTAGCCTATATAGACATGGGCAACACCTTGCGTGCATGGCTCCTTACCTTGGTACTACTGACTTTTTTTTTCTTTTTATCCTTCTTATGGTACTGATCCTGACATTATAGACTGGATAATTCTTTGTTGTGGGTGGCAGCTGAAATTTATTGATCATCTATTATGTGTCAGATATTATTTTAAGGGCTTTTACACATATGAACTGGTCTAATCTCACAACAACCCTATTATGACGCCAGTTTTACAGATGAGGAAACTCTGAGATGCAGAAGAACTGCTGAAGATGTTAAGTGGCAGACTCTTCATCCCGATACAGATGCTGCTCGACTTACAATGGGGTTATGTCCTGATAAGCCCATTATAAGTTAAAAATATCATAAGTTGAAAAAGCATTTAATACACCTACTGAATATCATAGCTTAGCCTAGCCTACCTTAAATGTGCTAAGAACACTGACATTAGGCTATAGTTGGCAAAACCATCTAACACAAAGCTTATTTTGTAATACAGTGTTGAATATCTCATGTAATTTATTTAATACTGTACCCAAAGTGAGAAACAGAATTGTTGTATGGGTACTCAAAGTGTGTTTTCTACTGAATGCATATGGCTTTCACACCATCATAAAGCTGAAAACTCTTAAGTCGGGACCTGGCTGCACTATGTTCTGCTGCAGCATCTACCCTCCCTCTAAGTAAGGAGGTGACTTCTCACTTCCGAGCAACAAAGACATTCAGGCCAGTGCTGCCTGCTGATGGGAAATGACTGGTACCACAAGGACAGAAGAAAGGCAGGGAAAGACAGAGGACATTGTGTGGAGACAGTGCACCACTCTTCCCTTAGCAAAAACAGTTTTTTGTTGTTTTTTTTTTTAACTAAATGGTGGTGAATTCATCCAGAAAAACAGCTGAATGACAACAAGAGAGAAAAGAGAATAAAGGTTTTTGTATACGACAAGTGGCTCAAGCCAATTTCTCTGTCCCAGTGCATGGAGCAGTGGGTACTATCAATTATGTATCATCTTAAACTGTACACTGCACAGCCACTGTCATAGAAAGAGGCATGATCCTAAATCCACACATCATTCTTGGTATTTTCTCAAGACTAAGGTATCAGCTTATCACCCCGCTTTTGGTTTCATTCTCTTTTCTTTTCTTTCTTTCCCTCCCTCCCTCCCTGCCTTCCTCTTCTTCCTTCCTTCCTCCCTACTTTCTTTCTTGCTTGCTTGCTTTCTCTTTCCTTTCTTTCTCTCTCTTTCTCTCTTTTTCTTTCTTTGAAGGTCTCATTGTCACCCAGGCTGCAGTGCAGTGGTGTGATCTTGGCTCACTGCAACCTCTGCCTCCTGGACTCAAGTGATCCTCCCATCTCAGCCTCTCGAGTAGCTGGGACCACAGGGGCATGCCACCATGCCCAGCTTTTTTGGAGGGGGGTAGGGAAGGGGTTTTGCCATGTTGCCATGTTGCCCAGGCTGGTCTTGAACTCCTGGCTCAAGCAACCCTCCCGTGTCGGCCTCCCAAAGTGCTGGGATTACAGGCATGAGCCACTGCTCCTGGCTTGGTTTCATTTTCAATATACTATATAGCAAAACTACATCAGTGCTGGATACTGGCAGATGGATAAAGCCCAAACTGATAGCTTACAATTTAATGTAAAGAAATGGAAATCAAGGGGAAATAAAAATTTGTTCAAGTCAAGATCACACAATAATCCCTAACAAATGTAAAATACAATAAACATTTTGTAATGGGAGTTGGTGAATTATAAACTTGACTACAGAGGAGTTCGGGGAGAACTCTGAGGGTCCACGTCCTCCCCTTTTGTGCATGGATTCATTTCCTGTTCACTGCCTACCTGCTTTCTTCAGAGTCGTTCTAACCCTGCTCTCTAGTCAAGTTCATGATTCAACAGCTCTTTCCTCCATTCTTGTCTATGCTGCCACCCTCGAAACTGAAGAAAGCCTTGTCTTGCCCCGCTAACATGTGGAGGCCCTTCCCATCCTTTCCGATTCTCTCATCAAATCTGCAATCTGACACCTTGCTCTGCTTTGTTCTTTCTTCTTTCCTGTTTCTCCCTCTTAACTTTTGGCTACTAAGAGAGAAACTGGTTTTTGTAAAACGGGAACTCTGAAGTTGCAGCAAGAATTCCATGAGGTTATGAAATATCTAGTAGCAGTCCTGCTTATTGTTTCCTCCCCAGCTTTCTGAAGTATAATTGGCAAATAAAAATTGTATATATTTAGGGTGTACAACATAATGGTGTGCTCTACATACACACTGTGAAATGATTACCACAATCGAGTTAATTAACACTTCCATCACCTCCCATAGTTATCATTTTGTGTGTGTGGTAAGAACACAAGATCTACTCTCTTAGCAAATTCAAAGTATACGATATAGCATTGTTAATGATAGTTACCATGCTGCACATTAGGTCTCCAGAATTTAGTCATCCTGCCTGAGATTTTGTACCCTTTGGCCAATATCTCATTTTCCCCACCCTCCTCTGCTTGCTTTCAACAAAGCTTTATTCCACAAAGAATTGTGTCCTTCTGCATTCTTTTGTATTCCTTAGAACACATCAGAGGTGGGAGGAGTAAAAGGGGTGTGTGTGCGTTTTCGTGTGTGTGTGATAGTGAATGTATAAATGAAAAGATGAAGATCTAGTTGTTCTACCAGATAACTGAAAGCATATGGATAGGCTAAGCACTTCCTCTGAAAAAAAAAATTGCACTTACAGTGTATTCTCATTATTTACAAGAATTTAAATGTTTTTTCCTTGCAGAGTTTCACATATTTTACACTAGAATCATATATACTAAATTTCATTATCATCATTATCAAAATGGTACAGTTTAAACTCTTGGTGTTTGGTAGAATTGCGTTTATCTAACATAAATGCTGGGGAGCTTGGCTATTGTTATTTTAACAGGCAAATGCTGAGAAACATTTCACTTATATTTTATTTATGGTTATAGAAAAGTAAAAGCAGAGATTCATTTTATAAAGAAGTTTGTGCTTTTTTTGCTGAAAAATTGAAAAGCTAAAAGCACACATACAATATACATTATTAAAGGACCCAGTTCACCCAGTCTATTATTTGATGCAAGCTGGTTTTGATCATGGTGGGTCTTACTTGAACACACCTGAATTGTTCCAAATCCCAATGACAACCCAGGGGTACTGCAGCACATCACTTGCTCTGGACACCCTTCTTAATCGTAGTTCTTTATTTGCCATTGCTTTTGTGTTTGAAAAGTAGTAAGTGGAGCTTTGGGAGGGTTTTTGTTTGTTTTCAACATTTACAATCTAATCTGGCACTCGGGTTTTACTTTCCTTTTCAACAGTTATCTTATTCTCTTTTCTTTTTCCTTTAGAGAGTCTCTAGAGGACACACTTTTCAAGATGCTGGAAAAGGAAGTTGCTGGGGGTTTTTTTAGCCCAAGTTATATAGTACCTTGGACAGTGACAAAAGCTACCCATGCTGTTTATTTAGGAGACACTCACTAAATAAAGATTCAGTTACAAACGTACCCCGCATATGACTGTTTCCCAAAATCTGCATTTACATTACCCTGGAATCTTGCACGCGGTCCTTGAATTGCAGAACCATCTACACTTCACAAAAGCAGACAAAACTATAACAAAAGATACTTTTATTTTCTATATTAATACTTTTCTACTCTGCCTATAATCAAGCCTTCCCACTCTTCTTCCTACCCTTACTACAGGCATATCACCAGCTATGACTGGCTTTCCTGTGGCACTTGTGAGACTGATGCTGGTTTAGGGATAATTACAATGAAGTCACTTTTAAATATTTATGATTGAAGCGAAAGTTCTTATGGAACATTTCAGCAAAATCAGGTTGCCCAGTCTAGATTATTGGGGCTGAAATCCAGTAAGAGTCAAATGCTAGACTCTTTCTAGCAAGAGTCAATTGCTAGCAAGAGTCAATTGATTCTTTCAATGGAAATAATTTCTGCCAAAATACTATTTCTCAACCATTTTTTTGCAACAGCTCAAAGATTCAATTGTCCCCTTTCACATGGGAAACTTGTAGTGAAATATTGTCTGAACTCACTACCTTTTCCTGTCAATTCCTACAAATTAATTACAATGTATTTCAGAGAGGATTTCACTGATACAGAGGATTAATGGGAGAGCCTGACAGCTGGAGTCCTATGTTAGGTTAGAAATTAAAATAAGGAACTTGACCTACTTTCAAAAGGGACATTTGTTAATTTCCTTAAAACAAACCAATGTAATCTTTCAGTTATTTGCCTTCAGAATATGGGGCTAAAATACCTATGTTATCATAGGGAACAAAAACACATTATCCATATGTGTAAGAAACTCTTGTACAAAATATCTTTGACTTTAAAAAACACATATAATTTGATGTTTCCTTTTTGGTATATCCCAGGCTATGAACATTCACTCATTGCTCCCAACCACTAGCCCTAGACAATACACTCTCCTCAGTGAGTAGCAGCCAGTAATGCCACAATGAAACTGGGGAATAGATGGAAGGAAAAAAGTCAAGTCTAATATACCCAAAAGAAGAAATTCTTCTCTTATAACCTAATTTGCATACAGCCTACTTGACATATTGGGCAAACAGTCTAGGCTTAAACCAGCATTACCACTTTGCTTCCAGCTTTAGCCTACCAACTCATTCCTATAACTTGTCAGATTAGTCTCCCTAAAAAAAAAATAAATAAAAATAAAAAAATTAAAAAAACAGCTCAAGTAGCTCATCATTCCCCTGCTCAAATCATATCTTCCAAGTGCCCACTAAATCCAGGTCACTGCAATTTCTTTCCATCTACTTTTCAAGAATTATTCCCATTCCCAGATATCCCATGGTTTTACAGAATGGATGCACTTGCTATTCCTTTAATATGCCTCATGATTTCCTTCTCTATTTCCTTCTTTCATGCTGGCTCTTCTTTCCACCTGAAATGTCTCTTCAATCACCTCTGTTAAATCTTCCAAACACATCAAGAGCCAAGGCACATGCCCTCACCCTCTCTAAAGTACATCTCAATTCTCCCAAACAGAAGTGCTCGTCTTCTCTCTATAGAAACCAAAAACACATTGATTAACCTTCTCTAACAGCATTACTGCAGGAGGAGAGGGTTATCAGACTCATCTGTTTAGTCCCTGAAAGGCTTTGTGTATAGCTCAAGAAACACCCTAAACTGCAATGGCCTACCCTCCAGTATGAGTCAATTCCAGTGGCACTGGGATATAATAACAAGCTGCAATCTCAAAGTTCAGACATAACTGCTATAAATATTTTAGTATCTGTTCTTGTAGATTTTTTGAAGTATAAATATGTACATGTGTATAATATGAAAATGGGATCTTCCATGTAACACTATTTTAGAATCTGTTTGACATCTGACATCTTCCATGTAAAAAGTATGTTTCTAAAATGCCTTTATTAATGGCTGTATAATATTGAATCATAGGGAAGCACTAACTTATGTAGCAGATTCCCAAAATTAGACTGTTTCCAATTTTTCAATATTATAAAGCAAGGCTGCCTATAGAGTTGTACAAACTTTATCAATGTCTGAAGGGTAAATTCCTCAAGAGGAATTGCTAAATCTTTGGTTACGAACATTTAAAAAGAATAGTGATATATTTTGCCAAAGAGAACCCTTATTGCTTCATCCTGATTGATGGTGGTGATTCATTTACTAGTGTCTCTCATTTACCAAATGCCTGCTGTGTTCCAGGAGCTGTTCTTCAAGACGCTTACATCCACTGGATGAAGACAGATAATATATGAGAGAACAGGTTAATAAATCAGATCAATATTATGAAAAAACAATATTGGGGGTGGGAGGAGGAGATGTTTGTGGGGGTGGTCAGGGAGGGCCTCTCTGAGGAAGTAGCAGTACAGGTTAAGGAGGACCCAGTAATTCCAAAAGCCAAGAAATGAGTGCTTCAGATAGAGGGATGAGTAAGGGCAAAGACCCTGAGGCCAGAGTGAAAATGAATATTAAGAGGGTAGAAAGAAAGTCACTCTGGGTTAAAAAGTGGTGAGAAAGAACAAATGCAGGGAATTGTAGTTCATATTAAAAATTTTATATTAACACCAATGGGAAACCTTTGGCAGGTAAAAAGCTTTAAGGAGAAGAGTGCCAAAATCTGTCCTATTAGTCTAAAAGGTGACTCTGGTTGCTGTGTAGAGACTGACTAGAAGTCAGGGTGTACACGGCAGGGGCGAGTGTAGAGCAGTGAGCCCAGTTCAGTCACTGATATCATAATCTGAGGAGAGAGCAGATGACGTCTGGACCAGAAATGGACATAAGTAGACAACTGTGATATACTTTGGAGGTAGTGCCAACAGCGTTTTTTAATGGATTGGATGACACCTGGCAGTTGGCTGAGTACTACTACAACAGAGCGGCCTCAGCGCCAAACAAGTGTGAGGAAAAGAATCAAGAAAGAAAAGAAGATGCATCAAAAAGGTAAAATCTGTGACAATGTGATAGACAAAGATGTAATCACACTGTTTCTCTATATTTTATGTAGTTTATTCTATAAATATTGTCTTCTATGCTGCATGTCAATCTAAAACTTTTTTTTTTTTTTGGTGACAGCATCTTGTTCTTTCATCCAGGCTGGAGTGCAATGGCACGATCTCAGCTCACTGCAATCTCTCCCTGGGCTCAAGTGATCCTCCCACCTCAGCCTCCCAAGTAGCCGGGACCACGGGTGCACACCATTATGCTTGGCTAATTTTTGTATTTTGGGTAGAGACGGGGTTTCACTATGTTGCCCAGGCTGGTCTTGAACTCCTGACCTCAAGTGATCTGCCCACCTCAGTTTCCCAAAGTGCTGGGATTACACGCATGAGCCATCATACAAGGCCAATCTAAAATTTTTATAATTACTTTCCATGACAATAAAAGCTCTTCATAGATGTACCAAATATGCTAAGTATGTTGGCCTTCTGCACATTCAAGTTATTTCAATTTTTACTATGACTTTATACATAAAGCTTTAACTGCAGATTAGATTGTAAGGGGAATTAGTAGGTCAAAAGTAGGAATAGCTTTAGGGCTTTAATACCTAGCACCCAGAATAATTTCCTGACAGGTTTTACCAATTTACTCTCTTACCAACACTGTAGGTGAGTTATTATCTAAATGTATTGCATATTCTCATTAAAAGCAAACATAAATCTTGGTATAGCATTTATAAAAGGTCATGAACATAAATTATATAATTGAACATACAGGAGAATTAGCATTTTTGGAGAATATATTATCATTTTAATACAAATTTTGCCAGTAGTACTGTAGATTCTCTAACAAAGGCATTTCTACTGAAAATAGTTATATAAACTCTCAGATTACAGCTCTTACTATGAACTACTGAGAGCAGATCAGCCTTCTTGATGTGTTGTTGATCTTTAAACTTTCTTTGAAATATAATAAACATACTGCTAAACAACATCATGTTCAACCTCCTGTGATTTAAATAATCTGCTACAAAGTTAATATGCCAGAATTTTATTATCAAAAATTATAATTAGTTATGAAAGGTGTATGAGAAGGTTGGTTTACTTTTTATTTTTTTTTAGGATGGAGCAATCCTTTACTTTTATATGCTTTGATAAAGAGGTTTTCAATACACCATCTTCCCAATGGAGAAGAGAGAACATGAAAATCAGCCTCTAGCCATCATCAGCAGCTCTGCTCGGGGCCTAAGATCCTCCTTGCGCATGTGGCAATGAAGGGGTATACTTCCCTTCCTTTATGAGCGCAGCCTGCTGCTTCTTGATGATACTTATGTTTCATCATTTTCTGTTGAAACATACATTCTATGAAACCATCAAATTGTATCTTGTACTCTTTCTCTGCCTAGATACTACCAATTCCACTTATACATTCTTTTTTGAAAGCATAGCATTAAGCAGAAAGCTCGTGGGGCAATTCAGCATGGATTGTCATCCAATGATCTTTGTTATGGTCCAGTCTTTTCTGCACATCAAAGAAATGTAAGGTGTCCCACACAGTGCCCTTGTCTCCTCCCTAGCCTGGTTTAATTTACTTGAGTGTGCACTATGCAAAGGGATCCTGCTTTGCTTCTGACAGTAGGGCCCATGTAACATGGGGCCTGTCATTTATTCTCAAGAGCTGTGCTGTCCAGTAGGGTAGCCTCCAGCCACATGTGCCTATTTAAATTTAAATTAATTAAAAATTCAGTTTCTTAGTTGCAGTAGCCACAGTTTAGATAATTTCTAAAGTACCTTCTAGAACTAAATTCTAATGATTTTTGTGGCTTTGAAGTTCCTTTTAAGGTGCTTTCTCTGAAAACTTTATAAAAATATAACTTCAAACATTTTAACTCATTAATAGAATTTCAAAAATGAAAGCTTCTTTAAGATCATCTTCATTTATTTCCTAATATTTAACATAGAAAAAGTTGGAATAGAGGATATAAGAGATTTGTTCAAGTTCGTATGACTAGTGAATGGATGAGCAGAACCAGAACATACAATTCATAATCTATCACACCTGCTCCAGGAATTCCACTGTGTAAGAGAAAAGGAATCAGTTACATTAAAAGCAAAGACCAGTGAGTGTATGCATACATTTTAGGTGTGTATGTGTATGTATACATGTGTGTGTATATATATACAAATCTGAGACAATTTGAGCATCAAAATATGTAATTAGCAAAAAGAATTATAACTCATAGAATAAATATTCACAAGTCTACACTGATATAAACAAGAGAGAAGTTAGACCTCTTCTTTATGGTAGAAAGCCAACTAATAAATGTGGAAGGAATTAATTTTTAAAAATCACTATTTGGCAACCAATACAAATACTAATTGATCCAGGCAAGAATCACTGAGGCTAAAGTTAATGGATGAATATATAAGAAAGAAGAGAATATTTACATGGTTTCAAAATAATTCCTCATAAGATACTTACTAACTGAAAAGGAAAAATTGGTAACCTGATAGTGGAGAAACTTAGCAGATACCACCTCAAACACGTGATGGAGGTTAAAGCTGGAACAAATCAACATGTGCCTCCTGATACGATACATGGAGAACAAAACATCACTTCTGCGGCATTCAGGCGAAAAATATATTACCTCAGTCTAATCATAAGGAAATATCAGGCAAATCCAAATTGAGAGACATCCTACAAAACAACTGCCCTTGAATGCTTCAAAAATGTAATATCATGAACTACAAAGACAGAGAGGAAGTGATAAAGATTAAAGAGACAAAATAGCACAATACATAATCTTGATTTTCATTTGTTAGAAAAGATATTGGGACAAATGATGAAATCTTTATAAAGTCTATAGATTAGACAATGGAAACCCCCAAAAGAGGAGTAACTAAACTTATATCGGACAAAAACAGACTTCAAGGCAAAAACTATAAAAAGAGACAAAGAAGGTCATTATTTAATGATAAAGGAGTGAATTCATTAATTGCAGATATAACAACTGCAAATATATAGGCACCCAATACTGGAGCACTCAGAAATATAAAGCAAATGTTAGAGCTAAAGAGAGAGAATGACACCATTACAGTAATAGCTGGACACTTCAACACCACAATTTCAGCACTGGACAGATCATTCAGACAGAAAATCAACAAACATCACACTCAATCTGCACTATAGATCAAATTGATCTAATAGGTATTTATAGGACATTTCATCCTATGGCTGCAGAATACACATTCTTCTCCTCAGCACATGGATCATTCTCAAGGTTGGAACATATGTTAGGCCACAAAACAAGTATTTTAAAATTCAAAAATAATTAAATAATATCAAGGACCTTCTCTGATCACAATAGAATAAAACTAGAAACCAATAGCAAGAAGAATTTTGAAAACTACACAAATGCATGGAAATTAAACAATATGCTCTTGAATGACCAGTGGGTCAATGAACTAACAAATTTCTTGTAACAAATGAAAATGCAAACACATTATACCAAAACCTATAGGATACAGTGAAAACTATAAAAGGAAAGTTTATAGCACTAAGTGCCTACATCAAAAAAGCTGAAAAACTTCAAATAAGTAACCTAACAACATTGTACAGAACAAGAATAGCAAGAGCAAACCAAACACAAGATTAATAGAAGAAAAGAAATTAGGGCATAAATAAATAAAATTGGCCAGGTGTGGTGGCTCAGGCCTGTAATCCCACCATTTTCGGAGGCCAAGGTGGGAGGATGGCTTGAGGCCAGGAGTTCAAGACCAGCCTGGGCAAGACAGCAAGACCCTGTCTGTACCAAAAAACAAAAACAAAAACAAACAAAAAAACAAACCAAACAAAAAGAGAAACATAACTTCTTTAAAAAAATACAAAAGATTAACAAAATGAAGCACTGGTTTTTTGAAAAGATAAACAAAATCAACAAAACATTAGCCAGAACAACTAAGAAAAAAAGAGACATAATCCAGATAAAATCAGAAATGAAAAAGGAGGCATTACAACCAATATTGCAGAAATTCAAAGGATCATTAGAGGCTACTATGAGCAACTATATACCAATAATATACCTAGAAGAAATGGATAAATTCCTAGACACACAAATCTACCAAAGTTGAACCATGAGGAAATCCAAAACCTGAACAGACCAATAACAAGTAATGAGATCAAAGTAATAATAAAAAGTTTCCCAGCAAAGAAAAGCAAAGGACTCCATGGCTTTACTGCTGAATTTTACTAAATATTTAAAGAAGAACTAATGCTAATCCTACTCAAATTTTTTCCAGAAAAAAAAGTGGAGGAGGGAGTACTTCCAAAGTCATTCTAAGAGGCATGATACCAAAATCAAACAGACACATCAAAAAAAAAAAAAAAAGAAAGAAAGAAAAGAAAAAGAAGGAAATGAAGAAAGAAAGAAAGAAAAAGAAAAAAGAAAAGAAAAGAAAGAAAACAAACTACAGGCCAAGATCCCTGATGAGCACTGATACCAAAATCCTCAACATAATACTAGCAAACCAAATTCAATAACACATTAAAAAGATCATTCATCACGACCCAGTGGGATTTATCCCAGGAATGAAAGGATGGTTCAACATCGCAAACTCAACGTGATACATCATATCAACAAAATAAAAAACCACATAATTATTTCAAGTGATGCTGAAAAAGCATTTGATAAAGGTCAACATCCTTTCATGATAAAAATCCTAAAAAACTGGGAATAGAAGAAACATACCTTAACATAATAAAAGCCATATATGACAGACTCACAGCTAGTATCATATTGAATGAGGAAAAACTGAAAGCCTTTCCTTTAAGATCTGGAAAAAGACAAGAATGTCCACTTTCACCACTGTCATTCAACATAGTACTGGAAATCCTAGCTAGAGTAATCAGACAAGAGAAAGAAATAAAGTGCATCCAAATTGGAAAGGAAGAAGTCAAATTATTCTTGTTTGCAGATGATATGACCTCATATTTGGAGAAGCCTAAAGACGTTACCAAAATACTATTATAACTGATAAACAAATTTAGTAAAGTTGCAGGATACAAAATCAAACATACAAAAATCAGTAGCATTTCCATACACCAACAGCAAACAGTCAAAATCAAGAAAGTAATCCCATTTACAATAGCTACAAATAAAATACCCAGAAATAAACTTAACCAAAAAAGTGAAAGATATCTTCAAGTAAAACTGTAAAACACTGATGCCAGAAATCGAAGGGGACACACAAAAAAAGAAAGATTGGAAAGATGTTCATAAATATGAAAAATCAATATTGTTAAAATGTTAGAATGTCCATAGTGCCCAGATTCAATGCAATTCCTATCAAAATACCAATGACATTCTTCACAGAAATAGAAAAACAATCCTAAAATTTATTTGGAACCACAAAAGACCCCAATAACCAAAGCTATCCTAAGCAAAAAGAACAAAATTAGAGGAATCACATTACTTGACTTCAAATTATACTGCAGAGTCATAGTAACCAAAATAGCATGGTACTGGCATAAAAACAGACACACAGAACAATGGAACAGAATAGATAACCCAATAATGAATCCATACATCTACAGTAAATGCATTTTCAACAAAGTTGCCAAGAACATAAACTGGCAAAAGGACTGTCTCTTCAATAAATGGTGCTGGGAAAATTGGATATCCATATGCAGAAGAATGAAACTAGATCTCTATCTCTTGCCATATACAAAAATCAAATCAAAATGTATTAAATTCTTACATCTAACACTTCAAACTATGAAACTACTAAAAGAAAATATTGGGGAGATGGGTGGATCATGAGGTCAGGAGATCAAGACCATCCTGGCTAACACGGTGAAACCCCATCTCTACTAAAAATACAAACAATTAGCTGGGCATGGTGGCGGGTGCCTGTAGTCCCAGCTACTCGGGAGGCTGAGGCAGGAGAAAGGTGTGAACCTGGGAGGCAGAGCTTGCAGTGAGTCAAGATTGCGCCACTGCACTCCAGCCTGGGTGACAGAGTGAGACTCTGCCTCAAAAAAAAAAAAAAAAAAAAAAAAAAAAGAAAAGAAAACGTTGGGGAAACTCCCCAGAATATTGGTCTGGGCAAAGATTTCTTGAATAATACCCCAGAGGCACAGGCAACCAAAGCAAAAATAGACAAATGGGATCACTTCATGTTAAAAAGCTTTTCACAGGAAAGGAAACAATCAAAAAGGGAAGAGACACCCCACAGAGTGGAAGAAAATATTTGCAAACTATCTATTTGACAAGGGAATAATAATGAATATGTAAGGAGCACAAACAGCTCTATAGGAAAATATCTAATGATCTGATTTTGAAACGGGCAAAAGGTCTAAATAAACAGTTCTCAAAAGAATACATACAAATGTCAAATAGGTATATGAAAAGGTGCTCACCATCATTGATTATCAGAGAAATGCAAATCAAAACTACAATGAGATATCATCTCACCCCCGTTAAAATGGCTTTTATCCAAAAGTCAGGCAATAACAAATGCTGGTGAGGATGTAGAGAAAAGGAAACCCTTGTACAATGCTGGTGGGAATGTTAATTAGTACAACTACTATGGAGAACAGTATGAAGGTTCTATAAAATCCTGAAAATAGAACTACCATATGATCCTAGAATACCACTGCTAGGTATATACTCAAAAGAAAGGAAACTAAATGTAGCAAAGAGATATCTGCACTATTATATTTATTACAGCACTAGTTACAACAGCTTTGGAAGCAACCTAAGTGTCGATCAACAGACAAATGAATCAAGAAAATGTGGTATGTATGCACAATGGAGAACGACTCAGCCATAAAAAAGAATGAGATCTTGCTATTTGCTACAACATGGATGGAAATGGAAGAAATTAAGTGAAATAAGCGAGGGACAAAAAGACAGACTTTGTGTGTTCTCATTTGTGGAAGCTAAACATTAAAACAACTGAACTCACAGAGATAAATGGTAGGATGATGGTTATCAGCAGCTGGGAAGAGTAGTGCAAGTGGTGGTGGGGATGGAGGGAGTAGGGATGGTTAACGGTACAGAAAAATAACTAGAATAAGATCTCATATTTGATAGTACAACAGGTTGACTACAGTCAACAATTTATTGTACATTTAAAAATAACTAAAAGAGTATAACTGGATTGTTTGTTACACAAAGAAAGAATAAATGCTTGTGGTAATGAACACCCCATTTACTCTGATGTGATTATGTATTATATGCCTGTATCAAAATATTTCACATACCCCATAAATATATATAGCCACTAGAGATCCACAACAAATTTTTTTAAAATTATTAACATTTGAAAAATCCAAGTGAAGGGTACATGGGAATTCTTTGTCCTATTCTTGCAACTTTTCAGCTTTTCTGTAGGTCTGACATTATGTATGTGAAAATTTTTAGAAAGATTTACATTAGACAAATGTAAATTAAAACCACAATGAGATACTATCTCACACCAGTCAGAAAGGCTCTTATTAAAACGTCAAAAAATAACAGACGCTGGGTGAGTTTGCAGAGAAAAGGCAACGCTTATATATTGCTGGTGGGCATGTAAATTAGTCACAGTGGAAAGCAGTTTGGTGATTTATCAAAGAACTTGAAACAGCAGTACCATTTGACCCAACAATACCATTATTGGGTATATATCCAAAGAAATATAAATTGTTCTACCATAAAGACACATAGAGCTGGGTGTGGTGGCTCACGCCTGTAATCCCAGCACTTTGGGAGGCCAAGGAGGGTGGATCACCTGAGGTCAGGAGTTCGAGACCAGCCTGGACAACATGGTGAAACCCCGTCTCTACTAAAAATACAAAAATATTAGCTGGGTGTGGTGGCACATGCCTGTAATCCCAGCCACTCGGGAGGCTGAGGCAGGAGAATCACTTGAACCTGGGAGGCAGGGGTTGCAGTGAGCCAAGATCGTGCCACCACACTCTAGCCTGGGCAACAGAGGGAGGCTCCATCTCAAAAAAAAAAAAAACAGACGCATGCATATGTTCATCACAGCACTATTCATAATAGCAAAGATATGGAATCAACCTAGATGCCCATCAATGGTAGGCACGATAAAGAAAATGGGCACTGTCTGCTCTTACAAGACCATTCCAGCACATTGTTGGTTGGATACACAGGTCTGGATCTCAGCATGAGGTCCGAAGATGATAGATCGATTTGGCAGGCAACAAGCTGTGTATTTTAAAACCGCTAAACTGTGTTGAGTTTTGCTTTTTGCTCCAGAACTTGGTCAACTAAAAAAAATATATATTCCATTTTGCTGCTAAAAGGCATATATATTGTGCAGATGTTGTATGCAGTGTCTATTTGATCAGGTTTTTTCATTCTGTACAAGTTTTCCACGTCCCTATTGATTGAATTCTTTGTCTGCTTGTCTTATTAATTACTGAGAGATGTATTCCTTTTGTTGTGGGTTTGTTTTAGTTGTATATATATTTGTGACCATGCTATTTTAAGTGAATAAAAAGTGAAGTATCTTTCAAAAAAAAAAAAAAAAAAGAAAAGAAAATGTGGTACATATACACCATGGAATACTATGCAGCCATAAAAAAGAACAGCATCATGTCCTCTGCAGCAACATGGATGGAGATGGAGGCAGTTATCCTAAGTGAACTAATGCAGGAACGGAAAACCAAATACTGCATGTTCTCACTCACATTGAGTACACATGGACACCAAGAAGGGAACAACAGACACCAGGGCCTTCTTGAGGGTGAAGGGCGGGAGGGGGGTGAGGACTAAAATACTACCTATTGGGTACCATGCTTTATTACCTGGTGACACAATAATCTATATACCAAACCCCGGGAACACATTATTTACCTACATAACAAACCTGCACATGTACCCTTGATATAAAAGTATTTTACAAATTAAATTAAATTTAAAAATATTTAAACCAAGGCCACTGAATCCCTATTTATTATTGATAGTTAAAAAAAATGAATGCGACATTTGGCTCCTTTATACTCACAGGAACATTAGTTAAAATGGAAAAAAATTGAATGTAAAACATACCAAAACAAAACAAAAAAAAGTTTTTCTAAAAATACACTGACGTTTTCTCCAAAGCAAAAGATACAAAAAGAAAGAAAGTAAACTTCTTACCTACTCCCTTCTCCATTTCTATTACAACTGTCTTGCTGTAAACTTCAGAGGAAATAGGAAAATGGATTCTTTTACATAGTGGCCTACCTTCAGATATTTTTAACCTTTTTTCAACAGAAAAAAATCAGATTGATTTGATCAGATGGAATAAATTGTCAGATGCCTAATTTAAAACTGGCCAGAAATAAATATGAAAATTGAGCAAAGAGCAATTTGAAGGTGAAACTTGCTGGCTCTGTGTGGCAAAGGGTGATAGAATCTCTCTTATCTAGAGCAGCAGGTGCTGAGCTGGGGGAATTTCTGGGAGCAATTTCTTGAGACCACGCATCAGTTGACTTGAGATTCTTATTCTTGGCTCACGCGAAGCCCTGAAATATCCATCTCAAGTGAGTCCAGCATTCCCCTCCTAGGGCCAGGACAGACCTCACATTGAGCAGCTTGAGCCCTATTAAGAACTGGCACTATTCTTAAACACAAAAGCAAAAAGAAATATTTCTCATACTTTTTCTCCTAAAGTAAAATAAAAGCTAACTAAACATTATCTTATTAAATAGTAAAGTATAGTAATTTTGAATTATGGAGTAAAGGCTACTTTAGTTGGATCCTGGCATAACTTAGCATCATTATTGTTGTGACGGCCATTTGCAATGGAAGAAAAGAGTCCCATTTCTCTCTGCCCATGGTCATTCTGGTATGATGTAGATGTATTTATTTAATGCTTTCTTTGCCACCTAAATTATTAAACTCTTAGACAATAAGTAGAATTCCTCGGCTTTCTTCACCAATATCTTGCACAACAGAATTTAGGGTTGGGAAGTCATTTTCTTAATCAATTGAGGGTTGTTTTCTGTACTTGAATATAGATATTTGTTCAGTGATTCTTAAACCGTGAATCATAATATTGCTTAAACTGTGATTAATCTTAAACTGTGAATCAAAAATATCATAATTTTTCCTTTTTAGACAAGGTCCTCACTCTGCCACCCAGGCTGGAGTGGAGTGGTGTTATCATAGCTCACTGCAGCCTCAAACTCCCAGGCTCAAGTGATCCTCCTGTTTCAGCCTCCCAGTTAGGATTACAGACAAGTACCAGGCTAGGTTAATTTTTATCTTTTTTTTGTAGAGCAAGGGTCTTACTATGTTTCCCAACCTGGTCTTGAACTCCTGGCCTCAAATGATCTCCAGCCTCAGCCTCCTAAAGTGCTGGGATTACAGGCATGAGCCACTGTGCCCAGACCCATGTTCAACGATTCTTAAGCTGTGAATCGTAACATTAATATTCTTAATCACTTATTTCAAAGCTTCTACTGTAGCTCAGGATTTACCAAGAGTGTGCTCTGATATTGGAAAGTTCTGATATTAAATGTATATGAAAAATGGTATGAATTGTGTCTCTTAGAGAATTTTAACACATATATTAAATGTCTTGAGGAATCTTACAGTAAAGCAAGCAACTCAATAAGGTCTCTAAACTTACTTGACTGAGGATGTTCCTTTTCCTCAATATTTATTAATCTACTGATAGTTCTGGGATACACTTTACAAATGTCATTACATTATGTTTATTAGTTTTATTATTGCAGGATTGTCTTTAAAAGATATAGTTACACAATATTGTTTCGACACGACATTTCCCATAAAATGAATACCATGTGGCAGTAAATTCTCTTTGTAAATCAAATGTACCAGGATAAGCACATTAATTGGAAATTTAGGGGAAATCAAATTTAGAGGGTCACCTGATTGCTTTAGTAGAAGGTAACAAAGTTTGATGACTTAATGATCAATTCCACTTCAGATTTTTTTTTTTTTTTTTTTTTTTTTGAGACGGAGTCTCGCTCTGTCGCCCAGGCTGGAGTGCAGTGGCGGGATCTCGGCTCACTGCAAGCTCCGCCTCCCGGGTTCACGCCATTCTCCTGCCTCAGCCTCCCAAGTAGCTGGGACTACAGGCGCCCGCCACTACGCCCGGCTAATTTTTTGTATTTTTAGTAGAGACGGGGTTTCACCATTTTAACCGGGATGGTCTCGATCTCCTGACCTCGTGATCCGCCCGCCTCGGCCTCCCAAAGTGCTGGGATTACAGGCGTGAGCCACCGCGCCCGGCCACTTCAGATTTTTTAATGCTTTAAATAGAACCTATAATGCATTTTCACAGATGACAAAAATAGATATTAAACTCCATTAGTAGGCTCCACAAGTTGTGGACAAACATTTTTTTCTCCTCCTAGAACCTTGTGAAACATCAAGTACATCTAATAGACCAATTAGAGTAATAAACCATCACAGCCTGCTTGCTGCTGTATCTACACAAACTGTTGTAAGAACAAGTGCAACTGATTGCAAATGAAAATTCTCTAAATCCTAGATACAGGAAGAACTAGAGCAGCTATCTGCTGAGTTCACTAAAGTCAATGCCAAAATCTAGGAGCTATATATTTAAATAAAAGTGATGTGGGGAGGGGAAAGAAAGGTGAAAAAATTATGTTTGAATCCTTAATGAAGATCTACATTATGTGCCCGGCAAAATCATGAACACCAGAATGAAGGCTCCTTCCCTGGCAAAAGCAAGAACAGGACAGAAGGCTACCACATGTAAGATGAAGGCTCCCTGCAAACAGGAGAGTTGCAGGTGTGATAGCTAGAGTATCTTTCACAGCCCTTTAAGTCTCTAAATAATGTGAGTGTATCAACTGTTTTCAAATTAAATTCTCTGTATATAATTTCACTAATAGCAACCATATGGGAAGCATCTGTAGCTTTCCTCAATTCTAATTTTCATAGGCAGAAGAGACACTGACAAAAATAGCCCCACAATCTCAGAGAGCCACAGCAGACTGACCTAGTTAGATTCTGCAGGCTGAGTGCATCTGAGCTGGCTTAATCCTGCCCTAGCTTTGAGGCTGTGGTTATGCCCCAGAGCTCAGACCTTAGGGTTCATTGGGTCTTGTGAATTTACAGTTTACAGGTCACTTGGGTATTTGAAACCATTTTGGTGCGGATCTGATTGAACCACCTAAGGCTATCCCAAAATCAACTCTCTGTAATAGGAAGATATCTGAAATCATCATTCTCAAAACAACAAAAATTTAAATAAACAAAATGGCAAATGTTAAAATGGAAAAGTATCTATAACACATTTGACAAAAGGTAAGTAAACTTTATTTATAAAAGGTTAAACATCCCAATAAAAATGTCAGAAGAAATATGTAATTGACAAAAGAAAGGAAAGTGCTAACAAGTATACAAAATATGTAACATCACCAGTAATCAAATAAATGCAAACTAAAACATAAACCACCTATGGAAGGGGCAGGATTGAAAAATCAAAAACATAAAATAAACCACCATTTCTTTGCCCATGACATTGACAAGTGGTGGGGAGAGGTGGAAAAGTATGTTTGAATCCTTAATGAAGAAATCCTAAATAAGTGGATACCCATCTTAACCATTGCAGAAGAATGTTTCAAAAATGCTTCTGCTGTAAACTGTAAAGAAAATGGGTTGTAAAATCATATATGTAATGATATGCCAGATTTGTAAACACACACATACGATAGAGTTTATAAAGACCAGAATAATAAATACCAAAATGTTGACATAGTTATACAGAGATGGTAGGGATTATAGATGATTTAGAAACAATTTAAATTTTTTTACTTTCTAAATAAATATGGCCAGGTGCAGTGGCTCACACCTGTAATCCCAGCACTTTGGGAGACCAAGGTGGAAGGACTGCTTGAGGCCAGGAATCCTGGGTAACATAGCGAGATCCCGTTTCTGCAAAAATTTAAAGAAAAAAAAAATTAGCCAGGCATGGTGGTGTGTGCTTGTAGTCCCAGATATTCAAGAGGCTGAGCAGGGAGGATTGCTTAAGCCCAGGAGTTCGAGGCTGCAATGAGCTATGAGCGTGCGACTGAGCTCCCACCTGGGAGACAGAGCATGACTTGATCTCCAGGAAAAAAAAAAAAATTGTATTTCTTTTCTCATCAGAAAAATGCATGTTACATTCACAATATTTAGGCAGTTAACAACTGAGAGATGTCTAGAGGCGATTTCTGTTCACAATTTTCTGTGTTCCAGTTGTTAATGATGGCACAAAAGATGCTTGAAGTTGGACCATTAACATGGACACGCACTTCATACGCTAATATACAGAGCGGAAAGTCCTCTGTTAAGAGTCATACTTATTCTGGGAAAAGGGCCTCTCAAAAAATTTCAAAAGGACAGTATTATTGCGAAAGGGCGGCTTATGCTTTATTTACTTTCACATTATGTTCATATTTAGCTAATTGTAACATCTTACAAAAGGCAAATTTCTATGACGATTTTCTTTTCAAAGTCACTTTTTAAAGTTTTAAGTAGTTTCTAGATAATATTCTTGTACAAGCTTTTCCAGTTTTGGGAAAAACCATATGCTAAGTGTTAACTTCTCTCACATTTTTATTCACTTTTTAAAGTTTTATGGTAGTAGTGACACTATCTTGGCATTATTTCACAAAGCTTTTTTTGGGTATCAACTGTAGGAGAAGAAAACAATATGTTTTCCATGTTTATTTTATGAAGACAATATGCTCCAAGAAAAAACTTATCACACAAAATTCTACTTTTGTTTATAAAAGAAAAAATAATAGTGTCTCCTCCAGTAAAGCAACAAAATATTGATTCTTGCTATGTGCCATGCTAGGTACTTTTTTTTTTTTTTTTTTTGAGACGGAGTCTTGCTCTGTTGCCAGGCTGGAGAGTGGTGGTGCGATCTTGGCTCACTGCAACCTCCGCCTCCTGGGTTTAAGCGATTCTCCTGCCTCAGCCTCCCGAGTAGCTGGGACTACAGGCACCCGCCACCACGCCCAGCTAATTTTTGTATTTTTAGTAGAGATGGGGTTTCACCATGTTGGCCAGGATGGTCTTGATCTCTTGATCTCGTGATCTGCCTGCCTTGGTATCCCAAAATGCTGGGATTACAGGCATGAGCCACCATGCCTGGCCGCTAGGTACTTCTTAATAAAGTTCTTAGATGCAATGAGAAATAACTAATAGCACATAATAGGAAACACATGCAAGTCATCGTTAGGAATCTTAAAATTTTAGGCATAATCTCAATCCCCAAACAGACAATGCTTACCCTCACCATCCCTCTTTTTTGCAATGTTTTTACCAATTTCTGATGTTTATTATTTTAAAAATGTGTTTTTTAGGGACAGTGGTTTTACTATGTTGCCTAGGCTGGCCTCAAATTCCTGAGCTCAAGCAATCCTCCCAAGCAGCTGAGACTACAGAGGTGCCCACCACATCCAGCTCCGATTTCTGGTTTTAATAGGCACAGAAAGAGATCAGTAGGTGCTCATCTCCTTGAAAAACACCGCAAACCATTTCAAATAAGGACATATCTCTACCTTCCAAGAGTAGACTAGTTGTATTTTTTTTTTATGAGATTTCATAATTCACCTTGCCATCTGTTGGGGGGAAGGGGAACCAATGCATGTTGTACTGACAGGTAAGGAATTGTATAAATTCGCTTGTATCCTGAAAAACAACTCATGAAAATCCTCAGCTAGAAAAAAAAGTATGTTTCTTTTGCTATTAACCAGCAAATACTCGATTAATATCTGTCCTTTTATCCCGAACATTAATGATTCCTTTTTTTCTTTTCCATTCTTGCCTAGGCCTGTAACTTTGTCTTACCTCTTCATACTATTTATTTAGTTTATTTGGCAACAATATACTCTAGGAAATTCTTACCTCATTACAATGCTCTGTAACATCAGGTTTCTTTTTTTTTTTTTTTTTTTTTGGCAGACTCTCGCTCTGTCACCCAGGCTGGAGTGCAGTGGCGCAATCTGAGCTCACTGCAACCTTTGCTTCCTGGGTTCAAGTGAGTCTTGTGTCTCAGCCTCCTGAGTAGCTGGGACTACAGGCACGTGCCACCACATCCAGCTAATTTTTATAATTTTCAGTAGAGACAGGGTTTCACCATGTTGGCCGGGCTGGTCTTGAACTCCTGACCCCAGGTGATCCACCCACCTTGGCCTCCTAAAGTGCTGGGATTACAGGCGTGAGTCACCGCACCTGGCCTGTAACATCAGGTTTCTTATACTGAGGACCTTGATGATCCTGGAGACAAATCCCCATGGCAGTCTCCTGCCTTCTACCATGGATGGATATATCAATTTGCCACAGAGATTCATAAGACACTTGTGAACTGAAGTCAGCCAAATATATACAATTCCTCTTCCAGATATATATATAAGCTGGCACAAGATAGCCTGTGAGTTTGTAAAAAGTAAAAAATCCTTCTATGTCTACATGAAAAGTCACAATGAAATGCTCTAGCCATTAAGCCTTCAACAATCACATGCTGTTATTATTAACCCTGTGGTTATTATTAAGTTCTTTCAAAATAGAAGTGGCAGAAGCAACCCAAAGAGCCAAGAATAGAAAATCATTATTATAAGATTCAGGAACATCACACTTAAAAGCCATCAGGAAGATTTTCTTAAGTAGCTGAATAAAATCTTAATAATATAATTTAGTTATGACAAATACAAGATCCAAGGAAAAGCCACTTCCATCATACTTACTATATTGTTTTAATGATACAAATATGCCAAACGATGTCATTAAGATACTGTATGATCTTAGTTAAACTTAGCTGGTTATCATGCTCTCATATTATTCTCACACCTCATCACCTGTTTTTTGATTCAGTACACTCTTAATGCCCTTTTCTCAATAATTCAAGCCACAAAGGATCTGATGAGTGTTTTCTCACTCTAATTATTAAGTTGACTACAATTCAATATTATCAACCAACACATGAATTGCTTCTTTAGGACATTTGAATTTTACTTCTCTAGTAGCAAAGCAAAAATGGGATCCCTCAGGTACCTGATTTCAGACGTCAGCACATAGCATGATCTTTCAGGGTGTGAGTCTGAATTCATCCTTTTGGGATAAGTGGAAGTGGAAAAACATATGTGCCTGTCTCCCCAGCTACCTACCTGTGCTGCTTGGAAGATGAGCCAAGCTCGGCACTAAGGTATATTCCCATCATCACTGCTTCTGTGGGCCTGAGTCCCGCTCTCTCACACCTATAGGTCTGTCTGACAGGCCCTTGCCTGTAGACTCTCATCCTACATCCCCTCCAGAGCTCATCTTATCCCCCAAAAATCCCTTTCCCTTCTCCCCATAATCACTCCTCTTTCAGATGCAGACTTCATGCTGCAAAGACTTTGGCATTACTGTTGTTAGGACTTTGTGATGTCTTTGAACTTTTTTATGAAGTCCTAGAATCCATCTCTACTCTCCTATGTCATTTCTGCCTAGAATAATGATGCTTCTGAAAGTGAAAGGTGTTAACTATATAAATTCTCACAGACTATTAAACCTGTTTTTAACTGGTAGCATTTTTTTAATTAAAAAATGTAAAAATTACACCATAAGAGACTAACATTTGAACAGGTTTTCTTCATTGTACTTTGTGTTAAGCTGAACAACATGAAATTGTCATGTTAGGTCAAAAATGGACAAGTAGGGCAATTTCATATAATTCAATCTAATATCTGACCCAATTTATGCCAATGATTTTAAGTGCCAGGATGAGCTGTTTGTGCAAAGACAGATGACAACCAGCAAGCCTCTTCTTCCTAGGACAAAGCTGTTTATGACTAGTGACCTAGATTTCTCACCCTGTGGTGCCCAAACCCAGTCTGTTCAATGGCATCACCCGGTTTATCATGACAACTACTTCAGGCGGTGGGCAGCCATTACTCACACAGCAGCAGAGATGAAGAACCACCACCCTGTGGGCAAACCTGTATCCCTGTGCAAGGAACAAAACTGAAGAATAAAACATAATAAAAGTAGAGCTTTACTATAATCTCTCCTATCTTATTTTCTTTTCAAAATCATTTTTATAATGTGAGTCTAACACTCAATTAGTGGGTTATATTGATTGAATGGAAATCCTAGATTTAAATACAGAAATAGACTGAAAAGTCAATACATTAAAATGATGCTCCTGTAATCCTGCCCACGTGATTGGCTGGCTCTCTTTGGTTTCAGATTCTGATCTGAAAGAATGGCATTTACAGGAAAACAGCAGAATAAACATGTTATAAATGCATTAAGTCTACATAACAAATAGTCACCCAGAGCTACTCCATAATTAATCATCTGTATCTCAACATTCAGCTAAGTTACTAGGGAAACTGGGGAGAGCGGGGGGAAATACATTTTCTCTGTTATGCTCCTCAACCCATGAGTTTATATTCCAAAAGAAGGTGATTAGGACATGTAAACAAATAGCTATAATGCAAGACAGAGGTCCCCTCTCTGGGCCAGGGGCAGGGGGTGGGGGGAGAGATGATTTCAGGATGAAACTGTCATACCTCAGATCATCAGGCATTAGTTAGATTCTCATAAGGAGTGCACAACCTAGATCCCTTGCGTGAGCAGACATTATGGAATATATATACTATAGGCAGTAAATACAACACACTTGTAATCACTTCCTTTACAGTCTTTGGATTCAGTAATATGAACACAGTTATCTCTAAGCCGGGAAGTACACCTAGTATCTTTACAGTGACTATTAAGTATTTTTGAACTCAAAGTATATATTCATCTTAAACTCCTGGAACTATGAACCCTCCCATGTAATTTTCTGATGAATGAAAAGGAAAACTTTCTTTCAAATAAGTGTCATCTGTTGCAAAAGTATGTGATTTAAAAACACATGTAAATATAATCTTAGCTCTAATGTTTTCCTTTGGGAGTTTGGGAAAAAGCAGTTACATTTCTCTGTTGTCTGGTTTTTATCATTTGAAAATTGGAAGATTCATTCTGATTGCTGAGCTGCATCAGTAGGGTTTAACTGATTTTGAAATTACAGTATAAAGGGCAATATTTCCATAAAAGAATAAAATACAGAAAAGTAATGAAAATAAAATTATGCATCTTAACTTAGCTAGATGAACCCAAGAAATTTTCCTGAAAACCAAGAGATAAAGAAATGGCGAATGATATATTCATTCAAAGTATTCTCAGGAGCAAAGGCAGTGGCTTACACCAAAGCCTGTTAGAGTATTATTAAATAAAGTACTTAATGTCTGTCTACTTGGAAGGAAGAAACACCACTGGACAGAAATAGTGTATATATATTTGTATAATTTTATTATGTAAAATTAATAAATCCTTTGTCCTAGAACTAAAAATTGTTTTTGGGAAGAAAATAAGATTGGAAAAATTCTTTTGAATAAAATAATATAAACCATAAAACTGTTATACTTAATAGTGCCAAGAAATGATGTGAAAGCATTGTCTCATGTGTCTTCCCAGTTTTTTTTTTGTGCTCTTTTCTTCTTTCCTTTTTTTTTTTTTTTTTTTGAGACGGAGTTTCACTCTTGTTGCCCAGGCTGGAGTGCAATGGCACGATCCGGCTCACGGCAACCTCTGCCTCCTGGGTTCAAGCGATTCTCCTGCCTCAGCCTCCCGAGTAGCTGGGATTACAGGCATGTGCCACCACGTCTGGCTAATTTTTGTATTTTTAGAAGAGACGGGGTTTCTCCATGTTGGTCAGTCTGGTCTCGAACTCCTGACCTCAGGTGATCCGCCCACCTTGGCCTTCCAAAGTGCTGGGATTACAGCCATAAGCCACCGCACCGGCTTCTTCTTTCCTTTTTTAAAGAGGTCTCACTCTGTCCCCTAGGCTGGAGTGCAATGGCTTGAACATTGTTCACTACAGCCTGGACTTCCTGGGCTCAAGGGATCCTGTCTCAGACACTGGATCAGGTGGGGCTACAGGAGCGCACTTGCCACACCTGGCTTCTATTTTCAACTTTTGAAGAAGGGAGACTAAGAGACCATCTGTCAGTTAAACCCTCCCCTTAGAAGTCATAATTCTACAATGATTATCTCAAAGTTTTGCAAAGTAATTCCTATGAAACATGTTGAAAAACCCATACCGAGAGCATTGTATCGTTCTCATTGGGATTCAATTATTTTTCAAAACTCTCAGACATATGTGATAAAGGCTTCCCATCTGCAGTTTTATCTCCCCATAAGTCTAAGAATGGCATTAGACTCTAACACCCTATAGTACTCTATAGCAAGGCAACGTAAGTTGAAATCCAGCTGTAATGGGAGACTATTATTTAAGCTTTGAGCTTCAGGTTTCATGTCTGTAAAATGGGGAAGGCACAACCTACCGACCTCTCAGGTTATAAGTAATTACAACCTTTAGAGTTCTTAATACCTTACCATTTTTATTTGTACCATATAAAACCACTTTTCTTTTTTAGAGGCTGAAATCTATGACATGGAAGATAACTGGAAATAGCCTATCTTAGTGTAACAGGCAATCAGTATCATTGCAACGAATTAGTAGAACCAAGCGTGCTGAGTTGTGTGCCTTCAGTCTTGCAGCCTACCTAGAAATAGACTGTTACTTAGGAAACAGAAATGGGAAATGTGAAGATTTGCTACAAGAAAGGCTGCATTCATAGGGTGTGATATGCAGTAGCTAAATTAGAATTCTGACAGATTTAGTAACAGATTTGGTGGCAGTTGTAACATTGAGTCTTTTATTTATTGTAAAAACTTACACTGATGTGCTCAGTTATTTTAGCAAACATATTTTACTTATATTGTCCTTGGGGTAAGATATATGGTTTTCTGGGGAGAAATCTCTGACTAGGCAAGATAGAAATACTTGTGCAGAAAAATTCACTGTTAAAAAAATCCTCTGGTTGCATAACAAGGTAAATGTACTTAATGCAACTGAACTATACATTTAAAAATGGTTAAAATGGTAAATTTTCTGTTATGTCTTTTACCATGATTAAGAAAAATCCTTAAATAACCATTATCATCTCTCATTTCATGTACACTGAGGCTACAACTAATCCACAGGGATCCCTCATTATTAAGTCATGTCTACACGAGATGAAAGATTGTATTGACAGGATATAGACAAACTAGAAAAAAACTAGTCCTCAAAAGATGTCTCTCTCCTTAAGAAGGGGCCTAAAAACAAAACTTGAGATGACAATTTCACACTGTGTCAAATCCTATGCATTAAATCAGTGGACAGAATATTTCCTTGAGAGCCTTTGAATCCAACAATACAGAGCATGGGTGTCCATAGATACCACAGATGAAAGGTTATCTCCTGTACACACATACACACAAACAGAGAGAAATGAGAGACAGCGTGACACCTCATTTTATAACACTAAGGTCATCACTAAAACTTCTTATACAGCAGAACCAACCTGCTCAAAACACAAAATGAGGCCTAGCAGAAGCTCTACTTGGCCTCTGGAATTGTACTGACCCTCTTTATCTTTACCATTACTGTCTTCTACCTATAGCCAGCACCTTCTATCTCCGTTGAATCTCTAAGACCCTGAAAGCTTGAACATGTAGAAAATTGATGGTTCTTCCAAGAAGAGGAGAAAGACCTTATTTAAGTCCATTATCTAACTTACTCCGAAAACTTTCCTAAATGGTGTTAAAACTTTCTCCAAGAGAAGACCAGGAGCTCTGAATCCTCTCAGAAAAATGCATATCCAGGTGATTGTGTGTGGACCGTTCCAATTTGGTCATAGCTTACTTAAGTTCATTCTTGAACTCTAGTCTTCCAGATTCTGGGTTTAAATACATAGGTTTATTTTCATGACAAGTGAGAAGTGTGAGAATACACACACACACACACACACACACACACACATAAACACACACACACGTAGAGCATATCTAATCCAAAAAACCAAACTGCTCCAATGAGCATTCCCTTTGAAAGTCACGTGGGTGCTCAAAAAGTTTCAGATTTTGGAGCATTTTGGATTTCAGATTTTCAGATTAGGGTTACTCAACCTGTATAAGTTTTTTTAAAAAATGTATTCCTGATAGGTATATTAAACTTTCTTGGAAAGGTTTTCTCTACAGGGGTTTCTATAGGTCCACATGTCCCCAGTGTGAAAAACGATATGCATTTGGATAGAATCTATAGATACCAACAGAATCTATAGATTTTGCTAGGGAAATAACATTTTCAAGTTTATATTACGGTTATCTTTAAGGATCACAGGTCTTGAATTTTTCTCTTTGATTTATACATATCAAAACAAAGAAAAATTAAATACTGGAAAAAGAAGATATTAATAAGAAAGCTGAAAGTCCCCTCAAAATAATGGCTCAAGGAGGGCTTAATTGGTAAGGAATGTTTCAGTCTGTGGAACAATTAAAATAATAAGTTATAACAGGATGTTCCTTAAGCTACAAATTATAAAGGGCATAACTTACATCCCCAAACCATGTTATGTTACTGAACAGGTATACTTCTTTTGTCATATGAATATACTGGACCCATCTCTCCCTACCCCAGGGTGGGGCAAAGGGAAATTAACTATTTGCAAAAAAATTTAGGTATTTTCCCCCAGGGGAAGAAAAGATATCCACTGGGGGACATTGTTTAAGTTTCCTCTTAGTAGCAGCTCCTAATTACCTGTGGTTGGAAAAGAAGAGAAGCCTTAGTTGTCACAAAAGGACAGACAATTAAGCATCCTCTCACATCCCTCATTCCTTTATGTCATACAACTAATAAATGGATAGGATGAGCTTCATGTGAAAACTACATGGAGTTAACACTCAACAAACAATGGGGAAAAAGTGTAAACATTTGTCAATGTCATGTTTCTCTGGTTCTCTTTTTCTTTTTACTTAAGATACTATTCCACAAGATCCTATCAATTTTCATACACCATTATACATATATACTTACCAGTACTGGTAGTCCCCTACATGTGAACATGGCATTTAACTGGCATTTAAAAATATTTCCCCAACAGAAACAATATTACATATGTTAACTTGGCTCCTAGGCTGACCAAAGTCCATTTGAGGCCAGGTGCAGTAGCTCACACCTGTAATTCCAGCACTTTGGGAGGCTGAGGAGGGTGGATCTCTTGAGGGCAGGAGTTTGAGACCAGCCTGGCCAACAAGGTGAAACCCCGTCTCTACTAAAAAAAAAAAAAAAAAAAAAAAAAAATTAGCTAGGAGTGGTGGCACATGCCTGTAATTCCAGCTACTCGGGAGGCTGAGGCAGAAGAATTGCTTGAGCCCAGGAGGTGGAGGCTGCAGTAAGCGGAGATCGCGCCACTGCACTCCAACCTGGGCAACAGGGCGAGACTCCATCTCAAAAAAAAAAATAAATGAATAAAATAAAGCCCATTTGATCCATAACCTAACCTATAACGTAAAGTACTGCTTTCTGTGCCATCATGTAGTGATATTTCCCTGGGCCAGAGTTTCAACCTGAGCTGCCAGGAACATATCTCTCTCTTGCTGTATGAGGACAGAGCTTCTCCTAACTCCAAAGCAGCAGTGATGGCTGTCAGAACCTTGGGGGTAAGAAGAGAAGGCCAACTCCCAAAAGGAAGGAATTGTAGAATGACTGGCTTATTTAGGAACCCCTTTTTTGGTTCCTAAATAAGATGGCTACAAGATGAAAAGCTACAGGCCTCCCCAATATTTTTGCCCACAAGAAAATTCCTAGTGAGCTGCAAGATCTTTAAGGTGTTTTTGTTAAAATTTCACCACCGCAGTGTAAATTGGTAGTTTATCTTTGCAGGTGCAGCCACCTCCCCACACCACCCACCAGATGCAAATGCAATCTGATTGTTCCCCTGCCCCATTTTGTCTTTGTTATCTTATGTAAAATGCATATTCCCTGCATTTTTCCTCTACCCCATGTCTATGTCATCTTACTTAAAAAAAAAAAAAATGCAGATCCCAGCACTTTGGGAGGCTGAAGGTGGGCAGATCACGAGGTCAGGAGTTCGAGACCAGCCTGACCAACATGGTGAAACCCTGTCTCTACTAAAAATACAAAAATTAGCCAGGCGTGGTGGCACACATCTGTAATCCCAGCTACTCAGGAGGCTGAGGCAGGAGAATCGCTTGAACCCGGGAGGTGGATGCTGCAGTGAGCCGAGATCGTGCCACTGCACTCAGCCTGGGTGACAGAGCCAGACTCTGTCACAAAAAAAAAAAAAAAAAAAAAAGAAAGCAGATTCACTGAGCCAGACAAAGGCATGAATGACTGTTTTTCCCTAGCCCCTCTCTTACATGAAAATTGTGTACTTCTCAATATACCACCCTTTCCCCTTTAAATTTGGAGCCCTCAAAATCATCTTTGGAGAAAGGCATTAGACCTGACTCCTGACCACATATCCTTAACTTTGACAAATAAACCTCCTAAAATGATGGAGACTTGTTATTTTTCTCAACTGACAAAGGTGAGAGACTTTATCCTTTTCTTAGGTCATGTGTCCTTTTGAGAAGATGATGAAAGCTACACCTTTTCCCCAGAAAAATGCACATTAGGACATACACATATACTTGATAATTTGTGGACCCCAAAAGTTTTAGGGATCCCTCTTCAGATACAAAGAAAGAATCCTATATTTAGATTTGCACACTGTAAAGTTAAACCCATCTGCCTTTTAGAGGAACACTTAAAAACTGTGATGTTCATCATCAGCATGATGATAGGATAGGAGTAGAGGGAATAGGGCCCGTACATAGAGTAGCACAAGTAACTGAGGACACTGGGAACACCAGGACCTGCCCGATTCATGGATAGGAAGGGAGATGAAAGGAGAAACAGTCACAAATTTATGTACTTTTCTTTCCAACTGACTTTGGACAAGACAGTGCAGACGCTGGTTCTAAAATGAAATGAAAACCAGAAGTCTCTGTGAGTTGAGACTCAGGTGTTCACATGCACCTGTGTCTAAGGGAACATGCTTATCTGTGCAGAGGAAATGGATTGAGAATGTTTGGTGGTTAGAGGGAGATGAAAGGTAGAGTCCCAAACATCACCTAAGAGTTTGGAAAAATGGAAGATGGAGGAGATGAAAGACTGTGTGAACCAAGAGATCCCACAAGCCATTCGGTCACAGGTGGCTTGGGCAATTGTACCTATATGGCAATGTGTGTGTGTGTGTGTGTGTGTGGAAAACCCAACGAAGTTGACTTAAATAATAAAGAAATTTATAGGCATTCACAACTGACAGGCCCAAAAGTAGAAAAGGCTTCAGTTTGATCTGAAAGTTCAGGAAGTCATTAGGATACTAGCTCCATTTCGCTGAGATTTTTTGGGTTTTGTTGAGACATAGTTTCACTCTGTCACCCAGACTGGAGTGCAGTGGCATGATTTCAGCTCACTGCAACCTCTGCCTTCCAGGTTCAAGAGATTCTCGTGCCTCTGCCCCCCAGGTAACCCCCAGGTAGCTGGGATTACAAGTACGCACCACTACGCCCTGCTAATTTTTGTATTATTAGTAGACATGGGGTTTCACCATGTTGGCCAGGCTGGTCTTGAACTCCTGACCTCAGGTGATCCGCCTGCCTTGGCCTCCCAAAGTGCTGGGATTACAGGCATAAGCCATCCTGTCCGGCCTGAGATTTCTTAGCTCTGGCCTCCTCTTTGGGCTAGCAGCCCTGAGGCTCTGTGACTTTTTCACTTCCAAGGAGAAAAAGAACCCACCCACCTCCTCTGAACACATGATTTACAAGTGCCAATAGTTTCATTTATTGTTCACAATCCTAACTAATATGGGGCTTCATGCGATAACCCCAAGGTAAGTACTGTTATCACCATTTTACAGGGTTTGAGAAAAACAAGACTCAGAGGTTAGGTAACGGTGCCTAGTTACACAGCTGATGACAGTAACAGCCTGAAGCCAATGCAGAGCCCTCCAATTCCACAACTGATGCCCTTGATCACTCCACTACTTATCTCTCCAGACAGAGAAAGAGCTAAGACAGGGGTCAACAAGCCTAATCTATAAAGTGTCAGACAGGAAATACTTTAGGCTTCCGGGCCACAAGTATGTTGTACATTCTTCTCTGTGTTTTGTTTTTACAAACCTTTTACAGTTTTAAAAAACCCTGAATGGCCAGGTGCAGTGGCTCACAGCTGTAATCCCAGGACTTTGGGAGGCCTAGGCAGGAGGATTGCTTGAGTCCAGGAGTTCCAGACCAGCCTGGCCGACATAGGGAGCTCTCATCTCTACAAAAATTAAAATGAGCTGGGCATGGTGGCACATGCCTATAGTCCTAGCTATTCAGGAGGCTGAAGCGGGAGAACTGCTTGAGCCTGGGAGGTCAAGCTGGCAGTGAGCCATGATCACACTACTGCACTCTAGCCTGGGTGACAGAGAGAGACCCTTTCTCAAAAACAAACAAACAAACAAAAACAGTTGAGTGGACTTTTGAGTCAGACAGACCTGTATTCTAGTTCAGACTCCAGCACTTCCTAGTTGTGTGATTCTGAGCAAGTTACTTAACCTCTTTGAGTTTCAATTTAGTCATATATAAAGGAAATTGTAGTAGCTGCCTTTATCATCTGATTATTGTGAGGATTAAAATTAAATTATCTATACAAAGTACCTGGCACATAGCAAGTGTTCAATAAATACTGGCAATTATTATAAACAATTATCCCAATAAAAATTTCAAATTCTACAGTTTTCGTTGGCATCCCAGGCCAGGAAAACTGTTGCTCACAGTCTCAACATTGATTCTTCAAATGGAATTTTCCTTCTCAATTCCTTCTTTATGGAACATACTAATATTTGACTTGTTTTTTAATTAATCTCTTAACATCTAAGTGCGTCTGTACACTTATGGAGGATCTGTCTCGCTGTTGCATAGAATTGCCCTAAGTTTAGTAAACATCTTTTCACTGATCTTGAATCACTTTGAAAGTAACTCTAAATAAATCAAATTCTTTTCAGGTTTTGTAGTAATGTTAGACATACTATCGTCCTCTAAACGTAGGAATGCTGACGTAGCAAAGTGTTGTACTTGTGGTTACACTAAGTGCATCTACCTGAATCCCAAAGGGATTTGAATGGGAAAAAGCAAACTTCTAACAGCTTCTTAAAAATCAGGTGTTTCAACATCTGCTTTGATTTATGAGTAATCCCATATTCCAGGTCTTAATTATTTCTCTAATTTTTTATTTTAAGAAGAGAAAAAGCTCATCTATTACAAAGCAGAATAAAAATATTTTTGTCACTGTCAGATAATGTAAGATTATTTGAAGAAAAATCTTTTACAGTATAACCATTAGTAGATTTTAAAGCAGAGCCTCTAATTTCCAAATCATTGGGAAGATGCACAGAAAAAGACGGAAAAAAAATACATCCACATGTCAACAGGAGTTTTCCAAGAATCTTATTATTGTGATTACCCTCATTGCAATGTAAATTTTATGTTTTACAAACTTTCTAAACATAATCACATGCTCCTTTTGAGAAAAGAAAAATAAAGAATAATATTATTTCCAAAGTAGAACTAAAAACCTGAAATGTTTCCCTTAATTCTCTTCCATGTTGAAACAGTTTGCCACATGTATTTATTTTAATTGACACTAATTCAGTAGCCAGAGAAGCAGAACAGTGACCAGTCACTATGAAGCTTCGGGCAACAGACCCCTGGAGGTCTGTTCCCTCATGAAAAGCACTCACTTCCTCTCCAGTTCTTATATTCTTATCACAGGGCCAGGAGGTGGCCTGGAGTCAGAGGGGCCTGAAAGCTGCTCCACCATTTGCTAGCTGTGTATATTTCTTGCTAGTTACTTCACCCTGGGGTTTAGGTATTACCTTGTGTAAAATGGGGTAAATACCTCCCTTAAGAGAACACCCTCATGGCTTCCACATGGTAAGTGCTCCACTCATGATGGTGGTTGTCATTTCTCTTACTAACTAAATATTATAATGCTGGAAATGGAAATTTTTTCAGATTTTCCCTTCCACTCCTGTCTCATTAATCTTATTTATCATTTATTTTACCCTAGTTATTTATCCAATTTTTATGCCCAGATGGCTTTTTTTATATATTGCACATGTCAAACTTAAGTTACGCAATGATCAGACCACAGCATGACAACTTTCATCGCACTCATCCTTCCAGAACAGAGAGAATAGACAGATCCACCATGGTTTGCTCACATGCAGCTCTCAGATAAGGCTCCAGATGAAGCCATTAAGTTCCCATCACAAATTTTCTCTTCTCCTCTACTCACTGGAACATCTGGAGTAGGAAGGGAGGATCACAGTCTGGGTGTGAGGCTGCAGAATAAGGAAAGATTCCTCCTGTGAATTCAGAGGGCCACAGGCAGCCATGGCTTCATGGACCAGAGCCTGGCATTCACAGAGGTAGTAGTATTTGCCACTAGATTCCAAACCAAGAACTAGAAAATGCTGAGATGCCTTTTTGTGCATTTTTCACCAACAGCCAAGTTAGATTTATAGATTTTTTATGTAGCAGGGGTCCAATTTTGACTTTAAAATTAAATACACCAGGGCTTGTCAAGGAATCTACCAAAAGCCATTTTAAAAGTGTAATTCATCCATTTGCAACAATAGATCCAGCTCATGGCTTTTGTACCAAGGAGCAGCAAATGAAGAATCTCTTAGGAAGTGCTCTGTGTGTGCACACACAAACGCATACACATGCTACATAATTTCCTAAAGTGGTATACACACATAGACATCCCACACAGAATTATTCCCTGGCCAGATAAGTATACTACATTCCTTTCTTTGTGATTCGTAATAAAATACTAAAGGCTCTTACAAGTTCAAAAGTAACCTGAATTAGAAACACTCTTTTGTTGGCACAGTCATTAAAGGCCTGCACTAGGAGTGCCTTGTGGAACCCCAGTATGGGAAACATAACTGCAAAGCATAAGTAGTGGAGTGGCACACAGAGCACCGGCAGGAAGATGCTTCCAGGATGAATGTGGCATTCCTGCAGAGGACTGGTTTGTGAGCACATCAGATACCCCTGGGAAATGTCCAAAATTTGGGGAGCGATATTTTGTAGGGGCTGATGGGTCCTGAATCAATGGGTTATAACAAAGACCAAGGTAGTTTTAAATTATAAGTACAATAATAATTACACTTAGTTTGATATGCTTACTCTAAGCAGAGCTCTCCTCTCAGGAATTCAGACTGCACTCTTATAATTGATATGAATAGAGTGCACAGAATACTGATTTTTTTTTTCCCAGCAAAGTAACTTTCTTTTTCCAGGAAAATAAGGCAGCCATACAATGCATCATGATATATGGCTGAGCTGAAAGCAAAACTGAGGTTGCCAGACCAGCAGTCTGCAAGTCTAAGCTTCCTCTTGTTAACTAAAATAGACTCTACAATAATAAAAGAAAACCACAGTCATGGATAGCTAACTCCCTACCTTTTAATTATTCATGCTAATGCCTTGCATGTGTAGAGTTTATACTTTACAAATGCTAATCAGGCCCAAGGACTACATGAATAATGGAAACCCAGAAATAATTACCAAATCTAATCTTAAGCAAAGTTTTCAATACATGCTCTCCTCAGAAATCTTCCCCAAATGGTGCCTTCTCCCTTTCCCTCCTTTATTCTGAAAGAAGGCGGCCAACTTAACTTTTTATGTACTTTGCTTTTTCTCTGCCCACCTAATAGTATTGATGCTGAATGACCAAAAGGAAGTGAAGCAAGAAGAAGAGAAAACCAAAGGCTCAGGTCTGTCAACTCGATGTGGTTCCAAAAGAAGAATCTGTCCAAACAAGGATTTCTGAGGGGGAAAAAAAAAGGGGGGTGGGGGAAGAAGAATCTGAAACCTGGCTCTAACCCTGACCCGCCATGTCAATGGAGATGATAATTGCCCTTCCCACAGATCCGCACAGTGCTGGTACCATCTGTTTCCTCCCCCAGTGACTCGGCATACCTTAGGAAAACAATTAGCTTTATACCAGATTACTGATGCAGCAATTTCTCTTGCCTTCCCCTAAGGGGAAAAAAACCACCTAAACAGTGCTGTCCTTTCCATTATTTAAAAAAATCTACATTAACCAATGTTTAATTTTGCTAATTAAAACTAAATACCATTTTATAGCCATCCAATTCTCAAAAATCAAAGTGTCTTACTAAATCAAGTGGAAGTGAATATGGGGAAATAGGGACTGCCATGAGCTGCAGGCAGAAGTATGCTGATCAAACTATTTCGGAAGGCAATTTGGCATGTGAAAATGCACAGCACATACCACTTCTAGGAATATATATTTGCATATATGCTAAAAGAGAGCACTATAAAAAGTTACTGCAGCACCGATTTGTAGTCACAACAAAGTGAAAAAACAAAACTATAATCAACTTCTCCATTCATCAGTTGGGGAATAGTAAATAAACTGCAGTAAAGTCACACTACAGAATTCTAGGCAGCACTTAAACTATATTTATCACTTGGGATGGGTATTTTAAAACTTCAGTAGGGGAAGTAAAAGTAGCAAACTGATATGTTAATATGACATAATTTATGTCAATTTAAGCACACAAATGATGTATTATTTATAGATATATATATGTGGTAAAATTACAGAAATGGGCTGCAAGGGTACATATTATCTCCCTGGGAAGGGAAATAGGGAAACAGGGAGAGAGATGGAAGGAGGTGAGACTACGGAAGGATACACAGGAAATGACGAAATTAGCCATAATAATTTGTATTCCCATAAATACATCGTTTTTTGTTTTGTTTTTTTTTTGGGGGGGAACAGAGCCTCACTCTGTCACCCAGGCTGGAGTGCAGTGGTGCAATCTTGGCTCACTGCAACCTCCACGTCCTGGGTTCTGGCAATTCTCTTGCCTCAGCCTCCCAAGTAGCTGGGACTACAGGTGGGTGCCACCACAGCAAATGTTTGTATTTTTAGTAGAGACAGGGGTTCACCATGTTGGCCAGGCTCATCTCGAACTCCTGGCCCAAGCTATCCACCCGCCTTGGCCTCCCAAAGTGCTGGGATTACAGGCCTGAGCCACCGCATCCAGCCCATTTCCCATAAATATATCTTTTAATATAAAATATTTACCTTTAAAAAAATTTTTTAGACATAGTCTCGCTCTGTTGCCCAAGCTGGAGTGCAGTGGCACAATCTCGGCCCAATGCAACCTCTGCCTCCCAGGTTCAAGCGATTCTTGTGCCCAGCCTCCCAAGGAGCTGGGATTACAGGCATGTGCCACAACGCCTGGCTAATTTTTGTATTTTTAGAAGAGATGAGGTTTTGCCATGTTGGCCAGTCTGGTCTCAAAATACTGACCTCAGGTGATCCTCCCACCTTGGCTTCCCAAAGTGCTGGGATTACAGGCATGAGCCACCATGCCCAGCCAAAATATTTAAAATGTGTTTAAAAGGTCTGGGTCCTGGGGTCCATGAGTATTTATTATGTTGGCCCTCTGCTTCTTTTGTTTTTTAAAATAATTTTGCAAACATTGTAACTCCCTTTTTTAGGGCCAAACAGACGATAAAATAAAAGACTGAGAAAGGCATATAATCTTACAACAAGGTATAAGGTGAAATAAGCTGAGTTCGCAAGCCATAAAATAGTATCTTCCTGAACACTGTTTTAAGAACTCAATTGTATATTACATTTCCATGTAATGTGTGTGTGTGTGTGTGTGTGTGTGTATATATATATATATATATATATATATATATATATAGTAAAATTACAGAAATTGGCTGCAAGGGTACATATTCTCCCCCTCGGGAGGGAGATAGGGAGAGGAAGGGAGAGAGAGATGAACATTAGCCATAATGTCCTAATTTTAGTGTCCCCATTTTTGTGTGTCTGATGTAAAAGTACTGTTTGCCTCACAATGCTATTATAAAAGTGGTTGTCAAGGATAATAAGTTCCAATAAAAATATTTGCTATAGCTAGACAATCGCTAGGCATCTGAGATTATTTTCAAGTTATAAAAAGTCAGAAGTAAAAGAAAAATGATGAGAACACAGGGACACATCGAAAGGAACAGCAGACACTGGGGCCTACCGGAGGACAAGAGGATCCAGAAACATATGAGTACCAGACTTAATACCTGGGTGATGAAATAATCTGTACAACACCCGTGACACAAGTTTACCTCTATAGCAAATCTGCACATGTACCCCTGAACTTAAAAGTTTGAAAAAAATAAAAATCTAATAATTTATATATAGGACTTATTACTGGCAAGTAGCAAAAATAAGGAATTTTAAATGTAGTTCATGTAACCACAGTATCTTTTCCACTGTGGGAAAAACAACCATTAGACATTGCCTGTGAAGTGTATGTTGATATAATCTTTTCCTTCAGAAAACCTTTATAAACATGCTGATGTAACAAAACCAAAGTGATTGGTAAAGAAGATTTAATAATGTATTTAAGCCTTGAGAAATTTCTTTGTTGTTTGTCAAATCAACAACAAAAAAATCTGTGTTTTTAATTGAATGTAATGTTAAAGAAAATTCTTGAGTAAATGCCAATTTATGTTTTCCTAGAAAACCTTTTCTTAACAGCCTCATCTCAATTCAACACATCTTGCCACTGATATACTGTATAATATAACAATATCAAATAGGGAGAATTGAATATACATAAGATGACTGTGGTAATCAAAGAAAACTTGTAACAAGTTAATCCCTACCTAAAGACATGCATAATCATTACTGTGGATGGTATTAGGTTTCACTGAGAACGAAGAGGTCACTAAATAGCTGGAACTAATAATACTTTACACAAACCACACTTGAAAGTCACCTGTAGGGAAGGGAAGAGAAATGTGGGGAGGGAAGGGCATTGGTAGGAGTTTTTAGAGGACACAATCCACAGTTTTAGATAATTCAGGATATTTTAAGGTTTATAAGCTTTGGGAAATTTCTGGAAACAATAAAAGATTATTTATCAGGGGGCATCTGCTCTTCCAGCCTCAGTACTGGGAGTTGGCCCAGGTTGATACTGGAACTGGTCCAGCCTAGGCAGGTCAACAGACTCCTTTTCACTGGAAAGGTTTCCTTCACTGACGTGCAAGAACACTGGATAAATTCCTTTCACCTCCAAAAAGGAATGAAGCTTGAGGCGGGTGTTAAAGCAAACTAAATATGGCCTGAAGACTTCGTTCTATATTTGAGTCCTTGTGGACAAACCGTAACCTAGCTTAATAGGCAGACAAAATTGAAAACCTAACTAGTAATATGCACCTGTAACAATAGCTGAGTGTTGGCCAATCCCAGCGGCCATACTTCAATCACTCATAGACTGCTGAGTGTTCAAACTGCATTCAAATAAGGCAAACACCAAGCTGTAACCAATCGCACTGTTTCTGAACCTCACTTCCAATTCCTGTAAATCACTTTACCCCTTTTGTCCATAAACTTGTTCTGACCACGAGGCACCCCGGAGTCTCCAAATCTGCTGTGATTCTGGACGCTGCCTGATTCGTGAATCGTTTCTGTTTTTTTGCTCAATTAAACTCCACTGAATTTAACTTTTCTGGAGTTTTCTTTTAACAGGGGCTATAAGAAAAGTAATCCCTGCTCCCCAGAAAAGTGGGGGAAGGCAGCGTTTTGAGCTGAAATGTACTTAAGCGGGGGTCAATCTCAATGGAGGGCTTAAAGGATACCTCATGTGAATTTAATGAGTCTTCACATCCCACAGTTCCCTCTCTGGACTCCTGGAGGCCAAGCAGAAGATCCAGAAAACAAGAGAGAAGGACGGGAAGGGGGGTAGTAACCTGCCTAAAGTCAGAATTACTGATTTCAATTTTCTCATAGACCAGAAACAAATTTCTTTTAACTTGTTTCAAGTCTTCCAAAATTTAGACATCCTTCCAGGAGAAGATTCTCAAAAAAAAAAAAAAAAAGAAAAAACAAATTTTATTTTTTAAAGAATTCTTTTCTTTTTAAATTTAAGAGAAGACATTTAAAAAAACACAAAATTTAGACATCTTAGCAGAAATGTTGGTTTCTTAAAACTACTAAGATAAAGCTGTTGAACTAAGAAAGCTTTCCAAATATTAATAACATTCGTTACCATTTACAGGCTGCTTGATTAGTGCCTGATTAGGCACAGTTACAAGCATGTTTTAGATATTATTCTACCTAATCTTTAATAACCCTATGAGATAGGTGTCACTACTAGCCCTGATTTATGGATAAAGCAAGTGAGGCACAGAAATTGTAAGTACTTTGCCTGAAGCATATGTTTAGGAGGAGGCAAAAATGGGCTCTGGACTGGCTCCAGGGTCCAAGTTTTAACTCCTACACCGTATGGCCTCCAAGACACCACAACACACTGCAAGCTCCCTCAATTCTACAAATTCTTTGACACACATTCCAATTTAAAATTTCAGAGCTACTCCTAGTACATTAAAACCTAACTTGCCCAATTTGCCTGTTAGAAAGTTGGTTTTCAGGCTGGGTGCAGTGGTGAACGCCTGTAATGCCAGCACTTTGGGAGGCTGAGGTGGGTGAATCGCTTCAGCTCAGGAGTTTGAGACCAGCCTGGGCAACATGGTGAAACTCCATCTTTGCAAAGACACGAAAATTAGCGGGGCATGGTGGCGCATGCCTGTACTCTCAGCTACATGGGAGGCTGAGGTGGGAGGATCGCTTGAGCCTGGGGAAGTGGAGGCTGCAGTAAGCCAAGATCACACGACTGCTCTCCAACCTGGGCAACAGAGTGAGACACTGTCTCAAAAAAAAAAGAAAGAAAAGAAAATTTGGTTTTCATCAGAGACCACAGTAACAAAGATTTGTCACATCATTATGAGTCCTGAAGCATCGCTGTGATTCTCAGAAGAGATCTTCATCAGCATCAGGATAAAGAAATTAATTTTTTTATCAAATGTTAACTTAACAGAGATCAAGCATTCTGAATTTGGACACCAATACTTTTTGTGAGCCTAACTGTCCCAAGCTTTGTGTTGATATACCTGCTATGACTTCATACAGGGATGCCTGCTTCTCTTCAGTCAACTTCTAAGTCTCATAAACTGTAAGTTTCAGGGTCCCAATAAAAGAAAAGATAATGCTAAATGCCATAGACTGGTCCAGGATGAACCATCAGTCAAAACCCAGGATGGTTTTCCTTTTTTTGTTTTAATGTTCACACTAAAATATCACAGTAAAGTTTGAAGATAAAATACACTAAAGAGAAACTGAAATAGGAAATTTACCTACTCATTAAAGTGTATCTAATCTTGGAAGAAACCAAATCCGGGATGCTGGGAATGACTACATAGGTTTCACTACAAATGATTATGACAGTAAGTGTCAGAAGAATGGAATTCAAGAAACACCATTTAATACCATTTAAGTCCTGAATTAAAGCTCTGCTTTCTAAACACATCACCTGAAATAGTAATGGACTCATTCTTTAACTCTGTTCTCCTAAAGTAAAAAGATATAGACCAGTAATTATATTAACTCTCTCATGAAGCATCTGTAGTTATAATGGCTCACAATAAATAACCAAGAAATCCTCAGATGGGGCTGGAGCATTCAATTTGCTCCTCTTGATAATGCTTCACCAAAAAACTATGTCACTAGCCACATGACTGCAATTACCTTTGACACTCAGGATTTAGTGAAATCCAGTGTCAGTGGCCAACAGTCCTTTTTAAACATTAACCTCTTCCTTCTTCAAAATCATATCAAATGAAAACAGAAGTTCCTCATTCTTCTCTTTCCTGTTGAACTTTAAATTAGAATAATACAGGCTATATGTCTTTCCACCTATTTTCTCCCTCTAGTCAAGAGAGTAAATTATGATGTAGAAGCTACTTATTTTTTTAAGTTTTTTTGTAAAGATGCAGTCTTGCTATGTTGCCCAGGCTGGTTTCAAACTCTTTGCCTCAAGTAATCCTCCCACCTGGGCCTCCCAAAGTGCTAGGATTACAGGCATGTGTCACTGTACCCAGTTTCGGTTTTTGTTTTTGTTTTTTTTGAGACAGGGTCTCATTCTGTTGCACAGGCTGGAGTGCAGTGGCATGATTATAGCTCACTGCAGCCTCAATCTCCCAGACTCAAGCAATCCTTTCACCTCAGCCTTCTGAGTTAGCTGGGAATACATACATGCACCACCATGCTGGGCTATTTTTTAATTTTGCAGAGATGGAGTATCACGATGTTGCCCACGCTGGTGTTGAACTCCTGGGCTCAAGAGGTCCTCCTGCCTCTGCTTCCCAAAGCATTGGATTACAGGCGTGAGCTATGGTGCCCTGCCTGGAAGCTAATTTAAAACATCCTCAATATTCATAGCAAATATTAGATGTTAAGATTGAGGTATATGCTGGGCGTGGTGGCTCATGCCTGTAATCCCAGCTCTTTGGGAGGCCGAGGCAGGTGGATCACCTGAGGTCAGGAGTTCGAGACCAGCCTGAGTAATATGGTGAAACCCTGTCTCTACTAAGAATACAAAAATTAGCTAGGTGTGGTGGCGTGTGCCTGTAGTCCCTGCCACTCGGGAGGCTGAGACAGGAGAATTGCTTGAACACAGGAGGTGGAGGTTGCAGTGAGCCAAGATCGTGCCACTGTACTTCCAGCCTGGGCAAAAGAGTGACATACAGTAGACAAAATGGGGTGAGCATCTCTGTGATGTGATTTGACAACCGGCTAGCAGCAAATTGGGCTCAGCTGATGGTGAGAGGATAAGAAAGTAGAAACGACCCACACAGCTGGTTTTTAGGAGTCTCACAGTAACACTCCACAGACCTAAAGAAACAGGAGGCTATGAGGGGACACTCCAGCCTGCAAGGAAGGCCCAGGCATCATTGCAAGTGCATCTTTGAAATGGTTACCCGTGAGTTCCGGGCTTGACAAAACACCAGTGAGTGGGAAGGAGGACTCATAACTGTGAGAACACAGGGGGTTCAGAAGCCTGGGGGTGGTGGAGAGGATGAAGGTTCAGAAGGTGTGAGGCTTTTCTTCAGGTAGGAGGATGAGCTCACACACGGCAGTCCACCCTCATCGCTGGTTTTGCTTTCTGCATTCTGAGTTACCTGCAGTCAACTACAGTCTGAAAATAGGTGAGTACAACACAGTAAGATATTTTGGGAGCGACCATACTCATATAACTTTTATTATGGTATATTGCTATATTTTATTATTGTTATTAATCTCTGTGTCTAATTTATAAATTAAACTGTATCACAGGTATGTATAGAAAAAACATAGTATATACATATAGGGGTTGGTACCATCTGAAGTTTCAGGCATCGACTGAGGCTCCTAGAAGGACAAGCGGAAGACTACTGCGTATGGAAACATCTAGCATAGGGTAGGGAGCAAATCATTGTTTGCTGAATCTGAAGTCTGTGGGTACCTAGGGGAATTTCTGAGTTCATGATATCGTAGGTGGTGTGGAAACAAGTCCCAGCATAAACCCACACAGCTGGCTGAATGAAGTTCAAGTGAAGGTCATGCAGCATCAAAGTAGATGTGTGTCACTGAAACTTATGGCAGTGGAGTGAGAATAATTTTGAAATTACTTAGATTGTGAGAAAATCTGGCTGATGATTAGAAGTGTTGATATAAGAGGTCAGTTTGGAGTTCCACTCAAAATTCATACTAATTTTAATGTTATGGTATTCTAAACTACTAGATGGGTAAGGGGAAGTTATAGGATTCTGAACAATACCATTAAGAATTAGGATAGGATTTTCTACTGTGGTGTCACAGAAGAATCAGAGCTAGCAAATTCATAAAAAGAAAATTTGATTCCCCAAGCCCAGGGTAAAAATCCAGAGTGCTGAGGTTTTGAATCCTAATATCTCAGTTGCCACTTTGCATCTTTACAGTGCTGAATGAAAGGTGTGCACCAGGAACTGTCTACCCACAAAGAACCTGTTTTTCTGGGCCTTAAAAAAAAAGGCAGTGCAGAGATAGTATTATAAAAGAGAAGCATAAAAGGAAATTTGTGAGGGTGGCTTAATGAGATGCACTGAATAGGTGGAGAACTAGAGGGAATGTGGCTAGGTACACAGTGGACTTTGTTAAATTAGCAGCAGCTCCAGTTCACTTTCCACGATATTTCCTAATCCACAGAGCAGCAGGTGGGAGTGAGGGACACTATTAGTCAAGAGCTCAGTGGGAGTTTAAATCACTAAGGATTTGTGTATGCAAGTTCTCCCTGGCTTACACTTAATATGGTCATGATAACTGAATTTCAACTGTGCAAAAGGAAAGAAAATACTTATAATAATTCAAACACGGCTGTAATGAGGATATGCCACAAACACGAAATGAACGTTTTATAATAAGCTCTGGCAGTTCAAGGAAAAATGATGGTAGAAGGTGCTTCTGGAATGGTCTAGCTCTAGAATTTGATCCAAGTAAGCCACTGCAGACTGTCCAAGCCAATGTCCTAGCCGAAAACAAACAAGTCATCCCTGCATAAAGGCTAGTGGACAAAGGTCGTTAATACAAAATTCACCGTCATTATCACTAGGCAGGGTGGTGATTGATCTGATATCTCCAGGCCTTTGCTAGATTCAAAACAAAGTCCTGAACCCTGGAATGTTTAAAGGCCTAGACAGACTACCTCTCCAGCTATGCTGTCTCATTCTCTGGCTGGCAGGGCCAGAGTGTGTTGCCTCCAATCAGTTATCTTATGAGGAACCAGATTTGGGCTTCTGCCATCTGGCTTAGCACCCATGGACTAAGAGGTCTTGAATCAGCACCTAGAAATAATTTCCTTCAAGTTCTACAGAACAGCTCAACAGAAAAAGAGAACTGTTTCAGTGGAAAAAGTAAATACCAAAGTTTCTAAGACTATTACGGATGTAAAAAATTGTTGGATGTATTCTTCTCAACTTTTTATCTAGGGTGTGACACCTGTTGATGTAATGAAGATTTAGGAAGCCTCAACAAGGCATACCTCAGAATACTGCCAGTTCAGTTCCAGACCACCCCAATAAAGCAAATATTGCAATAAAGCAAGTCACACACATTTTTTGGTTTCACAGTGCATACAAAAGTTGTGTTTTCGTTACGCTGTAGTCTATTAAGTGTGCAACATTATGTCCCAAAACAGTGTACATAACTTCATTAAAAACTACTTGATTGCTAAAAAATGCGAAGAATCATTGGAGCCTTTAGTGAGTTGTAATCTTTTTGGTGGTGGAGGGTCTTGCTTCCATGTTGATGGCTGCTGACTGATAAGGATAGTAGTCACTGAAGGCTGGGGTGCTGCGGCAATTTCTTCCCTTTTTTTTTTTTTTTGAAAGGGTCTCACTCTGTTGCCCAGGCTGCAGTGCAGTAGCACAACCACAGGTCACTGCAGTCTTGACCTCTCAGGCTCAAGCAATCCTTCTGCATCAGCCTCTCAAGTTGCTAGGACTATAGGCTTGTGATACCACACCAAGCTAGGTTTTGTTTTGTTTTGTTTTGTTTTTGGTAGAGGCAGGTTCTCACTCTGTTGCCCGGTCTGGTCTCAAACTCCTGGGTTCAAATGATCCTCCTGCCTCTGCCTCTCAAAGCACTGGGATTATAGGCATGAGCCACTGCACCCAGCTACAATTTCTTAAAGTAAGATAGCAATGAAATTTGCCAAGTCCATGAACTCTTCCTTTCATGAAAGACTTCTCTGTTGTATGCGATGTTGTGTGATAGCATTTCATCCACAGGACTTTTTTCAAAAATGGACTCTATCCTCTCAAACCCTGCTGCTGCTTTATCAACTAAGCTTATGTAATATTCTAAATCCTTTGTTGCCATTTCAACAATGTTCACAGCGTCTTCACCGTAAGTAGATTCCATCTCAAGAAACCACTTACTTTGTTCATCCATAAGAAGAAACTAATCTGTTCAAGTTTTATCATGGAATCGCAGCAATTCAGTCACATCTTCAGGCTCTACTTCTAATTCTAGTTCTCTTGCCATTTCCACCACATCTGCAGTTACTTCCTCTACTGAAGTCTTAAACCCCTCAAAGTCATTCATGAAGGTTGGGGTCAACTGCTTACAAACACCTGTTAATGTTGATATTTTGAGTTTTGTATGGTAGATGCACCTGACAGTGATAATGCGACCTGAGTATACCCTGAGAATGACCCCGTATGGCAGAGCACCTCAATGTGTACTCAGAAGTGGCCAACCCAGAGATCCATTCCTTGTCTATGAGGAACACCTGAGCCCCAGACGCATCCTGTGGAACATGGGCCATACAGGGGATCACGGCCCATTGTTTTGGGTTAAATGAGGTTTGCCAGGTGGAAGTTGCTAGGGGGAGGGTGTTAAGTGAAAATGTTATATAAATTGCATGTGTTTTGCAAGTGGTGGTGGTGGTTTTGCCCAGTCTGCCACCACTGGACTCTCTCACCTGTACGTAAGTCCCCAGTAAAACCCATGTCTCATTCGCTGGCTCTAGGTCTCTTCTTCAGCCTCTTGAACCTGGTGCCATCCCCGCTGGAGTCAATAGGGGTTTGGCACACCAACCTCCCTCCATGCATCATAAATGTTCTTAATGGCATCTGCAATGGTGAATCCTTTCCAGAAGGTTTTCAATTTTCTTTGCCCAGATCCATCAGAGGAATCACTACCTATGGCAGCCATAACCTTACAAAATATATTTCTTAAGTGATAAGACTTGAAAGTCAAAATTATTCCTTGATCCATGGACTGAAAAATGGATGTTGTGATGGCAGGCATGAAAACAACATTAACCTCCTTGTGGCCGGGTGCAGTGGCTCATGCCTGTAATCCCAGCACGTTGGGAGGCCAAGGCAAGCAGATCACCTGAGGTCAGGAGTTTGAGACCAGCCTGGCCAACATGGCGAAACCCTGTCTCCACTAAAAATACAAAAAGTTAGCCAGGTGTGGTGGTGTACACCTGTAATCCCAGCTTCTTGGGAGGCTGAGGCAGGAGAATAGCTTGAACCCAGGAGGCAGAGGTTACAGTGAGCTGAGATCACAGCACTCCAGCCTGGGTGACAGAGCAAGACTCTGTCTCAAAAAAAAAAAAAAAAAAAAAAAAAAAGAAAACAACATTAACCTCTTTTGTCCATCTCCATCAGGGTGACCTGGTACATTGTCAATGAGCAGTAATATTTTGAAAGAAAACTTTTTTTCTGAGCAGTGGGTCTCAATAGCGGGCTTAAAATAGTCAGTACACCATGCTATAAACAGACGTGCTGTCATCCAGGCTTTGTTGTTCCACTGACAGAGTGCACACAGAGTAGATTTAGCATAATTCTTAAGGGCCTTAGAATTTTCAGAATGGCAAATGAGCATTGGCTTCAACTCCAAGTCAATGATTGCAATGACTCAGCTGCATTATCCCCTAACAAGAGATTCAGCCTGTTCTTCGAAGCCAGGCACTGACTTTGACTCTCTGTCTATCAACGTCCTAGATGGCATCTTCTTCCAACAGAAGGCTGTTTCATCTCCATTGAAACTCTGTTGTTTAGTGAACTCACCTTCATCATTACCTTAGCAAGATCTGGATAACTTGCTGCAGCTTCCCCATCAGCATTTGCTGCTTCACCTTGTGCTTTTATGTTATGGAGACACTTTCTTTCCTTAAACCTCATGACCATCCTCTGCTAGTTTCAAACTTTTTTTCTGCAGTTCCCTCACCTCTCAGCCTTCATAAAATTGAAGAGAGTTAGGGTCCTTGTTCTGGATTAAGCTTTGGCTTAAGAGAACGTGTGGCTGGTTTGATCTTCTATCCAGACCACTCAAATCTTCTTTGTATCAGCATTCAGGCTGTTTCGCTTTCTTATCATTTGTGTTTACCATGGTAGCACTTTTTGCTTCCTTTAAGAACTTTTCCTCTGCATTCACATCTTGGCTGTTTGGCGCAAGAGGCCTAGCTCTCAGCCTATCTAGGCTTTCAACATGCCTTCCCTCACTAGGCTTAATCATTTCTAGCTTTTGATTTAAAGTGAGAGGCATGTAATTCTTCACTTGAGCACTTAGATTAGGGGCCATTGTAAGGTTATTAGTTAACTTCATTTCAAAATTGTCATGTCTCAAAGAATAGGGAGGCCTGAGGAGAGGGAGAGAGACAGAAATGGCTGGGTTGGTGGAGTAGTCAGAACACACACAATATTTGTTAAGTTTGCTATCTTATGTGGGCATGGTTTGTAGCATCCCAAAACAATTACAATAGTGACATCAAAGATCACCCATCACAGATTACCATAACAGATAGAATAACAATGAAAAAGTTTGAAATATTGCAAGAATTACCAATATGTGATGCAGAGATGAGAAGTAGGCACATGCTATTGGAAAAATGGCGCCAACAGACTTCCTTGATATAGGGTTGCCACAAACCTTCAATTTGTAAAAAAAATGCAGTATCCATGAAGCACAATAAAAGAAAGTACGTGCATACTAGACTCTGTATTAGTTGCTGGGGGCACAGTGTGAATCTGACAGACATATTCATTGCTTTCTGCAAGCTTCGTCTAGTTGAGGAGACAGACAATAAACGACTCAGCAAACACTTAATACACAATTTGCCTGGAGTAAGAAAGGGCCTAGAATCTGAGACTAGCTTGGTCTGGGGACATCCTTAGGGAAATGACAATTTTTTTTTTTTTTGAGACAAGGTCTCACTCTGCTGCCTAGGCTAGAGTATAGTGCTACGATCATGGCTCACTGCAGCCTCGACCTCCTTGGGCTCAGGGGATTCTCCCACCTCAGCCTCCGGAGTAGCTGAGACCACAGGTGCACACCACCACACCTGGTTAATTTTTGTATTTTTTGTAGAGACGGGGTCTCTGTTGCCAGGGCTGTTCTTGAACTCCTGGGCTCAAATGATCCTCCCACCTTGGCCTCCCAAAGCACTGGGATTACAGGCATAAGCCACCATGCCTGGCCAAGGAAATGACATTTAAACTGAAGGACAAGTAGGTGTTGACCAGGGAGAGTGAAGTGGAGAGAGGAGAAGCAGCAGAAGTACATACCAGGTAGAGGGAAGAGCTCCAAGCGAGACAGTATCTACTTCACCAGGACACAGATCCGCTGGCATATATATGTTCAATTATAGCCGCAAATAACATTTAATTTGGTGCTTTCTCCATCGTAAGTGTTCACAGCACTTACTTCTGAGTGACTAGAGAACAAATCAAGACTAGCACAGAGAAACAAGAAGTATTGAAAGAAAAGATGGCTAACCAAACTTAGAATAAGAAGTCTTGGTGCTGAAAATAAGTATGTGAAAATAAGCCTGCAAAAATAAGCCTGGATACATTTGGCATCCCCAGTGTAAGCATCCATAATCTCAACCACTGGCAGAAACCTGTCCATTAGCATAGGACATTGCCATCAAGCAACTCACATACATGCACACGAGCGCACATGCACACCCCACATCAGAAGGAAAAAAAAACCCTTGCAAAAAAAAAAAAATCCTTTTGAATTGGCTTTTAAAATGGCAGATGATCACTGCTACTGTTCCCTGATTAAGGCAGATCAGAGTTTTCCATTAATCCCAAGGAATAACAGGTACACTCCCTTAATCATATTTAAAATAACAAGTGAGGTGATCTGACATTATGGCAATTTATTTCCTTCATCTAACACAACAAAATTACAGGGTACTGCATGAGCAATCTACCTGGCAGCTAGGACTTCTGATTCACATGAACAAACACAGAACAAAGATCCAGTCACATATGCCTATGGTAGGAAAGTGACTAAAACAACACAAGAAAGAAGGCAGCCTTCCTAGAAATTTTTACTCACAAGTTAAGGAAAGAGATTAGGGAAAATATCTCTATAAAAAGAGACTGGCTAAGGTTTGGCACAGACAAGCATGATGGTCTTTCCACCAGGCCATTCTCCCAACAGAACATGTCAGTAGAAGTTATCAGAAAATGTGAGACATTTGGTTATAAATTACCAATATTATAATTGTCACATAATCAGCTCCAATTATTTTCCAGAGAATAAGCTAAGTGCTTGTGTATTCTCTCTAATACCCGCCAGCACCTGTGAGCATGATTTTATTCATTTCATTTCACAGATGGGAATCTGAGGCTTAGAAAGTTTAAATATTAATAACAGTAATGTGCATATTTCCATATGTAGCACTTTTTCTATCACTTTTTTCTAAGCACTTTTTTCACAGTTTCTCACACCAAATATAGCCTGGATTTCTAATAACTGTGGCAAACTCTGACCTGTACCACTGACTACTAGTGAACGTGGTGAAACTTTCCTAGTATCCTGTTTTCCCACTATGTAAACTGATATCCCTGATAAGGGCTGGTTCTGAATTTCTATAGTTCTAAATCGGGGCTCAGAGGCGACAACTGGTTTGTAAGGGGGTAACTTCTCTTAAAGTTGCATTTTTACTTAGATCTTAAGCTACATTATTTGGGAAGTTTTTAAAAGGGGCTAATAGAGATTCCAACTCTCTTCCCTCCTGCCCAACTCCAAGACACCTCTTGGTCATGCACTCAGCTGGTGACCTTGAAAGCAATCCTATTAGGAGTATGGAGGTGGCTCGAGCCTCCATACTGTTGTTCCAATAATGGTTTTAGAATGACAGGTTCTGCTGAATCTTCGTATTTTAATATCTTTTTACTACTTTATTAGGCCTGCAACTTTAATTTAGAATGAATCTAGTCCCCCAAACCATATATATTCAAGATCAAAACTGTTAGGATAATTTTTCTGGGTCTATACTCCTGAACTTCATTCCCACTCCACACTGGACCTGGGATTGTAAATTCTTTGGAATCTAGAAAGATTATATGAGAATTTCCTTACTAACAAACCATTGCTGGGCAGATAGCCTGAAAAACAGGACCTGCATTTTACAGTTGGCATAAATGTCAAATAATGCTCTGGTAAACATTCAAACAATGCCTTATGTCCATCTGTGACACACTTTGGGCCTCGGCATCTGGGTCTGGGGTATAATGGGGTATGACTTATCTTCTCAAATTGGCAAATCTAGAACATAAACTTAATATAACATATGGAAGGTGCAACATAAAGTGGGCTTTTCCTAAATGTCTAGATGATCTGAGAATTAAGATGGAGTCTCTCAGTAAAATCACCTTCATTGCTCTTAAGTTTCTGCTAAATGAAAAACATAGTCAAGGTGCCTGGAGCCACCTGGAGAATTTCTGTAACAACGAATTAAAGTTGCTCTTGGAGACACACAGATGTTAATGGAAATGGACATTCAATTCAAACCCAGACTATAATCTTTTAATAAATAATATCTAAGAGTTATCAGCTGGGAGGCTCTAAGTAAACACTTAATTGTGTTTGGTTCCTATGATTGGAGGAGTCAGCTCTTTTAGCTCCATCAATTATAGCTCTGGAAACAGGCACACAATTTTTCAGCCTTTTAGTTTTATATAGCAAGCAAATTACACTTTATATTGTACCTCACTATACAAAAACTTTGGTTATACACAGGTTAAATCATGTTCCTCTTGTACACAGTAACGCATGTGGTAATTTCTACTTATATAACACATAATGCCTGGGGAACAGCTGTATTCATTTATTCAAATAGTTACAGAGAATCCAATGAGTACAAGACATACATTAGATGATGTGATCCTTGCTCCATCCCCTATTATTTTTATATAAATATTTTGAATAAAATATTACATTTAAGATCTCTTCAGCAAATAAAAGTTTATGCCAATGAATTTGACCTCAAGATTTCCTCCTCAAAATAAGGATCTTTGATACCACTGTTCTAAAATACATTTTTGCCTCCCTAGCTGTTAAATTTTACGGCTAAAACCTTTTGCCTAGCCCTAAAATGCCACACATAAGGACACTGGGAAAAGACAATGGTGCAAGCCTTACAGAACAAAAGAGAAAAAGAAACAAGGAGATATATGAGAATGATTCTATAGAGGCATTCATATTTCTTATTCTAAGACTTCTCTTGGAAAACAAAAAGATTCATGACTTAGAAAAGGACATTACAGTTGCTAGATCATCACTTATCTGATAGGAATATAAATGGTAAACACTAGATTATATTTCGTTTGGAAACCTTAACTGGAGGAAATTCTACCTTTACAGTGGAAAAGCCAAAAGAAGAGAAGTCACTGCAGGCTCCAGAAATACACATTTTAACAAAGTGGGGGCGGGGGAGTACAGTTTCTCAGAACCACTGTGTCCCGATCTCAAGGAGAAGTTGTATTTCTTTACAATTTAATCTATGATTAGCTAACAAAAGGGACAGAAAGCATTATTAACCTTAATATTCACAAAGTGGTCAATTAATAGCACCTTGTAACTATATACCTTTGTTTTTCCACCAAAGAAAAATGAATAGCATGACAGAAAACAACAAAACAGGGCTGGGTGCAGTGGCTCACTCCTGCAATCCCAGCACTTTGGGAGATCAAGGTGTGGGGATCACTTGAGCCCAGGAGTTGGAGACCAGCCTAAGCAACAAAGTGAGACCCCACCTCTACAAAATTAAAAGAAAAAAAACAGCCAAGTGTGGTGGTATGCACCTCTAGTTGCAAGCTACTTGGAAGGCTGAGGAGGATCACTTGAGCCCAGGAGTTCAAAGTTGCAGTGAGCCATGATCATACCACTGCACTTCAGCCTGGAAAACAGAGCAAGAGTTTGCCTCAAAAAAAAAAAAAAAAAGGGGGGAGGAGCAGGAGGAGGAGAAGAAGACAACAACAAAGAGATAATCTCTGGTATACTAATAGACAAATGCAGTTTCATAGAGAGCAATATGATTAATGTATCAAACACAGAATTGTCTCTTTCCAAGTAGTTACCTTGAAAGGACAATTCTAATGCTATCAACATTTCTTAGAATTTCTATATTATGAAGACCTTCAGAGTCTGTGAAAGTTATTTTAAGTGTTAAGTTTACCTTTGTTTCATAATGTTCCATTTACTCTGAAAAGTACAGGGTATAAAGAGGAGTGAGTCCTGGCCCTTACAAAGCTTACAGTGTCAAGAAGGACATGGGTGTGTGCATGGATGATTTCATTACACTGATGTAAGTCAGTAATGGATTTACAGTGCGGAAGGAGCACAGTGAGGGGCTGCCCTTTGTGCCAGGAATGAGGAGGCTGGGAGCGAGAGAGGAGGTTTCCTGCAGATGGCACCCAAGGAAAGTCTGGAGAAGATGCCATGTGATCTGATTCTACAGAGTAAGTCAGAGTTATCCAAATGAGGAAGCAAGATGAGGAAAATGGACAGATGAGCATGAGTAGGACACAGAGGCATGCAAGAACATGATGGAGCAGGCAAATGCAACAAGCACTTTGGTGCTGCCGGAGCACAAAGTGCAAAGAGTGGCAGGAAAGAGGATGGAGAAGGCAAAAGGGACCAGCTGGTAGGTAGTCTAGGTGCCATGCTAAGGGGCTTGGACTATTCCTTAGGTCAGGGGTCACAAAAGCAATGACTACGGTAATGTAGATAACTGAGGCAGGCCATGTAATGCATATTCTAGAAGAGGGGCACTGGAGCACGCATGACCCATCTATAGCATATGGTGACAGCTGCTACTTAGCTCCAGCTGATGACTGCTTTGAAGAAAGAGGACAAGGGTGGCTGTGTCTTCCAATTTTTCAAGGGAAGCTGAAATCTAGATTATGAAAAAATCAGTTCCTAAATGTTGACTCATAAACACCTGCAGGGGACAAATAAACTTAGCTACAGACTAAATATGGCTCCAAGACTCCTAGTCAAGACCTCTGTTTCATGAGAAGTTTATTTCTAATGGGCAGATATTTCCATTGGAAAGATGTCATAGTGGCACGCTATGGAGGATGGGTTGGAAAGAGGAAAGACTGAAAGCAGGAAGACCATGATCCACCTAGAGAGTTATGAGTCTTTCGTCTTTTGAGGGAGATGATAATTTTGATAAAATCAAGTAAAAGTCATTTAGAGTCAAGTCTCATGAGCAAATTTAGTATTAGATCTGGACATCAATCAGGTTTTATATAAAAACAACACAGGAGTATAAAGTCAATCAGATGACTGCTTTAGGCAGTTCACAGAATGGGTCAGGAGGCCATTACAAAGCAGAAGTTGTAAAATGTATTGTGTAATAGTCATGAAGCCTCTAGAAGTGTCTATCCACAGGTAAACATTGTGTGGATGTCTTGCTTCTATAATGAAATTTAAAAGACTCTTTGCCCATTATTCTGTGCTCCCGCCTTTAAGGTCTGTGTGAGCTTCCAACCTCAGCCAGACATTTGGGATGGGATAGGAGTCTATATCCCTTAAACGCCCTGTTTCAGATTAAAATCTTGAAGCTAATGGCTTCACAGTTGGCACACACTTAACATTTCTGCCACTCTCATCCTCTCCCTTTCCTGACTTCAATTTATACTCTTGCATTATTTGTACACATTTTTCTTCCTCCACTTCTGTGAGCAGAAACCATGTCAATTATCTTTGCATTACTTCCACAAAACCCCAGCAGAGTAATCTGCCACAGAGTGAGCATTTAACAAATGCTGGTTTAGGAGGAAAATGCCTTATTACTTAATAATCGCTGTGCTCAGCAAAATTCACCGTCTAAGGCAGGTTTGCCTTGAGACCTATCCAAGGGCATTTAGTTACTGCAGCACCTAAACAGTCTCTCCTAAGCCAGTCCTGAAGTCAGCATTACAAGGAGGCTTGAGGTTCCGAGGTATAAGAGCATCAGCATAAGCCCAGCTCGCTCCCAGTGATTATTTAATTACTGTGGTAATAACAGTCAGGTATGTAAAACATTACACTCCTACCGATTACATGGAAGAGTAATCACTCCTTCAAGAATTATCTAGTCTGCCATCTAAACAAACTATTGTCACCCCACCAGATAACTATGAAGCCACCATAGAAGGCCAGATGTTAATCTCCATGTTCTCTCTTACTGAGTTATTTGATGTTTGCCCAACAGTATGGTACCTGAAAAGATGGTACTCATCATTAGCCAGGATAATCCTGAACAGAAACATTCAACTCATCAAATTTAGATGGCAAACTTCTTTATTACTGGTAGAAAAAAGACACTAAGCATGAAAACCAGGTTTGGGTATGGTTGGCAGATGAGGCCATGGGGTAGGAAAAGAAAAGTTTCTGATTGTGTATCGCAATAGTCACACACAAAAAATAAACTGTATGTCATCTTGCTATGATGCTTTGGGAATACTTAATTTAGAAAATAAGAGATGGTCAAGCACAGTGGCTCACGCCTGTAATCCCAGCCCTTTGGGAGGCCAAGGTGGGAGGATCACTTGAAGACAGGAGTTCAAGATCACCTGGGCAACATAGCAAGATCCCATCCCTACAAAAAGCTTTTTAAAAAATTAGTTGGGTGTGGTGGCATGTGCCTGTAATTCCAGCTATTAAGGAGGTTGAGGCAGGACGATCACTTGAGCCCAGGAGTTGGAGGCTGCAGTGAGCTATGATCATGCCATTGGACTCCAGCTTGAGTAACAGGGCAAGACCCTGTCACTAAAGAAAAAATAAAAATAAAAAGGAGAAAAAAAAATTAAGAGTCCATTAAAAGGTGCAACAAATGATACAGGCAACTAGTGACTGGTAATAATAATAATCAGAACAGTGCAACAACATTTAAGTGGAAAAGGTAAAATGAAATTGTCTACACATCCAGGTTTCTGTGTTCTCATGCAGTACAGAGGCTGTCTGCTCCTTGATGTTCTCTTAATAACCACATTCATTTCAGGACCCAACCATATCCAACGTCAGGAAGCAGTAAGGACGAACGAACCAGAGAAGACACAAATTCAGAACGTAACAATGCTACAGACCAGAACTGTGTTGTCCAATAAGGTGGTCACATGTGGCTATTTAACTAAAATTTTGTTTCTCAGTTGCACTAGCTATATTTCAAGCTCTGCAGCTGTGGCTATTGTATTGGACAGTGCATATACAGAACATTTCCATCATTTTCCATGGAACAAAGCTGGACTACAAAGTGAATATTCCTATTGTTAAGATGGACCCAATGAAAAATTCAGTCAAAGTCAATAGTGTTATTCATTGAGCATAATTAGAGATATCCACGGTTATCTGGTTATTTTATTGAATGTGTCATAGAGACAATTGGTGATCCACAGAAAGTTTGGACATCCTTATCAGCACAGGATTTTTTTCTCCCAGTATTCCTCCAATACCTACCCTTGCCCTTCCCACCACTATGGGCAGGGATAGAAAGAAAAATGGTAGGGGGTCAGAAACTCCTTGATTAAGTCTCTCTTATCCAAGAAGCTGCAAAAATTGCCAAAAATAAGTAGGTTTTTCGAAGCATCTTCTTTCCTCCCCTTTCTCTTCCTTTTTAAAAAAATACTAAAAGACAACTAAACAAAAACAACAACAGGAGACAGGCAGAGGTATTCAAGAAAATTATTAAGAAGAGGGCAGGGCGCAGTGACTCACGTCTGTAATCCCAGCACTTTGGGAGGCTGAGGTGGGCAGATCACAAGGTCAGGAGTTTGAGACCAGCCTGGCCAATAATGGTGAAACCCCGTCTCTACTAAAAATACAAAAAAAAAGTAGCTGGGCATGGTGGCAGGTGCCTGTAATCCCAGCTACTCAGGAGGCTGAGGCAGGAGAATTGCTTGAACCTGGGAGGCAGAGGTTGCAGTGAGCTGAGATTGTGCCACTGCACTCCAGCCTGGGCAACAGAGCAAGACTCCATCTCAAAAAAAAGAAAAGAAAAGAAAATTATTAAGAATAAAATGGATGGCTATCCTAAGTTACTGTCCAAGACATCCAAGGAAAAGTACCACAAATCAAGAATGTTTCCAAAAATACCCCATGAGAACAATTCAACAAATCTACATTAATTTTAAAAGTTACCAACTTTTCAGAGGCAAAATGATTTGCTGCTAAAAATTTAAAGTCCTGAGTTTTCATCCAGAGCAACACACTCTGGTTCAATGATGTAATTCACAGGCAAATAAAAGAATCACATTAAGTCACCCTCCAGTCATAGCATCATTTGATTTCTGAGGTCATTTGGTTCTCAGACAGGAGCCAGGTCTGATAGTAAATAAAAATCAACTACAGTAGTAAGATTCTACTTATTAGAACTTCCCTGTGTACTGTCTCATAAAAATGAAGTAATATGCTTTTGGATTTAATGTAGACAGTTTCAATTATATTTAAGAAAAGCAAAGTAAGATTAATTCGAGAAACAGGAAAAAGAAAACGAGTCCTCAGACACTGGATTCTATTTAACACTCTTCACTTTATCATTGCTTAAATATTTGCTTTCTACTTTGTCATGCTACCTCTCTGCATCACAGAAGAAAATTTGATACCTCAGTGACAGAATAATTTAAGAGCAAGCTAAAAATTAATCAGCACATAAAAGCAAGAAAACTCATAACCCATCTGTTTAAGAACAGCTTATATATTTTGGGGAAGGGGAAGCAAGACTTAGGATGCTGGAAAATGTAAAACACAGGCCTTAAAGCTCCTTTTTCAAAAATGTCTGATGTTGCTGTCTCTGGCTGATAATTACAGCCCTGGGAGGGCAGCTGTGAGACAATGCTGACAATGATGCAGTACACAGGCTCTCAAGAAGCTGGTAAGCTGCTGCTACCTTTCATACTGTGAAAGAACAACACAAGGGTCAGACTTCCCTTTTCTGTAACCTGTGCATTTCAACTGCCATACACGAATTCAGTTATCATCAACAGTTATACAACCTCATGATCTCCTCCCTGCTCCCTAGCTTCACCCTCCACATTCGCCCTCAATGTTTGCTGTGCTCCTCTTTACTCTTGACATTTTAGTATAGAAAGGGAAGTGACATTTTGACCCTCTGCCTAGAAAAGGTTGCACTCTTGAGTCACTTTAACTCATCCTTTAAAGCAGAAACTCACTTCATTAAAATAAGCAAAAATTATCTGAGGCACCTAAGGAAGGTGGGGAGATGTTCGTTTAAACCTTGATAACTCAGTATTTCCTCCTCTTGATGAGGACAGAGTGACTGGTCACTGCTGAAGTGAGCATGGGAAAAATTAAACATCTCTAGGCCAAGAAAGTAGCTTAAGTCAAAAAAGGCAACTGATCTGAAATACACCGAATCTACAAAAACTGTTTCCCATTTCATGCATACACAACCCTACAGAGGGTATAAACACTACCAGCAAACCGTGCTAGGAGGTCACAAGCACTCCCTGGAGCATGCACGAGCAGCACAGTTTATAAAACGTTCTATAGGCAGTGTGGGAGACAAGGGCTGGATCTGGCTCCGACCAAAGGGTGGAGCTAATGCATACCTTTTGGTCTTCTGGAATTTCCATTCTTTTGCTGTTCGTCTTCCTCATTAATGGTGAATAAACCAAGAGGAATTGGCCTTGCATTGGTCTTCTTCAGTCTCTCATGTCGGAGAGCTGTAGCTGATCCAGGCATACCGCTGCTACTTGTTTTTTTTTTTTTTAATTGTGATTATATTAAAAATATATGCTTATGTAATTGCAGCTCCCAGGAAGCTGCTAGTTCCTAAGCTGCCTGTTCATTTGAGCACTTGTAATAGATCCCCTATGGGTAAACAGTTTGCAAACAGCTGACAGATAGTACCAGCCACTTGGCAACTGAGGCCCTGCAGTTCCCCTCACCTAGCAGCAGCTTCCCCACCTCCCCTACCAGCCCCCTCCCACTGACTCCCCGACAGGCACATGCGCTGGTGATTGCTCCGGCTCATGCATGCACGTACACGCGCGCGCACACACACACACACACACACACTCCTTCCAGAAAAGCCCTACTACAGACACGCAGGGTCTGATGCCTCCCACCACTGCACAACCTGTTCAATCAGATCCCAGCTTCTTCCTGCTGCAGCACCTTTTTCCAATCTTCTTCCTGCTACCACACAGTAAAATATTCAGCCCACAGCAGAGAGGGGAAAATATGATATGCTGCCGTTAACAGTTGCCCTGACAACCCTAACATATCCTAATCAAGAAGGGCCCAGAGCGGCTCCATCTCCCCAGCTGAGAAGCGGCAGCTTGCAGGATGCTGGGTTCTGGGAACTCACCAGCAGAGGGTTACAGCGTGAGGCCGCTGGGCAGCTCCCTCTTCCTCTCAGCGGCAGCGCAGCAGGATGGGAGGAGAAAGAGTTTTGCTTGCACAAGCAGCAGTAGACTCCTCAGTATGGAGACAGAAGCCTGAGGAAGAAAGGCTTTTTCTTCTTTTCTGGGCCAGGTTGTCTATCATAACAATGTTTGCAAGCCCCTGGATGAATGAAGGCATGGCTGGTACCCACAGAGCAGCTCACTTTACTTTCCTGACATTCTTACCACCCCAGAGCATGTATAAGAACAGGGTTGGCAGCACCAGTCATGAGGGCCACCAGTGCCATGTCCCTGAAACCCTCTGGTGAAGACAGGCAAGGGAAGAACTATGCTGGCTCCCACCAGAGATCACAACGTGGAGTGTCTCCTCTGCAACTCAAGTTTCAAGGACAGAACCTATACTGGGGAATTCTCCAAAGGAGAAAAACCTGTCTCTATTACACCCAGCACACCCCCCACCCTCAATCCCTACCGCTCTGGGCAGTTGCTACCAGCGGTGCTGAGCAATGCTCAACACTTGACCCAATTTTAGCTCTTTTTTGGATCGTTTTCTTCAAAGCACAGAATCATGTGACTATTGTTTTCTCCTGAAATAAGCTATCTCACTTTAAGACTCTCCACTTCTAGACTGCTTAAAATGTGTGCTGTCTCCAAAAAAAATTTACAATAAATGACATTAAAACATGCCAACTGCCAAATTAAGAAAAAACATTTTTTTTGCTTTTGTGTTTTAATAAAAATCAAGTCTGCTTAGCAAGTCAAAAGCAATCCTCCCACTCCCCAACTACTCCCTTACTTTTTCTCAGTACTTAAACCTACTTACCCAAAAGAGGGCCCAAGGGAGTCTAAGGCAAGTACAATATCCTCTCTAAATCTCTTGCGTGGAACAGTAACTTTGGACAATTCACTTAACTCTCTCAGTGCCTCCGTTTTCTCTGTAAAATTGGGGTGATGACTATCATTTACCTATGGTATTAGGGTGAGGATTAAATGCGTGTAGTGCTAGCAACTTGAAGTGCTTAATAAATACCAACTATTATTATACTTTATAATAGTTTGCTGTAACTAGTCCATTTTTTGCTTTGTAATTATTTTCAAGGTATTTCCAGTTCAACTATCAATGCTACCAGGAAGTACTTCTTTGTATCTACTCTTATTGTCCAGCATGGTGCTGGGGGATGTACTAAATTGTGAGCAAACACATGCTGAAAAAAATAAATGAATCTTAAGAACTCTTTCCCTCCACAGGCTGCTTGATTTAATTAAGTTCACATGTATTTAGATCTCTGGCATGAAGAAACGCAGGAAATTTCAGTTTTAGAGTTTATTTTAAATTGTGTCAATCTGTGCAGTGGGTCTTTGGAATAAAATAGAATGGAGTTTTGGAGCTGAATGGGCCTGAGAAAGCAAGTGAGTCAGCATCGTTTTACATGCGAGGAAGCTGAATCTCACGAAGTGAAATTCCTTGCCTAGGTCAAATGTTAGTTGGCAGCAAGTCTACAATTAAAATTTAGACCATCTTCCTCCTAGTCCAGTGCTTCTCCCGATGACAAATGTTTGACCCAGATGTTTTAGAATCCTAGATCGATCTCCAATTTATGTGGAGATGGAAGGAAAGGGAGGACGCATATAAGATCTTATTGTTTAAGAAATAAAAAAATGGATACAAATTGTAAACGTAACATACTTCCATAATTTTCTATATTTGTAAACTTTTATTCTTGAATGAGACATGATTTGTTATTTCCTATTATTTTTCTTTAATCAGATGATCAATAAACACAGGTGTAATATACATCAATATCATACTATTTGTGAAATGAAAATATTTTCAAATCCACATTAGCTTCTTTCCTCTACTTCAAGAGAGTCAGGTCAGTATTTACAATAGCAAAAGCATAACAAAACAAAAAAGCAAAATAATAACAAAAAAAACCCCACATACAAAATAAGCATACTTGAAACTACCTTTTGGTAAAGAAAATGAAAATCTGTATTAAGCAAATGACTAATTTCATTTAGAAATGTTTGTCACCCAAATACAGCTTACAGCTTCCAAACAAAGCTAGCTGCTGCTCTAATAACTAACACATTATCTCCACTGAGTCAAGATGCTCTCATCCTGCTGTCGTGTAAATCCTGACCCCAACATCAACTAGCTGTGTCACTGTCACAGAAAAGCAAACAGCACAAGATCAAATAATAACAATAAAGGATTTTTTTCCTTCCCTTATAAAGGACACATTTTTCACTTAAGACATAAATTCATTTGAGATTAGTTTCTTAAATGTTCACACCCAATCTTTAATGGATATAGGGGTTAGCTCCTGGGGAATTCCAGGAATACTGTGGCTTGATCCCTGTAGAGGTGTGGGTACCATCTTCTCGCAATTCCCTTTTACATTTTGATCCAAACCAAAGGCAAATACGGAAAGGGATATGGTGAGACCTTAAATTTAAATATCCGCCAAAGTAAAATAAACACTACTCTGAATTCCTGAACTCTTTGAGATGGAGTCTCGCTGTCGCCAGGCTGGAGTGCAGTCGCAGTCTTGGCTCACTGCAACCTCCACCTCGCGGGTTCAAGTGATTCTCCTGCCTCAGCCTCCTGAGTAACTGGGATTACAGGCATCTGCCACCACACCCAGCTAATTTTTTTTTTGCATTTTTAGTAGAGATGGGGTTTCACTATGTTGGCCAGGCTGGTCTTTGACTCCTGACCTCAAGTGATCCACCCACCTTGGCTTCTCAAAGTGCTGGGATTAAAGGTTATAAGCCACCGCGCCCAGCCTCCTGAACTCTTCTCCAGCACTAAGGAGCATTTTCAATTAGATGTGGCACAACTATCCTTGCATGTCACATGCAGATACAGAGGCTTAAATCAGTCCCCATGGGAAATGGGCATGCAGCCCTCCAACAATCAGTAAGGTTTTGCAATTACTTTCTTTAAATTGTTAAAGTGATAAATGTTGTATTAATAGAGGCTTTGTACAAATTTGAGAGAAATGAGGCACTGCCTAGTGCAAAATGGTAGATTTTACAACTAGATTGGCTTTATATTGCGTAAAAATATTCTGCAGTATAATTTCAAAATGTATTCACATTTATGGGTAAAAACATTACCACTCAGCTACTATGATTAAAACAGTCCAATAGGCCCCCGAGCAACTGCAGGCCCCACCCGCTTGGTCCACAATAAATTTATGTCTCTTTGTCCTCCTACCCTGGCTGGTTGGCATCTCTGGCCTATGTCCAACCTGTGAGTTGGATGAATATGAAACAGAGTCAAACTTGCTGATCTTTGGGGAAGTAAGCTCATGACTTGGGCCTAGCTGTCACAATGCTATATAAAAGACTAACATGTAGTCACCTGCATACACATACGCACACATAGAGTCAGCTTTCTGTTCACATTTATGCTTCCTAGACTTGTGTGACCATAAAGTTGGAAAACAGCACACTCCATGAATGAATCCAAGAAATCTGCTTAACCAGTGAGAAACATACCTAAAATTTCCCTTTCTAAAAGCCCAGTGAGCTTTACAAAAACATTATTGAAAGAAAAAAGAGCCTAATTTGTACTATTCAATGGCTGTAGCTGAAAACAGAAATTATTACTGCTGGATTGAATGGCCTGTCACCAGTAAATTACAAGTTCCACGTATGTATAAGTTATTTACTTTTCATCAGGGTCCAGAAGTGCCAAAATTCTTTTCCACGTTTCAACATTCGAAGAGATGGTTAATTCTTCAAAACTACCGGACTTCAGCAATCTTTTAAGTATTTAATGCATCTCCCCAAGATAAACTGAAATTTACTTCTAGCAGGAGTTTTAACAATATTTTTATGCAACTTAAAAACTTTGCATGATTTTGAAAATGACAAAGCCAGCACAGGTTGACATGGAATCAAACAACCACTAAGGAACAAAGGGTCCCAGCTGGTTCTTTGCCACTCTATTCTTGAAGTTAAAGGGCAGCCTCAGAGTTTCCTAGAATTATGCCACTTACTGATGGCTTTTGTGACGATAAAGGCACAACATTCTGCCATCTTGCAGCATCATGCATAGCATAGAAGAGGCTGGATAAAGAAATACTGCACAAAGAAATATCATCCCTTTGAAAGGAAGAGGCAGATTTGCTTTGATCTTCTTTATTTGACCACTTTTTGTTAACAGGCATATAAGAAAAACAGTAAATACTGCCCTAGTAGCGGTGATGCCATCAGCCAGAAGTACCAGGTCCCTGTGGTGCCTTTTACAACATTTCTATAAATCTTCACTGCAAAACACTTCATGGTGCCTACAGAGTCCATTTTCCCATGTCTGCTCTATCATAAACAAATTTCAAACGCTAGGGATTCATTTATACAAATGTAAGGTGTGGATACTAAGCTTTAAAACCCTTTCCTAAATGTTAGGTGTGAAATGCCACATTAAACCTTAACCCAGTAGCACATAATGGAATGCCTCTCAGCCCTCTTGTTCATTACTCTCATTGATAATACTTTATTAATGTGCACTACATGAACTTCTGAATTACTTGATAAAAGTTAAATGTGCAAAGACTGTCCTCTCTTCTCACGATAATTAGGCTAAGAAATCCAATTTTATAGATTCCAAATGAGGGAAAGAAATCAATCGCTGGGTTCAACAGAAGATTCATACAGATGCCCGGACTGTGTTTCTGTAAGTTACCTAATTCACTGAGGGTCTGTGAGCAGTTTAATTTAGTGTTTAATTTAGTTTTATTGTTGAGCCACACCATTAGAAAGAAAATGAAACTATGGTTCCTTGACTTGCTTTGCTTTAGGAGTAGTAAAATCATGTTAAAGATGACAGATGGGGTGCTTTGGGGCATGCCATCAGAGAGGATACAGAGCCAAAGGCATAATGTTTTCACCAAACAGAGGCAGTGGGGAGCCACTGAAGGGTATTGATAGCTAAATGTGTGATCCAGACAGGCCAGGATGAACTTGAAGTGAGAAAGAGAGAGACGGGACAGAGACTAGCTATGTAACTACTTCGTCCAAGTAAAGAAAAGGGATCAAATGGTGGTCATAGGGATAGACGTAAAAACAGGAATATGAGAATCAATCATGTTTGTGTTTTTTTAACAGACACCCCTCTAGCAGTGTGAAAAACTTATCCATAGGCTTGAACGTGAATACCAAGCTCCTGCAATAGTCCAGATGAAAGATGGAGAAGTGGGCAATGCAAAGAAAGGTAGTTATGTTTTTATTAAAGATTAATATGAGAACAAGTGCTCTATATCCATAGAAAAAAGAAAGCTAAGAGATGGATAGACTCAGGTCCAAAATGATCTCAAAGAATGAAATAATGAGCTATACTTAGACAGGATACAGCCTATTCAGTTTATTCCCACTGAATAGGCTATATTCTTATCCATTCAGTAAGAATAAACAGGAACATATCTTTTTATATGTAAAAAAAGTTCAACTGGACAGGTACAAAATGAAGACCTACCCAAGCTGCCCCAGAAACAAAGCGAGCACTTGGACAACAAGCTCACTAAACATCATCAGCGCACTGAGGAAGTAAAAACCCTAAGTGTCACAGTGGAATCGGCAGACACCAGCGTGCCTAATAGGAGGACAAGCGTTCTCTGTTTACTGGTCCTCATACTACATGGTACTCGCAAGATATTTGAAATAGGATGATAAATGAGAACACTTTCAGAAGAGAGTGACCTAGGACTTACCATAAATATTCTAGGCCATAACATAGGAGACATAACATAGAAGAAAATAAGACAAGACTCCAGAGGAATAAAATAACAGAATTAAAGGTTAACATATGGAAGAATTTACACTTTTAGTGGAAGTGTAAATTTAGTTCTGGAAGAGAAAACTGGGACCAGGGACTGTTAAGTTATCAGAATGTAAAAAGTTATGTTTCTTGACATTGAAGATAGCTGTGCACAAACACTGATTTGGAATGATGATGTTGGATTAATGCACTGTTTACAGGTTGAATTTTTTTTTTTTTTAATCTCTAGAGCTTCTTCTGATCCTGAGATTCCATGACTTGATGCAAATGGAAAGTCGAGTTATATAACCAAGAGAGAACACTCAGGCAGAGGGAAAAAGCAAGGCTGAGATAAAGCCCTCTCCTTTGCTGTACCTGTGCACATACTTACTCGCATGGCTTCATTTTGTAAGCAACTCTGCGTTTCATTATTTTACTTATTCAACTGATGGTCCCGAGGTTTTAGCCTTAAATGCTAAATCACAGAAACAACTGAACCTTCTCCAGGTGTTTGGGTTAGAAGAGGGCCACACTACTCTGATCTCCGCACCTGCGGCTTCCAGACTTCCCACATTCTCTCACCCACAATGTAATGAAAACCTACTGATATACATGCCTGTAATCCCAGCACTTTGGGAGGCCAAGGCGGGTGGATCACCTGAGGTCGGGAGTTCGGGACCAGCCTGACCAACATGGAGAAACCCCATCTCTACTAAAAATACAAAATTAGCCGGGCATGGTGGCGCATGCCTGTAATCTCAGCTACTCGGGAGGCTGAGGCAGGAGAATCGCTTGAACCCAGGAGGCAGAGGTTGCAGTCAGCCGAGATTGGGCCATTGCACTCCAGCCTGGGCAACAAGAGTGAAACGCCATCTAAAACAACAACAAAAAACCTACTGATAAAGATGAATAAGAGAGTTTTCCCCTCAATGAGCCAATTTGTTATAGGTGGATCCCTATAGCTATGTGACTTGAGAGATGAAATCTAAATGAAGAGCGATACTAAAGAACAGCAAACCAATTCAGTGTATGACTTTTTGGGCATTTTAAGGATAGTGACAGCATTAAGTCTTTAGGACAGCAAAGCATCGGACAGGTGAAGAACATTCATTTCAGAATGTTTTAAGACTTTTCCTCAATCCCATCTGTGTTAGTCCGTTTTGTGTTGCTATAAATACCTGAGACTGGATAATTTACAAAGTTTTGTTTTGGCTTAGAGTTCTGCAGACTGTACAAGGAGCACAGTGCTGGTATTTGCTTCTGTTGAGGGCTCAGGACGTTTACAGAAGGAGAAAGGGAAACAGGTGTGTCACATGGCAATGGAGCAAGAGAGATATCGGGCTCTTTTAAACAACCAGCTCTCACATGAACGAACAGAATGAGAACTCACTCATTACCATAAGAGGAGTACCAAGCCATTCATAAGATCGGCTCCCATGGCCCAGACATATCCCACTAGGTCTGCCTCTAACATTGGATGTCATATTTCAACATGAAACCATATCTAAACCGTATCACCATCCTTTGCTACTTTGCCACTCTTTCCATTTCTTTCTCCTAAACCCCCCTGAAATTAAAAGACATCCATTTTTTTACTGAAAGCGTAATATCCTGTTTTTACCTTCAAAAATCAGGAAAGATTAATTATTAAATTTTATCTCTTAAATAAAGCGATTTGTATGATTCTGGGTAAAAACTGTTAATTTTCTTCTTGAGGGTGAGTGTATCAGTGAGGATTCTTCCACGAAATAGAACCAATAGTATTTTTGGTTGTTTCTCTGGAGAGAAATATATTGTATATAAAGACTTATTTTAAGGAATAATGGCTGCTGCCACTGTGGGGACAAACAAGTGTGAAATCTGTGCAGCAGGCTGGCAGGCTCGAAACTCAAGCAGGATTTCCATGTCACAGTCTTAAGGCAGACTTCCTCCTTCTTCTTCTTTCCCAGGCCTTCACCTGATTGGATTTGGCCCACCCATAGCCAGGATAATCCCCTTTACTTAAAGTCAACTGATTGTAAATGTTAATCATAGTTACAAAATACCTTCCCAGCAACATCTAATGTTTGGGCTGAGCCCAGCTGACACTTAACCTATCAGTCAGTGACCTCAGAGAGATTAAGATACTCCATTCCCACATTCAAGTCAACATGCTGCGAACGAAAGCATGCCATTCAAAAGTCAAAGGCTTATGTATCAATGATCATAATCTTCATTGAATAGGATGGATTCTATTTACTCAGATAATTTTCCAATACTGTAATGCTCTATTAATATAATGTTCCTACAGTTGGGGTCAGGATATCTTAGACTTATTAAATCCCTCTTTATTTTCACTAATGATCACCCTTTGAGAATCAAGTACTGGTGAGCTTAAAAGCATTATCAAATGAACCCTTTTAATGAGAACTAAGCAGCCTGTTCATCTGAACATTAAATGATTCAAAAGTACAGATATATAGATTACAAAAAATCCTTCTCTATTATAATGAAGTAACCCCACTTTCTCAATCAGTAGAAACTAAAGTACATAGATCCGTACATGGGGATGGAGAGAGGGTTGGATAAAACGCTTTTCATGAGAAAAGCGTATGAAGGTTTGAGGCATTAAACTTTATTTTTTGGTTTATTTATTAACTGAAACCAATTGATACAGTTTGGATGCTTGTCTCCTCCAAATCTCATGTTGAAATGTAACCCCCAATGTTGGAGGTGGGGCCTGGTGGGAGGTGACTGGATCATGGCGGTGCAACCTCCATGAATAGTTTAGCTCCTTCCCCGTGGTGATAAGTAAGTTCTCCCTCAGTTAGTTTACATAAGGTCTGGTTGTTTAAAAGTCTGGGACCTCCCCTCACACCACTCTCTTGCCATGTGAATGTGCCTGCTCCCGCTTCACCTTCCACAATGATTGTAGGCTTCCTGGGACCCTCAGCAGAAGCCGAGCAGATGTCAGTGCCACGCTTGTACAGCCTGCAGATCCCTGAGCCAATTAAACCTTTTTTCTTTATAAATTGCCTAGCCTCAGGTGTTTAAGTGACACAAAAAAAGGCCTAACACACCAATTCTGACAAAAGAAAAAAAAATTACATACAATTCTCCAGCATAGTTCTGAAACCAACCTAGAGGAAGGAAGTGCCTCACAGAAATGCCAAATTATATAATTGTGGTGGGTAAGTTTGAGGCTTGGTCCATTTTCCTTCAGTGAAAGCCACACTGAGAATTGTCAGTAACCAACCAGAACACTAAAAGCCTTTAAGCTAAATTATAAAGATATAAGATATTTAGGATTGAGTGCCAAGCTTAGAAGCTTTTTTTTTCTTTTTTTTTTAGTATTTGTCATCTTTTTTTTTCTTTTTTTTTTAAATTATACTTTAAGTTCTAGTGTACATGTGCACAATGTGCAGGTTTGTTACATATGTATACCTGTGCCATGTTGGTGTGCTGCACCCATTAACTCATCATTTACATTAGGTATATCTCCTAATGCTATCCCTCCCCGCTCCCCCCACCCCACGACAGGCCCCAGTGTGTGATGTTCCCCTTCCCGTGTCCAAGTGTTCTCACTGTTCAGTTCCCACCTGTGAGTGAGAACATGCGGTGTTTGGTTGTTTGTCCTGGCGATAGTTTGTTGAGAATGATGGTTTCCAGCTTCATCCATGTCCCTACAAAGGACATGAACTCATCCTTTTTTATGGCTGCATAGTATTCCGTGGTGTATATGTGCCTCTTAAAATTTGTAACTGCTAAGCAAAAAATATTCCTAATGCATCAATAATTTTTTTAAAAAATATGAAGTATTAATTTCCAAGAAGTAGATATTACTAGCAATCCAGCAAGGTTTTTTTGTTTTTTGTTTTTTTCCATAAATACGTCTTCTCTTAGGCTTGACTGATCTAGAGCCATCAAGATTTTAGGGGGCTCTATATGAAAAAATTAACATCTCAAAAAGATTAACAGGTTGGTAAGCACTCAGGGGACACTACTTCATCTCTAAACCCTTTCACTTTTCATATCCATGACCTAAACCCGTGGATGGCAGCTTAGGAAGGATTATAATGACAAAGGAGCCTTTTGGCAAACTTCCTAAAACACCCCAAATGACCATTTTGCCTTTTTCATAAAGTGTAATGGCTATACTCCAGACACATGCAATGTTGTAGTAAAGAAATCAAAATCATAATAAAAATCTCTCCTTTCTCTTAAATTTCTTGCTGGAAATAGTACTAGCTGGCTCCTGTTTCCACAGGCATGAAGACACTTGCCCCTAAGTTCCTGAAATAAGCAGCAGCCATGTCCCTTTACTGCCCAGAGCCAGACTTTATCTAGCACACTGGAAAAAGACCGTGTTTACTACAAAAAGAGGGAAGCAAAAACTGTTTTGAAAATAACTGCAGGACTGCAAACTGTTGAATGAACATGTTTCCAGATAGGTACATCTGTAATAGAAAGCAACCCTGTGCTATGGTAAGAAAAAATCAGCTTTGCACATTGTACAAGTGGTTCAGAATGCCCAATTCACAGGTGTCTGAACTCCATACCCAGAGTCCTAGTTCTGAACCTTTTGCCCCTTCCTTCTGGCATTTCATATACAGGCCTTCTCTCTTCCAAAGGTTTCTTGAAGACTTACTTGCTACTGTGGGTGTCATTAATGAGTCCTGCAACACTCTCACAATGACATGTGGGTCTCATCACATATATGGTTTAGATTTGTGTTGCACACTTGCTTGATGGTTGGAAACTTTCTCTTTCTTTTTTTTTTTTTTAAACTTTGATGCTGTTCTCAGCAAGCAGCAGATAAATATTGGACCTGATCAGTTTGTAAATAAGTTGAAGAACTGACATTCTCAAATCTGTCCATTTTAGACACAGCTGGGATACCGAGGATTGAATCTGAAATGCCAACCTAGGGCTCTTCCCTGTGAGGCCTCACTGGATTATAAGATTATGGGGTTTTTCTATCCAAAGTTGTTCGAGTCTCATAGGTCTTCTAGACTAAAAATAGCTTCCCTCTTCTCAATTTATTTCAATACTTTCAACTGTTGAGACATCTCTTGTATTTTTTCTCTATCTGGGCCTTATACAGTCACTGCACAAAGCATATGGATGTATCTTTTTATATACACAGGGAGGGCATCTTCACCAGGATATTGGGATGGGTTTATTCCTAGTGTTAAGTAAATCCATACAAAACTTATTTTCAATAATAATTCAGTTCTATTTTTACTGAATAACACATTTTAATATTTCAAAGGTGGCATCAGGAACACTTGTTTAATCAATTTCCACAGTGGCTACTGTATACAAAAAGACAATTTGGGAGCATTGCTGGGAGAATCTAAACCCAGGACCCATCTGAGGAAATGACATATTTTCAGATTTACGAAGTTATGAATTTTTTTTTTTTTTTTGAGATGGAGTTTCGCTTTTGTTGCCCAGGCTGGAGTGCAATGGCACAATCTCGGCTCACCGCACCTTCCTCTTTTCAAGCGATTCTCCTGCCTCAGCATCCCGAGTAGCTGGGATTACAGGCATGTGCCACCAAGCCCAGCTAATTTTGTAGTTTTAGTAGAAACAGAGGTTTCTCCACATTGGTGAGGCTGGTCTCGAACTCCCGACCTCGGGTGATCAGCCGGCCTCGGCCTCCCAAAGTGCTGGGATTACAGGCGTGAGCCACCATGCCTGGCTGAAATTTTTTAAAAGATATAAAATTCTAAATTCCAAGTTGAACAAGATATCATTTTCTTAGTGAGAAATGTGCCTCACCCACATGCCCACACACCACACCCAGGATACACCTTGTAAATGGTCCTCTACAACTTAAGAAAGTTTCTTCTAAAATTTGTGACTTTAATAACTTACTGATATTTTCTATTTCATGTATGTACTTTGCTTGAAGAAACCCAAACTGCCTCCTGCTTCTCATGAACATCTCGTGGAAGGCAAGTTGTATGTTTCCTCTATTTTCCTGGTAGAGAAGCATATTCAATGTGGTGATAGTGCCTTGTTTAAAGTCACAACGGGTGTTAGGAGGTCCATCTCTCTATGGCTTAAAGCAACATAACCTATGTGGCAATATTTTAGCAAAGGACTTAAAATTTAAAACTATGGGCCAGGTGCGGTGGCTCACGCCTGTAATCCCAGCACTTTGGGAGGCCGAGGCAGGAGGATCACTTGAGTTCGAAACCAGCCTGAGCAACATGGTGACACCCTGTCTCTACAAAAAGAGACAAAAAAAAAAATTAGCTGGTGCTAGGAATAGTGGCGTGTACCTGTAGTCCCAGCTACCTCAGGGGGCTGAGATGGGAGGATCGTTGGAGCCCAGATGTCAAAGCTGCAGTGAGCCATGATGGTGCCACTTAACTCTAGTTTGGGTGACAGAGCACCAGAGCAAGATTTTGTCTCAAAAAAAAAAAAAAAAAAAAAAGCCAAGAAGGGCTTTTATGGGTGTTTAGCGTGATCACATAACACAATCTAAGGGTCTCACAGGCCAGTGTACAGCAACCTCCTGGAACATTTGACAGGTAAAAACCATCATCCCAAGTGCTTTAATGATGCCTTTGATCCCAGTGCCAGCCTATGACAGTGTGATCACACAGCTACAATGAGGCCTGAATCATCATTACATTCTGATGCCTTCACTATGGAGAGCTTACTATTATAAATAAAAAACGGCTTAAGGAAGAAACTTAGCATGCCAGGGTGTGCCCATCGTTTCACAGTAATGCAATACTAATCTTCAGTAATCATGACAAGAACCATAACAAACACTTGGTGCCTATGCTGTGTCAAGCACTGTTCTAAGAACTTTAGTATCAACTAATTTAATCCCTGTGACGATATTACCAATACCCTATTTTAAAAAGGAAGACACTGAGGAAGAGAATGCTTACATGACATGCCCAAGATCCCACAGGTACCAAGTGGTGGAGCTGAGATTGGAACCCAGGCAGCCAGACTCCAGAGACCTTGCACAAAATAGTAGGTTAGAATTACCCCTAAACAATTAGTGTTAGTTTTGAGCTTCAGACCTCACAGCCTCACACATGCTCAGTTTCCATATAATCTTAAAGAGAAATCAAAGATACTCTTATTTAGGAATCAGTCCCATCCAATATCCACTACTGACCTCTTCATTTTTGCCTTGGACTTCATAGTTAGACATATGCTAGCTGCAAAGAGGAGAAAAGGATAGGAAATCATGCTGCCAAAGGTAAGCCCTCCCAGAAAAAGCTTCAAATCACAAAAGATGGCACCACAAAACCTCAGGAGCAGGCACGAATGCAACTCAGAAGTGCCTGTAAGCTGGGTGTGGTGGCTCATGCCTATAATTCCAGCACTTTCAGAGGCTGAGGCAGGAGGATTGCTTGTGTCCAGGAGTTTGAAACCCGCCTGGGCAACATAGAGAAATCTCATCTCTACAAAAAATAAACAAAATTAGCCAGGCTGATGGCATGCACCCGTAGTCTCAGGTACTCGGTAGGCTGAGGTAGGAGAATAGCTTGAGACCAAGAGGTCAAGGCTGTAGTAAGTCAGGATTGTGCCACTGCATCCCAGCTTGGGCGACAGAGCGAGACCCTGTCTCAAAAACAAAACCAGAAGTGCCTGTAGACATTTCAGTGTGTAGAGCCAGAGATGACAATTTGAGGTGATAATCAAAGCACAAGTTGAATAATCCTGCTGAGAAAAAAATGCACATTAAAAACCGCAGAGGTTACCAGCTGGGCCTTGGGCACAGCAGCATGCGGTGAGGAGAAACAAGAGAGGTGAAGGAAAGAAAGATTAGCCTGAAGGGTATTAGCATCTGGTCACACGGAAGGGAAAAGGTCGTACTTGGGTCAACTATTTATAGACAGAAGAAACAAGGTCCAGTCTCCAGAGCCAGGGACCTGGTGATCAGAGGTCAGGGGTCACTAGAAAGATCTCTGGGAAAAGTATGTAATTTTCTACAAAATACTTTAATATCTACCCCAATTTAACCTTTCCTGGTTTTAAGGGGCAGGAGGGAGAGGAAGGCAGTGTAGGAGCTAGGCAAAGTCAAAACAAAAGCTGAATGGTATTTTGTCTCACTGCACATATTCATACAGAAATGTGCGTACATGTGGACACTGAGTATATGTGTGCATACTTAGCTATTCAATTGTACTCATAACTGTATTCACATCTATATTTCCTTCAAAAAAGTCCTGGGGCAAAATAAGAGACAACCTGAGTAAACTCACTAGACTTAGGGCAATTGCTATTACGATTTTCCATGTGGTTTCCATAAGCAAGGTGCACACACTTGACACCACACACCACAATAGTCAAATGGAAGGGAATACAATAGGAAATGGTTCTGAATCATTAGTTCTCAGCACTGATTGCACACCAGACCATCTGGGGAATTTTAAAAACACTGCCACCTGACTCCCATCCTGCAAGATTCTCAGATAATTACCTTGGATGCCACCTGGGCATCCTGATATTTAAATGGTCCCCAGGTGATTTTTAATCACTGCCAAGATTGAGAGCCAATGATGTGAATCAATGATACTCCAGCACATGGGCGCAATAATCATTTCAACAACATAACCTTGGGGTCAAGGAGTGACCCATATTTAAATGAACCCACCACGCCTGTGGTGAAGTTGTCACTGAACTAATTTGGAGCATCTACCATGAATAGAAACCAGTCCAGCTGGAATGCAAGAAGTAAGCAACCAGGTCCTGTCTGGTGCGCCTGCCACCCCAAAGGCTTGGGTCAGGAGCTTCTGAGAACCAGAAGCCCAGATTCGAATCTTGAGAAGCAGCCAAAAGTTTTGCTACAGGAACACATCTTACAGCCAATTATTATGCATGTTATTGCCACCAAGTAGGCTTCATGATGAGGGGTGGAGGTGCTAAGGAAGGGCTCCTTTCTAGAACTTCACCTTGACATTTAAACTGATCCTAGAGAACTTTTCTACATTCAACAGTGTTGGGGAAATGAGTTTTATACTCAGAGGTTATGCCATAGTGAAGGATAGTTCTCTTTACTAGAAAGCCAACTCCAAAAAGGAAGCTTACATATCATTTAATTTTAAAAGTCACAGAATTAGAAATTTTAAGATACCCCAAATCTCAATACTCTAAACTTAAAGATATATCATTTACTAACAGTGCCTATGAAGTGCAGCTCACATATGCCAAGTGCACTGCTCCCAGCCTCCTCCCTGCATTGTTTTATACCCCGTGCTCCTCTGTGCCATCTGGTCAGGTGTGTCAATCCTCCTTGGCACTTTCTCATGATTCTTTTTTTCACAACTATTTCTATAGGAGCATCAAGGATGAAGAACAGTTGAATGCAGTTTTTCTCAGTGTCAAATACTATATATTACTCTTCAAATCAAAATTCAAAGTGGAGCCGGGAGTGGTGGCTCCCACCTGTAATTCCAGCACTTTAGGAGGCTGAGTTGGGCAGATCGCTTGAGCTCAGGAGTTCAAGACAAGCCTGGCCAACACGGCAAAACCCCCTCTCTACTAAAAATCCAAAAATTAGCTGGGCATGGTGGTGGGCACCTGTAGTCCCGGCTACTCGGGAGGCTGAGGCACAAGAATCATTTGAACCTGGGAGGCAGAGGTTACCGTGAGCCAAGTTCGTGCCACTGCACTCCAGCCTGGGCAACACAGCGAGACTCTGTCTCAAAAAATATATTTAAAAAAAATTTCAAAGTGGTACCTAATAAAAAAATCTTACAGATCTTTTTCAACAGGCTATTTCTCAAATTAAAAAGATACTAAAGAGAATAATAATTACTGAAGAGAAAATCCAAATGCCATTTAAATGTGTCAACAACCGTAACTCAGAGTTTTACAAGAGCTAAGATAGTAAAGAGGTAGACAACATCACCGCTAGAGAACGAGACAAACCCTAAAACTGAATTTTATAAAAAAGTATAAGCCTAAATACCATTCACATTTAGCTTACAGAACCTTAGACCATGAGCAACTGATGAAACGTCCAATGACAGACTATCAAGGCTTTACAAAGCACTGTATCTGAGAACTGGTAAGTATTCAGTTTGACAATATAAGATGTTCCAATAAGGAATTAATCAGGATAATAAACAAAGTATATGAACAATATGTCTAGCTTTCTAACAACAAAACAAGTTATTTCCAAGTTCTAGAAAGCCATATCTCAAGGGATTAGAACAGAGACCATTAAGGAGGAAGAGAGAACTTGAATTGGCAGGGAATGTGCTATATAATGGCACTTCCGTCTATAATCAACTTCAGAATGCATACTCCACAGGAAATAAGAGATACTATGGCTCTTCAAGCAAGCAATGGTGTGTTAAAATTAAAAAAAAAAAGAAATACTGTGGGGAAAAAAGAATGAAGGAGAATAAAGATATTAGAGTCAAATATAAATTCCGTATTATACCTAGGCTCTGGGATCAACACCACCTCCAGGCTTTCCTAATTCATGTGAGCATGGGTTAGCATTAAAAAGGCACTATTTTACTTTGAGGTGATTACATTGCTTTACTCAAAGAACTTGGTGGAATGGCTAAAGTTTTAAAAACAAACAAAACTAACGATACTAAGTATTAGTGAGGATGCAGGGCAACCAGAACTCACATACACTGTTTGTAAGAATGTAAAACCGTAGAGTTGCTCTGGAAAAGCTTGGCCATTTCTTATAAAGTTAAACATACAGTTACATGAATCAGCAATCCCACTCCTAGGTATTTACCCAGAATAGATGAAAACTATGCTCACACAAAAACCTGTAGGTAAGTGTTTACAGCAGCATTATTCATAATTGCCAAAACCCGGGAACAACTCAAATGTTCTTTGATAAACCATCTGTGATACTTCCATACAATGGCAAACTACTTCATCAAGAAAAAGGATGTACCACATCCTAACATGCACAACAGTGTGCCTGAATCTCAAAAACATGATGCCAGGTGAAAAATTCAGACTCAAAAGGTTACACAATGTGGGGCTGGGTGCAGCGGCTCACGCCTGTAATCCCAGCACTTTGGGATACTGAGGCGGGTGGATCACCTTTGGTCAGGAGTTCATGATCAGCCTGATGGGGTTTAGTAGAAACCCCATCTCTACTAAAAATACAAAATTAGCCGGGCATGGTGGCACATGCCTGTAATCACAGCTATCCGGGAGGCTGAGGCAGGAGAATCGCTTGAACCCAGGAGGCGGAGGAGGTTCCTGTGAGCTGAGATTGTGCCATTGCACTCCAGCCTGGGCAACAAGAGTAAAACTCCGTCTCACAAAAAAAAAGAAAAAAAGGTTACACAATGTATGATTCCACTTTTATGACATTCTGGAAAAGGCAAAACTAGGAAGATGGTAAACAGATCAGTGGTTGCCAGGGGTTAGGTGTAGGAAGAGAGTCTCACTACAAAGGTGCAGCATTAGGGAATTTAGGTTGGAGGCAGAGGACTCTTTGGGATAATGTTAACGGTGGTGCTTACATTACCTATACAGTCAACAAAACTAAAAAAAGAAAATAAAAGAAAATCCGTAATTTTTTTTGCACACAAATTATTTTTTTCGAGAAGGTGTCATGCTCTGTTGCCCAGGCTGGAATGTGGTGCTACCATCTCGGCTCACTACACCCTCCGTCTCCCAGGTTCAAACAATTCTCCTGCCTCAGCCTCCTGTGTAGTTCGGATTACAGATGTATGCCACGACACCTGGCTAATTTTTGTATTTTCAGTAGAGATGGGGCTTTGCCATGTTGCCCAGGCTGGTCTCGAACTCCTGAGCTCAAGCGATCTGCCCGCCTTGGTCTCCCAAAGTGCTGGGATTACAGGCATGAGCCACCGCACCTGGACTGTACGCAAATTTTAGAATAGATTTTTTAAAATCCCTCTGCCTATTCAAGGATTTGTAATTTTTTCCTCTCACCAGCAAGCTTTATGGGAGGGTCTATTAAATTGGCTACCTTTCTTCCCAAACTGCTTATCTCACAATCACTTCTAATCTGATGTAGCCCCAACTCTTGCACCAACAACTGAAATTCCTCTTCTGGGGTTGGTCAGTGACTATTTGTAACCAAACCAACAGCTTTTTATAAAATGTCTTCATCAGTCTTTGAATCCCTTACCTCTCCATCCCTCTCAGCAGGTGTGACATTGCTCAGCTGTGCTTTTCCATCTGTCTGCTTTGCTGGCTCTTCCTCCTCCCATGCTTTACAGGTCGTCTCACCCCTTTGTGGTTTTTCTGAGCTCTCCTCACTCCCAAACCTTCAGCTATTATTCCTTTATGGAGTGAATCCCAGAGTCCTGACCTCTATTTTTCTCTTTTAGTCCTATACTTCCAGTTGCCTTTTGAACATTTCCACTTACAGATCTCTCTTGTACCACACATTTTCATGTCTAAAGCAGAGAGGTTTTTTTCCTGTTTCTCCCACCAAAACCTGATTCTGCTGGACACAGTGGTGCATGCCTGTAGTCCCAGCTACTCGAACAGCTAAGCCGGGAGGATCACTTGAGCCCAGGAGTTCAAGTCCAGCCCAGGCAACATAGCAAGACCCGCCCCCCATCTCTTTGGGGTAAAGAACAAAACAGGTCCTCCTCATGAATATTTTCCAATAAGTCAATGAGCCAAACTCAAACTTGGAAAAGTCTCATATGTCACCTTTTTACCTGCAATCCTTTGACACATGCCCCTGCAGAACCTTAAATTAATCGTCTCTTCCTATTGCCATGCTAATGACTGCCTGGATTTCTGCAGGAATCTCAAAGTTGGTGTGTATGTCGCTGAACTCTTCTTCAGTCCATCCTCAAGTCCACGTTGCTACTTTGAAATGAGGACCAGCTGAGTAGACCTAGCCCTTCATTGATCTCCAGAGATTTGGCTAATCTGGCTAGGCAGATATTCCTCATGCATTCTCATCCCTCCAGGTGCACCCTTCCCAAAGCAGTAAAAGAAAAAAAAAAAAAAATCAATGGAAGAGAATGACTTTCCCAGAGGGAGGAACTTTGCTTTCATTAGCTAAAGGCACAGCTGAGCTCTTGTTAGAACTTGCAATCAATATTTCAAGATTCATGGGCACAGAACTACCTGATTATTCCTGCTTTAATCAATATCCTTTATTCTCAAGAATCCTCAACACTTCCCCCACTACCCTACCCCAGAAAAATGTACTAGCCTCTCAGTTTGGCCTTCAGCCCTTCCACAATTTGACTTCGATGAACAATCATTCCTAACTGACCTAGGACTTTCTTTGAGCTTTACACATGTGTCAATATGACCAAAACTTTGCTCTTTTTCACACCTGCATCTTTTTCTCCCTTTCCTCCATCTAATTTTATATCCCACTTACCCATTTTTAAAAGTTTATTTTTTTATTTTTTAAATTAAAACAAATTTAATTTTTTTTTATTTTTGTGGGTAAATAGTAGGTATATATATTTATATGGTACATGAAATGTTTTGATACAGGCATGCAATGTGAAATAATTACATCATGGAGAATGGGGTATCCATCCCCTCAAGCATTTATCCTTTGTGTTACAAACAATCCAATTACACTCTTAGATATTTTTAAAAGTACAATTAAGTTATTGACTATAATCAATCTGCTGTGCTATCAAATAGTATTTGTTACTATTCTTATTCTTTCTAACTTTTTGTTTTTTGAGACATGGTCTCGCTCTGTCACCCAGGCTGGAGTGCAGTGGTGCAATCTTGGCTCACTGCAACCTCAACCTCCTGGGTTCAAGTGATTCTTCTGCCTCAGCCTCCCAAAGAGCTGGAACTATAAGCGTGCGCCACCACACCAGGCTAATTTTTTTATTTTTAGTAGAGATGGGGTTTTACCACGTAACCCAGGCTAGTCTCAAACTCCTGGCCTCATGTGATCTGCCTGCTTCAGCCTCCCAAAGTGGTGAGATTACAGGCGTGAGCTACTGCCTCTGGCCTTTTTTTTTTTCAAACCATTAACCATCCCCACCTCCCTGCCACCTCCCACCCCCTACCCCCACTACTCTTCTCAGCCTCTGGTAACCATGCTTCTACTCTCTCTGTCCATGAGTTCAATTGTTTTGATTTTTAGATCCTACAAATGAGTGAGAAGATGCAATGTTTGTCTTTCTGTGCCTGGCTTATTTCACTTAACATAATGATCTCCAGTTCCACCACTTTTTAAAATTTAACTTCAGTGCTGTATCCAGTATGTTCTTCCTGCTGACCACAGCCGGAAGTGATTCCTCCTTCACTGAACTCCTCATAACCTGCAACTGTTTGTTGGTGAATTTTGTCTTCCTTGCTAAATTCAAGGATCATTTGTTCAACAGCCTTCTAACCACCATAATGCTGAATACACAGAAGGTACACATTTCTTATTCTAAGCCTCAATATTTTCAATTCTTACATCAATACGAGGCCCGAGTTTTTAAAAATAACTCTTCCAAATGATTGTTTCTCATGCATTGGGAGGCAAAGATGTTAGAATTTTTTTAGAGAAAATGCCAGTGTAAATAAACTGTGTAAAAATATTTCACACAAGCCTATCAATATTACATAAATGCATGCTCCTGAGCACAATTGCCTAGTCTAATAATAACGTTTCCTCCTACTTAGCAAGATGTAAAGGTAACAGCCATATAGGATGGGAGAAAAGCTATCTAGCTATGTGAATGAAGCATCTCTTTCAAAGGGGACAAGCTTAATACCAAATTGACGTCTGAGCCCTTATTTAATTGCAGATATTTAATGTGGACCCTTAGAGTTAAGTGACACCTACAAGATCACTTTTTGATTTGGAAAAGTTCATGAAAGGATGGTCACGAAAGAGGCCATGTTCACCACACAGGTTGCTAAAATGGACAAAAAGCCCAATTCCAGATTCTAAGTCATGACCCACTTCCCAAAATATCAACAGAATTGACAGGTTATTGGCATTAACTTATTCCTTCGTGCATGAAAGCTTCATGAATTAATCAAAAGCAGCTTTAAATTTGCTTTTAGTTCAGGAGGTTTTTAAAACAGGCTATCAGACTAGGAAATTAGTGCTGTACACTCGCTTTCCACAGCTCTTGAACATGAACATAAAATTAAATATACAAAGCTTGGGTAGAGGCAGTTTTGTGAATATCACCCATCGTAGGTCGACTACTCAAAAAAGGCTGAAAAAGGACTTGACATCCTCTAGTGGTGATGTCTTAAACTTGTTTCCAAGGCAATTTTTTTTTTCCCAGCTCTTAACTTTGGCTGTTGGCAAGAAAAATATTATATTGGAAGAACTTTTCATCCTCAAGAAAAATAAATGTTTTCGCCACAAAGAATGTGATTTGACTAACTTTGAGAATATATACCCACAGAAATAGGGTTTTTAAATGTTGGGTTTATATAATAGCTTTCAATATGCTTAAGAACGGTCTCATTTCATAGGCCACACGCCACCACTGTCAATTCATCTTTGATACACATATACACACACACACACTCACACATATAATTCTGAACACATTACAGGTATCATTTTTATAATAACCTGATATTCTCATCTAAAGTGCCCTAAAATTAGACCAGTCTTTGTATAGAGACCCAAAAACTAAGAGTTATTTAAGAGTGGACTCTACCTCATAATAATGAGTTCTAAAAAGAAATAAAATTAATCCCTCAAGAAATGTTGCCATTTAAGGTGGCAATTTTCAACTCTTGATGGTAATAGTTTCTCTGTCCACGGCCACCCACCACCACCACCCCCCCCCACCCCCCCAACAATTCCATACAAACTTCTGATTGTTTAAAAAAATGAGACTTGCAGTATTTGGATGTGTATAATGTGAAATATGTTCACCAGAATGAAGTGCTAAATTAAAGTCTCATATTCAGATATAGGTCATGTGTTTTAAATATATGGAATAACTTAAGTTGTTGAAATTCAAACAATCTCACTTGTTCTCTCAAAATAACTACCACCTAGATTCAAAAAAATACATTTACACCTTCCTTCTTTCTTTGGCACCTGCTGACACAAATGCTTCTGAACACTAAAAACATTAATAGTAATCTTGGGGTAGAAAAATAGGAAAGAGATGCGGGGCCAGAATTAAGTTTTCAGTGAAATTATAAAGTATAATTATTCAAGACCATATATAAAAAATGTCCTTTGGAAAATGAAGTTTTTAGGCAAAAGTGTGGAAGAAATGTTTTCTATGAAGGAGATAACAGCCAATTTAACTCCCTTTTTAATAAAAGAAAATATTACACTGACAGGCACATGGTTGATTTGTATATTAATTGTTGGAAGCACGGCCTATTCCTTAACATGCTCAGGCACTGAATATCCTACAGTTTGTAGTCAGTTCACTTATGTCTGAACAAGTTGTTCACGTGCAGATTCTAGAAAGTTTATTTTTGAGCACAAACTAACACTTAGCTCGCTAGAACAATGTTGTTTCACATGCAGTTACTGGGTCAGGGTTAGGAACGAAAATCATGCCGTATATTTACAAATGAGGATGCTCCTCTCCCGGGGCCCTCACTTGGGGGAGCCCCGTCCCAGCGTCTAGCTCATCAAATTCCCGAAAGCAATTACAAAGGCATCTCTTCTCCACCCCAAAACAAAATAATGATCTACCAATCTTGCGAACACATTAAGACAAACTCCCTACAGGAAGGAGCATGACTTAAACAAGTTCAAGATACTTTGTCAGTCTTAACCTCAGGTATCTTGGCTGAAGGGATTAAATCATTAGACTTTACGTACCCAACCTCTTCCTAGCAATAGCAGATACATAATTTGCAAATACTGTTTCAGAGCTCTCTGGACCTTTCACGTTAAAATAAGCATACTTGATGGTGGGGAGACAGTGATTCTTACATTTAGGAAACAAATGCTTCCGATTGTGACCGTATGGAAGTGGAAAACAGCTTGCAATTGGAGAGTCTAAGAATTGAATTTCTTTTTAAAGTAAGAAACTGCCTCACTGCCCCCATCCCCAAGTGTAGGAAGATATAGAAACAGCTTACTGGCCAAGAATAGAAGAGGGAACCAGTGGAGAGGGACGGATTTGCAAGATAGCCTCTGGAGAAAAAAAAATCACGAGGGAGAAAAATCGGCTTCATACTATGGAGAGATGGGCGGGGTTGGGAAGCCTTGCTGCTGGTCTTGGGAAGCCTTGCTGCTGGTCTTGGGGACGTGATCCCCTGTCCCTAAGTGTGCCCCTGGAGGTTGTGGGGGAGGGGTATCCTCAACACAGAGGCCTGACCACCAAATCCCGGGCTGCAGAGCCAACAATCCTCCTTTGGGCTCCTGCACAGACTAAAAACAAAAAACTCTGAGAACTCCGACAAGTCAACGAAAGTCTGATCCCGTCAAGCCCGCACTCGCAAACCCCCACCGTGCTGCACTGGGCCCCGGCCCTCCCGAGCTCGGTCCCCTCGGACGACGGTCGTCGCCACTGCGGGCACCAGATTGGGGGGCGGGCCGCTCACCCCGCGGTCCTGCCCCACACCGACCCCGCTGAGGAGCCCCCGGCACCCGGGGCGACCAGGGAAGGCGGGAGGAGGTGCCCAGAAACTGCTCGTCCTGCCAGTCGCACCTGGCCGACGACTCTCTGGCCACTGGTTTGGTCTGGGGGATACGATTTCCCATTCAACTGAATTAGACCCGAGGCCGCGGCGGGGAGGGCAGCGGCCGGGGTCTCTCCGTTTCCTCCCCCGGCTCGCCTCCACCTGTTGCGGGAAAGTCGCGGTGGAGCGCCCGAGGGCGGCCGCAACCCCGGCCGGGGCCGAGCCGGGCTGGCCGAGCCGCGGCGGCGAAGGGCGGGGGAAGGCGCTCTCGGAGCAGGGTGCGCGGCGCGCAGGGCCGGTTGTTCCGGGCCGCGGCCGCGCGGGCGGGGAGGGGGCTGCCGGCGCCGGGTGATTTCGGTGCCAGCCCGCCGGCCCCGCTCGCCGTCCCCTGCCCGACGGGACCCCCACTATCCCCGCTGTGCGGTCACCTGTTTCGCTTCGCACTGCGCCGTCGCCGCCCCTGTGGCCGTCGCCGCCAGCTCCTAGCTCCGCCATGGTGCTCCGATGACGCGCCCGGAGAGCCGCTCCGCCCTTTCCTCGGCTTGGCTCCCGCCGGCCCCCGCCTCCCAGGCCAGCGGCCCAGACAGGTGAGCGCAGTCCGGGGATGGCGGAGGGCGGGGACAGAGAGCGCGGCAGTCGGCTGCGGCCTGGGCCTGGCGCGCCCCCTCGCGGGCAGGTGCGGCGTGGCAGCCGCTCCGACCGCCGCTGCCGAGTCTCGGCTGGAAGAGCGGCGGGCGGAACCAGTACCTCAGTCCGGAGCTTCCGGTCGCCGCGGCCGACCAGCTGAGGGCTCCCGGAGATATGGAGCGGGGTCAGCGAGGCCTGGTGGCGCCTCCTGGAGTCTGGGACGAGCGGCGGTCCGAGGAGCAGCCCAGGTGGGGCGAGGGTACGGAGACGCTATTTCCCTCCGAACTCTGAAGTAGCCAGGTCAGTGTCGGCTCCGCGAGGGCTGGAGTTCACGGTGACAGCCGGCAGAGCATCTGATGCCACGTGGAGAGGCGAAGTACATGGGTCGGATTCCACGCTGGGAGCCGGCCTGGATCTGCGCTTTAGGAAGCCACTGCGGGCGACCCTATCTTGTCGCCAGGACTTCGCATCTGATGAGCCTCAGGGCACACAAGTTAGAGAGGCTTGTGCCGGCTGATGTGGCTTTTCTTTTTCTTAGTTTCCGTTTAGTAAACGACCTTGTGACTTCTGGCTTGCTCAGGAAGACCAGAAAAAAAGGCAATAGGTAACGAATTTTTCTTTTTTTAAAGAAACAGATTATTGGCCGAGGAAAAACCAATTTCGCTCTAAAGGATAAGCAACAAAATACTGAGGGGGGAAAAAGCCTACACAAATGGAAACATACGGCACAAAATCAAGGAGCGACCAGTTCCGCATGGTTACACTAAAATGCACTGCACTCCCACTCTCTGGCTTGGCTGAAGATAACCAGCAAGCTCTGAACAGTTTAAAAGCCTTCCAAGGACTGCAGCAGCACTGGACACACAAGAGAGTCGAGAACAGTATTGGATTTATTGTTAGGGTTACAATTTTCACGATCTTTGCATGCAAAACTTGCCACTCTGAGCCCAGTGAACTATTTTTATTTGGTTTACTTACTGGCTTTCTGGATGACTAGGTAGAGCTTTAACTAAAGAACACTTCTGCTGTGGTCTGTGATGATGAATTTTCCCGTAGTGTCATTTCTATAATGGAATAGGCAAACTGACCATTTAGAATGTGATATTCCTAAATCACATTCAAATCAGTCTTATCAGAGACTTCTAATCAATAAAAATAAAGCACCAGATGGCTAGAGGTAGTTTTTGACCTCAGCTTGGGCCTCAGCAAAGATTTTTTGTGTTTTTTTTAACTACATTAAAACATCAGAGTTTAAGACACTTTTCTTTGAGCATCAGAAATACTCTCAGCTGAATTTAGAGTTGAACTATCCGGAAGAACCCTGGAGAAGGAGGGTGATTTATTTTCAACTTTCTGATTTACCACCGACTTAAATCAACCAATGAGTTCTTTCTTTGACCAAAAAAAAAAAAAAAAAAAAAAAAAAAAAAAAAAAAATTCAAGACTTGTGATGTTTCTATTTGTTTTGTTTTGTTTAGTTTGGTGTGTGCTTACTCATTGTCCCATTCTTTTGATAACCTGTATTTATCTGCCACAAGTTAAACAAAAATAAATGAAATAAGGAACACACCAAAATCCTGCACTTAGGCCCTGTATAGACAGTGTGTTCCAAACCTAAGGAGGTGTCTGCAACAGGGGAGGCTGCTGAGTGACTCTGCAGAGAACAGATGACATCTGTTAAATGTCAAACACCATCACGTCGTACTTCAAGTTGTACTTTACTTGGAACATGGAAGCCATCTGTCTGGAGCTCCCACATCCATTTCAAATCTTCAGGGTTCCCCATTCCAGGGGAGGAGCTGAACCTCCTGACACCGTCCACTTCCCTCCTGCCTCCTTCAAACATCATCCCTTTTTTCTCCCGAATCCCTAAATGTTTCTGCACCCAAGGGCTCTACCCCAATAAACACAGCTAAGACTCTTTGATTCTTAAAATGTCTTCCTTTAACGTCCCACCCTCCAGAATCTATTGTCGTATGTTTTGTTCACCAAAGGTAATAAAAATAAATGTGGATTTTGGTGCCGTTATTTTTCAAAAAAAGCTATATATTAATAGTTTTTCTTGCTTATGTATACAAATCAAATTACTTATTTTTAAATCCATCATTCCCCTAGAGTTTCTGCAGCACTTGATCCTCTAATCACCTTGCTCTTGGTCTACCATTGGCTTGGTTTTTCTCCTTCCTCTGTAGCAGTCCTTTCGTCTTTGTTGACTCAGATTCTTCCTCCCTTCTAATCCTCCAATATTTTTACCATCCCCTAATTGTAAACCACAGGCTTTTTATCTTTACTGTCTCTCACAGCCCTCATTTACTATTACTTCCATCCCGGATCCTGGTGACTCCCAACTCCAGAATATATACCCTTAACCTCACTCCTGACTTCCACTAATACATTCTGAATGGTCCCTGCACAATTCTATCAAGATACCCTGCTGTTAATTTAATATGTTCCAAACCACATTAATCTTGCAATATACAATCACTTTACACATACCTCTCCCTTGCTCAAAAACCTTTAATAGATTCCCCGTTCCTATATAAGTAAATATTAACTTCACCTCCTCACCATCACCACCACCACCCCCTAATTGGGCCCTGAGCTCTCTACTACCCATTTCCACTTTTCACCTCTGTAACTCATATTTCTAGCCCATGGAGTTGTTCATTCTCCAGAACACCTTCCAAATCCCTGCTTTCTAGTCTTTGTGCTTGAAGCTGCTCTGCCCGAAGTGATGTCCTTCATCCTGACGTATTTAATAATACTTTCCCTTTGAGGCCCAGGTTAAGGTCTACTTCCTCCATGAAGCCTGTTCTTCCTGCCCTGGCTCCCAGCATGCCTGTCCTTTGGACCTGGCCAGGGCTTGCTGGGCTTGATACTTGTCCAGCTGTTAAAATAGACTAGGCATGAGTTATTGCAAATTTGCCTTCTCAATCTGATGCACATTTTTGGTAGTAGGGTCTTTGTCCTCTACTTCTCTACAGGGTGTCCATAAAGTCTAGAACTATCAGTTATTTTATTTGTTCACGAGTTGCAGATGTTCTTGATGACATCATGTGCACTGCCTGCATTCTGAACTTGGTAGGCATGGTATATATCTTTTGTGTTGCTACCGTGCCTCACACACAGTGGGCATTCAAATGGGTTAATAATTCCTCAATGCCAAGCTTTTTTATGTGGTGGCCTAGGGATGAACGAAACCAAGTATCCAATGACAGAAGAAAGAGATCAAAATGCAGTTAAAAGGAAACATTAGATCTACTTCTCCCAGCAAATTCCTGTTTTGTTTCTTTTATAACACTGCCACCACCCCTGCATTAACTGTTCTGTTTCAAACCATCTTTCCAGGCTCAGCTCTGCACCTTCACTCCTCTGGAAAGCTTTCCTTGACCCCTTCTGACAGTAAATGTAACTATAGCACTGACTGCACCACTGTTGTTTCTGCTTTGTCTTGATTCCTTGACAAGAAACTTCAGGGGAAAGAACTGTATCTTGTTGGTGCACCACAATATGTAGTACCCAGTATTTAATAAATACTTTTGAATGAAGGATAAGTGATGGCAATAGCAAGCATATCTCAGTGTTTACTGTATGCTAAGCATTGTGCTGAGCACCTCTCCTGCATTGTCTTTTCCTTTTTGAGACAGAGTCTTGCTCTGTCGCCCAGGCTGGATTGCAATGGCGTGATCTCGGCTCACTGCAACATTCACCTCCTGGGTTCAAGCAATTCTCGTACCTCAGCCGCCCGAGTAGATGGGATTATAGGCGTGCGCCACCACGCCTGGCTAGTTTTTGTAATTTTAGTAGAGACAGGGTTTTGCTGTGTAGGCCAGGCTGATCTTGAACTCCTGGCCTCAAGTGATTCACCCACCTCGGCCTCCCAAAGTGCTGGGATTACAGGCACAAGCCACTGCGCCCAGCCTCCATTTTCTTATTTACATCTTATAGCAGACCTATGTGGAAGGTACATCATTTCCTCCATTTCACAGATGAGGAAGCTGAGACTTGGAGAAACTAATTCAGTTGTTCCAGGTCACAAGTCAAGTTACAGTTTTGCTTCAGGCCTGGGTGTGTAGCCTCCTGCTACGCTAAACAAATGATGAACGTTAACCATCTTGCTATTCCCTCTATAGAAAGGGGCTCTCCATTTCCCTCTCTAGCTGTTACCTGAAATAAGGAGGTGAAGCTTGATCATGTTAAAACACCTGTGAAACTAATTTTTAAAAAGGGTATCTGGGCCCAACCCCAGACCAGTAAAAACAGTTTTCCGGCTGGACACAGTGGCTCATGCCTGTAATCCCAACACTTTGGGAGGTTGAGGCAGGATGATCACTTGAGCCTAAAAGTTCGAGACCAGAGTGAGCTGAACATAGTAAGACCTTGTCTCTACAAAAAATTTAAAAATTAGCCAGACATGGTGGTGCATGCCTGTAGTCCCAGCTACTTGGGATGCTGAGGTGGGAGGACTACTTGAGCCCAGGAGGTCAAGAATGCAGTGAGCTATGACAGTGCCACTGCATTCTAGCCTGGGTGACAGAGACTCTGTCCCAAGAAAAAACAAATAACAACAACAACTCAGTTGTCCCAAGGTGGTGGCATCAATATTTTTGAAAAAGCATCCAAGTCATTTTAATGCGAAGCTGAGTTGAGAATCACTGGCCTAGATTGATCCTAAAAGCGTTTCAAATGCAAACCTTTCCATAATGGAGTCTTCCATAATGGAACTGTCTTCTTTTGTGCCTGAGACCCAAAATTCTCACAAATGGCTAATGATGTTGGCCTGGGAGTGTGTTAGAACCCTGTAGGGACAGAGGATCATCTGCTCACAAAGACAGGGTAAGAGGAAGGTACCAAGGAAAGATTGTATCCTTGAAGATTTGGTTTATGGTGGGTAGCTGGATCCTATATACAGTCAAAAGAAGCACTTCACCATTAGAATTGAGAAGATGAACTGTGGCTTAATAAACGGCTTACTCTGTGTTTCAGTATGAGCCAAATGGCATATCATTGAATTTATACCTCACTTATTTCAGAATATCCACACAGGATACCAGAGGCAACTCTGTCCTCCAAATTAGGATGTTAAAAAAGAGGCCAGAAGCAGTGGTTCACACCTATAAGCCCAGCACTTTGGAAGGCCAAGGCAGGAGGATCACTTGAGGCCAGGAGTTCAAGACCAGCCTAGATAACACAGTGAGATCCCACCTCTACTAAAAATTTAAAAATTAGCTGGTTGTGGTGGTGTGCCTCTGTAGTCCCAGCTACTCTGTAGGCTGACATGACAGGATTGCTTGAGCCTAAGGGGACAAGGCTGCAATGAGCTGTGATCGTACCACTGCATTCCAGTCTAGGCAACAGAGTGAGAACCTGTCTCGATCAATCAATCAGAAAACATTAGTGAGAATGTTTTCAAAATAAAGATGTCTTCTGCTTTGTCAAAGACTGTTGTTTATGAGTGAAATCATGATATACAAACAGCTCTATGTTATTTTTATCCTGCCTAATAAACAGGTTCCTCTGTATTTAAGAAAATGTATTTCATTTATCCATCTAGGAGCATCAGACTTCCTTTGATCAATATGGGCAGGCTCATAAAAATATACTACTCAGCTTAAAATAAATAAAAATGTTTATCCAAATATAAGAAAATTAAGGAGACAGAAAAATACAGTATTCTTGGCCAGGCATAGTAGCTCACCCCTGTGATCCCAGCACTTTAGGAGGCTAAGGAGGACGGATCACTTGAGGGCAGGAGTTCGAGACCAGCCTGCCCAACATGGCGAAACCCCATCTCTACTACAAATATAAATTAGCTGGGTGTGGTGGTACACACCTATAATCCCAGCTACTCAGGAGGCTGAGGTGTGAGAATCACTTGAACCCGGGAGGTGGAGAATGCAGTAAGCTGAGATCACGCCACTGCACTCCAGCCTGAGCAACAGAGCAAGACTCTGTTCAAAAAAAAAAAAAAAAAAAGCAAGCAGTATTCTCCATTAAGATGGTCTTTGCAGACCCCTTAAGATATACCATAGTTATCCAAGATAACTTGGGGCCTTGAGAAAAATATACTGACTTTCCTTTATTCTTTTTTTTCTTCATCCTCTTTTTTTTTTTTTCTTTTTTTTTGGTGAGACAGGGTCTTACTCTGTTGCCCAAGCTGGAGTGCAATGGCACAATCATGGCTCACCGCAATCTCGACCTCCCGGGCTCAAGCGATCCTCTTGCCTCAGCCTCCCATGTAGCTAGGACCACAGGTGTACACCACCATGCCTAGCTGAATTTTTGAGTTTTTGTAGAGGTGGGGTCTCACTTTGTTGCCCAGGCTTACCCTCTTTCTTAAACCTCTGTTCCTCTGAGGAACAACCTGAATGTCAGTTGTCTGACTGCTTGAATAGAAGACAGATTTTACTTAATGTTACAGCTGGAGAAATGACTGGAAATTTAACACAGCAGATTATCTAGTTTGTCAACACAAAATAAAAATTCTTTAGAATTTATCAAAACAGTATGTTGAGAGTCTCTTTAATTTTTAGAGTAAATATGACACAATGGATAGCTTTAGAACAAGCTAACATTACTACAGTTCAAGCATGTGCAACTGGTACAGTTCAGTAGTACATAAACGACTCAAACAAATGTACGACAGGTCAGAAACTTAAGTTACAAAATAGAGTCAATATTACAATTAACACAGAGAAGTAAAAACCATTGCTCTCAGATTCTGCACACTTAAAAAAACATAAACTTTATACAGTAATTGAAATTACGCATTTCTACTCAGATTATTAGAGCATATTACAAACACACAGAAGCCTAAACAGTTATGGTCACATTTTGGTTTTGTTCCAGTGGTGCACGATCACATGAAATGTTACATCCGTTTTGTGTGAAATAAACATTTGGCTGAAGTGCAATAGCTGCTGCATTAAAAATATTTCCATAAAAATGCTTAGATTAAAATCTTCCTGAACATTAGGGTTCTAATGTTCAGGATTATTTTAAGAGTCCTTATGAAGAGTCCTTAAAAATTATAGAAATAGATGTAGTTAGGAAATTTCAGTGTGTTTTGTCTGTTTTTTTTTTTTTTAACATGAGTAAACAAATACTGGATTTAAAGTGCAGCGCCTTTCTCCTCTCCCTTCGATTTTCCCACCCCCAAGAAGATCAGCTCTGTATTAATTTTTAGAATTTCCATCGAAGATTAGATTGAGCAACAGTCAAGTCTGTTTGTTTCGAAAGTCAATGATAGCCTTCCACAGTGTGCACAGCATCCCTCCCCTGTTTAAAGACACAAGAACATGGTGAAACGAACATTTCATTTGAAACATTGCCCTTGAAATAGAAAAGTGACTTCTTAGCTTTCATCTGCTCTGGTCAGAAGAAGATCCCAAAGTCTGATCAGTTATTATGTATTCTTTTTGTATATTTTTTCTCATCTTCCCTCCATTCCTTCCCTTTTCACTCCCACAAACTGCTATGTCCCAAAACATCATTTTAGAGTTTCAGCATTTTTGAAATTTGTCTTTATAATGGTGGGTATAATAGTTTTATGCTTGGGCTGGGCGCGGTGGCGCATGCCTGTAATCCCAGCACTTTAGAAGGCCGAGGCAGGCAGATCACGTGGTCAGGAGATCGAGACCATCCTGGCTAACACAGTGAAACCCCGTCTCTACTAAAAATACAAAAAAATTAGCTGGGCGTGGTGGTGGGCGCCTATAGTCCCAGCTACTTGGGAGGCTGAGGCAGGAGAACGGCGTGAACCTGGGAGGCGGAGCTTGCAGTGAGCTGAGATCACGCCACTGCACTCCAGCCTGGGTGACAGAGTGAGACTCCATCCCGAAAAAAAAAAAAAAAGTTATATGCTTGGCCTTAATTAACAAGAAATTATATCAGATTATACCAGGTTTTTGGAGGGCAAGTCAGCACCTCCTCCAAATATTTATTGAGTATAACACCATCATGAACTCAATTAAAGCATTTGTTTAAGGCAGCTTCAGAATATCTGCATGGACTTAGTCTGCATCTTATTCAAAAAAATTCTTCCAGTTGATTTTCACTTACTAATATAGAAATATTGGTTATTAGAGCCCTCAAAAATATCATTGTCCAACTAACTCAGTTTACTCAGAGCAGCTAAGAGCTAGAGAGCTCTGTCCAGAACTACAAAGCTAATTAGAGACCCAGCCTGGGAAGATACTCAGACTTTTTGATATTTGCCTGGTGCTCTTTCCATAGTGACAACAGAAAGAAAAGTGGTACCTTAGTCTCAAGCATTTTAAGTCATCACGTGTAACATAGTAGAGAACATCCAATAGTGTATAATCTTCAGCCAAAAACTGTAGAGAAAGTAGAATATGCACAAAAGATGTTTTATATAACTTTAATAAAGCACAAACTCTATTCATAATGTAAACCTTGACTATAATTAAAAATGAATCTAAAAATGAAATCTACTAAAAACACAATCTTCCAGGATTATTAGGGGAAAGGCCTCCCTGTTACTCAATAAATACAAAGAAATGCATCCAGGCCGGGCGCAGTGGCTCACGCCTGTAACCCTAGCACTTTAGGAGGCTGAGGCAGGCGGATCATCTGAGGTCAGGAGTTCGAGACCAGCCTGGCCAAAGTGGTGAAACCCCATCTCTACTAAAAATACAAAAAATTAGCTGGGCGTGGTGGCGTATGCCTGTAATCCCAGCTACTTGGGAGGCTGAGGCAGGAGAATCGCTTGAACCCGGGAGGCAGAGGTTGCAGTGAGCTGAGATTGACCCACTGCACTCCAGCCTGGGCGACAGAGTGAGACTCCGTCTCAAAAAAACAAAAACAAAAACAAAAACAAAAACAAAAACAAGAAATGCATCCATATTAACTTCCAAATGCAAAAAGATTACAAGTGACACAGAACTTCTGAATGGTCTTCTAATGAACAGATGAGACTCACTTGTAATCACTCTGCTGTTCAAAAGCAAATCTTGTATTTAGAAGTTCAATGCTACATAGCTTTGTTTTTCCTCAAGTGGATAAAAAGTGTTCCTGGAAAGGTACTGCCTATGCTTAATTTCTGAACTTATTTTTTCATGGTTAAGCAAAGGCACTTGACTGTAATTCACCATAAAAGCAGAGTCTTAATTTAAACTGCACCTTTATATTTTTAAATTTTATTTATTTTTTTATATATAGAGACAGTCTCACTATATTGACCAGCCTAATCTCCAACACGTGGCCTCAAGCAATCTGCCTATGCTTCCCAAAGTATTGGGATTACAGGCAGGAGCCACTGCACCTGGCCTCAAGCTTTTACTTTTAAACCAAATAAAAAGGGTGATTATTTAGTAGATTATCAATTACTATTCCTTAATTAGGATTTGAGCCTAAGTTAGAGGAATGTATATTCTGGAGTTGTTTAAATTTATTCAGCTGTAACTTGTTAAATGTAGATTTCTAAGGCGGCCCGAAATTCTACTTAGTTAATAAATTATCAAGTCAAAAGAAGAGATATCTTTATTCTTATTTATTTTTAAAATTTAAATATAAAACAAAACAATATTGTATTAAGAGGGTCTTTCTATCAAATATTACAATGTTTTAATGTATGCCTGTGTGTTCATATAATGAACATAAACAAATGCTATTCACGCTCATTACAAAAGTCTATAGGGGCTGGGCGCAGTGGCTCACACTTGTAATCTCAGCACTTTGGGAGGCTGAGGTGGGCAGATCACTTGAGGCCAGGGTTCGAGACCACCCTGGCCAATATGGTGAAACCCTGTTTCTACTAAAAGTACAAAAATTAGCCAGGCTTAGTGGCATATGCCTGTAATCCCAGCTACTTGAGAGGCTGAGGCAGGGAATCTCTCGAGCCTGGCAGGCAAAGATTGCAGTGAGCTGAGATCGCACCACAGCATTGCAGCCTGGGCGACAGAGTGAGATTGTGTCTCAAAAAACAAAATCAAAAAAAGTCTATACAGAGCAGAGAGGAATTAGATTATTACAGGTAAAATATGGTTTGTATAGAAAATATTTCTGAAATAAGTCGACCAGATTGATTTTATTAAGTAGCAATAAAATAGCTGCTGCCCAGTGGAATCTAATAATGTTGAAAAAGAATTAAAAATTTAACAAACAGGCCTGGCGTGGTGGTTCATGCCTGTAGCCCCAGTACTCTGAGAGGCTGAGGTGAGAGAATCGCTTGGGGCCAGGAGTTTAAGACCAGCCTGGGCAACATAGCGAGACCCTATCTCTAAATTTTTTTTTTAATTAGCTGGGTATGATGGTTCATGTCTGTAGTCCCAACTATTCAGGAGGCTAAGGTGGGAGGATCACTTGAGCCCAGCAGGTCAAGGCTGCAGGGAGCTATGATCACTGCCCTCCAGCCAGGGTAACAGAGCGAGACCTTGTCTCCAAAAAAATATAAAATAAAATAAAATAAAATAAAATAAAATAAAATAAAATAAAAATTAACATACAAAGAATTAGAAACAAGAAATTTTTTCTTTTAGTCCTGTCTTTATTTTTTTCCCACTCTTTCTGGTTTTCATTTCAAATACATAAAATTCCTAAGGGGCTCAGGACCACAGAGCTTTTGCCTGCCTCGTTGGATTGTACACACTGCAGCCCCACTGCACAAGGTTCTTCCCTGGTCTCCCTCCCACACCCCTCCTGAACATACATACAATTGGCCTATTTATACCCTCACATTCTGTTAGCCTTCAGCTCTTTCATTCCCTTCTCCAACAACCTTCCCCAACCTCTCTCGCCCTATCTAATAAACACCTGATACCTTTTTCTTCATAGAATTTACCAGTGTAGAATCACATTTGTATCTGTGGAGTTAGCTGATTATCACGTGCCTACCCTGGTCTGTAAGCCTCAGGAGGGCAGGGCTGGGTCTGATTTGCTCACCAGTGTATCCCCTGTGCCTGTCACATAGCAGGCACCCAACATTATGAAACGAAGTGAAAGAATACTTGTCCCACAGACAGTTTTCTTTACCCGGCTTATAGTGTCTTCATCAGCTCCATTCACTCTCAGCCAGTCGGTAAGTTCAGAATCTTCAGTATTTGTGCCAGAAGAATTTAGATGAAATACAGGCAATTCAGGAATTTCTAGAACAGAATTTTGGGAAGATATTCTTAATTTCACCTAACAGAGGTCATCTGAGACCCTCACAATCAACAGACATTTATTGATACTTTAAAAGATTTTGCTCTATCAGAGAACAGTTCATAGAAACAATTGAGATTGGCAGTATAGATGATAATATGAATAAAACTCAGAGAAGTGAATTTACTAGTAAATAAGGAGCAAAAGCAATAATGAAATGACACTCCTACGTTACACTTTCATATCAATTTTATGGTTTCTTAGAATAAACTCTGTGCACCAAAATTAGACTTTGTGTTTTTCATGCAATAAAGATGAATACAATTAGCAGAGAACTATATAATTATCATAATCTCTTTTTCCACTATGAAAGAGCCACATATCTAAACAAATAACTATGAATTCTGTTTTCCTCTAAATGGGCTAAATAACATTCTCCCCAGCTATGCCTTTTTACTACTACATCTTTATTCTATTTAAGCCTCTTCAAATTATAAGGAAAAAGGCTAGAATACACAGAATATAAATGCAAAATGACAAAAAATAGTATTATTTATTCTAGTAAGCTCATTGTGAAATCTTTAAAAATAAAGACTAAAAACAGAGAGCCCTGTTTACCTCAGTAATACATAATCTCAGGAAAAGATGATTATGAATAATCTATTTTTACTGCACTTATAAGAAATGAGTTTGCTACAGTTAAAAACTGGATTTTTTTTTTTTAAAGGAATTCCTGCTTGCAGTCATGGTAGAAGTGAGAAATGCTGACTTAGCCACAAATAAAACTTCCTGTTGGCTTTCTTGGCTTTTTGTGGCAGCCTGGCTGAACAGTATTACTATAAAACTTTCTGCTATTCACCTATGGGTTGGGACTTAAGCTTCAGGTGTTTAATTTCTTGGTCTTTTTCTTCAATAGCTCGATGAAGGAGTGCTTGTAATTCTTTCTCTTTCCGAACCAATTCTTCCAGTAATCTGCAGAAGAAAAATATATTGTTTGACAGGAGGTGACACAGGGTGACCTTCTTTTTTTTATTTTTATTTTTTTAGATACAAGGTCTCTCTCTGTTGCCTAGGCTGAGTGTAGTGGCCCAATTATAGCTCACTGCATCCTTAAACTCTTGGACTCAAGCGATCCTCCCATCTCAGTTTTCCAAGCAGCTGGGAATACAGACATGCACCACCATGCCTGGCTAATTTTTTTTTTTTTTTTTTTTGTAGAGACAGAGTCTTGCTATGTTGTCCAAGCTGGTCTCTGAACTCCTGGCCTCCAGTGGTCTTTCCACCTCAGCCTCTCAAAGCTCTGGGATTATAGGTGTGTGCATGTGCCACTGTGCCAGGCCTAGGATGACCTTCTAGACATGAGCTATAATAAGCACATACACCCCTAATTTTATTGAAATACAGATACTGGTCCAGTGCCCCGGGGGTGAGTTCTGAGACTGTATTTATAATGAGCTCCCAGATGACACTGATGTTGCAGGTTCACAGACCCTCAGGTCCAGAAGCTAAGCTTTGGAAGACTGTGCTTGCCGACAAGAATTCAAAACCTCCACCACAGATTGTCTGCCAAAATCTTCAGAGATGTGTCCTGATATTTCTTGTTATGACCATAAATGTCAAAGATATAAATATGGGATACAGATATTAACAGGCCTATATTTTACATGTATGGACCCCCATTAAAAAAAGTTGGCAAATGTGCATAATTTCATAATCAATGCAAATCAGAAAAGTAATCACTTTTTGTAAACTATGAAAATTTGAGAAACAGTCATAGGTGAGGTCGCCTAGAATATCTGGCATATAACAAATTCTCAGTAAATGTTCACGGTTGTTGCTACAATTGTGATTGTTACTATTATTCCTCTTCCTTCTAAGGGGGCGGGGGTGAAGTGGGTAAAAGGATAGCTGTGTTCCTGGTACATTCAGTTCCTAGTTGGCATCTGATGCAGTCTCCAAAGAAACAAGGAGAAACTGTGATATTCATACCAAAGTTCTTACCCATAGAAGGTTCACTATGCAACTGAGAGCCAACTGGTAACCTACTCACCATTTCCAATAGAATTTCTCAAAGAAAACATTCCAAGTTATGAAAAGAGGTGCTCTAATTTTTTAGAAAAGTATCTTAATGTAAGTTGGATTCAGAAATAATAATTTAAAATATATCGTTATTAAGATTATCAGGATAAATCGTTGCATAAACTACAGCTCTTAACAAACTCTATTTGTTTCATTTTCTGAGTATTGATAGATTTAACTCAAGAGTTTGTTTCTGCTTCACTTGACATAATCTGAAGGCAGCATCGTGCAACTGACAGATCTGGGCTTGTGTCCTGGTTCAACCCTGCACTTCCTGTGTTAACCTTAGATAAATTACCTAATGCCTCCAGGCTTCAGTTTTCAAATCATTTGTAAAAAAGAAAACTAAAGCTTCCAGAAAAGATTATTGTGAGCATTAAATGAGACAGCATAGGTACAGTGCCAAGTCAGTGTCTGGTCTTTAATAAGGGATGTTCTGTTCCTTGCTACCTCAGTCCCTGGAAAAGAGCCTTTCCAGGACTCAGTGGGAAGGAAACCTTCCCAGACCCCCAGGCTCGACCCCATTCCCACAGGACATAAAGATGAGATCCTCAGAGAGAAGGGATCACAGCAGAGTAGGTAGCAGAGGTGGGACAAAAGTAAAACACAATAAGAGGTAGACAGAGAAGGTGGGTGGAGGAAAATAAGTTAACAAAGACAGCTGCAGGGTAAGTGTGGTGCACAATGAGGTGGATGAAGCAGCATGAACTGAAAGCTAGAAGAGGGAGCACAGGGTCTTGGAGGGAGGCTTCTTATCTCTTTCAAAACAAATATTATCCAAAGAAATGGGCAGGAAGCTCTGTGTGAATGTTTAAGTTGGCAGTTTTTTGATCTGGTATGTATTTTTGTCCTACTTGCTAATTTATACGTATAAGACAGTGATGGTATCTTCTTACTGTTTTCTCAAGGAACACAGTGATGTTTTCTAGAGTTTAACCTATGTTTGTCTAGACTATGTAATTTCTTTTTATCTTTTGTTAAAGTGAATGAAATATGGCCTGAGAAGGACTCCGTACTTGCATATTTGAGTCCTCGTGGACAAACTATAACTTAACAGGTAGACAAGATTGAAAACCTAACTTAGGAGTATGCGTCTATAACAATAGCTGAGTCTTGGCTAATCCCAGGAGCCATACTTCAACCACTCATACACTGCTGAGTGTTCAAATAAGGTGAACGCCAACCCATAACAAATCCAGCTCTTTCTGCACACTTCTGATTTCTGTACGTCACTTTACTTTTATTTTCTATAAATTTGTTCTGGCCACGAGGCATCCCTGGAATCTCTCTGAATCTGCTGTGATTCTAGAGGCCACCTGATTCACAAACTATTTTTTTCTTTTTCAATTAAACTCCATTAAATTTAATTTGTCTGAAGCTTTCTTTTAACACCTTAAACACCAGAACTTCAACACTGGAAGCAGAGTATTGACAGCCCACCTCATTTGCTCCGAATCCAGCTCTTAGAAGTATTTATCTTAAGAACAATCCAGTACATCAATTTTATTTTTATTTTGTGTTTATTTAGCAGGGCAATATTTTGAAATCAAGGCAACTGTCTGCCTTTCTGTTCCAAAAAAGTATGGCAGGATCTGCCATGAGGTCAATTTTTAACCTTGGATGGGCAGGGGTGATGAGGTGGATTGGTGGGTAATTCCAGAACTGTAGGATGGGGAAATTAAATAAACAGGCAGCTCCTCTTGAGACAGGTTTTTGTTTTTGTTTTTGAGATAGGGTCTTGCTCTGTCACCCAGGCTGGAGTGCAATGGTGCAATCATGGCTCACTGTAGCCTCAACCTCTTGGGCTCAGGTGATCCTCCAAGCAGGATAAACCTGATTTCCCTTCATCAGTGATCATCCTAAATATTCTAAGCTTACAATTTTTAATATGAGAGCTACAACCTTTCCTGAAAACACACTAACATTTCCTCTAGATTCATTTTGCGGTAGGTATGCCTTTATATTTCAGGTAATATTCAACTGAAAATTAGAAGGACCAATATGGACAGGACTGGTCCCTTATTTCAATTACTTGGTTTTTGTACTAAAGCAGCTGTCCTTTCTTCAAATCATGCATGAAGCAAACATCGTCCCTCATCTCACTTTTCTGTGGGTGATGGAAAGCCGTGGGAGATATTACTGAAAAAGGAAAAACGAGGCTGATTATCTGTAGATTTCACAGACTCAAATGTAAATATGCAGAGGAAAAAGCGTAAATGTGTGGGTTGTTGTGACATACTAATGTAATAAAGAAATGTGGGTAAATACTAGTCTTTTCAACAGAGATGGGCAGATGTGAGAAGCAGGCCCTCAGCTAGAACCAAGAGACACTCAGAAGAGAAAGGGGAAGCTGTGAAGAAAGCGGCCGGAAGCCCTCAGGGACTGCAGATGGCCCAAGCATGGTAGACAGACAGTGGCGCCAGGGTGGCGAGCACAACGCTAACCAAATAGGCCAAGGAGAGAAGGAAAAGGACTTGTGTCTAGGCTGCATTAGGAGAGGCAGGTCCTATTGACACAGCCAGGTGTGTAGACAGGAGGTTTCAGGGCCAGAAAAGCAGATATACCAGCTCTTTGGTAAACAAAGTAGTTTTACTATCTGCGTAATTCTAACCAGAAGGCATGGGTGGGAGGAGGTCAACCAAAACAGTAATGAGTGAACTTTCCTCCTCCAGAGATCACAGCAGGAGTCCAAAAAACACCACCACTCAGGACTGGGCAACAGAGAGTAACCTAGAGATAAGTGACTAACATGGACACCTTCCATAACGATGGGGTGTTATCCTTGGACTCTTGCTTGAGAAGAGGAGGAATGAGGGAAACCAAGATTTCCATGAAGTCTCAGAAGAGAAAAGACCCAAGTTCTTTCCCACTAAATAGTAGAGATGGCAAGAGCTGGGTTTCAGAGGACAAAATTGGGATATGAAAGTCAGAGAGGCAATCTCCCTTTATTAAAATAAGACTGCTCTATGCACATCATAGAAGATGTGTCTATATGGATTTACTTAACAATGCAACCAAATTTCATGTTTCTGAATATAGGATGAGCTTTTACCACTTGTACTCATTTTGGTATACAAGCTTGCCTTTAAAAACCTAAACTTTATGACTGGAAATAAGATATTTTTAATCTCCCTGGTGAATAACTAGCATTTTCAATTAAGGTTTCTAAATATTTGAACAACTTTTATTGATTCGCTTAAAAAAAAGTTTTTAATGCAAACCCAGAGTCATAAAGTCAGTTTCCCACATGTCAACTGTAGGCAGCACAGGAAGCTATAAATCATAAAAATTCAGACCTTGAACTGTACCAACAACATCTGCAAAGAACAGGAAACATTTGCTGTTAATAATCTGATCCTGTGGGTTCTATGCTAGCAAATTATCAAAGGCAAATTATACTCCAGATATGTTACAGCATATCAAAAATAAAATAGAATCATAAATGTGGTCAATTATCTTCCTTTTTAGGTTCTAAAATACAAATCTTTAGCACCATTAATTAGTTTTGTTCCCTCGACCTCAGTGATCTTCCTCTCCTATAAAGACTTGACTGGGCTTTCAAAAACATGAGCTTTCTGTTCTTTTCAGCTATCTACTGGAAGGTACATGCTGCTCTGAGCCTGTTTCTTAGACAGTCTATGAGGCTACAACGAAGCTATTGGAAAAATCTTAGGGCACCTGGAGATGAAGAAGTAATCAAATGCCGCTGAAAAAGGCTTAAACTGGTAGAGGCAGAAAGTGGTATTTGACAAAAGAGGCTAAACTAAACTTCTCTTGTTTTATAAAGAAAGGCATTCAATCAAGTTTCCATGAATGGGATAAGGGAATCATATTCTGTAGACCAAAAACACATGCTCTTTAGTAAAAGTAAAAGAAAAGAAACCAACCCACGTCAGTGTAGGACTTACCTATTGGTTTCTATTTTCATCCTTCCAAGCTGTACATTCAGTGACCGGTGAGCACTCTGGGAATCATGAGACACAGTAGAACTGAGCGTGCTCACGCCTGAGGTAGCCACAGCATCTTCAATGACAGCCTGAGGTCTTCGGACAGTTTGATTTGAAGGCTGTTCCTCATGGTCATCTTCTACATCCAAGTCTTCTTGATCAGCAGTATCACTCTCAGATGCAAGGCTGAAATGTGGCCTTAGTTCTGTTTGGCATAATATCAGTGGTAGTGTTTATAAAATATGACTCATTGCCTTAATTTCTTAAGATATGAATGCTACCCTCCTGCCCCACCGTCAATAAGATATATATTCCAAACTGCTTTTCCAAAAGTGAGGATGGATTTCTGTAGACTCAGATTTGTTCTTCTATTGAACTTGCAAAATTCACAAGATATGATCTAATTCAAACAGAAGGAAAGAATGATCTAATTCAAACAGAATGATTTAATTCAAGAATGATCAATACATAGTCACATTGCACATATGTGGGGAAAATGCTAGGAATCTGAAAGAAAGGTAAAGATGTAAAAACCTTTTAAGAATATTTAAAAGTGTTTATACAAGTAAAGTTCATTTTCAGATTACATAATATCTGACAACTATTAACTTGCTTACAGATAAGGAAAGTGAGCTATACAGAGATTATATAAACACACGTGAATATGCAGAATGCTTTCTGCCTGTAACATCCAAAATGTAAGGGGATACAGGGCAGGTGCTGAAAATGCCACACGCAGGCTGATACTCACATTAGTAAGACTATCTCTCTTTGACTATTGGGCCGATTTCTAGTGTGTGTTCTCCTCTAACCTGTTGACTAACCATTGAAATTTAAACCATAGAAGTTACAATTTTCCAACTTAAACATACTATATAACATGAGATCACCTGCATGTCAGTTTAGAACTTGGATGATATTGTGGCTGGGCACAGTGGCTCACGCCTGTAATCCCAGCACTTTGGGAGGCCAAGGCAGGCATATCATGAGGTCAGGAGTTTGAGACCAGCCTGGCCAACATAGTGAAACCCCATCTCTACTAAAAATACAAAAATTAGCCGGACATGGTGGCACGCTACTTGGGAGGCTGAGGTAGGAGAATCACTTGAACCCAGGAGGCAGAGGTTGTGGTGAGCCGAGATCATGCCACTGTACTCCAACCTGGGCAACAGAGCAAGAGTCTGTCTCAAAAAAAAAAAAAAAAAAAAAAAACTTGGATGATATTGTAAACCAAAAATAAAATTCTAAGCCCCCCAACTGACTGAAGAACCACCTACCCCCAGGCCAAGGGGATCCCCAAAAAAACCTGAAAAAACTAGTTCAGGCCATTATGGGAAGAAAGGTCAGATATTCCTGGTTATACCTCCTCCCTTTGGAGTTTAGGCACAACTGACCAGCATTACCATTAAAATAAAGATCATAAGGCTGACAAAACAGACTCTTTGTAGCAATAAGATAACAAATTCCAACCTGACTCTAGTATAGCATCCCATGACAAACAACAGGCCATAAAGGAAGTCAAAGTATTTTGCCCCAAAATATATTTCTCTGACATATTTTGGAACGGTCCTGCAAAGTCATCACTTGTGGGGGAAATCTGCATTCTGTAGAGAATCCCCTTCCCTTTCCAGGTCTTTTCCTGATCCATGAGAGATTCAACTAAGAGTCTCACACTTTTTAAGGTCCAATAAGAGATTTTACCATCTATTCTCTCTGTAGCTTGTTACTTAGGGGCTTCATCTACATAATAAGAACCTTGGCTTCCACAATAGCCCTTATCTTAACTCAAGCATTTCTTTATGCTGACTTCAACTCTTCAGTCAAAGCTTAACTCTTTCAACCAATTGCCAATCTTTGAATCTACCTATGACCTGGGACCCCAACCACTTCCCCACCTCCCAATCCCTGCCAGATGTCCTGCCTTGCTGGGCTGAACATCTACCTTACATATATTGCTTTATGTCTTTGCCTGTAACTTCTGTCTCCCTAGAAGTATACAACCAAGCTATACCCCAACTGCCCTGGGTACATGTTTTCAGGACCTCCGGAAGCTCTGTCACAGGTCATAGTCACTCATATTTGGCTCAGAATAAACTTCTAAATATTTTACAGAGTTTGGCTATTTTTTGTCAACAATATCTTCCCATAAGAAAAAATATTACAAATTGTAATTAAATCCTTAAACTTGGTCCACAAAAAGGAATTACAGTCATAATTTAAGTGAAATCAAGGTAGCAGAAATATTGAATTTTCACTCCATATGCTTCGGCACATAGAACATTTATCGGATCATGGAACCTACTAAAAATCTGATGAAAGTCATAAAAACTCTCCCCAGAAGAAAACACATACATGCAACATTTTGCCTAGATTTCCTCGTTTTACCTAGATTTTGCTATATTTGCACAGATTCCCTGAAGCCTCTCCCGAGTCCATGAACCACAGGTTAAGAGCCCGTGTGTACAGGAGGGGAGTCCATTGGGAGCAATGGAGGACCCCATCCCACCATTCGTATATGGGCACTTTGGCAAGGTCACCAAAGGCCTGCCAGCCAAATCCTCTAGGTACCTTTTTATATTTACCCTATTTGATCTGTGGACAGTATTTTCCTCTAAATCTCTGGCTGCTATTTCTCTTCTTCAGAGCCTTTTTATCTACTAACTGCCCACTTTTAAGCTGGAACCTGGGATTCTATCCTTCACTTTTTTATGTTTCTACTTTTGCTCCATAGATGAGCTCATTCAACTCCACGAAGGTTAAGTATTTCAGATGTGTGGATGACAAACTCTACACCTCTAGTCCCGGTCCTGTAACATCTAGAACATCCTGGACATTACTGTTCGGTAGGCACCTTAAAGTCAACAATCTAAAGAGAACTCATCATCTTTTGATCATAACAAAAACCAGAGTGTCCTTTTTCAAGGCCCAGTTTACATAGACCTGGCTTTCTTTATCCCTCTTTTAAAATTCTGTATAGTGGTTTTAAAAAGTGCATAACAGAAAATTTACCATCTTAACCATTTCTGAGTACACAGTTCAGTAGTGTTAAGTATACTAACAGTGTTATGCTACCAATCTCCAGAATATTTTCATTTTGCAAAACTCAAACTCTGCCCATCAACAACTCCCCATTACTCCCTCTTCTCAGTTTCTGGAAACTACCGTTCTACTTTCTGTTTCTATGAATTTGACTACTCTAGACACCTCACGTTTATAGTTACAGGAGACAGATAAATTCCTAGGCAGACAGGGATTGATCTCCAGTGAAACCTGACCTTCAAACCAAGGACAGTTTAAAGCCTGAGAAGCAAGCTGCCAATTCTGGAGAGAGTCCACAACCAGAGTGAGAACATCTATCCCCATTTTACCCACTCTCTCTCAATTGGTTCCTTCTGAATGATGTCTTTTAACCAATCAAATGGTGCTTTTTCCAAGACCTCCCATGGACCAATCAGCATGCACCCCCCTATTCTAAGCCCATAAAAACCCCAGACTCAGCATCACAGATGGCTACCCAATTTCAAGTCCCCTCTCAATGCTGAGAACTTTCTTTCTGTCACTCAATTAGATTCTACTCTGCTTTACTCACTCTCCAATGTCCGTGTACCTTATTCTTCTTGGTCACGGGACAAGAACCCAGAACTCACTGAACTGTGGGAGTGAAAGGGATGTAGCACTCCTGCTCGCCAAGCTGTCAGCGGCAGGAGTAATACAGCTGTAACACTCCCTCCCACTTGTCGAACAATGGGAGAGAATAAGCCACTGGGTGCCACTCCCTCCCACTTGCTGAACTACAGGAGTGAAAAAACCATAAAATTATGGAATCATATACTATTTGTCTTTTTGTGACTGGCTTATTTTACTTAGCATAATGCCCTCAAAGTTCATCCATGTTGTAGCATGGGTCAGAATTTCCTTCCTTTCTAAGGCTGAATAATATTCCATTATATGTATACACCACATTTTGTTTATCCATTCATCTGTTGCTAGATACTTGGGTTGCTTCCACCTCTTGGCAATTGTAACTAGTACTGCTATGAATATGAATGTGCAAATGTCTCTTTGAAATCCTTCTTTTAGTTTTTTTGAATATACACCCAGAAGAGAAATTGCTGGTTCACAAGGGTGCTTTCTTCTATCTTTAATTTCTGAGGAGCCATCATACTGTTTTCCATAGTAGCAGTACCATTTTACATTCCCAACAACAGTGTACAAGGATTCCAATTTCTCCATGTCCTCATGCTTTATCTCTTAAGGCTAACCAAACTTCACCTCTACTCTATCTCATCTCTTATTCCAAAATCCCATTTCTTAATTTATTGATAGTACGGTAGGAGTAAGTCAAAATCATGTGTTTTACTTTTGTAAACCCAGCGCTGATTGCAGGGGCTAAACGTATTAGGTCTTCAAAAACTGTTGGCAGAATGGAAGAGTATTCCTACTAGGGTTATTTGGTTATTTGTATTTAGAAAGCAATAAAATAACTTAAAAATAATTTAAGAAAGTGTGATTCTAGATTAAATTAGAGGACAAGATTAGACCTTTTACAACTTTCTATAATTATTCTTCAATTTATTTCATGATTTCTAAACTGATTTTTTTTTTTAAGACGGGGTTTTGCTCTTGTTGCCCAGGCTGGAGTGCAATGGCACGATCTTGGCTCACTGCAACCTCCACCTCCTGGGTTCAAGTGATTCTCCTGCCTCAGCCTTCCGAGTAGCTGGGATTACAGGCATGTGCCACCATGCCTGGCTAATTTTGTATTTTTGTAGAGATGGGGTTTCTCCATATTGGTCAGGCTGGTCTCAAACTCCTGACCTCAGGTGATCTGCCCGCCTCGGCCTCCCAAAGTGCTGGGATTACAGGCGTGAGCCACCATGCCCAGCCCTAAACTGAAAGGTTTGTAGTCCTGTTGACTATAATCTCACTTTTAGGGAAGGAAAATTTATAATCCTATTATATTTAAATATCCTCTTAATTCTGTAAACTTTAAATTATCATTTTACGTATGTATATATGACGTAAAAAATTCTCTGAATTAATTTAAAGAAAGTAGAAACTTGTAAGTTCATGCAGTGCTTTGTTATTTTGGTCTTTCATGGTGGTTCCCTGAGTGCATGTCATCAGATTAAACATTGTAAAATATGCAAATGACACAGAACATCTGGTTCTTTTTCTCAAAGAGATGACAATCTAAAGGAGAACTAGGGCAAATACACAGAAGAGCGCTGAGAGCACATTGAAATATAACATGAAATTATAAGCACAAATTAATACAGCTACAAATATCTCAGATTATCTCAGGTATAGACCTAGTTATATATATAATTCACATGTACACTGAGATGGTTAATTATATATGTCAACTTGACTGGGCTAAGGATGGCCAGATAGCTGGTAAAACATTATTTTGGATGTGTCTGTGAGGGGTGAGGGTGTTTCCAGAAGAGATTAGCATTTGAATCAATGCACTTAATAAAGAAGATGGCCCTCTCCAATGTGGGCAGGCATCATCCAGTCCACTGAGGACCTGAATAGAACAAAAAGATGGAGAAAGGGTGAATTCTCTTTCTCTCTTCTTGAGCTGGGACATCCACCTTCTCCCGCTCTTGGATATCAGAGCTCTTGGTTCTCAGACCTTCAATTTCAGTTGGCTCCCCTGGTTCTCAGGCCTTTGGAGTCAGACTGATTATACCACCAGCTTTCTTGGTTCTCCAGTTTACTGATGTTATATGGTAGAACTTCTCAGCCTCCATAATCACATGAGCCAATTCCCATTATAAATCTTCTCTTATATATCTCTATGTATCCTATTGGTTCTGTTTCTTTGAAGAACCCTAACACATACATGTAGTAAGAGTGCTAAGGGGTAAATAAAGTACATTTGCAGTGACTGAATCCAGTGGTAGTTTACTCACTCACTAAGGGATTCATGGAGGCTGAAGGGCCTATGCAGAGTTCTGGGGGAGGGGAGCCTTGGCTTGATAGAGAAAGAGGGAAGTGTATTTGAAAGAATGAAGCTCAAACGATGGCCCAGGACCCTCTGAGAACAATGTAAAGCAGAGGGGACTGTCAGGAGACAGCCATGTGTCAGGAGAAAGACTGGGACTCAAGGGGGCCTTAAAGCCCATGAGTGGAAAAGTGGAGCCAGTGCATTGTTTCCAAACCAGCAAGATGGGATCAACAACAAAACTATTCCCACCCAAATGGTTACTTCCCCAGAGGAAGGAAAATAACTAGACCAAGTTTCTTTTTCTTTTCTTTCTTTTTTTTTTTTTTGAGACAGAGTCTCACTCTGTCACCCAGGCTGGAGTGCAGTGGCATGATCTTGGCTCACTGCAACCTCCGCCTCCCAGGTTCAAGTGATTCTTCTGCTTCGGCCTCCTGAGTAGTTAGGATTATAGGCATGCGCCATCATACCTGGCTAATATTTGTATTTTTAGTAGAGATGGGGTTTCACCATGTTGGCCAGGCTGGTCTCAAATTCCTGGCCTCATGTGATCTGCCTGCCTTGGCCTCCCAAAGTGCTGAGATTATAGGCATGAGCCACCACGCTTGGCCTAGACCAAGCTTCTTTAACACAGAGTATTTCTAATGCTTAGTAAGATCATAATACTTGTGAGTGCAGTGTATAACACTTGCATGAAGCTCCTCGTACGTACACAATGCTGTTCAATTCACATTAATGTGAACTTGGAGCACATGCTTGATTCAGTTAACAACTAGTGGTAATATCAAGTGCTTGAAGCAGCTGTTAACAATTATTGTTGATAGAGGAAGTATGCTTACATTATCAATACTCTTACCTTAGCACGGCCATCATAGTCTCTGTGCTCAGCATTACTCCATCTGGTCACCCACAAGCAGACTGTACTAGAGGACTAATGCTGCCAATAATCTAAAGGCTGATTCTTGATGACAAGTGAGAAAATAGTCTGAGAAAAAACAAATTCTTAAGGGACTTGTACTGTACTCTCTGTTCTGTGTGCTCCTTTTGGAAAAAAGATTAAACACTTTTTTTTTTTTTTTTTTTTTTTGAGAAGGAGTCTCGCTCTTTCACCCAGGCTGGAGTGCAGTGGCACGATCTCGGCTCACTGCAGGCTCCACCCCCTGGGGTTCATGCCATTCTCCTGCCTCAGCCTCCCACGTAGCTGGGACTACAGGCGCCCGCTACCTCGCCCGGCTAATTTTTTGTATCTTTAGTAGAGATGGGGTTTCACTGTGTTAGCCAGGATGGTCTTGATCTCCTGACCTCGTGATCCGCCCGCCTCGGCCTCCCAAAGTGCTGGGATTATAGGCGTGAGCCACCGCGCCCGGCCTAAACACTTTTTTTTTAACTTTTTATTTTGAAATAATTTTAGGATAACAGAGAAGTTGCAAAAATAGTGCAGAGAGTTCCTGTATAGCCTTCAGCCACTTGCTCTTGCCTTAACAGTTTATATACCTTTGGCACTATTATCAAAACCAGGAAATTAACATTGATACAATACTATTTTTTTTTTTTTTTTTTGAGACAGGGTCTCACTCTGTCCCCCAGGCCAGAGTGCAGTGGTGCAATCTCAGCTCACTGTGGCCTTGACCTCCTGGGCTCAATTGATCCTCTCACCTCAGCCTCCCTAGTAGCCAGGACCACAGGCACATGCTGCCATGCCTGACTTATTTTTGTATTTTTCATGTAGAGATGCGGTTTTGCCACACTGCCTGGGGTGATCTCAAACTCCTAGGCTCAAGCAATCCTCCCACCTCAGCCTCCCAAAGTGCTGGTATTATAGATGTGAGTCACCACACCTGACTTTGACACAATACTATTAACTAATCTATGGACATTATTTGAATTTCACCAGTTTTCCTACCAATGTCCTTTTTCTGATCAAGGATCCCTCATTATAATTAGTTGTCATGTCGCCTTAGTCTCTTCCAGTATGTAACTAGTATTTCTTTATTTCTCACGACCTTCACCCTTTTGAGGAGTATTGGTCAGGTTTTTGTACAATGTCTTTTATTTGAGGTTCACTGACGTCTTCTTGTGATTAGGTTGAGGTTGTGCATTTTTGGCAAGAACACCACAGTGTGATGCTGTGTCCTTCTCAGGGCATCCTATCAGGAGGTACATGATGCTGATGTGTCTTCTTACTAGTGATGCTTACCTTGATCATTTGGTTGAGGGGGTGTCTGCCACATTCCTTCACTGTAAAATTACTGTTTTCTCCTTGTAGTTAGTAAATATCTTGTGGGGAGACAGTTTGAAAACCATCCACATATATCCTGTTTCTCCTCATTCTTTTGCCTACTTTAGCAGTCATTGATGGTCCTTGCCTGCAATAATTATTACTGTGGTGTTTGCCTACTGGTGATTTTCTGTTTTCCTCATTCATTTTTATTTATCAGTCGCAATTCTACTATAACAAAAAGGTGATCTTTCTCGTCCATATATTTATTTATTCAATTATTTATATTAATATGGACTCACGGATGCTTATTTTATTCTATAATCTATAATCCAATATGATCATTATTTTATTGTTCAGATTGTTCTGGCTTGGACTGTTTGGAACATTTTCAGGTTGGCTCTAGTGTCCTTTCAATAAATCTCCATCCTTTTTGACACTTTCTTATTTCTGGCATCACAAGGTGTTCCAGGTATTTATTTATTTATTTATGACATGGGGTCTCGCTCTGTCGCTCAAGCTGGAGTACAGCAGTGCAATCATAGCTCACTGTAGCCTCTATCTCCTGGGCTCAAGCAATCCTCCCACCTCAGCCTCCCAAGTAGCTATGGGCATGCACCACTATGTCTGCCTAATTTATTTTTATTTTTTTAGAGACAGGGTCTTGATATTTTGGCCAGGCTGGTCTCAAACTCCTGGCCTCAAGCAATCCTCTTGCCTTGGCCTCACGAAGCCTTAGGATTACAGGGGTGAGACACCATGCCCAACTACAATCTTATCTTTTATTTCCCCTGCCCCCAGCCCGGAATCAACCACTTCTCCAAGGAAACCCAATTCCTTTTATTGAAGAATGGCATTTAGAAACCAAGATTTGGGTCTTCTCAGTAGACAGATCTAGGAAATGAACGTACAATCATGTACGGTATAATAACATTTCAGTCAAGGATGGATCGCATATATTACAGTGGTCCCATAAGATTGTAATACTATATTTTACTATACCTTTTGTATGTTCAGACACACAAACACTTACCACTGTGTTAAAATTGCCTACAATATTCAGTTTAGTAACACACCATACAAATTTGTAGCCCGGGAGCAACAGGCCATACCATAAGGCCTGCGCATCTAGTAGGCTCTGCCATCTAGGTTTGTGTAAGTCCACTCTAGGATGTTTGCAGAATGACAAAATTGCCTAAGGACGCATGTCTCAGAACATAGCCCTGTCATTAAGCAATGCATATTGTACTAGCGATGGTATACTTTTTAAAATTTGTGGTCTTCTTTCGCATGTCTTCTGAAATGGCAGGTTAACTATAGTATCTTGCATCTGAAAGGAATTTTTATCAGGGGCATTTGAAGACCGTCTGTTTTTCATGTAATTTCTTTATATCTTAATGGCATAACAAAATCTTTCAGGACATCTGAAAATTTGATGGAGTTGTTGAATGACTGACATCACTTCATTTTGTCCACATAATTCATCATTTGTATATTGGTATACAGTGTATATGGACTTATCTTATCCTGAGGGAAATACAAAAAGTACTGTCTATGTAATTCTCTTCTAAAAATTCCACTTTTCAAAAATAAATGTTTTCAAACAGTAACTTCAGTTGAAATCAGAAACTCCTAGTGGCCTCAAAGAAACCAATTTCATGGTGGAAGAACAAAGTCCTTTCTTTAGCAAACACTTTTAATAAAAAATGTGCCTTGTTCTGCACATGGTTGATCACAGCAGTGTCCATCCCTGGGACACTCGTGCAAGGACAGCTCCCTCTCTGCAACCTCCCTGCTGTTCTCCCTAAACCTAACAGAGTTTCACCTACAGTTACTTTTGCTTTTTAAACTTTCTATTCTGGAAGAATTTTAGATTCATGGAAACATTGCAAAGATAGTACAAAGAATTCCTGTATACCATCCACACAGCTCTTCCTAATATATCTTACATAACTATGGCATGTTTTTCAGAATGATTAAATTAACATTGGTATAAACTATTAACTAAACTGCAGATTTCACTCAGATTCTCAGTTTTTCACTAATGTTCGTTTTCTATTCTGGATACCACATTACATTAGGTAATCATTACTAAAAGGAAGTTTGTTTTTTTTTAATTAAGTAAACAGATCATTTATATGCTATTTAAGTTGTTTCAAAATATACTCTCTTTTTCCTTTCTTCATTTAGGTGTCCTTAATTTAGGTTGCTACTGTGTTTAACTCATGGCCCATACCTCTCCCTTTCAGTGATATACACTATTCCCCCTTCATCCCATAGATCTTTTGAATATCTAACCTCTCTATAGCACATTCCCTACAACCAGCCTTATCCTAATGATAAAGTATCTGAATATAAATATTGTTTGACTTCCTTAGAGCATGAATTTCTTAGGTTCACATTCCAACTACTAATCATGTGCTTCAAAGGCTCTCTAGAATTTTTTTCTAAGTTTCTACACCATGCAAAATTTCCACCCTAATTTGTTATAATCAGGTGAAACTCATTTACTTATTGTTTCAACCAAATATGAATCAGGGATCCGCTGTTTTCCAGACACTGTGCTGGACAGTATGCTAGGCTCAGAATAAAATAAACCACAAACAGTTACCCTCTGGTGAGGGTAACAGCCATTAAACTAGAAACAAAAGTAGTTTCAGATTGTGGCATCACAAATAGGTGAAAACCATTTCCAAGGAGAGAGAATAACAGAGGAAGCCTACTTTAGATTTGGGGATAGGTCCAGACTCTCGGTGGCCTGAAGAATGCAAAGGTGCAAGCCACAGGACAGGAGAGACATGGGGTGGAGGTGTGTTCCAGGTAGAAGTAACATGTTCAGGGATAGCAGAACTTCTGTTTCTTTCTTACATAAGAAATAACTTAATCTTGACCAATGTTTGACATAAAGATTGACACGGATGCTCTCGCTCTCATGTCAAACACCCAAGTGTTCTATGAGAAGAGAGGGAATTCCACAACTCAGAAGGGTTGGCCTGAACTTAAAAGTTTGTAGTACCATTTATAAATAATTTTAATTTAAAAATATTTCAGGGCCAGGTGCAGCAGCTCACGCCTGTAATCACAGCACTTTGGGAGGCCGAGGCGGGAGGACAGCTTGAGCCCAGGGGTTTGAGACTAGCCTGGGCAACAGAGTGAGACTTCATCTCTACTTAAAAAAAAAAAAGAAAACTAAAATGAAAATATTTCATATTGATCTTATCCTTTTAAATTTATATTTCAGAATGCTCTATAATATAGGTACAAATTAGTACAATAGAACATGTTTCTAATTTGTTTATATAAATATATATAAATCTGTATCTATCCATGTAACAATTGGTCAACTGCTCTTTCTTTCTACCTACCTACATACTCATCCATGCATCCATGCATCCACCCACCACCCCAACACACACACAGGGTGGAAGAGCTTTGCCTACAATTTTTTATTAATGGGTAGACTATCAAAACACGTTGGAGGTTTTGCCTTAGAGTATGAATACACTCCTCACTTATGCCAAAAAGCCTTGTTTCATCAACACTACCCCTTTTGTATCTCACTGCCAACATAGCTGGGGCTGTGTCTAGACCAGTGATTTCCAAACTTGGCTACTCATCGACATGACCTGAGAGCTGTATTAAAATCAAGTTCTTACAGATGGAACAAGCAGGATGTTCAGGGCTGTGAAAATATTCTTTATGATACTATAATGGTGGATACATGTTATTATATATGTAGAATTCCTAGAGAATGTACAACACCAAGACTGAACCCTAATGTGAACTATGGACTCTTGGTGATGATAACGTGTCAATGTAGATTCACTGATTGTAACCAATATACCACTCTGTGGGGGACCTTGATAATGGAGGAGGCTATGCATGTGTTAGGCTAAGGGGTATGTGCAAAATCTCTGTATCTTCCACTCAATTTTGCTGTGAATCTTAAACTGCTCTAAAAGACTAGTCTTTAAAAAAAAATCAGATTCCTGGGCTTTATTCCTGGCAGATTCTTATTTGGCTTCAGATGGGGCTTTGAAAGCTGTAATTTTAAAGACAATTAAATTGCTCAATGCAACGAGCTATGCAATACCTCCTTAAATTGCTCAATACATTGGAAGATTTGGGAACCACTGGGTAAAAGATGTAGGAATGTGTTTTGTGGTCCAGATATCTATATTTTGAAATGCGTATTTATCTGAGTCACCTGTATACTTTTTCTCTTCACATCTAAACACATTCCTTAAAGACAGGGGAAGCAAGTCTTCCTCATTCTTAGTAAATATTTTGCTTGGTGTACCATTATCCAGACTATATGTACTATTTGGTGATGTTGAAAATATTTCTTTAAAAAAGGGTATTATGGTTTTTAAAGTACTAAGGTGATATCAGAAATAACAGATGAACAGTAATCTAAAATATCCAAGCACTAAATATGTGCAGAGTAATTAAATATCTCTGACCTGGAACCAGGATGGTAATGGCTGTCTGTACCGCCTTCCGAATGATACTGTCTAAGGCAAACATCCAGTGCGGCTTGATGTTATGATTCCGAAGAACTTTATTGACCTGGAGAGAGAGTGACATTTAGCCTACTTTAATTTTTAATTGCAAATAGCCTAGATGATCGAAGCACTTGTATGAAGTTCCATTTACAAAACAACTAAAAAGTTTCTTCAACTTGAATTCTTTGTAATTCTTTATGTCATTGGAAAACAAAGTAAAAATTGCTACTTCAAATCAAAGTTTAGTGAGCCCCATGTAAGCAAATAAGTTATTTAAGTGAAAGGCAGTCTGGTTCAAATGAGAATGTTGCTTCTTTGGGACTCAGAATGTGCAGTTTTTAGCTTTTATAATGTCTGCAGAATGGATGGAGGGAGGGGGTGAAGGAGGAAGACAGGGTCTAAGAGACTTTAAATAAAAATAAAGGCTGTTCTTACTGTTCATTATTTTCAATTACTTCTTCTTATTATTATTATTATTTCATTTGTTTTGGAGACACGGTCTTGCTCTGTCACCCAGGGTGGAGTGCAGTGGCGGGATCATGGCTCACTGCAACCTGTGCCTCCGGGGCTCAAGCAATCCTCCCGCCTCAGCCTCCCAAAGTGCTGGCATTGCAGACATGAGCCACCGTGCCTGGCCATCTTAGCCATTTTTAAGTGTATGGTTCAGTGGCATTAAGTACATTCACATTATTGTACTACCATCACCGCCATCCATCCACAGAACTCTTTATCTTGCAAAACTAAAACTCTATACTCATTAAACAGTAAGTTCCCATTTCTCCCTCCCCACAGTCCCTGAAAACAAGCATTTTAATTTCTGTCTCTCATAAATTTTACTACTGTAGGTACCTTCACATAAGTGGAATTACAGTATTTGGCCTTATGTGAATGGTTTGTTTCACTTGGCATAACATCTCTAAGCTTCATTCATGTTGTAGCATGTGTCAGGATTTCTTTCCTTTTTAAGCTTGAATTATATTCCATTGTATGTATTTATCATGTGCATTACCTTTGTAAAAACAAGCTTTTAGCATAAGACTATGACAAGCTCACTTAGATTTTGGGTTAACTCTACTACCTGCTGGCTTACACAGACCTCTAAAAAAAGAGGCTATTTCCCCAACAGGGCTCTGGTTAGATACCTCTGAGTATCTATAGTATGATTATGGAAGTATAATTTTATTTAAATTCCAAAAATTTAATCACCATCCCTACTGCAGCTGGGGAGATGGTGACCCAGCCACAAACCCATGTCAAGAGCTGGAGCTCCAGTTGCTCATGCCTGTCCTTGGTCCATCTTCATCAAACTCCCCTAGTTTGGAAGAGAGTCAGTTTGAGGACTTCATCGTACTAGTTGCACAGGAAATGAACCCTTGCTAGGTTCCCACTTGTTCTAGAAAATCCATCCAGGCTGAGTTTGTCCTGGTACCTTCATTTCTTTAAAAAATTTACATACTGGCTGGACATGGTGGCTCACGCCCTGTAATCCCAGCACTTTGGGAGTCCGATGCGGGCGGATCACCTGAGGCCAGGAGTTCAAGACCAGCCTAGCCAACATGGCAAAACCCAATCTCTACTAAAAATACAAAAATTAGCTGGGCATGGTGGCAGGCACCTGTAGTTCCAGCTACTCGGGAGGCTGAGGCACAAGAATTGCTTGAACCCGGGAGGCAGAGGTTGCAGTGACCTGAGATCATGCCACTGCACTCCAGCCTAGCCAACAGAGGGAGACTCCATCTCAAAAAAAAAAAAATTTACATTCTTATTAGGTGGAAGAGGGATCTGTTATAACCATAACCTGCTCCTCTCAGCTCTTTATTACATAGCAAATTACATCATAGGGCCCATACTTTGGGTTCATTCTCATCCTGGACAGTGAATGAGCAAGAGCAGGCGTGTATGTGTACACGTGTGTGTATACGTGTGTGTGTGTGTGTGTGTGTGTGTGTGTGTGTGTGTGTGTGTGTCTGACCTGGCCCAAGGCCCAGGAGTACAACCCAATAGCTCTCAGTCTGAATTCTACAGCAAACTTGCTTTCCAACCTCTAGGCTAGAGGCCAAATGTGTGGGCAAGTGCAAATTAGCTAAATTATTTCACTCTACTTGCAGGCAGTTGGGTTTCCCTAGTTGCAGCATAAGCATGCTTTTAGCATTTAATATTAGTGATAGGCTTTGCCAGTTGCTTTAATTTCTTATGCCCTCAATCAACTCAGGACTCTTGTCCCTGCCCACAATATAGCATAAAGACCAAGTGGCTTACACAGTGTCTCAGAGAATGCTAGTAGTTATTGAAGGATTCTAATTTGGCTTTAAATTGGGGATCATTTGATGTTGCAAATAAAATTGTCAACACACTTTCTACAAAGAAGCAATACACACATTAGGGCTGAATTAATTTTGGAATTTAAATAAAATTATACTTCCATATTTATACCACAAGCACCATCAAGAACCCTCTTATTTCAGTCTCCCACATCTTGTTAAGGGTCTCCTGGAGGTGGCTTGAGGCTTTTTTGGCACTGAGTTCCACAGATAAGTCTCACCCAAGAATAACACAGAGGGTTCTGAATGCAGTACAGAAGACTGGCTTTAGTTTGTGTTGCATAGCAACTCAATTTTGGAGAGAAGACTTCTCAGCAATCTCTCATTAGATCATGTGCTTTAATTTTTAATCAGTGATGCTCTGTACTCTGAAAGTATACTTCTGGCTAGAACAGAGTAGGTATTTATGAAACAAACATGTTAAAAATGTTCTATATGAAAACTAGAGAAAAACTGGAAAAAAATTAACTGGTTTTATTCAGCAGTGACCATTTCAATCTGTACTATTAAATTTTTCTCAATGGCCACTAGATGGCATTTCTCATATAGCATTAGAAAATGTATGACTAAAGTGTGTTACGTTGCTAAAGTTGTCAAAATAAACAATGACCCAACATAATTTCATAAGAACGAAGTTCAGCCATGGGAAATATTTTGTTATTTTCCATGGTGATTTGGTTTTATGTGTTTTTTAATTTGGGGAATGCAAACACACAAAACAACAAATCAGATACTTAGAAGCACACTGAGAGGCGAATATCTCACATTTTTCATCCAAAAAGAATAGAGTTCACTGGAATTTTAAAAGAAAAATAACAGAACTTATGTTTTATCTTATTTTTCTAACTAATTTTAGTGTGTGGGAAAACACTGGCAAAATATCATACTTACAGCATCTTGAAAACCAAAGAGTACCACCTGGACTTGGCTAATGCCATGGCTGTCGAAGTCCAGCTCCAGTTTCAGCTTTGACAGTGTGGTGGCTATGATTTTTCGGTCAGTGGATCTCACAAATTCTCTGAGGCTTGCAATGAGGGTTGTGATGTGTTCCCATTTTAGTTTCGGTTCTTCAGCCCCCTGTGAATAAAAATCAACAATCCTTACATCAACATATGCTGGATATACCTGCCATGGTAATCCTATCTCCATACCCCCTGCCCCCACATTTTTTTTTCTTTTGGTAGAGACAAGGTCTCACTATATTGCCCAGGCTGGTCTCGAACTCCTGGGCTCAAGCGAGCCTCCCATCACTACTTCCCAAAGTGCTGGGATTCCAGGCATGAGCCACCATACTTCCCACAGCCCTTTCTGAGAAGAACTGGACTTCCAAATGTCTCCAAAGGAAAGACCATATTTTGAACTATATGGCACCTCTTCAATCCTCCTACCAACACCAAGAAATAATCAGAGAGAAAAGGTACCTGCCCCACACGCTGGTCAGTAGCCATGATATAGTCAGATAACAAAGCTTTGCCCAAAAAGACTAAGGCCATAAGATTCTTTCAGAAATTTTAATTGGGAACTAAAAAGAGATTTGAGCAATAAGCCATAGGATCTCAACCTGAAAGTCTGCCCGGAAAGAGAAGCTATAAAATAGGGTCATGAATATGTCCAACCATAGCAGAAGCAATGGAATTGAGAAAGACAATAGGGAGTGTATTAGTTCGTTTTCACACTGCTGAAAACACATACCCGAGACTGGGCAATTTACAAAAGAAAGAGGTTTAATTGGACTTACAGTTCCACGTGGCTGGGGAAGCCTCACAATCACGGCAGAAGGCAAGGAGGAGCAAGTCACATCTTACTTGGATGGCAGCAGGCAAAAAGAGAGAGCTTGTGCAGGCAAACTCCCATTTTTTGAAAGCATCAAATCTTGTGAGACTCATTCATTATCACAAGAACAGCACAGGAAAGACCTGCCCCCATAATTCAATCACCTCCCACCAGGTTCCTCCCACGACACATGGGAATTGTGGGAGTTACAATTCAAGATGAGATTTGAGTGGGGACACAGCCAAACCATATCAGGGAGGGAGAGGAGAAGTGGACAAGAACAGAAATGCACACCAAGCAGGTCAACAGCAACCAAGCCAGAGAAAAGATGTGCAAACTCCGGGGACTTGAAGTTCCTCAGGCTCATATTCTGTTTTCAGTGTCTGTGAGACTCGGCTAGGCACTATGATTGGAATTCCTTAAGAGTCTACTTCCCTTATTGCTATGCGTGTCTACCTATAACATGTCCTTGGTACTTCAGTTGTCCTAACGGTGTGTCAGTTCCTTGCAACCAAGAGGGGCTGATCTCAAACTTCATTTTTGAAACTACCCCTTACCCATCAATGAAGCAATTGCTTCTAAGAACGGACCGATGGACTATTTTATTACACTAAAATATATTACAATGTTCAAACAAATGCTCTTTCTCAAAATGATTTTTTCTTTTTGTTTTTTTTTTTTTGTTTTTTTTTAAGAGACAGGGCCTCTCTTTGTCACCCAGGCTGGAGTGCAGTGGCACAATCATAGCTCACTGCAGCCCCTAACTCCTGGGTTCTAGCTCTCTTCCCACCTCAGCCTCCTGAGTAGCTAGGGACTATAGGCATGTGCCACCACACCCAGATAATTTTTTTTAAAACTTTTTGTAGAGACTGGGTTTTGCTAAGTTGCCCAGGCTGGTCTCAAATTCCTGGGCTCAAGTGATCCTCCCACCTCCGCCTCCCAAAGTGCTGGGATTATAGATGTGAGCCACTTTCCCCAACCTCAGATGGAACTTTTCTCCTTTGAGCAAGGCATATTGCTTCCTTTCTTTTCTTTTCTTTATTTATTTATTTATTTATTTATTTATTTATTTATTTATTTTTTGACAAAGTCTTGCTTTGTCACCCAGGCTGGAGTGCAGTGGCTCCATTTCAGCTCACAACAACCTCTGCCTCCCAACTTCAAGTGATTCTCCTACCTCAGCTTCCCAAGTAGCTGGGATTACAGGCACCTGTCATGCCCAGCTAACTTTTGTATTTTTAGTAGAGCTGAGGTTTCGCCATGTTGGCCAGGCTGGTCTTGAACTCGTGACCTCAAGTGATCCACCTGCCTCAGCCTCCTGAGTGCTGTAATCCCAAAGTGCTGGGACTATAGGCATGAGCCACCATGCCCAGCCCACACTGCTTCTTTAAGGAAGCACAGTAGGATGTTATTTGTTCCCATTTAACTTTAAGAAAATATAAGAAACTTTAAGAAACTATTATATCATTTTTATTTTATATTGTACATTTTCTTACTGTACCATTAAAATTAAAATTCCTCCACTGGGCTGTGAAAATTATAATTTCTAGGAGTCTATTAAAATAAAAAAGAAATGCACCATCGAGTTCTTTCTCTTAATATATTTTCATTTGGAAGCTTGGTCTCATGTTTATGTTTTCATGAGATAAGATTATATTGAAAAGCTTGAAAGCTGTCATTAAACGAATACTTTAAAATCACAATGGGAACCATTATAAACTTTGTTGGTTTTTTCCTTACCACAAACTAAACTGCACCCAAGGTAAAGATTCACAGGCAAAATCATAACATCATGAAAACATGTTCAAGAAGAAAAATGTGAGTTATGCAGAAATTGGAAGCTTCTCTTAGTAAAAACTCAGTTGCAACATGTTTGCCAATAGCAAACTTCAAATGGCAAACTTTTTTTTCGACATTAACTTTGTTTTTACAACAGAAAAACATGTTGCTTCTGGTTTTTTGATGTGTGTGCTACTGTCCTGCAAAGGAACATGCTCTACTCTGGGAAATGTTTTCTGTTCAGACTATTTCATCTACTTACGTCATCATTTATTTCTGTTCTGACTCCAGTCTCTCCATGTTAACTCACTCATGTGCCTTCAAAAACAAGCATCTTGGCTAGTATCTGGTGAGCCTGACTCAGCATCAGCATAGATTTAACGGTATGCATTTCCTGCACTCCTAGTACCAGGTTGTGATGGTTAATACTGAGTGTCTACTTGATTGGATCGAAGGATACAAAGTATTGATCCTGGGTGTGTCTGTGAGGGTGTTGCCAAAGGAGATTAACATTTGAGTCTGTGGGCTGGGAAAGGCAGACCCACCCTTAATCTGGGTGGTCAAAATTTAATCAGCTGCCAGTGTGGCTAGAATATAAGCAGGCAGAAAAATGTGAAAAGAGAGAGTGACCTAGCTTCCCAGCCTACATCTTTCTCTTGTGCTAGATGCTTCCTGCCCTCAAATATTAGATTCCAAGTTCTTCAGTTTTGGAACTCAGACTGGCTCTCCATGCTCCTCAGCCTGCAGACAGCCTATTGTGGGACCTTGTGATTATGTGAGTTAATACTTAATAAACTCCCCTTTACATATATATGTATTCCATTAGTTCTGTCCCTCTAGAGAACCCTGACTAACACACAGGGTCTTCTGCAAAGATGCTCTCCAGTCTTTATCCTTTAAACTTCCTCAAAAACCAGGAAAGGATTTCAGAAGGATGTTACAGATTAAAAGGCTTTTCATGGTTTAAGGGTTTGAGGACCTGACCAATATCTAGATTTGGTTTTGTTATAAAGTGTAGGCTTAAATATAGATACAAATATGTATCTAGAAACAATACAATGGCAATAATTACTTCTGATTGATTGTAGAAAAAAATTAAAGATATTAGATAACTATTATTAGCCTGCTTGATAATGATAACAATAACAGTTAACAATTGTGGAATATTTTCTGTTATGATTTAAATCACTCACAATCTCAGTTACTCCTGATAGCAAGCTTATAAAGTAGACTCCTCTATCATAGATGAGGAGGTTCAGGCTCTGAGAAGTTAAATCGGTTGCCCAAATTGCACAGCCTTTAAGTGATGGAACCAGGCCTCAAACAGCAAGCTAAGCCCAAGCTCCTAACCATTCTATTCTACTGCCCCAATGACCTGCAATAGCAGCTGTCAACCTGGGTCAGGACCTGTTCTACCACTGAATCACCATTTGATGTCACAGGAAAGGATTCCCAACATCCTTAACAGCAGTCAGAAGGGCCCCACCATCATGTGGCCATTATGGATTCAGCATGTGATTCTGATCAGCAGTTTCGGGTACTCACTGGTAGCTTCATGCTGGTCCCCTAAGGCATGCCCTCTGATGGTTGCTTTTAAGGTTTTCTTTCATTTCTCCTTTTACAGAGGACATTCAAATGCACTTTAAAACCAGGAGGCACCAAACAATTGAATATGACTAACCACTCCCACATTTAACTATTTCAGCACAGTCATAGAAGTGATGACCAAGGCAGTCCTATCCCTGATGATGCTATGGTCCAGCAGGGAGACAAAGAATAGACCCCAACAAACTGGCATTTCCTGTACTGGAAAAGCACATTCTTTGGGGGTAATTAGAGATTTAGGCAATTCCTGGGTTTTATGTGTTTTTGACCTAAAATCAAGCATTTTAAAGGTCCACAGGAGAGGCCTTCACTCTGCAGTGGCTAATGGTGATTTACTTTCTTTCTTCACCTCCAATGCCTAATCCCCACCCCACTTTATGTTTTCCTAGCACTTGTCACCATCGGGCCTACCAGCGAGGCAGAGCAATGTGGTGGTTAAAGCAAAAACTTCAGAGCCAAACTGCCTGGGTCAAAATCCTAACTCCATCACTTAGGACTGCATGACTTCGGCAAACTACTCAAGTCCTCTGTGCCTGTTTCCTCATTCGTAAAATGAGGATGCTAATAGAACTATTGGTATAGTATTACTGTCATGAAAATTAAATGAGCAAATACACATGGAATACTAAGAACAGTAACTGGCCTAAAGAAAATGTTAGCTGTTATTACTATATGTTTTATATATATGTATAGTTTTTCTTCTTCTGCTAGAATGTCAACTTCAAGGGGATGCAGATATTTTTGTTCAGTTCGCCACAGCATCCCCAGCACATAGTACAGTGCCTGGCCTTCGACTGATGCTCAATAAGTATTTGTTGAATGAATAAATGAAAGAACTCCAAGGGCTGCCCAGCTGCTCTCTCCATCCAGCTTGGTTCCTCTTCTTGGGTCAACCCAGTCCTATTCTCAGTCTTTGAATGATCACCGTGAGCCAAAGGAAAGGCCAGAGAGAAAGCTGATGGCTCGAGACCACTCCAGTCTCCACCGCCACGAAGCATGCATGACACTCATCCTCCCTGGACTCAGAGGCCAGCTACCCCTCACTCTAGAGCACCTTCTTCCTGGGCCTCAGAGTAACTGCCCGAGACAGCTTTCCTTTAGGACCCAAGTCAAGGTTTTTGAGAGTGTGTAGAAAACACTCATTTCAGCTCTCCTTGTACTGAGGCCCTACTGGCACATATATGGCCTTTCAGCTCCTTCTATGAGATCTAAAGAGGTGGACATTAGGGAATTCCTAAGGCGATAAAATGTTTAGCAAAGAAGCACAGTGAGTTTCTCAAGGCAGAGACAGGCTGAGATTGTTTACTAAGAGCCAAGAGAGAGCTTTGCTCCATTTACATCTCAATAAAAGATGAGAACAGGTAAACTGTTGTACTGAGAGACTTTAAAAACTTGGCTAGACTCCTCTAGCCCCAACCTTTTTTTGCAGCTATTTCCTCAGGACACAGGGAGGGAAGAAGCTATGTGCAGTAGTCCACAGTGATCATGAAGGACAGGTAGAGGCCACGGCAAGGGAGGCAGGTAGATGAGTTCCCAGTACCCATTGAACTAAAAGAGGATGAGAAGTGTCATACCAGGGACTGAGTGTGTCTGTGGGAGGTTGTATCCACAAGAAGCTTGGGGCTGAGGGAAATCCATTTTTCTCCTGGTGCATATTTGGGAAGGGGATTCTTCCTTGTGTTTGTACACAGAATTCCAGGGAACACATTTTCCCAGGTATTATGGTTCTGTGTCCTCCAAATTCGTATGTTGAAGCCCTAACACTCAATGGGATATATTTGGAGACAGGGCCTCAAAAGGGATAATTAGGACTAAGTGAGGTCGTAAGGGTGGGGCCCTAATCCAATTGAACTGATGTTTCTGGTGTCCGTATCAGAAGAGGAAGAGACACCAGGGCTGCAAGTGCACCAGAAAAGGCCATATGAGCACATGATAATAAGAAGGTGGCCATCTGCAAGCTAAGCAGATAGGCCTCAGGAGAAACCAAACCTGCCAACCCCTTGATCCTGGACTTTCAGCCTCCAGAACTGTGAGAAAATACATTTCTGTTGTGTAAGCCACCCAGTATGTGACAGTTTGTTATGGTTGCTTGCCCTGGTTTGGATGTGATTTGTCCTGTCAAAATTCATGTTGAACTTTAATAGCCAATGTAATGATACTGAGAGGTGGCAGAGTCTTTAAAGAGGCATTTGGGTCATGAGGCTCATGAAGGGATTAATGCAGTTAATGTAGTTCTCAACAGACTGGGTTAGTTCTCAGGAAAGCAAGATGTCATAAAGCCAGTTGGCTCTCCTTGTCTCTCTCTTTTTTCCACTCAAGCCCCACTGCCTTTCTACTTTCTACCACGAGTTGAAGCAGCATGAGGCCCTCACCAGATGCAGATGGGCCACTGGATCTTGGACTTCCTAGCCTCCAGAACCATGAGCCCAAATAAACCTCTTTTCTTTATAAATTACTGAGTCTCATGTATTCTATTATAGCAACAGAAAATGGACTAAAACACAGCCCTAGCAAACTATTATACCAAGGAATGATAGGTTCACTGACAAGCTTTTGTTTTCTTCAGAGTACATATGGCCTTCTAAACTATTACATACAGCAGATCCTCAAATAACACTGTTTTGCCCAATGTTGTTTCCTTCTAACCTTGATGAGAAAAAAAAGAATTGATTCCTGGTAGGGGCCACTGTCTGTGTGGAGTTTGCACATTTTCTTTTCTTTTTCTTTTTTTTTTTTTTGAGACAGAGTCTCCCTCTGTCGCCCAGGCTGGAGTGCAGTGGCGCGATCTCAGCTCACTGCAAGCTCCGCCTCCAGGGTTCACGCCATTCTCCTGCCTCAGACTCCCACGTAGCTGGGACTACAGGCGCCCGCCATCACGCCTGGCTAATTTTTTGTATTTTTAGTAGAGATGGGGTTTCACCGTGTTAGCCAGGATGGTCTCGATCTCCTGACCTCGTGATCCACCCGCCTCAGCCTCCCAAAGTGCTGGGATTACAGGCATGAGCCATCACACCTGGCAAATTTGCACATTTTCTCAATGTCTGTGTGGCCTTACCTGGGGTACTCTGGTGATATGGTTTGGCTGTGTCCCCACCCAAATCTCATCTTGAATTGTAGCTCCCATAATCCCCATGTGTCATGGGAGGGACCAAGTGGGAGGTAACTGAATCATGGGGGTGGGTCTTTCCTGTGATGTTCTCATGATAGTGAATAAGTCTCATGAGATCTGATGGTTTTACAAATGGGAATTCCCCTGCACAAGCTCTCTTGCCTGCCGCCACGTAAGATGTGACTTTGCTCCTCATTCACCTTCCACCATGATTGTGAGGCCTCCCCAGCCATGTGGAACTGTGAATCAGTTAAACTTCTTTCCTTTATAAATTACCCAGTCTCAGGTATGTCTTTATTAGTAGCATGAGAACAGACTAATACATATAGTTTCCTCCGCATCCCAAGGATGTGCACGTTAGGTTCATTTGTGTGTCTACGTGGTCTCAGTGTGGGTGTGTGTGTGTATGTACCCTGCAGTGGAATAGTGTCCTTTCCAGGGCGGGTGCCCGCCTGGTACTGAGCTGCCAGAATAGGCTCTGGCCACCCATGGCCTTGAACTGGGTAGATAGTTATCTTGTTTTTATTCATCTTTCTTAAATGTATATAGAGTTCACATTTATTTCAATGTAGAATATTAGAAGTGTTTTAGTCTTTATTTAGGAGTTTGGTCATGTTTTTGTGACCAGAAATATGCCATAGGAACTTAACTCTTGTTTATGTCAATTAGTCTACGGCAAAACTGGTTTGGTTATATGTAATTTTGCTTCAGTCACAGTTTCCAAGGACTTATCAACTACATTAAGTGAAGACTCACTACAATTTACTTCCCTTTGCCCTTCACCCTCCTTTTAAATATAACCTTACAAGCTCAGGGGTTCTGTTGTATTTGCTGATGTTTCCCAAATGCTGAGAGGAGCGACTGGCAGGTAGCCTCATGCTAATGTCAGAATTAGCAACTCACATGGCTTAATGTGTGTTTATTGATGGAATGAATAAACAAATGAATGAAGAGTAAAAGAGGCTTGTAGGGGCTATTTGGAATGTCACCAATGTGAAAAATTTGCTTCTGACTTAAAAATAGCTTATGTTCAAAAATGCAATGAAAAAATCATTTCCCTATTTTCATATTAATATATTCCCTACCATAGGGTTTGCCTTCTTTTTTCCTGTGGGGTAGGTTTATCATGATGATCACTACAGGTTCCTCTTGCCTTTCACATCATCTGTGACAGCTGCAGGCGGTTAGGACACAGATAAAATATGTAACCTTTGGGAAATGAAGCACCTGGGAGAGGATTTACCTGAGCTAAAGATTCCATTAGGTTTCTCACAATTTTGTCTTGGTCTTCCGTCAGGATCCTGTGAAGGGTAGCTCGCCTCTCACTGTCCTTCCTCAGCATGAAGAATCCAGAATCTTTTTCTTCAGGGGAAGGAGGAGCACTGTGATCTTCAAAATTCTCATCTGGAATGCTGAGAAAATTTATGCAGCATAAATCACAGTTCCCTTTATAAAATGACACACTTAACAACACACTTCTCTCACCCCAAGTAAGTCAGGTCTTTACCCCAAAAAGAGTGTCCGAATTCCCTTGACATCTCTTTCTCCGCAGGACTTGGCTCTTGTTTTGAAAGAGAAGGGGTCCACTTTCAACTCCGTGTCGGGTGAAACTGAGCCGTACTCACTGCTGCTGCTGGTGTCCTCCACCAGCACAGGTACCGGCAAGGATATACTCCTGAGATATTCTGCTTGTGATGAGAGGAGGGAAAAGATAATTGACACTTTAAAAAATGTACACATACTGAAACACCCATTGAAAGAGGCCATATTCTTTGTCAAATATCTTGTTGCAATGAGCAGCATAATTATGCTATGTAAGGGAACGGTCATGTGTTATGACTGCCTCCCTTGCTCAGCATAACCCATACAGCAGGGTAGCCAGGAAAGGGCCTCCCAGGCCCTGGGAGGGATATCTCTGGGGTACCAAAACAGTCAAGGAAGCCCAAGTTCAGTGGGTCTACTGAGGGTCTGATCCCCTCATTTTTACTGACTACTAATTATTTCTATTTATGGGTCTCAGTTTTCATATTTATCAAATTCAGGGTCAGATTGATAATCTTTAAGCCTGTTCTTCAGGGGCTTAAGTGTCTCCATTAGCATCTTGGGGCTGCCTTGGTTGGGATGAGTGAGTGGGATGCTGTAGGTCTAGACCACAGGTTCCAATCCTGTTATACCTGAAACCAGAGAAAATATGCTGACTGTCATATATCACAGTTCTGCTTAAGGATTCATATAAAAAAGGATTCATCACTGAAAACAAATTTTGGAAACAGATGGACTAGATGATCTCTTAGGTCTGTCCTGGTTCTCAGATACTATGATTCTCTAGTAGACATGAGCTGCTTCTTTATTTGGATGGAGAATAAGACAGTGGAGTTGCCTATATTTCCTCAAACATTGGTTTTAAAGAAAGCTTCATAGGTTGCTCTGGGTGTCAACATCTTTCCAGCAGATGGGGAAGAAAGAGTAGGAGGATCTCATAGGAAGTTTTTATGAATCATGCTTGGGTGAGTTGCCACTCGGGCCCACCATCCATTGCCCAAGCCTCAGTCCACCAGCCACAGTTACTTGCCAGGAGGCTGGGAAACCCCAGAAGGAAAAGGAAACAGGTCTGGAGGACAGCTAGTCAGTCTCTGTATATGTATGCCTGAACAGTTCACAGAAAGAAAAACACAAAAAGCTCCCAAATGTATATAAAACTTCTCAGCCTCACTCCTAATGAGAGAAACGGGTATCTGAATCACAATAAAATACTGTCCATGATCTATCCTATGGACAGATATGCAAAAAAAAAAAAAAAAAAGAAAGTGGTTTTTGCCAGAAACATCTTTATCAAACACACATCCTAATGCTACAAAAGCATTTTAATAAAGAATGAAGGTATAAAATTATAGAAAAGGAAATCCACTGTTGCCTGGAATCTCCTTCTTACTTAATTCCTCTTGGGCTGAACTGAATCAACTGCCCTGATCTCAAGGATAGGGGACTCATGACATTGGTTTCAGCTGTAGCGAGAAAGACGGAAGTACATACAGCTTTCAGGAACAGCTGACCTCGGGGGAAACCACCTTACTGGTCAGTAACTGGAAAGTCTCCCCAGGATGAATTGGTTGACTTATCTGCTGTTATTTAAATAGTTCTGTAGCTGAATCACTAGAAGGCAGGAAGCAAGAGGAAGCCACAAAGAGTTGCTGAATTGACCAATTAAGTACCAGTATGCAAATGATATATGGCAGGGGAAATGCCTGGCATGTATTGTTTCCACATATTCTGGAGCAGCTCATGGGCCTAGCATTTCACGGACCATATTTTGGGCAGTGCTGCTACAGCAGAAAGGAAATGGGTGACCTCTTCCTTGCTGGTAATAGTAAGGTTGTCTGAGAGAAGAAAGGTTTGAAGGGGGGCCCAAACACCAAACTGCTTTTGAGTCATTCCTGGGGAAGGTCAAGGTCTATAGTGTGCCTTGTTTCACTTTAGAGTCAACATCTCGCTATTTGGGGGGAACGGACTTTAGAACAGAAAAAAATAGCTGCTTGGGAGAAAGAGTTTCACTGCTATGAGATGTCAAGTCCCTAAAGTTAAATGTTACTGATGGAAGAATACAGCTGAAGAAGAGCTCTTGGCTTGACTGAGTAGCTGATCTCTTTACAAGAAGGGATACAAGCCCTGCAGTGGAACTCACTGCTGATCCTTCAGACTTGGTGAGTTTCTTCACCAGCCCATTTTTATGAGATGCATGCCACACTCAGAAACGGAGGTGTGCATCATTCATATTTCAAAGACAAAATTGTTGTTTCTTGGGAGTAAAGAGACTAGTACAGACTAGACTAGAAGAGTACAAGATGAGGGATTCCTATCGTGTGTTTCCGTGTTTGTGTGTGTGTGTGTGTGTGGTAAATGTATGTGTATCTAAAGAAGAGAAGGAGTAAGGACTTGAATTATCCTGTATTTTGGCTTTTTGGTCATATCATGTGGTTTGATTATCCAGTAATGAGAGGACTTGTGTCACGCCTGTGAATTTTAACGTTGCTGTGACTACCGACTGCCTAAAAGGAGGCCTAATGAGGTAAAACTGTATATGCTTAAGGATGGAACCGAGTGCCTGTCACTATGGCTCGTTAAGGAAATAAAGGGACTTACAGATATTCTGCATGTTCTATGTGCAGAGCCCTGATTCCCTCCTCGGTTTGATTTTATTTTATTTTTGAGACAGAGTCACACTATTTTGCTCAGGCTGGAGTGCAGTGGCATGATCTTGGCTCACTACAACCTCCGCCTCCTAGGTTCAAGTGATTTTCCTGCCTCAGCCTCCCAAGTAGCTGGGATTACAGGCATGTGCCACCACCCCTGGCTAATTTTTGTATAGGGTTTCGCCATGTCGGCCAGGCTGGTCTCAAACTCCTGACATCAAGTAATCCACCTGCTTCGGCCTCCCAAAGTTCTGGGATTACAGGTGTTGAGCCACCGCACCCGGCCTGCTTGATTTTAAATGAGTGAACCTGATTCTAGATTGAGTCCCCTTCTCTATTAGGCACATGCATTCATTCATCCAACATACAGTTGTGGATCATCTACTATATGTCAGGTAGCCAGCAGGAGTTGCTGATGGACTGGAGTGAAGAGTGTGAAAAGGAAGAATCAAAAATGACTCCAAAGTAGAATTCTGGCCTAAGAAACTGAATGGATGCATATCGTACTTATATTCTAAGATGAGAAATAATACAGGCCAAAAAGGAAAGTTCTTTTTAGTGGATAAGGGGTGTTATTTGACAGTTCAGTTTGAAAAATGAAGACGGCAATTGGGCGGCTGGGCGCGGTGGCTCACGGCTGTAATCCCAGCACTTTGGGAGGCTGAGGCAGGAGGATTATCTCATGTTGGGAGTTCAAGACACCAACATGGTGAAACCTCGCTTCTACTAAAAATACAAAAATTAGCCTGACATGGTGGTGTGTGCCTGTAGTGACAGCTACTCAGGAGGCTGAGGCAGGAGAATTGCTTGAACCCAGGAGGCGGAAGTTGCAGTGAGCCAAGATCATGCCACTGCACTCCAGCCGCCAGCAAGACTCCATCTAAAAAAGAAAAAAGCAATTGGATATGAGTCTGGAGCTCAGAAGACTGGGCTAGATAGAACCTCAGCAGCCTACCTGGCTGGAGATGGTATTTAAAGTAAAGGATGACATAATTTGGGGAAAGATAAAAAGACAGCATAGACCCGGCCCTTAAGAATGCCAATATTTAGAGGAAAAGAAGGGGATGAACAGGCAGCCAAGGAGAATGACAAGGAGCAGCCATGAGGTTGGAGGAAAACAGAGAAAATGGGGTGTCATGGAAGCCCACACAGGAGAGGGCGAAAGTAAGAGAGAACAGTCATCCAGGCTGAGAGCCACTGAGAAGTTGAGTAGGTTGAGAAAGGCACTTGTTGGATTTGGCTAAAGAGATCTCATTAGATCTTGGCCAGAGCAGGCCCAGTGATCGCGTGGAAGGGGAGACGCTACATGGGTGGGAAGGAAGAGGTGGAGATCTGGAGACACTGTACTTCAAGACGGGAAGCTGTGATGTGGGGCAAAAAAAGGTGGTGGTGTCAGCCAGTGAGGCCATTTGTAGATCAGGGGAAGGACGGGTTTAGGACAAAAGACATTAGAGCATGTGTATATGGAACTCACTGGGAGAGGCAGAAGCTGGAGGAGTCACGGGGGCTCCACAGGAGCCAGAACTCATCTGTGAGGGATTGGCCTTCTGTAGGAAAATGGATGTTTTCTCTATTGTAAGGGGTGGAAAGAGCAAGACAGGTGGTGCTGAGACAGTTTGCTTTATACGTTTGTGGTGGAAATATGATCAAATCCACGCCTGAGATTTCTACCTTCTTAAGTTATGACGATTTCCAGGCAAGTGAGAATGCGTAGTGCCTTTCTGTGTCACTGTAAATGGGAAGAAGCTCAAGTGTAACTATTTCCAGGGGAGCACGGTGACAGTTTCCAGATATCACAGAGGTTACAAGTTCCTCGAACATAAGCTCATACACGTGAGTGATTGGGACCCCAGGCTGCAAGAGAGGAGCCTGGCAGGATTTCCAGTCACAGGCAGCCTTACTGCTGATATCTTGCCAGGTATTAAGAAGCCCTCCTCTATGGGGCTGACCACGAAGAGTCTAAAAGAGGCTGAATGAACCTCTCTGAGGATAGGACATGTCAAAGGTGTGTCTCTAAGGAGATGATTCTCATTGCCTTATTTCAGGGGCTGATGGGAAGGGGTGTGAGCCCCATATCCCCTAAGAGATAGCTTTACCAAGAGGCCAGGAGTAGGCTGGAGTCAGGAGGGGTGACTGGCAACCCTATGGACTCCAGATTGCTGGGAGCTCCCATCTATGGAAGGGAGACAGTGCGACCTTTAAGGAATTAGATACATTCCTGCTTTGGGAAAACGGGGATTTTCTAAATCCCTTCCATTGCTGTGAGGGTGGCCTCAGATCCTAACAGCTATTCATGATCACTAGGGATCTTTATGGTTCTCCTTCTCCTAGACAGTTTAGGAACAGTCTGGCCACAACACAGAGTCTCCTAACTGGCCATCCTGCCTCCAGTCTCCAACTGGCCAAACATAGAATAGTGGTTCTCACACTGCAGTGATGACAAGAATCATCTGGGTTTACTTAAAAGTACAGAATTCCAGCTTGCACCTCCAGATTCTGAGAAGGGCCAGGCATTTTAATTTTTAACAAGCATTGCAAGAGATCCATGCAGGCAGGATCTGGGACCAACTGAGGCATAGCTATATTCCTAGTGCCTTGTGCCTACATTCTAGTGCCAAGTGCATAGCAGAGGGTTAAAAATGTTATGGAATAAATCTTACTAAATAAACCATCCTCACACAGCCATCGGAATGATCCATCAATAGCTTCACTGTCCAATATGGTCACTACTACCCACATATGGTTATTAACACTGACATTTAAATAATAAAAATTCAGTGCCTCAGCCATGGTAGCCATGTTTAGTGTCTAATAGCCACATATGACTAGTGGCTAATGTATTGGACAGGGCAGATAAATGACATTTCTCTTACTGTAGAATCATAGGTCCAGTGCTGGTCTATAATATTATTTCAGATAAAAATTTTCCCCGGCTCCCCAACCCTCCTTGCTGATTCCTTAACATTTCATAAGGAGCCCTTTGGGATCTGAGCCTGCTCCCCACTCCAGCATCATCCCTCCCCTTTTACTTTAAGCACCAGTGCTGCTGAGCCAGCAAGCCTCCCTTAACACACAGTAAAGTTTCACACATCCTGGCATTAACTCATGCGAGAAGTCGCCTCACCTGGATCTCCACTCCCCATTCACCTGTTAAGTTCATATTTGTCCTTACTCATCAGGTGCACCTCACTGGAAAGTCTGCCTTGAAACAGCATTCTCAGACTGACTTCAGTCACTGTCTCTCCCTTTTGACTCCTCTGCACAGACTAAACTATACTATGGTGGAGATGATTTTTTCCAGTGTTTTTCTCCTATAAGGTCAATGGCTCTTTAAAATCAGGAACTCTGTCTTTATCATCCTTATACGTTCAGGGCCTAGCACATTTCCTGTGCACACCATAACTGTACAATTAATATTTAAGCTGACATGAATTACTTAAATCTCTGGGTCTGTGTGTGGCCATGGAAGAGCAGTCAGGATGAGACAAGTCATGTCCCTCTCTAAAGGGGAAGGGGGTCTCATTGTCACCACCCTCTTACTCCCCTCTTGAGGGGAAGCCAAGTGCAGTTATGGGAGGTAGAGAACCTTGAGAGGTGGGCCTGTGCTCTGGACAGAAACACATATATGGCCTATAGAAAGTACCTGGGGAAGGAAGAGGCCTGTATCTTGTACTCATCTAGAAGGAGAGTAAGACGAGCTAATAGGTCATTGTTTCAATTGACATGAGGCAGGCCATTTCCTATAATACCTGGGAACAATCAAATGGGATTTTAGGCAAGGCATGGTGGCACATGTAATCCCAGCACTTTGGGAGGCCGAGGTGGTAGATCACTTGAGGCCAGGAGTTCCAGACCAGCCTGGCCAACATGGCGAAACCCCGTCTTTACTAAAAATACAAAAATTAGCTGGGCGTGGTAGTGGGCACCTACAGTCCCAGCTACTCAGGAGGGTGAGGTGGGAGGATCGCTTGAGCCTGGGAGGCAGAGGTTGCAGTGAGCTGAGATTATGCCACTGCACTCCAGCCTAGGACTCCGTCTCAAAAAAAAAAGGGGGGGGGGGCGTGGATTTTAGCTCCTAATTTGGTTAGCACATCTGTCCTGCTCTCCTAGGAAGGAGAGGGAGGAGGCACATCATCCATGTAATGATATTGTTTTAGCTGAGAGTCTGAACAGTTTAATCATGCAGGGAATTGGGGACTGCCCCTTTTTCTAGGCCCAAGTCCATATGTAAGCAAGAACGGCGAAAGGGCAGTGGGAACCTGACTGACTAGAGTTCAGCAGGTTTACACCGTCCATCTCACGCTCACCCCAAGGTACATAGTCACTGAGAAGACATAGAACTGTCCACTTAAAGGATCTCTCTCTCTCTCTCTCTCTCTCTCTCATATATGCACGCTCTTGCCAAGTGTGTATGGTTGAGTTCACAGAAGTTAAATGCGTGTGTGTGATGGGAAACTATTTCCTGCGAACAAAAACCAAGCCATGTGGAAGGGATAAAACAATCATGGATTAAACTTCCAGGCACAGCTCCAAGGCTCTTTTAGGATATTATTTTATTTTATTCCCAGAACCAAATCTGTGAAGTAGGTAATGTTACCAGCACCGAATGACAGAAGAAATATGCATGTCCCATATTTAGAAAGTGGGTCAATGGGATCAGAACCCACTTCTGTGTAATTCTGAAGTCAGTGCCCATTTTAGGACACCAGAAGCAGGCTGGTCAGAAGGTTGCCAAGCACTGCAGGGCCGACTTTGTGACAATGCAAGGCTGCCTTCCGGAGCCCAGGCTGTCTGTGGAGAAAAGAGGTACAAGGGTGTGCCTGTCTTCTTCTGAGTTTCCCCAGATTCTCAGAATGGAAGAAATGGAAGAAGAAAAAGTAGAGAGGCTGTACCCAGGAAACCCCAATTAACAGGCCTCTACTCTGGGCTGACTGGCTTTGGGGCATCAGAGGAACCTGCAAAAACCTGCCCTTGGCCTGCAGAACCCATGCACAATGAACATTAAGCCCCCTGAACTGTTTGATCAACCACACATCCAACTTAGGAAAATCCAACACCATGCTGTTAATTTTTTTTTTTTTTTTTTTTTGAGACAGGGTCTCGCTCTGTCACCCAGGCTGGAGTGCAGTGGTATAATCACGGCTCACTACAACCTCCACCACCCCAGTCTCAAGCGATCCTCCCACCTCAGCCTCCCTAGTAGCTGGGACCATAGGCATGCACCACCGCACCCAGCTATTTTTCTGTATTTTTAGTAGAGATGGGGGTCTCACCATATTGCCCAGGCTGGTATTGAATTCCTGAGCTCAAGCAATCTGACCATCTCGGCCTCCCAAAGTGCTAAGACTATAGGCGTGAACCACCATGCCCAGCCTCATGTTCATTTCTTTATTATTCTTCTAAATGCTTTAATGGATCTTCTTAGAGCAAATCTACTTTCTCTACCTTCCTAGTTATGATCCGCAAAAGCCAACGTTAGAAAACAAAGGCACAATAACTCCTGGCCACTAAAAATAGAATGTATCACCCCAAAGATGACAGAGGAAGGTATCTGGCATTTACATTTTCCACAAGAAATACATTAGGTAGTCAACTGGTTCCTAGATAAAGAAGCATTTACTTCACTCAAATTGAAGCTGTCAAAAACACAGTCACCATCTTGCTTTTAGGGAGAAAAAATTTAAGCCATCCCCACTCATGAAAGAGAAAGATGAAGGATTTCCAAAGGAATAAGCCCAGCCAGGCTTGCAGCTGCACACATCCTTATAGTATCTAGTACCGCACCCTCCTTTCCCCCCATGTAAGCCAGGAGCAGAGCATGAGGCTACTTGATGGGAAGTCTGGAGTTTATCACACCAGACACCAGGTCTCAGCTCAATGGGCAAAGTAAAAACAAACTCACCATTTGATCCAGCTGAAAGAGCTGTGGAAAGAAAAGCAAACAGCCATGAATAAGCACGTGCTGGGTTTGTTGTTAAACTGAGAAATCAACAAAAAATGAATGCCTGAAATGGGGTCAATGTCCTTTCCAAACATTCAATCTGCCCATTCTCCTCCAATATAAACATCAAAAAACGCCAAGAACAATTGGAACCTTTACTTTTTTTTCTGAGTTATAGACAATTATTGCAAAAATATAATGTACTTATATTTTTACACTACTGTTTTATTTATAGCTGGCAATCTTTTCTCTCTTTCTTTTTCCTTCTTGCCTTTTTTTGGGTGTAATTATTCAGAAGTATATACCCTAAGAGGCAACAGGTATTTTCTACTGCCTTAAAAGAACCTATTACCTACAGGGCTTGGAAATCCAACAGCTCTATAATGGCTCTGTAGGCCCATTTGTGGTAATCTGGGGTTTCAGCTCTAAAAGGCTAAATTTAACCCCTCTTACACTTGAACCTTAGTATCCACAATGTTAGAGTGATATAGATGGTGACATATTAACTACCTACTAACTATGTGATTGAAGACTATTATGTATGAGGTCCCAGCACTTGTGAAATTGATGGAATACAGCTCCCTGATACTGCAACCAAATGCCTGAGAACACTGTGCTAATATTTATACCAATTTCCAGTGATATCTGTAAACAGGTTAGTTTACTTCCGGAAAATTCTTCCATCTTAAAAGCTTAGGATTGAAGGACTCAGACTATATCCTCTTCAATGCAACCACATACCTGAAAGCTTAGGTTGTGTCTTTTTCTTTTTGCTTGAAACTTTTAAAAACTCATCAACAAGCAAGTCGTTAGCACAGGCTCTCTTGTCAGGATCTGGTTCAAAACATTTCAGTATGAATGCCTTGGCCTCTGCAGACATGGACTCTGGGATCTCAGGGTGGACTTTAAACATTCCCACCTAAGACATAAATATAAAAAGTGCAATGTGCCTTCTGAGTGAACATCTCAGCACCTGAACTCCAGCTTCCATAACTTGACCCCCCAATGCAACAAGATCCCTTATCATACAACACAAACTTATGGCTTTTCTCAAAGGGAGATAAGATGTGTTTGCTGCAGGTTATAGAAGATCAACAGAGTGCCTTGGTACCTTTACCAATGGCACAGGCAGAATAATTAGTTGAAGACAGTAGGCAGCACTATGAAGTAATAATTTAGTCCTTCAAAGCTTTAGAACATATTGGTACATTGGCACACAAAAAGGATCTTTATTTTTCTTTCTTTCTTTCTTTTTTTTGAGACAGGATCTCACTCTGTCACCCAGGCTGGAGTGCAGAGTGGTGCAATCTCAGCTCACTGCAGTCTCGACCTCCCAGGCTCAAGCGAGTCTTTCACCTCAGCCTCCTGAGGTAGCTCGGACTACAGGCATATGCCACCACGCCTGGCTAATTTTTTGTACTTTTTGTAGAGATGGGGTTTTGCCATGTCGCACAGGCTGGTCCAAACTCCTGGGCTCAAGCAATCCACCCACCTCAGCCTCCCAGAGTGCTGGGATTTCAGCCACGAGCCACCATGCTCAGCCACCGAGCTGAGACCACTGCGTTGCTCACAGTAGCTAAGTGCTGGGCATTGTGCTGGGGTTTCTCCACTTACAGATCTCATCAAATCCTTCCAACAATCCAGCGGATTAAATATTTTCCTTGTTACACCAATGAGGAAAATAAGGCTTAGAAAGGATGAGGTAACAAGGCTAAGAAAAGGGAGATCTGGGATTTGAACCTGAATTGTTCGGATTAAAGCCTATGTTCTTTTCCCTATTACATGATTTGTGAATATCTTCCCTGTCTCAAATCACCTGCATTAAAAGAGATATTTAAAAGCACTTTAAAATTAAACAATATTTTTATAACAATTAGAATTTACTTATTACTGCTATTCTAAAAAAAATTAATGGTATTTTCATTTTTTAGTACAGAGCAAATTTTCAAAGGAAATCCTTTTGTTCTTATACAGCTTATGTAAATTCATTGTAATATAAACAATATATAATTATTTGTAAGAATTATATAGCCGATACCATGTGTCAGACACAGTTCTAAGTGCTTGGTACATTTTACCTCATACACTCCTCAAAAAGCTCTTATTATACAGGTACTTTTTTTTTTTTTTTAAGATGGAGTCTCATTTTTTGCCCAGGTTGGAGTGCAGTGGTGCGATCTTGACTCACTGCAACCTCCATCTCCCCAGTCCAAGTGATTCTCCTGCCTCAGCCTCCCAAGTAGCTGGGATTACAGGTGCCTGCCACTGTGCCCCCCTAATTTTTTTTTTTTTTTTTTAGTAGAGATGAGGTTTCACCATGTTGGCCAGGCTGGTCTTGAACTCCTGGCCTCAGGTGATCTGCCCGCCTCAGCCTCCCAAAGTGCTGGGATTATAGGTGTGAGCCACCACGCTTGGCTGACAGGTACTATTTTTATCCTTATTTTATAGATGAGGAAACTGAGGCACAAGCAGGTTAAATAATTTGCTCAAAGTCTCAAATATCTTGACCATGTTGGAGCCTGGATTCAAACACTGTAAACTGGTGCCACAGTCTATGTCATGTCATCTCTCTAAGATAGCAACTTCCTGTGCACAGCTTAGACTGGCCTAATGTGACAAAAAAACACATGGTATAATAATCATTGCATTCGTGAATTATAAAGCAGCATTTCAGATAAGTCCTAGACACTGGAGAAAACCTGAAAGACTGGCCAAGAAGAGAAAGACATCCACTCATGGCAAGAAAGGCACCTCTCTTGGCACCTGCCATTGCTCTCTGAGGTTTGGTCACACTACTCATTTTTATACCAGCAGTGTCCTATCAGATTGTCTTCAAGCATAAAGCCAAGCTTTGCACAAAAGCAGAAGGTCTGTAACAACACATGGCCCCTCACAAGAGGCTATGCACAGATGGAATAAGAGCTAGAAACATGGTCTGCAGCAGGGAGAGGAATAACAATTACCATCAAAAGTCCTCTCAGGCCAAACGCGTGGCTCATGCCGGTAATCCCAACACTTTGGGAGGCCAAGGCAGGCGGAGGGCCTGAGCTCAGGAGTTTGAGACCAGCCTGGGCAGCATGGTGAAACCCCGTCTGTACTAAAATATAAAAAATTAGCTGGGTGTCATGGTGTGTGCCTGCAATCCCAGCTACTCAGGAGGCTGAGGCACGAGAATTGCTTGAACTCAGGAGACGGAGGTTGCAGTGAGCCGAGATCGCGCCACTGCACTCCAGCCTGGGTGATAGATCGAGACTCTGTCTCCACAAAAAAAAAGAAGAAAGAAAGAAAGAAAAAAAGAAAAAAAAAGAAAAGAAAAAGTCCTTTGCCTTGGATCCCACAGGGGAGCACAAAAAATAAATAAATAAATAAATAATTTTTTTTTAAGTCCTCTGCCTTAGAAAGTAGCAGATGTGTGAGTTTTACTACTTGGGAAGCATGTTTCCATTTCAAACTTCCTGTTGGCCTGGCAGTCTGGCAGCGGAGGACTGCAGGGATTCAAGATGCAGGTCATAGCCATGCTCAGTCCCCAGATCTCAAAATGCTGGCACTTGTGCTCTCATGAGCCTATTTCTATTATCAGGTACCTCCTACTGCAAAAGGTGGGGCTTCTTCCTCCTCCCATAGGAGTTACTGATGGGCAAATTAACAAGCTAGAGGAGTAGGTATATGAGAATAAGACTGATTTACTTAAAATGGTAATTATGCTCTTTTTTTTTTAAAAAAAATGAAGCCTTCAAACTATTATGGTAGAGAAGTAAAGGAAATTATTAATTTTGGTTTAATTCCTAAATGGATTATAAAAAAAGTTCTTCTATCTTCATTCACGGAAAATTTTCAGACTGTTTCCCAAAGGGCTTAAATCATCTTCAGTATAGTCATGTGTTATTTATACTGCGTTGTTAAAAGGTGGTCAATGGAAGTTACATTGAATCTCACTTTATAGCTGAGAAAACTAAGGCACAGAGAGATCCACTGTGTGAGGCACCAGCGCTGGTTCTAACCGAGAGAGAATCTTCTTGACCTTTAATGTGTTCTAAGTTGTGTTTACTTAGCACCCTTTATCTAAAAAAATATGACACACACACACAGAACATCCAACAGCTATAAAAAGCTTTATCCATTTGTTTTTAAGAGAAATGAAGTGTGACCTTGAACATAGCTGCTTGTGGTTCTCCCAGTTCATAAAATGGGGGTTTTCCTGTGGCCATTTCAATGATTGTACAGCCCAGAGACCAGATGTCTGCTGCTTTTCCGTAGCCTCTTGGTCCTTTATCTATTATTTCTGGTGCCATATACTGGAGGGTACCTGGAAACAATTCAAACACATTTCCATTTTAAAAAGATAAAACAGAAGGGTATCTAATGACAGTTTTTCAACAGAATTTTTCAACAGAAATGAGACAACTGTAAAAACATGATTCAAGTCCTAATATCGTTTGTGAGTTCCAGTTTTCTCTGCTATTAATAAAAGTGGAAATAGCAGTTTTTATAATGGATTTCATCAGTGACATAAAAATACTTTACCCATATTATCTGGTTATGAATAGGTACGCTCTTATTCCCTAGACAGTGGAGTATAAGTGAGGCATCATTTCATTGGGCTTCTTAGAAACTTCTAACAATTAGTCTTTTGAGAACAATAACATCAGTACACATTTCTTGAAGTGCATGAAGACTGTTATTATGTAAACTTCTAATCTTTTCCAGAAGAGAATATAGTTCATTCATCCATTTCCTTAGCTCTATCTCTATTTTTCAGTTCCTAAATTGAATGCTTTAACTCTTCTGTTTTCATTCTTATTTCTTAATCATGACAGCATAAAGATTCTGAAAGCCATTGTGAAAATTAATGCAAATAAATTTCTGGTGTGCCCTATTCTGTAATCCAAATATACATGACTCCTGCTGCTGTCTGTGGTCCATGGACTAACAGGTTTAAGAGATCAAAGACAGGCCATGAGCCATCCATATAGACACATAATCAGATACAGTGACTAAGAATAAAGTGAAGGCCGGGTGCGGTGGCTCACGCCTGTAATCCCAGCACTTTGGGAGGCCAAGGCAGACGGATCACGAGGTCAGGAGTTTGAGACCAGCCTGGCAAACATGGTGAAACCCTGTCTCTACTAAAAATACAAAAATTAGCCGGGCTTGGTGGCGGGCACCTATAATCCCAGCTACTCAGGAGGCTGAGGCAGGAGAATCAGTTGAACCCAGGAGGCGGAGGTTGCAGTGAGCCGAGATCACGCCACTGCACTCCAGCCTGGGCAACAGAGTGAGACTCTGTCTCAAAAAAACAAACAAACAAAAAGAATACAATGAAAAAGGGAAGAGCTTTAAGCCTGCATGGAATCAGAGAGGTGGAGAGTGTGGTATAATAGAAAGAATTAAGTGGAGGGGGCCACGAGCCCTTAGTCTGCTTCTGGCCTAGTATACCCCAGGTAAACACTTAAGTACAACTACCTCATTAACCTAAATGAGAGGCTGGATTTGAACTTCGAATACCCCATAAAGTGGTTTCCTAAAGTCTAGCAATGAGTCAGGAGCATGAATAGAAACATATCACCGCATACCCTGCTTCTGATATACAAATAATATAGTCAGCAAACAAGAACTCATCCAAGATGCCATGTTGAATTACTTCAAATTATGAGGTGTTTGCCAAAAGAACTGCTTCAGATTTTCTGATTCATAACCAAAGTGACAGACATTTTGATAAATACAGATGACACCTTTTAGGAATGCCTCATGCATGGTTTTAGGTGAAAACAATTGTGTAAAATTCCTGCAAACTGTTCCTCTGAAAAGCACTATCATAGGTGAGAAATGGACTATTGTTTACAAAAATAAAAGTGTATCATTTTTGTTATGTATTGCAGTCTTTCTAGGTTTATCCTGCAGACCTTATCACTGCATAGCAGTAGTTCACGCTAACATACAACTGCACATGTCTGCTCTCAGAAAGCCTTTCACCTGGCCAAAGACAAGGCAACCATGCTCCCCAAAGACGCTCGCCCACCTTTACTACAAAATTGGTATGATTTCTCTTCATTTGTAGCTTTTCCCCAAGTGATAATTTTGTATGATTTAAATAAGCTCAAATGGTCTTTTCGAAAATGCATCGAAGCCTACCACCCCCTTTTGTTGTCTCGGGGCCTAGAATAGAATTAATGAGAGAATTTAAGTTGTACTAATAGCTAAGTGGGAGTTATAGTGGATCAAAATTTGGAAATTTTTAATTTTTAAACATCGTAAATTAGACAATTCAAGTAATGTCAACAACAAATTATGCAATATTTGATTTGTCAGATAACCATCTGCCAATTGTGTTTAATTATCCCCCACTGAGCAAGTGCCAGAAAAACAGGTTGAGTCATGTGTTCTTATCTGCTCCTCTTTTTACTCCACAAATACATGACACATAATATTTTAAACAAAGCAATTTACGAAGCTGGATAATGAAGATGAGAGCCAACCTGAACACTGGCTTAAGTAAAATCAATGAGAGTATTTGCTCTAAAACTCATACCTCACATATCTGCATTCTAAAGTTTTTTTAAAAAATTGCTTTGAAATATCTATTGTAGAATTTCTTTGCTGCTGCAACTACCCAGGGAGGTGGTACAGCTTAGTGGTTAATTAAACTCTAATGTCACATTTCATTCATTCACTCATTCATTTAACAGATCCACACTGAGGACCTACTATGGGCCAGGCACTGTTCTAGGCACTTAGAATACAGCAGAGGAGAAAACATATAGAAATACCTGGGCTTATGTTTTTGCAGTAGAAGCCAGATGATAAATTATCAGCACAGTAAGTAAATTATACAGCATGTTAGAAAGTGACATGTTATGACCAAAAAAATATAGACCCGAGTGAAGAGGATCAGCAGGAAGGCTGCCATGGTAAATAGGGTGTTCATGGCTGGTCTCACTGCAGAGGTGGACATCTGCGTTGAGACTGGAAGAAGGTAAGAAAGTTACCCATGCAGACAGCTGGGGTAGCGGCAGGAGGAAAAGCCTGTGCAAAGGCCCTGTGATGGGACCCTGCCTGCTGTCATGGAGGAAATGCAGGAAGGTCCACGTTTCTGGCTCTGAGTAAATAACAGAAGAAGAGTAGGAAATGGGGTCTGAAAGGGAACAGACTCCGAATCAGGTCAGAGCCTTGTCCCCCACTATGAGGGTTCTGACATTTGTTTACTCTGAACAAAAAAAAAAAGCAAGCCACTGAGGGCTCTGAGCAATAGGACTTGGTTTATGTTTCAGAGGGATCACTCTGGCTGCAGTGCTGAGAGTAGACAGTAGGGGGCAAAAGTGAAGCAGGAGCACAGTTGGGGAAGCCACCGAAAATGCAGGTGAGCGATGAGAGTGGCAGCAGCAGAGGTGGTGAGAACCGGCCCAATGTTGGACATGTTTTGAAGGCTTCGTGGACGGACTGGGTTGGAGTGTGAGAAAAGAGAAGTGCCCTGGATAACAATGTCGGGAGTGGCTGCCAACTGGGACAGAAGAGTGTGCCGGGGACAGGTTTGGGAGAAGATAATTAATTCCCTTTGGCCTGTTAAGTCTTGCTTGAGTCTCAGCTCTATTACCAACTAGCTTTGTGACCTTGGGCAAGTTATTCAACCTCTTTGAACCTTCATTTTCTCACCACAAACTGGGATAATGATACCTAATGATTAAGGCTGATGTATGAATTTCAATAAAACAACATATGTAAAGCACTTAGTGCAGAGCAAGGTAACACAGTAAGCACTCCATAAATGGTGATCACTGCTGCCTTTTCCCTCATCAAAATCACCAAAAGGTGATGCAGACCAATTTATTGACTGAGCACCTGGGACTAACCCACCTGGGACTTAGTGACCACCAAGTTCACGTTTGAAGCCTATGATGTGCAGGGCCCTCGGGACCGGTGCTGGGGACAGATCTATACATGTTAGTGACACACGTCACTCTTACGTGACACCAGTGGAAGAGGTCCAAGAAAAGGGCTCTGTGAGGACTGCTTTCCTACAATTCCTTTGGAGATTTTACAAAAAAGATGTTCCCCAGATTAGTAGCAGAAGATACTGTGTTAACATCCTGTCCCACAAAGTGTGTGAAACGAGGGATTTTCCTCTCAGAAATTACTGAGTCTTGACAGCACTGAAACTGCTGCTTGCCAAGTTAAGAGTAAGAGGAAAGAAATGTAAAGACATTTGAAGTTATTAATAGGTCAGAATTTAGTTTTTTCAAAAAAATATATTCAAAATGTGTTTAATTCTGTACCCTAAAATATCCATTGCCCTGAGGTGGGAGCTGGGCCAGGGGTATTGCTGACTGAATGCTCTAGGGAAAAAACTTACACAGAATGTCTCTCTCTCCTCCTGCAGGAAGGTAGAGAGAAAGATGGACTAGAGCCAGAAGGTAAAAGCAAAGAGCAAACAGTAGATACAAAATCTGAGTTCTGGCTAGGCGTGGGGGTTCGCACATGTAATCCCAGCACTTTGGGAGTCCAAGGCAGGTGGATCACTTGAGGTCAGGAGTTTGAGACCAGCCTGGGCAACATGGTGAAACCCTGTCTCTACCAAAAATACAAAAAATTAGCCAGGCATGGAGGTGCGTGCCTATGGTCCCAGCTACTAGGGAGGCTGAGGTAGGAGAATCACTTGAGCCCGGGGTAGGGGAGGTCACAGTGAGCAGAGATTACACCACTGTACTTCAGCCTGGGTTACAGAGCGAGAACCCATCTCAAAAGAAAAAACAAAAACAAAAAAACAGTTTTGCCAGGCATGACATCCTAGATACTTAGGAGAGTGGGGTGGGTGGACTGCTTAAACCCAGGAGTTCAAGACCAGCCTGGGCAACATAGCAAGACCCAGTCTCAAAACAAAAACAAAAACAAAAAACCAGTCTGAGTTCTATCCGGTACACACTGCTGTGACTTCTGACTGCAATGTCACTTCTCTCCCAGGTAATTTCCTCATCTACAAAATGGAGGTACTCCCACCTACCTCACAGAATTGAGATGGGGCCATGTTGCTTCATATTAGACCAAAGATTATTCATGATCTTTTTCTCTTCCCTTCCCCTTACCCTTTTTTTTTTCCTGCTAAATTTCTCTCTATAAGAAGAACTTAACACTTCATGAGAATTAGCATGATGGAGTGATAAGAACTAAATGGAGATCAGGTTTGAAGTCTCACACACCCTCCCTATAACTGTTGGGCAGTCATGAATCTCTTGAGTCTGAGCTTCCTCTTGGCTACTGTTACCTTTTTGGAAATCACTTGGTCTCCACCCTCCCAGTACTTTGCACCAGAGGCAGCTCAGTGGTTGCGTTGCCTACTTTCTCAGGAAAGCTCTCTCCCTCCCTTCTTCTGAGTCGGTGAGTCACTTCCTCTTCTGAATTGAAATCCTAGGGTTATTTATATTGTGGAGTAGGGGAGTCAACCACAGAGAGTAAACAGTAAAAGAGGGAATTCATCGTCCAAATGGGAAGTGATTAGGGTATGAGTAAGCATCACAGAGAGGTTGGGCCAAGGAAATGTTTAATAAAAAAAAAAAAAAAAAAATCTTGCTAGAGTTATTGTAGGCCAACCAGGAAAGAAGTAATTACATGAAAAGAAAAATAAGTAACAAGTTGAGAATTAAAAAAAAAAAAAAATCTTCAGTGGCATTAAGCAGGAGACTAACTAAGCAAGTCATATAAATACAGGAAGAGAAAAGGGCCAAATCAAATTCTGTAACACATTTTTCAGTGAGCATCAAAAGATACCAACATTGGCCAGGCGCAGTGGCTCACGCCTGTAATCCCAACACTTTTGGAGGCCACAGGTATATCGCTTGAGCCCAGGAGTTTGAGACCAGCCTGGGCAACATGGTGAAACCTTGTCTCCATCAAAAATACAAAAAAATTAGCTGGGCGTGGTGGCGCATGCCTGTAGTCCCAGCTACTCAGGAGGCTGAGGTGGGAGGATTGCTTGAGCCTGGGAGTTTGAGGCTGCAGTGATAGGTGATCACACCACTGCATTCCAGCCTAGGTGACAGGGCAAGACCCTGTCTCAAAAAAAAAAAAAAAAAAAAAAAAAAAGAAAGAAAAGAAAAGAAAAGAAAGAAAAAAGATACCAACATTACTGTGTGTGAGAACACCAACTGAATTTCTCTCTCACATTGTGCTCAAACTCAGCAATTATTTCTTTAATTACATAAGATCTGTATCATCATTGCAAAAACATACCAGTAAAAGTTTCAGTACAGGGGTTTATGCCAGCAAGCCTCTTTGATGTTCCGAAGTCAGAGATCTTGAGAACACCACTGTAGGTATTAATCAACACATTGTCACCCTAGAGAACAGAGGACTTTAATCACAATTGTTATCTTTCTTCAGATACTGTCTGTTGTTGACTTGGTAAGTCCAATTTAAAAAAAAAAAAGGTGTCCTTACAGCTACCAACGACATTAATTCTGTATTCTTCATTAATAGTTTATCTCAATAGTGCATTCTTGACACTATTTTTTGTTTACATATTATCAGTTTGAAACCAACCGCCTTTGCGAAAATTACAACAGTGAGAAAATTATGACAGTAAAAGAGATCTGATCTAACCACCACCATCTTGCTTTAAATTTCCAAACTGCCCTTGGTCATTCCAGGGTGTAGACCAAGCTCACTTGGAGAAATTTAATTTATAGTTTAGTTGATAATAGCCCTTCCCCAAAACTAAACTATCTTTGTAAAACTAATGAAAGGCCACCAGGTTAGGAGGATGAGAGGGGCCTAAAGTCCGCTAAGATGTAGGCACAGTCAAATGATTATCAGCCCATTATTCTGGGGGTCACAAGATTTGCAACTTCCCCAATTGTTCCTATAATTGACATCACTATTGTAGAACTGAAGACTGGCCTTTTGAGATGTCTTTACAGGCTTCTCCATTTCTGACTATCAGATGGCATCACCCAGACCTGTGACTCTGGACTCAACCAGTCCTGTGGCCCCTACCCAGAAGTGGACTCAACACACAAGAACCATTTTCCACACCCCTATAATTACATCCCCAACCACCCAGACCCTAGCCCCCTGCTCACCAAACTATCTTTGAAAAACCCTAGCCTCTAAATTTTTGGAGAAGCTGATTTGAATAATTATAAGATCCAATATTTTGTTTGGCCATCTCTATGTGTATTAAACTCTTTCTCAATTGCAATTCTTACATCTTGAGAAATCAGCTCTATCTGGTCAGTGGGCAACATGAACTCATTGGATGGTTATAAGTTCTTCATAATCTGCTACTCAGATCACAAGATCAAATATGATTCCTAATTGGTTAGAGCTTGTTGCTATTTACAGATATATAATGATGTATGTATAATTAAATTACGATTTTCATAACTTTCCAGTTACCTTACTTTCTTTTCTATGTTTCTTTACTTCTTTTCCTGGAATATGTAGGGACATGATAGATAAATGGGCTTTTTGGTTGATTTTAGGGTACTAATATTAACTTATTTTCAACAGTCCAGACTTTGTAAAAAATGTATTAGTTCTGAATTTTCTTTTTAAAAAGAGAATGTAAAGTTATTATTTTAGCTTATTTTAGAGAATCTATACCTTATAATTATAGTTAAATCAATGAATATGTGATACTTGTGAGAAAAGAGGAATTTTTTTTCTTCTAACCATTCATCCATTGATTCAATAAGTATTTACTGAGTAGCTACTATGGGCAAGGATACAAAGATTAACCAGCCTATAAGCTCCTCAGGACCAGGGGCCATCTCCTGTTTAACTTTTGACAGCTGCATCCCACACCACAGAGCTCCTAGGAAACATTGTGTGGTGGGAGCACAATCTTGTTGGCTGAACGCAGTTAAGCAGTGTGTTCCTTGAGCAGAAGCGTTAAGACATGAACATAAATAACTGATTCAGGGTTGAACGATATTTTATATTTCTGCTGTTTCTAAGATTTACTTATTCACCATTCTAAATTAATACTCATAACACAATATGACTTTTGCAAGTAAAATAATAACCCAGCAAAGAAAGAACTCATGAAAATGAATGCTGGTGTACCTCACCTTTATGTCCCGGTGAACTATCTGATTGTCATGGAGATATTTTAATCCTTCCAGTATTTGCTTTGTATAAAAGCCAATTGTTTGCTCATTGTCTTTTAATGGACCCCATTTGGAACGAAGGAGAGCAGAAAGACTTCCTGTAAAGTAGGGATAAATAGTAAATAAATCCTCATTCAAATGAGCTCTTTAAAGTGTATTAATAATGTAACAGTAATTTAAGCTAACAGTCATTGGTTCTTCACAGTGGCCCAGGAGCTATACTGGATATCGGGCTCAAACATGAATTTGCAAATATCCCTACTCTAAAGATGCTTGTAATCAAATATGTCTAAGTAAAAGGCCAATGTCAATTGCCAACTTTAATTCAAGTCATGATGATAGATACTGAAATGGTTCCCATATTTATGTATTGTCTCTGTGAAATTACATAATTCACATGTAAAGCTTCTAGAACTTTAAATTATTTGAGCCTTATTATTTAAGGAATGTGACTTTGTGGCCTGAGTCATATAGCATTCAGTTGTAACTTCTGATTCTGCGATTATAGGCTAAATCTCTTCCGCATTTTTGTCCTGTAAATGATTGGAGAAGACTGAATGGTGCCAAAGAAAAGATCCCCCGAGACCATTACCCCTCCTTATGGAACATTAAAATAATGTGCCTTGGAATACAGCAAGCTGTAACCACTTAAATGTAATGACTTTGGGTAGAAGATGTTGCCACCCTGTTAGTCTTCAGCTTATATAAGTGAAACATGAACTTCCTCACTTTGGAACACTGGCCCATTCTTTTGGAGTCTGTGTTTCCTGGGTGGCTATCCTCAAGCTTTGCACTGGAATAAACTCTATACATTAGGATATTTTCTAAATCTCATCATTTATGGTTGACATCTCCTAACAAACTGGAGGTAATGTCACATGTCCAATTTTTCTTTCAGTTTAGACAGATTAAGACCTGTACGCTAGTAAATCCCATTCAATTTTACTCCCCTCCGAAGCTCTAAACATTCACACTTTTTAAAGAAAGAAATATCTCTTACCTCCAGGGACCTGCTCCATGAAGATTTTAATGAAACCATTCTCACTGAAAGAGCCCAGATACTGGACAATATTTTTGTGCTTCAGGTGTTTATGCAATGCTATTTCTTCATGCAGGGGCTGAGAGTATCTAAAAGACATGCAATTGTCAATGAGTTAATTATGTAGCCAGACTTTACTGTATAAATTTAAACAATACAAATGGAAAATGTCAGCCAAATATATGTCCATATGTAAAACCAAAACAACCACTTAAGGCCTTTATTTCTCCTAAGGTAAATTCTATGAGGTTGAAGGTGTGGTAGGATCTGAGGGGAAATGTGTCAGGTACTAAGCCAGTTGTATACATTAATTCATTTCCATGAGAAGGTAGTATTGGTATGCCCATTTTACAGATGAGGAAACTGATTCACAGAGAGGATGACTGACTTGCTCAAGATCCCAAAGCTATTAAGTGACAGAGCTAAGATTCAAACCCAGGAGAACGGAAATTGTCCACAGTTTACTCTCCATATTAACATATTAACATGACTTTCTATTCCACTGGCCTCATCAACACAACTTTATTATTGACTATAAAACTTTACTATTACAATTTACTATTAATCAGGAGACTCTTGCCCAGGAAGACAAAACTTGCATAATGTACATTCCAGAACTTCCTGAAAGGCCCGTCAATTTTTCAATAGCAAACATAAAACCACTCATATGTCAAATCTCTTTGAGCCCCTTGCGTCAAAATCTTCACCTTACTGTATCCACTAATTCTATTATATCATGATTTTTACCTAATCCTCATGAAGCCTCCACATTGAAAGTGTGACTTCAAAATTATGTACTTGATATATGTTGCTGATTCAAATTATAAAAGTTATTTTATATTTCTGGAGCAGAACAACACTTTTGATGATTATTGGAAGTACTGTAAAGCTTTATAGACTCTTAACCACCCTGAATTTAATGTAGCCCTAATGTAATTATTGTACAGCTTGCCAAAGAACATAATTTCAGCAAATTGAGTTTTAAAAATCAAATTGGCTTTTATTCATGATTCATGAGCCAGGCAGTATCCAATCAAAATAGGAGGTCCGCTGGGCATGGCAAAACAGTGGGTTTTCTTTCCTAAGGTAGCTTGAGCAGGAAGAAAAACAACACAGAGCAAAAACCAAGTGGTTAACGTTAGGTTAGTTCAGGTTACTTCCCTTGCAGGGGTTAAAGCAGAGGGGACTTCTTTTCATGCCAGCTCAGGTTGGCTGGGTGCCTTTTGATCAGTCCCTGTGACTCTGTTTTGTTTTTGTTTTTTGAAAACTGGCCTGTTGGAGAATTTGGCTATCATCTCTCTCCTGATTTTTCAGAAGGTCAGATCTTACAAGTAAACTGCTTAGTTTTGGTTTGGTGATGTGGAACCCTAGCATGGTTCCACAGGCTGGTCTGTTGGAGCCTAGTGCAGGAGCTCAGTCCAAATCAGTAGCCTCAAATTTTACTTAAGAAGCTAAATATTGTAGGGTGTCAGCAACAATAAATACAGACTCAAAGCAATTCCTCGAGATATAGATCTATATATAATCTAAATTGAATATATATATATCTTCTATAATGGAGGCTACAGGTGTGAAATACACTAATAATTCACATTAGTGCAAACCTGGTGTCTCACACTTGCTTCAGTCCTACATGTAGGAAATCCTTAGATCTTACACTGACAAATCCATTGGTTAATGCTGAATAATGCTATTTTCAATAAGCTTTTTAGAGTAAGTGCTTTAGCTAAAGCAATTAGTTTATAAACATTTAAATTCATTTAATTTAAATTAATTTTTATTATCTGTGTAATATTTCCAGAAAGCAGCCAACAGCAATAACAATAACAAAAGACTTGTATTTTAGATCGATTATTCTTTTTTTCTTTAGAATTACTTCAGGAACTATGAAGGGCACGTATTAAAATGAGCACTTTAATAGTATACCAGTTAGAGATAGCAACAACATTTTGATAATTGCTTGAGTGAGATAACACCAGAAATATCAATATACAGTGTTACCAATAAGATACTTAGGTAATGACTCTCAACTATAAGGGTATTTACAAGTTGCTTCTTCCATGAGGGTTAAAACACTTTGATGTTGGTTCATACCTGCTCCTCTTTTTTTTTTTTTTTTTTTTTGAGATGGAGTTTCACTCTTGTCGCCCAGGCTGGGGTGCAATGGCGTGATCTCAGCTCACTGAAACCTCTGCCTCCCGAGTTCAAGTGATTCTCCTGCCTCAGCCTCCCAAGTAGCTGGGATTACAGGCGCCTGCCACCATGCCTGGCTAATTTTTGCATTTTTAGTAGAGACGGAGTTTCACCATGTTGGCCAGGCTAGTCTCGAACTCCTGACCACAGATCACCTCTCCCCACCTCAGCCTCCCAAAGGGCTGGGATTACAGCTGTGAGCCAACAAACCTGGCTTATAACTGCTCTTGATATAGATTAGTGGCAAATACTGTGCCTCTGTATTCTACAGAGTTAAGAGATAAAGAAAAATCTGAAACAATCAAGTAACTCGATGATGATGATGATGATGATGATGATGGTGATGATGATGATTTGAGACAGGGTCTCTCTCTGTCACCCAGGCTGGAATGCAGTGGCACGATTACAGCTCACTGCACCCTCAGCCTCCCAGGCTCAAGCAATGCTCCCATTTCAGCCTCCCGAGTAGCTGTGACTACAGGCATGCACCACCATGCCCAGCTAATTTTTGTATTTTTTGTTTTACCATGTTGTCCAGGCTAGTCTCAAACTCCTGAGCTCAAGTGATCCGCCAGCCTCAGCCTCCCAAAGTGCTGAGATTACAGGCATGCACCACCATACCGGGCCCTCAGTTAATTATTAATCAAAAGACTCCCACCTCCTGATTCTCTACTGAAAATCAAAACATCAATGCTTAAACTTAAGACCCTGGAGAAGCAATATCCTTACCTCATTACTTAAACTAAGGAGATAGCTCAAAATTTGCAATAATAGTCAGAATCCAACCTAGCTAAGGACAAGTACTCTTCTCCAATATAAAAAATATTACAAACACCCAGCATTTTCACTAAGTGTAAGTGCCAAGCATTAAACAAGGATGGAATTATAATTTGTTCACATCAACAAATTATTCTTATCTATGAGAATTATAAGAAAATCATATTTCTTCTCAATTACCTGTAACAAGGGAAAGAAGAAATGGCCTAGATAATCAGAGATACTTACATATTTTGGTTTTGACAAAACTATTAATCCATAGGTATCGCCAGACATCCCCTCTGAGTCAAATCCCTACTGCTAACCATCTAGACCAGTGGTTGCCAACCTTGACTGGATATTTACATCTCCTAGAGGGCTTCTAATTGTCCAGGACCACCCCAGGATTTCTAGAAGTAGAGCTTGAGCATCAGTATTTTTAAAAGCTCCCCTGTTGTCTCTCATATACAGCTGGGTGAAAAATGACATAGAAATAACCAGTCCACGGCCGGTGCAGTGGTTCACTCCTGTAATCCCAGCACTTTGGGAGGCCAAGGTGGGCAGATCACTTGAGGTCAGGAGTTCAAGACCAGCCTGGCCACATGGTGAAACCCCCTCTCTACTAAAAATATAAAAATTAGCTGGGTGTAGTGGCAGGTGCCTGTAATCCCAGCTACTTGGGAGGCTGAGGCAGGAGAATCACTTGAACCCAGGAGGCGGAGGTTGCAGTGAGCCGAGATCGCGCCACTGCACTCCAGCCTGGGCGACAGAATGAAACTCCATCTCAAAAATAAAATAAAATAAAAATAACCAGTTCAGGATATGTAGAATATCAGAAGAGAAAGCCAACCTGAGATTAACAACTAGTTGGGGGTGGATGATGAGAGCATACTAAATCTACCTCTTCCCTCTTACAACCACTTTGATTCTCTAACAAAGTGGTTTTAGAACATGAAGGAAACAGAGGAGAAATTGTTTCCATTGCTCTGATCCTTCTTTACAGATGGTAGTTTAGTGTACACTCAGGTTGTATCATGCATTATTCACATCACACTACTTTTGTAATTATGCTTTGTAACTGTAACTGCTATCTTTTTCAACAGAACGTCCACACCCCTCCAGGTTACATGGATAGAAACAACTTTGTTTGCTGTATCTTCACAATAATAGAGTTGTCTGCGATCTCTTTACATTGTCAATAAGAAGATGCCCTGCACCAGCTGTTCAAGCTAAGGGCTTGTCATGTGCAAATCACATATACCAACTGCATTGTTACAGAACAGGAGCTGAAACATCTTGTTGGTGTTGGTGTGCTTTGTGTGTGTATAGTAGCATTTGAATAAACTTAAACTACAGGGTGATTTTAAAAGTGAGTTTCTTCCAAGTGTTCACCTAAATCCATCAGGAGTAGAGAAGAGAGGAGCTGTGGCTAAAGGTTAGTGAATTTGGCTGCAGCAATTTGATAGTGATGACCTCGTTAAATTTCATATTGTTTCAAAGTCTACACTATCTATACATATGCTCCTTAAGAACACATAGGACTAAAAGAAAAATTTTAAGATGACAACTTTATATATATTACCTAGGTATTTAATGAGTAATTTCTATTACTGTTTCATAAGAATCCATAATCATGTCTCATGAATTAACTAAGAGGAAACTCTGGAACGACACCAAACAAATATGAAATTGAATGAAACTACACATGCGGCAGGCAGCAACAGCTGTTTGCTTACCTAGTATCTATTCTTCCCTCTTTCTATGATTTTGTTTGGAGAAACAAATGGCTGGCTAAAAAGCCGGAGTTCCTAGTTCCTTGTAGGTAGGGGTAGGCATTTTGGGCGAGTGCAACAGAGGAGAAAGTATACTGGGCAGTTCTGGGAAGCTCTGTTTTCCTTTTCCTTCTGGACTGACATATGGAGCCTGGAGGCAGGGTGAAAGTCACGCACTAAGGATAAAGAGCTGGGACCGGACACAGTGCTTGCATGGGAGGGGGTGTCTTTTTCAGTTTGGGACAGTCAGAGAAGACCTCTCTGAGGGCTTGACATTTGAATTAAAGCTTAAGTGATGAAAATGAGGCAATCCTGCCAAGGTCTGGGTTGATCTTGGTATGCCCGATAGAGAGACACCAGTGTGGCTGGAGTGGAAGTGAGGCCACAGAGGAAGCAGATCACCTATGGCCTTGTGATTCAAAGTAAGGGTTCTGGGTTTCATGCTGGTTGCAATAAGAATCCACTGAAGGGTTTTAGGCAGTAGTGACGTGATGTGATTTTTAAAAATAGATGTTATTTCTTAGAGCAGTTCGTAAGTTCACAGAAAAATTGAGAGGGAGGTACAGAGATTTCCCACACACTCCTGGTTCCCACACATGCACAACCTCCCCCCTTATCAACATTCCCCACCAGAGTAGTCCATTTGTTACAACTGATGGACCTTCACTGACACATCATTATCACTACATGATTTGATTTTAACTTCAGAAAGACCTCTGTGACTCCTCAAAGAAGGATGGACTAGGAGTGGAGGAAAGAGCGAAAGCAGAGACCAGTTAGGAGGTGATTGCAGAGACTAGAAGGGAGTCCCAGCGACAGGCCTGAAGGCTTAGATTAGAGGTGCAGCTGTGGTGATCAGAAAGAGTAGAGAGATTCAGAATATCTTGCAGAGGCTGATACAACAAACAGTACGACTTACTGATGGAGTAGATGTGGAGTGCAAGAGAAAGAGAGGAATCAAATGAATCCTGGAGGTTAGCCTGAGCAGCTGGATACATGGGGAGACAGTAACTGATAACACAAGGAGTACTTTAGGGAGAGTACATTTGGGAATAAAAATTGGGTTCACGGCCTGGCGTGGTGGCTCACGCCTATAATCCCAGCACTTTGGGAGGCTGAGGTGGGCAGATCACTTGAGGGCAGGAGTTCGAGACCAGCCTGGCCAACATGGTGAAACTCTGTCTCTATTAAAAACACAAAAATTAGGCAGGCATGATGATGCAGGCCTGTAATCCCAGCTACTCAGGAGGCTGAAGCATGAGCATTGCTTGAACTCGGGAGGTGGAGGTTGCAATGAGCTGAGATGGGGCCACTGCACTCTAGCCTGAATGACAGAGTGAGTCTCTGACTTAAAGAAATAAGGAAATAAAAATAAAATCTGGGTTTGCTATTGGGTTACATACTCACTACCTAGGTATATTTGATGGATTCCTTTGTACTCCAAACCTAAGCAACACACAATATTCTTTTGTAACAAACCTGCGCATGTACCCCCTGGTTCTAAAATAAAAGTTAAAAAAGGAAAAAAATCCAGGTTCAGTTTTGGTCCTGTTAACCTTGAGATGCCTTTGAGATCTATAACTGGAGATGTGGGGTAGACAGGTAACCTGGGGAGCTCAGGGGTGGGTCCTTCCTAAGGAAGGCTGGTCATGTGGCCTATGACCACGGCCACAGAACGTGGAGTCAAGGGCAGCCAGAGTCAGCCCATGATGTAGCCCAGCATTAAAGCCTGGCCAAATATGGATAATAATAACCATCTATTAAATAATCCAATCTTCTCTCTTTCAGACTTTGAATACACAACACACACAACTGTGTATCATACACTACAACTGCGTTGCACTAATTACAGGAGCACTGCCTTACAGAGAGATGTAAGGGAAGCCCTAAGGCAGCAGAAATCATGAGGTTGAGAGAAGACAGAATTATTAGTTGGAGAAATAAACCATAAGGCAGAGCACAAGAGCAGTGAGCAACAGATAATCCTATCACCAGAGCGCTTCAGTTTCCTGAACATTTTTGTTCCTAAAAAAGATTCCACCTTTCACAAGGCCTCACTATGTGAGATTCAACTCATTTCTTCAAGCATAGGTTGGTGCAAAAGTAATTGCGGTTTTTGCCATTAATTACTTTTGATGGCAAAAATGTATATATTATACATTTTGTAGTTGTCACACAGTTCTTGGATATTGTCCCAGTTTTTTTTTTCAGTCTTTTTTCTCTTTGCTTTTTTAATTTTGAAAGTTTCTACTGATATATTCCGAAACTCAGAGATTCTTTAACTGTGCCCAGTCTACTAATAAGCCATCAAAGCCATTCTTCACTTCTATTACTGTTTTTGATCTCCAGCATTTTTAAAAATTATTCCTAGGATTTCCATCTCTGAGCTTACATTACCATCTGCTCCTGCACAATCTCTACCTTTCCATGAGAGCCCTAAGCATGTGAATACGATTCACAATCTGATAACTCTAATATCCCCGCCATATCTGGTTCAGGTTCTGACACTTGCTATGTTGCTTAAACTGTGTTTTTTGTCTTTCAGTATGCCTTATAGTTTTCTATAGAAAGGTGGACATGATATCCTAGGTGAAAGTGCTGCAGTAAATAGGCCTTTAGTGATGTGGTGGGAAGCAGTCAGGGAGGGGAAGAGTTCGACAGGTCTGTGATTAGGTCTCAGTCTTTTAGTGAGCCAGTGCCCCTGGGCTGTGAATTTTACAAGTGCTCCTTAGCTTTAGCCCCCTTAGGTGAGACAGGACAGCTAGAGTTGGGCTAAATTTGGTACTCCACTTCCCCTAGTTTGGTTAGGCTCCGGTAAAATAGAGTCTCTTGTGGACAGACCTTGTTAAGAACAGAATGCTTCAGCGTATTTAAAAATGGTGACTTTGCCGGGCATGGTGGCTCACGCCTGTAATCCCAGCACTTTGGGAGGCCGAGGCGGGCGGATCACGAGGTCAGGAGATCAAGACCGTCCTGGTTAACACGGTGAAACCGCGTCTCTATTAAAAATACAAAAAATTAGCCAGGCGTGGTGGCAGGCACCTGTAGTCCCAGCTACTCAGGAGGCCGAGGCAGGAGACTGGCATGGACCCAGGAGGTGGAGCTTGCAGTGAGCCGAGATCGTGCCACTGAACTCCAGCCTGGGTGACAGAGCAAGACTCCGTCTCAAAAAAAAAAAAAAAAGAAATAGTGACTTTTCCTTTCTTGCTGCCAGAAGCACAATGGGATTTCTCTTATTTCAAGTCTCTCTGAGGACCTGGTAAAGCTCCAAAACTCATGAAAGTGTGACCCTCATCCCCAGCCCTCAGTGACTGGGTCCCACTGGAGTTTTTAACTCAGACTTCACAGTGGGCCTCTAGAGATTTGTCAGTTACAGTTCAGTTTTCCTACCCCAGCACTGGTTCCCACAGAGGTGAGCAGATCATGGATTTCTGCTCAGTAAGTTATGAGTCTCTCAGTTTTCCAGTCTCTCCAATTTCAGGGGCAGCTGCCTCCCTTGCAACTTCACGGACGAATCCAAGAAGAGCCACTGATTTCAGTCTCTTCAGCTTTCTACTTGTTAAGATGGAATGACAACTTCCAAGCTCCTCACATGCCCGACTGGAACCTAGAACTGGTTCCAACCTAAACGATTTCTGATAGTGCTTATTCCTCATCTATTCACATAATACATCCACCTTTATCCAAGACAACCTGAGCCTAACACACACAGGGCCATTCTCTTTTCTAGTCTTTGAAAGCCCCGTTCTTCCCCACCAGTCTGGCACTTCAAACACTGAATGATGCAGCAGCGAAACCTCAGAAGGAGCTAATTCACAGAGTGAAGTTTTCACAGTTTCATTCATTAGAATATCATCAAGTATTTTCTAAAATACTGTCAACAACCCAAAGTACTACAGAACAGCTTTTAGTAGCTACAATTACTGTACCTGCTGTCTCTCTCTGGGATTTCCTTAATAGCAATTCTGACTTGGTTGCTCAAGTCCCGACCTGCGTAGACTATCCCATAAGTGCCTTTTCCTAAAACGACTCTGTCACCATTTTCATCATATTCATAGTCATACTACAAAAGGAAAAACGGGGAGAAAAGATCAAAACATTAGTTCATTCTACATTTCAAACATCAAATTTTTTTCCAAGAGCATTATTCCTTATCTTATCAGATGGCATTAACAGGCTGAAGTTCTAAGAAGCAGCTTCAAGGATGAACAAATAAATGCTCCCAACATAAAGCAGATACTGTGTTTATGTTTTCACAAACTGTTACAAATACAGTGGGGATTACATAGTTAACTTCATAGAATTGCTTCTCCAAAAGCCATGTGGATTCTTTTACCCACTCAGTCCTGTTTTTCATTGATTCTGGAGATCAGTGAAACAGTGTATAACTAGCATCAACATCTATCAATGTCTATCACATCTAATAAATCTTCCTTTTGTTATTCAGCTTTTGATGCTGTTAAAGCATTTCACACTGCCAGGAGAATAAAACCACCGAAAGGCTTTGGGTAAGAAGAAAATGTTGACATCTTACCAGGTGCCAATGATAAAGTCAGGATTATTTTACTTCACCACTCCCCACCGTTTCCCCAAGACCCAAAAACATTTTTTTAAGTGAAAAATAGAGGAAAATTTTGATCTCTGATGTAGAAAGGAAATATCTATAGTTCTAAACTCCAAACTGTCAAGTATGTCAGCCAAATATGGAAAACCGGATCTACAGAAAGGATTCAGTAGAGACCTCCTCAGATCTGGAGGCATCACCCCAAAGCCACATCCTTTGTGCTGGACTGGAACTAAATGATTTAGGGCCATCACATGATCAAGGCATGTCCCTGTAGAAACCCAGCATAAAACTACAGACCCCTGGGAGAGAACATTAGAACAAGCTTTTCATATAGTCTACATTTTGCTGGAGTTTAAAACTGGCAGTCCATAGTTAGATTCACCTCACAGCAGGGTCTGAGTTGGCCATTAAAAAAAATTATTTCTGGCCAGGTGTGGTGGCTCATGCCTGTTAATTCTAGCACTTTGGAAGGCTGAGGCAGGTGCATCACCTGAGGTCAGGAGTTTGAGACCAGCCTAGCCAACATGGCAAAACCCTGTCTCTACTGAAAATACAAAAATTAGCTGGGTATGGTGGTGCACGCCTGTAATCCCAATTACTCAAGAGGCTGAGGCAGGAGAATTGGTTGAACCTGGGAGACGGAGGTTGCAGTGAGCTGAGATGGCGACACTGCACTCCAGCCTGGGCAACAGAGCAAGACTCCATCTCAAAGAAAAAAAAATGATTTATAACATGTATAAGTCAACAAACTTAACGTTAATACTGATGAGTAATCTATGAAGAGGGCAATGATCATGAGTTTTTATGCTCTTTAACAACATAGCCTTGAAATATAAAAGCAGAGTTGATAAAATTTCAAAGAAAAATACACAAATATCAACCACAATAGATTTTAACAGAACTCTTTTAGAAAGGAATATATCTGGCACACAGATTTTAAAATAGAGAATCTAATGGCACAATGAACAAGTTTGATATAACATCTACAGAGAGAGCTCTGTATCCAGATACAGATTCCTTTCATGCATACATGAAAAATATATTATAACTGATTACATATTAGACAACAAAGAAAAATTTCAACAAATTCCAAAGAACTGATATCATAAAGACCATGATCTCTGAGCACAGAATACTAAAAATAAGACAGCCAAAAGTATATTTTACTTTCCTTTAAAATAACCAATGGGTTAAAAAGGAAATGACCATGGGAATTACACAGTAATTTTTTAAATGAGAAGAAAAACATTATTTATCAAATTCCATAGATATGGAGTTAGGTAGATGAAAAATTTCATGATCTTAAAAAAATCCATTAGAAAATAAAAATTTAACATGAATAAGTTTAATGGTCAAGTCAAGGAAACAGAAAAAGAATAACATATTGCTACCAAGACAGTAGAAGAGAGGCTCTGGATTTGGCAAGATGGTAGACCAGATACCTGAGAACCTTCCTGCTAAAAACACATAGGTAAAATAAAACAGACATACTTTTAAATGTCTAGCTGGGCTTACTAAAGAGTAAAGGTGACTGCAGAAGCTAGAAATGAAGAGGAAAGGAATACTAGCAGGTAATCACAAGAACTCCTGCAGCCCAAAGGGTGGGGATGAAGGCAAGATTTTCAGTTTCATTAATCTAGGGCGGGAATTTGTCTGCTTTTTTTTTGGTAAAAGGTCAGATAGTGAATGTTTTAGCTTTGAGGGCCATCTAGTCTTTGTAGCAACTACTCAATTCTGCCATTGTGATGTGAAAGCAGCCCAGCTGATATATAAACAAATGGGCATGCTTATGTTCCAATAAGGCTTTATTTACCAAGATTAAGAGTGAGCTGGATTTGATCCTGGGGCTATAGTTTGCTGACCTCTCATGTGGGGCTTGGGTCTTAATGCCCAGGAGGGGATAGGAAGTATGGCCTAGTGCCTACGCCAGGCAAAGAGCAGAAACACACAAAACCAGGCCCTTGGTGAAAGGGTAGATCAGAAAAGTCAGCCCACTACACTGTGAAACAAAAAGAAAGCTGGTTTGTCTCAAGACTGAGCTCTGGAGGAGCAAAAATAGGTCTTCTCTAAACACTTTCAACCACAGCTGATCCTGGTGCTGTTTGAACTTCAAATTAACACTTATTATAATACTCATAATTGCTCTTGAGCCTGGGATATCCCTGGAGTGCCTGGCAGAAACAAAGCAAAAACATTTTCATGGCAGACCCCTTGAAGTTTGCTATGCAGAATTCTTACTGATAATGCACCACTAAAGTTGAACTCACAATCCAAAAAATATAAACTATGTAAGGAAACAATTCAACATCAGTGAAAACATATATGACAAATCTCAATCCTCAAGACTTCATTAAGTCAGAAATGATAGAATATAGTTATAAAATATGTACATTTAACATAAAGATATAAAATATTTAAAAATGAGAAGATAAGATATTCTAAAAAAGGCCAGACTTGAAAGAGAATTGAATACAACTTCCAGAAATTCAGCCCTAAATAGGAAAAATAAAAACAAACTCACTGAGATATGACATAGGGAAACTACAAAATACGAAAGACAAAAAGATCATAAAAGGGCAAATTACCTACAAAGGTAGCTCATCAGATCGCTCTGCAAACTCTTGGGTACACACGCATGACTCGAGAGGATGGGGCTGGGGTGGAGCATGTCCCTACCAGCTCCAGGTTATTTGTTTCCAACAGGTTTTCAGGCCCTTATAGAAGGCAGTCGGGTGGTGTCTTCTGGGGAAAATTATGCCTAATACAATGCTAGGGCTGGAGTGAGCACTGGCCTCCTTAGCATGAATTCTTCTCTGGCTCAGGACAGAGGCCAAGCTCTGGAAGGGAGATGACTACTTACCCATTGCCAAGTATCCAGTGGCACATTAGAGAATAGCCCTGTTCTGGCTGCCTAACATAAAGCTGAAGACTGTCTTGGTCCAGGGTAGATGATCAGAGTGACCAGGTGATAGGTGATCAGAGGGAAGGAACAGGCAGCAGGGATCATTTAGCAACATGCTCTAACTCAGAGTTAAAACTGGGCTCCTGCGAGGAGACAGGAAGCATAATCCAAACAACGCCACCTGAAGGAGCCCAAGTCTCCACACCCAATTCCTGTAGTCTAGACTTCTGCAATGCTGTGCCTGCCACGCTGGAATTCCACCAGTGGGACCCAGCCAGCAGCAGGTAAAGAAGCTCAACTTTGCCGATGTGCCCTCTCAAAGGATTAGAAACCTATACACTCCATCTAGTACCACCACCATTTTACACTACAATGCTTTATAATCTTAAAGGAAAAAAAAAACCAACTTTCAATAACCCACCTCACTTATCATCATAAGCATGTGTAATAGGTTTCTGATTACTTTCAATTTACAAATGATCAGAAATTTTTTTTTCCAGTGAAAATATATCAGAGTTGTGGTTTGAAACCAGCTTGTGAGATTCCAGATTTTGTATCCTTTCCACTACCTATGCATTAGGGAAACCCTATCATAGAATAAGAGCTTACAGGGTGATTATTAGTTGTTTCCAAATACCAGTGTTATAAAGATATTACAGTATATTGTTAATATCCATGGAACATCCATTTGCTTTTTTTTAGCAGACATCTGGTAGCCACTGTCCTCTTAGAATTTTGTTTTTTTCCTTCTTTTACTATGTATTTCAAATTTATTGCCAACTGTTCTCAGATTTTTCTTCTTAAAATCTCACAAATCCATTTTACCTCCTTATTCTCACCGGAGTTGCCTCAGAATCTCTGTAGAAGTAGCACAGAAGAAAAGCACTTCTCTGCAAAAAAAAAGTTCAGAGGCTTTTCTCCTCTCTTGTTGCTCCATTCCCCAATTTATTCTCCACTAAATTGACAGTGAACTTTCCAAAGTCCAAAGTTCCACATGAACTTTCCATGTCAGTGCCACTGCATCTATTTTATTGGCAGCTTGTTACTTTCCGGATGAAATCCAAACTCCTTAGCACAGCATAAATGCCTGCTATGGTCTGAATGTTTGCGTACCCCCCTCTTCAGCGCCCTCAAAATCTGTATGTTGAAACCGAATCACAATGTATTAAGAGTTAGGCCCTTTAGAAGGTGATTAGGTCATGAGGCTAGAGCTCTCATGAATGGGATTAGTCCCCTTATGAAAGAGGCTTGAAGGAGCCTGGTTGAGCCTTCAGCCATGTGAGCACCCACAGAAGGTACCATCTAGAGGAAGTAGGCCCTCACCAGACACTGAATCTGCTGGTGCCTTGATCTTGGATTTCTCAGCCTCTGGAACTGTGAGCAAAGCATTTCTATTGGGTATAAATTACCCAGCCTAAGGCATTTTGTTATAGCGGCCTGGATGGACCAAGACAATGCCCTTCAAGATCTTACGGCTACCTCTGTCATCCTCGTCTGGACACTTGAGCTCTTCGAGACTTGGGACTTCATCCTTAATTACTCTATCCCCAGTTTTAGCATGTAGCTTGTAGTAGATGCTCAGTAATTATTTGCTTAACTAATTAATCAAGTTATAGAAAAATGTGATGAGAACTTTTTTAGAAAAGAACTAGATCCCAAAACAAAACATTTAGAGTCATTATTGGTTTATTCTTGGGTGAAAGCATTTTTCCAATAGATATATTTAAATCTTTTTTTTTTTTTAAAGAGTGTTTTGCTCTGTCGCCTAGGCCGGAGTGCAGTGGTGCCATCATAGCTCATTGCAGCCTTGAACTCCTAGGTTCAAGCAATCCTCCCACTTCAGCCTCCTCAACAGCTGGGACTTCAGGTGTACAGCACTATGTCCAGCTAATTTTTTCTATTTTTTGTAGAGATGGGGTCTTGCTATGTTGCCCAGGCTGGCCTTGAACTCCTGGCCTCAACTGATCCTGCTGCCTCGGCCTCCCAACCACTGGGAGTACAGGTGGGAGCCATCATACTCAGCAGTTTTTTTTTTTAAAGAGATGGAGTCCTGCTATGTTACCCAGGCTGGACTCAAAGTCCTGGGCTCAAGTGATCCTCCCAAATAGCTGGGACTCAGGTGCACACCACCAGGTCCAGCTCTACAACAGGTATGCTTATATAGAAGAGTGAAGAATACATAAACCTTGATGAGGCTGCTAAAGTTTTAATTTCCCCTAGGAATCTAAGGCATCAGAAGACTATTTTTTAAAAGATTACGTATTAGATACAGATTTAAAAGATTATGTATTAGATATAGAAGATTAGATATAGAAGCTGACTCCTGTTAAACAAAATGGTGATAGTAAAATGAAAAGGAATTGTAAAAAGAGCAGTGTTATTTAAGTAAAACCATCTCTGTGGGTAATTGCTGCTTTGTTTTTCTATCTCCCCTTTCTATTCTTACGAGATAAAGATAGAAATTGAAATGGCAGTTTTGAAAGAAAGCTGAAAAGAAACAAGAGACTGGTTCAGCCTAGAAGGACAGAGAATCATCTATGTAATGTCCAGGAATAGTAGAAGAGAGGGTTTTAAAAAATAAAAGGTAACATTACATTGCTTATATATTTTGCATTCTATTTCTATGGTAATAGGTTAGCAAATCAGGTTGTTGCTAAGGGAAACAAGAATTTCATTCTGAGGCAATCATGAGAATTTTTCTAGAATCATCTCTTTATTGCTGTCTGCTCAGAACAATCAAAACTGGTAGCGGGAAGAGAATCAGTGTAGGAAGGCAACATTGACAAGGCCAAACAACGAAGTGGTGACTCACTGAGTCCTTGCACTCTCGAAGGAAACAACCACCTTAGAAAAAACCATGCACTTTCGGCGGGGGCTTAATCACATTAGGTGAGTAATCACCTCAAAGACCCAAATGGCAGCTCTGTTAATGTTCAGTCTGTATGGCCTTCTTTATATGTAAATGCCAAAACATTAATAACTACTAATAACATTAATAGAATGCCAAAAACACTGCAGGTACAAATATCTAGTGTGATGGATCTCTCCTCCCTTAGATCTTTACTCACATCTCACCTTTTTTTTTGAGAAGGAGTCACGCTCTGTCGCCCAGGCTGGAGTGCAGTGGCACAATCTCAGCTCGCTGCAAGCTCCGCCTCCCAGGTTCACGCCATTCTCCTGCCTCAGCCTCCCGAGCAGCTGGGACTACAGGTGCCCGCCACCACACCCAGCTAATTTTTTGTATTTTTAGTAGAGATGGGCTTTCACCTTGTTAGCCAGGATGGTCTCAATCTCCTGACCTCATGATCCACCCGCCTTGGTCTCCCAAAGTGCTGAGATTACAGGTGTGAGCCATGGCGCCCGGCCATATCTCACCTTCATTTATTTATTTATTTATTTATTTATTTATTTATTTATTTATTTAGAGTCTCACTCTGTCGCCCAGGCTGGAGTGCCTAGGTTCAAGCGATTCTCCTGCTTTAGCCTCCCGAGTAGCTGGGATTACAGGCGCTTGCCACCATGCCCGGCTAATTTTTGTATTTTCAGTAGAGATGGGGTTTCGCCATTTTAGCCAGGTTGGTCTCAAACTCCTGACCTCAAACAATCCAACTCCTCTGCCTCCCAAAGTGCTGGGATTACAGGCATGAGCCACCACACCCGGCCTAAATCTTACCTTCTTAATGAGCTTCCCAGGCCTTCCTATCTAAAATTGCACGTCCCTGCTACACTGTAACTTCCTAAACCCTTCCCTGGTTTATTATTCTCCTTAACCCTGATCACCATCTAACATACTATAGATGGTATTTTACTTATTTGTGTTTATTGTCCGTCTCTCATTAGAAAGTAACCTGAGTCTACAGCTATACCACCCTGAATGCGTCCAATCTCTTCTGATCTCGGAAGCTAAGCAGAGTTGGGCCCGATTAAGACTTAGATGAGAGCATGTAAGCTCTCAGTGATAGCAGGAATTTCTCTCCATTTTGTTCTCTGCCATCTCTCCAGCACATGGAATGGTGCCTACCATTCAATAGCTGTCCAAAAATATGTGAGTGCATTAGTGAGATCCATTTGGACCCACTGATGTGGATGAAGATGATTTTAGGCTGAAAACATCAGAAAAACAGCAGCAGCAGAAAAAAACCTTATCTAAATTTCTTTTGCGGACATAAGCAATGCCTCCTAAAATACATCTGCCATTTATTTCCTCTCCAGGAGGTTAATGACCAAAGAGGAGATAGACCACTTGCACCTAGAGGAGATGTTGCATAAACAAAACCTTATCAAAACTTTCTGTTCCTCACACTTATTTCTCATTAGTCTCCCACCATACACTTTCTTAAAGTCTTAACCCTCTTTCTTACTAAGATGATATATAAACACTCAACTCTAGCTGTTTAGGGAGCCAATTCTTTGTGTAAGTCTCTTTCATTGACTTAGCATTGACTACATGAATAAATTTTGGCTAGGCATGGTGGCTCACATCTGTAATCTCTGCATTTTGGGAGGCCAAGGCAGCAGCTTAGGCAACATGGTGAAACCCTGTCTCTATAAAAAGCACAAAAATTAGTCAGGCATGGTGGTGCACACCTTAGTCCCAGCTACTCAGAAGGCTGAGGTGGGAGGATCGCTTGAGCCCAAGAGATAGAGGCTGCAATGAGCCGAGATCACACCACTGCACTCCAGCCTGGGGGACAGAGGGAGATTCTGTTTCAAAAATAAAACAAAACAAAAGAATAAAGTTTGTCTGCTCTCCTGTCAACTTGTCTTTTGTCAGTTAATTTGCAGGCCCCTGACCATTGAACATAAGCTGGTACAAGAAAAAGGCTTTTCCCCGTTCCCAACAGAATGAATGAATGAATAACAAATTGATACTCATATCATACAACACTATAAGTGATGTATTTTCTCAGGCAGGGAAGTAACTGTGGGTATTCAGCTTCATATCTGCACAAAAATAGAAATAGGATGTTAAAAAAGAGTTTGCTACATGATGATTCCAAACTGACTAAAATAAATTCTGAACCATAATTACTAAGGTATATGAGGCCAATCATCAGAAAAGAAAACAGTAAGGTCTTCCATCTTCCTGCAGATATTTGAGTCAAATGAAAATAATGTCACTTTTTTTTTTCTTTTTTTTTTTTAGACAGGGTCTGGCTCTGTCACCAAGGCTGGAGTGCAGTGGCGCAATCCTAGCTCACTGCAGCCTTGACCTCTCGGGCTCAAGCAGAGAGGTCCATATGGATTGGAGGCCTTCTCCCATCCATATCTCTCTCCTCCCAGTTTGAGATATTAGGTTGGTGCAAAAGTAATTGTGGTTTTTGCCATTATTGCTACAACCTAATATTAAAACAACTCTGATTTTGTCACTGCCCAGCTTCAAACCCTTCAGATTGAATCTCTTTTACTTGGACACCTGGCACCATGTGAGCTCATGTGATTAAAAAGGGCAAAAAGCCACCATCCTGCCATGGGACATTAACAGTCCAGTCCAGTGCAGGCTACCAGATTACAATGCATGGAGAAGAGCTAGGCCAGAGGAGTGGGCCAAAATGCTAAGAGAACAGAGAAAAGCAAGAAGGGGAGTTGAGAAATGATTCAAAGAGAAAAGGACACAGGACCTGGATCTGAAAAATTAAGGCTTTGGTCACTAAGTGGGACTGAGGAGAAAAGTTTGTGAGGTTGGGCGTCTGCATGTCAAGCCCAGAGGCCGGAGAAGCATGGCCACCTGGAAAGTGGAAAGGAGGCTGGCACCGCTGGACCACAGAGTGGAAAGGAAAGGGGAAGCTACAGCCAGAGGGGGTGAGAATGTTGTATGGTGCAAATACTTCCTTCTACAAAAAGGAGCATCAGCTGGGCATGGTGGCTCGTGTCCGTAATCCCAGCATTTTGGGAGGCCAAGGCAGGCAGATCACTTGAGGTCAGGAATTCAAAGCCAGCCTGGCCAACATGGTGAAACTCCATACTAAAAATATAAAAATTAGCTGGGCATGGTGGTGCATGCCTGTAGTCCCAGCTACTTAGGAGGCTGAGGCAGGAGAATTGCTTGAACCTAGGAGGCGGAGGTTGCAGTGAGCCGAGATTGCGCCACTGCTCTCCCACCTGGGTGACAGAGTGAGACTCTGTATCAAAAAACAAAAAGGAGCATCAAAGGTTTTTAATCTGGGGAGTCGCAGGATTAAATCTGTATGAGAGATTTCTCTGATGATAACAGAGACAAAGCATGAGACATGTTAGGCTATGATAGAGGATGAAGACCTGAGATCAGGGGAGTGACCAAGAAGATGAAATGAAGGGGCTGCAGGAAAGAACGGGCATGAGGGATTAAGACGGGTTTGGGAGGGGTTTCTCAGGAATCTGGCTTGGGTTGCTGGATGCCTTTACTTTTAATGAAGACATGGAAGGCAGGAAGAAGAACAATGGAGACCAAGGCTGGTTAACTCTGATCAATTGTTTGATGATTTCAATATAAAAGTATTATAATAATAACATATTAAAATACTTGAGATATGAGTTCATTACCCTTCCACGTCAAAATACATCCTTGAGTCAAAAAACATAGCCTTGAATCAAAAGAAATTGATTTTCTTTCTGTTAAAAGACAGAAAATCCTTCTCTGAGAAGTGGTATTGCATTATATTTGAAATAACCTTGTACAATTTATACCAATCTTGAATATTATTTTAAAAATTAGAGGTAGGAAAAGACATTAAAGATCCTCTTGCTCTTGGCCAGGCGCAGTGGCTCACGCCTATAATCCCAGCACTTTGGGAGGCCGAGGTGGGTAGATCACCTGAGGTCAGATGTTCAAGACCAGCCTGGCCAACATGGTGAAACCCTGTCTCTACTGAAAATACAAAAATTAGCTGGGCATGATGGTGGGCGTCTGTAATCCCAGCTACTCAAGAGGCTGCGGTGGGAGCACTGCTTGAACCCGGGGGTGGAGGTTGCAGTAAGCCAAGATCATGCCACTGCACTCCAGCCTGGGTGACAGAGCAAGACTCTGTCTGAAAAAAAATAAAATAAAATAAATATATGTATATATATATATATATTCTTTTCAACTCTAACTTAAGGAATGAAGTCATCTTAGCCCAGCGGGAGTATGAACTTTGTCTGGGGTTATGAAACTGACTGTTGGCAAAGTCAGAACCAGGGCCCAAGGCTCCTGACCCCAGCCTGGAGTTCTTAGTAGATCCAGCTTGAATCAGAAGGAAGAAGGGGCTGGTGACCTGAAAGAAGCCAAATCCCACCCACAGTTGTACTGCTTCAAATAAACCTTATTGTTCCAATCAAAAAGAAAAGGAGTTATTGCCTTGGGCTTCTAAGAAGTCTTTCAAATTCTAGGAATTAGTTTCACATTTGTAGTTTATAGAATCACATTAATAGTTACTGTTTTGCTGACTGCTGACAACACCCTAAGTGAAGTTAAAAACATTAAGTAGCATTTCCTGGCCTTTCCAACATTTTTATTTTGTTCTGGGCCAAGGTAGCCAAAGGCTTCAGGAATAATTGACGCATGTATTGAAACAATGTTAATTCTACCTTCAATTGAGGTAAACATCAGAAAATAATTATTCTGCATACAAATCTTAATCACTGTGTTCAGATGATCTCTAAAGTCATTCTTTTTGTTTCCACTGTAAAGAATGGGAAGTGGAGGAATTATTTTTAGCTTGTTATTCATGGGCTGAAGTTTGAGTTCAATTTGTGGTAATGAAATTAAAGAATTCATTTTAATCAAATATGCAGGATGCTGATAAAATAACTTTAATAAAGAATGTTGAAAACATCTAAGAAATGTAACCAAATATATAATGGAGAGTTATAAGTTATGCAAAAATGTAAGTTAAGGCTTAATAATTCATATTGGAAAGATGCCCTGGCTACAAAAGGACATTCAGGGAGAGGGACAACCACGATGGATTTCACCATCCTCCAGTCCAGAGCATCCCTGTAAACATGCATTCATTCACGTTTTGCTAAAAGAACACCCACAAAAAACATCAGCAATATCACTAGCTGGCACAATGGCAAACTAAGCCAAGACTCTTGAAGCCGGTCTGCTTGAATTCTTCCTACAGGCTCTAAAGTCCATTGGGAATACTGTAGAAGCCATTCTCTGTCAGAAATTTTACATTATTCTAATGAAATGCAAAGGATAGAAATGTAAGAATGTTTTTCTTATGTTTTTCTTTTCTTTTTTTTTTGAGACCAAGTCTCACTCTGCAGCTCAGGCTGGAGTGCAGTGGTGCGATCTCGGCTCACTGCAACCTCCAACTCCCAGGTTCAAGCAATTCTCTTGCCTCAGCCTCCTGAGTAGCTGGGACTACAGGTGCACGCCACCATGCTCAGCTAAAGTAGAGACAGGGTTTCACCATGTTGGCCAGGCTGGTTTCGAACTCCTGGCCTCAAGTGATCCACTCACCTCAGCATCCCAATGTGCTGGGATTACAGGCATGAGCCACCACACCTGACTTCAGAATAATTTCTTTTCTTCTCTTTTTTTTTTTTGAGACGGAGTTTTGCTCTTGTCACCCAGGCTGGAGTGCAGTGGCACAATCTTGGCTCACTGAAACCTCTGCCTCCCGAGTTCAAGTGATTCTCCTGCCTCAGCCTCCTGAGTAGCTGAGATGATAGGCACCTGCCACCACAGCCTGGCTAGGCTATGCATATTTTTGGTAAGATGCAGTTAGTTCCTGAAAGGAGGGCATGAAACAAAGGATAGCTATCTCTGGTTTAAAAAAAAAAAAAAAAAGCCAGAAATTTGTAACATTGAAGAATACTTCATGAATTTTCCAGTCATCCCCTTCATAATTCTATATGATTGATAGAATTGTTTCATTTTCAATTTCTTTAAGTTTTACCTTGGCAAGTTGCTATGTATCAAGTGATGCAAAATTTAACACAGAAACAAAGATAACAAGGTATAATCAAACGAGCCCTGAAGTAGGAGTCAAGAAAGCTAATTCCTAACAATCACTTGAATAAGAAATAAAAAATTGTAAAATATAAAACATACATAAATAAGAAGTAGTATCTATTACTTCTATAGACAGCAAGCTAATGCACAGGAAATCTTTTTTTCCAAATTAGGCCTGTCATCTTTTTACATCTTTAATGAAAGAGGCTTAGGCTTAACTACAAATATCAAAGCTATACAATTGCTAGATAATCATAGAACTTAACTACGGGCAGAGTTAACAACTAGCTATTATAGGCCAGGCATGGTGCTTATCCCTATAATCCCAGCACTTTGGGAGGCCGAAGAGGGAGAACTGCTTGAGCCCAGGAGTTCAAGACCAACCTGGGCAACAAAGTGAGATCCCGTCTCCACCAAAAAAAAAAAAAAAAAAAAAAAAAAGTTAGCCAGGTGTGGTGGCATGCTCTGGCTGAAGTGGGAGGATTGCTTGAGCCCAGGAGGTCAAGAGGCTACAATGAGCTGTGATTGTGCCACTGCACTCCACCTCCAGCCCGGGTAACACAGCAAGAGCCGGTCTCAAAAAACAAACAATTTATTATATTAAATTTTTTTCTCAACTGTTACCTTACTAATTCAGTGTTTCTATAAAAATTTTAGTTTATGAGATGACATTATCAAAGTGATCTAATAAATAAGTATGCCAATTAGACTGGTGAGCTATAGATTCTTCATTTTCACTTTAACATTAAAAATATAATTTTCAGTATGGCTTGGTGCTATGGACTGAATATTTGTATCCTCCCCAAATTCCTATGTTGAAATCATACCCCAAGGTGCAGTTATTAGGAGGTGAGGCCTTTGGGAGGTGATTAGGTCTTGAAGGCAGAGCAGGGTAACATTAGTGGCCTTGTAAGAGAGACCACAGAGAGCTAGCCAGCTTCTTCTACCATGTAAGGACACAGCAACAGGGCACCTTCTATGAGGAACAGGCCCTCACCAGACACTGAATCTACCAGCACCCTGATCTTGGACTTCCCAGCCTCCAGAAGTATAAGAAAATAAATGTCTACTGTTTACAAGCCACATTGTTTACAGTATTTTGTTACAGCAGCCCAATGGACTAAGTCACTTGGATTCAGAGTTCTCTCCCAAGTCAAACACTGGGAAGGGCTTGGAGAAAATGGTGGCCATGTGTCAAGCCTGGAGAAGTGTCATTCTTCAGACATTGAAGATGCTGGAGTCAGCATTGTTGACACACTCCAGCATTGGTCCTTGCAGTGGAGGAAGGCTCTTCTTCACACAGCAGACATGGCAGAGAAAATGGACACAAACTAAAAGTAGGTGTCCAGCAGTCGGGTGCGGTGGCTCACGCCTGTAATTCTAGTGCTTTGGGAGGCCGAGGTGGGAGGATTGCTTGAGCCCAGGAATTCAAGACCAGTCTGGGCAACATAACGAGAACAAGTCTCTATAAAAATAAAAATAAAAACCATATAAAAGTAGGTATCCATAGTGCTCTGTGTCCATTAGACATTAATAAAAGGATTCCAGTTGAGAGGAACAACATTTGAAGTCATTGTTATTCCCTCCTCTCTTAATTCCATTAATCTTCCATGGTTTCAGGTTCTCTGTGTAGCATATTAATGCCTGCCACAAGGGTGCTATCAACCAGAATCTTCAGTGAATCTTCTTTGTCTGAATTGCACATATCTCAGAGGAGAATAGAGAATGTGTAAGGACACCGTGGCCCATGCATTGACACTGTCATAGATAAAGCATAGTTACTCGCTATCAGGTAAGTAAAATGCTAACGCTTGGTGCTGTGGAATAAGAATTCTCCAATGTTTACTTTTTAGCCCCTTTTTACCAAAGGAATTCTGGAAGTTGCTTTTAACACTAAAGGAAAGCCTACAGACAGTCTCCTACCCCTCATACACCCTGCCTCCTGCCTCAGTAAGGCTTCAAATAGTTTGTTTTAAAATGAGCTCTAAATGTAAATGGACACCTAAGTCATTACCTCCAGCAAGTCACTTTCACAGTCTCCTTCCTCTGTGCTTCTCCCCTTCTCTTCGGTAATGGTGTTCACCATCTCAAAAAACCTACAATACAAGTTAGCACGTGAGCATTCATAACACAAACAATAGTAAATATAAGCAAGTACATCTCAAAGTGACTTCAGAACCAAAACTGAGAGCTAAGAGAGTCTCCAGAACCAGGCAATAACACACTATCAAGATCATGTGAAAAATACAATTTTTCAAAAAGAAAATGCAGGTTGGTAGGATTTTCTAGAAATTTCTAACCTAATGCCTCACTTCAAATACATTTTTCTTCAGGAACTCTTCTTGTAAAGTTTTTTTTTTTTCTTCTAGAGACCATTTCAGAGACAAGCAAAGTGATTACAGTGAGAAACAGATTGGCATCCTGCTCGCTGTGACTAGGCCATTCAGAGAGGAGGCTGATGGTTCACAGACATAAAGCCGGGAAGCACTGTGAACGTGGGCTGATGATCCCACAGGCAGGTCATGCTATGCGATGCCAGCTTAAGGGAAGAGCAGGTTATGGTGTGATAAGAAAAGTTCCCCTAACACAACTCAGAACCTTTCTTACCCACCCATCCATCCATTCATTCAACAAATACTCACTGAGTGTCTACTAGGATAAAGAACTGTTCTGGCCATTGAGAGCATGATGATGAACAAAGTCTATCTTGGAATTTGGACCCCATTGATGGAGTTCATATGTGGTATCAACTTCCTCACTCTTCCTGTCTCTACACACATTTCTTGGAGGTCCATGACAAGAAAAAAAATTCCCAAGCCTGATTGGAATAACAGTTTGCGCTATTAAATAGCACAATGAATGAGAGAGAAAAGCTAGTTTAACCAAGAGGAAGAATAAAGTGAAAGATCAAAAAAAAATCTGGTGTTACAGACATGATTTAAGATCTGGGTTAAGGATTTGCATCAGCCACTCATGCAAAAATTTTCAATATGAACATCTCTAGGCAGAATATAACACTCGACAGTGGGATGGGAGCACTAGCGTAATTTTTAGAAGCTTCCATTCTGAAGTCTCCTGTGCCTGGTTCAAACCCCAGATTTTTATGCTTATTGACTACATGATTTTAGGCTATACTCTCCAAGACTACTTTTTTAATTCTTTTCAATAAAGATATTAATACTACCCATCTAATAGGGTTTCTTTGAAGACTGAAACAAATATTAGTTCTGGGGCACACACTTCATAAATTTTAGCTATAATTATCATAGAAACAGGTCAACAGACTTGAGAATTTAAGTGTAAGTAGAGAATTAGTCCATACAAGAGCTAGGAATTTTCTTATTTCCAAGTGTTTTTTTTTCCCCCACCATATGTTTTATGATAATAAAGCTTGAGCCAAGAATTGTGGATTCAACAAACACTTTTCTTTTTCACACCAAGATAAAAATGAACGACTGTATATTGTAGCTAGCATATCAGTCATTTATAATGGATTCAAATAGTAATTATTTAAATAAGAACAATCCCCAGCAAAATTCTGAGTCCAAACTAACTTTCACCTACACTTTGGCTTCTAAATTATCACTCACTTCTCTAGTTTCCCACAGTCAATCATAGTGTTCTAAAGAAGTAAGAAGAATTTAATTATTAGCCCAAGAGAAACATACAATGGAGAAAAACACAAACATACAATGCAGTCCATGGATTTTTGGATGATCTCTTTTATTGGTATAGATCAGATCAGTGGCTCTTAACTCAGGCTTCACCCCCACCAGAACGTCCAATATAATTAGTCTGAGGTGGGGGCCATGCATGTTTTTTTAAAGCCTACCAGGTGGATCTAACTAATATGAGCCAAGGTAAAGAGGTACTATTGTAGATAATACTGAGACGATTTAAAAGAATTTGAGAATGAAAATTCTGGTAATCATATACAGTAAGTGAGCACTTAAAATATGAGTTATAATATTTAACAATTAACCAATAAGTCTTAGTTAATGTTTTATCTGTGGGAAAATAAGTTATGACTAAGATAAAGTTTGACTTATTAAAGAAAACCCCCCCCCAAAATCTGTTAAATTTATGATATAATTATAAAATATTAGCCCAAATAAAATATTTATATAACCACATAGCCATGCATTCTTCACAGGAGGTACATGTTCACTCATTACTTGAAAATAATGATCAGGTAAGAAGAATCTTTTTCACACACAATGACTAATACGTACTTTTTACAATGAAGTTCTGTACAGAAATAGATTTGGAAATCATCAGAATTGTGAAGCACATAAAGAAAGCAGCATCTTTCTTCAAATTTAGAAATACTGAAACCAACAAACAAAAAGGCATTATTCAGAGAACTATCAATTCTTCTACAGTCCTATGATGAAAAAGAAATGTTTTAAATTCAATCCCATTTATATCAATGTTGTTTATAACAAGAAGTTATAAATAGCACTTTAAAAAGTGATACTTCCTGCACCACACTACTAAAATGATTTACTCTTCCGAGAGGTGTCCTCCTCCTCATCTCTGCAGAGCAGGGCTGCTCTAGGGTGTTGCAAGCACACGTAAACTACACATCCTTTCAACAGAGCAGGGAAAGGTGTCCTGCCTACTACACTATTCTGTGTGCTGGGAGGAAAAGCATAAATACCAACTGGCTGGCTAACCTCGGTGATTCTGGTGCTATGCAATCTGTAGAACAATGAAATGTTTCCAAAGCTAGGCAGTCAATTTGTGGAGGCAGTAAAAGCACCTCATTCATTATAGAGATTTTAGAGGAGTGAAGCAATGTGCAAGTGCACTCGGTTAGGACTCAGTGAGTGGCTGACTTTACGGCAATATGAAACAGTTTTCAGTTGACCCACTAGGCCATGCTGTTTTATGCCAGGGATTGGCAACCATTTTCTGTAACAGGCCAGATAGTAAAATACTTTAGGTTTTTCAGGCCACACTATGTAATTCTGCTGCTGAAGCATGACAGCTGCCTAAGAGGATGCATAAATGAATGAACATGGCTGTGTTCCAATAAAACTTTATTTACAGGACAGGTGAAGGACCAGATGTAGTCCAGGGGGCACAGTTTGTCAATCCTTATTTTGTGCCTTTGTGCCTGCTGGTCCTTCCATTTGGAATGCATGTCGTTTTTTACTTTTAAAAGAAACTCTATTCACGATTTAAGGCCCAGCTTAGACCTCACCTTCTCTCCCTGCCCTACTTCTGCCCTAAACAGAAAGACTTCCTCTTACACCTGTGTCCTCTGAGTATACTTCTTTCATTGCTCTTCTCACACTGTATTGTCATGAGTTGTTAAATGTCTGTTCCTCTCCCTGCTGGGCTGTGAATTCCTCAAGAGAGGAGTTGATGTCTTAGTCATTTTTGTATCTTTGGCAGAACAGGACTCAACATTTGACACACAGCTCATGCTCAGTTAATGCCCACTAACTCGAGCTGTGCAAGTTCTGAGGTGACGCAAGGCAAGCTGCTGACCTAGTTGGATTTTCTTCCATAGTTTGTCATCTCTTCTTTGTGGAGGAGGAGGCCAGGAAGAATGAGCTCTCTTTGAAGTCACAGACTACAACTCAAGTTTCTCAGCATATAAGCCAGCAATAGTAAGATAGATAGTAGCAGCCTATGTATAAGTCATAAATCACAACAACTGTTACATAGGGCTACCATACCTAATTAAAGAAAATTTATTCATTGGAAAACAGATATGATAAAGTGAAATTTACATTTACCATACTTTCTTAAGTGGATTGCTTAAAAATGCAGCAATAAATAGTGAGTGCCTTGCTAATGACTGGCTTTAAAAATTAAATATTAAGAGTACAGTTTTATTTGAGAAAGTATCGACTGAAAGATATATAATGAGTCAGTCCATCATCTTGCTTGTTTCTGTTCAGATCATTCATGAGGTAACAGGTAGCTTTACCAGGAGAACTCCAATTATTAGTGACTCAGACCGCTCTACCAATTTATGCTCTAATAAAACCAATTATTATTATTCCAAAAGCAACAGGATATTGCATAACCAGGCTGCAAAAATCTGTTGTCTCTCATTGCTATGACGTGGGGGTAAACAGTAGTTAGCACATCTAATTTGGTTTGAAATCTGCAAGAGTTGATTTAGCATGAGCTTCAATAGAACAATTATTTAAAGACTTAACCACTGACTCTTGATTCTTAAAAAAATATATATATATTATTTCTAAATCCCAAGAAATGGCATTTTCTAAGCTACTGGCATTGTGACAGCAGTCAGAACTGAACCAAACTGAAGTTCACCACTGTAATCTCAAGATCAATGCAGGAAAGTGACCTTACAGAAGGTTTTTTTTTTTTTTAATGGACTCCTTATCATCTGAAGTCATTAGTGTTAGTGACAGGGGCCGGGCGGAGTGGCTCACACCTGTAATCCCAGCATTTTGGAAGCCCTACACGGGCGGATCACTGAGGTCAGGAGTTTCAGACCAGCCCGGCCAACACGGTGAAACCCTGTCTCTACTAAAATTACAAAAATTAGCTGGGCATGGTGACATGCGCCCGTAATCCCAGCTACTTGGGAGGCTGAGGCAGGAGAACATTTTGGACCTGGGAGGCGGAGGTTGCAGTGAACTGAGATCATGCCACTGCACTCCAGCCTGGGCGAAAACAGCAAAACTCTGTCTCACAAAATAAAATAAAATAAAATAAAATAAATAAAATAAAATAAAAATAAAATAAAATAAAATAAAATAAAATAAAATAAAATAAAATAAAATAAAATAAAATAAAATTAGTGGCAGGACACAGTGTAGTAGACGGCATGTGTGCTTTGTATCCACACAAAGGGAGCTGAGTTCCTTGTATACCAAAAGGACAGAAATCATCCTATTACATAAACCAACAGCTCAGCTAAAGAGGACCTCCACATGGCTGAGTGTAATCTACATTTTGATTCTGGTCCATAGTTCACATTGACCCCACAGTTACATTTTAAGTAGGTCAGGAGCACAGAATCAGTTCAACCAGCAGTGAACATTTTGTTGCAAATCTCTTCCTAAAGGAGATAGTGACACTGAAGAAGGCTGGGCATTTCCACCAATTGAATGATTCTTGACATTCCTTGTATTTTAAAATCATGATTAGAAGTTCTATCCAGCCCATGAATAGTGGAGAAAAATGTCTTATAAGTTAACAAAATGTACCAAGGAAACTTACCTCACTCCCCTGACAGAAGAGGCACTAAAATTCCACTCATGTATACCTTTCTAGAACAACAACAAGAAAATATACTGAGTCATCCAAATGGAAAATAACATAACAACAATAATTTTGTTTAATTATTTTTAAAGTGATATACACAGCCATTTTTCCTGGTACACTATTTTTCATGAAAGAATTATCTGGATGGAAAGCACAATTCATTCTCAAGTCCCAAGGGTAATGATTACTCTACTTAATAATTCCTGTACTTCAATAAAACAGCTTCCAAAAGAGCCTAGGAGAATTAGTCTCATTAAATTCTAAAACTTGATATCTAGTAATAACTGTTGTGTGTTAATTTTTAAGTAAAAAAAGTCAATGATCAAGGTAATTCTATTATTACAGTTGAGAAATACTTCTTTTCCGAGAAAGATAAACATTAATTTGAATAACATCTCGGCAAGGTTTTAAAGATAACTATTTCTGAATTATCTTTAGTTAAGATTTCCAACTAAATAGGCGGTTCTATTTCTTTAGAAACTAGTAGAACAAGAATGTATGTGAACACACATGTGTACAGTGCCCATCATAACTACAAGGTATTGCTACCTAATTTATGCAAAATTCCATATGCTAATAAAGTATGAACATCAAAAATTTGATTGTCATACTATAAACATGGGTGATTTGCAGAGCCAAGGTAAAGAAAAATGTGGGAATTTATTTCTTGAGTTTATCACTAAAGCTAAGATAAAATTATTATCAAATTCATATGTCCCTAAAATAAATAACAAAATGGATCATAATCCCTTTAAAAATATGTCAACAGTATAAAATAGCATAAATATTTTTACAGAAACAAAGTAGTTTATCCATGTGTCTAAGTTGAGCAAGTACAGTACGGCAATAAACTGACACTGACATTCAATTCTGTAAAGTTAAAACAACCATGAAAAGGAGTTCTTACCCACCCACTGCCAGGAGGCTGAGGTCTTGCCTGGGCTAATAAAATGGGTGACAAAGCCTTGTGGCTCTGAGGTGGCCTAGAACCCTCCTTTTGGCTAAAGCAACTCAAAAGCGACAATTTATATCTACAGCCCATAATTCTTTGCTAGGTCCATGCAACTTAAAGTAAAAATAGATCCTCTCAAGTCAGATGTGAATTTACTAAAAAGCTAGTTTCAGTGCATGTCAGTCAGGTCATGGGGATGTGATCTGAATGAACGCAGAGCAAATTTTGTTGCATGAAGTCCAGGAGGGAAGATACCATAAAAAGGTATGTGGTGGCTGTCTTAACCAGAGTACAGAGGGAGTGAAATTAAAATAGCAGACTGCAGCCTCAGCTGGTAATTTGGAAAGTTGCTTCTAAATCCTGTTGGCCTCAGGTGAACTTCTAAATATATATATATATATATGACCCAGGAGCTGCAGCTGTTACCTGTACACTACTTGCATACAATGCAGCCTTATCCTCAGAGCCTGCAGCTGAGCTGCTTTCCAAGACCATGTCCAGGAGCAGGAGGTGGGAGGCAAGTGCAGAGCTGAGGCAGTATGCAAACCCACCCCTGAACACAGCAACTGGCAAATACTAACAAGACAGCACTGGTAAAACCCATCTTCTATCAGTCCTTTTCTGGGAACAGCTAAGTAAAAATTGTGGACTGGTTTTGTAGGAAAGGAGGGGAGCATTTCCAGAATGCTTGGTTCCTGAAAGGTTGCCAGTGCTGCCAGGGAACGTTCCATTTCAGTGATGTAAATAAAGCCCAAGCCCTGAGATGGAAGGTGGAAGGAGGCCTCCCTCCCCACCTACCTGTAGGACACACCACAAGGAGGCGCTGATGAGCTGTAAAGCCAACAGGTAGTTTAAAGGCTCCTGGGATCTGTCTGGGAATCAGGGAAAACAGCAAGGCCAAACGCAGCGCTAGCTATAATTAGCCCCAACAGGCCTCAAACCAACACTCAACCTAATTTAATCAGCACAAGCACCATTTTCTAGGAACGGGTTAGCCTCAGATCCCAGGCCCCAGTTAGGGCTAGAATAGGAGCTGGAAGTTAATACTGTATTGACTGAAGGTGGCAGGAGTTATACTGTAGTAGGCACTGTCAGCTCCCTCAGCAACTGTCATTCCATCCTTCTCCTCTGCTGACAAAAAAATAAATTTTGCCCAGGTTCAGGTGGCAATGTTTATGAATGGTGAAACTGATTAGTCTAAATTGGCCACGGTAAGTCCATTTGCCTTGCTGGGGATGGGTGTAAGCATGGTCATGTGATACAACTTATGGTATAAAGGAGAGGGCTTGGCCCTCCTCCCCGGGATGCCGCCTGTGTGAGGTGCTTCTTGGAATAGCTAGCTACTTAAGAACATGAGACTAACACCAAGAGTACGCAGAGAAGCCAGAATTCAGAATCCTGATGCTGAAACTACCCTCAGAATCACCCCACCTCAAAATTTATTTTTTTCCATCCAGGCTGGAGTGTAGTGGGGTAATCATAGCTCACTACAGCCTGGATCTCCTAGGCTCAAGCAATCCTCCCGCCTCAGCCTCCCAAGCAGCTGGGACTACAGGCACATATCACCAAACCTGGTTAATTTTTTTAAATTTTTTTGTAGAGACGGGGGTCTTGCTACATTGCTCAGGCTGGTCTTGAACTCCTGGCCTCAAGCAATCCTCCTGCTCTGGCCTCCCAAATTGCTGGGATTACAGGTGTGAGTCACCATGCTCGGCCTGTAATTTCTTGTAATATGAAATACCATTTCTTTATTTAAGCTGCTTTTGGCAGGGAGTTTGTAGCAGAAAGCATCCTTGGTGGATGACAGCATCAAATCATCTTAATCTAGAATCAGGGGTAAGCATGTTTCCCTCATAAATTTCCTGGGCCTTCTGTGAGTGGCCACTGGCTGGAGCTGAAGTGAGGGAGGAGAGTCAGCACTTAGTCCTCCACTAGGCCCCTGCCTTTGCTTGATAATCCGTGAGGTAGGCCAAGGGTGCCCAAACTTCAACCCCCAAAAGGGGGGGAAATTCTAAATAACCATTTAAAACGCCCTGCAAATAACTTCTCTCTTCCTCAATCTTAAGTTTTTCTTTCATTGTACACATGCAGACTTTCTTCAAGGACTAACTTACTTTTCAGCAGCAACCATTCATTCAACAAATAGAGAACTGTTAAAAGATCGGGATTTCAATTAATTTTACCCCTGAATGTAGAGTAGCTCTCTCTAAGAGTCCTTGGGAATTGGTATATAATGTGCTTCAAGTTTTGAAAGTTGCAGTATAAAGTATATACTAGCTCACAGAGCTATTTATTCCATATGTTAGAATAAAAATAGTGAGAGGAGTGACTAAAGAAATAAACATGATAAATGAAAAGCTACATTCTCTATTCTAATTTTAGGAAAAATTTTTAAACATTCTGTGATAAAAACAACCCATTTTTAGTTTAACATAAGACCTATTAAACTGGTTGCTTCTCTGTTATTTATAGTTGTTTTAAAGTAACATGGTAATAATAAAGTTTTTTTGTTTTTATTGCTTGTCCTCCTTCCAATTTTACCACTTTTATTTTAAAAAATTGAGAAAATGGTAGTGATAATGAATACACTATGGATAGAATCAGGGTTTGCAAAGAAATTGACATAAATTCAGAATGGAAACTGATACAAGAAAGCTTCAATTTTTGAACAAGGAGAATTTTTTAGCACTAAAAGTTATAGGAAATAAGGACAACATAAATAAAATTCCTCCTGATCAAAAGATGGTGAAAATGGAAAATGGACAGTACATAACTTAAATTTGTAACCCTATTTAATGCACTTGTTTATATCCTAATATATATCCTAATATTTCTTAGCATAATATAAAAATTGTCTCTATGATTGTCACAAAACATAAGAGAATGAAAACGAGGCTCACTTTACTGAGCAAAGAACCTCCAGGAAGGAGAAAACAATAACAAATTGCTGGAAATAGTACTCATTTTCCAAAAATCTCTGGCTTACTTTCTGTTCTTTTTCTGTCTTCCAAATTCTTCTGGCTCTCTACTCATTCTCTAGGCCTTGCTAATCGCTAATTCCTCTAGCCTCACTCTGTTTCCAAGTGTCCTTGGATAACCTTGCTCTTTTCAATCAAGCCTTTGAAAATCTCCTCCTCCAGTCCTGCTCTCGTCTCCATAATGTTCATGTCTCCTAACTGTTCTTAGTTTTTGTAGTTTCCACTGGATGATTAGTGTATCTCAGCTTGTGAGAACATGTATGTGTATACTTGCATACATGCAAAACAATATAAATATTGCACTGCACTTTAAAGCAATATCACTAACATGTATATAGACAGTTATATTGATTATTCCCAATTTTGCCACTGGATGATTCCACTTGGAGTCTTGCCATTAGTTTCAACTAAACACGTCCAAAATGAAATTCCTCATGATTCCTCTACAACTCAGGTTTTCCTTCTAAAAATCCTACCACCTTTATCAATGCAATCAAAACTTGAGTCACCTTACACTTACTCCCTCTTTTTAATCCTTCTTCCTAATTTGTGATTAAGTTGTATACTTTTCTTTCCAAATCAAATCATCTGTCCCTTTGCAGTCACAATTGTATTATTCCACTCTAGGATCTCTACCTGCCTCATATCTAGCTAGTTCCTCTAACAGTCTTCTCTGTGACCCTCCAGAGCCTCAGACTTCAGAAATCAAATGTCAAGACCAGATCAGTCTTATAGCTACACTAGCAACCATTATGGAGCACTTGTTCCAAGCCACTTAGCACTGTGCTAAATGATTTCCATTCATCCTCTCACTTAATCTTCACAACAATTCTATGAGGTACTGTTATTCTCATTTTACATACATGGCAACTAAAGCATGAGGAGTTGAAGCGCATGCCTAGGCCACGAAGCATGCAAGAGCTAACATCAACCTTCACACCTATGCACTTTGATGCTGACCCTGGGTTCATAATTCACATTCTGTTCTGCCTTCCTGCCAGCTCTCAGATTTTCAGAAACGTCAGTGACATCCTGTTTCCTACCGACACATGTTTAAAATTCTTCTTCCTAGCTTACATAGCACTCTAGAGTTTTATGTCATCCTGCCCAACCAATCATATCTCCCACCTCCCTCAACACGTTTCCCCTTGTAGAATGAGTCAGACTCTGCCGGCCCCTGAACGTCCCATGCTTGCTTTCACTTTGGTGCCTTGGTTGGAATTCTGCCTTATTCTTCTAATCTAGTTTGTCTTCCCGTGTTCATTTATCTCTTCTAGTTCTACCCACAGCCAAAGTCCAGGTTCCACCTCCTTTAGCAAGCCTTCTCGAAGGACTCCATGCCTCACTGATCTTCCTCCTCACTGAACGCCACAGACCAAGAACCCATAATGTCCTCCTCAGGAACCAGCACAGTCCCAAAGTCCACAGAACTCAAAAGAACGCTGGTAGATTGATTTGCTCTACCATCATCTCAACAGTGCTTTCCTCGGGTGTAGCATGATGCATTTTAACACAATTAAAATGACATGTTAGAAATGTTGCTGATGGGGTTGCTGGGGCAATGACTTCTTTCAAAGTCTTCCCTCTATTTACTGCACTCATGGAAGTGAGTCTCATGGGAAGCTATGTCTTAGCTGAAAGCCTGTCTTCAAAGTCCTTTGGCAAGGAAGTTTTCTGTTATGAATAAATTAGTATCACAAGTAACTTTTTCAAGTGTTTTTCCATACAATTGACACTTCTAATAATGAAAAAGAATCAAGCTTCTGACTCTGCACACAGTGGCAAATATTGGCATGTGTAATCTGGGGCCTGTTGGGTGAAGATCCTTAAGTTACCACAACCTATTGGTAGAGTGTCTCTAAATTTTGGATGTAGCCAGTCCCAAACTGACTTGTAAAAGTGTCAGCTTGGACAGTGTTTCACAAACTGGGATTGGAGAAAGACCACAGTTCTGAAAGATGCTGCTCGGTATTGCTCAGTGCTACTAGATGGACTTGGTGTTGAGAGCATGAGAATGGATGTTTTTCTCCATGCTTATTATGTAATTTCATGTTGCCAACATTTAGTGTGCCTGCTAAAATACTAAGTTACAAGACTTAACGTGACCAACTTTATCTAAACATAGAACAAATTAAAATATAAATAACATGCATTCTGGGTGCTGCTTAGTATCTATTCATTTTAAACACAAGATACTGCCCTTCCTAGAAACTATAGCACCGGGACTGGTGATTTCTTGCCACTCTGGTAGAGGTCACAGGGCCTGGCCATGATTGACATCCAGGAAGGATCTGTCCCAGCTGATTTGGACACATCAAAGCACGGGACATTCTTCTTGCTAGATTATGGACATGCTGTGTTGTTTTCCTGTTGAACTTCCTAAGGTGGTGGTTCACATACGTGAGGTCTGAAAGTCTACCTCATAGAATTGTCCTCAGTAGGTCTGACATGCAGATTAGGAATCTGCAATTTATTTTATTTTATTTATTTTTTGAGATAGAGTCTTGCTCTGTCGCCCAGGCTGGAGTGCAGTGGCACAATTTTGGCTCACTGCAACCTCTGCCTCCCGGGTTCCAGCAATTCTCCTGCCTCAGCCTCCTGAGTAGTGGGGATTACAGGCAAGTGCCACCACGCCCGGCTAATTTTTGTATTTTTAGTAGAGATGGGGTTTCACCATGTTGGCCAGGCTGATCTCGAACTCCTGACCTCAAGTGATCCACCCACCTTGGCCTCCCAAAGTGCTGGGATTATAGGCATGAGCCACTGTGCCCAGCTGGAATCTGCCATTTAATTAAACCAGCTCCCTGGGTGACTCTAATGCTGGTGTTCCAGGGAACCACATCTTGAAAAGCAGCATCCCCAGGAACCAGCTTAGCCATAAAGTCAAGGATGTAATAATTCTTGAGCTACTACAATTGAGTAATTACTATGTTTACATCCCTATTAAAGTTGTTATCAACCATGGGTGCACATCAGAATCATGGATAAATCTTCATAAAAATGCATGTGTCCAAGCTTCACTCTAAGTATAAAGGATTCCAACTAAGTCGGTCTCCTGGGATCCAGGGTATTGCAGATAATTCTGATGCAGAGCCAGGTTTGTGCCCCAGTTCAACACCAACAACCTCCCAAATGATTACTCCCATGCCATTTAAAGGGCAAAGCAGGGTTAAACTCTGGGGTTTCAAAGTTAGGATTTAGTCCACATAATATGCACACTGCAGTGATTTATAATTGTTTTTGTTGTTACTGTAGTTAAGATATATTGAACATCTATTATATGCCAGGCTCTGTGAAATGCACTCTACCAAATTATTTCATTTAACCTTCACAACAGCCTTTTGAGATGGATATTATTATCTCATTCTACAGATGAGGACACCATAGCTTGGAGAAGCCAAGTTGCCCAAGGGCAGTGGTGGGATTTGAATCCAGGTCTATTGACTCAAGTCTACATGTAAAAAACTGCAAGCCCATACTCCCAAATTTACTTCCTGCTTCCACTTCCTGCTTTATTTTTCCCTTCTCACCATTGAATATACCTATACATTTATTTATTGCTTTATTGCCCTATCTGAGTGGAAAGCAAGCACCATGGAGGCAGGAACTTCACTCATTTTGGACACAGCTGTTTCCCTAGGGTCTAACACCGTGTCTGGTAGTGCCTGATCCAGAGTAAGTGCTCAATAAACATTTATTAAATGAGTAAGTTGATGAATGATGGTTAAATAAAATTATAAGGGCATTCTGGGAAACAGTTACGAGAAAGAAAATAAATGAACTATTTTTCCACAAGACTTCTCTCATTTCTGTTGGTTTATCCTGTGGACTGAAGCCAGGTCCTGAAAATGTCTGTTTGTAAAAAATAGTAGGATGATTTGCACATGCATTAAAACTGATGAATATAGAAGTGGAAAGGCTTATCCACATGACTGCTATGAGCGGAAGTGAGACTGTTTTAAGATCTTTCTCAAAATAGGTGGTCGCACAGCCCACCTCACTTTGTGCACAGCACACTGAGTCAGTGGCTAATCTGAGATTTGGCAACTACTTAGATAACAAAACAGCTAGATGTAATGATAACTATAATGGTACCAGTGTAAGATTAAAAGTGGCATCATTCTGACAGGCTTCCTAAAATTAACATATGCATCTTTTATGTCACGTATTTTAAGTATTAGTTCTTCGGTGCATAACTTACGGCATGAATTTACAAAAGAGAAATATTCCAATTCTGAGTATGCTTTGGATGGTTATGCCATCTATAATAAAAATCCAAATAGTTCAATTATATTTTATTAATACTGATAAAAATTCATAATTCAAATTTAACAAGTTTTATAATACGGAATGCATTTATGCCAAGACAGACACACAGCTGAGCTATTTCTTCTTAACTAACACAGACATTTGCTGGAGTATGTAAATGCTAGAAGGGTGTAAAGTCCCTTGTTACTAATGCTCTTGTGTTAATAACTGCACAATTTACCTTGTCATCAGGAAGCACGTGCCAAATAGAGATTGTCTTTTCCTCAACTTCATTGTTGATAGACAAATAAGAAGGTTGATAGATTTTGGTTGGTTCTAATATTAATACCTTGAAAAGATACGGCAAAGAAACTAATATCAGTGACTTAAGACTGAAACCACTTAGAGCTGCTATAACACCCCAGCACCAACGTAGAGGATTATTGCATGAGCTTCTGAATCTGTTCCTGGAGTAAACCATTTCAACTTCTGATTGCTGTTATTCCTATAAATCCTTCAAGCATTTTACATTATTTATCAATTATCATAAGGTTCAATAATGCATCACCTTGTATTGCTAATAAGGTTAGAAATAAATTTTTGAAGTCCATACATGGGTTCAGCTATCCTCAGGGAATCTACTAGTGATAACTTTAAAAAATCTTCTATTTTATCATGTACTACATAAGCTATTTCTATAAATATAAATGTGTCAAAGAAAGACAGAAAAGGTCCATACATAGAATGTCACATCCTTATTTTAGTTTTTCTGCTATCACACTTTATCATACAGATGTAGTAGTATGGTTTTCATACCCATGTAAATAAACTTAGAAATGGTTTTGGTTATTCCTGAGTTTTATATACAAACCAAAGAAACAAACTTAGCTATATGAAATAATAAACACGTTTTTGCACTGCCTTCCAGATGAAACTGGCGTCTTCAATAATGATACATTTAGCCTTGTAAGAGAAAAAGAGAAATAAAATTTGTTCCTATTTTGAAGCTCTATAAGGGGTATGTGATAAATGAGTTGAGAATCTCCATCAAAGGACAGCATGAAGTATTATATTATTACTAATATCTCACATTTGGAGTGAATAATACTAAAATAACACACATGCCCTGATTTCAAAGGTGCTATGATTCATTATCTACTTGTATAGATGCTTAAAGGCATCTTCCTGGCCCAAATTTCCTAGGCAGACTTCACTAGGAATGTTTAAAAAAAGAAAAGTCAATACTTAACTATTAGAGGAACTGGAATAATCATTCTACTCTACTGCTTAACACTCAAGAAAATTATCTTTAGAACTAATCTTGAATCAAGCAAGTTTTCCAAATAAAAGTGGAGGAAAACTCCTTCAGAAGGCTCCACCCATAAGGAATTACAGATTCATAATACAGTAAAACATGAAATGCACTCTCAGAAAGCAGGCACAAGAATCTGGGCATATTTGTTTTACTCTCAACTTACCTTAACAGCGCATTTACTTAAGGTACAGGGAACTAGAGAAAGGGAGGTAGAAAAAAACAATTTTTCTTTACTCTTTGAATATTAAAAACGTTAAGGGCTCCAAGAATTCTCAGTCAGTCTCTAGCTGTGAAAATAAGATGGGCTATGCAACAAATAAACACACAGTGAGAGCCCATAAGTGAACATATTCTGACTCAGGAACAAACTCACCCAGTGAATCAAAATCTTAATTCCAATCAACAGAGACATAAGCGGTAATGATGAATAATGAAAATCATTTTCCCATCTAAACTTTGCAGAAATGGTGCTCTCATATCTGAGTATCGCAATGTATATGAAATCAAAACAATAGAGAATAAAAGGTGGGTTTCCCAAAACATCATCCAACTCTCTTCATTGACAAGTGAGAATATACTCCATTCCCAAATTATGTGGGCACACTATTATACTCAACAGAAGAAAAGAAAAGCACTAACTCCTCTCTTGTTAAATTATGTCTTTATTGTCATCTCAGTATTTCTAACAGATAAAATCTGAACTATGTGTCCCTAACTTGAGACAGGAAATAAAAACAAGGTTGTAACTATCACTGTCTAATATTTGTTGAGCTCTTTGCTCTATCCTTGAAATGACAAAATGTGAGAAATGCATAGCACACATTACAGAGGTCACAGAAAGGCTGGGAAACAGACCAGGGAATGGAGGCAATTTGACAAAGTCTTAAAGGTAGATATACCTCACTTATGAGTTTATATATTCTTGCTTTTAGTTCCTTGTTTTTAGGTTAATATTATAATTAACTGCTAATTTCATGTATCTGAATCAAAAAGGAAGACTGCAAGGCCTATAAAGGATAGATATTAACCAGATGTTTAAGTTTCTACAGGGTCTTTGAAGTACCATACGTCTCTCCTTCCTCTTTCCCGACGTTAGATAATGAGTTGATGGTCTCCAAACTTTTCAATGTAAGAAGGAAAGGAAATATACCAAGAGGAGAGGTAAGAAAAAAGAATAAATTGAAGTGATAAATGATGGTACCATTCAAATCATTTCCCAAATAAACTTTCAATTTTCTTTTGCCCAGAGTCACAGTTAATTCTTGGAGAAATGAGAATGAATACAGTATTGAGATAAATAAAAACAATCAAATATTTTCTAAAATAGGCCATCCTGGATTTTATTTAGATGCATTTCAAAAGAAGGATAATGTTATCATCCTAATCAACACCTACTGCAACCTTTGTAGTGTGAGCCACGGAAGATGCTATGCTAAGGACATGACAAGGTGCAGCGACCAAGATCGCCCCACAGGTACTAAAAGGCTGCCTTTCTCTATGAGGGAGAGCACGGGTGGCAAATTCCGGAAGTGGTTACAACTTATTACCCAAATATTTGTCCTGTTTTTCTGCTATGCTATCATGTATACTGAGATTTAAAAATCATCTATATGGCTTTCATTATTTTTTAAAGCAGTATCTTTACAGTTTCTGCAACGCTTTATCATACATGTAAATATAAGAAAACAATCAAGCGGTTAATCCTAAAGCAATTTCCATTAAATTTGGAGCTTCTTGGTAGACTGGCATTTTCTAGACACAAATGAAGTCGTTGTAGGAAAACTCAAGAAGGACTACAAAATTGTACAATTTTGTCCTCTGTGTAACAACAAACTATAGAAAAGAAGTTTTGAGTAGCTGAGTTATGAATTCTGATGTAGGAGTAGTATTTAGAGATGAGGGGGAAAACACTGCATTTTAGAGTCTTGTCACAAAAAGACAGACCCCAAATAAGCCACAAAGTTTCAAGAAGGAAATGGATTGCTGAGAAAAATCAAATATGCCAAAAATATGTTGGCAAGATAACACCTATGTGCCTACCACTCGCAGATAACTAAGTGTTAACATGCTGTCATATTTGCTTCGAAATGTTTTCTAAAGAAATGAAATGTGGCAAATAAAGTTGAGGTCCTCAGGATCCCTTACACAATCCTATCATCCCCTTCCCAGATAGAATCCCAGAATATTCAGCAATTCCTATGCCCACCAGCAGGCTCTAAAAATGCTCTTGTCTCCACAATGGTGTCAACTGTTGTAAAATGTTTTAATTCTTTGAGTCCAATGGGCAAAAAAATAGTGTCTCACTTAATTTGCATTTTCTTGACTAACCAGAAGTTAATTATCTCTTCATATAAATTTTTTATTCTTCTTTTTATTTTTATTTTGTTTTATTTATTTATTTATTTAGAGATGGAGTTTTGCTCTTGTTGCCCAGGCTGGACTGCAATGGCATGGTATCGGCTCACCGCAACCTCTGCCTCCCAGGTTCAAGCGATTCTCCTGTCTCAGCCTCCCAAATAGCTGGGATTACAGGTATGCACCACCATGCCTGGCTAATTTTGTATTTTTAGTAGAGACAGGGTTTCTCCATGTTGGTCAGGAAAGTCTCAAACTCCCAACCTCAGGTGATCCGCCCACCTCGGTCTCCCAAAGTGCTGGGATTACAAGTATAAGTCCTCATGCCTGGCCTCTTCTTATTTTATTTTGCTTATCACTTTATAGGATTTTTTTGCATATTTGGCAAATTGACAATTTTGCACAGTTTTATAAAACATTTTCTCCCTGCCTAGCAGTTCCTATTTGGCATGTTCATGGTGTTTTTTTTTAATCAAACAAAAATATCCATTTTTTAGTGAAATCAAGTTGGTGAATATTTTCCTTTAGGTCTTATAAGTCCTTTTCTTGCTTAAGGATGCCTCTCTCAACTGGTGTTTATACCTATATTCTCCTAACTTCTCAATATTTTCTGGTTTATTTTTTACATTCACTTATTTATATTTATGACAGACAAATTCTGTCAAATATTTTTTATATTCACTTATATTTATAGTATGACAGACAAATTCATATGATACTAATCTAAACGGGCTCAAAGTGACGAATTTGAATGGTTTCCTTTCATAGCCAGTTTTCTAGTCAATCAAGTCAATAGTCAATTAAATACCTGAATTCTATGTTCTCTTCTTTCACTACATTTACTGCTACTGAGAGCACCAGCTACAGGCAAGCTGCCAGCTCATTCTAAGGTAAGTATTTTCCTAGGCTACACATTATCTAGGCTAGAAAATAAAGTGAAGTGTTTCAGTTAGAAAGGCTTTCGCTTAAGGACCCTGCTGAGCTCAAGGCTTCATCTGGAAGCAAGAGTAAAGCATGCTCATGTCAGCAATGGATTTAATTAAGTGAAGTAGATGATCCTATCAACAAGAACTAGAAAACAAGATTTCACAAAAAGAATTGAGAACTGTCACCGCCTCTAAGTATGGAAGATAGAGATTAGAGAGCTCAGAGAGATTTATGGCATCACTTTGATGTGGAAAGAAATTTGTACATACAGGGAGTTGCCAGTAATTCTTGAATTGGATGCTGGACGATATTAAGAACCATCCAGAGGGGCATGGCACCATCTGAGAAGAGCAATAAATTTTTTTAAAGTGTGTGTGTGTGTGTGTGTGTGTGTGTGTATTATACATTTAAATCTATATGTCTGAAGTCCACTAGAGACCAGCAAAAATGAGCTGCAGACCAGAAACTGCAAGTCATTTCCCATGGTCTAAAACATTGTAAATAGTGATTGGGGATATTACATCTAACTCTGACCCACCTGGGTAATGGGTGGTGGGGATGGGATAACAATGCAGGTAAGCCTGATACTTTTCACCACAATACGGGAGATAATACTGAAGACTGTGTCAACGTGACTGCAGTATTAAGGAAAAGCATACATCGGGCTGGCATGAAGCTAAGCCAAGAGACAGTCTTTGCATTGCTTAGGAAGTACACTCCACCACTTATCAAAAGGAACCACCCAAATTCCATGGCAAAAACATAAAAATAGATCTCATTTCTCTGATTTTGAGAAGTTATTTTTAAAAGTAAGCTAAAGCAAACCAATGTGCAGGAAATAAAGATATTAACCAGATGACTGCAGTTTTAAGGCACCAAAAATCAGCCCCCAAGCACTGATACAATCACAGTACAAGATGTTCTTTAAATAAAGAAATGTACTTAGATTTAAAGGAAGAGTACTCACTGGAAACCTAACCACAGTAACATCTGTCTTTGTGGCCTCGACCAGGAAATCCATCCAAAAGTCCACAAGTTCTTGCTTGGCCACAGGCTGTTCTGTGGTCAGTTTCACAAAATGCTTATATATTAAAATTGTCTCTACAATAGACTTGAGGTACCTGAGAAGGAAAAGATATAAAACATGTAACAGACAAATTTAGAACCACCTGTTCCCATGTATCCCAGTCTAATTCTGTAAATGTAATTTATACATGACATTAATAGTTATGCATTCAGATTCACCGTTATTCGTTATTTGTTGCATATCGTGTGTTTTCACACTTTTTTTTTTTTTAATGTTGAAACAGAGTCTCGCTCTGTCGCCCAGGCTGGAGTGCAGTGGTGTAATCTCGGCTCACTGCAAGCTCCGCCTGCCGGGTTCATGCCATTCTGCCTCAGCCTCCTGAGTAGCTGGGATCACAGGCATGCACCACCACGCCTGGCTACGTTTTGCAATTTTAGTAGAGATGGAGTTTCACCATGTTGGCCAGGCTGGTCTCGAACTCCTGACCTCAAGTGATCCACCTGCCTCGGCCTCCCAACGTGCTGGGATTGCAGGTGTGAGCCACCACGCCCAGCCGTGCTTTCACACATTATCTCATTTCTATCTCACAAAAACTCAATAACGTTGGTTATTTTATCCCTATTTTAGAGAGGAGGAAACAGGCTTAGAGGGCTTGGTAACTTGGACTAGGGCCATACATCTAGTTAAAACTTGAACTTTAAAATGTGTATATTCTATTCAAGGAAGCGGTTAATGCATTTGTTTTTAATTATGCTTCTTTGAGGAAGCTTTCCTAAATAGACACTTCATAAGAGATCATTATTTAGCTCTGAAGCAACTCAGCTTATATATTATACAAATACCCTCAAACCTAATAAGACAGATGGTGCCTCAAAAGAAAAAGTTAGGAAAAATGAGGAGTGGGATAATTATAGGTGATAATGGCTATGCAGGCGCTTTATGGACTATAAACATGGAAGTTAACATTCCATAAAAATTAAGTTAGTGGAACCTTAAGGCACTGTTTTGTGGCTGCGAGTACCATTGCATAGAATAGTGCCTGTTTTCTTGTTAAAAAACCAGGATGCCTAAAATACTGCCATCAGAATGGTCACTGTAAAGAAATAGCAAATGTGACTCAATATCATGCGTGCATCTATTGGTTCCTTTATTTCATATCATTTGCTGAATGCCTACTGCTGCACACAGTGCTGTGGGGATAAATATCAAAAGGTATTATAACACCAAGAATAAATATCCATGGAGATATGACTAAACAGAGAGACAACTTAAAAAGCTATACACTCAGTATCAAGAGAAGCATAACTAAAGAATGACAGAAACACTAAAGAAGGGACTTGGGTGTGAGGAAGGGCTCTAGGTCAAGGTCGGCTTTGTGAGCTGGTGTGATGGATGAGTGTTCCTCGGAGAATGTGTGCATTCTGAGAGGCATGCTCAGCACGTGCTCAGACACTCATGCATGAAACCAGCAGTGTGGTATGAAGAGACAGCAGTGTAAACCCAGGAGTGTGACAAGAGCCGAGGCTGGAATGGCTAAAGGCAAATCTTGTTTGCTAAGACAAAATGATGGACTTTATTCCTTAGGCTGTGAGGAACAATTAAACTATATTGATTTAAGGATTTCAGTGCAGGAGAAGTGTCAGGTGTGCACTTTTGAAAGATCACTGTGATCTTTAGAAAGATCCCTGGGGAGGATTGGCTAAAGGAGACCTGAACATGAGGAAAATTCTTTAAACAGCCATGAGGGCCTAACATGGTGGTCTCTTCCTCACACGGTTTCTGTGATGAAAACAGCCGAGTCGGTGGCCTGGGCTCTGAGCGGCTCTGGAAACAGGCTTCCACTATATCATGGTTAGCCTTTTAAAATCTTTATAGCTAATGGTTAATCGCTACATGTGATGCTAATAAAAATTCTTTTTCTTTTTCTTTTCTTTCTTTCTTTCTTTCTTTTTTTTTTTTTTTTTTTGAGACAGAGTCTTGCCCTGTCACCCAGGTTGAAATGCAGTGGCGCAATCTTGGCTCACTGCAACCTCCGCCTCCTGGGTTCAAGTGATTCTCCTGCCTCAGCCTCCCAAGTAGCTGGGATTACAGGCACCCGCGATCATGCCCAGCTAATTTTTGTAGTTTTAGTAGAGATGGGGTTTCACCCGGTTGTCCAGGCTGATCTCAAACTCCTAACCTCAAGTGATCTGTCCACCTCAGCCTCCCAAGTGCTGGGATTACAGGTGTGAGCCACCGTGCGCCCGGCCAACACTGTTTTTCAATATGGTCCTGAATGCAGATGGAATTTTGTTTCCACCTCTCCAATTACCACAAAAATAATGATGAGATTTGGGTGCACTCCAAGAACAATTTCAAATTAGAAAAACACACAAATATAAGAAACACTCAAATGTGTCATCAGTCAAATCCTAAGTAAGAAGAAAACAAAATCAAGAATGAGAATTCCAAAACTGAGATTAGATCACAGAGGAAACAAAGGGCATATGTTTGGAGTAGAGGTCTAACAGCTGCAATGGAAATGTGGTCTCAGGCCCCGAACATAAGTTATATTTGCAGGTGCAAAATGCATGGCCTCTGCATGATTCACATGGGTGACACTGGCCAATCTGGGCCAGTGGGTTGGTCAATGTGCAGGAGAGGCTAAGTCAGGAACCTGCTGACATCACCTATGTCCAAAGTCATCAGAATTGATGTGTAACACGTTTTATGAATATCACAATTTTCCTCTATATTCTGCATTTTATTTTATAAGCAAATAAAATCATCTAATTGTCAGTTCAATAAATATAATATGGGAACAATATGGAGCTGTTTATTAATTGTATCAACATATAATAGCTAATTATTACCATGCTGGTGTCTTCAGTTTAAAAAGCTTTTCAGATGCTTGAATGACTCTCATGTGGTCATTGGCTAGGACGCTGGCCCCCAGAAAAAATCCAACTTCCCAGTAGCTCTGGAGTTTTTCCAAGTTTCCCTTTTTACCAAGAAGACTACTTAGCTTCACCCCTAGAATACAAACAGGAAGTAGAATGTTACAAATGCACCCCACACAGGTAGAACCAGGTTTTCACTAAAAAGTAAAATTAAGCTTTCATTCCTCTTTTCAGATTAAAACAGCTTTGTTAAGTTTCTGATTATTAAGGTGGCTTCAGTTCACTGTAAAAATAAGTCATAAAAAGGAATGGAACACTGATACATACCATAGATGAACTTGGAAAACATGCTAAATTAAATAAGCCAGACCCAAAAAGACAAAGGTTGAGTGATTCCACTTACAAGAGGTACCTGTAACAGTCAAATTCCTAAACGTGGAAAGCAGAATAGAGGTTACTAGGGACTGGGGGAAGAAGGGAATGAGGACTGATAGTTTAACGTGTACAGAGTTTTAATTTGGAAGATAAAAAAGTTCGGGAGGTGAATAGTGGTGTTGGCTGCGTAACAGTGCGAATGTTCTTAATGCCACTGAAGCGTGCACTTCAAATGGAAATTTTTGTTACGTACATTTTATCACAATAAAAACTTTGGTAAAAAAACAATAGTAAGTCAGACTAACCAGAAAGGTACACAGAAGAAAGTGAAAATTAACCTTTAATTTGAAAACCCAAGGATAACTGCTATGGTCACTTTAATGTACATAAATCTACAATTTTTATATATGTCAGTATATGCATAAATTAAAAGGTCATAATACAAACATTGTTATGTAACCTTCTTCTTTGTCTTTTTACAACATGGATTCTTAAATAACTTAAAAGGAAAATCTTACCTTTTTTACGCTGAAATTCTATCAGTTGAAGTATAAATGCATACAGTATATATATTTCGCAAGAATAAAATGCTATAATAACTTTAGACACAAAAATTATACACTTAAAACATTAAAGAAATAAGGAAATATGCCTGACACGGTGGCTCACACCTGTAACCCCAGCACTTCGGAGGGCCGAGGTGGGAGGATTGCTTGAACTCAGAAGTACTAGACTGGCCTGGGCAACATAGCAAGATTCTGTCTCATGAAAAAAAATTTAAAATCTAAAAAAAAGAAAAAACAGAAAAAAAAAGGAACTAGACTGACAGATAATACTGTCTTGTTATGTCACTGTCTTAAAAGTCCTGAAATCCGGTAATGTAGATACTCCAACTTTGTTCTTTTTCAACACTGTTTTGGCACTTCTATGTTCTTAATGTTTCATTATATATTTTCAATTCTACTATGTCTTGTATTATTTTTGCATTTTATAAGTATTTGTTTGCTTAAAAAAATATATCCTTGTAGCATTGTTTGGTGCCACTAACATCCATCACATTAAATTGTTGGGAAAATTATCTGAGATTTAGAAATAAGGCAAAAAGGTAGGATATATCATTTCAATATCATATGGGAAGATAAGGCCACTCAAGGACTATCTCAGGAAAGTGACGCTAGTTCATCTCATTATGTACTACTTATTAAAGGTCCCAGACTTACAGAAGTTTACTTGTTAACTTGCAGATTTTTGTCCAGTAGAGATGCAAATTTCTGTAGAGTGGAATGGATAAATCCCTAAGATTTATGGCCTGTGGACACAAAACAGCTTTTTTTTTTTTCCTTAATCAAACTCAGATATCTTATCTTAACATTTCTTTGTTGTCTATGAATAGAAATGTTTTTTGAACTGGACATTCCATCTTACTAGTTTCCATATTAGTTGAGTTAAATAAAATATTTTCTATGTGTCTATTTTATATTTGCTGAGGGTCATGATTTTATATGTGTCCATTTTATATTTGATGAGAGTCATGATTTTAGCTTTTTGAAAATTATCTGTGAAAGAAACAAAATAACATTTAAAATTTTTCATGTTACTTTTTATCGTATAATTCCACTCAAACCACAAGTATTTCAGGAAAATGTCCATTTGGGAATTCTTCACATTTTGTGAGGGTAAAGAGAGAACAGCTTTGCCACTGCTGTTTCACGAGATGAAAAAAAAATATTACACACGCATAGGACAACATCCACGGTCTTCTATCTGGATATAATTTTGTTGTTGTTGTTTTTGAGACAAGGTCTCACTCTGTCGCCCAGGCTGGAGTGCAGTGGCACGATCACTGCTCAATGCAGCCTTGAATTTCTGGGCTCAAGTGATCCTTCCACCTCAGCCTCCCAGGTAGCTGGGAGTACAGGCATGAGCCACCACACCTAGCTAAATTTTGTTTTTTTTTCCTGGAAAAACAAGGTTTCGCCATGTTGCCCAGCCGAACTCCTGGGCTCAAGTGATCCTCCTGCCTTAGACCTGCTAGCTGAGATAACAGATGCTACCACAACTGGCTAATTAAATTTCTTTGTAGTTTCTACTTTTTATTTTTTTGTAGAGACGGTCTCATTCTGTGGGCCAGGCTCATCTCGAACTCCTGGGCTCAAGCAGTCCTCTCGCCTTGGCCTCCCAAAGTTCTGGGATTACAGGCATGAACCACCATACCTGACCCAATAATAGTTTTAAAATAAAATTTCAGATGCACTCTTGAACCTCAGAAGTTCATTTTGTGGTGGTGATATTTGGTTTTGGCCTTGCCATACATTTATCACATGATTGTGACACCCAGCCAGCATTTGGATAAAATGTATATTTTTGATGTCAATTAGTATTTTAGCATATGGATGTATCATAATTTATTTACCCAAATGCAGATGGGTGGCCATTTTTATTACTCTAAACATTCTTGTACACACAGCTTTGTGTATTTGCTCAATTATTTCTTTATAATACAGTTCTAAACGTGGATTTGTTAGGGACAGAAGACATGCCCATTTTTAGTGTTGATGCATTTTTGCCAAATTGCCCTTAGAAAATGCTGTACCAATTTATACTTTCACTGGAGGCATCTGACAATAAGGTCTTACCCACACCCTTCCCAGTGAGGGGGACTATCACGTGCATTCATCTTTACCAATATGACAGAGGAAAAAAAGGAACATTGTCTTTTTTAACCGCTGAGATTGGCTCTCTTTTCATGTTTGTATTTCTTTTGTGAATGAGCATTTATGCTCTTTGCACAAACTTGTTTCTACATGAAGACATTAATCTTTTAAGTATGGAGTTAAGAACATGGCTCTAATTTTTTATATTTAGAAGTCCGTTCTCTCTGTCTCTTCCTTTCTCTCTCTCCCTCTCTCTCTTCCTTTCTCTCCCTCTCTCTCTTCCTTTCTCTCTCTCTCTTCCTCTCTCTTTCTCTCTCACACCCACACAGAATATAGAAATAAACATCTTAGTGCATCAAATTTGTTTTGTATTTAGGATTTTTTCCATAGGATAGAATTTCAGGAGTACTGTTATACTTGGTTCCAGACTAAAATATTTTTAGGCTCTTCATCCATACAGAAAAATTAATAAAGCACAATTCGTGATGTTCAGTTGTACCTTTTTAACCAAGTCCTTCCAGATCAATATTTTTCTCTATTTAAAAATATTTTGGTTGAATTTTTAAGCAATGAGCAGTATGTCATTGCTGTGTTAACAACCACTTCACCATTTATTTGATTCAGTTGCATATTTATGCAATTTAAATGCTGACAATGCTGTCATTAAAATTGGTTGACTTACACTGAGGATTTTTTAATCATTTACTTTTTGTCATAGTCTTATCACCTTGCAGCTGTTATTATGTTCAAGGCTGTTTTAGTGGAAAATGGCAGACTTTACTGAATACTCAGATGCCTAGCACTGTGTGTACTGAAAATGTTAACTCTCTCAATCCATACACCACCACGATGAGTTAGAGATTATCTCCCTTTTGTAGTAAGGAAAAATAAAGCCCAGAGAGGATTGCAACATGTCTAAAGCCATACACCTTATAAGTGGTGGAGGTTAGATCCTTTTTAATTTTCCATCATGAAGAATCTCAAACATACATCAAAATAAAACTACAATGAATGACCATATTTTCAACAATCGTTAACATTTTGCTATTGCTTCATCTCCCTGAATATTTCTGCTGAACCATTTCAAATTAAATTACAGACATCATGACATTCCGCTCTGAAATATTACAGCATATACCTAAAATATCTTCCTATATATTCTATTCCATTATTGCACCTAACAAAAACAATTCACTGATATTATCTATCATCTAGTCCTGATTCAGATTCTTGGATTGACTCCCAAATGTCTCTTATAGTTTTTTTTTCCAAACCAGAATCCAATCAAGGAACATTAATTGCATTTAGTTTTTATGTCTCTAAATTTCTCACTTTTTTTTTTTTTTTTTTTTGGAGAAAGAATCTCACTCTATTGCCCAGGCTGGAGTGCAGTGGCATGATCTCTGCTCACTGCAACCTCCACCTCCCAGGTTCAAGCGATTCTCCTGTCTCAGTCTCCCAAGTAGCTGGAATTACAGGTGTGAACCACCACGCCCGGCTAATTTTTGTATTTTTTTTAGTAGAGATGGGGTTTCATCATGTTGGGCAGGCTGATCTCTAACTCCTGACCTCAAGTGAGGCCCACCTTGGCCTCCCAAAGTGCTGGGATTACAGGCATGAGCCACCATGTCCGGCCTCAATCTCTTTTAATCTAATCAATCCCTCTACACATTTTTTTTATGACCCTGACTTTTCGAAAAGACAAGGAGTGCCATGGTGCAGGGTCCTCAATCCCAGGGCCATGGACAGTTACTGGTCTGTGACCTGTTAGGAATGGGGCCACACACGGGAGGTGAGTAGCAGGCAAGTGAGCAAAAAGCTTCTTCATCTGTATTTACAGCCATTCCCCATTGCTCTTATTACTGCCTGAGCTCTGCCTCCTGTCAGATCAGCAACAGCATTAGATTCTCATAGGAGCGTGAACACTATTGTGAACTGCGCGTGCAAGGGATGTAGGTTGTGCGCTCCTTATGAGAACCTAATGCCTGATGATCTGTCACTGTCTCCCATCCCCCCAGATGGGACCATCTAGTTGCAGGGAAACAAGCTCAGGGCTCCCACTGATTCTACATTATGGAGAGTTGTATAATTATTTCATTATATATTACAATGCAATAGAAATAAAGTGCACAATAAATGTAATGTGCCTGAATCATCCCTGAACCACCCCCCACCCCTGGTCCATGGAAAAATTGTCTTCCACAAAACCAGTCCCTATTGCTAAAAAGGTTGGGGACTGCTGCTCTAGTGTGCTCACCTTCTGATCTGTCTGATGTAACTTCTTGGGATTATTTGACTTATTTCTCTAGAGCTTGTGATTCCTATTAAGAGAACTTTAGATCTTAAGATTCAAGTTAAACATTTTTGGTGACAATATTTCACAAGAGTTGCTGTACACTCGGCCGGATGTGGTGGCTCATGCCAGGTGGGCAGATCACTTGAGGCCAGGAGTTCAAGACCAGCTTGGCCAACATGGCAAAATCCTGTCTCTACTAAAACTACAAAAATTAGTTGGGCATGGTGGCACGCACCTGTAATCCCAGCTACTTAGAAGGCTGCAGCATGAGAATCGCTTGAACCTGGGAGGTGGAGGTTGCAGTGAGCCAAGATCGCACCACTGCACTCCAGACCTGGGTGACAAGAGTGAGACTCTATCTCAAAAAATAAAAGTTAAAAAATCAAAAAGAAGAGCTGCTGTACACTTCACAGTTATCATAATAAAGTCCTAAGGGCACATGTCTCGCCACCCTATTATTAGTGATACAAGGATGGATCACTGACAGCTGGGTCTTCCCATTCTACAGGTACATTTGTTCCTTTGTGACTAACAAGTTATCTATGAGTTAGCTTTGGTATCATGTAAAAGGGGTAAAATGTAAATTTTTTTTAAATAAGCATTTCAATTTAATACTTTTAGTTCAAATTGATGATCCTTGCCAGAATCAATTATTTCAACATCACTCTCATTATCAGCTTTATCATTACTTTATTAACTATAATAGTGTACTTTTGAAGAATACATTCTCTGGAAGAATAATACATTTACTATGTAGCATAGCTCAAGAAGAGCTGTATTTTTTTTTTTTTTTGAGATGGAGTTTCGCTCTTGTCGCCCAGGCTGGAGTGCAGTGGCACAATCTTGGCTCATTGCAACTTCCGTCTCCTGGGTTCAAGCGATTCTTTTGCCTCAGTCTCCCAAGGAGCTGGAATTACAGAAGCATGCCACCACACCGGGCTAATTTTGTAATTTTAGTAGAGACAGGGATTCACCATGTTCATCAGGCTGGTCTTGAACTCCTGACCTCAGGTAATCCACCCGCCTCCGCCTCCCAAAGTGCTGGGATTACAGGCCTGAGCCACCACGCCCAGCCTAAGAAGTGCTATATTTCATCAACGGGATGAACTACAGTATCTCTGAAAGAGGAAGGAAAAGTACTTACTTCTTTCCTTATAACTTCTAATTTTCGGAAAAGTTGGTCACTTCCATAGGTGACAAAGGAGTTTTTCAGTGGTTGGTGATAGATTTTGTTCTGATGACTTTTCCTTGATTATCTCTATTGATTCATGGATTTTTATGTACAGTAATATATATTTTCTATTCAATATTTTTTAATGCTCACTGAAAATGATATTTAAATAGTGGTTGTCTAAGTTCCAAACATAGTGTTCTTTTACTGTATCATCATTACTGTTGGAGACTCAAACCTCTAAGTCTGACTCTCACCCATAAAATGTCTCACAATTGGAAAATTCCACAGAAGATGGAAGCATCATCTTGTTATTTAGCTAAAGTTTGAATATTATTTTTAAGGCTTGCAAAGGTGAAAACAGGAAGAAGATGTAGGATATGGCTCTGTGTTTTTAAATCCTAGCTCTAAATAGCCTAAGCATCAGTGATTCTTCAAAAACTGGAAAAGTAAAACACAGATCCATGAAGCAATTAGTCATAACCGCAAACAAACACACAACTAGAATTAAGAGTCTTTGGGCAACACAGCATGACAGTTAAGAATCATTTCTTACATTTGAGATCTTAAGATAATACATTTAGGGAGCTTCAGATTGAGTGCTCATCTTAATTGTTTACCCTTTATAAATAAATCAAAATTTCAAAAAGCATCTTAAAGAAGGGACTTCATAAGTAAATGTCTGGTTATTATAAGAACTCGGTAATTCGGAATAATTTGTATGTTTGCAGAGGCCAACAGGAGGAATGGGAGGTATAAATTACTGGAAAAGCTGATTGGAGCATTTAAAGAAAGAATGAAACTAGGTGTATCTTTAAAATATGCCAAGTATATTGTCTCATTTTTATTATATACTATCAATTAACATCATTATTATATTAAACTATTAATTTATTTAACCAACTTGTCTTTCCTCGAAAATCCATTTAATCCTCTTACCATATAAAAATTAACTTTAGATCAATCTATGTTGATTAGCATAATTTACAATTGAATAGAATCTAAGTTAGTGAGTTTTAACTATGTTTTCATTATTGAAGGACAATACAATTTAGAATGCATATCACAGTATTTTAGAAGCCTAAAACAGTTCTCATGATAGCTAAAAATTCACTGATAAGCCATATTTTAAGTCTGTATATGTTATGCAATTTCTAAAATTTTAAACTAACTTTGTATGTTTTCAAATGTTTGTTTAACATGTATTACAAGTGAGTTCTTCCTGAAAAAAATTAACATGTTTCTTTTACATATTAATCACATTTCCTCAAACCTCAGAGTTCTGACCATCTTAATAAGTATTTACCTTCAAAATGAGATTTAGAATAAGTACATTTTCAAACCATTGTCATTGCTTTGCCTACATATGCAAATCACTGTCAATTCCTGCAACAATTTAGAGGCTTCAACAAAACCTCACCTTGAGTTAAGAACAGAACAATAAATATATGACTGTATCAAAATAGAACATATATACTGAAAAATATATATCTATTGCATATCAATAAAAACAATGAAAAAAGCAACAAAGGAGCAATAAAAATATTTTTAGAACACTGATATAGGGATTTTGGCTAGTATAGAGTTTTTAATTTAGTCTTAGACACAAAATTTTATTATAATCATAATTTCTGAACAGCACAAATTGCAATGTACCTTCTCCGATTTCACTGAACCAATCAAAAGAATTATTTCAGGCTGGGCAAGGTGGCTCACACCTGCAATCCTAGCACCTTGGGAGGCCCAGGTGGAAGGATCTCCTGAGCTCAGGAGGTTGAGATTGCAGTGAGCCGTGATCGTGCCAGTGCACTCCAGCTTGGGTGACAGAGTGAGAGCCAACCTTAAAAATAAATAAATAAATAAAATAGCAGAGGTTTTTGAAAAAAGCACTAAGAAAGCACAATCTAAACCAGCCTGGGCAACATGGCAAAACCTCATCTTTACAAAAAATACAAAAAAATTATCCGGGTGTGGTGGTATATGCCTGTAGTCTCAGCTACCCGGGAGGCTGAGGTGGGAGGATCACCTAAGTCTTGGGGGTCGAGGCTGCAGTGAGCTGTGATTGTGCCATTGTGCCCTGAGCAGCAGAGTGAGACCCTGTCTCAGAAGAAAAAAAAAATTATTTCAAACAGACCTTTATGCCTTTAATACCCCTGCTATCCCACAGTAATAAATACTTTATCATTCTTTTAGTCTGGGCATTTAAAAAAATAAACAAATAAATATTCTGACTTTATTTAGCTTCAGAGATTCTCCAGAACATTACATAAAGATACAAGCTCTTCCAAAATAATGTCTTTTTTTTAAAGTCTAGGATTCATTTCTCTTTAAGAAAAGTAACAAGAAATTCGCCAAAGTGGGCCCGGTGCGGTGGCTCACACCTGTAATACCAGTACTTTGGGAGGCTGTGGCAGAACTGCTTGAAGCCAGGAGTTCAAGACCAGCCTGGGCAACATAGTGTGGCCACGTCTTTATAAAAAAAAATTTTTTTAATTAGTCAGCTGTGGTGGTGCACGCCTACAGTCCCAGCTTCTTAGGAGGCCAAAGTGGGAGGATCACTTGAGCTTAAGAATTCAAGGCTGCAGTGAGCTATGATCGCACCACTGCACCCTTGCCTGAGTGACAGAGTGAAACCTGGTTTCCAAAAAAATTTTTCTTTTATTTTGAAGAAAAAGTTTCTTCTACAATTCATAGCTTCACTAAGATGAACGTGTTATTTTTTCCCTATGAAAAACAAGGCTGAATATTTCTATGTCTGTAGTAATTCCTAAAAGAGTTGGAAAGATTCTCTGAAAGGAGGTCGTTAGACACCCAACGGAGCAAAATATGATTCCCATAGACAGGATTCCAGTATCTAGAATCTTTAAAAAATGTGATCAAAGCCAAAACCAAGAAAATCACTTGAAATTTGTTCACTAAGATGCCCTAACTTCTTTAAATTCCCAGGGAAAGGCAGCAGATGAGATAATGTCTACAGATAAAAGGGACAAAAGCACATTCTGTCGATGGCTATGATTCAGAGATGGTCTGAGGAGCCTACTTCCTACCAAGACCACCATTTGCTTAACCTGTTGCTCCTGGGGCTTTGGGAGGCTCTTCCCCCAACACCGGTGAAATCATAGGGAAAGGTGTGCTTGAGAAACAGATAAAGGAAACAGCAGAGGTTTTTGAAAAAAAAGCACCACAAAAGCGCAATCTAAAATAGGAAATATTCCTGATGTCTCACAAAACAGTAACCTTATTTAGGAGTTGGGGGTTGAATGCAGAACCCATATCCTCAATATTAGTTTGAGCTGGAATATTAACCAGGGGGACTTTTAGAAACAGGTAAGATAAATTAAAAACTGAATTATGTCCTAATATCAGGATTCTGTACAACAGTATGAAACACCAAACAAGGAGATATAATAAGTTTCTTTTTTCTCTTTGGGAAGTATGAAAAGACAGAAAGCAAAAGATTTATCTATTCATGATTCTTTTTCTTTGCACCAAGTTGGGTCCAGTTTCTTGATTTCCATGTAAAATATCAAGTTGTAATTACCAACTTTCCGGAGCTCAAAGGAAGATTCAAACTGGTGTCCAGCTGCCAGGAGGAGGACCGCATAATTAATTCCTGACTGTAGTGTTGGCTCAGATTCAAATGCCTTTTTGAACCTATAAAAAACCACAAATGTACAAGTTAACTTTCTCAATCATGAAACCCTGGGTGTGTAATAGCTTCTGTTTGTATAACTCCAATGCCTGAGCAAGTAAAAATATTGCACTGGCCTTCACCCCAGAATCTGGTGTGCTATTAGGACTTAACGCTTCAGAAACTGCTTATCTTTGTCCACAGCTCTGTTGCTTTCCCCCGCTTAGCTCACCCTCAACCTACCTAGTAACCCTAGTCTTTAAAAAAATCCTCTCTTCAACCATCTACCAGAAATATGTGAATGTGAAAATTTAGTTACAAGGGCATTTGTTACAAGATGAAAAATTACTCTAAATATCCAATAATATTATACAGTATGATATGGAATAACATATATTCCAAATGTTAGAAAGCTATGTAGTCATTTATGTTGTAGAAGCATGTTAAAAGTCAGAAGAAAACTAGTGTTTCCAAGTAAAATGTAGTCGTCTACTTGGAAGCCATCATTCAGGGTGTGTGTGTGTGTGTGTGTGTGTGTGTGTGTGTGTACAATAAACATTTAAAAATGAGAACCCCGCACATATTTTTTAAAGTAGTTTTTACAAACTCTTAAAAATATACAGAGCACTGAGGATAGGTAACACACTGAAATGATCAATTCCATAAGAATGATATAAAAATGAAATAAACTGTCAATTATAGGATGAAATTAAGAAAAGCAGAGATGTAGAGTATGTCTCTACATACTAATTTTGGCTCAGAGAGTTATAAAAAGACTTTTCTGAATATGCATAAAACCGAGTATCAACCTTTGAAAATACTTCAATATTTAAAAGGACTTCAGTGTTTGAATATTTACTTTATTTTCAAGGTAATACTTCCTAGGATACTTTTAAGGGTTTCCTCACATGCATCATTAAACGGGCAACGATATTCAATATAATTTCACTTAGGTATATGTAAAACGAGAAAAATAAAATAAATGCCCTAGTGACTAAGAGGAACTGCCTGAGGCCAATGCATGAAAAATGAAACTTTTATTTTTAAAAAAATCATGCTGAAGAAAATATAAGAACTAAATATCTAACAAATGACCATTTGATGACACCAAAAAAAAAGGTTATGTGGGAAGAAATACATTATAATTCCAAGATAAAAGCATTCTCACCTAAGTCATAACTGTGTAAATAAAAGACAGGAATAGTAAACATAGTGATAGGCACAATAGTGTATATTGTAGGCACAATAAATGTATATTCTTGGCTTTTATATATACTCAAAATTTTCCATAATTTAAAATAAATTAAACATCAAATGAAAACAAAAAATATATTTTTCTGAATATTGAGGACCATGTCTCTTTTTTAAATGTCTTGCTCTTTAATTAGAACAAGCATCTCTGAATGGAAGCAAAAATAACTATGAATCTTAACTAGTTGGCTCTGATAGTTATGTACCTATGGAATATGAAAAAAGGTACCACTGCATCACCATAGGTGATTAAAAAGCATTTTTTAATGTTTCCAGAAGTATACATGTTTCCATTCTAAAATGAAAAAAGTATATACACCTAGACTACAGATATTCGAAACTATATCAAGGCAAGTCACAACTTACAGGTCTTAGACTAACATAAGTCTCAAAGTTCTTTGTCTTTGTTCAGAGGCAAGTATAATGTCCCAACAAAAAAGGATTTAGGAGAAGAAAGAAGTAGACACTTCCCTTTCTACCAATTCATATCAAGATACGTAATATTTTTCATTAAATACATTATGGCATTTTCCCTGAAACCAAAGAACATGAAATGTCTCTTAAAGATATGAAAAGGAAGATGCAAAAATGAAGACATATCGAAATGAATCAATAAATATTGGCTGAATATCTCCTATGTGCCAAAACCAACCTAAATGAATATTTGGGTTTATATCTGTTTTTCTGTTACCACAAACAATATATATTTTTGTATTTTAAATGAAAAGATAAACACCAATAAAATTAATAATTCACATTTTTCTTGAGCTCCCCTCAATCCATGAGACTAAATTGAGTACTGTATTGAGGAAAAAGTCTTAATGTTTTCTGGAGATTAAAAGAGCATGTAGGTATATTACGAAAGAAATAAAATCCTGGCATATATCATTAGTATACCACTGCAGGAAGTGGGAATTCTCCCATACTGTAAAAGCAAAGAAGTACAGTATTCTTGGCAGAAATTTGCCAATATCAAAACTATAGAATTTTTGTTTGTTTGTTTCTTTGAGATGGACTTTCACTCTTGTTGCCTAGGCTGGAGCGCAGTGACACGATCTCAGCTCACAGGAACCTCTGCCTCCAGGGGTCAAGCGATTCTCCTGCCTCAGCCTCCCGAGTAGCTCGGATTACAGGCATGCACCACCATGCCCGAATAATTTTTTTGTATTTTTTTTTTTTTTTAGTAGAGATGGGGTTTTGCCATGTGAGTCAGGCTGGTCTCGAACTCCAGACCTCAGGTGATCCGCCCACCTCGGCCTCCCAAAGTGCTGGGATTACAGGTGTAAGCCACTGCACTCGGCCAACTATAGAAATTTTTTAAAACTATGTATAACTCTTAACAATTATACATTTACAAATTTATACCAAGAAAAAACATTAAACATGTAATCAGAAGTTTCATTACAAGGGCATTTGTTACAAGATGAAAAATTACCCTAAATTTCCAATAATACTATAAAGTATAACATGGAATAAAATATTATACAAATGTTGGGAACCTACATAGCCATTTGTATTGTGGACAAATATTAAATGTGAGGGGGAAAGCTTGTGTTTCCAAGTAAGATGTAGTCGTCTACTTGGGAGCCATTACTTCTGCTTCAGTAATTAGGGGGAAATAAGAATACATATCAAAAACACATTTTTGCAGACACTGGAGATCTATGGAAGCAACAAAAAAAATCACTGAAATAAACTCCAAAGAGGGAAGTGGCCTTCCAAGATGAGCTGAATTGCTGTTGTCTTTCATGGGGCATTTGCTGATTCTGACCCTGAGATTAGGCTTGGGCTTGGCATGGGCAGAGAAACTCTGTCTATTTTAAACTTTACCAAGAAAAAGAGAAACTAGTGGATTTCTTGACAATTGCGTGGTTTGGCACGACAGAATGAAACCCGAAGGAGTCCCAAATGTGTTGCTGTTTTCTTCACAGGACATTCGTTGAATGCTGAGTTGTACAGGAGGCTAGGGTGTGGAGTAGAGCTGGGATGACAGAGTGAAATCTCCTGAGTGTTTAGGAGAAAAGTCCCACTAGGGAAAGAAGTCTACAACAACCATAGGAAAAAAGTCTTCCCTTTAAGAAATTTACCACATTTTGGGCTGGGTGCACTGGCTCCCAGCCCTTTGGGAGGACAAGGTAGGCGGATCACTTGAGGTCAGTAGTTCAAGATCAGCCTGGCCAACATGGTGAAATCCTATTTCTACTAAAAATATAAAAATTAGCCAGGCATGGTGGTGTGTGCCCGCAGTCCCAGCTACTCGGGAGGCTGAGGCAGGAGAATCACTTGAACCCCGGAGGTGGAGGTTGCAGTGAGCCAAGATCACACCACTGCCCTCCTCCCTGGGCAACAGAGAAAGACTCTATCTCAAAAAAAAAAAAAAAAGAAAAAGAAAAAGAAAAAAAGCAATCTACCAAATTTTGGAGAATAAAGAGCTAAACACAAAACTCTCAAGGACAGATAAGAAATCTCCGACAGTATTTAAGGGATAAGAAGATAGAAATATGCCTGCCTATCAATTAAAAGTTCAAGAGGGTCACAGCTAAGAAGCAGAGATAAAACAGAAACAGATAAGGTCAATGAAAATGAAAACCCAGACCCAACCCGACTCAACTGCATTTGTTGAAGTAATCAGCTTCTTACCCTATCTGGCTAACAGAGGAAAAGGAGAATCTCTGTGAGTGAAAATAAAATCATCTCCAAGTCTCAATAGTTTTTTAATACAAAATGTCTGGGATACGAGACATGCAAAGAGCCAGCAAGTTGTGACCAATAAACAAAAGCAAACACACACAAAAGCTGACCTACAGATAATTCGGATGCTGGAGTTTATAGACAAGGACTTTAAGATAATTATGACAAATACGGTAAAGAATATAGAGAAAAAGATAAAATGGATAAAAGATATAAACAACTTCAAAAAAGAATCAGCATCAAAGAAATCACATAATCTAGCACCAAAACATACAATACCTGAAAACAATAATTCAATGTATGGGCTTACAAGTTAATTCAACAAAGTGGAAAAACAGTTTTGGTGAACTAAAATGCATGTCAATAGAAGGTATCTAAACTGAAGCAGAGATATAGAAAAAAAAAAAAAAGAAAACACACACACATAAAACAACAAAGCATAAGAAACAGAGGAGACACAGTTAAATGGTCTAACCTATGTATTACTGTAGCCCCAGAAAGAGAAGAAAGAGAATATGGAGCACAAGAAATATGTGAGATATAATGGATAAAAACATTTCAAAACTGATGAAAACATCAACCCACAGATTCAAGAAGCTCAGCAAAACTCAAGCAGGATAAAATAAGATAATTATAGTCTAAATGCCAAAACATGTTACCAAAATCCGAAAACACAGTGGAAAATCTTTTAAAATCAGCCAGAGAAAAAAGATACATTACTTTCAAAGGAGCAATAAAATTGACAGTAGACTTTGCCGTACAAACTATGGAAGCCAGAATACAACGTAGTGACATCTTTAGAGTAATAAAAGAAAAAAAAAAGTCTAAAAAAGATATTTTCAGACAAAAACTGGGAACTAGTTGCCAGCAGATCTGAACTATAAAAAAATACTAAAAGTGCTTCAGACTAAAGGAAAGTGATTTCATTTGGAAGCACTGAACTTCAGAAAGAAAGAGCATCAGAAAGAGTAAATATGTGACTAGATCTAAAATATAAAAATTATTTAAAATCTATTGATTATTTAAACTGCTCCAAGTTTCTTTCCTTGTTCAGGAAGCAGTAAAATACAAAATGTAAGGTAGACTATAAAAGTCGAGGATGCAGGTTGTAATCTCTAGGGAATACTCAAAGAATAATATGAAAACTATTACTAAAGTGCTAATGTAGGAGAAAATGTAATACTAAGTTAATAAAAATAAAGCAAGAATGGAGGACTAAAAGAACAAAAAACATGTAAGACCAATAAAAAATAAATAAGACAAATAGTCAATATTATTGATATAGCCCCAACTATCAGTTGCCACATTAAATGTAAATGATCTAATCATTCCTAATAAGAGATTTTTCAAATTAGACTGAACAATAACAGCAAAAAATGCAAGTATATTCATTTTAAAAAGGCACACTGTAAATACAAGTTGAGTAACCCTAATAAAAAAATCTGAAATCTAAAATGCTCCAAAATCCAAAACTTTTTGAGTGCCAACATGATGCTCAAAGGAAATGCTCATTGGAGCATTTCTGATTTCCAATTTTCAGATTAGGGATGCTCAACTGGCAATTATAATGCAAATATTCCCAAATTCAAAAATATAAAAAAAATCCAAAACACTTCTGGTCCCAAGCATTTTATATAGAAAAGATACTTAAGTATTAGGACACAGGTAGGTTGAAAGTGAAATGATGCATAAAGATGTACCATCCAAATATTAAATAAATGTTATCATTATATATTAATATCAGACAAAATTGACTTTAAGATAAAAATTATTATAAGAGAAAAAAGGAACGTTTCATAATGATAAAGAGGTAAATTCAATAGGAAAATATAACAGTCCCAAATGTACCTAATAGCATGGCTTCAAAACATATACAGAAAAAAATGCACAGAACTAAAAAAGCAGATATAGAAATCTACAATCATAGGTAGAGATCTTAAAACACTTTCTCAGTGATGATCAAACAAACAGACAAAAATTATCAGTGAGGATATAGATTTGAATAACATTATTAGCCAAGTTCATCTAACTGACTTACCTGGAACACTACACCTAACAACTGTGTACCATATTCTGGGCCGTAAAGTACTTCTCAACAAATTTCAAAGGACTGAAATAATGAAAAATGTGTTCTCTCACCATAATATAATTAAACCACAGAACAATAAAGAAAGATATATTTGGAAATTGGGCAACTCAGTTCATAACCCAAAGGTCAAAGAAGAAATCATACTGAAAATTAGAAGGTATTTAAACTGAACAATATATATATGTTGTTATATATAAGGTAATGAAAGTCTAATAGATAAAATGTCTGGGATGCAGAACAAATTATACCTTTAAATGTAGATATTGGAAAAGGAGCAAGGTTGAAAATCAATGCTCCAAGCTTTCATCTAGTAAACGAACAGCATATCATCTTCAAAGTAGAAGGGTATAATAAAGAAAGCTGAAATCAGTGAAATAAAAAGCAAACATGCAATAAAGAAAATAGTGTCAAAATGTGGTTCTTTACAAAAATTAATAAAGTTGATAAACTCCTAGGCAGACTTCTCATGAAAGAGAGAGAAATAAAAATTAACGCTAAGCCCTCATAAACAAAAAGACGGTCATCCGTACAGATGATAGAGCATTAAAAGCAAAGGACATTTGGAACAACTTTATGCCAATAAATATAACAACATGGGTAAAATGAAAAAATTTCTTAAAATCACATGTAAGCATGACACAAGGAAAAAATGGAGACTCTGAATTGCTCCATATCTGTTAACAGAATTTATAATAATCTGAAATTCTTCTTTTTGTTGTCTATCTGCTCCAAGAGAATGTAAGCTCCATAAGAGCAGGAACCTTAACAGCCTTGCTGACCAATGAATCTCCGGTACTTGAATCATCAGAATACCTGACACGCTGCAGGTGATTATGAAATACTTGTGAAATGAAGAAAGAATGCATCCACTTCCTACCAAGAACCAGGCTGAGATAACTGGTAAATACGTCAGTTCATACAAGATACAAATAATCTTTTAACTTCCTTCAGTGATCTAAACTCTGATCTTGATAAAACTATATTACTAGAAACTACATCCTTGGACCACCTTAAACAAGTGAATTGCATATCACTTTCACTGTGTTACATTATTCACTGTGTTACATCTTAATGTTACTGGAGTTCACGACTTCAATAAAAATACTGATGTTGTTTATATAGCTTTTATTGATTGTTGTTTATGTAGATTTTATTTACACAGGGTCTGTCATGAGAAATTCCTTTAATTTACTGCTAGGGAGAGTTTAACTTCCTCTGAAGAATTGGTATATGATTTTTTTTTTCATTCTATCACTAAAAAGCATATTGGCTTGAAGCTTAGTCATAGCAAGCATGTTGATACTTATTATTGCCATATTTACATTCTCTAATTTCTTTGTGTTAACTTTCATATGTATTTTATCATTTTGTTAATTTTTCTTTTCTTTTCTTTTTTTTTTTTTTTTGAGACAGAGTCTCACTCTGTCATCCAGGCTGGAGTTCAGTGGTGCGATCTCAGCTTGCTGCAACCTCCGCCTCCTGGGTTCAAGTGATTCTCCTGCCTCAGCCTCCCGAGTAGCTGGGATTACAGGTGCACGCCACCACGCCCAGCTAATTTTTGTATTTTTAGTAGAGACAAGGTTTCACTGTGTTGATCAGGCTGGTCTCGAACTCCTGACCTTGTGATCCACCTGCCTCAGCTTCCCAAAGTGCTGGGATTACAGGCATGAGCCACTGTGCCCGGCTCATTTTGTTGGTTTTGTAGATGTTAAAATAATGATGATATCCATTTTTTTTTTTTTTTTTTTTTTTGAGGCAGAGTGTCGCTCTGTTGCTCAGGCTGGAGTGTAGTGGCGCAATCTCGGCTCACTGCAAGCTCTGCCTCCCAGGTTCATGCCATTCTCCTGCCTCAGCCTCCCAAGTAGCTGGGACTACAGGTGCCCGCCACCACGCCCGGCTAATTTTTTGCATTTTTAGTAGAGACAGGGTTTCACCGTGTTAACCAGGATGGTCTCGATCTCTTGACCTCGTGATCTGCCTGCCTTGGCCTCCCAAAGTGCAGGGATTACAGGCGTGGGCCACCGTACCTGGCAATCTCCACTTTAACTGAAGATGCTATCTCAGACATTTTAGGGTAAGAGTGTTACAGTATCAAACAACTTGCAAATCCCAGTGGCTTGCAACTCCTGTTCATGCCACATGTCTGTGTCATGAACTCTGTGTCATGGTTCAGCTCTGCTCCACATTGTCTTCCATCTGGGATCCAGCCTGAAGGAGCAGCCTTCTCATGGAAATGGCCAAGGAAAAAGTACATGTGGTACAATCACAAAATTGCTCTCAAAGCTTCTGCTTAGAATGCACATCAATCAAGACACACAACCAAGTCTGGTGTCAAGGGTGGGAATATTTAATCTTCCTACAAATGAGGACAGTGTAGTTCTAACAATAATACAACAGCATAGATGACGGTCTCTATCAAAGAAAGCTGTGATTAACATCAAATGGTAAAAGAATCTATAGTACCTGCCTCTGCTTACTGAGCACCTACCAGGTACAAGGCATTGAATGAGACATTTCAGGCATAATACTTCTAATTCTGACAACTCTTTAAAGTAGGGGGAATTCCTTACCAACAAGGAAATTGAAGCACAGGAATATTAAGTTATGCAGTGTGGAAGTGGTCAAGCAGGAACTCTACCCAGTTCTGCTGGATTCCATAAGCCTAGGCCCTTTTCTTTGTATGGCTCTGCCTACCCTTTGGTTTGTACTAACAATTTTTGTAGTTCTTTTTCATTATTTTCTGGGTTTTTTTTATTTTTGTTTTTAATAAAAGGGAGTTGAATTAAACAGGAAAAATAAATATTGCTTTTATATTAAGGATAAAGCTTGTATTGCTTTTATATTAAGGATAAAACTTGTATTCTATATACAACAGAAACAGATGCTGATATATTCTAAGAAAAAAATGGTATTTTTCACAATATATTTGATCACTCTCATAAAACAAAAGACTAATATTTCAAAAAGACTTACATGGCAGTACTGCTGAAATGCACCCATAAAAACACACCAAACGAGTTTTATAATGCTGAGAATGTCACAGTTTAGCAAAAGGATACATAAATATGAACAATATGTAAATCTATACATAAAGAAATCTAAACAATGATTAAAAGTGCAAAACTATCTATAAAGATAGAGAAATAAAATGATGAAGCTAAATTGGGTAAGACTTTAAGAAGGAAATAAATCTTAGAGAACTATACATTTACATATTAAGAGAAATTTAGTGGCTATCTTTGAGTAACCATACGAAGTTATTTCCACTCCTGTTGATTTTTTTTTTATTTTAGCACTAAATATTTGTTGAAAGGGGGCAAATAATTTTTTTTTTCTTCTTGAGATGGAGTCTCGCTCTGTCGTCCAGGCTAGAGTGCAATGGCGCTATCTTGGCTCACTGTAACCACCGCCTCCCAGGTTCAAGCAATTCTCCTGCCTCAGCCTCCCGAGTAGCTGGGACTACAGCCATGTGCCACCACACCCAGGTAATTTTTGTATTTTTAGTAGAGATGGGGTTTCACCATGTTGGCCAGACTGATCTCAAACTCCTGACCTCAGGTGATCCACATGCCTCGGCCTCCCGAAGTGCTGCGATTACAGGCATGAGCCACTGCACCCAGCCAAAAGGGGGCAAATAATTTGCACTATTTAATTCATTATTTCATTTAAAAGATGTAAACTTCTCTTTTGAGCTTTCAAAGCAATAGGTTTTTGTTCCAGAATTGCCTTATGATTAGTACTGTATTTGTCACCTGATTGCAAACTAGCTTAAAAGCAGTTAAGTCTTTGATATAGAGTGATGAAGTCTTCACAAAAAAAGACTTTTCACTTTTTGCATCCGCACTGAGACATTCAACAGAAATCAAAAATAAAGGAAATATTCTTGGACTGATCATTTCTAGCTGGAATATGTACTTTCCAACAAAGAAGACACTGAGCTCAAGTCAAGTTCTTGCTATTTTTCCTTGTTTGTGATATAACAGTTGTGATTCTTTCTATGAGACACAAAGGTAATTTAATTAGAATTTCATGTTTTTTTTTATCTCTAGGGATATTTCTGAAATTAACACTCATAAAATAACTCAGAAACAAAGCAGGACAGCATGTGAAGAAACTAATGCTGAATCACCCTGCTGCTGTGATCTGCTGGTGGGGGTATAACCCTCCAATTCAGACTACTTATTTGTGTACATATCTTGTTATAATAGAAAACTCAGGAACAAAAATAAAAGAACCCCAAGTTCTAACTGTGTTTTTCCAGTCCTTTTACCACGCACATATTTTTTTTCCAAAAAAAGAGAATCACCCTATTTTTATGATCTGCTGTTTAATTGATGAAATATCATGACGCATGTTACTATTAAACATTTTTCAAAACCACAATTTTCTTCTGGGTATATACTTAAAATAATTAAAAGTAGAACCTTAAAGAGATATTTATACACCAATGTTTAAAGTAGCATCATTTACAATAGCCAAAAAAGTTGGAAACGATTTAAATGTCCATCAAGAGATGAATGGATAAACAAAATGTGGTATATACATACAACACAATTATTATTCAACCTTACAAAGGAAGAAAATTCAGACATATGCTACAATGCAGAGGAAGATTTGAGGGCCTTATGCTTAGCAAAATAAGCTAGCCACACACACACACACACACACAAAACCCAAAGCAAATATAATACCACTTACATGAGGTACCTAGAGTAGTCAAATTCAGAGAGATTTATAGAAAGACAGAAAGTAATGGTGGTGCCCAGGGCCGGCGGAAGGAGAGAATGGGCAACTGTTGTCTAACAGATACAGACTTTTAGTCATGCAAGATGAAAAAATTTTCTGTGGATGGATGGTGATGATGGTTGCATAACAATATGAATGTACTTAATGCCACTGAACTGTACACTTAAAATGGTTAAAAGAGTAAATTTTATGTTATATATATTTTACCACCAAATTTTGAATAAATGATATTCCATCCTTTGGAAACGTGATCCTTTGCTTAACAACTTATCTATTTTTGGATATTTAGATTTCTTCCAATTTTTTGTTACCATAAAGTTCAGTGTCATGAACACCATTGCAGATCTTTGTTTCCATATCTACCATTTCTTTAGGATAGTTTCCCAGTGACAGAACTGGATCAAAGAACATGAATTATTTCAAAGCTCTTGATGCACAATACCAAACTGCTTTCCAGAAAGGTCTTTACCAATTCACATTCTCAAGAGCAGTGTAGGAGAGTGACTTTTACAGTGTACCCATGCAAAAATAAATTATTCTCATCTCTTCTCATCTTTGCCAATTGATTACAACAAAAAAGAATAGCTCAAATTTGATTACTCTTAAGGGTGAATAGTTTTCATATGTACACTTACTCTTGCAATAACTGCCCCAATTCTTTAAACAACAATGCAAACCCATATTCTGAGAAGGCTGGAAAGATGGGAAGAGATACCCTTGGAAGAGCTCTGCAGGGGAGGAAGGGGCGGGGCTGGGGGTGTAGATTTAATCTTGGAGGCTATGAAGAACAGTAAAGATTTAGGAGGAAGGGAGTGACAGCAAATATGGGGAAAATCTAAATATTTCATGCAAGGGGAATAGTCACATTAACCTATTATGATTAATCTATGCTGTCAGATGGAACCACGAAAGCAGAATCTTCCAGGGCAAACAATTTCACATTGTTAAAAAATTCCCTAAGCAATTCTGATGTTCTCAGCCAGATTTGCAAACAATCGCTTTGGTTCACTAAGTGAAATCACTCCTATTCTTCCATATTCTCCTTCCTTTTCAGTATAATGCCTGGCAAATATCTAGTTCTCTCACTCATTTCTCTAATAACTGAATTACATAAAGCAAGCCTTAGTTTCTCTCCTTAGGTGCTCCATCTTTGTTAGTCAATTAGGAGACCTCTACAGAGACATAGTAAATACTCTTATTCTGGCCATGTGCAATGGTTCACGACTGTAATCCCAGAAATCTGGAAGGCTGAGGAAGGAGGATCACTTGAGCCCAAGTGTTCAAGATCATCCTGGGCAACACAGTGAGACCCCATCTCTAGAAAAAATTTGAAAAATTAGCTGAGTGGTGGTGCACATCAGTAGTCATGGATACTTCAGAGGCCGAGGCAGGAGGACAGTTTGAACCCAGGAGGTTGAGGCTGCAGTGAGCCATGATCACACCCCTGCACTCCAGCCTAGGTGACAGAGCGAGACCTTGTCTCAAAAAACAAAGCAAAACGAAACGCCTGTAATCCCAGCACTTTGGGAGGCCAAGGTGGGCAGATCACGAGGTCAGGAGATCGAGGCCATCCTGGCTAACATGGTGAAACTCCGTCTCTACTAAAAATACAAACAAAAATTAGCCGGGTGTGGTGGCGGGCGCCTGTAGTCCCAGCTACTTGGGAGGCTGAGGCAGGAGAATGGCGTGAACCTGGGAGGCAGAGCTTGCAGTGAGCCAAGATCGTGCCATTGCACTCCAGCCTGGGCAACAGAGCAAGACTCTGTTTTAAAAAAAAAAAATTATGAATTCTTAGACCTCAACTTGGTCATGCCATAACACAGCTTCATCCAATCCATCATCTGCTGAATGTGGTATTAAATCAAGGTCAAAGCATGAGACCAATGTTCCAGGGCACTTGTTTACAAAGCAGCTATGGACACACTGTGTGTTTTACCCAAGTTCCTAGGTCATCCTGGAACTAGCGATCCCTTAGGAATCCTGTACATCTATCTGGTCACCAATGAGCTGGTGTCATGCTGAGTTACTAAAAACTTTTCAGGCCTTGTGTTCTAAAAATAAAAATCATCCAAAATTTGGGGACTCATATAATAGACACAATAAAGGACTAAGCAAAAATAATGTTAATGCAACAACAGTGAGATAAAACTCTGGAGGTGGGGAGAGAGGGGGAAGGAGGGTGGTAAAAATGAAGAGAACACTGAGAAACATAACTCGAAGCCAAGACAAAGGAAACAAGGCTAATCTGGCAAATGGAAAATTGACATTGGTCTTTATTTGTCTGTTGATTAGTTTGTTATATAACTCTTCCAAAGTAGAGCCAACCCCATTAATAATGTAAAAACTAAATCTTTATTAGGCACACATTACTGTTTGAATAGCACTGTCACTGACGTAAAAGAAAACTAGTTGATAAGGCCAGGCTCGCTGTTCTTCCCCAAGTTACTATGGAAAAATGAACATATTAATGCTAAAAACAGACTTAATGCTTTTAATTTCCTGGCTATGGATCTTTTTTGGCATTATAACAAGAAAGACATGATTATGCTAATACAGTACAAGCACCTAATTTCCTTTCAGAGTTCTCAAAATGACTTCATATCTTCCCTTAAGAATGAGAACACCGTTTTCTCCAAAATCAAATGTGATTTCAGGCAAGTACTGCCTATCCTACATGGTGCCACAATAGCCCTGATATATGAAATTCAGACAGGGCCTGTGTAAAAATTATGCAGACTCTATACATTTTCCCTCATTAGCTAAAATGTTTAGCTACATCCAGAAAGAAAAAAAAAGACTTTTAGAAATATTTTAGAACAAGGGAAATTTAATATAGTCAATGTCCATTTTGAACATGGATAAATATATCAAATATGTAAAGACATACAAAATGGCGGGGGAGCAGAAAAAAATACAAAATTATTCACTAAAGATGTATTAACACCAAGGATATAACACTAAAGGCTTACTAAATTTCAGGACTTTAACATATGTTGTTTCATTTAATCCTCACAACAAAGCACTCATCCCAAAGAGGTTAGTCTAAACCGGTTGTAATAATCCCATCCTCTTTGCTAGTGATTTGTGTAGTTTGAGGCTGATGAAATACTAGAAGCATGAAGGCATAAAGAAAGTCTGGAGTAAGTTTTTACAAGCATGTTTTCTCAGTCCTAAGAGAAAGATACAGGAAAACATTGCCTCAGTTCCCCTCGACACTGGTGCAGCTAATCTGGGTTGGTCTTGGAATGGCCATAGCCATCTTGCAATCCCGAGTAGGGGCAGCCCAAGGTCAAAGCCACCCATGGCCATAGCAAGAAAAAGGACCTGACTGATGTCTTTCAGCTGCTGGTTCAACCTGCACTTGAGCCAGTCCTACTTCTGAACTTCATGTTTTAGGAGATACACTTTCTTATGATTAAATCCATTGGAGTAAGGTGTTCTGCTACTTGCAATATGCCAAGAGCATTCTAACTCATCTACGCAAGTGTTAATTTTTTTTAAGTAATAAAACAGAATATTCTAAGGGTAATTTGCCCAAGATCACACTGTTTCCAAGTATTGTGTAAACACTGATCCCTTGTGAGTCTCCCATTAGTTCATACTTCTTCAACAAAACTGAAATCTAGACATTTCTGGAAATGTCTATTCCTGGAAACTTCAGGAAGGAGGGCCTAGGATACAGTAAAAACAACACTGGATCTGAAAAAATAAGATCTGAAATTTTATTAATCACAGGGCAACACGAAATTCACTGGAGTTCTTTGATTTTTAATTTCATCAGTTGCAAAATGGGAAGAAGTGACCAGGTGTGGTGGCTCCCATCTGTAATCCCAGCACTTTGGGAAGCTGGGGTGTTAGTATCACTTTGCTCCAGGTATTTGAGACTAGCCTGGGCCACATAGCGAGATCCCATCTCTACAAAAAATAAAAAATGAGCCAGGCATGGCGGCATACACCTGTGGTCCCAGCTACTTGGGAGGCTGAAGTGGGAGGATCACTTGAGCCCAGGAGTTCAGGGCTGCAGCGAGCTGTGATCTGCACTGGGCGACAGAATGAGACCCTATCTCAATTTTTTTTTTAAAAAAAAAAGGAAGAAAAATGTCAGCCTTGCCTACTTCACAAGGTTCCTGTAAGCCTCCCTCATTAGTAACATGCACAGAAACGTTGTGTGAACTCTAAGGGTTAAGGGCTCAATTATTATTAATATTTCTACCTATGTGAGCAAATACTGCATATAACAAAATTTTCTAAATAAGTCATACTGCATAGGAATTCAGCATAACCATTTCATGGTTATTTCTTTTTAGATTTGCTTAAAAAAGAAAATGTGGAGATAATCTGGCAATGAGAACTTCTGTGGTCCTCTAAGGCATGGTGATTTGTCCCTAACACTTCCTTGGATCATCTCCAGGGGTTAAGTTTGCCACTTCAGAAACTTGATGGCTGTTTTTTAGGATGTAAGTCTCAGCTCTTTAGTCACAAATTCTCACCCCTTGAAAGCTGGCTCTCCTCCCAGCTTCTCACCCTCTCTGCTGTCATCTTGCTCCTTCTCCTGCAGCCCAAGTTGTCCTCTAACTAGCATGTGACGGGCACCACTGCTGCCTTTAACTGATTTAAATCTTTATATTGAAAAGCTATGAGAAAAATGCCACAGCCTTTTAAATACAAATTGCATTATTTCAGCCATTCTCAAGAGCTGGGATGAACAAAAATAACTAAGGAAATGACAATGCAAAACATCAAATGTTAGAGAACTATGTTTTTAATGCTTAAATTAGGATGTATTCATTCAAACCATTCACTCTCTGTCTCACATAAGAGTCAAGAATCACAGTTTGTTGCAACAATATACTGTAATTCAGCACACTTAGAAAAATCTAAACCAGCCAGGCGCGGTGGCTCACGCCTGTAATCCCAGCACTTTGGGAGGTGAGGCAGGTGGATCTGGAGCCCAGGAGTTCAGGATCAGCCTGGGCAACATAGGGAAACCTTGTCTCTGCAAAAAAAAAAATACAAAAAGTAGCTGGGCATGGTGGCACGCGCCTGTAGTCCCAGCTACTCAGCAGGCTGAGACAGGAGGATTGCTTGAACCCAGGAGTTCAAGGCTGCAGTGAGCCAAGATTGTACCCCTGCACTTGAGCCTGGATGACAGAGCAAGATCCTGCTCTAAAACAATAATAATAATAATAATCTAAACCATTTTCCCCCTATTTTCTGTTTTCACATTCTGAACCCACAACTAAAGCTATCGGAAAATAGATCACATTAGAGACTCTCTGTAGCACTAAAACGCTGCCATTTAGTACTTGAATCAGATAATATGCCCAGGAGAGTAAAACTTCCTCCCTCCACTGTGGGTCAGGAACATTTATTAATATTATTAAAAAAGAGAATTGCAGAAAGAGTTCGATGAGCCATTGTAATCACAACTGCTTGGGTTCTCTTTCCATTGAGTTGGAACTCTTATCCTTAAACTTTCCATGATCAGTGGCTTACTGTTTATTCAAGTCAACAGAAAATGATTCAGTCCATGGAAAGAAGCCTGAGGGACTGACTACCTGCCCTAACACCTCACTCCTTATGCCAGCAACAGCATTTAAGAAATGAAAACCCAGAGGATTATGACTCAAAAGAAAAAAACAAGGGTCAGTTGAAACATCCCTTTGGGACCCATGACTAATGAGGGGCATAATCCTGGGTATATCTGGCCAGATGCCTGACAACCTCAGCAGCCCTCCTCCCTGTGAGCACCTTGACAGGGCAGGTTTCCTTCTTAGCTCCAACAGAAAGGGAGGTTGGGGACAAGGCCAACAGAAATAAGACTATGTTTGCACTACAGCGGAAACTGGACAAAACACTAAGAAATACCAAAATAGCTTTATAAGCAAGAGCATGAAAAGGCATCCATTTTAAGATTGGGGAGTGGGGGCTCCCTTTTAGTGTTAAATAGGACAAATGGATATAATGACAATAATGGCAGGTTATGGATAGGTCCTCTACAGTAAAAGTGGCATTCTTACATTACTAAATAAATCAGTAAGTGTCATGTGCAAGATCAACTCCTGAAGACTGTCCCATTAGAAGTCTTTGAGCTCATAAACTAGGTATTGATGGAATGTATCTCAAAATAATAAGAGGTATTTATGACAAACCTACAAGCAATATCATACTGAATGGGCAAAAGCTGGAAGCATTCCCTTTGAAAAGCAGTAGAAGACAAGGACGGCCTCTCTCACCACTCCTATTCAACATAGTATTGGAAGTTACGGCCAGGGCAATCAGGGAAGAAAAAGAAAGAAAGGATATTCATATAGGAAGAGCGGAAGTCAAATTGTCTCTGTTTGCAGATGACATGATTGTATATTTAGAAAACCCCATCGTCTCAGCCCAAAATCTCCTTAAGCTGGTAAGCAACTTCAGCAAAGTCTCAGGATACAAAATCAATGAGCAAAAATCACAAGCATTCCTATTCACCAATAATAGACAAACAGAGAGCCAAATCATGAGTGAACTCCCATTCACAATTGCCACAAAGAGAATAAAATACCTAGGAATACAATTTACAAGGGATGTGAAGGACCTCTTCAAGGAGAACTACAAACCACTGCTCAAGGAAATAAGAGAGGGCACAAACAAATGGAAAAACATTCCATGCTCATGGATAGGAAGGATCAATATCATGAAAATGGCCATACTGCCCAAAGTAATTTATAGATTCAATATTATCCCCATTAAGCTACCATTGACATTCTTCACAGAATTAGAAAAAACTACTTTAAACTTCAGATGGAACCAAAAAAGAGCCCATATAGCCAAGACAATCTTAAACAAAAAGAACAAAGCTGGAGGCATCATGCTACCTGACTTCAAACTATACTACAAGGCTACAGTAACCAAAACATCATGGTACTGATACCAAAACAGATACATAGACCAATGGAACACAACAGAGGCCTCAGAAATACCACCATACATCTCCGACCATCTGATCTTTGACAAACCTGACAAAAACAAGTAACGGGGAAAGAATTCCCTATTTAATAAATGGTGTTGGGTAAACTGGCTAGCCATATGCAGAAAGCTGAAACTGGACCCCTTCCTTACACCTTATACAAAAATTAACTCAAGATGGATTAAAGACTTAAATGTAAGACCTAACACCATAAAAACCCTAGAAGAAAACCTAGGCAATACCATGCAGGACATAGGTATGAGCAAAGACTTCATGACTAAAACACCAAAAGCAATGGCAACAAAAGCCAAAATAGACAAATGGGATCTAATTAAACAAAAGAGCTTCTGCACAGCAAAAGAAACTACCATCAGAATGAACAGGAAACCTACAGAATGGGAGAAAATTTTTGCTATCTATCCATTTGACAAAGGGCTAATATCCAGAATCTACAAGGAACTTAAACAAATTTACCAGAAAAAAAACAATCCCATCAAAAAGTGGGTGAAAGATATGAACAGACACTTCTCAAAAGAAGACATTTATGCGGCCAACAAACATATGACAAAAAGCTCATTATCACTGGTCATTACAAAACGCCAATCAAAACCAAAATGAGATACCATCTCATGCCAGTTAGAACGGTGATCATTAAAAAGTCAAGAAACAACAGATGCTGGAGAAGGTGTGGAGAAATAAGAACTTTTTACACTGTCAGTGGGAGTGTAAATTAGTTCAACCATTGTGGAAGACAGTGTGGCGATTCCTCAAGGATCTAGAACCAGAAATACCGTTTGACCCAGCAATCCCATTATTGGTATATACCCAAAGGATTATAAATCATTCTACTATAAAGACCCATGCACACACATGTTTATTGCAGCACTGTTCATAATAGCAAAGACTTGGACCCAACCCAAATGCCCATCAATGATAGACTGGATAAAGAAAATGTGGCACATATACACCATGGAATAGTATGCAGCCATAAAAAAGGGTGAGTTCATGTCCTTTGCAGGTACATGGATGAAGCTGGAAACCATAATTCTCAGCAAACTAACACAGGAACAGAAAACCAAACACCGCATGTTCTCACTCATAAGTGGGTGTTGAACAATGAGAACACATGGACACAGGGAGGGGAACATCACACACTGAGACCTGTTGGTGGGTAGGGGGCTAGGGGAGGCATAGCATTAGAAGAAATACCTAATGTAGATGACGGGTTGATGGGTGCAGCAAACCACCATGGCATATATATATACCTATGTAACAAAACTGCACATTCTGGACATGTATCCCAGAACTTAAAGTATAATTTAAAAAAAAAATCTAGAAATCTTTGAGCTCTAACACCATTTTCTGTTCTTAATAGAAAATAAATAAGATAGCTTAAAATGAAATCACAAAAATCCTGACATCTTCAATTTGACCTGAAGACCTTGAACACAAAGCTCTTTTGAGAGGCAGTTAATGTTCCTAGGCTAAATGGGAATTATTAAAATAAAAGAGCCAGAATTTGTAAGTACAGAAAATTGAAACAAAAACAAAACCAGAAAAAACTCTGCTCCTTAACTGAACTTTATGCGACCTTGAAAGCTCTCAGTCTTCTAAATTATTTTGTTTTCAAATGGAAAAACACTTCTATTTTATCCTTGTACACAATGCATTCTAACTTCATAGGAGATGTTTTTTATCTTAATTCATTCACCTTGAAAACCAGGCCTTTTTGGATTACCTATGCATTTCATTGTCACATACGAAAGCATTTATACTGGGCATAATGCTTCTCAAATATCTGATTCTAAATCTCCCACAACTAAGAATTTTCATAAAGTGTAAACATCAGGATAATAAAAGGGCTGCACAATTACACTCCTCTTTTGTAATAGCAGAAAAAAAAAAAACTTGGTTAAGGCCAAGTACAGTGGCTCATGCCTATAATCCCATCATTCTGGGAGGCTGAGGCAGGAGGATCACTTGAGGCCAGGAGTTCAAGACCAACCTGGCCAACACAGCAAGACCGCATCTCTGCAAAAAATTCAAAAATTAGCCAAGTGTTATAGCGTGCACCTGTTGTCCCATCTGCTCAGGAGACTGAGGCAGGAGGACTGCCTGAGGCCAGGAGTTCCAGACTTCAGTGAGTTATGATTGTGTCACTGTACTCCAGCCTAGACAACAGAGCAAGACACTATTTCTAAAAAATAAAAGTTTTAAAAATAAATTTGGTTAAGATAAACTGTGAAACTCTTAGCAGTGTAATAAAAATTCATAGTACAAATTTAGAAGTCCAGACCAAAGCTTCCCTAAAGGATCTAGGAAACTACTGTCCCCAAGTGTTTCTCCTTCTCCCCATTACCCTACTTTCAGTTCTTGCTATGGTTTGAATGTTTCTCCCCAAAAGCATGTATTGGAAGCTTAATCCCCAATGCAATAGTGTTAGGAGATGGAGCCTAATGAAAGGTGAAAGGCCACGAGGGCTCTGACCCCATGAAAGGATTAATGCTGTTACATCAGAAATCGGTTCTGTATAGAGGGAGTGGGCTCCTTTTAAAAGAACATGTTCAGCCCCATTTGCCCACTCTCTCTTTCCCCTTCTGCCATGAGTTGATGTAACAAGAAGGCCCTTGACAGATGCTAGCCCCTTGATCTTGGACTTCCCAGCCTCCAGGACTATGAGAAGTACATGTGTATTAATTGTAAATTACCCAGTCTCTTGTATTCTGTTTTGGCAGCACATAAAAGAACTAAACAGTCCCTCTAAAGTGTGAAAATGATCTAAGATTTCTAAAAGCTAAGATTTCTGTTTCAAAACTTAAAAAAAAAATTATAGCTACCATACAGGAATTCCTAAACTAAGTTGGCCTCCTTGAATTTTTTTTTAAAATCAAGGACTATTTTGGGAATGTGATAGGTACATTCCCTATCATACTAAGTACAAAAGAATAATATAAGCAACACCCCGATATACTTCCTACTCAGCTTAAGAAATAAAATATTTTTAATATACTTGAAATTGCATGTGAATCACTCCAGGATCTCTTTCTACTTCTTCCTCCCTACTGGTAACCATTATACTGAATTTGGAGTTTATGATGCCCATCCGTGCATCTATACTTATACTAAATCTCTATGACTGTTTTTAAACATTCTATAAATGATACTGTACTCTGTATCCTTCTGCCACTTGCTTACTTTGCTCAACTTTTTTAAAGTTTTTTTTTATGTTAAAACTTTAATGTAGAGAAATGTCTAAGATTTACTCTAGGGTATATAAATCTGCTGGACCTAGGGGAGGCAAGTTCTCAACTTTCCTCAATAATGCCAAAATCTTTTAAGTGCGTATAGAAATTTATGGCACAACCAGCAGGCATTAGGACTCACATTTCTCTAACATCCTGGCTAACAATTGATATTGTCAGATTTATAAATTTTGGTTAATCTGAATAGTGTAAAGTAGTATAAAAATAATCTTTTTATAAGTTTCAAAAATATGTTTATTGGCCATTTGTGATTCCATTTTTGTGAATAACCTGTTCATATCCTATGCATTTTTTAATCTCTTTTTCTTAAAGATATTTTGAGGAGTTATTTATATATACTGAATACATATCCTATATTGGTTACATGCATTGTTCCCTGTGATTTCTTTGTTGATGGTATCTTTTATATTTATTCATATATTTATCATTTCCAGTGCTATATGCTTTTTCCTATAGATCCATTTGGTTTTATTTCCCTTCAGCCTAAAGACTTTAACATTTCTTGTAGTGAAGTTCTGCTGGCAACAAATTATCTCAGTTTTGATGTATCTAGAATTGTCTTTACTTCACCCCCATATTTTAAAGACATTATCAGTGGATATAGAGTTCTTGCTTGATTGGGTTTTTTTCTTTCAGCACTTTAATGTTATTCCATTATCTTTTGGCTTCCTTCAGCACTCACTCTTTCCCCTGATGTATCTTCTTTCTTAGGCTGCATTTATGACCTTTTCTTGTATTTCTGTTTTTCACCAATTTTACTATGATGTGCCAAGAGATAATTTTCTTTGATATTTATGCTCCTTGGGTTTTGCTGAGCTTCCTAGATCTGTGAGCTGTTTTTTATTTGTTTGTTTGTTTGAACAGATTTGGATAATATTTGACCACTAATTCTTCAACTATTATCCCTGCAACAGTATATCTCTCCTCTCCTGGGACTCTAATTAAAAGTATCTGGACCACTCAAGGCTGGGCACGGTGGCTCACACCTGTAATCCCAGCACTTCAGGAGGCCGAGGCAGGTGGATCACTTGAGGTCAGGAGTTTGACACCAGCCTGGACAACATGGGGAAACCCGGACTCAACTAAAAATACAAAAAGTAGCTGGGCATGGTGGGGCATGCCTGTAATCCCAGCTACTTGGGAGGTTGAGGCACGAGAATCGCTTGAACCCCGGAGGCAGAGGTTGCAGTGAGGTGAGATTGCACCACTGAACTCCAGCCTGGGCAACAGAGCAAGATTCGTCTCAAAAAAAAAAAAAAAAGTATTTAGACCACTAAATGCCACAGGTCATTGGAATTATTAATGACTTCATCTCTTTCTTTCCTCTGCTTCAATTTCAATGATTTCTAATAATCTGTTTTGAAGTTTATTGCTCTTTTATCGTATTGTGTCCTATCTGCTGTTAATCTGATTTGATGACATTTCAACTTCAGATATTGTACTTTTCAGTTCTAGAACTCCCATTTGGTTATTTCCAGTTTCCAAATATCTCCTATAATTCCTCATATTTTCACCCATTATGTTCATCTTTTCAAGTAGATTCTTTGATATAATTATCATTGTTATTTTTATGTCCTTGTCTGGTAATTCTAAACTCTGTTTTATCTATGGGTTTATTTCTATGAATAATTTTTTTCTTAATTATGAATCACACTTTCCTATTTCTTCACCACTTTAGTAGTTGAGAGTTTTTCTTTCTTTTTTTTCTTTTTTTCTTTTTTTTAATAAGACAAGGTATTTTTATATTGTCCAGGCAGGTCTTGAACTCCTAGGCTCAAGCCATCTTCGCACCTCAGCCTCCTGAGTAGCTGGAACAATGGGAACATGCCACCACACCCAGGTTGCTTAGTAATTTTTATGGTGTATTAGACATTTTGGATGATAAGCTGTAGAGAGTTTGGATTTGTTCTCCTCCTCTTAAGAGTATGTAGTTTTTTAATAAAAGGTAAATAAATTATTGGTGGTTCACCTTGTTCACACAAAGGCTTATCCCACTCAATGTCCAGGTCCTCCGGCAGCCTCAAACTCACTCTCAGGCCAATAAGACTGTGATTTCCTGCTAGAGTTCTATCTGTCCTGCTCCCTGCAGACCAGGGAATGTCTTGAGGGAAAAGCCATTTAAATGTGGAGTTTATCCTATGCGGTGCCCTTCATCCAAGGATGAAAACCTTTCCAGTTTCTAGCTACTTTTAATCACTCTTCAGTGCTTTCCAACTTTTTTCCAACATTTATAATTGTTATCAACAGGAAGATAAGCACAATAGAATCTACTCTGCTGTTTCCAAAAGCTACTACTTTGATGAGCAGAAGCCAATTTTCATGTAGACCATTTTCCCAGTCTTATCTTTTATGGTATATGGCGTTTTTAAGCCTTGTTTAAGAAATCTTTGCCCCAGTCAGGGCAACATGGTGAAACCCTCTCTCTACCAAAAATACAAACAATTAGCCAGGCGTGGTGGCACACACCTGTGGTCCCAGCTACTCAGGAGGCTGAGGTGGGAAGATCACTTGAGCTCAGGAGGTGGAGGTGGCAGTGGGCCGAGATTGCACCACTACACTACAGCCTGAGTGACGGAGCAAGACCTTGTCTCAAAAAAAAAAGAAAGAAATCTTTGCTTATCCAATAGTCATACATAATTTGTACACTTTATTCTAAAAATATTTTTCTAAAGTATTTTTTCATATTTTGGTATTTAACTCACTTAGATTTCATTTTTTTGTGCATGGCTTAAAATGGGGATAGAACTTTATTTTATTTTTCCAAGCAGATAAAGAAATTTTCCCAGTATCATTACTACAGATTCCATCCTTTCCTTTACAGCTCATGAAGCTGATTCTGCCATAAATCTAGACTCATGTATATCTTAGTCTGTTCCAGGCTGTCTCTTGTATTCCAGTGCTTTGTTTGTCTATGCCTATAGCCATACTGCAATATCTTAATCATTACAGCTTTATAATGAGTCTTGTTAACTGGTGGAGCAAGTCCTTCCACCTTGTGCTTTTCCAGAATTGCTTTGCCTATTCTCAGTCCTTTATTCTTTCAAATAAATTTTGGAATTGGTTTGTCAAATCACATGAAAACCCCTGCTGGGGGGAATTAAAATCTTTAAAATATCAAGCCTTCTCATCTACAAACTCGGTATATTTTTTCCTTTCATTCAGGTCTTTTAAACTGTCTTTATATAAATTTTTCTACAAAATTATATTTTATTATTTATATTACTTATTTAAAATATCTTTTTAAAATTATATTTCTTAAATTATCTTTTCATCTATTTATCCCAATTTACTATACTATGTTAAATGAATTTCATCAAATTATTTACTAAAGTTATAAACTCTAAGATTGGCCCGGTGGCTCACGCCTGTAATCCCAGCACTTGAGGAGGCAGAGGCAGTTGGATCACCTGAGGTCAGGAATTCAAGACCAGCCTGGCCAACAGGGCAAAACCCGTCTCTCCTAAAAATGTAAAAATTAGTGGGCGTGGTGGCGGGCACCTGTAATCCCAGTTACTGGAGAGGCTGAGGCAGGAGAATCGCTTGAACCTGGGAGGCAGAGGTTGCAGTGAGCTAAGATCACATGACTGCACTCCAGCCTGGGCAACAGAACAAGACTCCATCTCAAAAATAAAATAAAATAAAATAAAATCTAAGGTTTAGTTCATAATACACAATCTTATGGATTATAATAATACTTTAACACTCTCATTTGCAAATACTTTTTTATGCCATGGATTTACTAAGTAAGTAGCTCATTTATATACTATTTACTTACCAAGAAGCTCCATGGTCTCTGCTTTCAGTGTCCGTGAAATTAGAGTCCAAAAACATATCTTTGTAGATTCGACCAACTAGGCAATACATATCTGAAGCAACTTGTCCTTCGCTTTGCACCATGGGAATCATAATATCAAGAGCTTTTGCTCTGTCACCAGGGAGATTTCTCCTAAGGCAGAAAACATTGTTGTTTCAATATACATTACAGAAGCAATATAGATCAATTCTTTTTTAAAAACCCTATTTAACATGTTGATTCATATTAGAGAAATTTGCCAGGACAGAAACAATTAGATTTTGAGAGTCCTCTGTAAACCTCTGTCCTAAGCCTAATTTTTTGTTTTATCCCATTGTATGTCTACTAGGTCTAACAAGGATTTCTTTTGAGTTTCTGTGTTAATAATGGTGATGGATTTGTACTTACTCATCCACAATCCTTCCAATTTCCCTGCAGCCTATATGCAGGTTCAAGTTGGTGAAACGAGATTAGAGTTGTAGTCTGTGTCTTTGAATAGGGTAGAGTAAATAAAGCCAAGTAGGGACAAAACCCTGACCTTAGGTTTCAATGGCTTTTGCTCCAAAACTTAGCAAACTCATTCACAGATGATACCAAAAATCAAATCAAACCCAAGAACTGCTTGATTTCTACGTGTGACTAACTGATTATCTAAGGAAGTTGCTTTATGTAGCATGCTTTAAAATAGTATGTGTAGACAGTTCACAAAACCAGATAAAAATTCTATAAGAGTTATCATTCCTTAGACCTTGAAAATATTATGCTAAGTGAAAGAGGTCAGTCACAAGGGACCACATACTGTATGATTCCATTTATATGAAATGTCCAGAATAGGCAAATCTGTAAAGACTGAAAGTAGATTCGTGGTTGCCTAGAGTTGGGGGATTTGGGAGGGAAATGGAAGGGGGGCTGCTAATGGGTACAGGGTTTCCTTGTGGAGTGATGAAAATGTTTTAAAATTTATTGTTTTGATGAAATATATTTAGTTTGTTTGTTTGGAGACAGAGTCTTGCTCTGTTGCCCAGGCTGGAGGGCAGTGGCATGATCTTGGCTCACTGCAACTTCTGCCTCCCAGGTTCAAGCGATTCTCCTGCCTCAGCCTCCCGAGTAGCCGGAACTACAGGTGCACACTGCCACACCTGGCTAATTTTTTTGTATTTTAGTAGAGACGGGGTTTCACCGTGTTGCCCAGGCTGCTCTCGAACTCCTGAGCTCAGGCAATCCGACCACCTTGGCCTCTCAAAGTGCTAGGATTGCAGGAGTGAGCCACCACGCCCAGCCTGTGAAATATGTTTCAATAAAGCTATTATAAAAAAGGTATCATTTCTATTCTCAATTACTACTTCAAATCTTCTGTCCAAGAAATTCCTTTTTATCCTTGGTAATAACTATCTAACACTATGTTCACCTAGACATAACCATCCTTACTCTAGTGAAAACTTTTGTGTGAATGACCATCTGGTGTTGAGTGTATTTGCTTAAAGATAACATCATATTCATGTAACTTTTACAATTCTAAAAAATATGAATAGCAAATACAAACTTTGACAGAGCAGAAAACCTGTAAGAATTTAAATATACCAACAGTGTGCGACTTTTTTTTTACTGAAAAATAAATCAGAAAAAAATGAGAATGCATGCTTCCTATATTTCATGGGGCTGAAGCAGATATGCTAATATTACATTTTAATAGGGACTTCTTGCAATGCTGCAGTGAACACATTCTCTGTAAAGAATTGCAGGTTACACAATAATATGTTAACGCATTCTGGAAGGGAACTTTTTCTTCTTACCTATTCAGTGCAAATGCATAATGAAACTTCACATGGTGATGGGAGGCCAAATCAAAGGTTGGCAGTTTTTCTAAAGTCTCTACCAGCTTCACAATAGAATCATAGTCCTTTCAAATTAGATGAGAATAGCACAGAATTAAACCATTAGGAGAAAATTCTCACAATAACGTGTCTTTTGACAACCAGATATCTGAATTCAAGAAACACATTAAAAAGACACTAGAATCCACAGAACACTTTGAAGAACCTAGAATAAACAGTTTTTGTTGTTTTTCTTCTAAAAGGTTTAGATCGTATATATAAAAACATTAGAAACATACAGTTACCATGTTGAACAAAAACTAAAAAAGCAAAAGAAACAAAAACACCAAGCATGATAGTGCTCTACTGTCTAAATATGGGTGATTTATTTCCCCATAGAGCCAGATTCCCGGTATGCAGTGTTCTAACAATTTCAGGGAAATAAAAATGTCAAGGACATGAGGCAATGGGTTGAACTTCTGTTACAAGTAGCAACACAGTTTCATGTCACATGAGTAAGCACTCTAGCCACAGGATCCTATGTGCCACAGCCCTCCATGGATGTGAGTCTGTCTTGAGCACATGAAGCCTTTACACAGACCTGAAAGGCTAGGAATGGAAAGGAGAAACCAGATGTCATTTAAATTTTACTATTAAAACCTAAGAGCAAATCCCTAACTTGGAGAGGATTTTATTCCACTTACCCTATTTTTAAAATTTTAAGACATGTCAATAAAAATGATATAACCTGTTAGTGTGTTTTACATTACATATTTTTAAAGTTATTTCTGTAGGTAATCAATTACATATTTTTTCCTTCAGGCGAGTTAGATTCAGCACTATCAATTTCAAGCAATACAATTTCAAGGGATAAAAGGTATGTCCAGAAAGCTCTAAAAATGTCTGCTATTTGCCAAAACAAAGCTTTCACTGACAGGTGTGCCTGAGGCTAACAGTAGAATAGACTGTGTCCACAGGTTCGCTGTGCCAGCAGATTTTTCTTTTTGTTCTTTTGGAGGAAAAAGTCAGGCCTTTACCATACAAGTCTTTCACAATCACTGATGGTTAACTCACATGAGTCTTTTTCATTCATCATAAAATTATAGGATGGAAAGCTTAAGAGAGTCAATAAAAAATTACGTGTAGTAACATGAACTGCTTACCAGCAAACTGAAATTTGAGGTTAATACTCCCTTATCCCTCCAACATGCTACACAACAAAGATTTCACTTTAAACATCTTCTCACCTGGATATCTCTGTAGGAAAGTAACAGATTTATGACAATATCTGCTGTCAAGACTTCGATATTATCTACTCGCTGCCGAATTCTTGCCAACTCAGCTGCCAATTCTTTACCAGTGTATAAATTACGAGCTTTCCTGATGTCATTGAGTATAGATTCCCGGAAGTACTGGCTGGTAAAAACACACACATTTCAAAGAGTTTGACATTAGAAACAATTTCAATGAAAAGCAATAATTTTAATAAAGACATGAATGATATTGCAGCATTAGCTATAAAGCATTTGTAGTTTTCAGTTCATTCAGATGCCTAAATAAATATCTTACATATCTGGCATTATTAAGAAATTTAGAAGCCAATGTATTTCTTTTATTACTCTGCCTTCAGAAAGAATTAAAGGTAAAGGTACTCCATATTAATAAATTTTCCTGCAAAAAACCACTTAAAATGCCAAAACTTTGTTTTCCATTTTACTGTTTCCAGTACAAATTGTTCTAAATAAATTAGATGTACCTATGATTTTTTGTTTGTTTGTTGTTTTTGTTTTTGAGACAGAGTCTCACTCTGTTGCCCAGACTAGAGTATACTGGCATGATCTTGGCTCACTGCAACCTCCATCTCCTGGGTTCAAGCAATTCTCTTGCCTCAGCCTTGTGAGTAGCTGGGATTACAGGTGTGCACCACCACACCTGGCTAATTTTTGTATTTTTGGTAGAGACAGGGTTTCGGCATGTTGGCCAGGCTGGTCTCGAACTCCTGATCTCAAGTGATCTGCCCACCTCGGCCTCCCAAAATGCTGGGATTACAGGCATGAGCCACGGCACTGGCCGTGATGTACCTATGATTTGAACATAATATAACCTTAACTTCCTGACTCAGCCTATCATTTATTAACATAAATAATTGTTCTTCACTGAAAGAACAATTAGAGTTAAGAGTTAATTAAAGTTGAATTGTTCTTGCCCTTACACTAGAAGTCCCTGGACATTTATCCTGGTATTGTTTCTGTACTTGCTTTGTATATATTTTTAGTTCTACCATCACTATAAAGCGGTTAGTAGACTTTTTAATTTTTTGCTGATTTCAAGTTGCTGTTCTGTGAATAAAATGTATTATGTGGCATCTATTTTATCTACTTGGAGGATAATAAACATTTTCCCCCTAGTTCTTAGCTGTATACTGATATCTCAGGAGCACCTGATATCATGCACAAATAAAGATGTAGAATAACACTTTATTGTCATCACCAAATGGCATTATTAATTAAACTTTACCTAGAACTTGCTTGTGCCACCTTCAAAAGTTGAATAAAACGATCCACAAGAGGTAAGCAGATGGGTCCAAGAAGCAGCTCGAAGTTCGGTTGCATGAGCTCTGTCAACCCCTTCATGAAGCTGCTGTCACAGCAGTAGACTTTGTTATGTGGAGTTATCATGTAAGGAACAAAGGTGTAGTTCCCAGTGCACATCTGCGGAGAGAGGAGGCATCGGCAAGTGGGGAGCTGGCCTGGAGACACGGCACAGATGGAATCCCACGTCTTACTCATTTTAAATAATTCCAAATGCAAAGGGAAATAGAAAAGCCTCATTATTTATTTATGACCTACGACAATGAAAATTTCCCCAATTCCTTTCACTGCATACTTCAAATAATTAGGACTTACAGATGATACCAAAAAAAGAGTGGAACAGTTTCTATCCATCAATTTAATATTTATTCACCATCTTTCAAGGCTAGGGCACTAAGTTATTGCTGTTGGAAAAAGTAGTTTAAAGCATGGCCTTCAGCTTTCAGGGAACTTATAATTTAGTCACAGGGCGCAGCATACACATATGAAAATGCTACAAGCTCACATTTGAAGGGCTTCCTACATGTAAGGTGATGCCGCAAGTAGATCCCGCTCAAATCCACCCCCCGGGAGGCTGCTCTCTCTCTGTCTCCCCACTACTAAAACTACAGGCCCAGAAGTTACCCTTGATGCTTCCATTCCCTTCCCCTTCCACATCCTATCGAAGTCCCATCTGTCCTGCCTCCAAAATATAATGTCATATTTGTCCATTTCCCTCCATCTTCTCGGCCAACACTTTAGTCCATGCACCAATGGACCTGGCCTGAGCCACTGCCATCAGCTTTAACTGGTCCCCCTGCTTCCACTCTTGTCCTCTAATTTACTCTCCACTCTGCCATCAGAGTGATCTTTCAACACTGTCCCTCAGATCACTTCCCACAGCTGCTTAAAGCCCCATCTCTTGCTCTTGGGAGAAAGAAGAAATTGCAATGCAACGTACAAGGGCCTGACTACGCAGATCCTGCCCCTCTCTAACCTCAGCCCTGCCACTCTCCCCTCGCCCACTACAGCCTGGGCTCACTGACCTTCTCTTGGTTCCTGGATGATGCCCAAGCGAGGATAAACTGGTGCAAACAAAAGCAGAGCAGGGATGAAAGTGGAAAGTGAGTTGGATACCCTGAGTAAGCAAATCTGACTGGAGCTCGAAGCTCAGGGAAGGGAATTAAATGCAAAGTTAAGGATGTTAGACTGTACATTCTGGACAATGCAGAATCATAGAAGGATCCACAGCAGGAAAGAAAACACAATCAGCTGAGTGTGATGGCTCACGCCTGTAATCCCAGCACTTTGGGAAGCCAAGGCGGGCAGATTGCTTGAAGCCAGGAGTTCAAGATCAGCCTGGCCAATATGGTGAAACCCCGTCTCTACCAAAAATACAAAAATTATCCAGGTGGGGTGGTGCACGCCCTTAATCCCAGCTACTCAGGAGGCTGAGGTGCGAGAATCACTTGTAGTGAGCCGAGATTGCGCCACTGCACTCCAGCCTGGGTGACAGAGCGAGACTCTGTCAGGAGAACGAAAGAATGAACAAATGAAAGAAGGAGAAAGAGAGAGAGAAAGAAGGAAAGAAGAAGGGAGGAAGGAGGGAGGGAGGAAGAAATGTGCATTTTCACAATGCACAATCAAAATGCACAAATCAAAATACACAATCAAAACTGTGCATTTTGGCAGCCTGGGCAGGTAACAAGATGCACTAAAGGGAAGAGATATGAGGTTTGAGGAGATGAGTCATGCTGTGGCATGACCAGGTCGGCAGAGGTGGCGATAGAGAAACAGACACGTGCGTGACTGAAGAAGAAGGAATCAGCTGGATCTGGTAACTGATAACAACCTGAGAAAGGGTAAGGCATCAAAGGCAATTCTGCACTTCTAAGGGCGACTACCTATACAGAGTGGTATCATTAACAGAAAGCAAGAATTCAGAAAGCAGAACCAGACTAAGTTATTTATGAACACATGCCTCTTCAAGACACTCATATATCAGGTAATTAATCAAAGAATCTGAATTCTAGTTAAAATATGAGAAGAACTTCAAAAGGTTGAGATTTGAATTTGGTGGGATGGGGTGAAATAGTCACTTTTAAAGAGGTTGGGATTGAGGTGGGGCACAACACCTAATGTGAAAATGTCCAAAAGAGAGCTAGAAATATGTGATTGAAACATAAAATAGTTTCAAGCCAAAATACAGACCTGAGAATTATTGGATATGGTAGAATCAAAAGAAGTGGGAGAGACCTCTATGAGAAAAATCATAGAAAAAGGCAGAGGCTGAGAACTAGAAAGAGATACGTGGGACACCCGACTACTGCCGTTATGGGGAACAAAAAAAGTCCAGGTTATCCATTCCTAGCCATATGAGCATACGGAGAATAATACAGCATTTCTCTTACCCTTAGCACTTAAGTAATAAGTACAAACATGTATTCACCATGTGTGTGTGCCAGGGTATGAACAGTCATAAGTCAGTGGGTCACAACCTACAAAGAAGCTGCTGTGGCCTTCATTTTAAAAGTGAGGAGACAGGTAAGGCTTAGAGAGATCGTACAGTTGGTCTGTGACATGTTTGGCACTCCAGCCCAGGGACTCTTTCTCTAGATGGCATGTCCTTCCCACTAGGGGGTTATGCACCCTCCTGAGTGGCCTTTACAGCAGACACACCTGCTCTCTAACCTTCTGTCACTTTCTACGGGAACTCTGTATGAGCCAAATGACTATTCACAGAAAACAGGCAAGAAATGCCAAATGCCCTTATGACCGGACTTAATTATTTATGACTATGTTATCCTTTAAGGCTGCTTCTCATATGTCAGGTAATGAAGCAGAAACCAAACCTCACTTCCAGTTAAAGCACAAGAAGAACCTCCAGAGAGTGAGATTTGATTTGAAAATCAAGTATGCTAAATTGTTCCTGTCTCAAGTTCTCCTCCATGGAACAATAATTAGAAGAGGAAACAATAATTGGAAAAGGGAAAGTGAACATGTCCTGCTTCTAAAATGTTACCAAGATCCCACAGCACATCCGCCCAATTTAATCCTTTTACCCAAGCTACTGCCGAAGCAGAAAAGAAAGGCAAGGATACCAAAGAGGCTGCTTTCCAAAGCATCTAAAGCTTCAACTATGAGAATTGTTCTAAAAGAACAACAGAATCAAACACTATTGTAGACAAGCACCGTAACTCAAAATTACAAACGAAAATTATCTGAATCCTCCAAGTCACAAAATGAGAACAAAGAGCCAAAAAGCCAATAAAGCAGAAAGTGGTATCAGAGTTTTAGCTGCTGGATAAAATTATGTAGCCTCAGAAACCTTGATACTACATATATTAGTTTATCAGATATTATTATTGAAATACGGGGCAATGGGGAATACTGCACCTGTGTAAAACTAATTCTGGGAGAGAATGACTATCAGATGTCTGGGTGTGTGTTAGGCAGAGGAGAGGTAAAGGGGTAATAATGACTACGCAAACAGCAGAGAAAAGCAGTTCCTGAAACAAACCCCATGGTATAAGGCTTCAGAGTCTTCGCTGAAAATACCTAAGCATGCTAAGGGTTTTCCCAAGTTCTAGGCTTCAGTGCATTCTTTAGAGTTTCTTTCCTATGTTTCTAAGGCAATCTTTTTTTTTTTCAATTTCCCATTGCCAATGTCAGGAAAAAAGGGGGGTGATAAGCTGCAGAAGCCACATGGATACAACTGGGCCTGAGCTAAGAGACAGCCCAGTGAGTATGCAGTGGAGGAAAAGTTGTGTTTTTCAAAAAGATATAATTGCCCAGAAAAGCACTTTTGCAAAATAATGAAAACTAATAGCATGGGAACATTTATTTCCCAAGTTGGCTCACGTGTAACTTAGAAATGTTATTTCTGTATTTTCTGTGTGCAGATTGCCACCAAACCCATAGTTTGAAATAGCTGATAATCCAAAGAAAATAAAAACAACCCCTATGTGATCAAGAACAGACACCTTAAGTGGAACAATTGCCTTTTATTAATAAAGTACTCATTCTAAAATATTTAAACTTGCTTCAAAGACCTTGTTTCCTTAAATTTCAAAACACTGAGGCATGGTCATGAAATAACAACACATGCTATAAAATCCCACAGCTCAAAATCTAGTCTTGTTCTAATTCATTTTGTTGTTGTTGTTGTTTTTAAGACAGAATCTTACTCTGTTGCCTAGGCTGGAGCACAGTGACATGATCTCGGCTCACTGCAGCCTCTGCCTCCTGGGTGCAAGTGATTCTCGTGCCTCAGCCTCCCAAGTAACTGGGATTACAGGCATGCGCCACCACACTTGGCTACTTGTTGTATTTTTAGTAGAGACAGGGTTTCACCATGTTGGCCAGACTGGTCTCAAACTCCTGGCCTCAAATGATCCTCCCGCCTCAGCCTCCCAAAGTGCTGGGATTACAGGCATGAGCCACTGCCCTGGCTCCTAATTAATTATTTTCACCGTTTTTTCTTTCTTTTTTTTTAAAAAAACCTCCAATTCTGGTTTTCAATTTTTAGAAACTACATAAAGGTAAATAGAAGTGTGTGTTGAAAATGACATGAGCTTCTGGAAGGAAAAGCTCTCAGCATTCAAATGTATTGATAGAGATGCTCGAAATATTCAACTTTTTATAAGGACATTCAGCACCTGAAACGCAACACCTCTCTCTCAAGTCAGCGGGCAACTTCTTCAAAATGTACAATATTTGGTTCTTTTATCAGCCTGCTTCTCCACAAGTCCAAGCTGGGCTAGGCAGGATGGACTTCTTTCTGCCATTCCGGTCTCAGGGAGTGCTACCTTCTCTGAAGGACACTGACATAATGGCTACCCTCTTTTTAGCACATCACCTTACGTTCATTTTCTAATTTGTCTGCTTCTTTGTTCGCTGATTTTCTACCAATTAGACTGTCTACACAACAGTTACACATGTGCTTGTTTCCACTTCCAGCCTCCCCTGTGAGAACCCTGAGGTACCAAGCCCAAAGCCTGGCGTGCAGCGCATGTCCAATCAGTATTTGTTTAAAAAAACGTGTGAGATAAATTAAACAGTTTCACACCTTTAACAAATTAAACAGTATTTTAAAACAGTGCATTGAAGCATGAAGCAATAATTGCTCATTTCCTGTTGAGATAGGAAGGATAAGAGTTTATAATGGCAACATTATTTATGCTGAAATATGCCTCTGCCCTGGTTAAATCTTAAGCATAAGTTTCAAAATTACTTCAGAGTTGTATAATCACTACTATAAAAAAAGGCTTAAAATTTCTGATTTAAGGAGAAATTAGCAATTGTATTGTTAATTTTGTCGTCTTAAATCAAATCTTGTGCAGGCTTTTATAATATATTGTATATTATCTTCACTCCGAGTTGCAGAGGTACATTCTTTAAGGTTTTTAAATACTGGCTTACTTTCTGAAATAAATGTACAACCATTGGCCACAACCATTGGCCTAACAAGGCTGTTTCCACTTTATATTATAATTCTTCTTCACGCAGCATTTTTAAAGTTTAAAATTTACTTTTCTCATGTTTTCACATTTGTTTAATTCTGTGTGGAGGGTAGGAATTCTGTAGTGTGGTCTCAGAGGCAGAATACAATACTTAGGAACTTACATCAATCTCTTCAAGTAGAAAATAGATAAAGATATCTATATATCAGTGTATATGTAATTATACTATATTGAGCTAGCTAGCTCTCAATATAAGCTAGCTATCAGTATTGTTATTCCTATACCTTATCATGATTACAGACACTGGAGAGACGATCTAGAAAACCCTGTCATATCAAGGCTTCACTGAGGTTGGGGAATCACGATTTAGAAAAGGGAAAAGGGAACAGCATATTGGAAAGGATGGCATGAATGCTGCCATGGAAACATACTATAGACACATATACATACACACATATGTGTGTGTATCTGTGTGTGGATATAGGCTGCTTTAGTGCCACTCATAATTCCACAACATTGAATACACTATAAAAGATTTTCTTTTTATTTATTTATTTTTTGAGATGTAGTCTCACTCTGTCACCCAGGCTGGAATGAAGTGGTATGATCTTGGCTCATTGCAACCTCCGCCTCCCGGGTTCAAGCGATTCTCCTGCCTCAGCCTCCTGAGTAGCTGGGATTACAGGAGCATGCTACCACACCTGGCTAATTTTTGTATTTTTAGTAGAGATGGGGTTTCACCATGTTGCCCAGGCTGTTCTTGAACTCCTGACCTCACGTGATCTGCCTGCCTCTGCCTCCCAAAATGCTGGGATTACAGGCATGAGCCATCATACCTGGCCTGAATATACTATGAAACATTTTCTTCCAAAACATAATTATATGCAGAAAAAGACAGGTATCAGTGCCATCTCTCATTATGAAAAATAAAGTTTCACTACAATGAAGTACTTAGATAACCATATTTATATTGATACATCAGAAAATCTAAAGAGGAAAAATAGAGATATAAATTAATAATTTGTGGAGATTTTAAAAATACCAAAGATTAGTTAATGGAAAAGAAAATATTTTTAAAACTCTGGAAGGTTAAATAAAGTACTCACAGTATTCTTCTGGCAAATTATTTCCTGAAAAACAAGAAAAAAAATATACCACAAGTTAATACAAAACTGAATAATTCAACAACATTTATTGAACTATGTGGGAAAATTTGTATTAACAATGATATTAGCAATTAGAAATTTTAGGAACTGTAGATTCAGTTCCTGCATCTGAAAAGTTTTCTATCTATCTACCTACTTATTTTAGAGAAAAGGTTGCCTCTGTTGCCCAGGCTGGAGTACAATGGCACAATCATAACTCACTACAGCCACAAGCTCCTGGGCTCAAGTGATCCTCCCACCTCAGCCTCCCAAGTAGCTAGGACTACAGGCCTACAGGTACATGCCACCACAACCAGCTAATTTTAGTAATTGTTTTTGTAGAGACAAGATCTCACTATGTTGCTCAGGTTGGTCTCCAACTCCTGGCCTCAAGCAATTCTCCCACTCTGGCCTCCCAAAATGCTGGGATTACAGGTGCGAGCCACGATGCCCGGCCTAAAAAGTTTACAATCTGCGGAGGAGACAGGAGAATACGAAAGTATTGTCTGCAGTTTAAAAAACAAAACAAAGCAAAACAAAAAACCAGCACTAATATGTAAAATCCCCAAACTGAATAACCTAAAAATAATTTCTGCAGATTACCTGATCAGCCACCATCTCCTTGGGAGGAGGTTAAAACGAGTTTGCTTTCCCTAAGCACAATGTCTCTCACACTCTGGGAGGGGAAAAAACAGTGTGTTACATCCTGAGCAGCTAGAAATAAAGGGTATTGGCCACCGGCAAATCCACACACAGATAATCAAGACATCTGACAAAAAATAGTCATAATTTGTGTGTTTTTCATTGAGAAATATAATGGGATAAATGGCCGGGTGCAGTGGCTCATGCCTGTAATCCCAGCACTTTGGGAGGTGGAGGCAGGTGGATCACCTGAGGTCATGAGCTCGAGACCAGCCTGGCCAACATGGTGAAACTCCATCTCTACTAACAATACAAAAATTAGCTAGGCATGGTGGCACATGACTGCATGACTGTAATCCCAGCTACTCAGGAGGCTGAGGCAGGAGAATCACTTGAATCCAAGAGGCGGAGGCTGCGGCGAGCTGAGATCGCACCACTGCACTCTAACCTGGGTGACAGAGTGAGACTCCTCAAAAAAAAAAGAATGGGATAAGTACACAGTGTGGGCAGTGTGCCCATCTTCTAGGTTGTGAAGATTGAGTGAGATCATACAAATAATATAGCTATACAGTGCCTGACACATAAAAGCTCTCAATATAAGCTAACTATCAGTATTGTTATTCCTATACCTCACCATGACTACAGACACCGGAGAGACGATCTAGAAAAGCCTGTTGTATCAAGGCTTCACTGAGGTTGGGGAATCATCATTTAGAAAAGGGAAAAGGGAACAGCATATTGGAAAGGATGGCATGAATGTTGCCATGGAAACAGAAATAGTAAGGCATTTGTGGAGCCTCAAGGGCGAGTCCATCTGGCTGAGGCAAGGAGCCAGATCTGGGAGGGAAGAGTGTGGCCAGGCGAGGCCCGGCTGAGTGGCCATCATCTTCAGCCCAGGACCAGGATGCTGAATCCACATGGGGCAAAGAAGAACCAACAAGGACTTTCATGCAAAGGAGCATGTAAGATTTTTGAATGTTTAAGGATAGCAGATGAGAAAACAAAAACTGACAGAGGAAAGAATTGCACTGGGTAGTTCTGAGGGCCATGAAGATGTACACAAAACACTAAAAATGCCTGGTGCCGTGGCTGACGCCTGTAAATCTCAGCGCTTTGGGAGGCTAAGGCCGGAAGATCACTTGAGACTAGGAGTTTGAGGCCAGCCTAGGCAACATGATGAGACTCTGCCTCTAGAAAACATTTAAAAATTAGCTGGGTGTCGTGGCACACACCTCACATCTATAGACCAAGCTACTTGGAAGGCTGGGGCAGGAGGATCACTTGAGCCTTGAAGATCGAGGCTGCAGTCAGCTATGACTGTGCCACTGCACTCCAGCTTGGGCAACAGAGCAAGATCCTGACTCAAAAAAAAAATGACTAAAAGATATTCTTCAATACCTGACAATCTTGCTGATAGAAAAGGGACATGTACACATTTAATATTTATGTAAGTCTGGATGGAAATGTGTGTATACGCACAATTGCTAAAAGTAAAAAGAATGACAGAGACAGCAAGGGCTATGCTTTATCAGAGAAAGATGTTCCTGAAGATTGAGAAAGCCTGGGAAGCTCAGCAGAGAAGGTGGAACTCAAGCTGAGCTGTGAAGGACAGACACGACCTCCAAAGGCAAAGCCCGAAGGTGAGGATCCAGGCCGGAGAGCTAGGTAAAGCAAAGGCCCATCTGAGGAACAATAAACGTTATCACAGGGAGCTAAAGAAGACAGTTCAGTTGGGGACCTATGGAAGAGTGAATTAAAGAGGTACTTGGGGGGGGGGGGAACCCCTTGAACGTAGTCATTTGGCTAAAGCAGAAAGTTCATTTTGACACATACAAAAAGTAAGATTAGAAAGCTATTTGGAGCCTTACTGAAGAAGGCTTTGAATGCTACAATCAAGTACTCTGCTCTGTGAGCACCTGGCAGTCAACGTGTTTTTTAAGGTGAGTGATATGTTCAAAGAAGTATCAGCACGTATTGGGGCACCATTTGTACTAGTAAAGGCTGAGAACAACATAAATGGCCATAATCTAAAAACTAGTTGAATAAACACTAGTACCTCCATACACTGGAATACATTACACCCAAACAAACAATGAAGAACCAAACAAACAATGAAGTGATAGAGAAGGATCTCCCAGATCTGCTAAGTAAAAAAAGCAAAATAGAGAACAGTTTTTTATCCTATGCTGCTATTTATGTATAAAAGAGAGAAAAATGAAATTCTAATTTGTAAATTCATAAAATCTCTCTGGAAGGATGTATAAGAAACTAAAAACAGTGGTTGCCAATGGAGTCGGTTGGCTGACTAGAGGATAAAGGTAAAATAATAAATTTTCACTGTATATCATTTTGTACTTTTAAATGTTTGTAGCAAGTGAATGTATTACCTTAGGACAAATAAATAAAAGGTAAACCTTGTTAAAGTTTTACACAGACTAATTTGATGATGTTACTTAGTATTAATTATTTTTTTTTAATTTTTTGAGACAGGATCTCGCTATGTTACCCAGGCTGGAGTGCAGTGGCATGATCATGGCTCACTGCAGCCTCAACTTCCCAGGCTCCAGAAATCCTCCCACCTCAGCCTCCCAAGTAGCTGGGACCACAGGTGCCTGCCACCATGCCTGGCTAATTTTTGTATTTTTAGTAGAGATGGGGTTTCACCATGTTTCCCAGGCTGGTTTCTAACTCCTGGGCTCAAGCAATCCGCCTGCTTCAGCCTCCCAAAGCGCTAGGATTACAGGTGTGAGCCACCGTGCCTGGCCATTACTTAGTATTTGATGGGGAAAAGCATTTAGGTGGCTACTGAAAAAGTCCAGAGACATCATAGTAAGTGCTTAGTCAATGGGGGTGCTCCAGGAATGGAAATCAAGGGACAGATGAGTGGCATTGTAGAGGAAGGTTGAAAGTGGCTTTTCCTGCAGGTGTTTCAAATAGTTAATATTGCGCACACACAGAAATGGCTCACGAACAAGGAAGCTGAAAAATGTTGGATAATCACAAAGCCAGGAACACAGTATGCAGAATTTTTCAAACTTGATCTATGGAGCATCTCTCCAGAGTAGCAAACCATACGCTTGCAAATATGGCTCTCACTTGATAGAATATCCTTCTCTCTTCCCCTCTGAGTAACGAGGAAATGCCCTCTCCGTCCTCTCTGTGCAGCATCCTCTGTGCAATGTATAAGAAACCTGTCTTCTGTGAAGCTGGCCTTCACTGTGTTCTGTGACACCCCCAACAGAAGTAGATTATGTCTTTATCTGTGTTGTCATTAATCCTCACACACATCTCCTCGAAAGCACTTCATTTTCTACATTGCACATTTTTGTTCCTATGATTCTCTCACCCTACATCATGACTTCCTCGCGTGCAAAGACCATGTATTTTATTCATATTTGTATCCTGACTGACTGTCTAGCAAATGTCATGACATACAGCGGGTACTACAAAAGCATGAATAAATGAATAAATTAATGAATGTATAAAATATTGGACTATGAATTAGGGGTAGATATATGTAAGATATGGCTCTGCTCCCAGCTAGCCATTTCACTTCTCTCTAATGTGACACTAAGAGAGTTTGACTAAGTGATTGCTAGTCTCTTCTAATGCTGTGTTCATCAATTGCTTTTGCCTAAAGGGCTCTCATAGTCAGTCTTGTCCTTGTGCTGCTAGAAGGAGAGATGCCCTCATGCTCCCCCAGCATACAAGATATTCTACCCTTGACTCTGTTTTTGATGCACCAGGCACAGAAATGGAAGTGGCAGGGAAGGGAGCAGTGGTGAGTACTGAGTGAGCAGAAGGCTCTATAGAAAAGCAAATGGCCACTACTGGCTTAGTGCCAATATGCTATATCTTCCTTATGAATTGCTCATTGGAATAATAACCCTCTTACATGTCTCCTCCATCTTCATTTCAGATTATGCATACCTTATAATGCATGCATTTTAGATTATGCTTGCAGATTGTGCCTGCAAACTATAAAAATCATTCCTGAGCCAGATGATGGTGTGCACCTGTAATCCCAGCTACTCAAGAGGCAGAGGCAGGAGGGTTGCTTGAGGCCAGGAGTTCGAGGCCACAGTGAGCTATGATCGCACCACTGCACTCCAGCCTGGGTGACAAGAGAGTCCCATCTCTTAAAAAGAGAAAGAAAAATCATTCGTGTAACATCTGAATTCTTGTTAGCTATTGTTTATGCTTTGTAGATGCTAAAGGGCTACAAATCCTGTTCTCCTGAAGGAGACAGAGTTTATTCACAGTTTATCATGTAACCTTAAAGGAGGCATCAACTTTAATGGAGCAAAGGTACTGTTTGTTCATTTAACTCAATCCAAATAAATAACAAATAAGACCTTGAAAGGTATCTAGAGCAGAGAATGCTTAATTTGTATTAAATCCACTAAAGAGGGGTGGGAAGGAAAGGGAATAAATTTAAGACATAACTGCTCTATTTCACATCAGCTCATGGAAATTTTCCTCTCAAGTACCTATGAATAAGAAGATAAAATCAATATAAACTCCAGTTCCTTGCCAGGGGCACATTTCTGAAGATGCATTACCCCACTACAACTCCATACTTGTCTGAGGTATTTAGGGGGCTTTTGGTCAGTGTAGCCCCGGCTATACCAGAAACATTCAAAAAAATTCTTTTCCTGATTTTCTGGTATTGGTTGATAACCAATTAAGGGGAGCAAGACTAAAAAAAAAAATCTAGTCCAAGGCTCATTTGAAGGCAAAGACTAACTTTTGATAGCTCTCTGGGACAGTGTTTGAAAAGGTCACCTCAGGGATAACTAAATGGAGTATTTCCACCACTAGAAAGTTTTTGTGCCTAAAATTTAGGTAACTGCAGCCAGCGAAAGAAGTGGGAATAGCAGGCATGGGGTGGCCAAGTCAAATCAAACTTGGGGTGGGAGAAGCAGGAATAGGAACCAGGATTTCACCTTCCTGAAAGAAGAGAAAGGAGCAGGCTTGGAGTTCTTGCCCAGGGAAAGAACCTCTCCCTGGCTGGTGACTTTCTGGGTCTTCCGTTCTGATCCATCTTTCTGTCCTAGTGGAACTTGGCAAGTTTTCCATTAAAGTTGGGGAAAAGAAGAATAATCCCTATACTCCTCAGCTCCATCTTCTTAACTCATTTCAATGTGTCAAAAAAGCAAAACAAGAAACTATCAGATGGGCTGTCTGGGCCTCCTAGGCCTTGCTGAGAAGGAGAAACACCCCCGTACCCTTTCTGCACACTGCTAAAACAAGCTGAGCAGACTCAGGGAGAGTAATCCAACAAAAGTGTCATAGAGCCGTGACACAGAGTCTTTAAAGATAGATAGGAAACAAAGTACTTTTGTGTTTACATGTTATGCCTACATAAAAGCTCAAGCTTTAAAAGAAAAAAATCTCAATAATCTTAAAAAAAAAACCTAGAAAATCATCCTTTTGCAGAACATATGAAATCTGTGGATAGACTGAGAGAGGAAAGTACCAGATGACAAGTCAAAGAATATAGGGCTTATCCTTGCCCCGACACTAGCTGTGTGTGTTCCCCAAACAAGTCATCACGCGTCTCATTTCTCTTCTGTAAAGAAAATATCTTCTGGCCAGGAGCGTTGGCTCATGCCTGTAATCACAGCACTTTGGGAGGCAGAGGCAGGCAGATCACTGGAGCCCAGGAGTTTGAGACCAGCCTGGGAAACACGGCAAAACCCCATCTCTACAAAAAAATACAAAAATTAGCCAGGTGTAGCAGCATGTGCCTATACACCCAGCTACTCAGGAGGTCGAGATGGGAGGATTGCTTGAACCTGGGAGGTGGAGGTTGCACTGAGCCAAAATGGCACTACTGCACCCCAGGCTGGGTGGACAAAGTCAGACCTCTCAAAAAAAAAAAGAAAGAAAGAAAGAAAGAAAAAAGAAAAAGAAAATACCTTCTATCTCTCCAATCCAAATAATATCTAACTTGTCTGTCTCGTTGGGTTCTATGTAAAGGCCAAATGGAGTAAGTTAATGAAATTACTTGCAGTACTTTAAAGCTATTTATAGGAGGAGGTATTAATAAACCAAAGCAAACAACTCCAACTCAATTCCTGCACTGCCAGGTCTAGAGACCTTTTACACCTCTGTTATTCATGACGGGGGCTAAGAACACATCCTTCTCTTGCATATGAACACCTATCAATTAAAACAACCTGTACCAAAAATCAGGTTAAATTATATCAAAGCTGGAAAGTAATCCTAAAAGGAATTCTAGCCTCTCTTTTCCCTATTAATTTCTTTTCATATTTAAATAAGTATATCTTGGTGGAAGAACTCTGCCGTAAGTAGGTATCTGTCTCTAAACTGGCTGGAATGCTGATGAATGACATTTTATACATAAAGCATTTAATAGAGCTTTTTTTTTTTTTTTTGAGACAGGGTCTCACTCTGTCACTCTATCACCCAGGCTGGAGTGCAGTGACATGATCTCAGCTCACTGCAACCTCAACCTCCCCAGGCTCAGGCAATTCTCCTACCTCAGCCTCCTAAGTAGCTGGGACTACAGGCACGTACCACCATGACCAGCTAATTTTTGTAGAAACTGGGTCTCACTATGCTGACCAGGCTGGTCTTGAACTCCTGGGCTTAGGTGATCCACCTGCCTCAGCCTCCCAAAGTGCTGGGATTACAGCTGTGCCCGGCCTAACAGAGCTTCTTAACACAAACTTCACTTTATACTGTGTTGCTATTATAATTAACTTCTTCTTCTTTTTAACCAGTTGTTTCTTTCAGCAACACCTAATTGGGTCACATTATTCAAGTGCATGTATTACTTTTCTTAAACTGTATTGTTAAAGTTGGAGGTATAGTGAATTTTTCTACAGTAAATCATACTTTACACATTGATATGGTTTGGCTGTGTCCCCACCCAAATCTCAACTCGAATTGTAGCTCCCATGATTCCCACATGTTGTGGGAGGGACCTGGTGGGAGATAACTGAATTACGGGGGTGGTTTCCCCCATACTGTTCTCGTGGTAGTGAATAAGTCTCACGAGGTCTGATGATTTTATAAGGGGTTTCCCCTTCCACCTGGCTCATTCTATCTTGTCTGCTGCCATGTAAGATGTGCCTTTCACCTTCTGCCATGATTGTGAGGCCTCCCCAGCCACATAGAACTGTGAGTCCATTAAACCTCTTTTTCTTTATAAATTACCCAGTCTCAGGTATGTCTTTATCAGCAGCATGAAAATGAACTAATACACACACATATTTCAGTAATAGTTTCAAAGATATATTCTAAAAAGGCCCAAAGAGGGTGATGGGTTACAATGCCAAAAAGATCAACTTCCACAGAAAGAGTCATTTATATAGCATAAGTGAAAATAAAGATAATTCAGCAAGGCTTGCCCCACTCCTTCCTCTGTGTGCAGAAGTAGTCCTTCTTACTCTTTAAGGGTATTCAAAATCATAGGCCTACGACCAGAGTCACTACAAATGAGAAAAATAGCTGGTGCCCACAGTCATATAATGGCATTGTGCATCGCCTCTTAGACAAAATGGTAACAAGAGATTCAAAACAGTGGGCAAGGAGTGAGGGTGGTTAAAGAGGTATCAGGAAGGAGAAAGCAAGGGCATATTTTACCCAGTCTATACATAATTCCTTAGAAGGTATACTATTGCTAATTGACATCCAAGAAAGCTGAATTCTCCAGTCTTGAGTCCCTTTAATAACCTCAGGGATTCTACAATTGGGAAGTCAACTCCTGCTAAATAAATCATTCATCTAGCTTGTCAATTCAAGATCTTCAGAGAAAACCTTCATAAAGCAGTGTTACATGAATTGCTTATTTGCTCCTCCCCACAAATTACCTCTTTCCTTCCCCAATTTGAGATGGAATGATTATAGCTTAGATGAAAGTTAGATCATTTCTGAATAAATAAAATAAAGGAACAAGATTGTCTCTACCAAATGAAAAGAAGTGTAAGGGATAGCAACGTTGAACCAGGAAGAGTAGAGTCCCAGGGTTTTTAAATCAACAGCTGGTTATAAAGTAAGCTAGAGACTTTCAGAGATGTCCAGAGGCAGCACTATTAAAAAGGGGTAGGGCCAATGTTTCCAGTTCACAAATTGTGAGACCACTTTATAGGATCATATTTTCCAAGGATGTTTTTAAAAAACATTTACTGAGTGTGTACTTTGTACCACTAACAAGTTGATGATTTTTAAAATGCTGAAAAGAATCCAGCAAAAATTCTTTGTTAAACTAAAAGAATCCTAAACCTTTGAAAAATAAAAATTTTAATTCCATGCACAACTCAAGCTAAAACCAAATTCATCTTATTTACTTTGATAAGGGAGGCAAAACTTTAACAAAAGGAAGTACTGTTTTTTGTTTGTAAAAACAAAAAGATAAAATGTTTTTATGGGTTTAAGAACACTCTGGAATCCGAGTAGATTCTCCAAATACAGGTAAGAATTCAATTTAAGTGTGAGGTATTTGTAACAAATTACCAGGTGTCCTCACCAATTTACAAACTGGTATAATCATCAAAATTTACACATGGACATCACTGCTATTTTCAAAACTATAACCATTTGCTTCAAATGGATATGAATGAGTGCCAGAAAGACAAGACTCCGTGTTTAAGTTCTAAAGGAGATTGAGTCCCTCAGTGCCTGCAGATAAAAGATCATGGGTCTAGGTATCACAGAACTGCTCAAATGAGCAGTAGTTTTCAACGTTCATTTATGTTGTACCATATGTCAAAATTTCCTTCCTTTTTAAGATTGAATAATATTCCATTATATGTATATACCACATGTTGTTCAGCCAATGATCTGTTGATAAATATGTGGGTTGCTTCCACCTTTTGGCTACTAAGAATAATGCTACCATGAACATGGGTATATAAACACCTCTTCAAGATCCCGCTTTCAGTTCTTTTGGGTATATATCCAGAAGTGGAATTGCTGGATCATGTGGTAATTTTATTTTTAATGTTTTGGGGAGCTGCCGTATTATTAAAATTTGCTGATTTTTAAGGGCTAATTTAGTGAAATGTTACAAATTTTGGTTTGTGCACCTAAGATTTCATGCTAGCCAGATCCCAATCTAGAAAATAATAGATGCACTGAGGCAGAGTAAGGGTTTCAAGCATCACATATGTGTGTTCTGTATACAGTGAGATAGTGAAGGAGTAAGCGTGTAGACAGGTTGCCACAGAGAATAGTCTATTAATGAAAATCCCATCCATAAAGTAACTTTTCAGCCAATGGTTAAAGATAAAAATACAACTAAATTTTTTGAACAAGAAATAATCTAACATAATCATTACGTTTCAACACAAACTGCATCACCACTAACTGATGTGCCTACCAACCTATCAAGAAACATTACTTCTATAATGGATAAAATGAGAACAAAGTCTGTTTGAGTGCAGAAAGGGAAATATCCAAATATCTGAAGCTTTCTAACCACAGCCAGAACATAGAAAAAAGACACTAAAAATATTTTGGGATTCCAGTGTCCAAAATGCATATACGTTATCCTGGTGGATACAAAAAATAAAAGAATATAGCAACCTTTTCCTTTTTTAAAAAAGGTTAATTATTAAATATTTCAAGTATATAAAAAGTACAAAAATTAGCACTCATAATCTACCACCTAGATTTAGAACTATAACATTACAGATACAGTTGAAGACTCTCATCTTCCCTTCCCAATTTTATTCCATTCCTATCCCCTAAGAGGTAACTATTCTGAATGTTGTTTATAATTCCATGCACATGTCTATCCTTTTATAACACAAGTGTGTATAAAAGCATCCTCTTGCACTGACAATATTTTATATAGATGGTATGATACTGTACACAAGTAATTTTTTTACCCCAACACTGTTGTTTTGAGATATATTGATATTGACGTCTGAAGCACTAACTGATTTGTTTTAAGTGCTCTATAATATTCCATTAAATGATTATAGCTGGCTGGGCATGGTGGTTCACACCTGTAATCCCAGCACTTTGGGAGGCCAACGGGGGCGGATTGCTTGAGATCAGGAGTTTGATATCAGCCTGGCCAACATGGCGAAACCCCGTCTCTACTAAAATACAAAAATCAGCTGGGCGTGGTGGCGGGAGCCTGTAATCCCAGCTACTAGGGAGGCTGAGACAGGAGAATTGCTTGAACCCAGGAGGTGGAGGTTGCAGTGAGCCGGGATAGCACCACTGCACTCCAGCCCGGGTGACAAAGCAAGATCGTCTCAAAAAAAAAAAAAAAAAAAAAAAAAAAAAAAAAAAAAAATTACAGCTGAAGGTATCTATTAATTCTCCATTTCCTTGGGAGGAGGAGCTATTATAAACATGTTAACATAAACATTCTTGATTATATCTCCTTATGCATGCAAGAGACTTTTTTTACAGTATACATTTAGGGTTGGAATGACTAAGTCTTGGTGATATGCTCATTTGATATTATTAAATATTCCCAAATTGCGCTTCAGAAGGTAGTATCTCTCCCACCAGCAGTGTGTAGGTTTCCCACTCTCCACAATCTGGCCATCTGTAGTATAAGAGCTTTTAATTCTCAACTATCTGGCACGTGCAGTCATGTTTCATCCTGTTGTTTTGCTTCCTTTAAAAGTAGCATTGTTTAAAGTGAGTGGGGAGTGGCCCAGAACATAGAGGAGCTGAGGAAGGGAGTGGAGGAAAGGATCACAAGAAGATAAGCTGAGAGCTGGTGTTATAAAGGAATTTCTAGTGATAAGAGATGGTTCATTAAAACAACTTCCTCACTCTACACAAAACAGGTTCATTTCTCCTAAGTCATCAGAGGTGTTTAATGCATCTGCACCACAGCTCATTGACCAGGAGTGTCCAGACTTACTCACCACTTACTGAGAGACCCCAAGTGGAAGTATGATCATTTCATAATGCATGAAATAAATCAGAAAATAATTGTTACTAGCATTTCTTATTTTAAACCAATGTAAATATTGGCACAGATATTCTCTCAATAAACATTAGTAGGCACGAGAGAAATTCTCATGAGACTTAAAGAAAATTGTAAAAAATAAAAGTGTTGTTACAATGCTAAAGAAAATAAAAAGAATTGGCCAGGCACAGTGGCTCACGCCTGTGATCCCAGCACTTTGGGGGGCCGAGGTGGGCAGATTACTTGAGGTCAGGAGTTCAAGACCAGCCTGGCCAACATGGTGAAACCCCATCTCTACTAAAAATATAAAAATTAGCCAGGCATGGTGGCACGTGCCTATAATCCCAGCTACTCTGGAGGCGGAGGTTGCAGTGAGCTGAGATTGCTCCATTGCACTAAAAAAGCAAAAAAAAAAAGAAAAAATCAACTTCCTTCTCTCAAAGTGTAATGATCATCTTCTCTTGAAAAAAATACTAAAATTTTTCATTCTTAGTACAACAAAATAGTACTTGTGATTTAAAACAATGGATATAAATCTTATTACAATTAAATGCTATGACTAGATTCTAAATATCCTTTCAAATGATACTTCAGACATAGATTTTTAAAGTACTTTCATAGCTCCCATTACTTTTCCAGGAGCTTAAATTAAAACAAAAAAAAATTTTTTTCTACGATTTCTTCCTGAGAATTTGCCACCAAAGAGAAACTGCAGTCTTCAACAAAGAGCAGCAGATTAAAATAAAACTTGTGCAGCTGTACTTTCTAGATGGCCAAAGAATCAACCTAAGTGAAACTAAACATATGACAAGAATAGCATTCTAAAACTGTCTTTGCCCTGTGAAAACAGAGAAATGCTTTGTTTTTATTTCACTTGGCTAATCCTTACATGATATATTATTTTAAATATCTCTTGTTCTGCTTCTTTCATGGCAGTTTTCCTATCTGTTGGTCAATGGCAGGAATAAGGGTTACATCTTTAACTAATTGACCAGAAATGAATAAAACTAAAAATACACACACACACCAACTCTTTTCGGTAGCATAGGACCTGAGGAACTTTCAGGACTCAGAGGAAATTGCTAGACTGCCAAATATGCTTCCTATCCCAGATATTTCTGTCCTCTGCAACCAGACACATGACCTACCAGGCTAGGAATAGTCTAAATAAGAAAACAGCAAAAGTTTAAGTTAATAGAAAGGAGAAGGGAAAAGAAAAAAAGAAGGATGTTACCTAGGAAAACTCAGGAGGCATAGCTGATAGGCTTTTCTAAATGAACACACTCAGCAGGAATATATGATATAATTTTAACTAGAAGTAACTAACAATAATGCTTAGCAGTCAAGGGCAACAGGCTTTGGAGTCAGGCAGTCGTAATCCCAAATTTTCCTAGCTATATCACCTTAGGCAAATGATTGAATTTCTTTGAGCTTCGGTTTGTGATACTAAAAAAATGCTAATAGAAAATACATCTTACAGAGCTCTTTTAAGAATTATTATTATTATTATTCTTTGTTTTGTGATTTTTTTGAGACAGGGTCTTGCTGTGTCGCCCAGGCTGGAGTGCAGTGGTGTGATCTCAGCTTACTGCAACCTCTGCCTCCTGGGTTCAAGAGATTCTCATGCCTCCCAAGTAGCTGGGATTACAGGCATGTGCTGCCACACCTGGCTAATTTTTGTATTTAGTAGAGACAAGGTTTCACCACGTTGGCCAGGCTGGTCTTGAACTCCTGGCCTCAAGTGATCCAACTGCCTCAGCTCCGCAAAGTGCTGGGATTACCACACCCAGCCTCTCCTTTAAGAATTTGAAAATGTATGCAGATAAAGCACTTGGTACCTAGCACATAGTGAATACTCAATAAGAAGCAGATAATATGTACAAGATAAATGAGCACAGTTTAGACATCATTAGCCTTTTTAAGGAACTACTTCAATCAAATGCCAATAACACTCCTAGACAAAGGCTAGCTTAAAACAATAAGCCAGTTTATTTGTCCCGGACATATGTGTGGTAAGATTAGCTTTATCTCTTTCTCTCAAATGTAAGTTTGCTTCATTTAAAAATACTTCCCTAGGAAAGAATGGGCACAAAATTAAACCACCAGATACTAGCAGGAGCAAGAGCAAAAAAATGTAGAAAGTAAAAAATCTCCAACATAATAGGGCCTGCTTAAATAAACTTAATCTATCTAGGTGATCTAGGTGTGGCAGCTCACACCTATAATCCCAACCCTTTGGGAGGCCAAGGTGGGAGAATCGCTTGAACCCAGGAGTTCAAGACCAGCCTGGGCAACATGGCAAAACCCCATCTCTACAAAAAAGAGAAAAATTAGCTGGGTGAGGTAGCATGCATCTGTAGTCCCAGCTACTCAGGAGGCTGAGGAGGGAGGATCACTTGAACGCAGGAGGTCATGGCTGCAGTGAGCTGTGATCACGACACTGCATTCCAGCCTGGGTGAGAGAGCGAGATCCTGTCTAAATAAATAAATAAATACATACATACATAAACTTAACCCAAAGAAAAATGAAAAGAGCTAAATAAAATAATTCCTTCATCAAATGCTAATATGGGTTGCAAATAGCAGCAAATCAAAATGTCTAATTAAAAATGAGTTACAACATTTTATGATGTACTAATTAAAGGGGTAAATCTGGAGGAAAATTAAGGAGGGGCTTAAGGATTGCTCCAGGTAAAGGATTGCTCTAGGATAAAAAAACAGACTTAGGACAAGTAGGGGCAAATCTCTTAGAACTGTTTCAGAGTATTCTGGAAAGGGATATACCTGTCAATCACCAGCACAATGCCTGGCATGTAGTAGGTATGTTTGCTCAATGAAGTTCTGCAGATTTCTCAAAGAAAGCCACACATGCTTTAAATACTCAGAATGCAAAATACTACTGACTTTTTTGCATGAAATATGGGTTAGAGATACTCATATAACAATTGCTAAGTCATTAGTAATATGGTTAAGGATTCTAGAGCTCAATGTCCCAAGGTTGGCTCAGATTTGGGAACTGGAAGACAGAGCTGAGAAAAAGCCACATGAAGCTAGCTGGAAGTTTCACAAAGGAAATGGATGATGGCAAGCTCAGCATGCGATTCACTGAACTGTGGGATGCTTTTCAAAGAATCACACAGTGTAAAATCACTTGGCCTTGCAAAAAGCATTTTAGGCAAACTTCTTTGGATGGAGGAAATGCCTTTATAGCAGTAAGCTCCTATTACTGGAGAGAATGACATCGAGACAGGTTGAATTTTGTAGACAAACATAGTAAGTTTCTCCTCCTTTTCTCCCATCTTAGTTTAAATCATACCCTAGTGAAAGAGGAAGGCAACTATTTGGGTATACTCAGAATTTCTCAGAGCACTTTCAAGTAGGAAGTGTACTTTTAGTTGGGAGACTGGTGGGCACCATGAAGCTCCCAAAAGTGACAAAGCATGGAGGCTTGACCATACCTTATGCAATCTCCCTTCTCCACGTCGGCGCTAATGACTTCCTATTAACACAGTCTCCTCCGCTACAACCATGACTGAAACTCAGAACTCAGTGTGAACTTTTTTCCTACTCGTGTCATCAAATTTCTACAGTGAATTCTCGATAAACCTCCCAATTTGACAAGTAATTGATGCATACTAACCAAACATATAAAAGTCTTTCACAAATAAAAGCTACTTAAAATGTTTGGATGACAAACCGGTATCCCTGAAATGCTGATGTTAAAATGAAACATTCAGTAAACAAGGGAGGTACCTTCAGTGACTGCAGAGAGTCCGAGTTAGTATCACAGTAGAGGATGATGTTGTTGGCCATGCTGAAACTTTCTCTCACCCCAAGGTGGTAAAACAAGGACGGCTGCCGGAAGGCATCGCTCATCTCCACCACCGCAATATCTGCAAACAGAAAACAAAGTCCCCCAAAGAATGACACCCAAATAATGCCCAATCAGCACATTTTGGTTTGAATTATCTTAGTATTCAAAAGAGGAAATAAGGAAACGATAGGGATTTTCTCTCTTCATTTATCACTGAATTTTGAATTTGCAGCTCTACCTGGAAGTGGTTTTATAAAATGTAACAAACCTCCTTTTTCTGTTTTTAAGAGACAAGGTCTTGCTCTGTCACCCAGACTGGAGTACAGTGACATGATCATGGCTGACTGCAGCCTTGAACTCCTAGGCTCAAATGATCCTCCCACCTCAGTCTCCCTAGTAACTGGGACTACAGGCATGTGGCATCACGCCCAGCTAATTAAAAAATTTTTTTAGAGACAGGGTCTTCCTATGTTTCCCAGGTTGAACTCAAACTCCCGGCCTCAAATAATCCTCCTGCCTCGGCTTTCCAAAATGCTGGGATTACAGGTGTGAGCCACCATGCCTGGCCCAAACCTGCATTTTTTTTAAAGAAGAAGGAGATCATGTGATTACTGGAAACCGAGGAGAATTTGCAACGGTGGGAAGCAGGGGCTAATGCTCTCTCATAAATTTCAACATTAAAACACGTTAACTAAGGTTCCAAATAAGGAAATTAAAAAAAAAAAAACAGATTCATTAAAAAATAGCAGTAACATATATAAAACGAGATTTTTAAAAAATAAATAGGTAAGCTTATTAGTTAATCCAGAACTGGGTTTTAGAGTTAAATAACTGATATCTAGTAAGTCCCTGGTAAGTATAATCAAGAACAAAAGAGAGAAAAAAGGTATAGAAAATATAACAAAGGGGAATATAACCACAGATGCAAATCCATCCAAGGCTCAAAGATGACCAGTAACAAGGTAGTAGAAATTTGATATCAAAATTTGACAATGTCACAAAAACGAAATTTAGATTAGTCTAAAACTCCTTTATGGCTATAAACAAAAATATGAAAGAAAAACTAACAAAATGTACCAAGTGTTATAAGACCTAGATCGTGAGTTTAAAATTTATTTGCAGAATGCAAGGATAGCTCAATGGAAAAAACTCATCAGCATCTCGAACATGCTCCAAGTACATTAATTAAAATTCTCAATCCATTTCTCATTAAAAATAATTGCTGAGCTGGGCACAGTGGCACGCACCTGTAATCTCAGCTACTCAGGAGGCTGAGTTGAGAGTATCACCTGAGGCCAGGAGTTTGAGGCCAGCCTGGGCAACAGAGCAAGACCCCTAGCTCTAAGAAGAATAAAAATTTTAAATTAAAAAATAATAACTTCAAATTAAAAATATAAGGGCATTTCCTTAACATAGAGAATATATGTTTCATAACAACTTCCAACTTTGTGCATCTAGGTATTCCCATGAAAATCAGAAATAAAGGCTGTCATCTATTCCCACAACTTACTATATAATGGCTTTCTGAAAATCCCAGCCACTGCAATAAGATTTCTAGAAAGTAAGAAGATATAATTCTAGAAAATAAAATAGATAATTATCTCTATTTGCAGATGTTGTGGATGTCAACCAAATACCCCAACAGACTTAGCTGAATAGCTATTAGAAGTAATAATACAATTTAGTAAGGCATCAAGATGCAAAACTATTATGAAAACAAAGAGCTTCCTTTGCAATTGCAATAAACATTTAGGAAATATAAAACAGAAGCCATTCATAATTACAATGAAAATGTTAATATATAACAAATTTAAAAGAAGATAATTTCTTAAAAATATATGCAATATGTGAGAGATGAAAGGTTAATATCTTTATAAATCATCTCTTATGATCAATTTAAAATAACTCAGCAATGATAAAAACATTACATTAGACAATCATGCTATAGACATCAACAAGCAAATTCATGGAAATTTAAAATGGTAAATAAATATATGAGAAATTACTCTCCATCTTGCTTCTAATAAATGCACATTAAACCAACTATAAAATGCCAATTGTTTTGCCTAAGAAGTGGGCAAAGTAAAGGAGTCAATGAAAATGCAGAGAAATGACACTCTTTTATGCTGTGGGAAGTGTAAACTTTCTTTTCTTTTTTTTTTCCTTTTTTTTTTTTTTTTTTTAAGGCAGACAGTTCTCAGTTTGTTGCCCATACTAGAGTGCAGTGACAAAATCATAGCTCACTATATATGCACAGCCTCAAAATTCTGGGCTCAAGCGATCCTTCAGCCTCAGCCTCCTGAGTAGCTGGGACTACAGGCATGTGTCACCATGCCTGGCTAATTTTTTAAAATTTTTTGTAAACACAGGTATCACTATGCTGCACGGGCTGGTCTCAAACTCCTGACCTCAAGCAATCCTTCTGCCTCAGCCACCTAAAGTGCTGGGATTACAGGCATGAGCCACCACACCCCAGCCAAGTGTAAACTTTCTAGAAGGCTTAAATCCTAAAAATTATGTACACTCTGACCCAATAATTCCATTCCTTGGAATTTACTCTGAGAAAATTATTATAAATGTGAATAGATTTACCCGTCCATTGAAAAAATATTTTTTTACAATAAAATAATGGAAAATGTCTAAATACCTATCAGTAAGAAAATGTTTATATACGTGTGTATGTGTATATATGTAATAATGATATATATGTATATAATAATTTCAAATAATGGGATATCATGAAACCAAAGAAAAAGAAAAAAGTAGAATAAGACTTAGCAACAGGGGATAAATCCAAACTATATCAAGTAAAAATAAAAAGTAAAATATAATATACATACTGCCAGGTATAGCATATACATTAAAAATATAATGTATACATTATAATGAGTGCATTATGATGTTTACATTCATGTATATATCCATGTGCATAAAAAATACCTGAAAAGTTGTACACCAACTTTTGTTGGTAATAGCTGTGTTATAGGGATTATGAATTATTTTATTTTTCTATTTTATATCTTCTATATTTCCCACGATTTCTATTATGAACATTGATTACTTTCACAATTTAGGAATCTATCAAAATATAAAATGAACAACATTCAAGACCTGTGTGATGGAATATAAAACCAAAGTGCAGCACATAAAAATACTGCAGATGCTTGAGAAGCTGTTTGGTGCAAAGTCCACCTTGTCTAATGAGCATGAAATTAGCATTAAACTTTGGTGAATGAGAAATCAATCAGATGAAATGGAGGTAAAAGACACAGAAGTTTATGAAATGGGAAGACAGGTCAAAGGAGCTTCAGAAGTTTTTTTTCCCCCCTCAAGGCTAAAAATGACTTAAGGGCTCTTTAATACAAATAAAGAGTTTTCTTTTGGGGTCCTCAACATTTCTGCATCAAAAATCAACACATGACAAAAGTGAGTCATTGCATCCTACCCACACAGCCCAGCTGCCTCCTGCACCCACACAGCTTCCTCCTCCCACAGGTGCCAGCCACTCAGCAGTCAATCACATTGCTTTAAAATCAAGAAGCTGTGTAACGTGGGGCTGGAAGAAACCAAATAAAACACTTACTGATGAAAAATAAGAGACATGCAAAGAAAAATACTAGCTAAGTTAAAGTAATGAAAGGAGGGGATAAATTTTTCCAGAGAACTGACATGTGGAATTAGATGCTAAAATAAAATAAAAACACTGCAGAAAGTTTTCGGATTAAGAGAGAAACTGACTTTTTTTTTTTTTTTTTTGAGATGGAGTCTTACTCTGTCTCCCAGGCTGGAGTGCAGGGGCACAACCTCAGCTCACTGCAACCTCCACCACCCGGGTTCAAGTGTTTCTCCTACCTCAGCCTCCCAAGTAGCTGGGATTACAGGGTGCACCACCACATCCAGCTAATTTTTGTATTTTTAGTAGAGATGGGGTTTCGCCATGTTGGCCAGGCTGGTCTTGAACTCCTGGCCTCAGGTAATCTGCCCACCTCAGCCTCCCAAAGTGCTGGGATAACAAGCATGAGCCACTGTGCCCAGCCTAGACATTTAAAATAAATGGTGCAAGCAAAGTAAGGTATATTTATTACCTCTAAACATCTAAACAGGAACAGATCCATTTCTGGATGCTATAAAGAACACTGAAAGGTGCTTATTGGTATAATTTTAAAATACAGTAATACAGTATGGTAACTCAGAAAAAGGTTGGCTTTTTTCTATTTCAAATTCAAATAAGTGACTTGTTCTAAGACATTTCTATTCTTTCCTAAATTTACTTTTTAATTGTCATAGAGCAAAATTCATTCTCTTTGTCTCTGATGTACAGTCTAATGGGCTTTGAAAAATGCGTACATACCACCATAGTCATGATACAAAATAGATCCTTCACTCCAAAAATCTCCCTCATGCTGCCCTTTTGAGGTTAGTCTTCCCCACACCCCAAATCCCAGTCCCTGGCAACCACTGATTTATTTACTGTCCCTAAAGTTTTACCTTTCCCAGAATGTCATATAAATGGAATCATACAGTATGTAGCCTTTTGGGTTTGGCTTCTTTGACTTAGCAAAATGCATGTGAGATTCATCCATAGATGTCCATTCACAGGTTTGAGGACATTCAGGTTGTCTCCAGGTTGAGCAATTTTGAATAAAGTTGCTATTCATGTACAAGTCTTTATATAGACACATGCTTTCATTTGTCTTGAGTAAAGACCTAGGAGTAGGATTACTGGGTCATAGGTAAGGGTATGTTTACCTTAATAAGAAAATGCCAAGCTCTCCCAAAGTGACTCAAACATTTTGCATTCCCGCCAGCAAAGTATGAGGAGCATCTCAGCTGTCCAACATCTTTGTCAGCGCTTGGTATTGTCCGTTTTTCTTCTAAAGCCAGTCTAATAGGTATGTAGTGGTACTTCGTTATGGTTTTAATTTGTATTTCCCTAATGACTAATGAGGTTGAGCATCTTTTCATGTGCTTATTTGCTATCTGTATATCTTATTTGGTTAAGTACTCAATGCTTTTGCCCATTTAAAAATTATTGTTGAGTTTGTTTTCTTATTGTTGAGGTTTGAATGTTCTTTATATTTTCTGAATATTGTTCCTCTGTCAGATATGCAATTTGCAGATACTGTCAGATAATGACTTGTCTTTTCATTCTCTTAAGTGTGTCTTTACAAGAGAATTTAAATTTAATTAAGTCCAGTTCATCAACTTTTTATTTAATGGATTGTGCTTCAGGTGTGGTATTGAAAAAAATCTTTGCGTAACCCAAGGTCACAAAAGTTTTCTTTTATGGTTTCTTCTAGAAGTTTTATAGCTTTATGTTAAATTTAAGTCTATGAACCATTTAGAGTTGATTTTTGTATATGGTGTGAGGCATGGGTCAAGATTCATATTTGCTGTAAAGACTGTCCTTTCTCCATTGAATTGCCTCTGCATTTTCATCAAACATTAACTGGCTACACTTTGGTGGGTTTTCTTCTGGATTCTCTGTTTTATTTCATTAATCTATGTGTTTATCTTTTGTCAACACAACAATTGTTTGGACTGCTGCAGCTTTAAGGTAGCTACTAAAATCAGGTAGGTCAACTCTATTCTGGTTTTCAACTCTATTCTGTTTTCAAATTTGTTTTGGCTGTTTTAGTTGTTCTCTTTGCTTTCCTACGTAAATTTGAGAATCAGCTGGCTGTTGATATCTATCAATTGATAGCTACCAAAAAATCCTGGGATTTTGATTGGAATTGTGTTGCATCTAAAAAATCACTTTAGAAAGAACTGACATCTTAACAATATTGAGTCTTTCAATCCATGAATATAGAATATCTCACCTGTAATCTCAACACTTTGGGAGGCCAAAGCAGGTGGCTCACTTGAGGCCAGGAGTTTGAGACCAGCCTGGCCAACATGGTGAAACCCTGTCTCTACTAAAAATACAAAAATTAGCCAGGTACGGTGGCACATGCCTATAATCCCAGCTACTTGGGAGGCTGAGGCACAAGCATCACTTGAACCTTGGAGGCAGAGGCTGCAGTGAGCCAAGATCACATGACTGCACTCCAGCCTGGGTGACAGAGCAAGACTCTGCCTCAAAAAAAAAAAGAATACGGAATATCTCTCCACTTACTTAGGCCGTCGTTTTTTAATTAGTATTTCATAATTTTCAACATGTAGATCCTGCACATAGTTTGTTAAATTTATACCTAAATGTTTTCTCTTTTTGGTGCTACTATAGATAGTACTGTTTTTAAAAATTTCAAATCACAATTGCTCATTGCTAGCATATAAAAATACAATAATTTTTGTAGATTGATCTTGTATCCTGAAATTTAACTGAACTCAGTTATAACTTCTAGAAGCTTTTTTCATATATATTATTTTATATGTATTATTTTACATGGACAGTCACGTAATCTGCAACTAGAAGGGATTTTGTTTTTTCCCTTCCGATTTGTATGCCTTTTGTTTTTTGTTTGTTTTTGCCTTGTTATACTCGCTAGGACTTCCAGTAACACAGCACTGTTTAAACAGTAATATTTCATTACCTAACTAAAGAAAACATTATCTGTGGCTACTTTCTGACTCTGCTGGGTACCTTCTCAAAAGTAGTAAAATAAACAGGTGAAAATTATCTTCCTTGTGAAATGATCCTAAGACATATTAAAAATACAAATTAAGATGTAATTATAATAAATTAAACAAACACTTGATACTCAAGAATTCCTGAGCCCCATTTATAGGAGGAACAGTTTATCCATTTCATTTTATAAACATATATTCAGTACTTACTATGTGTCAGACAGTATATGCTTTTCAAATATTAACTCAATCTTCCTAATACCCCTTTGTGATTGGTAGTATTATTTCAGGACACTGAAGCAGAGAATGTATCTGCCAAAGATCAGCTAGAAAGTGTTGCCACCAGAATTCAAACCCAAGCAATCCAGCTCTAGAGTCCAAGCTCTTTTAACTCTTCACTGACTCACTTCCTAAACTTACAGGAGACAGAAATTCACAAGTTCAGAACACAAGTGAGATGTGAAAATAGATTTGGGGATCAAATCATACCAGTCTTATTGTATATTTCATGAGTAAATGCACTTAATAATTATCTAATTGAGTTGTTGTAATAATACTGTGAGTAAAACTGCCACATTTAGAAATTTAAGAAAGTTAGGGCCAGGCGCAGTGGCTCACACCTGTAATCCCAGCACTTTGGGAGGCCAAGGCGGGCGGACCACAAGGTCAGGAGATCGAGACCATCCTGGCTAACACGGTGAAACCCCGTCTCTACTAAAAATACAAAAAAAATTAGCCGGGCGTGGTGGCAGGTGCCTGTAGTCCCAGCTACTCGGGAGGCTGAGGCAGGAGAATGGGGTGAACCCAGGAGGCGCAGCTTGCAGTGAGCAGAGATAGCACCATTGCACTCCAGCCTGGGCGACAGAGCGAGACTCCGCCTCAAAGAAAAAAAAAAAAAAGAAATTTAAGAAAGTTAGTCATTTAAAAGTATAGACAAAGACACAAAAATCTCCTACATTTTTACCTAAGGTATAATTTGTTTCCTTGTTCTGACTGAGTTAATGTTAAGTGGAGGATAACACAAGGTTTATCAGGGGTTTGTTAAAGCATAATAAAATTTTTAGGGTAATAACATTAAGCTATTAAGCTTAATTGCATTTTGGTCATCGAATGGCAGTGGCTGGTAGTCTGTGGGGTTTTTAAATTGAATTTTCCCTTCATAATAAGGTATCTGTTAGTTAAATATCTCACATGAGTTGCTGCTGCTTGTGAAGAGAAGAGTTGAGGGAAGATGTTAATTGGTATTTTCTGAAATTTGACCTAAAAGTCATGTCCTGTTAGAGTCTCCTAAAGACTCCAAGTCAGTTTTCTAAAGTTTGGCAAGTAGATAACATCGGGAAACTGCAAAAGTCCTGTTATACAGCTAGGAATGTTGAAATTTTCAAGAAGGACATAAGAATCATCTATCATCAAGGTCTTGAACTGGTCACAGTTGGGCAATCCCTACTATAAATGACTACTCTTTTAGCTTCATCAGCCTCCCTTTAATTTCTTGTGTGTTATTTGGTTAATTATACCATGTAAAATGATGCAAATATATATCAACAGTATATTCTGGTCCATGATTTCCTCATCACTAAACTCTAATAAATGTATGCATGGTGATTCAAACATAAATCATTCTCATATTGCCAAAGCAAATTATTCCTAACCTCCCCAACCCAGCCCTAATTTTCTTATTTGGTGACATTGTATTACACTCAAGTGTTTTGCTGGCTTTCTGTTGTTGTTGTTAATCTGCTAAGTGAGGGCTGGTAGGGAGGTAATCAGAGGGATATTTTGCACTTCCAGAGGTTGGCCTTAAAAAGAGTTGAGAGCCACTACACTTACAAAAGGAAAGGGAAGAGAGGAAAAGGGAGAAACCTAGTGTGGAGGGAGGGACAGAACAGAAAAAAAGGGAGAGGAAGGAGGAGTGAAACAGAGACAGAGGAGGGTGCAAAACTAAGATGGGTGTTATAATAACTAAAGACCCCTTACCCAGGCAATAGCTGCAAGAGCTCAGCTTTAGAGAATGTGAAGGCAGAGAAAGCACACATCCTTCGGAGGTGACCAGACCAGAAGGTCAGGACCTAGAGCCACAGCTCAATGCCAGGAGGACACACAGCCTCAGTAAAGCACTCTACAGAGCTGAAGAGCTGGAAAGGAAACACTCTCATCTCCAGAAGAGTAATGAGCATGTAAATAACAGACAAGCTGTTCTTTGACTTCCAGTGTTTGAATCCCAGTTGTGTTTCTGGATGGATGACGTCAGACAATACCTCGAACTCTCTGAGCTGTGGTTTCTTCAACTATAAATTGGGAATAACAACCTAGGTATTTACTGCACAAAACTGCTATAAGGATTACATGTGTGCTAGGCACAGTAAACTCACCATGAATGGTAATCACATAGAGCCGGGACAAGAAATGCCCAGAGGAGACCCTTTGAGCAATGTATCATTAAAATGTGATCGAAGACAATGCTATTATACAACTCAACACCTCCTGATAAAGCTTTGAGTAATTTCTCATAGAAATGATATTGAAGGCAAACTTATGAAAACATAGAAAGCCAACATAAAGAATTTTGACTTGATCCTATAATCAATGGATGGATCCATCCATGTCCATGAGGTTTGAGAAGAGGTATGTCAGGATCTAAGCTTCGCTTTGGAAAGATAAAGCTAGAATCTGTAGATGGATGATAGACTACACAGACCGGGGGCTGGGAGATTGTGTGGGAGTCATCCGAGAGAGCGTGTCCCTCAACTAACACAGACAACATGTGGGGAAACTCAACAGGATTCAGGGACTTGGTGGCTACAGGCAAAGAAAGAATTAAAGACGTTTCTGCTTTGAACGTCATAATTAAGGATAATGATTTGCCATTAACATAGTAAAGGACACAAGGGAGGTTTTGTGGTATTTTCTGAGACAGGGTCTCACTCTGTCTTCCAGGCTGGAGTGCAGTGATGCAATCACGGCTCACTGCAGCCTCCAACTACTGGGCTGAAGCAATCCTCCTACCTCAGCCTCCTGAGTAACTGAGACCACAAGTACACGCCACCATACCTGTTTTTTTGTTGTTTGGTTGTTTTTTTTTTTTTGTTTTTTGTTTTTGTAGAAACAAGGTCTCACTATGTCGACCAAGCTGGTCTCAAACTCCTGGGCTCAAGTGAGCCACCCGCCTAGGCCTCCCAAGTGCTGGGATAACAGGTGTGAGCCACCACAACTGGCCAAACTTTTTTTTTTTTTGATAGGAGCTTGAGTTCATATTGGAACACACTAAATTGGGGAGTGGGAGTGAATATATTACTGATAGCAGTCCTTTTGAACCTCAGCAGAGAGATAAAAAACAGAAAGATCTAAGAATAACAGCAGGCTGGGCACGGTGACTCACGCCTGTAATCCCAGCACTCTGGCAGGCAGAGGCGGGTAGATCACGAGGTCAGGAGATCGAGACCATCCTGGCTAACACAGTAAAACCCCGTCTCCACTAAAAACACAAAAAAATTAGCCAGGCGTGGTGGCAGATGCCTGTAGTCCCAGCTACTCAGGAGGCTGAGGCAGGAGAATGGCGTGAACCCAGGAGGCAGAGCTTGCAGTGAGCCAAGATGGCGCCACTGTACTCCAGCCTGGGAGATAGAGTGAAACTCTGCCTCAAAAAAAAAAAAAAAAAAAAAAGAGTCACAGCAATGGGTGACCACTGAAACAGTGAATGTAGATGAGGTTGTCAACTTAGAGTACAGAAAGAAATGAGGCTTCCTGGACTCAGGAATTCCCCTCCTCATTATATACCCAATAGAAACACAGATATGTGCTCATGTAATGAATGTTCATAGCCATACTATTTGTAAACCATTAACAGCAGAAGAAATTAAAAAGCATGCTATGTAGAAACAATGGATACTATACAGTAATGAGCATGAAAAATCTACAACCACACGTGACAACATGGATGAATCTCACAAATGCATTCTTGGGAGGAGGAATCCAGATACAAAGGACTAGGCACCGTGTGATTCTGCAATATTAAAAGTCACAATGGCGCACGCCTTGGAGAGGATGGGCCATGGCTAAAGGGGGCTTGAAGGGGTCTTCTGGGGTGCTGGTAAAGTTCTACTTCTTGATCTAGGTGCTGGTTACTCTGGCATGTTTGCCTTGTGAAAATTAACTCATTTCTAACCGATCATTTTGCCCAGAATGTTAAAAGAGAATTGCATTAGTTTCCTGTGCCATTGTAACTAATTATTACAAGCTTGATGCCTTAAAACAGCAGAAATGTCTTCTTTCACAGTTCTAGAGGCCAGAAGTCCAAAATCAAGGTGTAGGCAGTGCTCTAGAAGATAATCAGTTCCTTGCCCCTTCAAGATTCTAAGTTTTCGGCACTCCTTGGCTTGTGATGTGTATGCATGTGGTGTCAAATCGCCCTCTGCCTCTTTTACAAGGACACTTGTGATGGCATTTAGGACACACCCAGATGATCCAGGATTATCTTATCTCAAGATCCTTCACTTCATCATATCTGCAAAGACTCGTTTTCCAAATAAGGTACCATGCACATGTTCCAGTTCTGACATAGATATTAGGGTGGCAGGGGAGGTGAGGGACAAATTTTAGCTTACCACAAGGATTATAAAGAAGCTGCATGATAACGAAGGTAAGTACAACAGAACAAAAGGTGCTGAATACAAGATGAGGAAATGGAGGGAATGAGCCCAAAGGATTCTCCAAAGACTGGCAAAGAACAAAAGGTGATAAACGTTTTCCAAGGTCCATGGTAGGCACCTTTACAATCAGTAAGGAAAGCAAGAGATCAGACAATACTTTAATGGGACAGAAAGATCTAAAAGCTTTTAGTGTTAGAATGGTGTACTTGAACATTATTAGAACAAGTGGAGATTGTACGCATTTTTGAAGTCAAGCTGAAAGAAGAAAAAAAGAGAAAGATTTTAAAGGGAGTGCTAATTAATGGAGGCGATCTCTGTATTTTCAGATGAGACAGATGGGTTGGGTTCTATGACAGAGGAGAAAAGTCAACCATGGGGGAAAAGGGATACTTTAAAGGTAAGAAGGAGAGAAGTACCAGGCGCAGTGGCTCACGTCTGTAATCCCAGCACTTTGGGAGGCTGAGGCAGGCAAATCACTCGAGGTCAGGAGTTCGAGACCAGCCTGACCAACATGGTGAAATACCGTCTCTACCAAAAATACAAAAACTAGCCAGGCACAGTGGCGGGCGCTTGTAGTCCCAGCCACTAGGGAGGCTGAGGCTGAAGAATCACTTGAACCCGGGAAGTGGAAGTTGCAGTGAGCTGAGATCATAGCACTCCACTCCAGCCTGGGTGACAGAGCGAGGCTCCGTCTCAAACAAAACAAAACAAACAAACAAACAAAAAGAAAACAAGGAGGGAAGTAATTAATGGCAAAGACAAGGAAGTGATGAGGTGAAAGGAAGAACACCGATCTCCTCCTTCACTTCAGGTAGTGACTTGCTGATAGACAGCTGGTAGCCAACAGAAAGGAAAGCCCTCTCCAGGGACAGCTGAAACACGCCTGAGTGACATCACTGGAAATGTGCCTGAAAGTAGCACCACCTGAGCTTCTGCATGTCGTGACGCCAATTTGTCTTCTTTTTCACTAAAAGGAATTCATTTTAGCATTCCTTTTACTTGTGATAGTAACAACGCTTACAACTACAGCAACAGAAGCAAGATGTAAGCCTCCTAAGCATCAAAAACACCATTTTTTGAACTCTTATCTGCCTACAATAGAGGTAAAGGAAAATATGAAAAGAGGGAAGATCTAGACTAGATTTGAACTTTATTCTGCTTAGTGGCCACAGGCAAAAGCCTTAAATAGACATTAAAATCCCAATCTTACAAATGAATGTTCTTGGTCACAAAATGGACTGGACTAACAAAAAATCCACTTTCAAGCACATAGTACTTTTTCTTTTTTGAGACAGGGTCTTGCTCTGTTACCCAGGCTGAAGTACAGTGGCATAATCACGGCTCACTGCATCCTCGACCTCCTGGGCTCAAGCGATCCTCCCACCTCAGTTCTCAAGTACCTAGGACTATAGGCATGCACCACTATGCCCAGCTAATTCTATTTATTTTTTGTAGATACAGTGTCTCACTATGTTTCAGGCTGGTCTTGAACTCCTGGTCTCAACCAGTCCTCCTTTCTTGGCCTCCTAAAGTACTGGGATTACAGGCATAAGCCACCACGTCCAGCTTCAAGCACACAGCATTCGATGATGGTTTAGTAAGTGCTATTGAGGGAGCCCTGCAAATACTGTCACTGGGTTGTCTTCAAGTGAATCCCTCATATCACTTCACAAAAAAAGTGGGTAAATCACAGTTTATATCTTCTGGTGCATACCAAGTACTTTATGAAGAGATATTTTCCTGATATGAGCATAGCAGTCTCCTACATAATTTTGCTTATTAGAAAAGTACAAATAGGTCCTACCCAAAAAAGTGTTATTCTCCTTCCAAGTTAAAACAGAGCCTGATTTATGCCTTAACTTTTTTTTGTCTTTAAGTTAAAAAACAAAAAACAAACAAAAAAAACCTTTTTTTTTAGAGCTGTTTTAGGTTCATGGCAAAATTGAGAGGAAGGTACAAAGACATCCCATATACCTGATGCCCTCACACACACACAGCCTCCCCCATTGTCAACATCCCCCACCAGAGTGGTACATTTTTTACAACTGATGAGCCTACATTGACACATCATAGTCACACAAAGTCCATAGTTTACATTAGGGTTCACTCTTGATGCTGTACATTCTTTGGGTTTAGATAAATTTATCATGATATGTATCTACCACTAAAGTATCATAATTATAGGATCATACAGAGTATGAGACCATAACACCCTAAAAATCCTCTGCCCTAAAAATCCTCCAGACTTTGCCTATCCATTCAAAAATTTATGTTTTAATGTCATGGTAACAGCAATACAACAGGTCAATGACCTATAAAGAGTATATAAGAAATGTATAAGTCAAAATGAACCGTAAAGTTTATTATGTGACAGGGACATGCTATACATTATAAATAGAAATGGGGGCTGGGTGCGGTAGCTCACCTCACCGTAATCCCAGCACTCTGGGAGGCTGAGGCAGGTGGATTACCTGAGGTCAGGAGTTCGAGACCAGCCTGGCCAAAATGGTGAAACCCTGTCTCTACTAACAATACAAAAAATTAGCCAGGTGCAGTGACACACACCTGTAATCCCAGCTACTTGGGAGACTGAGGCAGGAAAATTGCTTGAACACGAGAGACGGAGGTTACAGTGAGCAGAGATCATGGCACTGCACTCCAGCCTAGCCAACAAAGCGAGACTCTGTCTCGGAAAAAAAAAAAAAAAAAAAAAAAGGCAATGGGATAGGAGGCTAGTTTGTTGGTAAAAATTTCTGTATCGCCACGGCAAACTATTTTTCTCCTTGAAATGGTTATATTTCATGAAGGTGTGCTGGGTTTGAGTCTATATGCATAAATTTAGATCTCTATAAACTCATTTTGTATAAAACATTTCAGTCCTTAAGTAATAAATCTATTTTAATTAGATACTGAAAAGGCTGCTCATGAATATATGAACAGGCTTTTGTGAAGCTTATTACAGTTTTATTGTGGTTAAGGTCTATGTCATTTGTTTTTTTGGTCTCTCATATTTAGTTTTAATTAAACCATCAAAGCTTCATTCATTTATGCTTCAGTGAAGTTCCTCGGTCACACAGAGTAGCCCTTTGTAACTGTAAGATTCTTATGGGAGCATCCTCCCTCACAACCCAAACCAATAATCTGCCTCATTTAATTGGCACTTGTTTAAGTTACATAAGGTTATAGGAGTTGATTTGTGATAATTTTTGAAGAAAATCCAACTGTTCCTCACAGATGTGGATGCTGAGTGACATACTCTTACCTAATCGTCCTATACCTCTACAACCTCTTCACATGGAAAACAGAAAGAGGACAGGGAGAACTTCACATTCTCTGATGATGTTCAGTAGCAAAAATGGCTATGGTAGTTTAACTCATGCTTGAGGTTGTTCTGATTAAGAGGAGGTATTTCTCACTCTGGCTAGGGAAATAACTGTCATTTATATGAATTATGTTTACATAAGCATTAATAGTTATTAAAGCAGTGTAACATGGTGATACAGAAAAACTTAGACTCTAGAAAATTCTACAGGAAAAATGACCTGAATTCCTTAACAAAAACATCACAGGGGAGAAGAGGAGATGAAAGTAGAAATTAGATATTAAAAGAGACTTAAGGAACATAGTCAACTGTAATGTGTGGACCTTGGTTGGATTCTACAAAAGTAAACTTTAAAAAATCATGGCATTTATGAGATAATCAAAATTTTGAAAACTGACAGGATATTTGATGATATCAAGAAATGAATTATTTTAAGTATGATAAGGTACTGTGTTAGGAGTCCTTATCTTTCAGAGAAGAAAAATGTAGCATGATAGGCCGGGTGAGGTGGCTCAAGCCTGTAATTCCCAGCACTTTGCGAGGCTGAGGCAGAGGATCGCTTGAGTTCGGGAGTTTGAGACCAGCCTGAGCAACAAAGTCAGACCCCATCTCTATAAAAAGTGTTAAAAATAGCTGGGTGTGGTGGTGCGTGCCTGCAGTCCCAGCTACTAAGGAGCTGAGGCAGGAGGATGGCTTGGGCCCGGGAGTTCAAGGTTACAGTGAGCTATGATCGTGCCATTGTACTCCAATCCGGGTGACAGAGCACGAACCTATCTCTAAAAAAACAAACAAAAAAAGCATGATAATTTCATCCTATGTTAAAAAATAAAGAATGCTAATGTCTGGCACCACATGATGTATGCATTCCTTATCAAAAAAGCATTATCTTGCATGCCATAGAAATATAATTGTAAGTAAGAAACACTATACCATTATTGCTGTAGAAAGAAAATCAGTATTTTTTTTTCTTTCTACTCCTGTAGAAACTAAATTAAATGAAATCCAGTTGCATACTATTTATGGGCAGAAATCGTTGCTCATCCTGGTAAGCAAGCTAGTTTGGAGGGTTTTCCTCTTGTAATTATGGCTGTCATTTCTCGTGGTCTTAAATCCAGTTGGATCTAAGAAGTGTGGGTGAGCGCCTGGGAGCTCCACAGTGCTCCAAGATTCTTAATGTGTCAACGAATGGAAACCTCTCACAGTCAGGATTCAACATCTCTAAAAGAGGCCATACCCTTTCTTTCTACTCTGTTAAGCTCACTTTCGACACCTAATAATTTCATCTAGTCAAAATGTGCAATAGTTTTTGTTCAAATTTACTTCTTCTAATAGTATCTGTAATTCTGTTGACATGACAGATGTATAAATGATTCTGCCAGTAAATAATTTCATTCCTAGCGTACGTGTTGACATTCCATTTAAGTCCAACAATCCATTTAAGGGGGTTTGAGACTTCTTTCTTGAGAATTATTAGAGGAAATGAATAAGATTAAAACTATTCATTGTTAACTGATCTTTTAACTGCTGACAGACAGGTGGCTGGACTTCACTGACTATAATGAAAGAGTCTGGTTCTTTTTTCTTTCTTTCTTCCAATTGATTAAATCTATCAGTAAAGGAATTCGCATACTCTAGGAAAACTAATGTTGTTGTTTTAGAGACAGAGTCTCACTCTGTCACTCAGGCTGGAGTGCAATGGTATGGTCATAGCTCACTGGGCTCAACTGATCCTCCCACCTCAGCCTCCCAAGTAGCTGAGACTACAGGCATGCAGCACCACTCCTGGTTAATGTTTTACATATTTTTTCTAGAGACAGTGTCTTGCTAATTGGCCCAGGCTGGTCTCAAACCCCTGGACTCAAGTGATCCTCCCACCTCAGCCTCCCAAAGTGTTGGGATTACAGGTACGGATATGAGCCACTGTGTACAGCCATGTTGTTATTTTTTTAATGTGACAAATTAATTTTACATATATATATGTGTGTGTATATATATATATATATATAAACTTAGATGTGATTATATAAATGTCTCTTTAAAAGAAGGCTATCGACGGAGGCCAATATCCTAAGCAAATTACTGCAAGTACAGAAAACCAAATTCTGCATGTTCTCACTTGTAAATGACAGCTAAACATTAAGTACACATGGACATAAAAATAGGAATAGACACTGGGGATACTAGAGACGGGAGGGTGGGAAGGGGGCGAGGGTTGAAGAACTACCTATTGGATATTATGCTCACTACACCTGGGTGATGGGATCATTCGTACACCAAACCTCAGTGACACTCAATTCACCCCGTAACAAACCTGCACATGTATCCTCTGAAACTAAAATAAAAGTTGAAAAAAAGGCCAGCCACACAGAGATGAAGACAGGGAACCAAAGACCCTCACCAGCCCCACAATGGGGAAAATGAGATAAGCCTGCTGAATAGAGACAACAGACCAGAAAGGAAAGGAGAGGGCAGCCCCCGCCATGTATCACATACTAAGTCCCTCCAAGGAGCCCTTTGACGGCTTCTTATCACGCTGCCCAGGAGGCTCCGGTTTCTTCGCCTCAGCTTCCATCCATCATAGCACCATGGAATTAAGAACTCCCTTTACTCTGTTCTCCCACATGTTGATTTTAACACACATGATTGTCTATACTGTGCAAAGTACTGAGAAGGGGTCAAAGAAATCAGCATCAGCCCTTCATGGGCTGATAACCTTCAAGTGCAATGGCTGGACATGTGAGCAGCAGAAGTGCAAAGTCAAATGAAATAGATGTAAATGTTCTTTGGGAGCAGAGGACAAGGAGTGGCTGATTCTTACAGGAGTAATGGAGAAGGCCATTCAGGGCAACAGCTTCACAGTAAGCCTTGAGAAGTGGTAGAATTTCAGGATGCAGGGCCTGGGAAGAAGGGACATTCCTGGCTGCTTTGCAATTGCATAATATAGGAGTTTCTTTTTACCAGAAAAAATTGCTCCACTACCTAAGAATGGACATGTACACCACCACCCACCGAATGAGAAATGGCTTATCGCTCTGCCCAGCTGGTCTTTCCACAGGAAGTTTACAGGGAGAAAAATAAATTGCACAATCATTTTTTGGGAACACTTTTCAGTAAAAACTTTTCTTATTAGGGAGAAAGAAATTTCATTTTACTTGTGTCTTTATGCATTCTACCATGCCCGACTAAATGCATCCTCTCCTGTAACGTATCGCTTGGATCCCCTACTTCCCTGGTCCAAGGGGAGTTTCGGTACCTCTTCCTGGCAAAGCTCTCTCTACTTGAGACCTTATAGCTGCGGACCTGCTTGTCTGTGTCCTCCAAGGGACCTGACTGTTTTAACAGAAATACCCGGCAGAGGAGGCATTTGATGGTAAGGAGACAGCTTCTAATTCACATTGCTAAAATGAGAGACAAACAAACAAACAGAAGACAACCTGTGGAAAAGGCTTCTGAATAATAAAAAGAGTCTTCCAACTGGCACTCAGCCCAAGAGTCCACAGATCATCACCACAGCAACAGACAGTATTTGGAGGCAATGAGGAGCACAAAATGCAGATCTGGCAAAGGCATTAGCAAAATTATTCATTTCAAGGAGACTATATAAGCTCCTGAATTTGTAGCATTCGCTTCTATATGTATATTAGCCATCAGAAACAGAAAGAGCTAATGAGCTGAAGTGCTGGTGAGAACAGTCAGGGTACCACATACAGCTAGCTCTACTTGGAACAGACGGCTGATGGCCTAAGGAACCTGTAGCCACGTCAGCTCCAAAGCAGGGACCGGTTCAGTCATCAGTGCAGCCAATGTTCATGAAATCCCTACTAAGTGCCAAGGGATACTAAGTGCTAAGGTCCAAGGGATACAAAAGTCATCCAAACACACACACGCGTGCACACACACACACACACACACACACCCATGCACACTAGGTTCCTGCCCTCAGAAAGCTTATGATCTAGCAAGAGAAGAGACAATCAAATAAACGTACAAAAACAAATGCACACTGTGGTAAGTGTGTTGACGACATGACACAGGGCATTTTGAACAGTACAACAGACAGAACTGATTCGTCAGTGGAGCTCCCCTGACAAAGTAATGGTGTCTGAAGGAGATATAGAAATAAAGGGATGTAGAAGTAAATGTGGCCTATCAGTAGTCAGTGCTGACCAGGCATTACAAATGGCCATGGTGTCGCTCCTGCCTGCTATGCCTGGGGTGTAGCTGGCTGGTGTCAGAATGCCCAAATCCACACTTGCTCTGTGCAGCCCTCAACACCCTGAGCCCATTTCCTCACCTGTCAACCAACAATAACAATAGTCTTTGTCACAGAAAGGGCTTAACAACAAAGAGGTGTCAATGAACATCAGCCACGACTAGAGAGTGGGCCATGGGTCAGGGGGACATTCACCCCTCACTCCCACCCCAGGGTACTGTCAATCACTTACAGACATTTTTCTTATTTCCTGTACTTTTTTCTCATACTTTTCCTATTCGATAAACAGGAAGTATGGAATCAGTAAGATGAGTTTCATTCTTTTCAGTAGACCCTTTAGTGCCTTAAAAAAGTCTGTAGTTAAAGAGCATCTTCAAGAGAGGTCCTAGACCATATGGACACAACCAACATTTGCAGTCACTATTTTGGGGGGTCTGAAGGGGGCAGACCAGGGCAGCTAATGGCAAGCCCCGTAGAAGGTGCAGAAATTTTCCAGCTGAATAAATATTCCAGTTTGCTTCAAACAGTCTTAGATGTCTGTTATCCCATGATATGTATGATCTCATTGTCATTTCTAGTAGATCCCCCCATTCATTCTCAAGTGTCCTGGTTGGGCCCTAAGCAAGCGGCAGTTCCTGCACCATTAGCTGTCCCTTCCATGGGCAGTGGCAGCAGGGGCCTGTAGCTGCCAAGAAACTCAGCAGGAGCCCCTCTTTACAGCTGCTACTCTAGGTGGCTTGGCCCCGGGGCTTCCACAGGATGAAGACCCCAGCCCTGCATGTTCTTCAAATTATTCTCAGACACAAGCTGCTTTTTCCAAATCTCCCAGCCAAGGTAATGATGGAAATTTTACAAATGGCATGGAGTAGAATCAGACAGCTTTTAAACTCCAGCCCTCGCTCTTCACAGTAAATTGCATTTCATCTTGCTGCAATTTTTCGTCTTTTCTTTGGTCATTTCTTGTTTGTGTGGGAGTGTGCACAGCGGGGCTGGGGACGGGGGAGGTGAAGTGTTTTTCCCTTCTTTTTACCTTCCCCCTCTTTCACCTTTAATCTTGGTTTTCCTTTTTTGGAATCTACATCTTCCTCCAAGGGCTGATCTTTGTCTTCTTGAATTTCTGCTGTTTACTTATGATTTCTTACTGAAAATATTCATGTCACGTCAAGTTTCTTTTAGACATCAACAAGCCAGAGCTGGTTTTATAATGCAGACCACGTGTCCCCTGAGTCCTGGACTAAAAGTCCCAAATACTCTTTGGAAACTGGCTTAAACCAGGTCGTCATATCTGAAAGACTTCTCCCCAGCTCTTTCTACCTCCGTGTGATTTATTTAAGAGCAAGACTGAGACAATAAAAAAAAAGAAAGATTTAAAAAAAGAAGAAATGTTACCTGAAATTCCACCATCCATAATCCCACCATTAACCAGATGACATTTTTCCTTGGATTCTCGAGTGAGTTTTTATGTTAGCTTACTTTTAGAAAAAGTGCTACATAAGTTATTTTCTTAAACTGCTCTGAATCTTCCCTTTGTGCCTGTCATCATAAATAAACCAGACTTCTGAGAAGGAGCTTGAGTGCTAAATTACAAAGGGGCAATTTTCTACCATTTAATTGGATCCTACTGCTCTGTACGAGAGCTAGATTTTTTACTTGTTTTGAAAATGAGGGTCACATTAAGATGGTGAATTTTTTTCACTCCTGGAGAGACTATTTACTTCTTCATGTTGAATTCCCAATAGTTCTCACCACATTTCATTATAATATATGCACTTGCTTTTCCATCAATAAGACTGTCTTGGTTGTCGATATAGACCATGACAGTAGCAATGTGAGCCTCTTAACTAAATGTAAGAAATAATGAAACTATATCCAGGCAAATGATAAACAATTTAATGGTTGACAACCCTCAAAAATATAATATATTTAGTCCTTAGTAGCAAATAAATATACATATTAAAATGACCTGTTATTAGCTAGCACACGGAGATACTAACCATTTTGGTATTTCACTCTAAGCGTTTTCCTATACAATTTATTATGCATACAAATAAACATACACATGCCCATTTGGTATGGGAGCAAAATTCAAATTATTGATTTATATATTATCAATTCAAAATTGAATTATAGATAATGTTTCAATCACAACCACTTCTAATTGCTAACTTCACAGCTGGAGAAGCCTGAATAAGATGTTGATAATTTGCAGTCAAATCAAAATAATAAAAGTGTTCAAATACCTACAAAAAAAAAAAAACCCTATAGCTAACATCATACTTAATGGTGAGAAACTAGCTTTCCCACTAAGGTGAAGAAAAGGGCAAAGCTGTCCCCTGTCACCACTCCTTTTCAACATCATACTGGAAATCCCAGCTAATGAAATAAAATGAGAAAAAAATAAAAAGTATACTGATGGAGACAAGAAATAAAACTTGTCTTTGTTCACAGATGGCAGGATCATCTATGTACAAAACCCAAGAGAATCAACAATAACAAAAACCCTCCTAGAATTAATAAGCAATTATAGCAGGGTTTCAGGATTCAAGATTAATATGCAAAAGTAAATTGCTTTTCTATATGTCTGCAATAAACAAGTGGAATTTGAAATTAAAAACACAATGCCATTTACATTAGCACCCCCAAAAATGAAGTACTTAGGTATAAATCTCACCAAATACGGATAAAAACTATATGAGGAAATCTATAAAACCCTAATAAAAGAAACCAAAAAAGAACTAAATAAATTGAGAGATATTCCATGTTCATAGATAGGAAGACTCAATGTTGTCAAGATGTCAGTTCTTCAAAATTTGACCTATATATTCAATGCAATCTCAAGCAAAATCCCAGCAAGTTATTTGGTGGATATTGACAAATTGATTCCTAAGTTTATGTGGAGAGGGAAAAGACCAGAAGAGCCAACACAATATTGAAGAAGAACAAACTGACATTACCTGATTTCAAAACTTACTCTAAAGCTCTATAACAAGACAGTGTGGTGTAGGTGAAAGACTACAGAAATAGATCAACGGAACAGAATAGAAGCCCCAGAAATAGATCCACATAAACACAGTCAACTGATGTTTGACAAAGAAGCAGAGGCAATATAATGAAACAAGGATAATCTTTTCAACAAACGGTGCTGGAACAACTGAACCTCTACATGAAAAAAAAAACAAAAAACAAAAACAAAAAAAACACAAAGATACAGACCTTACACCCTCTGCAGAAATTAACTCAAATGGATCATAGTTCTAAATGTAAAATGAAAAACTATAAAACTCCTGGAAAATAACATAGAAGAAAATCTAAATGACCATTGGTATCATCATAACTTTTTAGATACAATATCAAAGGCATAATAAAAGAATTATAAGCTGGACTTTATTAAAACTAAAAATTTCTGCTCAGCAAAAAAAATTGTCAAGACTGTGAAGAGAATGAGAAGACAAGCCACAGACTGAGAGAATATATTTGCAAAAGACATATCTGTTAAAGAGTGTTATCCAAAATATACAAAGAATACTTAAAACTAAAAAATAAGAAAACAAACGATGAGATTAAAAAATGGGCCAAAGACCTGAATGGATACCTCATCAAAGAAGATATACAGATAGCAAGTAAGCATATGAAAACATGTTCATGGGGCCAGGCAAAGTGGCTCACTGTTGTAATCCCAGCACTTGGGGAGGCCAAGGCAGGAGGATCACTTAAGGCCAGGAGTCATGGTAGAAGGACTACCTGAGCCCAGAAAGCTGAAGGCTGCAGTGAGCTATGCTCATGACACTGCACTCCAGCCTGGGTGACAGAGACCTTGTCTCTAAAAAAAAAGAAAAAGAAAAAGAACAAAAGATGCTCAACATCATCTGTCATCAGGGAATTGCAAATTAAAACATTAAGATACGGCTGGGCGCAGTGGCTCACGCCTGTAATCCCAGCACTTTGGGAGGCCGAGGCGGGTAGATCATGAGGTCACGAAATCGAGACCATCCTGGCTAACACGGTGAAACCCCGTGTCTACTAAAAATACAAAAAATTAGCCGGGCATGGTGGCAGGCACCTGTAGTCCCAGCTACTCGGGAGGCTGAGGCAGGAGAATGGCATGAACCCGGGAGGCGGAGGTTGCAGTGAGCCAAGATCGCGAAACTGCACTCCAGCCTGGGTAACAGAGCAAGACTCTGTCTCAAAACAAAAACAAAAACAAAAAAAAAATTGAGATACCACTACACACCTATTCGAATGGCTGAAATCCAAAACACTGACGCCATCAAAGGCCAGTAAGGATGTGGAACCACAGGAAGTCTCATTCATTGATAATGGGAATGCAAAATGATACAGCCACTTTGCAAGACAGTCTGGTGGTTTATGATAAAACTAAACGTTTATACTATTGCTATACAACCCACCATTTGCACTCCTTGGTATTTACCCAAATGAAGTGAATTATTATGTCCACACAAAACTTGCACACAGATGTGTATAACAGCTTTATTCATAATTGCTAAAACTTGGAAGCAACCAAGATGTCTTTCAGGATGTAAGTGGATAAATAAACTGTGGTACAGACAGACAATTCATTATTATTTAGGGCTAAAAAGAAATGAGCCATCAAGCCATGAAAGGACACGAAGGAAACTTAAATGTACACTGTTAAGTGAAAGAAGCCAGTATGAAAAGGCTGTGACATTCTGAAAAAGAGAAACTATGGAAAAAGCAAAAGGATAAGTGGTTGCCAAGGGTTGTGAGGAGGGATGAATAGGCAGAGAACCAAGATTTTTAGGGCAGTGCAACTATGCTGTACAATATACTACTATAATTGTGGATACATGTCATTATACATTTGTCCAAACCCATAAAATACACAACACCAAGAATGAACCCTAATGTAAGCTATGGGCATCAGGTGATAATGATGTGTCAATGTAAGGTTCACCAATTGTAACAAATGCACCACTCTAGATCAGTATATTAACAGCAGAGGAGGCTGTGTTTGTGGGAGGGTAAGGAGTTTATGGGCAGTCTCTGTACCTTCTGCTGAGTTTTGCTGTAAATCTAAAACCGCTCTGAAATACACATATATATGTATATATACACGTGTGTGTACATACATATATACATATATATATGTATATATGAGAACCCTTGACTCTCCCATGCCCAGAAAAGTCTCTGTTCATGGTGTCAGGGTTATAAGGAAGGCTCCTGACACTTTGACAGAAGCCAAAGAACTCCCACAGATATCTTGAGATTGTGCTGGAAGGAGGACCTAGTCCATGCCACCACAGTTTGGAAATCAGCAGCTCCCAATCCAGCAGCAGAAAGTAGAACTTCCAACCCCATGCACTCCAACATGGACAGGTATCCACACCTTGCACACCCCTCACCAGCACCTACACCAGGGAGTTCTGGTTAGAGAAGTTACGGCTCAATGAAGTGCAGCTGCAAAGCCTAGTCACTTAAAGAATAATTCACAGCCTTGGCTGCACATTGTAATCACCTGGGGGCTTTGAAAAGCAGCAAGTCTGAGTCCTCAGCCCAGAGATCCTAATTTACTTGGTCTGGGGTGTAGGGTGGCCATCAGGATTTTTGGAATCAGGTGATTCTAATTTTCAATAAGACTAAGAACCACAGATTTGGAAGCTGATTTAAAGACACTCATCCATCAACCATGCCGCAGAGCACCGACTGCTTATTTTAGCATTTTGATCCATTATCATGCTCCTTAGAAATTCTGGCAACAAATATTCATTTTCACATTAATGGAAATAAATTGCTCTTAAAATGAAGACCAGTGTAAGTGGTATTTGGCTGGAACATAATGTTTCCTGTTCAGAATACTGACAGGGCAGCAGCGGGCATACACTTGGCAGTCATTAAAGTTTTTTTTTTTTTTTTTTTTTTGAGCAACTTAATTGGAGCTTCGGCATCTATTATGTATCTTGTTTAGAAAAGTTCCTTTAAATTGAATAGACGAAGATGACTATTTTTCCCTTTCCTATATCAGAGTATTAAAAATGGGATAAATATAATCATGTATTTCACCAACACAAATTGTTGGGAAGAAAATTAATTTTCTCTCCATGTTCAACTCTCAACACACGAATACACTTTTTGAAAATACAAGAACACTGACGTGACCTAGAAAAAAGGTTTTGTCAGGGCACTCAAAGAGTTAAAGGAAAGGCCGGCCAGCTCCCTGCCTCTGGCTGCTGTGGCAGGGAGGAGGATGCTGGGAACGCTCCCCACTGAATGGCTCTTTCTCCCCTTCTTTGAGCTGGGAGTAGAGGAATGCAGTGACTCCCAGCACACCTACCATCCTGCCCATGAACATCACAAGACCCTGTTCACAGGGTGGACTCTAAAAATAAAATTCCTTGTGCCGCTGCCTGTGCCTCAGTTTTTCTGCAGGCATTCTGCATGTTTCCGCTGCTTGTTTGTTCAAAGCCTTCCAGCTACACACACAGAAGAAGGGCCCGTGGACATGAAAAAGAGCTCACATCTGTATCTGCTACTTAACAATATTTTCAATAAAGGCATAGATAATGTCTTTTTTGGTAGCAAGAAATTTAATCTAGATAATTCCGAGGAGAGTTAGCATAACCCAGAGATTTCTTAGTCACGTTCCAAAGTCTCATCCTAACGTTAGCTTAATGTCTAACATTGCTTCTCCCTTAAACCCAGATTGATTCTGCTTATGGGATGTTAGTTGGTAAGGAGCATGCATAGCCTGGAAACAGGGTCAAGAGAAGAAGCAGGAAGACTAGTTAGGAGACAGCTGCATGGGTCCAGGTGCGAAATGCTGATGATGTTTGAACTAGGATGGTGGCAGTTTTGGAAGAGTGTCAGATACTTCAAATGATTTAATATCTTAACTCTTGACTTCCCCAATAGAACAAATACCAACTATGGTAAATACAGCAGGTTTATGGCTTAATGTTCAAGTTAATAAGTATTCTCTAGGTTTACAGAATGAAAAAACCAGACATAAAGGACTCAAATGAAATAAATTTCATAAAATTTTGAGGGGGGGGCAGGAAAATACAAATACGTTCATGTCTGTAGGTCTGTGAAAAACGATACAGGTGGAAGATAATCTTACCTGTAATAACATGATGTCTGACTATGAGCTATTAGTTACAACTTAATTATTGACCCAGGAATTTCTATGTACTGTTCTATGGAAGTATTTGGGTCTCTTTAAATGAAAATGACTAGCGAGGCACTGAACATCACGGAAAGAATGCCGGATACACAATTGAAAGTGGTATGCATTTTAATAACTATCCTAGAAGAAAGCTATGGCCCCACCACACAGAGAAAACCATGCAGGGTTCTAATACCCACGAGAGAGGGAGACAAAATCTATGTATAATCATGGTTTAACAGGGGAAAAAAAACAATTTGAGTATGCATAACAATATTCTTTCCTTTTTGCAATAAAAAAGCAATAAGGATTAGTGAGAAAAATTAGGGGAAATCCCCCAGTCCTCTTTCTGACCCCTACTCTTCAGTACCTCTGGTGGCCTTGGTTTGAACACCGTCTGTGCTCTAAGAATGGTCAGTTTGCTACATACAGTTGAAAGAATTACACTTCTTGTTAGAATATTCAAATTCTTTAAAAATGTATTTTTTATACAAATGCAAAATCTGTCTCTAACTTCTACTGATTCACTGCTTCAATTTTCTTTCGTTTTTTTGAGAGACAGGGTCTTGCTCTCTCAATCATAACTCACTGCAGCCTCAAACTCCTGGACTCAAGGGATCCTCCCACTTCAGCCTCCCCAGTAGCTGGGATTATAAGCACGCGCCACCATGTCTAGCTAATTTTTAAATCTTTGTAGAGGCAGGGTCTTGCTACATTGCCCAGGCTGGTTTTGAACTCCTGGTCTTATTGGCCTCCCAAAGTGCTGGGATTACAGGCATGAGTTGCCATGTCTGGCCCATTGCTTCTATTTTCTGCTTTCCTAAAGCTTCACTGAAAAACTCAAATTCCTTCTCTTCCAGAAACCTTCAGACACTTAAGAACAGTAATCCTGGCATCCATGACATTTTCTTATCCAGGTTACAACATCTCTGGTCCCTTCATAGGGCAGCAGGGCTTCTAGTCCTGTTAGTACGGGTGCTGTCTAGATACACTCTGGCCAAAGAATGTACAGGGAGCCAATGCCCATTAAAAGAATTTTCTGGGGCGAAACAAACTATAACTCTAAAAGGAACCAACAGAACCGAAAACCCACCACAATAGTATATGCTGGAAATGTACAGCAAAGGCTGAGAAGCCTGGTGCATGTTTAGCTATTAACAGGTCATGAGTGTCTTTTGCAAGACTGGCAGATTAAAAACAATGGATTGAAGAATAAGTGGGAGGTTATGAGGCAAAAATTGTGAGTTCAGACTAGTGTTCTCAAATTTAATGTGTACATGAATCACCAGGATATTGTGTCAAAAAAGAGATTCTGATTGAGCTGTGTGACATTGGGGTGATGATTACCTTTCTCATAAGCACCCAGTTGATGCCCATGCTGCTGTGTAGGGACCACATTTTGAGTAGCAAGGGTGTAGACTATTGTCAAGTGATCTCCAAGCAGCGGCCATATTGTAAATCCATAAACAGGGTAAAAAGGAATGCTTTCAGCATACAATGAAGCCAACTTTAGCCAACAGGGAAAATATTGCTGTATTTAAGAACCTAGGTCTATCAGATATATGGTGGTTCTTTGGAGGCCATTATTTATTACCATGATCTAAGAGATGGATTTCAAAATGATCTCTAAAAAAAAACAAAATTTCCATTTTCTGCCCCAAAGTGAGAAATCCTAAATAAAGCAGTATTCCTTGAGTCATCTGTAGAGCTGTGAATGTGTCCATGTAGGCATAGAGTATACAATATTATCCATTTCACATCCTTAGTCAGTGGACTTAATCCCACTTTTCTGAATCAGGTGTGGATTATCTTGGTTGACAAGCTTCTCAAATGTATTCAGATAAAGAAGGCACTTGGAAAAATGTCAATATTTATCACTACACAGCCACATTTGAACCGTATTAATTTATACCTAGTGTTCCATTATTGGAACACCAAGCATGTAGGAGTTATTTATATCCTACTGCTCAAGGTCATCACCAAGGTCTGATTGCAAAAATTCAAAAAATTGCAACCTCAGTCATAAATGGGTTAAAATCCCCCAAAATGTCTATATATGTATGCTCACACAAATATGTATTTGTTCAGGAAAAAAAATGAAGAAAATTGTTCTAAAAATATGGGGGAGTGTTCTTCGCAAAACATATGCAAAGACAAGACACAGGGCAAATAAAACCTGAGAAAATATACAAAAGACTATAAGATTAGTTTCTTGAAGAATAAAGATGCAATTAAATTACAGAATTTAACACCTGGCATGGTACAATAAGATACCTTAGAAATAAAGAATTAAAACTTGAAGGCAAGTTTTTAGAAGTTAAAAGTTGAAGTACATGTTTTGTAGAAATTGTGGTCAAAGGTAAGAGAATAACTTCTAAGAAATGAGTGTAAAATATTGTAAAACAGCTTTAACTAGGTAGCTTTAACTAGATTAACACTGACTAAGGCTCTTGGATAACTGCATAGGCAATTCATTTTGTATAATTAAGGAGAAGAAAATCAGCCAGTGGCTGTTGTTTTACTCAGCATCTTTCAGATACAGTTATAGATAAATTCCTGATTTTAGTTAAGAAATAAAACTGGAACAAGAAAGAAAATTATATAATATGCTCAAAACTTATAGTCAAATTGCCTTAATTATTAGGACTGGCCGGGCACAGTGGCTCATGCCTATAATCCCAGTACTTTGAGAGGCCAAAGCTGTTGTCACCTGGAGAAGAAAATGTCAGGGGTGCTGGCAGATCACTTGAGGTCAGGAGTTCGAGACCAGCCTGGCCAACATGGTGAAACCCCATCTCTACTAAAAATACACAAATTAGCCGGGTATGGTGGCACGCGCCTCTAATCCCAGCTACTCAGGAGGCTGAGGTAGGAGAATCGCTTGAACCTGAGAGGCAGAGGTTGCAGTGAGCCAAGATCATGCTACTGCACTCCAGCCTGGGCAACAGAGCGAAACTCTGTATCAAAAAAAAAAAAAAAAAGGAATTATGAGGGCTCCATTAGGGTGCGTGAAGGTCGCCAGTGAAAATACAATGCCTCCGTGATACTCTGTTGGCCGGTTTTGCTGTCTAATATGACTCCAATATCTCAGGACCACTGTCACACCCACGGCCAGATAACCTCCTTCAAAATGAAATGCTCATCAGCACCTAGGGAATGCTCATTCATCTCTCAAAAGGGAGGGCTCAAACATTGCCTCCTACGAGATTTCCTGACACCCACAGCACCATATCTAGTTTGCAATTACCACGAACTTAAAATCTGTCATTTTTTTAATCAGTCTTGTCCAATAGAATGTGAACTTTCAGGCAGGGGGCAAGTCTAATTCATCTGATGTCTATAAGCCCACATGGACGTCGACTGAAAGACTGAGGGCCAGGATGAATAAGGCTGGAAGTCAGCAGCCAGGGAGGAAGGAAGCATATGGAGGAACCTGGGGCAGGCTGTGCTTTGCAACACTCATCCACCCAGTATTTAATGCTCACGGTGAGCAGCTATATCGGTAAACCACCTACTGATGCTGCTTTCAAATTCCTCCTCCTCCAACATATAAACCCGCAAACAACCAGTCATTATCCAAATGCCCTTGCCCAAGGTACTCATCAAAGCAGAAATTAGAGACAAGGTGTGGTCATCCTCTCTCCACACCCCATTGGCCTTCTGTCCTTCCAGTTTTGTTATTTTTTTAAGATGGAGTCTCGTTCTGTCACCCAGGCTGGAGTGCAGTGGCATGATCTCGGCTCATTGTAACCTCCGCCTCCTAGGTTCGAGCAATTCTCCTGCTCCAGCCTCTTGAATAGCTGGGATTACAGGCGTGCACGAGCACGCCTGGCTAATTTTTGTATTTTTAGTAGACACAGGGTTTCGCCATCTTGGCCAGGCTGGTCTCGAACTCCTGGCCTCAAGTGATCTGCCTGCCTCGGCCTCCCAAAGTGCTGGGATTACAAGCGTGAGCCACCGCACCCAGCCTTGTCCTGCCAGTTTTTCAGTAGTTAATACAGATTAGTTCAAAAACATTTCCTGCAGATCTCTAAAAGACCATAAATACCTCTTCTCATGCCAGTGAGGTGTTTTGCAGGACTGCTGAGAACCAGCAGTTCTCTTCAACGATGAAGGGGTGAATTGTTCATGTAGCACTTGAGTATTTTTGTTGTTAAAAATAATTTGTCAAATTACCGTTTCGACAAGATCATGTGGCATCTTTAGATAGATTTAGAATGTGTTGCTTTTTGAAAGCATTTCTGAATCTAGATGAAAAACTTCAGCCTTTTCCCCTAATTTATCTTTCGTTTCAATTGGAGAAAGGTCTTAAACTTGTGAAAATCCTGTCATTCTCACACATTTCATCTTCTTCCTCCTTCTAAAGAAAGTCATCCTGAGTCCTAGTCCTGCAGTGTGTTTACACAATTGTCTCCTGCTCCTAAGGATCAACTACAAAATGCAAAAATTTCCACAAATATTCCTACTTAGTATTTCGGGATGTCAAAAGTTCTGAGTTTCTTCAGAAATTTTTTCTGAAATAACTTTTCAACTCAGCTCATCAGAATGACTAACCAGAGAATACGTTCCTCTCTTTTGGGACCCTTCTGAGGTCAAATTTTCTCATGACTTATAACCCCAGTGAGTTGTTTTTTTCCCCACTTTTTCACCACTTCATCCCCGAGTAGCATTCTTTTGCTCTAATGCAGATTTCTCTGCACAAATCTGCTGATAATCTCTGCTTCTCTGTGGGCTCTGGCTGCTTTTTTTTTTTTTGGCTTATGATTTTACCACCTTCATTTTTTATTAGGTCATCAGAAGGCCCATTATCCTGAACCTTCCCACACATGTTAAGTGTTTATTTGGGAATTATGGCAATATCTTTCTGATGTTTAAATCACAGATTAGTAAAAGGAACTAAATTCCAGATGGCACTGCTGTAGCCCATGGGAATTTGTGAGAGTTAGAATTTACTAGCATTAAGGAAACACTCAAGAAAGCACTGATAGACTGTTAAATATAGTTATGAGAACTTTGGTCAAATCTAGTAATGATCTTTAGAAAAGAACATACTGATAAAGGCCTGCTTATTTCTTCCTTCTGTCCTATGCATACACAAACACCAAAATGCCTCTGAATGCAGAAATCTGCTGGCAGTTGCAGCTTGCAGGTGCTGAATTAAACGCTCCCTTCCCATCCCACTCAACAATCAGGCAGTAATGTTTTATGAAGTTTAAAGATGTGACCTCAGCCTAGAAAAACTGTGAAGACTGCTTAAGAGGAAGAAAGCATATTGGTATGCTTCTCTTTTTCTGGCCCAGAGTATGATTTGCTAATGCAGGCTGCTAAAGGGATGTGGTTATACAGAAAGTAGATTTAGGCTTGCATTCTTGTAATCGAAGCCACCAAACATGTAAAATATCGAAAACACATGAACTTAAAAGAACGAAGCCAAGCCACTCCTACTTTCGGAAGGTTGCCACCCTTGAGACATAGGTGAACTTTCAGTTTGATTTATGGCTTGATAGAATCCCAGTGACCACAGTAATCAGTTGGATTCTAGTTAAATTTATAGAAACATCTCTGGTATTATTTTTTAAGTCATCTTAATTTACTTTTCATTCTAGAGCCTTTTTCTCAGTGTGCTTCAGAGTTCAAAAAAAATTTTTACATTGGTTCTCTGCCTCCCTTCATTCCTACTTCCATCCCTCCTTCTCCCGTTCCCTCTCTCCCTCATTCATTCATGCACTCCACAATGAGTTAGCATCTACCCTGTCCCAGGCAAGGTTCTAGGCCCTGGCACTACAGAGATGATCAAGTCATAGTCCCTGTTCTTAGGGACTTACAGTTAGTGGGGGAGGAGACTTTTAAGCACACCACCTACCTTTCAAATCAATAAGGGCTGTATTAGAAACAGGGATGGTGCCGAGGAAACAACACAGTCAGAGAGCCCAGCTCTTCCTGAGGAGGAAGGTTGGGAGCTGGGTGGGAAGGTGGGTCATATCTGCCATTTCAGCTGGGTTTTTTTGTTTGTTTGTTTTTAAGATGGAGTCTCGCTCTGTCTTCCAGGCTGGAGTGCAATGGCGTGATCTTGGCTCACTGCAACCTCCACCTCCTGGGTTCAAGCGATTCTCCTACTTCAGCCTCCCGAGTAGCTGGGATTACAGGCGCGTGCCACCACACCCAGCTCATTTTTGTATTTTTAGTAGAGATGGGGTTTCGCCATTTTGGCCAGGCTGGTCTCAAACCCGTGACCTCAGGTGATCCGCCCTCCTCGGCCTCCCAGAGTGCTGGGATTATGGGTGTGAGCCACTGGGCCCAGCCTTTAGCTGGGTTCTGAGTGTGACTTTACTCCAGGAAGAAGATGAAGGGCACTCCAGATAAAGGCAGTTATGCAAAAGCACAGAGCTGTGAAAGGGCAGAAGTTCAGCGTGGCTGGGACAATGGCTGGAGGGGAAAGAGAAAGGGGTCAGGCTGCAAGTGCAAAGGTCAGCTTTTAGAAGGCAGACTCTGCTCCCTCTGCCTGGTACATGCTCATCCCAGATCTCTGCATGGCTCCTTCACACCACTCAGGCCTGGTTACCAACACCACCACCCCATAGTTCTTGCCCACATGCCCCACCCCCAAATTTATAATCCCTAGCTCTAGCCTACCTCTGTGCCCTCCAACACTTTCTCTTTCCTTCCTGGTACTTATCCCAACAGGAACCCACTATTAATTTATTTATCTGCCTGTTTATTGGGTGACATTTTTCTAACACACACTTTAGGACCCACAGATGCATAAAAAAAGAATGTCTACACTTTAAGTACTTTTGTTTTTAACATGGGAAGACTGTATTTAAATACATCTGAGTTGTCAGTCCATTAAAACAATAATAGGCCTTTACTGCTTTTTTTTCAAGTGAACACAGGAATTCCCGACTTTCTTTTACCACAAAAGTATACGAACCTAGCATTAGGCAGCAACATGGTGTTGATGAAAACACCTTTTTTGGTACAGCATGCAGAATGGTAAGGATGGGGCATGAATCTCTCTTGGCCTTGCCAAGTTATAAATTATAGAAAGGGAAATTCTGTGGCAGCAAGGGAACATCACCACAGATAGTATTTTTTTTTTTCCGGAATCTAAAAGGACCAGAAAGCATTTTGATAATCTTGTTAAAATACTTTAAAAAGGCATGGTATTAAATTGATGGACTCTAAATTACCTGAAAATTAATTATTCTTGGGTCAGGTGAAAAAGTATCCACTGAATGCTTATTCACTCTCCACAAATATTCCATCATGTCTCATTCAGGCATTTGTACTAGGTCTGAGTGAAATACAAAGATGAATCAGACCTCAGGTAGCTTATCATCATAAATAATGCTAAGGCCTGTCTGAAAGCCCCAAATACCACAAGACAGGCAAAGAGGATGCACTTGAGGGTAGATGGTGCTTCAGCACAAGGAGAACAGCAGCGTCAGGCAGGGCTTTGAAGTAAAGGGAGAACGCAGCCCTGCTGAAGTGACGAGCGCATTTCAGGTAGATGCGGGAAACTGAAAGGTGCTAGTGAGAAGCAGCAAGTTCAGTTTGGTGGAAGAGGAGTACTAGAAAATCCGAGGCTGGGTGCAGTGGCTCACGCCTGTAATCCAGCACTTTGGGAGGCTGACACAGAGAATCGCTTGAGTCCAGGAGTTCAACACCAGTCTGGGCAGCATGATGAAACCCCATCTCTACTAAAAATACAAAAATTACCTGGGCCTGGTGGCGGGCGCCTGTAATCCCAGCTATTCAGGAGGCTAAGGCAGGAGAATCACTTGAACCTGGGAGGCAGACGTTGCAGTGAGCCAAGATTGTGCCACTGCTCCCCAGCCTGGGAGACAGAGCAAGACTCGATAAAAAAAAAAAAGAAAAGAAAATCCCAGGCTGGGTGCAGTGGCTCACACCTGTAATCCAGCACTTTGGGAAGCTGACATGGGGGAACTGCTTGACCCCAGGAATTCAACACCAGCCTGGGCAACATGGTGAAACCCTGTTTCTACTGAAAATACAAGAAATTTGCCAGATGTGGTGGCACATGTCTATAGTCCTAGCTACTCGGAAGGCTGAGGCGGGTGGAACACTTGAGCTGGGGAGGTCGAGGCCTGCAGCAAGTGATGATGGCATGCACCACTGCACTCCAGCCTGGGCAACAGAGAGAGACCGCTCTCAAAAAAAAAAAAGAAAGAAAGAAAAGAAAATCCTGTTTGAAGGTGGATTATAGGGCTCCCCCACCCTATGCTTAATCTGCAGAAAAGGGAGATTGATCAAAGGTTTTGCATGGGCACAGTAAGATGTCCAGAAGAATGCTTCGGGAAGAACAGGACACCCACATGCTGGACTAGAGAGGAGCAAATCTGCAGAGGATGCCTCAATGGAGGTCCTCGGCAGCCTAGGGAAGAATGATGTCAGTGCAGATGGAACAGAGGAAACGGGGCTGAGGCACGTTCCTGGGGTCCACTGACAAGATCTCGATGCTTCAGATGTTGGGGAAACCATTATTCTATTCACGCAGTTGCCCATTCCAGAAATATGAGGTTGTCGTCTCCTCCTCAATCCACTGAATCATGAAGTCCCATCAATTCTACTTCCTGCTGAGTCCATTTACTCCTCTCTATCTATATGGCCCATCTGGTCTCCTAACGCATGCAACTCCACTCCATTCGCAACACAAAATTCATGTTGATCTTTTTAAAAATGCTAAGCTGATAATGGCATTCTCTTACATGAAAAAAAAACCTTTAATGGCTCAGAAAGAGGCTGAAAACCCTTCACTTTAGTCTCTAATGCCCTGCTTAGCTGTGTTCCTGCCTCCCTCTCCAGCCGCATCCAGCTCCTCTCTGCTCCCTGGCTTCCTCCTAGATCCTCATGCACAACTCAGCTCTTCCCTGTTTCCGCCACCCCAAGAAATGCTCCTCACTCTTCACCTAGGCCCTCAGACACAGGGTCTCCTCTCCCAGCCCTCTAAACTTCCCTTTGAGCACATAATTTGTAATTCAATAGCTGGAAAGCAGCCATGGTGCAGTGGCTCATGCCTGTAGTCCTAGCACTTTGGGAGGCCCAGGCAGGAGGACCGCCTGAGCCCAGGAGTTCAAGATCAGCCTGGGCAACATAGTGAGACTCCGACTCTTCAAAAAATATAATAAAATGAAATAATTAGCTGGGCATGGTGGCACACGCCTGTGGTCACAGCTAAGAGCCTGGGAGGTCAAGGCTGCAGTGAGCCATGATCTTGCTACCACACTCCAGCCTGGGTGACAGAGCAAGACTCTGTCTCCAAAAAAAAAAAAAAAAAAAAGTTAAAGTTGAAAAGCTACTTTTTAATGACAATTTCCCTAGACAAGTGCCCTCTGCTCCAGGCTAACCGTAACCATACAGGCTAGAATAGTATCTTGTATACAGAAGGCACTCATTAGATGAACAGATGAATAAGAAGCAAGGAGTCAAAGATGACACTGAGGTTTCTAGTCAGGGTGACTAGAGAGAAAACACTATCACTGGTAAGCAAAGGGGTGTAAGTTAAAAGGAAAAAATTATGACATTAAAATTGGAAGTTGAAAAATATGTTCAGCAGATTGATGGAAAAGTAGAAATGGAGCTAAGGAGAGAAGAATGGGCTAGAAATATGTACTTGAAAGTCACTGTCACACTTTGGGAGGCCAAAATGGGCAGATCGCTTGAGCCCAGGAGTTCAAGACGAGCCTAGGCAACATGGCAAAACCCCGCCTCTACAGAAAAAAAAAAAACACTACAAAAATAAGCCAGGCATGGTGGTGCATGCCTGTAGTCCTAGCTACTGGAGAGACTGAGGTGAGAGGATCACTTAAGCCTGGTAGGCAGACGTTGCAGTGAGCTGAGATGGTACCTCTGCACTCCAAACTGCATGACAGAGCCAGACCTGTCTCAAAAAAACAAAATGCAGGTCACTTTCATTGAGCTGGGCATGGATGCTATACAGCTAAGTCAGAGTGCAATGAAATGATCTCTCTGAATATGTCTTTCCAACTAGACTAGAAGCTCCTTAAGGGTATTGCCTTTTTGTTGCTGTTGTTGTTGAGACAGTCTCTCTCACTGTCGCCCAGGCTGGAGTGCAGTGGCGCAATCTCGGCTCACTGCAACCTCCGCCTCCCTGCAACCTCCGCCTCCCGGAAGGGTATTGCCTGTGTTGTACTCATCTCTTTATCATAAGTGTCCTAAATAATGAAAGAACAATTCTTCAAGAGAAAAGGAGTGGTCAGCCCCTTTACCCTCCTGTCAAGGAAAATTAAGCCTGAAGGTCATACTATTGGATGCTTAAAGGCCCTGCCGATTCATCACAAGACAGTTTCCACAAACTGATGGGAGAGAGACACTTGCAAGGCTTAGGTGAGTAACATGAGTCACTTTTTCTAGATTATCAGAGCATTGTCAGCACTGAGGGGCTGATGGCCCGGTGCATGTGGATAAGGTCTCCTTTTCCTCTTCCATCTCATTAGGAAGACTGACCCCAAGACTCCAAGAGACACTTTCTCAAGTGTGCATAGGCTTTCTCTTCAGAACCACACGAAGCTCAGAAGCAAAGCTCATTTTGGCTTTCCAGTATCTCTATGGTTTTCCAGCAAATCAAGGTGAACACCCGAGAAAACTCAGGTTTCAGTGCTGCAGTAGAAATCGATAGGAAGACTTTGGCCTGCTTTGGTTCTAGACCATTCAAGTCATCTAGCCCAGGGAAGGTGTCGTAGGGTTCCAGCCTGGCTCACCAGAGTTTTATGCTGGGACGTGGGGCAAGAGCCACGTGCAATAATCAAGAGATGCTTTGCCTTGGTTTATTTTCTGACTACATACCTACCTCTAGGACTTTTCAAGAAAATAAGTTCCAGGGAAAGATTGTGGTATTCCTTAGCAACCCAGCCAAATACAACTATAACAGCATCTCAGTTTCAACACAGTTTACAGGAAGTAAGAGAGTCAGGGCTGGGTCTTTGGAGAAATAAGCTCAAGGGAGATGTTTCTGTGTTGGGAAGCAAGAATTTATGAGCTGTCTGTCTAGTCAGATAGCATCACAGATTTGTAAATAATGTTCATAATAATTAGCAAGATTCCTTTCTATTACTGTGTTTACCAATTGGAAATATGAGAAGATCAACAGACATTAATCAGAGAACTCATTTTATAGATTTATTTATTTATTTTTTATTTTTTTTTTTTTTTTTTGAGACGGAGTTTCGCTCTTGCTGCCCAGGCTGGAGTGCAGTAGCGCAATCTTGGCTCACTGCAACCTCCACCTCCTGGTTCAAGCGATTCTCCTACCTCAGCCTCACAAGTAGCTGGGATTACAGGCATGCGCCACCACACCCAGCTATTTTTTGTTTTTAGTAGAGATGGGGTTTCACCTTGTTGGTCAGGCTGGTCTGGAACTCCTGATCTCAGATGATCCACCTGCCTCGGCCTCCCAAAATGCTGGATTCCAGGCATGAGCCACTGTGCCCAGCCTCATTTTATAGATCTTAGAGGCTTCTTTTCATAACTGAAATATCTGAATATATTTTAGGGAACACAAAAATAAAACCATTTAAAGTGGCAAAGTGGTAATAGGAGAGTTATATAAAAGTATTAGAACTAAATAGCCTTTCTGTAAATAATTAAAACTTATTTTAATACCAGCACCCAATGCACAACTTTTGCTAAAATATTGAGAGTACATTAGGCACTTTGGTAATTTAGGAACAAATGCTATTTTGATTTTACTTTCTCTTAGATACACTGCAGATCAATGTCATCATGTCATACTAAAATTTAAGGTTCAACAATCTTCATGCCTTTTAAAAGTAATCTTCTTTGCCCTGCAAATTTGTTCTTATATAATATTTTAGAGCACTAAAAAAAATTACATAACAAAGCCTTGCAGTTTTTCATTTTTATTATTTTGACTAATTTTTATCCTTTAAGATGTTCCCATGATAGAATTTTTAGTCTCATAACTTTACATATGATGAAAACTGAACGAAAATGACAACAGTCTCTGAATTTACACTGCATTTATACCTCTCAAGAGACATTCTTCCAGGACTTCAAATTCATAAATATATCTTTCGTTTCCCATTTTTTTAAAAAAGCCATGGGCCTTGCCCACCCCCTCAACCACTTTCAAGTGGCATGCCAAATCATTTTTGCAGTGTGGGCAGTCAATCCAGATCTAGATTCTTAGACTTCAGAAGCAAATCCTCTTTACCCCTCCTTTACCTATGGATTAGAAAAATCAATAAAAGAGACTAGCAGGAAGCAAATGACAAATTCATAAGTGAAGACTCTGTTTATACTTTAATAATTTACAAGGAATCAATTATTAGGTATCAGTGTATTCTGCCTTGATTAAAACTGTTAGTCTATCCAAGAAAATAAAAATGTATTTTGAGTTTTTGCACATCTTACATTCACAGTAGGAATCCTGTTTCTGCCTATGTTTCTATGAGTCAAACCTGTATTAAATATAGACTTTTGGCCAGGCATGGCGGCTCACGCCTGTAATCCCAGCCCTTTGGGAGGCCGAGGCAGGCAGATCACTTGAGGCCAGAAGTTTGCGACCAGCCTGGCCAACATGGTGAAGCTCTGTTTCTATCAAAAATACAAAAAAGTAGCCAGGTGTGGTGGCAGGCACCTGTAATCCCTACTCAGGAGGCTGAGGCACAAGAATCACTTGAACCTGGGAGGTGAAGGTTGCAGTGAGCCAAGATTACGCCACTGTACTCCAGTCTGGGCAACAGAGTGAGATTGTCTAAAAAAAATAAAATAAAAGAATAGACTTTTGAAAGTAAAATGTTACTCTATATAGCCTTACTTATTCATTCAAAAAATATTTATTGACTAAGTATTATGTGCCTGAACATAGGCTGAACAATACAGGCAAAGACGAACAAGAAGTTGATTCATGAATGTACCATGTTCCTATAAAGATAAAAAGGCAAAAGTCAGTAACAAAAACCCACATTGTAACCTAAGAATAATATGATCCTGAGAAAATCTTCAAAGAAGAAAGCTTCCTAAAATAACCTTTATACTAAAACTATATATATATATATATATATATATATAAAGTTTGAGACAGAGTATCACTCTGTCACCCAGGCTGGAGTGTAGTGGCACAATCACAGCTCACTGCAACCTCTACATCCTAGGCTCGAGCGATCCTCCCACCTCAGCCTCCTGAATAGCTGGGACTACAGGCATACACCACCACATCCAGCTAATTTTTTCTATTTTTTGTAGAAACGAGGTTTTTGCCATATTGCCCAGGCTCATCCCAAACTCCTGGGCTCAAGCGATCTGCTCACCTCAGGATTATAGGTGTGAGCTACCGCACCCAGCCCTCTATTTTTTTTTTTTTTTTTTTTTGGAGCAACATGGCTGTTTATTTCACCTGGGTGCAGGTGGGCTGAGTCTGAAAAAAGAGTCAGCAAGGGTGGTGGGATTATCATTAGTTCTTATAGGTTTTGGGATAGGCGGTGGAGTTAAGAGCAATGTTTTGGGGGCAGTGGGTGGATCTCACAAAGTGCATTCTCAAGGGACCCAGCCCTCTATTTTCAAAGAATAGGTTCTATCTAATATTATCATGGTAAATATCCATATTAGTTTAAGAGAGAAATGAAAATAATTTTTGAATCCTGTTCTTACAGACATCAAAGAAAGCAGGACAGAATGCACATTGCACTATTCAATTTGTTGATTTGTCCTCTGTCATCTTGTGGAGAGTGATAGAGTATTTTTTAATTTCTTCAATTAGGATAGTCCAATTGCAATAAGGTGGCATAAACATGCTGTCTCATGCTTAAATAGTAAAGACTAGTCAGCAGTCAGTTATATATATAATTGTCACCAGTCTACAATTTTTTTTCCTTATAGAAACAACAAACATAAGGCCATTTAGTACTAGTAAATCCTATCATAAATCTCAAGGCACATGCCATCTTATATATTAATTAGCTCTCTCTTTGGGCCATAACAACTAAAAGAAAAGGCAAAAGATTTTCTAAATAAAGCTCTTACATGAGGTATTATTTATGAAAATGATCAAGTCCTTAATTCACATATATTCAGTGAATGTAATTAATGGTATTATTTGTTAATTTATTGATTCAATAAATACTACTAAGGTCTCATTTTTGTGTTCCCTAAAATCCATATGTTGAAATCCTCACCCCCCAAGGTGATAATATTACGAGGTGAGGGCTTTGGGAAGTGATTAGGTTAGGAGGGTGGAACCCTCATGAATGGGATTAGTGCCCTTATAAAACACTCCAGGCCAGGCACTGTGGCTCACGCCTGTAATCCCAGCACTTTGGGAGGCTGAGGTGGGTGGACCATCTGAGGTCAGGAGTTCCAGACCAGGCTGGTCAATGTGTCGAAACCCTGTCTCTACTGAACATAGAAAAATTAGCCAGGCATGGTGGCACAGGCCTGTAATCCCAGCTACTCGAGAGGCTGAGGCATGAGAATGGCTTGAGCTGGGAGGCAGATGTTGCAGTGAGCTGAGATTGCACCACTGCACTCCAGCCTGGGTGACAGAGCAAGACTCTGTCTCAAAACAAAACGAAACAAAACAAAAAACCAGAGAGAAGCTCCAGAGAGGAGAGATCCCTCTCCTTTTTTGCCCCATGCGATAACAGAGAAAAGACAGCTATTTATGAGGAAGTGGGCCCTCACAAACACTGAATCTGCTGGTGCCTTGATCATGCACCTTCTAGCTTCCACAACTGTGAGAAAATACATTGCTGATGTTTATATGCCACCTCGCTTATGGGAGATTATGGCAGCCAGAACTGAATAGGACAAATACTTGTAGAGCACCTATTACATGTGAGCACTACGGGCACAAGAATAAAGAAAATAGACCCTAACTTTAAAAAAAAAAAAAAAAAAACGAACAGTCAGCCAGGAGGCTGGCCACTAAAATGCAAGAGTGCATGCAGCAGGCACTGTGGGAAGACAGAAGAGTAGATCCCAGGTGTCTGGGCAGGGCTGTGTGGAGGACAGAAGGTTCTCAGAGCTGTCCTGCAGGATGCCACGCAGCCTGGGAAGAAGCCAGGAGCCTGGGGGAATTGTTCTCGCATCCCAAATCAGTGGTTCCAGCAACTGTCAACACAATAAAACTACAGAACTTGAAAGGGGAAAATGGGAAAATAAGCACAGAAGGACAGATGTGCACCAGGGTGAGGAGATCCCAACCTCTTTATTAGAGAAAAGACCGGCAACCCTGCGGCTGGGGCTGGTCACAGAAAGGGGGCCTTGTGAGAGGGGCTGCGATGAGGCAGATGGATGCCAAACCTCAAAAGGCTTTGCTGCTGTGCTAGCAAATTTAGTTTCCTCCCACAGCTGGTCAGGAGCCCAGTGAACTCTAAGCAGGAAACTGCACTGATCAGAAGATAATTTCATAGTAACTACTCCGACAGCACAGAGAAGCGATGGAGAAGGAAGGGAAGAAGGGAAAGCCACTGAATGGCCCACTTGAGACCAGAAAAGGTCAAAAGTTTGAGGCAGATATAACGCATTTGGGGAGGACTGGGCATTCTCCTAACCAGACAGCAATCCTGCCGAAAATTAAAATGAGTAGAGCGTCTGTTCACCAACCAAATATTAGAAAAAGGAAACAACATAATCTTGAAATGAACTCTGCAGCCTTTTAAAATTTAAAATCCATGACCCTACAGAAAGTTATGCAAATATTTTTTGTTTCTAATTTTAGCAGAGAACAACACTGTCAGTCTGGAGTAAGTGACAAAAATAAGAAAGGGAAGTCTATCCTGATGCCCAGCCAGGGAAAAATGGGAAGAAAGAGAAGAGAAGAGAAGAGACAGAGAGGTAAATGGGAAGGGAGAGGGTATGGGAATGAGCACACAGAAAACAGAGCTCCTGACTTTGTACGGTTAAAGCTGTAAATGTTTTGTTCACCAAGTAGAGGAATCCATGCTTTTTCCAAATATAGACAGTACATTTGATAGGATACACAGCCAAGAGCTGTCTGCCCATGCTTGCACATGACCCTCAGGTGTTCCATGGACAAAGATTAGGGAGAGAGGGTGGCTCATGTGCCTCAACTGGTTCAGCAATGGGCAGCATCAGAAATAAGACAGTGAGTGTGTGAGGGTAAGGGGGGAAGAGAGCTTAGTTCAAGAAAAGTATAAAAAGAAAAATAAACTCCTAGTTGAGTTTCTAAAGCCAAGTGGAATTAAACAGGGTAAAGCACCGAGGGAAATTATACCAGGGAAAGTACACTTCCTGTCCTCTGTCTTTATCTGGAAACTATAATGCTTGCTGCAAGCTCCTCTAGGGACAGGCAGGTTGCAGGTGAATTAAAGCAGTCCACAAACCACATGCCAATGTCTGCATTGCCCCTGGGGAAAGTCCTCTCCCCCTTCCTCCTCCCAGTCTCCTGGAGGTTTCTAGCACCATTGCTACCCTTGTACTCTCTGTGAATCCACCCCTTCATTGCCTTGCCCTCTTCACAGCTAGAGAATAAAAATGGCAAATGCTGCCTATTTCCAAGGCTGCAATGAAATAATACATACCGGATGCATGTTAGCATTATGTATCTTTTATTTACTTTATATTATTTACTTATTCATTTATTTTGAGACAGGCTCTCACTCAGTCACCCAGGCTGGAGTGCAGTGGCACAGATCACTGCAACCTCCACCTCCCAGGCTCAAGCCGTCCTCCCACCTCAGCCTCTCAAATAGCTGGGACCACAGGTGCACGCCACCATGCCCAGCTAATTTTTTCATTTTTTTGTAGAGACGGGGCATCACTATGTTGCCCAGGCTGGTCTCAAACTCCTGGTGTATCTTTTTAAAAGGTAACCATCTCTGTTTTCCTGCATAACTAGTCATCTAAGATGAAGTCTTGGATGAGTAAACAGGATTTTTACAAGATTGTTCATTGCCTTCTCTACTTCAAACATCAGCAGGGTAGATCTTTAGCTGTCTTGTCTCTGTTCAACCATTTAATCTCAATATGCCCAAAGATGTGGGGAAACAGGTCAGTTTACAAGCATATGCTCTTCTGACTGGTTAGCAAAAAGTCTCAGGTGCAGTATTCTGACAGTGTGTTTTCTACCCACCCTATCTATAGAAACTGAAAATTTACAGAGGGAAAAAAAAGTTTTCACGCAAAGCTTATTCTTGCTGAATCTATTCAGGTACCTTCTATTTTGAATTTCAATTGCTACTTTTTCAAAATCTGATGACTGTTCTCAAGGCCTCAGTTTCCCTCTATGACTTGGCTATCTGATGGATGCAAAACAGGCACAGAGCTACTGCTGTGGTTTGAACAGTTGTCCCCTCCAAGTGTCATGGTGAAATTTAATCTCCAATATGGGCGTATTGAGAGGTGGGGCCTCTAGGAGGTGACTGGGTCATGATGGCTCTGCTCTCATGAATGGATTAATCCATTAACAGGTTATCGCAGGAGTGGGACTGGTGACTAAAGAGGAAATGAGACCTAAGCTAGCCTCCTTGCCATGTGATACTCTGCACCACCTTGAGACTCTGCAGAGAGTACCCACCAACAAGGAAGCTCTCACCAGATGCGCCCCCTTGACCTTGGACTTCTCCACCTCCAGAACAGTACAAAATAAATTTCATTTCTCATAAATTACTCAGTTTCAGAAATCCTGTTTAAGCAACAGAAAATGGACTAAGCTACTGCCCTGCTGATCAGCCAGCCACCTGTACATGTGCACACCCAGATGACATATGCAAGAATGTTCAGACCATGGTAGATGTTTCCAAAGATGGCCCCCATCAAGTCCTTACCCCTGTGCATGCATATGCCCCTTCTCCCATTCAGTTACCCCCCTTCCCTTGAGACTGAGTTGGTGCTGTAACTGCTTTTACCAATAGGATGCAGACAAAAATAATGTTCTGAGAATTTCGAGATCAAAACCTAACAGACTGATAGCTTCCATGTCCTTCTTCTTGGAACATTCACTCATAGAATGCTCCCTCTCAGAACACAGATACCATGAGAGAAGTCCAACCGGGTCATGTGGAGAGGCCACATGGAAAAGAACTGAGGCCCAACAGCCCACACCACCTTCCAGTCATGGGAATGAACCTTATTGGATGTTCCAGCTTTGTCAAACCCCCAGATGGCTTCAGACCCAACCAAGTTTATGTGAAACAGAAGAGTCACACAGCTGAACCCACTCAACCCACTAAATTGTGAGAGATAATAACAGGTTGTTGTTTGAAGCCACTACACTTTTTTGTGGTTATGCCGCAACAGAAAAATGAAACGCAGACCTCTCAAAATCACAAGTCCACACTGTGAATATATAAATTTTAGCAAAGCACCCACTATAGGCCTGCTTCTTTAATATATATTTTCTCAGTTAATGCTCAAAACTATGCTAAGACATCAGCTTTCTCATGGCAGAGAGATTATGTAAGAGGCAGAACTGAAACTCAAGGCACACTTCCTGGCCCTAATTGATGTGTTTGTCTCACTGCATCTCAGAAGCTGGGACAAGTGACTCTGCGGGGTCAATTCTCAGCTCTCTGAACATGTATCTGCTTTGGGGATCAGTATTACCATGTGTGTTTTCAGGATCATGCTCTTCTATCATGTAGCCACCAATGTGCGGCAATGGAGAACTTTTTATACAGTATCCTAACAAAAATTAGGAAGTCATCATTAGATTCCCCCAATCAAATGTATAAGACAGTACAGAAACATAATAAAAGCACATCTAAAAGCCTCTTGGTAGATTCATGCATCAGATAAGATGATGGGTTATACAAACTCTGAAGTCCTTTTTCTTCCAGCAATCTATGACCTGCCAAGCGCTGTGCATAATTCCTTACGTGCATGATCTCATTTAACTTTCTCAATAAGCCTATACTTATAAAGCAGAAACTGTTTTCTTTAGAGGTCTTTGGGGTCTTACTCTGTTACCCTGCTTGGTATGCAGTGTGCAAACACAGCTCACTTTAACCTCAAACTCCTACACTCAGGACATCCTCCCACCTCCACCTCCTGAGTAACTGGAACTACAGGCAAACACCACCGTGAGCAGCTAATTTAACTTATTTATGTATTTATTTTTTATTTGTTTATTTTTATCTTTTTTTATTTTTTTATTTTTTTGAGACAGAGTCTCGCTCTGTCGCCCAGGCTGGAATACAGTGGCGCCATCTCGGCTCACTGCAACCTCCACCTCTTGGGTTCAAGCAAATCTCCTGCCTCAGCCTCCCAAGTAGCTGGGATTACAAGTGCCCACCACCATGCCTGGCTAATTTTTTTTTTTTTTTTTTTTTTGTATTTTTAGTAGAGACAGGGTTTCACCATGTTGACCAGGCTGGTCTCGAACTCCTGACCTCAGGTGATCTGCCCGCCTCCACCTCCCAAAGTGCTGGGATTACAGGTGTGAGCCACTTTGCCCGGCAGTAACTGCTTTTATCTCCACCTTATAGATGAGAAAACTAAGGCTTAGAGAAGCAAGAACACAGAAATAGTAAGTGGCAGAGCCAAGATTAAACACCACAGGTCTCCCAGATCCACAGTCTAAATTTTGTCATAAAATATACAGTTTCCATTCCTGCACTAGGAACATAATTTGTGGACTTGCTTGGATTATACATATTCCAAGAAATTGTCCCAACTCCCAAAGAGCCATCCCAGCTGCACCACAGGTCATGAGGTGTGCAAGAATCTATCTGGTACAGCATAAAACCATGGAAGCTGCAGGTAAAGCCAGAACCCAAGCCAACTTCCACTTCCCACCCTGGGGAGAAGTTGGAGACTGAGTGTATAAACACTAAGCCTACAAATCTGCACCAACTGTTCTATGGAATAAACTTCTGAATTGCAGCTCTAGTTTATCTTTCAGAACAAGGCCAAGCAATAACTCCGTAAAGAAATGCCTACAAGGATGACCTCTGGAAACACTTCATAATTTAAAAACCAGAATAGCTGGGCACCACTGATCCCACAGCCAAGTAGGTCAAGGCTGTGGCCCCTGCCAGTTCTACAAATTCATATCTGCTTTATCTGAATTCATTCAGGGTCATGAATAGAAGGGTAGGTTATCTGAAGTTCTGACGTCTTCCCTTCATTACCAGACATACCAGCCAACAACTGGGTTTTAGGGTACTGAGTACAAGGACATCTGGCTCAACAAAACTGAACAAGTCAGAATTTGCGGTTGGGAACAGAGGTCATTAAAGGATTTACACAGCAAAGAGCATGTCAGTGTGATCTCCAAATTTAAGGTAACATTTCAGAGAAGGTTTCATATCAGATCAACATAAAACCAATTTAAATCTATAATAAACTCCATTTCTTCATCTTGTATCTTAATGCTAAAATGTACTCTGCAAAACACAGGATGCTAAACTATGCACCCTGGATATATTCACAGATAGGAATTACTTCCAGAAAGAGCATGAACTAGTAAGCATATTACAGGAAAATTAATTTTTATAAGTTTTTTTCTTACAAAAATCAGAGTCTTTACACAGTATCCTAACAAAAATTAGGAAGTTTCATTAGATTTCCACTATCAAATTTACAAGGCAATATAGAAACATAGTAAAAGCACATTTAAAAGCCACTTGGTAGATTTATGCATTAGATAAGGTGATAAATTATATGACCTCTAAAGTTCTATTTCATATATGTATATATATTTGCATAAGAAACTAAATCACAAAGGACAAGTTTATCTCTATAATAAATCTTTCAAAAAATATTCTGACTTTCCACACTGAAATATTTAAGTTTTAGGTAAGAGGTAGATAAGGTAAGTGGTGATTCTCATTTATTTCAAAGCCAGAGTCTACTAACACCCATAATTCATAAGCACTAAACCCACGGGAAAGAGGGAAGGAAGACAACATAAAGGAGGGAAGGAGCAAAGAAATAAAGGAGAGAGAATAGAAAGGAAGGAAGAAAAGAAAGGAAGGAGAAAGAAGGGAGGAAGGAGGAGGGAGGGGACTAAAGGAAGGGAGGGGTGAGGAAGGAGGAAGGAAGAGAGGAGGGCAGGGAGGGAAAACCACCCACCGCTGGGCTGTGATAAATGACAATAAATCCCAAAACCCTGAAAACCTGAAAACTGCAATCTACAATTCACTGATCAGTTCAGTAGTCACTAGGTAAGAAGCAAAACTTGAGTCCAGCTGTCATGAAAATCAAGAAATGTAAATGAAACAAAAAGGAAAAAAAAATGTCATGACAAAAGAAAGAATATCGGGGACAGTTAAAAATAGGAGGAAGATCTAACTGCCTTTTTTGCAGAAATTAACAAGCCTAAAATTCATATGGAAATACAAGGTAACCAAAATAGCCTAAACAGTCTTGAAAAAGAAGAAAGCTGGAGGCCTCACACTTCCTGATTTCACAACTTTTTACAAAGCAAAAGTAATCAAGACTATGTGGTACTGGCATAAGGACAAAAACATAGATCAATGGAAATCAAATGGAGACTATGGGAATAAACTCACACATTTATGGTCAATTGATTTTTTACAAGGGTGATACGAAAATCCAATGGCGCTAAGAAAATCCAATGGCAAAAGAATGGTGTTTTCAACAAATGATGCTGGGACAATTAGATATCCACATGCAAAAGAATGAAGCTGGCCCCCTAACTCACATGATAGATAAAAATTAACTCAAAATGGAGCAATGACCTAACTGTAAGAGCAAAAATATCTAACTCTTAGAAGAAAACATAGGTGTAAATCTCTGTGACATTGAATTGGGCAATGCTTTCTTACGTAAGACAACGAAAGCACAAACAACAAAAGAAAAAACAGATAAATACGGACTTCATCCAAATTAAAACATTTTGTGCTTCAAAAGACATTATCAAGAAAATGAAAAACAACCCACAAGATGATAGAAAATATTTGCAAATCATATATTTGATAAGGGGCTTGTATCCAGAATAGATACAGACTATTACAACTCAGGAATAAAATGACCAATTTAAAAATAAGCAAAGAATCTGAACGGACAGTTCTCCAAAGATATACAAATGGCCAACAAACACATGAACAGAGGTCAACACCATTAGTCATTAGGTAAATGCAAATCAAAACCACAGTAAGGTACCACTTCACATCCACTAGGATGGCTTAATAAAAGACAAGATAATAACAAGCACTGGTGAAGATGTTGAGAAACTGGAACCTTCATTCATTGTTGGTACGACAAAATGGTACAGCCACTTTAGAAAATGGCTTGGTGGCCAGGCATGGTGGCTCACGCCTGTAATCCCAGCACTTTGGGAGGCCAAGGTGGGTGTATCACTTGAGGTCAGGGGTTCGAGACCAGCTTAGACAACTTGCTGAAACCCCATCTCTCCTAAAAATTCAAAAGTAGCCAGGCATGGTGGCAGGTGCCTGTAATCCCAGCTACTTGGGAGGCTAAAGCAGGAGAATCGCTTGAACCCAGGAGACGGAGGTTGCAGTGAGCCAAGATCGTGCCACTGCACTCCAGCCTGGGTGACAGACACAGTGAAACTCCATGTCAAAAAAAAAAAAAGAAAGAAAATGGCTTGGTGATTCCTCAAAAAGTTCAGCATTGAATTACCGTATGACCCAGCAATTCCACTCCTAGATATATACTTAAGCAAGCTGAAATCATGTCCACCCAAAAACTTGACATGGATATTCATGGTTTATTCATGACAGTCAAAAAGTGGAAACAATCCAAAGGTCCATCAGCTGATGAATGGATAAACAAAAGGTGTTCAAGCACCATACAACAGGATAGTATTCAGCCAGAAAAGTGAATGAAGTACAGATCCCTGCTACAACATGGATGAAGCACGAAAGCATTATGCTAAGTGAAAGAAGCCAGTCACAAAATGCCACATATTGTATGATTCCACTTCTAAGAAATACCTAGAATAGGCAAATTTACGGAGACAGCAGATTAGTGGTTGCCAAAGGCTGGGTGAAGGGAGATATGGGGAGCAACAGCAAATTGGTACAGGGTTTATTTTTGAGGTGCCAAAAATGTTTTGGAATTAGATATTGGTGATGGTTGCACACTTTATGAGTCTACTGAAAACCACCAAATTGTACACAGTACTTTAAAATGGTTACTTTTATGGTCTATAAGTTATCTCTCAATTTTTAAAATAAATTTAAAAATAGAAGAGAGAAGTATACAGAAGTGGGTTAGGGGTAACAGTAAACAGAAAAACAAATAGGAGAGGGAAGAGGGAAGCCCACCAGCACTGAGTATTCAATGGGCAGGCTCCATATCACATTCACTTTTTATCCCTAACGTCTGGCACTGGCACACAAGGCTGACCCAACCAATGTGCACTGAAGGAAGGGAGGAAGGGAAGGAAGGAAGGAAGGAAGGAAGGAAGGAAGGAAGGAAGGAAGGAAGGAAGGAAGGGAGGGAGGGAGGGAGGGGACGGGAGGGAGGGAGGGAAGGGAGGGAGGGAGGGAGGGAGGGGAAGGGGAAGTGGAAGTGGAGAGAAGGGAAGGGAAAGGAAGGAGAAAGGGAGGGAGGGAAGGAGGAAGAGAAAAAGAGACAGTGGGAGGAAGGAAGGAAAAGGTGAAGTTTAAAATAGACAGCTACTATATACATCAGTAAGTCCTATGCTACACTAACAGTGACTAAAAGACTGCTACTCAGTTTGCCTCTTCCTGCAATGGAAGGGGAGACCATGTTCAAAATAGGTTTCAAAATATTTGGCTTTATAATGGCCTCCCTTTTTATTTTTATTTATTTTTATTTTTTGAGACAGAGACCATGTTTATTTTTTTGAGACCATGTTGGGGCATCTCTCCCCTAATGGATGGACTGAGGCATATGGTAAAAGGGAACTCTAAGCCCCTTTCACAAATTATATTACAGTATAATACAATACATACAGAACAGTGCACTGTTTATAATAGCAATTCTGGGCAAAGTAGAAAAGGTTAAATTATCTTCAGTATAATCCTTAAAAGCAAGGGAAAAGATTTTTCATACAAATAACTGATATATTTCAGACCATGCCATGACCAAATACTATGTGTTATTTAAAGAAATGTTAAGTTTATAAATTTCACTTAGCCCAAAAATTGTTTCTTCTCATCAATCATAGTACATTTCAATACAGACGTATTACTTTTCCTATATCATACAACAAAATAAATTCAAAATGGAGGTAAGAGTCAAGTGTAAAAATAAAATATATTAAACTTTATAGAATAAAATATAGGCCAGATGCAGTGGCTCACGCCTGTAATCCCAGTACTTTGGAAGGTTGAGGCAGAAGGATTGCCTGAGCCCAGAAATTCGAGGCCGCAGTGAGCTATGAAGGCACCACTGTACTCCAGCCTGGGCAACACAGCAAGACTTTGTCTCTCAAAATAATGAAATAAAACACAAATGAATACTTCTCGGATATATGTATGAAGCAAGAATCTGCACTTAAAAGGGATAATTTTGACTAATTAAAAAATCTGTCAGGAATTCACACAAAAATTATCATAAACATAAAACTGAGGAAAAATATAATAAATTTTTAAAAACAAAGGGATAATATTCTTAATATGTATACAACTCCTTATTATATTAAAGGAATCTAAAGCACATTTCTGGTTTTAAACACTAGATGTCATTTAATGTGATGTTAGGAACTAGACATGGAAACCAATTTCTGTATGAAAGTACGTTTGAGGCTCCTGTGGGCCAGCCAGCAGGTATGGAGAGTAGAGCAGATGCTTAACCTACAGCTCTGAGGTCTGGGCTACAAATATGAATTAGGGAGTCATCCGATACTCAAAAAGGCATTTTCTTCATTTCACATGAACCAAAGGAATGAAACCTAGCTGATTTCCCCCTACTGCAAACAGACAACTTACTACACTAATCTCATTATTATTATTATCATTATTATTGCTGTCATCAAAAAGCACTCTGTACTGAGGTAGAAGTCAGGACTTGACTCCAGAGGTGGGGCTTGGACACCGGACCAGATTGAGGACTAGCTAAAACAAAGCCAGAGCAGAAGCAGCTGTCAACAACAAAATGACATGCCCACCAGTGTGCCATGTCAATTTACTGTTGCCATAGCAATACCAGGGAGTTACCACCCCTTTCCATGGCAATGACCTAGTGACCCAAAAGTTACTACCCTTTCCTGAGAAATTTCTGCAAAAACAACCCCTTAATCTGCATGCAATTAAAAGTAGGTATAAATATGACTGCAAAGCTGCCCTGAGCTACTACTCTCTGCCTACTGGGTAGGCGTGCTCTGAAGAAGCAGTCACAGAGCTGTAACACTGCCTCTTCAATAAAGCTGTTTTCTTCTACCTCTGGCTTGCCCTTGAATTCTTTCCTGGGCAAAGCCAAGAACCCTCATGGGCTAAGCTCCACTTTGGGTCTCGCCTACCCTGCAGCAGCTCTATCTCAACAACCCGATATTTTAAAATATGTTCTTTTTTGAAAATCCATGTTTCCAACCTGAGAGCTGATTTTCAAAATAGGTTTTCAAAATATTTGGCTTTATAATGGTCTCCCTTTTTATTTTTTTTTTATTTTTTGAGACACAGTCTTGCTCCATCACTCAGGCTGGAGTGCAGTGGCTCACTGCAACCTCTGCTTCCCAGGTTCAAGCGATTCTCCTGCCTCAGCCTCCCAACTAGCTGGGACTACAGGCGTGTGCCACCACGCCCAATTAATTTTTGTATTTTTTAGTAGAAATGGGGGGGGGGGGTTTACCATGTTGGCCAGGCTGGTCTCGAACTCCCAACCTCAGGTGATCTGCGCCCCTCGGCCTCCCAAAGTCCTGGGATTACAGGCGTGAGCCACCACACCCAGCCTGTGGTCTCCCATTATTTTGAGGGGGGGGGAGACCTTAGTCCCTAGTAAAGTAATTCTCTAGCATATTAAGTATATGAAATGTTTCTATGCAAATGTGTTCCTTCCTACCCTACTGTGGTAAGCATGGCACAGAAGACCCTGTAGAAGATATCATCAGAAACAGCAGTCAATACTGTGCACCTCTCTGTATACAGATAAGGCAGAAGGGAGTTCATTCCAAGATGTGCAGTAAAATAATTCAGAAAAGGATGGTTGGGGGCAGTGGCGGGGGGCTTCTTTTTGAAATGAATGAACAGACAATGAAAATGAATGAATGCACATACAGTAGTGAGACAATGCAGGTTAATCCAGGGTTTACTTCAGTAATCTACTGACAGCAGCCCTCCACTGAGGAGGGGTTAGGAAGCTTAAGATGAAGAAAACCTAAAAATCAAGCCGAGTTTTGAAAAAATGTTAACTGTTTCCACTGTAAGTTTACAAAGTAAGGTGGCAAACTGAGCAAAATAAATCTCATTTTTAAAAATGAATCATGTTCACTGTTATGCAGCCAGCATTATGAGCAATTAAGTGTTTCAAGTGGTTGAGAAAACAAGAAAGGCGTTTCAGGTTCCAGTTCCTATTCTTGAGCTTTCAAAAGCCTGTGAAATCTGGCCATTGGGGACAGATGCATGGAAGACTTAACTGGCCTGAGAGATGGGCACTTTCCCTTCCTGAAGAAGTCCTACACCTCTGTAAATTGGGTTCAAGCCAGTCAAGAATTCTCAACTTAAGCTGTATCAGTGTGAATTCAAATTTCTCTAAGTTAAGAGATTCTCGGAAGGAAAAACAACTCTATTTTCAGTCAATTAAAATTAGCAAGAAAACAAGTACATTTACAAAGGGTCATGCTCCAGAAGTTATTCTCATAAGAAAGTGGTTGGGAATTTGCCTTCCACATTCCCATGGAAACCCTGTTAAATAACACCTGAGCCCACAAAGGCCTACTGACCTCATCCCATCTGAGGCATGAATACCAGCAGCCAGGCCACGTGCCTTACCTTGGGAGTAGCCTGCACCGCTTCCAGAGACTGCCTTCTCTCTGCTTTCCTCGTGAACACATTTCTTTAAATAACACTCCCTGTTACATGCCTTCTGTTGTTCTCCAGAAATCAGTCAAGTCACCGTACCTGACATCTACCACCACCTGCTTTCCTGAAACTGCTCTGGCAAAGTTATCAGGGGTTTTCTGATCTCCAAGTCCAGTTATTTCTCTGAAACATTCAACTTCACTGACCTTCGGACAAGCCCTCTTTGCATTGCTTTTAGAGCTAATCCCTTCTCTCTCTCCCTCTCTGAACTTTCTCTCATCTGTTGTGCCATCTTACCATCTTCCCTTTCTCACTAGATGATGCCTTCCTTTGCCCATTTTTTGTTGTTGTTGTTGTTGGTTGGTTCGTTGGTTGTTTTCTGAGACAGAGTCTGGCTGTTTCACCCAGGCTGGAGTGCAGTGGTACGATCTCAGCTCACTGCAGCCTCTGCCTCCTGGGTTCAAGTGATTCTCATGCCTAAGCCTCCCAAGTAACTGGGACCACAGGCGGGTGCCACCACACCCAGCTAATTTTTCTATTTTTAGTAAAGATGGGGTTTCTCCACGTTGGCCAGGCTGGTCTCAAACACCTGGTCTCAAACATCAGGTGATCTGCCTGCCTCAGCCTCCCAAAGTGCTGGGATTACATTACAGGCATGAGTCACCATGCCCCGCCGTCCATCTTTAAATGCCAGTGTTTCCTTAGTTCTATCATAGGCCTTCTCTTTATCCTACCCCTTCCTTATGGAGAGACTCATTTTTTCCATGATTTATTATAAAATGCCTGGCACATGTTAAGTGCTCAATAAATGTTAGCTTTCATCATTATCCTTCAAAACCCAGTTCAAATGTCACCTCCTGTCCAATGTCTTAGCCAACCTCCTCCACACTTCCTTCTCCTCCTGAAGAATCCTCCATGATTTGTGCTCTCAAAGAACCTTACATAAACCTCTAGTATAACAATTAGCACCAGCCTAGGCAACATGGCAAAACCCCATCTCTACAAAAAAAGAATTAAAAAATTAGCCAGCATGGTGGCACACACCTGTGATCCCAGCTACTCAGAAGGCTGAAGTGGGAGGATCGCCTGAGCCCAAGGAGGTTACGGCTGCAGTGAGCTGTGATCGCACCACTGCACTCCAGCCTGGGTGACAGAGTGACTCAGTCTCAAATTTTTTAAAAAACAACAACAACAAACAATTAGCACAATATATATAATACGTTCATAGGCTGGTCTCCCTTACCAGACTGTGAGCCGCTCCAGGAAAGGGATGACATCATTGAATTGTATTCTACAAACATCATTAAGTGTCATCTACAGGTCACACACTGATACAGAAGACCTGGGGCATGTCAAGAACCATAAAATGTGATCTTTGTCATTAACTCACACTTAAGCAGAAAAAGCAGACATCAAAACCAATAACTAAAACACCACTGGGGGGAAAGTGTGATATTCATTCAATCAATCAATCTGTATCAAGTGCCAAGCACTCCATTAGGTACTAGAGGTGCAGGGTTAACAAGACAGAAAAAGAGACATGGAACTATATTCTAATGATTCTTTAAAAAACCAGAAACTGCTCCTTGTTTGTCAGATGTTTCTAACAAAAGGTTTTTCATTATTGTGTAAATTGGACTTGACTTTTTCAGTTGTTCCTTCTTAGTCATATCACGTATGATGCAAGACCTATGGAGCAACAGCTTTCTTTATATCTCCCAAAGAATCAAGCATGATTTGAATACTGAATCCTTAAAGCAAATCAAAATTTATTTAACAGCCTTCAGAGGTCATTTCAAGAGGGAATAGATAGGGCTGCTAACAGAAATATGAATTAAAAAAAAATTCAGATCTTAGAGAATAAAAATAGAAGGATAAATAGTTCCAAGATTATTCATACCTTAAAAGAAAAAGAATGCTAAGGTCAAGCTTATAAGCAACTAGGCAATGTGCTGGATTCAGGAAGAAATTTACCTGGTGACCACATATTAGGTATAGATTATGGCTCAAAAGTTGGGTAATACTTTTTGCTGTGGCTAAATGGGACAATGACAAGTCTTGAAAAAATAATTCTCATAGACTAAATATTAAGTCATTAGAAGCTTGTAACCTAGTCCAGGTCTCAAATTAGGCTTTCGGCACGTAGACCAGGTAACTGAAAACTGAAAGCAGATGAGAGTCTCGAATTCTCCTGTCATAGCCTTTTTCTTCTTCTATGCTCTCAGAAAACCTCCTCATATTAAATGTGGCATATCCTCTGGCACAGAACTCTTTGGGTAACATGCACCTAACTCCCCTGATAATAAACCATGGAGAATAACCCAAAGAACATACAGTGTGAAAACAGAAAAATCATGATTGCTTCATACATCCACTCCTGCAAACTTAGTCCAATGTGTCTAATGATGTTTTTAGAGGAACATACAAGCCTATTAAATAGTTGTGGCCTGGGAAAACTAAGGCATGGCAATATACAAATACCACAGTGCAATTTTGCTTGAAAATTCTCAAGCGATGTCACAACACGGTGGCAACAGCTTTTGTGTGTACAATGCATTCCCTTCTGGGATCACTTGAAGATGAGATCTGGCCCTTCTTGGGCTACTTCAAATTAGAAGTTAACTTGCCTGCAAACAGGTAATGATAAGAAGATCCAATCCTGAATAATCAAGAGATTATCCATCAAGAAGAGTGTTCATTATTTAACATGATAAAAACCTATTTCGTTAATAAAACCTACACTAAGTGGAGAGTCCTGAGTTCTATGAAGCTTGGAAATTGTGAGGCTGTACTTTCTCATTACTTATGTATATTTCACCCAGCAGTGAAAATGTCTCTTCAGGTAAACCAAGGAGATACATCAATATCTTAATTTTAGTTCCAAGTGTATACACGATTCGTCTAAAGTAGAAGAGTGTCACTTGTATGCTATTATGGTTTTGGGGTTGTCTTTTATTTTTTATTTATTTATTTATTTTTGAGACAGGACATTGCTGTCACCCAGGCTGGAGTGCAGTGGCGCAATTATGGCTCACTGCAGCCTCTGCCTCTCTGGCTCAAAGTGATCCTCCCACCTCAGCCTCCTGAGTAGCTGGGACTACAGGTGTGTACCACCACAACCAGCAAATTTTTATATTTTTTGTAAAGAAGAGGTCTCACCACGTTGCCCATTCTAGTCTTGAACTCTTGTGCTCAAGCGATCCACCAGCTTCTGCCTCCCAAAGTGCTGGGATTATAGGCATGAGCCACTGCACCTGGCTGCTATTAAGGTTTAATCTTCTTAAAGATTTCACAAATGGGCACCAAATGAGCCACAGGTGAGGATGTTATAAATTTAACCGTAATACTCCTGGAAGGTTACTTAAGCTCAAACCTCCAACACCGACAAATTCTTTAGCTTGGAGTTGTCTCCCTTTTGCCTGCCCTCTGTTGCCCTTTATTTGAATATATGCTGAACGGATTGGTAAGACTAACACAATGGTCCTGTAAGTTAAATGGTAATCAAGTCAAAATTGTAAGTGACTGCAAAGATTTCTTAATGCTGACAGCCCTTACTTTTAGACTTTGGAAATACAGACAACGCAGATCTGCAAAATGACATTCTAATCATCACGGCAGGATCGGTCCTTGGGTAACCCACTCATATGTCATATTTAATGGCTAAATGAGTTTTCTATACTACTGGTTTTATAAGGGAAAGAAGAGTCTGGAACTCTCTTAACAGTCTAGGATAGTATTTCTTTTCCAATTTTATTTCAGATTTACCAACTGCCAAGTGTACTTCAAACACATAAAATATTGGTAGCACTGAGTTGCTCAGCAAGAAAAGTCAAGCCAACTATTCTTGTCATAACTCATGTGCAAGCTACAACCTTGTTCTCTTTCACTAGGTCAAGCCAAGCAACTTGTGCCCCAACCCTGCTTTGCAATAATATACACACGCTAAGAGATATATCAGTTTTTAAAACCAGACTCCAGGCTCCTCTAGAGTATCTACAAATCTTTTTCTTATTCAAATTCTATGTATACAGTAAACACTGGGTCACTGTATCTGGGAAACTGACCAGGAGGTGTTTTGTTGTTTAATTTTTTGAGACAGGGTCTCCGTTTGCCCAGGCTAAAGTGCAGTGGTGCAATTGCAGCTCACTGCAGCCTGAAAAATTAAAATCCTACTGTCCATATTTGAAACCCGAATTTTCCCTGGATCAACCAAAGCTAGTTTCCCAAGACCAATTTCCTAAAAATCTAGGAGATGTCATGGAAGAACTAACGCACATCAACTGTATGTATGTGACTCAAAAACAATCAGAAATGTTACATAAATGTTTAAAAAAGAAATGTTATATAAAGTATACATTCATTAATGTGACTTAGAACCTTCAGAGGTAGCCCAGATTTCTCCATTAGAACATGTTTTATGTATATCAAATTACAGATATGGTTCTGCATTGACAACGCATCTACTACATCTGCCTTTATTATCTAAAGGAACCTGGTTTGTTTATTTTCTATTCTTATTCTGGCCCAGCCTTCGAATGCTTGGCATTCAGGTTGACAATTTTCTGTCAGCCAAGAACCACACACTCCACATCATCAACAAGCAAGCAACACAATTTTATTATGTAACACGGGTGAGAAAAATACCAAATTGAAATTATGTTGTTGGCATATTTTAATTATCTAAAACAACCTAGATTTTTTCACAAGCTGAAAAGATTAATACAAAGGACTTCAAATTCCACTACTAGGAAAATAATATATTTTTTAAAAGGTTCTAAATCTCAGGCAATAACTCTTATTTGTTTCCCTAAGAGTCAGTATAAACAAGTTCTTCTTAATTAAAGAATCATAATACCCCTCTTGGAAGTAAATTTAATAATATTTTACCTGTATTTATAAGAGATCTGAAAGGTTTTTAATACAATCTTGGAATTTATATACGTAATTTTCATTATGATACTGATTTCATTAAAAAAATAAGTGGGGGTCTAATGCATATTATACTATTGTGAAAGATTTTTATTTTTGATGCATTTTCACATCTTTTATAGCAGTAATAAACCCTGTTCTCAAGTGCACAGTTCAATGAAATGATCTACATTATGAAGTCCTTAAAATACTCCCTCAGATTTTTTACTTATTCATTACTTAGTTCACTATATAATCTTGCATGTTGTAGGCTCCCAACAATTATTTATTAAATTGCTGAATTCAAATAATAGACTGTAAAATAATAAAAGGCAGAAATCACACCTTTTTAACCTAATTTTATATAGACCTTAGATATCTTGCAGATTTTAAGTAGCCAAAAAATGTCTGCTGATGTGATGCCTGTAATCATGATAGTAATAGTTATTTCAATCTTTTCAAATAGAAAATGTATTTCTGTGAGACAGGAGAACATAAGTTATAAGTGAATAGATTCCGGAATCTGACAGACTTGGGTTCAGAATTGGATTCTGCCCCTCAGTAGCTATGTGACACTGAGACCACTGTTGGTAACAGTTTCAGGGTCTCAGTTTTTGTTTCCCCAAACAAAAAAACTGATCGACTGATGCTATCTGCCTCATAAAGTTGTTTTAAAGATTAAATAGGCCGGGTGCAGTGGCTCACGCCTGTAATGCCAGTGCCAGCACTTTGGGGGACAGATGCGGGAGGATCACTTGACCTCAGGAGTTTGAGACCAGCCTAGGTAACATGGTGAGACCTTGTCTCTACAAAAAATAAAAATAAGACTTGGCACAGTGGCTCACGCCTGTAATCCCAGCACTTTGAGAGGCCAAGGCGGGCAGATCACTTGAGGCCAGGAGTTCGAGACCAGCCTGGCCAACATGGCAAAACCCTGTCTCTACTAAAAACACAAAAAATTAGCTGGGCATGGTAACCTGGGAGGCAGAGGTTGCAGTGAGCCAAGATCACACCACCATACTCCAGCCTGGGTATAGAGTGAGCCTGTCTCAAAATATATACATAAATAAATAATAAATAAATAAATAAAAACATAAAAAATTAGCCCAGTGTGGTGGCGCATGCTTGTAGTCCCAGCTACGTGGGAGGCTGAGGCAGGAGGATCACTTGAGTCTGGAAGATCAAGACTGCAGTGAGCCATGATCATGCCACTGAACTTTAGCCTGGGCAACAGAGTGACACCCTGTCTCAAAAAAAAAAAAAAAAAAAGATTAAATAAGGTCATACATATAGTGTGATAGAGTGATTAGCACATACACCTAGTACACAGTAATGCATGCTGTTTGTGTATGGCTTGCTTTAATTTATAAGACCAAAGTGTCATATATTCAGCTTGTCAGCTTATGTAATCTTACAGCAGTTTGCTAGCCCTCTAAAATATAAGGACCTTTTTCCTTCATAAAATAGGCTTATTTGGAACAGTCTAAACTACTGAGGGTCCCATAGTAGCAATTATATTCTCCTAGTATAAGAATGAAGTTGGGTTTCCAGACACCACAGGCATACCACTGGCATATTCCTGACTTGGTTATGGCCACATGGCTTATATCTTTTCTCACATCCAAAACCTAGAGGACTGACATCCTGTTGTCAATTTGTACATGTTCCCTGACCTAAAATAACCATGACTAGGAACCCTGGTTAAAGCAAGGTATTCTGGGACCCTCTCAGGGCAAACGGCTTCAGATGGCAGAGTAGCAGAGACAACAGGTCCTTTAAGTCAGGTTGAGTTAAAAGCACTTGGAGAGACAGGCATAGGGCCTGCTGAGAATGACCAACCTTCTGCAGGGAAGAGTTGTCAAAGACTTGGAAAAGGTCAAAAGGTACTGAGTATCCTTTCAGTGGAGGGCTGGGCTTAGTGCAGCACTCCCTCTGGGAATTATCAGATTTTAAAGGGGTGTGTACCTTTGATTGTCCTCCTAGTGATTTGGCTATTTTACAATGCTGTTGGGGTAAATATTACCTTATGCAAAACTGATAGTAATGCAAATATTTTTTGTCCACAGCAATACAAATGAATATGGTTTGGTAGAGATACAATTGATTTCTACCCTTTAGAATAGATGACTCCAACATTTATACTTATAGAATTGCCTTACAAAATATTAACCAACTTTGCATCTATTAGCAAATTCATTTCACCATTCCTGATTTTGTATGTATGTATACCATATTTGCTCTTCGAACTCTCCTTTCAACCAGTTTTAATATCTTTCTGGTTTTTCTCATTATATAATGAATTAATTCAATATTTGGCATATGTTTATATTTGTAGAGAGTTGTTATTTTAGATTGTCGTAAATTATAGTTTAGAACATTGTAATGTGGCGCTTCCTGTGAAGAATGCACTTTCTCAGGAAGGGAAATTGATGAGTTAGAAAGGAGCTTTTAGTTTTGCCCAGAATGATTTATTTTTCTAAAAAAGAAAGAGAAGTAAAACAAGTATGTCAAAATGTTTAACTGCTATTAACTATTACATTTAGGTAGTATGTAGATGCATAAGTGTCTGTTAAACTATTTTATATACTTTCTTTATAACTAAAATGTTTCATAAATTTTTTTAACTTTTTTTCTAAAAAGAATGAGTCTGGTAGAGAGGAATGGGGAATGTAGGTCGTTCCTCCTGACTGCTTCCCTTAGCTTCAGTTTTTCCCATGCAAACAGATACACGTTATACATCTTTATACTCCTGAAGATTTATGCCTTCTTCTGCTTCTTAGTTCTTCGATACATCCTGATTCAGTAAGAGGCATATTATAGGCAATTAATAATAAATGCTTACAAAATTTAATTAGTAGGAATATGCTATCACATTAAGGGAAACTGCATCAGACTCCAGAGCCAGCACATCTCAGGGAAACAAGGAAAGAACTGTCCCCAGGCTGTGCTGTAAACCCAGCTCTCTGGATCATTCTAGAGAAAGGCTAGTTTTGGTCTATCGCAGTCCATCTAACCATCATGCCCAGGAAACAGCCCAAGACTTGCCTGAAGAAAGCCCAACTTACAACTTAAGGCCAAGCAACTGGCAACCACTATTGAGTTGGCTCCCTTGTTGACACTGATCGAAAAAGGTAAGTCAGTTTTCTGATTAAGATGTCACTAAAATCTGCTAGCAAGAGGGAATCAGAAGTTGTGTGACTACTATGACTCTTCCTCATAATAATAACTGCCATCGTGGAACAAAATATTAGAACTGATCCTCTTAAACAGAATATGTAGTTCAAAATGTTTTGAAATGTTTTTCACTGCAGGTGGAACGGTAGTATAGAGAACGAAACATCTGTATTGTTTGGAAGTTGGAAGACCTCCTATTCAACCACTTGATTTAATCTGGCCGCTCTCATAGCCTTTCCAACTATAAGATATAGTTAATTACACTGCCATGCCTACTATTTTATAAGAAATAGGATCATCTCATTGAAGAGTAAGATAATCAAAGGAGGAGGAGTAGCACTGAACAACTGATTCATTGATACTATCATTCTGACCCAACTGCATAAAATCACCCCAACCTCAGAGTGATCAAATTATAAATTGGGAAATATCTAGCTACAGGCCAAAGCGGTGGCCCCTGGACAGCAGAAATAGCACTTCTGTCCTGGTTGCCCCAGCTTTAAGCTGACATTTGTCACAATGACCATATTACAAAACTTGAGCGTGACATTAAGAGGTATTTGACATGGCCGGGCATGTTGGCTCATGCCAGTAATCCTAGCATTTTGGGAGGCAGGGGCAGGTGAATTGCTTGAGCCCAGCAGTTCAAGACCAGCCTGGGCAACAAGGCAAAACCCTGTCTCTACTGGAAAAAAAAAAAAAAAAAGGGTATTTGACATGTAATAGCTTTGGATGACTTTTTAAAAATAATAAATAGGAGTAATTAGGCCAGGCACAGTGGCTCATGCCTGTAATTCCAACACTTTGGGAGGCTAAGGTGGGAAATTCCTTTGAATCCAGGAGTTAGAGACTGCAGTGAGCTATGATTGAGACACTGCATTCCAGCCTGGGAGAGAGAGTGACACCCCATCTCAAAATAAAAAAAAAAAAAAAAGACAAGAAAAAACAAAAGAAATAGAAGTAATCAACATTTTTAAAGGAGAGAGAATTCTCTGGCTTAGGCAAAGACTTGGTTTTATATGGCTTGGGGTCAATGGACAGGTAAGATGATGCTGATTGATACTGACTATGGCAGCTCTCCTCCATGTTTCTGTTTCTTAAGAGTTCACGGGTGTAGAAGAGGCTACAAGTATTGGAAAGTACTGGTATAACTGGTCTCAACCATTTTTGGAGATTGCCAGTACAAAGGAATATAACTTACTTCCTGTATGAATCATATACCAAAGGCAATTGCTTTCCTCATTGTTGATGAACTACTGTAACAGAAAAGGTCTGCTTATAGTGGAATGTTTTCTGTTACCCTGTGCAACTTCTGTGGCATTTAAGTTATACAGATCTGCTCTACTATGATTTTATTAAATAGGAAATGCCCTTAATATTTAAAATTCTCTCTCCTGTCTCCCCTAAGAAAATTATCACAATGTAGTTTCAGTTATTTCTGTTTTCCTTTGGAAAACCAAAAACACTACAAAATAAAATTCATATGAAATGTAAGTTATCAATTATTTACATTTTTTGAACACTTAGACAAGATTTTGAAAATCAGCTTTGTCTCATATCCTTCCTGCTTTTCCACTAACCTGGCACATATTTCGATTAGTGTCTCTAGTCAATACCTTTAGCCAAAGAGAAAAACTAATACATTAAAACAACTAGGCTAGGCGCAGTGGCCCACGCCTGTAATCCCAGCACTTTGGGAGACTGAGGCAGGAGGATCGCTTGAGTCCAGGAGTTTGAGACCAGCCTGGGCAACATGGTAAAACCCCATCTCTACATAAAAATACAAAAATTGGCCAGGCTTGGCTGTGCTCAAAGCAGGAGGATCACTTGAGCCCAGAAGGCGGAGGTTGCAGTTGGAGCCGAAATCATGCCAACGCACTCCAGCCTGGGTGACAGAGCAAGATCTTCTTAAAAAAAAAAAAAACCCACAACTACACAAACCAATATATCAGAGTCACCAATGGATTTTTAATTTATCATTTTGCCTTGATTTCCTTTATTTCCCTTTTATGCCACTAATAAAATTTTCAAGTTTAATTTTACTCCCTGAAAATGAGGGTATCTTTCTCATATCTAGCCAGTTTCCCCACCTACCTATATCCAAATTACAGGAAGATGAGGCTGTCTTCAAGATATATTTTTCCCAAAGCTGTGGGTTCCCAGTTTCTTCTGATAACCACATAGCTGTGGGTTCCTGCAACACTGCCCACCTCCACCACATTTCCCACTCTCATCTTGCCCCAGGTGGAGCGGGGCAAATGCTGGCATGTTCTACAGCCACAGTGAGGCTTCCATGGGTGACAGAAAGGGGAGCGTGTGATAAAAGGCCCTCGAATGGCCTCCTGGGAGGGGCCATCATTGCACAGCACACTGTCAGCCCTGGAGTCAGTAGCCAATAATGCATTTTCCTATGGTTCTCTACTTTCCTGGCTTGGAGTGGTGTTTGAAGGGACCACTTGGAGGAAGTACTTGGAAAGCAGGCACGGTTGGTACCTCATGCTGGAGAGACTTGCACATTTCCCGGACTTTGTGCTTGTCCATCTCCCACTGCTCCACAAAGAAAGTGTGAACCAATTTTATCCTGCAAACCAGAAACAGGAACTGAATGGGCCTCTAACCAGACCTCTGAAACAGGAAGTAGGGCACAGTTCTTATAGCCACCAGAGGGGAACTGCCCTATAAACAGAGAACTCCCAAAAGGCTGGCTCCAGCCAAGGCCACGGGTGAGACAAGCCTGTGTTATGCGCTTATATAATGCACAGGCTTCACCCAGAGATGGAACCAGCTCGAACTACCAACTGATAATGTCTCAAGCAGACAACAGGTGACCAAATTAAGGAAAGAAACCAGGATCCTGGCAGCCCAGGAAGCAGAGCCGGTCATGACAACATGCAGCTGATGATGTGGGGTAAGAAATTGGTACTCTAAAAACTAATTTTGTGCTCTGGAGTTTTCTTTTTGATTTTGCTTTTTTCCGTCCGATTTTCTAGTTAAGCTCTTTTAAAAAAATTATAGTTTTGCCTTAATTGACCCATTATCCAAGAAAGCAAGAAGCAGCAGTGCTGTCAGTTTGTGTGCGGTGGGTGGCAGCTGCTACAATGGTGTGCCAGGGAACGTGAACAGCTCAGAGAAAAACCATGTGTTGGACACCACTGGGATTTTTTTAAAAAATCCTTCCCTAACTAGAGTTTTCCCTTATGAGTTTATCTACGTTTGCTCTTTTGATAATTTTACTAAGGTTCGTTTCTCACGTGAAGCAGTGGCTGAAAGGTGGGAAGGGGCTGCAGGGCGGTTCCAATCAGAGGCTCTCAAACACAACTCTGTTGACTGGTGTGATAAAGTTTTCACTCATCCTTGGAGAAATGGGAAAAATAAATAACAAGTCATGAGTTTTTGCACACATTTTCTGTATGTGAAGATCTGCCCTTCATTCTAAGGTTATGTCCCCCACTAATTTTTTTTTAACATAAAACTTTCCTTTTTAAGAAATCATGGCAATAGGTGGCTGGTTGTTGATTTTCTTGTCTCTCTGTCTCTCTTTCTCTCTCTCGATTTTCCTCACTTTCTCTACTTATAATACTCTTACTTGGAAAAATTTAAATGTTGGCAAACACATGTCAGTCCTCCAAATTTTTTTAACTGGTTCGTGGGAACCACTATTTAGGACATACAGACTTTACTCTCTCCTTCAAAATATATGAGACAATATACTCGGAAAGTATATTGAAAGTAGAAATGCAGAAGTGGGCTGGACAATTTTCAAGAACTTCTCCATCTGGGATAGATGGGATACAAGGTTATGTTCTGTTTTGTTTTATTGTTTTACCAAATAAGATTAGAAGTCCTAAGGAGCTTTGCTGGAAGCAAGTTGGAGCCAAAGCCTGGCAAGGTCAGATGCCTCTCCAGCAAGATGGCATATTAACACATGGGCGACTTTTGTCACAAGCTCAAGTAAAGTGGGAACATACCATGGATGAGAATAGAAAAGCTAAGTTCTTACAATTTTAACTAGCATGTGCTTCCTTCCTGTTACCTATGATTGCTACAGGGTGAAAGGCTGAGTAAGCGGTTGCAATCTGCAGTGAGCCAAGCTGAAAGGCCCGGGCGGATGTGAAGGCTGGTGGTAAGGAAATGGGAAGCAGGCAGCCAAGCTAACCCTGTGTCCACTGAAGGAGTGAGGTGGCCTTGAGCACAGCAGCATCCCTGGGTCTTACGTCGGCCAGAAGTAGAAAGGGAAGAAGCCTAAAGGAAGTGAAAGTGTTGCTGGATCTCCTGCTGGCATTGCCTCCTCCTTCACACAGCATCCCGGTTCTCCCTGCAGCCACCTGATCTTCCCTTTGTCCCCTTCCTCACCACAGCCCCACCACCTTCACCACTCCAAGTTGATGCTTCTCCTACATCTGGCCAAGATGCTACTCAGAGGTGGATGAAAGCAAAAGTCACTGCTCTAATACAAGAAAAGTCCCGGTTTTAGGTTTCAGAAACAGAATTTTCCCGAATGTTTAAAATGGTGAATGGTTCCATAAACTGTGTTAACCAGGCTTCTTACAGGCTAGTCCCAGAATCTGACCACCATGTGCAATACTGTTTCTAAGAAAAGTGTGCTCCAAGCAAGAACCTTCAAACATTTAACCTGAATGAATGAATATAACCTCTTCACGGTTCAGTGTTTTCATAAGCAAAACAAGAGAATAGCAGCATTGATGTCTTTTAAAAAAAATTTAGGGCTGGGCGCGGTGGCTCACGCCTGTAATCCCAGCACTTTGGGAGGCCAAGGCAGGCAGATCACTCCTGAGGTCAGGAGTTTGAGACCAGTCTGGCCAACAAGATGAAACCCTGTCTCTACTAATAATACAAAAAAATTAGCTGGAATGTGGTGGCACATGACTGTAATCCCAGCTACTCAGGAGGCTGAGGCAGGAGAATCACTTGAACCCAGGAAGCAGAGGTTGCAGTGAGCCGAGATCGAGCCACTGCACTCCAGCCTGCGTGACAAGAGCAAAACTCCATCTCAAAAAAAAAAAAAAAAAAAAAAATTTGGAAAGCTTCCCATTTGGGATCTGTCCACCTACACAGGGCAACACGATAGTATTGACATCTCTTAGCTTTTACGGAATTTTCTGCCTACAATGCAGAGGGCAAAGAAGGGGTATTGTCAGCTTGGCTTTGCTGTCTCTGAGTGACAGTCTCTTGTATACGTAAATAAGATGAATTTTCATAAAAGCATTGACAGAGCATTAGCTTCACCTCAGAAAGAAAATGAAAAAGCAAATGACAACTGTAGTCAAAGAAGAAATTAAAATATAGTTAAATAGTAAACAGATCAAGAAAAAATCAGTGAAAACCTTTAACTTGCAACCTATTCTTTTTAAAGACATCAGTACACAAAGATTGGGAAAGTTTATTAAAAATGTTACCAAACTTTAAGTTCTTCTTTTTTTTTTTTTTTTTTTTTTGAAACAGGGTCTCATTCTGTCACCCAGGCTGGACTGCAGTAGCACGATTTCAGCTCACCGCAGCCTCAGCCTCCCAGGCTCAAGGGATCCTCCCACCTCAACCTCCCGAGTAGCTGGGAATAAGTTCTTACTCACTCCGTTAGGTTGAGCTATTCGAACATCACTGTTTCCCATGTAAACGTTGAGACCTTCATTAGGCTCTCCTTGCTTACCCTGCCATTTCACTTCAGGTGTCACCACCTTTAAGAAGCTACCCCTTGCCAGGTGTGGTGGCTCACACCTGTAATCCCAGCTCTTAGGGAGGCAGAGGCAGGAGGATAGCTTGAGCCCAGGAAATTGAGACCTGCCTAGGCAATATAGCGAGACCCCATTCTCCACAAAAAGGAAAAAAGCAAACAAAAAACAAGCATAAGAAGCTACCCTTGAACCCACTGTATCCTCAATCTGATTTTTGAAGCTGATTCCTGGGAGCCCAGCATCCTGGCACAGAGGCACTGCTAAGGCAAAGGCATTGGTCTGCCCTCCCCACCAACTCTGAGCTCTTCAGGGGCAGGAATATGATATATACAAGCAGTTCATTTAATCTCTACGAGCTGAAATGATTCATTTGTCTTAATAATGCTGTCATTTTAAAGTACAGAATTTGAGAGCTGGAGGGAATCTCAGATACCAATTATTCCAACACTCCACTCTTTTCTGAGGCTTTAAATGACTTGCTCCAAGTTAGAAAAGAATCAGGACCCAAAGCCAAACCTTGAAAATGCTGTTCTAATGCTTTGTGCCTGCATCCCATGCCACCTTGCCTTTGTAAATTCACAGGATTAAATAAGGGAATCCTAAAAAAATGTGTTCAATTCCCCCTTCACTTCTAACCCTGGTCAATTTTACAGGCAAAGAAACACCACTGGAGGCAATGAAGGGCCGTTCTCACAATTACATGGTTCACAGCAGAGCTGGGATGAAAACTCGGATCTAATATGAGGGACCATGTTCTTCCCACTATCTCATAAAAATTCAACTTTCAAGTACAGGTCATGGGTGTAGAGCAAAGGTCAGCATGGCACAGGGGCCAAATCCTGTGGGCCACCTGTTTTTGAGTATGGCTTGCAAGCTAAGAATGGTTTTTACATTTTAAAATGGTTATAAAACAAGAAATCATACTTTGTGAGGTATATGAAGTTCAAATTTCAGTGTCCACGAATAACGTTTGGTTGGAACATAGTCATGATCATTTGTTTAGGTCCTGTTTATGGCTGCTCTTGAGTAATAGGGCAGAGTTGAGAAGTTGTGAAAGAGACCTCAAGAAATGAAACCACACACCTAACACCATCTGATCTTCAACAAAGTCAACAAAGTAAGTAATGGAGAAAGGACTCCCTATTCAATAAATGGTGCTGGCTAGCCATATGCAGAATAAAATTGGACCCCTATCTATCACCATATACAAAAATTCATTCAAGATGGATTAAGGTTTAAATGTAAGACCTCAAACCATAAGAGTCCTAGAAGAAAGCCCAGGAAATACCATTCTGCATCAGCCTTGGGAAAGAATTTATGACTAAGTCCTCAAAAGCAATTGCAACAAAAACAAAAATGACAAATGGGACCTAATTAAACTAAAGAGCTTCTACACAACAAGAGACACTATTAAGAGAGTACAAAGACAACCCTCAGAATGGGAGAAAATATTCACAAACTACGCATTTAAGAAAGGTCTACAAATCAACAAGCAAAACAACAAATAACCCCGTTAAAAAGTAGGCGAAAGATATGAACAGACACTTCTCAGAAGAAGGCATACAAGCAGCCAACAAACTTATGAAAAAATGTTCATCATCACTAATCATCAGAGAAATGCAAATCAAAACCACAATGAGATAACATCTCACACCAGTCAGAATGGCTTTTGTTAAAAAGTCAAAAAATAACAGATGTTGGCGAGGCTGCAGAGAAAAGGGAACACTTACACACTGTTGGTGAGAATGTAAATTTGTCCTGCCACCGTGGAAAGTAATTTGGAGAGTTCTCAAAGAACTAAGAGCTGAACTACCGTTCGACCCAGCAATCCCATTACTAGGTATATACCCAAAGGAAAATAAATTGTTCTACCAAAAAGACACCAAACCAGATATTGAATGTTCTCACTCATAAGTGGGAGCTAAACATTGGGTACAAGTAAACTTAAAGATGGGAGGCTGGGTGCGGTGGCTCACGCCTGTAATCCCAATACTTTGGGAGGCCAAGGCAGGAGGACTGCTTGAGGCCAGGTTTGAGACCTGTCTGGGCAACATAGCAAGACCCCGTCTCTACAAAAAAAACATAGTAAAATAAAATAAAATTAGCCCAGCGTGGTGGCTCATGCCTGTAGTCCCAGCTACTCGGGAGGCTGAGGCAGGAGGATCACTAGAGCCCAGGAGTTCGAGCTAGCAGCGAACCATGATCATGCCACTGCACTCCAGGCTGGGCAACAGAGTGAGACCTTGTCTCTAAAACAAATAAAATAAAATAGAAACAAAGGGTTTGGATAAAACTGATGCACTACCTTCATTCTGTCACATTTTCATGCTTTCATGCTGACTGAGAGGGCACTCATCCTGGGAGTTCATGCCATCCAGATGGGCAGGGGTTAAACTGAGACCTGTCTAGGTTGAAAGAAGCAGTACGAAGGGACAGAGTGGGCGCAGGAAAAAGAGGCTTCCGAGAGCATGCCCTCCCCACTATTCCATACACACCTAAATGCCTGGTAAGATCTTTGCCAGCTCACTCACATGATTCCAAGATAGGGAGCTTCCCTTGATTCTGAGAGTAACTCAGCCCACCTAAATGGAGGAAGCAAGGGCCAAGCACAACCTCTTTTTTTTTTTTTTTTTTTTTTTTTTTTTAAGACAGAGTCTCATTCTGTCACCCAGTCTGGAGTGTGCAGTGGTACAATCTCAGCTCACTGCAACCTCTGCCTCCCAGGTTCAAGTGATTATCCTGCCTCAGCCTCCTGAGTAGCTAGGACTACAGGTGTGCACCACCATGCCTGGCTAATTTTTGTCATTTTAGTAGAGACAGGGTTTCACCATGTTGGCCAGGAGGCTGGCCTGGAACTCCTGACCTCAGGTGATCCACCCGCCTTGGCCTCCGAAAGTGCTGGGATTACAGGCGTGAGCCACCACGCCTGGCCCAAGCACAACCTTTTAGGGTCAGCCACCTGAAGTGGAATCCTGCATTGGCCACTTACTCCCTATGAATCCTAGGGCCAGTTAGGGATCCCTGGGTTTTCTCACCTAAGAAGGTAAGTACTTCCTTCACAGGCTTGTTTGGAGGATTCAATGAAATACACTCAAACTTCAGCTCCCTTCTAATCATTCTCTCTCCCTTTCCCAGAGACAGTATTTGGAGAATAACAGAAACCAAGCCTTGTTAGGAAAGTTTCTTTCAAATTAGCTTAGAGTTTAACATTTTTTTTCTAGAGCCCTAGGAAAAAAACGCCCAATCAGTGCAATAAAAATAGGCTCAAGTGTTCAGTTGGGTATTTTCCTCTCATATCTTTTAGTTCTTTGAAGTTTCTTCCAAATTATAATCCAAAAATAAGAGTGCTACAATTTTTAGAAAAGTTATGTTGATGTAACTTTTATAGCAAGCTACCCAAAGAATCAAGCTATATTATAGCCATGCTCAGTTATGAAGACCAAAACTATTTTAAAAATACCAGAACGAGAAAGTCCTAGTTTATTTAGTCTGGCTTCCTTAACATGAAGGTCTTGTTGTTCTCAAAATATTCAGCTTTGGCTGAATTCCAAAACTGACATAAGCCCACTTCAGGTGTTTGGAAGACACTAAAGAGAATCAGAATTGAAAACAAGATTGGAAAATAAAGCCTTTTATGTGATCACAAATGCAAGAAGTGTATTGTTTTGAAACTACTAAACCAAGTTTTTACCCACAAATGTAAACATAAATATGTATATATTCTCAACACTGGACGTACAGGGGACTAAAGGTTAATTTCCATAATATGGTATTATTCCTAACATTTGCTAACAGCTAAGTGCTTCAGTTACTAGAACTGCCTTAACATTTTCTGAAATTTGAGATAGGTTGAAAGATACATTTCTTTCATGGATTATGCTAGCAATCACTTTAATGGCGAAACTAATCTTATTATTAGGATAGCATACAGGTGTTTTAGACAATGTTAAATTACAAACTTTCTAGCCCACCATGGTTTATGGGGTAATAAAAAACAGGCCCTGGTTCTTTCACCAAAATCCTTACAAAGATAACACACAAGTTCAGTGTAAGTTGTAATGTTATTGCCTTTGGAAGCACTGTAATTACTTCAAAGTCTGGGTTGGTGAGAGGAAATTCAAGCTACTAAAACTTATCGAAGGTAAGGTGAGTTGGGAAGATCATCACATGGCATGCAAATTAATATAGTTACACTCTGCGTGCATGGTATGTCATCGTTCCCGTACTCTCAAAACTACACAGAGAAAAGGAGAACCTCATCTAAAACGGTCACAGGTATATGCAGAAAGAAAACAGGGACCAAACCTCACAGAAGCGAAACCGAGACACTGAAAGGAGAAAGACTGACTGGGGCAAATATCTCACACTGCTGGAGAACAGTTCAAGTCGATCGCATGGACCCAGGGCTCCAGCGCTGGGCGGTGGGTGGATCCATAGGTCTATCGCACAAGTACACACAGACTCTTGCACAAGCACACACGCTCTCTCCGGAGCGGCGAGCGACAGGAGCAGTCACGCAGCGGCGCTCGCTGCCCCCAAAGTGGGGCAAGAAGTAAATGCTTCCCGCCCAGAAAAATGAAATGCCCCGAAGACCGCCAGATTAAACGCGGGTCCCGACCGCGCGGGATGGGAAAGGGGTCACACACGCACCTGCATTGTAAAAGCGGTCCAGCACGGTGGTTTCTCCAAAGTCGAGTTTCCCAAAATGCAGGGTTTCCAGGGTGGCGCCCACTGTCTCGCACGCCTCCCGCAAGCTCTGCAGGGCCTCGCTCTCGGCCACCACCAGTTGCCCTTGGCTCGCTTCGTTGATCACATATGCCACCGTGGTCCGTCGGCTGCCCCCGCCAACAGAGCTGCCCCGGCCTCGGGTGGCACTGCTCGAGGAGGTGGCCGCCGGACAACCGATGCCAGGGGCAGCGGCGCTCTCCACGTTCCAGAAGCTGCCCGGCGGCGGCGGTGGCAGCTGGTGCTCCTCGCCCTCGCCCACCGCCGCCGCTCCTCCCCTCCTGCAGATGCCGCCCTCGGGGATGGTGCAGAAGCCCGAGGGGGCGAAGGGTGGCACAGAGAAAGTGATGCCCTCGTCCGCCTCCGTGCTCATCTCTCCGGGCCGGGCAGCAACGGCGGCGGCGTCCCCCGCCCAGCCGCACCGCCTGGCCAGCCACAGCTCGGGGCTGCTCCGCGCCCGCCGGGCTAAGCAGCTGCCATCGCGCGCCGCGCCCTCGCCGCCGCGCCGCCGCCTCCTCTCCGGCGCCCTCTCCCCCGAGGGCACGCCGCTGCCCGGCGGCGGCTCGCTCCTCCTCGGCGCCTCCGTGGCCGCGCCGCTCGCCCTCTGCAGAGTTTAGAGTACAAGGGGTGGGGAAGCCGGGTGAGCGGGAAGGGACGGAGCTTCCTTTTCTTGGCCGGCTGACAAGTCGGCTCGCAAACCTGCGCCGCGGTGCAGCTCAAGGGCGCCGCGCTCGGGGTGCAGCCCGCCCTCGCCACCCGCCGCGCCGCGCCGCGCCGCGCCGCGCAGCTCCTTCCGTCCCGGCCGCTCTGGGAGGGGCCAGGAAGGGCGCCCCCTGGGTGCGGAGCTACCTGGCGCGCACCTTACGAGCGGGCTGGCTCCCCAGGCGGCGTCCCGGAACAGCAGCAGCGGCAGCCGAAAGGACCCTCCTCCCTCTTAGGCGGCAGCTCGCCTTCATCGGGTGGATTTCCTCCTCCTTGCCTGGCCTCGTTTCTCTTTCGATCGCCTCCGCCGCGTGGTCCCGGCGCCAGCCTCGTCGTTCCTTGCAGACGCTCTCCCTCTCCACCACCAGCTTCTGGCCACCCACTCGTAGCGGCACCGAGGGTCAGGGCCAGCCCCCAAGGAGGGCGCTGCTAGGAAGCTCGAGCCCGGACTGAACTGACCGCGCTGCGGCCCTGGGACCCCAGCCCTCCTCTGAGTGCTGCGCGTGGCATAGGGTCCCAGTCTTCACCCACCCGGCCCCCACCTACGAAGACCTGGAGCGCAAGCGATTACGGGGTGGCGCAGAAAGTCCCTCGAGGCAATACTCGGTCTTCGGAGTCCGCCCCTGAAGCATTTCCAGTGTTCCCCGCGACTAGGGCGCCCCCCTCCGGGCCTTGGCGGCCTGGTGGACTGGGACCGTGCGCGGCGCTGGCAGGATAGGCTCCGGGAGACCCACGTTGCGCGAGGCAGGAGGTTGTACATAGCGCCCTGGAGCCAGGGCCTGCACTGGAGGTTGCTTCATTAGTGACTGTGGCACTCCAGAAGTGGCTGGCTAAATTGATCAGGTTCTCCCATGTACTTTTCCTTTTAAAATTTCCAGTGGCTCATTCCGTTATCAGTAATGAGTAATTGATTAGTGCCAACTGCCGAAGGACTTAGTATTCTCATTTAGGATCTTAATTCCCCCACAAGCGCCAGATACTTAAGATAGAAGATGGAGTCTCTACCCGACTCCACAAATTATCAACAAGATGAAACAGGGGAATAACGTGACCTATTCTATTTTTTAAACTGCATCACGCGAGGCCGGGAGGGAAATACCCAGATTGTTTAAGAGCAATCAAAAAAAGTACCTGCTTATTTGGGGAGCAAAGAACAGATGTGTAAGTTCCCAGAGAACCCCAGAATGCTGTAATTGTTAGGAAAGCCAGTGCAAGTTACAACTGAGTAAAGAAACAGGTTTTGTACTTCCCATCTCCAGGAACTGAGACTAGTGAGTCCTGTGAAAAAGGCAGAAGAAAATGTAAATTACTTTTTTTTTTTTTTGAGACGGAGTTTCGCTCTTCTTGCCCGGGCTGGAGTGCAATGGCGCGATTTCGACTCCCTGCGACCTCTGCCTCCCGGGTTCAAGCGATTCCCCTGCCTCAGCCTTTCGAATAGCTGGGATTACAGGCATGCGCCACCACACCAGGCTAATTTTGTATTTTTAGTAGAGACGGGAGGGGGAGGGGTGTGGGGTTCACCATGTTGGCCAGGCTGGTCTCTAACTCCTGACCTCAGGTGATATGCCCGCGTCGGCCTCCCAAAGTGCTGGGATTACAGGCGTGAACCACCCAGCCCAGCCATGAATTACATTTCAAACTGGGTAAGAAGGAAGGATAAAATAGCTGAATAGTAAAGAATTAAAGGAAAGTCTGGGCGCAGTGGCTCACGCCTGTAATCCCAACACTTTGGGAGGCCGAGGCGGGCAGATCACTTGAGGTCAGGAGTTCAAGACCAGCCTGGCCAACATGGTGAAACCCCCGTCTCTACTAAAAATACAAAAATTAGCTGGACGTGGTGGCAGCCGCCTGTAATCCCAGCTACTCGAGAGGCTGAGACAGGAGAATCGTTTGAACCCGGGAGGTGGAGGTTGCAGTGAGCCGAGATGGCGACACTGCACTCTAGACTGGGCGACAGAGCGAGACTCCATCTAAAAAAAGAAAAAGAAAAAGAATTAAAGGAAAGAGTTCTTTAATTTTCTCCAAGGTGGGAGGATTGCTTGAGCCCAAGAGTTCAAGATCAGCCTGGACAACATAGTGAGACCCCCATCTTAAAAAAAAATAATAATTAAAGGAAGGAAGGAAATAGTCATGAGGAAAAACACCTAGCCGCTACACAACTGTATCAATGAATCAATGTGACATTAGATTTTTCTAAAGGTGTATAAAATAATAGAAGTAAATTTCTAGTAAGGAAACTTTATATTCTTCATGTAAAATGGAATCTATGTGACCCACACTAGCTTTTGGAATTAATATCAATAGTAAAATAGGTAGTGAATCAGTGATTATACTGAAACAAAATGTTGCTGAGCTAGTAATAGTTATGTGCCTTTTAATATTTTCAACAACTTGTCAAACCTCCAAAACCTTGTAGGAGTAAGATAATCCTCCCCGCTATCCTCACCAAGAACCACAAACTCTGGAAATCGATGAGGTTCATGTGTGGAAAACTAAAACGCCTAAATGCTCAAGTAGCATTTTACTGTAGAAATACAAAATCTGAAATTATATATCAAGCTATTTTCCAAAGCTGTAACTTTTTATACCCTCTCACTTTGTGCTTTCCTTCCAGATCCTTTCAGAGCCATTTTCATACACAATTTTTATTTTTTGTTTTACTTTGCTGGCTTTTTTGATTTATTAACTTTAAATATGTTTTTTATGTTAGGCACCCAAACCCCAATACAATGTTGAAATTCTGCTTCTAGCTGGTCCAGAGATTCTCCCTCTACCTAAAAGGCACGGTTTAGGTAATTTATGTTCCATAGCATAGGGTTATGAGATAATGAGGAACTAGCTGGCAAGATTCTGGAAGAAAGGACAGGAATCCAGAGGGTGAGTCTACAGTCAGGGTTCCCTTTGGCTGTGGGATTTTTGTGGATCTGAATTAGGCAGCTGAAAGGCTGAAGTGAATTTTTTTAATGAAAAATAACGGTATTTTGCAAAACAAAACAAAAAGAATGGTGACACCGTTGTGCATTTTCACAAATCTTTTTAATGTCTGGCTTAATAGATGACAGTGGATTCTCATTTCTGCTTCTACATTCATGCTGTTGCAGCATGTTGTTTTGGTTGAAGGGTATAAAGAAAATCTGGAGAAGTTTCTGAAGTGTAGGAGGTATTTGAAGAAGTACATGAAGAAAATACTCTGGGAGGAGCACAGTCACTCCCACTGTGAAGGCACACATGAATTCCTAAAAATCACTGAGCTGTGCAAAATAGTGCTTTTTTTAAAGTAATTTCAAGTTTTATTTTAGATTCGGGGGTACATGTGCAGGTTACATGGATATATTGCATGATGCTCAAGTTTAGGGTACGATTGTTCTTGTCACTCAGGTAGTAGAAAGAGCACCCAACAGTTGGTTTTTCAACCCTTGCTCCCTCCTTCCCTCCCGTCCGCAGTGTCTGTTGTTACCATCTTTATGTCCATGTGTATCCAATGGGACCCTCTCCTGGGAAGGTCTTAAGACCCACAGTCAGAAAGGTGGGGGGTTGTTAGCAGGTAAAAGGAGAGCAGGAAAAAATTAGAGGCCTGCCTCTGAGGCCTAACACACTCAACATAACAGAAGACTATAACGAGGGTTATGGGAGTTACAAGCCAGAAACCACAGATGAAAACCAATATATATCGTAACACCACACTCTGTTCATAGTTTCTTTGGTTGTGCAGAAGCTGTTTAGATTAGGTCCCGTCTGTCAGTTTTTCGTTTTGCTGCAAATTGCTTTTCAGGACTTAGTCATAAATTCTTTCCCAAGGCCGATGTCTAGAATGGTATTTCCTAGGTTTTCTTCTATGATTCCTAGGGTTTGAGGTCTTACATTTAAATCTTTAACCCATCTTGAGTGAATTTTTGTATATGGTGATGGGTAGGGGTCCAGTTTTATTCTGCATAAGGCTAGCCAGCACCACTTATTGAACAGGGAGTCCTTCCCCATTGCTTATTTTTATCGACTTTGTTGAAGATCAGATGGCGGTAGGTGTACGGCTTTATTTCTGAGTTCTCTACTCCGTTCCATCAGTCTGAGTGTCTGTTTTTGTACCAGTACCGTGCTGTTTGGGTTACTGTTGCCTTATAGTACAGTTTGAAGTTAGGTAATATGATGCCTCTGGCTTTGGCTTTAGCTATTCAGGCTCTTTTGGGGTTTTATTTTATTTTATTTTATTTTTTCCTGCTGTTCTACAGGCTCCTTTTTGGTTCCATATGAATTGTAGAATAGTTTTTCTAATTCTGTGGAAAATGATGTTGGTAGTTTCTTAGGAATACCATTGAATCTGTAGATTGCTTTGGACAGTGTGGCCATTTAAACAAGATTGATTCTTCCAATCCATCAGCGTGGAATATTTTTCTGTTTGTTTGTGTCATCTATGATTTCCTTCAACAGTGTTTTGTAATTCTCCTTGTAGGGATCTTTCACTTCCTTGATTGGATGTATTCCTAGATTGTGTGCGTGTGTGTGTGTGTGTGTGTGGCTATTATAAATGGAACTGTGTTCTTGACTTGTCTCTCAGCTTGAACGTTATTGGTATATGAAAATGCTACTGATTTTTATACATTGATTTTGTATCCTGAAACTATACCGACATTGTTTATCAATTCTAGGAGCCATTTGGTGGAGTCTAGGTATAGAATCTTGTCTTCAGGGGATGAGGCGCAGTGGCTCATGCCTGTAATCCCAGGACTTTGGAAGGCCAAGGCGGGTATATCACTTGAGGCCAGGAGTTTGAGACCAGCCTGGCCAACACAGTGAAGCCCCATCTCTACTAAAAATACTGAAAAACAAATTAGCTGAGCATGTAGTCTGTAGTCCCAGCTACTTGAGATGGAGGTTGCAGAGAGCCGAGATCGTGCCACTGCACTCCAGCCTGGGTAACAGAGTGAGATTCTGTCTCAAAAAAAAAAAAAAAAAAAAAAGATTCTTATCTTCAGGGAAGAGAGATTATCTGACTCCTTTTCTTATTTGGATGCTTTTTATTTCTTTCTCTTGCCTGATTGCTGTGGCTAGGACCTCCAGTACTATGTGGAATACTGAGAATGGGCATCCTTGTCTTGTTCCTGTTCTTGAGGGCAATGTCTTTAGCTTTTGCCTGTTCAGTATTTGTTAGCTCTGGGTTTGTCATAAATGGCTCTTATTATTTTGAGGTATGTTCCTTTGATGCCTAGTTTGTTGAGGGTTTTTATCATGAAGGGATGTTGGATTTTATCAAAAGCTTTTCCCATACCTATTGAGATATTCATCTAGTTTTTGTTTTTAAATCTGTTTATGTGGTGAGTCACATTTATTGATTTGCATATGTTGAACCAACCTTGGATCTTAGGAATTAAGCCTATTTGATCGGGGTGAATTAACTTTTTGATGTGCGGCTAGATTCAGTTTGCTGGTATTTTGTTGAGGATTTTTGTGCCTGTGTTTATCTGAACTGAATTCTTGATAACATCTTGAGGACAAAATTAAAGATGATATACCCTACAAGTAAGAGTGAACTATAGGTTAGATGGCCCGTACGTGGACAGCAATCCTGCTTCCATTCATCTGAGTAACCCAGAAAGAAGTCTCAAACCCTAAAATTGTATTAAGGTAGTTCCCTGCATTTGAGAAACAAAATTCACTCCAGAGGAAGATGACATCATCTTGGGCCATGAATTATTTCTACAAATATAAGATCTGTAAATGTAAGCAAATATTTGAATGCACGGTAGCATGGTGGAATCAGAGCAAGAATGTGAACTGAAATTTTTGCCATCTGTTTCTGATTTTCCCCTCTAGATTCACTCTCCATTTATATCCCCCAGAGTCTCTGTCTTGGGAGGCTATGAATTAAGTCAATGGGCTCCCTTCCTTTCTGTTTATCAGTTGGATTTGGTCAGTGGGGAGTCCAGGCAGGGATCTGCAGGAGGAAGGACATTGGGAGCTGGGTATTTCTCTCCTGGACTCACTCTGTATGAGTCACTACAGGCTGGCTGTGTTCTTCAACAGAAGGTTATTGCTCTTCCCAAGGTGACAGCTCCTATGGGACTCACTTTCTAACAGGGTCTCATAACTGTCCCTTGCTTTGTTGTTTATTGGCACCTAGAAATGATAAAGTTGCTGGCCCCAAGCTCATGAAGAATTCCTTGAAGCCTCCTTATACCCTTCCACAGCTTTGTAATTAGTCTTTTTGTAAATAAACCCACTTCAAATTATCCTACCTGTTTCCTGTTGGGACTCTGATAACTACTAATGAGCGTTTAGAAATTAGAAAACTAATTTAACCTTTCTGGACCTGTTTCTTCATCCACAAAACACAGTGTTGAATTAGATTCCACTGAAAATCCTTTGAAGCTCCAATGTGCTATTTTAAGTATTTAGTTAAGATTCCAGTTCTTATACTGAATTGAAATGTGTAAAGAATGAAAATACCACTGGGCAACCATGTAGTAATAAGGGAACTTTTTCTTTACAGAAATATTCCAGCTAATGCATACAAAAGCCTGATGTCATTATAATATCACCATTTTGTAACTCTTAATGAATTTGGATTCAGATATCAATCTTTTTTTTTTTTTGAGACAGGTTCTGGCTCTATTGCCCAAGCTAGAGTGCAGTGGCTCCATCTCAGCTCACTGCAGCCTCTGCCTCCTGGGCTCAAGCAATCATCCCACCTCAGCCTAGTAGCTGGGACACAGACACGTGCTACCACACCCAGTTAATTTTTGTATTTTTGGTAGAGACAGGGTTTCACAATGTTGCCCAGGCTAGTCTAGAACTCCTGGGCTCAAGCAATCCTCCTGCCTCAGCCTCCCAAAGTGCTGGGATTACTGGCATAAGCCACTGCACCCAGCCTACATATCAATCATTAATAGTCACTAATATCATTAAAAGAGAGATGACCAGATTATTGCATGCCTCCTGATGAAAGAACACACCATCAACCATGAAGTAGTCATCCCAAAAACAGTGGACATGAATCTATCAAAGCCCCAGAACCCAAGGCCTGGGTTCAACAGTTAATTTCAGGACATATTAAAGTCATAAAAACAGGGTCAAATACTCTGGAGATGCAATGAGTAAAATCTAGACTGTAGGAAACTCTATAAGACAAATGGCTCACTTTCTTGCATGAATAAATTGCAGTGGTGGAAGAGGGCAACATTGAGATTAAAAGATTGTTAATTTGTAAAGATATAATAATACTATTGTGCTTATGTTAAAAAGGGAGTCTTCATATTTCAGAGACTCCATACAGAAATACTTATAAATGAGGTAAAATGATTTCTGGGATTGGCTTAAAAATAATATGGTAGGAGGTACAGGAATGCGTGAGAATACAGATGAAAGAAGATTGGCCCCGAACTAATGATTTTTTATAATGGGTACATGGATGAGGTTCATTATACTAGTCTTTCTACTCTTGTATATGCCTGAAATATTTCATAATAAAAAGTTTAAATAAAATAAAACCATGGAAACAAAGAATGTAAGACATTTTCATATGAAAAATGTTTTAACATTCTGACCACAAAAGAACATGTGTATAGTCTCATGCAAATCATCTTTTTATTTCATTTTTTATTTTTGAGACGGAGTCTGACTCTTTTGCCCAGGCTGGAGTGCAGTGGCACGACCTCAGCTCCTCAGCTCACTGCAATCTCCACCTCCCACTTCAAGCAATTCTCCTGCCTCAGCCTCCCGAGTAGCTGGGATTACAGGTGTGTGCCACCACACCCGGCTAATTTTTGTATTTTAGTAGAGACAGGGTTTCACCATGTTGGTCAGGCTGATCTCGAACTCCTGACCTCAGGTGATCCACCTGCCTCGGTCTCCCAAAGTGTTGGGATTACATGCGTGAGCCACTGCACCTGGCCTAATTAATACCTATTTTAATGTGGTGAGTGTTCCTATTGAGAGCCTAAACAGTTTTTACTTTGAAAATTAAGCCATGCCTGGGCATATGTGGACTCAGAGAAGAGTCCACCAGGGGAATCAGCTCATGGCTAATAGAGAAGCCTTATGAAGGTCAATAACCCCAGGAAAGAAACAGCAATGGTAAATCATTATGAGAGTCGCCTGCAGATGGAAGTACAACAGGGCAAGAGTGACTCAGTTTGCCCTGCAGTACTGCTTGCACAAGAGAGGCCCCTCCCTTGGGCTCTATGTTTTGGAGGGCCCAGCCATGTCCCTTTCTCAGAGAATCAGAGGTATGAACCCACAGAAAAATCCTCCTCTTCTAATTTGCCCTCTGGAGACCCCAGACCCCAGGATTATCTGCTCAAGCATCATCAAGCCCATTTTCAGAGCCTATTTGTGAGGGCTATAGATGGAGTTTGGCTGCTGAGGCTGGGATGTCTCCAAAAATGTCTATAAGATCTTGCAGAGCTAAAGATGGCAAGAAAGGTCACTCTCTCCATGCTACCGCACTTGGGTGTGGAACTCCAAGAAGTTCAATTGTAAATTCAAAATCCACCTTCCTAGCCTTTATGCAAGTATATTTGTCAAGGACAAATATATTTATTTAATAGTATATTAGCCTGATTAATAACTTTTAGGTAGGGCATGGTGGCTCACATCTATAGTCCTCACACATTGGGAGCCTGAGGCAAGAGGATCACTTGAAGCCAGATTCGAGACCAGCCTGGAAAGCATAGCCAGACCCCATCTCTTAAAAAAACAAAACAAAACAAAAAACCAGCATGGTGGCACGTGCCTGTAATCCAGTCTACTCAGGAGGCTGAGGTGGGGGGATCATTTGAGCCCAGAAGTTCAAGGTTGCAGTGAGTTATGATGGTGTCTCTGTATTCCAGACCAGGTGATAGGGCAACACCCAGTTTCAAAGAAAACAAAATTTTTTTTTTGTACCAAAGTCCTAGCTAGTGCAATAAGGCAAGAAAGTAATAAAATGAATAAATATTGGAACTAAAAAAGTAAAACTGCCTTTATTTGTAGACATGATTGTGTATGTATAACATCTTAAAAAATCACCAAAAATAAAAAATGCTAGGACTAATAAGAAGTCCCAATTTAGATATCCCAAATGTGATCTAAAAGTTCAACACAATGTCAAGCAAAATTTGTGCAGGCTTATTTTTGTAGAAATTGATAAGCTACATCTAAAATATACTTTTAAAGGATATGAATACATATATAAACATATGAAAAGCAAAGGGACTTGTGTAGCTAAACAATTTTCAAAGGAGGTCTTATACTGCTTGTTATAAAGCTCTGGTAACCTGACAATATGAAAAGACTGAATATGAATAGAGTCCATAAATAGGCACATAGATATGTTCAATTTGTTTTCAATAAGGGTGTCTCGGTAATTCAATGGGGATAGGGCAGTCTTTTCAAAACCAGTGTTTGAATAACCAGATACCCACAAAGAAAAAGAATGAACCTCAATCCTTACTTACGCTAGTCACAAAAATAACTAAAAATTGATCATGGGCCTAAATTTAAAGCAAAAGCTGCAAACCTAATAGAACAAAATAATGGAGAAAACTTTTATGAACTTGGGTTAGGCAAAGATGTCTTGGATATGACCTAAAATAAAATAAATTATAAATATATAATTTATATATAAATGTTATATAAATATGTATAAATATATAAAAATGTTATATATTGGACTTAAGATTAAAATATATGCAGTTCCTAGACATTGTATAAAAATGAAAAGGCTTGGTTGGCCAGGTGCCGTGGCTCGCACCTGTAATCCCAGCACTTTGGGAGGTCGAGGCAGGCACATCACTTGAGGTCAGGAGTTCAGGACCAGCCTGGTCAACATGGTGAAACACCGTCTTTACGAAAAATACAAAAATTTGGTTGGGTTTGATGGCGTGTGCCTGTAATCCCAGCTACTTGGGAGGCTGAAACATGAGAATTGCTTGAACCTGGGAGGAAGAGGTTTCAGTGAGCTGAGAGTGTGCCACTGCAAGGGCAAGACTTAGAAAAAAAAAAGGAAGGAAGGAAGGAAAGAAGGAAGGAAGGGAGGGGAGGAAAGAAAGAAAGAGAGAAAGAGAGAGGGAGGGACGGAGGGCGGGAGGAAGGAAGCTAAATAAATGGAAATATCCAATATTGTTGAGACGCCAGTTCTTCTGAATTTGAACTATATGTTTGACATAATTCCAATCAAAAATCTGATTCTAAAATTCATATTGAAATGGAAAGGACGTAGAATAGTTGAAACAACTGTGAAAAATAGAAATAAAGTTGGAGGACAAACATTACTTATTTTAAGACTATAAAGCTGTAGTAATCAACACAGTGTGGTATTGGCATCAATACCCAGCTACTTGGGAGATAAATAGAGACATGAAACAGAATGGAGTCCAGAAATAGATATATAGTACATGTATATGGATGGCTGACTTTGAAGAAAGTTTCAAAAGCAATTCAGTAGCGAAAGGATAGTCTGTTTGTATATGGATATCTGTACTATAGATATCCATATGCAAAAACAATCATCTATTTATGTGCACAAATATGGACTTTGATCCATACCTCTCACATTATACAAAATTAATTCAAAATTGTCATAGTCCTAAATGTAAAACTTAAAATCAGAAAAGTTCTAGAAGAAAACATAGCAGAGGGCTGGGCGCCATAGCTCACGCCTGTAATCCCAGCACTTTGGGAGACCCAGGCGGGTGGATCACCTGAGGTCAGGAGTTCGAGACCAGTCTGGTCAACAAGGTGAAACCCTGTCTCTACTACAAATACAAAATTAACTGGGCGTGCTGAGACAGGAGAATCACTTGAACCCTGGAGGTGGAGGTTGTAGTGAGCCAAGATTATGCCATTGCACTTCAGCCTGGGTGACAGGCAGAATGAGACTCCGTCTAAAAAAAAAAAAGCAGAAAACCTTTGCAACTTTGAATTAGGCAAAGATTTCTTAGATAAGACACCAAAAGCATGATCCATAACTGAACGAATCAATAAACTGGATGTCATTATAATTAAAAACTTCTGCTCTTTGGAAAACCGTATTAAGAGAATGAAAAAACAAACCACAAACTGGAAGAAAATATTTGCAAATCACCTATCTGACAAAAGGCTTTTAAGAATACATGATTCGCAAAGCTCAACAATAAGAAAACAAAAAATCCAGTAAATAATAAGCAAAAGGTTTTAACAGATATTTCTCCAGTGACAAATAAGCACAGGAAAACATGCTCAATATCAATAGTCATTAAGGAAACACATACTAAAAATCACAATGAAATACGACAACTGACTACATCAGGTGTTAGTGAGAATATGGAGGAACTGAAACTCTTACACTGCTGGTGGGAATGTAAAATGGTAGAACTCTTTGGAAATAGTTTGACAGTTCCTTTAAAACTTGAACACACATCTTCATTGTGACTCACCATATCACTTTGGTGTATTTAGCCAAGATAAATGAAAGAATATATTCATAAAAAGATTTGCATATTAATGTTTATCAAAGCTTTGTCATAGGCAAAACCTGTAAACAACCCAAATGTCCACCATTGGGTGACTGAATGCACAAATTGTGGTATATGCATACAACAAAAAGGAGTACACAATAAAAATAATGGACTGCAGATACACATAAAAACAAGCTGAAAACAAGGTGAAAGAAATTTTTTTGGGTTTTTGTTTTTTTTTTTTGAGACAGGGTCTCAGTCTGTTGACCAGGCTGGAGTACAGTGGCCCCATCAAAGCTCCAGTAGCCTGGACCTCCTGGGCTCAAGGAATCCTCCTGCCTCAGCCTTTCATTGTAGCTGGGACCATAGTCATGGGCCACCATGCCTGGCTAACTAACCTTTTGATTTTTTGTAGAGACAGGGTCTCACTTTTTTGCCCAGGTTGGTCCTGAGTTCCTCCAGTCAAGCATTCTCTCACCTGGGCCTCCCAAAGCCGTAGGATTACAGGTGTGAACCACGGTGATGGACCTGTAAAATTCTTTAAAAATGCAAATTAATTTATAATGAAGCAGATTAGTGATTACCTGGGGAAGGAGGAGGGGAGCACAGGAAGGAGAGATGACAAAGGGGCATGAAGAAACTTTTGAGGATAATAGATTTGTTCATTATCTTGGTTGGTGCCCCATAAATATATACAATTATTATGTGTCAATTAAAAATAATAATAGGCTGGGGACAGTGGCTCAGGCCTGTAATCCTGGCACTTTGGGAGGCCAAGGCAGGCAGATGGCTGGAGACCAGAAGTTCGAGAACAGCCTGGGCAACATGGTGAAACTCTGTCTCTACAAAAAATACAAACATTAGCTGGGCATGATCAGGCCTGCCTGTAGTCCCAGCTACTGGGGAGGCTGAGGTGAGAGGATCACTGAAGCCTGGGAGGCAGAGGTTGCAGTGAGCCCAGACGGCACCACTGCAGTTGACAGAGTGAGGCTCCATCTCAAAAAAAATAGAAAAATTGAGGTGAAGTCTTGCCCTGTTGCCCAGGCTGATGTGCAATGGCATGATCACGGCTCACTGCAGCCTCGGCCCCCAGGGCTCAAGGGATTCTTCCACCTCAGCCTCTGGAGTAGCTGAGACCACAGGCATGTGCCACTACACCCAGTTAATAGAGACAAGCTCTTGCTATGTTGCCCCGGCTGGTCTCCAACTCCTGGGCTCAAATGGTCCTCCTGCCTGGGTCTCATAAATGCTGGGATTACAGGCCTCAGCCACCAAGCCTGGCCTATTGGGTTTTTTAGTGGTAATAATTGTATTGTGGATATATTTTTAAGGAGTCCTTATCTTTTAGAGATATTTGATGAAATTTTTATAGATGAAATGATATGATGTCTGGGATATGCTTCAAAATAAAACAGGAGGGTAGTAGAATATATGGAAATACAGATGAAGTAGGATTGGCCACAAATTGATAATTGTTTTACTGGATTATGAGTTTATGAGGGTTTATCATAGTAATCTCTCTACTTTTGCATATATTAAATTTTTCCACTATAAAAACAAACAAAAATTATCTGCAAAGATTTCAAACAATATTTAAATGATAGAGAGTTTTGCTATAAACATCTATGAGAAAAATGAATGCCACAGTATATTATTATTATTTTGAGACAGAGTCTCGCTCTGTTGCCTAGGCTAAAGGGCAGTGGTGCAATCTCGGCTCATTGCAACCTCTGCCAACTGAGTTCGTGATTCTTGTGCCTCAGCCTCCCTAGTAACTGGGATTACAGGCATGGGTCATCACAGCCGGCTAATTCTTGTATTTTCGGTAGAGATGGGGTTTCACCATGTTGGCCAGGCTGGTCTCGAATTCCTGGCCTCAAGTGATCTGCCTGCCTTGGCCTCCCAAAGTGCTGGGATTACAGGTATGAGCCACCACACCCGGCTCCTAAAATATATTAATTCATAGCAATCTTAATTTATAAATTCAATCCATTTCAAACCCAAGCAACTTAAAACTCAAAACTTCTGATGAGTAGATCCAAAATGTTATATGAAACTAAATGATTGAGACTAGCCAGGATAATATTTGAAGAGTAAAGAAGGACAGATTCAATGTAGACATCAATCAAGACATTTTACAAAGGTAAGTATGGTTTTATAACATCGGAATGATACTAATGCAGAGATAGAGATATGGCCCAATGGAACAGACCCAGAAATGACCCCGTGCACATAAGGGAGCAAGTATGTGCATCGACATGAATAAATATCAAAAAAATAAAACTCTGAGAGAGAAAAATAGTACGTTGCAAAAGGACATCCATTTTAAAAACAAACCAATAATACTGTGTATTATTTATGGATAGATGTATGTGCGGTAAAAGGCAGACAAACATGGACAAAAAGGATTCATAATTATTCTAGGAAATGTATTTACTCCTAGAAATGAAAAGAGTAAAATATAGGGAAGGAGGATCTAGTATGTTCTTTCTTCTGAAATGCTCTTGTGTCAGAAGATCTCTTTTTTTTTTGAGACACAGTCTCTCTCTGTCACCCAGGCTGGAGTGCGATGGCACAATCTTGTCTCACAGCAGCCTCCACCTCCCTGGTTCAAGCGATGCTGATGCCTCAGCCTCCTGAGTAGCTGGGATTACAGGCCAGTGTCACCATGCCCGGCTAATTTTAATATTTTTAGTGGAGACGGGGTTTCACCATGCCAGGCTGGTCTCAAACTCCTGACCTCTAGTGATCTGCCTGCCTCCACCTTTCAAAGCGCTGGGATTATAGGTGTGAGCCACCACACTGGGCCAAAAATATCTTTTAACTGATGTAATTGAATATTTACTAAATTCTATATCTATTTTCTAAACTATGTGGATAAGACCAGTATGACCATTAACAATGCCATATTCTCCTCCATTCACTTTCCTTGAGAATGCTTTTCTCTTTTGGCATGTCATTATGAACTTAGGGCCTTTCACAGATTTCATATATTTTAATCAACTACAGCCTTGGTTCTCTTTTTGATGCTCAAAGTCACAACTTTGGTCAATGAAGCCCTTTTTTAAGTAGCACCCTTTTCCTTTTGATACCACTGCATTAATCTTTGAAAGTTTCCTTGCTTTGTGGTAAAAGAAGATATTCCAGGCTCAGTCTAGCCCTGCCACAAACACGAAATCAGCTAGCCTTCTAGAGAGACTCATGCCTTTTAGTGACTGACTGGTATAAGAAGCCACATTTCAAGTACTAGGGTTGCCTGTTGGGTTCATCCCATCAGGGGAGCCAGAAACTCTGGGGTTCACTCAAGTGGATAGAGTTAGAAAGGAAGAAAGGATGTGGATATATTTTTACATCTGCACATACAATGAAAGGAACATCTACATATTCCATTTTGAGTTGATAGGGAAACTCATGCAATTTAAGGTTCTGTATAGCCTTAACTTGTCACTCTATGATTTGATGGATGTCATCTTACTATCATCTAGTCCATTTTCAATACCTTACTGTATAATTATAAGAGCAAGACTCATGTATATAAACTTTTATATATATATAAAGTTCTGGCTAAACAATTTGATCATTTCTCCTATTATCTAAATTCTAGCAATATTAGGACAAAAGCGAAAGAAGACAGATGTAAGGGGATATGGTTTGGCTGTGTCCCCACCCAAATCTCATCTTGAATTGTAGCTCCTATAATTCCCACGTGTTTATAAATATATAAAACTATATTTATATATTTAATAATATTTTAATTTTACAAAATCCTGGCCAGTTATCAAAGCCTTTACATTTACTTTGCTCTTTTTTCTGAGTTACTAGTTTTTCTTCTTTTAAAAGACAAAACATCCCCCTATCAACTTTACATAATATTATGCTATGTATTATTATTTTTTGAAGTTTGCTTTGTATAAATCCAAACAACTCTCCCAATTAGTAATATCTTGACCCAATATCTCTTATAGTCTTTCATTTTCCAGTAGGAAATCAAAGATGATCTTGGTATTTGGAACTCCATGTAAATAGGAAATATTGATGCATGTAAATATCAGCTACCCTTGAGATTATTTAAATTCCTCTTTTGAGGTATGGGCCAAAATATCATATATATTTCTACTACCTTTATTTTAATTACAGGTAACTTTAATCTCTAGTATAGAAATCCAATTAAGAAGAGGCCTTTGAATAAATATAAACATTTATGTTTTTCGTGGTTTGTGAACTAAAACCTCCAAAAGCCAACAAACTATTTAAAATCAGATTTTATCTAGACTAATTAATTAAATTAATTAATTAAATTGATAACTGTGATAGTTAACGTGTCAATATGGCTAGACTACGATGCCCAGTTGTTTGGGCAAACACTAGTCTAGATGTTGCTGTGAAGGTATTTTGTAGAGTGATTAATATTTATAACCAGTTGACTTTATTATTTTATTATTATTATTTTTTTAGAGACAGGGTGTTGCTCTGCTACCCAGTCTGGAGTGCAATGGCATGATCATAGCTCATGGCAGCCTTAAACTCCTGGGATCAGGTAATCCTCTCTCCTCAGCCTCCTGAGTAGCTAGGACTATAGGCATGTGTCATCACACCCAGCTAATTTTTAAATTTTTTGTAGAGACATGTATTAGTCCATTTTCACTCTGCTATAAAGATATGACCAGAGTTGGCCGGGCACAGTGGCTCATGCCTGTAATCCTAACACTTTGGAAGGCTGAGGTCAGGAGTTCAAGACCAGCCTGGCCAACATGGCAAAACCCCGTCTCTACTAAAAATACAAAAATTAGCTAGGCGTGCTGGCGGGCGCCTGTAATCCCAGCTACTTGGGAGGCTGAGACAGGAGAATTGCTTGAACCTAGGAGGCAGAGTTTGCAGTGAGCTGAGGTTGAGCCACTGCACTCTAGCCTGGGCAACAGAGCAAGACTCCATCTCAAAAAAAAAAAAAAAAAGATACTACCAGAGTCCGAGTAATTTATTTTTTATTTTTTCTTTGAGACAGAGTTTTGCTTTTGTTGCCCAGGCTAGAGTGCGATGGCACGATCTCGGCTCACTGCAATCTCTGCCTCCCAGATTCAAGTGATTCTCCTGCCTCAGCCTCCTGAGTTAGCTGGGATTACAGGCGTGTGCTACCATGCTCAACTAATTTTGTATTTTTAGTAGAGATGGGGTTTCTCCATGTTGGTCAGGCTGGTCTACAAACTCCTGACCTCAGGTGATCCGTCCACCTCAACCTCCCAAAGTACTGGGATTACAGGCATGAGCCACCGCGCCCAGCTGAGTCTGAGTAAAGATTAAGGAAAGAGGTTTAATTGACTCACAGTTCCACATGGCTGGGGAGGCCTCATTAAACTTACAATCATGATGGAAGGCAAAGGGGAAGCAAGGCATGTCTTCCCACGGTAGCAGGAGAGAGAGAGAGCACAGGGGAAACTGGCACTTATAAGACCATCTGATCTCCTGAGAATTTACTCAGTCTCATGAGAAAAGCATGGGAAGCTGCCCCCATGATCTATTCAACTCCCACCAGGTCCCTCCCTCAACACATGGGGATTACAATTTGGATTACAATTCAAGATGAGACTTGGGTGCGGACACAGAGCCAAACCTGTATCAAGAAAGGGTTTCACTATGTTGCCCAGGCTGGTCTCAAACTCCTGGCCTTAAGTGATCCTCCCACCTCGACCTCTCAAAGTCTGGGATTACAGGCATGAGCCACTGCACCCGGCCCAGTTGACTTTAAATAAGGAGGATTACCCTCCATAATGTAGATGGGCCTCATCTGATCAGTTGAAGGCCTTAAAGCAAAGATTGAGGTTTCCCAAATAAGACTCAAGACTGTAACACAGAAATCCTGACTGAGTTTCTTGCCTACCCTACACATTTTAGACTTGCCAGCCTCCACAATCCCATGAGCCAACCTTAATATAAATCTCTTTCTCTCTGTATCCCTGACTGATATAATCACTCACATAAAAAAAAAAAAGTGTCAAATGCTAAACATTGCAATTTTGCCCAGTATCAAAGTGGTCTATAGATTCAGAAAATTTTCTACTTTCCTAACTCTTGCTAAAACCAACTCACAAAATATACATGTGCCTATACACTTTCAGCACAATAAATTCCATTTGAAATCACATACATTTCTTTAAAAAATCATATTTACATAAATGTGACTATTTAATTTTAGTGCACAATTCCAAATTTATTTATGCAGTCAAACATACTTGGCCAGGTGCAGTGGCTCATGCTTGTAATCTCAACACTTTCGGAGGCCGAGGTGGGAGGATTACTTCAGCCCAGGAGTTCGAGACCAGCCTGCGCAACATGGCAAAACCCTGTCTCTACCAATAATAATAATAATAATAATACATAATGCTAGCCAGGTGTGGTGGCACACGCTTGTAGTCCCAGCGACTCAGCGACTCAGGAGGTTGAGGTGGGAGGATCGCTTGAGACCAAGAGATGGAGTTTGCAGTGAGCTGAGATGGCACCACTGCACTCCAGTCTGGGCAACAGAGCGAGACTCTGTCTTTTTTATTTTTTTTCTGAGAAGGAGTCTCGTTTTATAGCCCAGGCTAGAGTGCAGTGACGCCATCTCGGCTCACTGCAAGCTCCGCCTCCTGGATTCACGCCATTCTCCTGCCTCAGCCTCCTGAGTAGCTGGGACTACAGGCGCCCGCCACCACGCCCAGCTAATTTTTTAAAATATTTTTTGTAGAGACGGGGTTTCACCGTGTTAGCCTGGATGGTCTCTATCTCCTGACCTCATGATCGACCCACCTCGGCCTCCCAAAGTGCTGGGATTACAGGCGTGAGCCACCGCGCCCAGCCCTGAGATTCTGTCTTAAAACAAATCAAAATGAAAAAACAAGCCATTCTATGCCTCAATTACCAATTTTATATTCTTTAGTAACTGTACTTACCATTATTGAGAAAATCTATAATAAAACTATATTCCTTTAAAATTAAGGTAAAATTAAATCTCCCTGATTCATTGTAGAATGTTTTCCTTTTAGATATTTAAAATGTTTAATATAAAAATACCCAAATTTAGAATTTTTTTAAAGAAACTAATATTCATAAATCATTATTTTACTTAGAAAAGGGTGAGGAGTAGTTGGTTCAATCCCCATCTTGGTAAAACCAGAGACTTTGCTGTTAGACATGATTTAAAACTGCCATTTTTCCCCCTTTCTTTCTTTGAAGTTTCTTGCCTATTTTCTATCTTTGAAGTCCTTTTGAAGTTTTTATTCTTCTCTTGTAGCCTGTTATATTTCATTTTTTCTGAGCTTACAACTAATTTCAGAAAAAAATACATTGTTTTTAAAAGTTTAATTTATACCACTTTTAGCTTTATATGAATGCATTTATAGTTACCCTTTTTGGATTAAAAATAATTTCAGGTGAACTATTTAACTTCCAGTTCCTTGTGTATCATGCATTTTACCAATCTAATTTCAGTTTCATCATCTTTGGAATATACAAATCTCATTCTTGTGCCCTGAATTCTCTGAATGCCATTTCCAATTCAAGAGGCTTCTAATACATTTGTGTGATTCACAGTGCTCCCAGCTCCTTTTGGAAAAAACAGAAACTTTTATCTGCAAAACAGATTACCTTATACTCTAAACCAAAGTCTTAACATTTATGAATATTTAAAATCTAGCATCTACTTCCTGCCTTCTGATTCACTGGGATTCTTTCTTTCAAATGTAGCCAATTCCTTTACCCTTGTAGTCTAGGCTTATTTTGATTTGCAATTTCTGAAATTCTATGGTTTAGACTATGAGGAGGTGGATTTTAATACATCTCAACTCTCCTGGAGAGGTGCCTTTAGTCCATTTAAGAGAGATGGGACAACCTTCACTGTAGTACAGCACTTTTATAAGGTACATACTCTGGTGATCCTAAAACTATCATTTTTGGAGTATTCTCTCAGGCTAGCTTCTCATCAAAGTACAAGATAATTAGGGCCGGGCATGGTGGCTCACACATGTAATCCTAGCACTTTGGGAGGCCAAGGCAGGTAGATCACATGAGGCCATGAGTTCAAGACCAGCCTCGCCAACAAGGCAAAAACTCATCTCTATTAAAAATATAAAAATTAGCCGGCTGTGGTGGTGTGTGCCTGTAATCCCAGTTACTCAGGAGGCTGAGTCAGGAGAATCGCTTGAACCCGGGAGGCAGAGGTTGCAGAGAGCTGCGATTGTGCCACTGCATCCCAGCCTGGGTGACAGAGAAAGACCATGTCTCAAACAACAGCAACGACAACAAAGTAGAAGATAATTAGAAAAGTCCCAGGGACTAACTCTGACTGATGTGGCTTGGGTCACGTGTAGTCCTGGGACAACATGGTATCTAGGTAGGGGTGTTAGGAGAGGCTCAGTCCTAAGCACAGGCCTGTGTAGTGAAGGTTAGGTGGAGCAGATGTTAGCTTCCAGAGAAGTCAGGGGTGCTGGGCAGACTGACTCAATAGCCTCTGCCAAGATTTATAATCACTCCTTGTGGTCTGAAAGGAATGACCTACTATAACCTGCTTTTGCATGAATTCCATAGCATTATTCCCATCAACTTTTCCTGAATCCTCTCAGCCTTTGTGACACTAGTAATCCTTTGTAAATACTGTAAGCCAAAAATAAAATTCTAAGCACCCCCAGCAATCATCCTAATGGACGCCTCCTCTAGGCAAGGGCATTCCAAAGTTAGCCTGGAAAATAAGCTCAGGCCATGATGGGAATGGGGAGCTGGACATGCCTCATTATACCCTCCTCTCCTTTGGAATTACTGATAGAACAGACTCTTTAAATCTGATGAGAAACATTTACATACTGCTTTGGATCCTGAATAAAATTTTTATAAAATTTTAAAAAAAGGAAACATTTCCAGGCTTCATCTGCATGATAAAGCGTTGGTCTCCACAACCCCTTATTAGTAACCCAGTTGTTCCTTTCTATTGATAATGACTCTTTCAACCAATCACTAATCAGAAAATCTTTAAATCTACCTATGACCTGGAAGCCACCCCCTCTCTGAGTGTCCCACCTTTCTGGACCAAACCAGTGTAAATCTTACATGTATTAATTGATGTCTCATGTCTCCCTCAAATGTATAAAACCAAGCTGTACCCCAACCACCTTGTGGACATGTCAACAGGACCTTCTGAGGCTGTGTCAGAGGCACATTCTTAACCTTGGCAAAATAAACTTTCTAAATTGATTGAGACCTGTCTGAGATACAGTACTCAAGGTTACTCAGGGTCGTAATCACATATGAGAGATTGTGTTTTTGCCAGTAGTCCTGTTACCCAGCATGAAGAAGATTAGATAAGGAATAGTTGGTGGTAATAACTGGAAAATAAAAGCATTTTGTGTTTATTCCCCCAGTAAGTTGAGGCATCTTTATCACAATATTTATGGCCATTTATCACCAAATGCAGAAATTATAGTTTGCTATGATCTTACTGACTGCATCACTTCCGCATGTATGTGTATCTCTGCTGAATAGAGTCTCTCATACTTTGAACCAAAGCATGTGATTTCAATAAAGAAGAACCCTGAAAATAATGCACTTCATGTTGTGATGATTTCCATTCTTCCTGGTGACTACGAATTTGTGAAAAAAAAGAAACTCTGGAATATGTTTTCCCCCATTACACATTTTCTCTTTTGTGCCCTTTAAAAATACATCTTTGCTGTACAGCTAGAGTAGAGAAAAGGTTTTCAGAATTCTTTTTCCTTTTTAGGAAGTAAGTTGGTGTTTTCTTGAAGTCCTGGGCTCGAGTGAGCCTCCCGCCTTGGCCTCCTGAAGTGCTGGTATTACATGCCTGAGCCACCATGCTTGGCCAGTGTTTTGTATTTACATAAACATTTATAAAGGTTTGCAAAGGAAACATTTTCATTATTTTTTTTTCCAAAAGCTTATTGGATACCCTAAATCCATATTAGTTTTTACTTTGGTGCTCTCTCATGTGGCAACCATTTCTCTGCTCATTTATTATTCCTCCCATGTATCTGTTAACTTTGGATTAGTTTAATGGGAATATAATGTGAATTGTCCTGAAAATAAGGCACTTAACAACCATCATTAATGAACATTAGATCCTCATTTATTAGTGGCCGTCACTCATTCTAAGTTATACAGAAGAGAGCATGAATGAACTAACTGAAAAGAAACCTATTGCATTAAGCAACATATTTCCAATGGCACTTTACTTTTTGTATTTAATAATAATATTTATCAAATTTTATTAAATGTTTATGTAGTTTTAATCAATAATGCTATTCATACTACTACTAATAACAATACATTAATGATAACTCAGTCTAAAAAAATATAATCCTTAAAGCCATATGGTTATAGGAAATTTATTTATTATTATTATTATTATTTTTGAGACAGAGTCTCGCTCTGTCGCCCAGGCTGGAGTGCAGTGGTGCAATCTTGGCTCACTGCAACCTCTGCCTCCTGGGTTCAGGCGATTCTCCTGCCTCAGCCTCCTCAGTAGCTGGACTACAGGCGCCCGCCACCACGCCCAGCTAATTTTTATATTTTTAGTAGAGGTGGGGTTTCACCATATTGGCCAGGCTGATCTCAAATTCCTGCCCAGAGGTGATCTGCCCACCTCAGCCTCCCAAAGTGCTGGGATTACAGGTGTGAGCCACCACACCCGGCCCCAGGAAATTTTTTAAAAATTAAAATTTCAGGCTAGGCACAGTGGCTCATGCCTGTAATCCTAACACTTTGGGAGGCCAAGGCAGGAGGATCATCTGAGCCCAGGAATTAAAGACCAGCCTGGGGAACATAGTGAGACCCCTCCTCTGTATGAAAAATAAAAAAATTTGCCAGACATGATGGCTGGTGCCTGTAGTTCCAGCTACTCAGGAGGCTGAGGTGGGAGGATCACTTGAGCCTGGGAGGTTGAGGCTGCAGTGAGCTATGATTGCACCACTGCACTCCAGCCTGGGTTACAAAGTAAGACCCTATTTCAAAATTAATTAAATTAAATTAAAACATCAGTTTATGTATGTAATTTTCTAATGTGATAAATATGATAAAGAGATCAATAAAATGATTTCAAGCATAAATGAACATTACATTAGAGAAAATTCTACAACAGAATAGTAGAATGGAATTACAAGTTCAAGAAGAAAAAGAAATGACAAATTTTTCTTTTTTTGATTTTATCTTATTATTATTATATTTTAAGTTTTAGGGTACATGTGCACAATGTGCAGGTTAGTTACATATGTATACATGTGCCATGCTGGTGTGCTGCACCCATTAACTCGTCATTTAGCATTAGGTATATCTCCTAAAGCTATCCCTCCCCACTCCCCCAACCCCACAACAGTCCCCAGAGTGTGATGTTCCCCTTCCTGTGTCCATCTGTTCTCATTGTTCAATTCCCACCTATGAGTGAGAATATGCGGTGTTTGGTTTTTTGTTCTTGCGATAGTTTGCTGAGAATGATGATTTCCAATTTCATCCATGTCCCTACAAAGGACATGAACTCATCATTTTTTATGGCTGCATAGTATTCCATGGTGTATATGTGCCACATTTTCTTAATCCAGTCTATCATTGTTGGACATTTGGGTTGGTTCCAAGTCTTTGCCATTGTGAATAGTGCCACAATAAACATACGTGTGCATGTGTCTTTATAGCAGCATGATTTATAGTCCTTTGGGTATATACCCAGTAATGGGATGGCTGGATCAAATGGTATTTCTAGTTCTAGATCCTTGAGGAATCGCCACACTGACTTTCACAATGGTTGAACTAGTTTACAGTCCCACCAACAGTGTAAAAGTGTTCCTATCTCTCCACATCCTCTCCAGCACCTGTTGTTTCCTGACTTTTTAATGATTGCCATTCTAACTGGTGTGAGGTGGTATCTCATTGTGGTTTTGTGGTTTTGATTTTCATTTCTCTGATAGCCAGTGATGGTGAGCATTTTTTCATGTGTATTTTTGGCTGCATAAATGTCTTCTTTTGAGAAGTGTCTGTTCATGTCCTTTGCCCACTTTTTGATGGGGTTGTTTGTTTTTTTCTTGTAAATTTGTTGGAGTTCATTGTAGATTCTGGATATTAGCCCTTTGTCAGATGAGTAGGTTGCAAAAATTTTCTCCCATTTTGTAGGTTGCCTGTTCACTCTGATGGTAGTTTCTTTTGCTGTGCAGAAGCTCTTTAGTTTAATTAGATCCCATTTGTCAATTTTGGCTTTTGTTGCCATTGCTTTTGGTGTTTTAGACATGAAGTCCTTGCCCATGCCTATGTCCTGAATGGTATTGCCTAGGTTTTCTTCTAGGGTTTTTATGGTTTTAGGTCTAACATTTAAGTCTTTAATCCAACTTGAATTAATTTTTGTATAATGTGTAAGGAAGGGATCCAGTTTCAGCTTTCTTTTTTTTTCTTTTTTTAAAATTATTATTATACTTGAAGTTTTAGGGTACATGTGCACAATGTGCAGGTTAGTTACATATGTATACATGTGCCATGCTGGTGTGCTGCACCCATTAACTCGTCATTTAGACAAATTTTTCTAACAGTTAAAAATGACCTTGTTCGAATGTTTTTTAAAAAATTGATAGTAGTGGATAGCAGGCTTTATAAGATGGCCCCCAATGATCCTTGCCCCCAGGTATAATATTTATGCCCTTGTGTAATCTCATCCCCATGAGAGTGGGCTTGACCTAAAGACTTGCTTATAACAAAGAGAATACAGCAAATGCGATGGGATGAGGCTTCTGAGATAAGGCTATCAAAGCACTATGATTTCTATGCTGCTCTCCTCTTTTGCTCTCTCTCTCTCTTCTGTGTGCTCTGAGGAAAGCCAGTTGCCATATTATGAACTACCGTATGGAGAGCTTCATGTGACACAGAACTGAGGGAGGTCACTAGCCATTAGCCAGCCATAAACTTAGGCCCTCTGCCCTATGGTCCATAAGAAACTGAATCCTGCCAACAGTTACTTGAGGAAGCTTGGGAGTAGATCCTCCCCGAGTCAAGTCTTCAGATCACCCAGCAGCCCTGGCTGACCCCCTGATTGCAGTCTTGTGAGAGACTTTTATCTGCCCCAGAGAAACTGTGAGATAATAAATGGTTGTTTTCAGCTGTGAAGCTTAAGGACAATTTGTTACACAGTAATAGATAACTAATATAATAATGATAAGTACCAAAAGCCTATTGTTTTTAGAATCCATATGATACATTTAAGGTTGATCAAATATTTTTACTTTTAAAGTGACATTAATTTTCAATAAACTTGAAATTATGTCATTTGCAGCTATTTAAAGTTACGAGAAAACATTTTAGAGGGCAACTTAAAACGTAGATGTGCTTCATCATGATTATAAAGTATATGAGCCAAAAAATTAGCAAAGTACTAACAGCATTGAGAAATCCTTACTTCTTGGTGATAGCAAAAGAGGTTAAGAGAGAGAATCAAGAGTGAAATGGGGCCAGGCACAGTGGCTCACATCTGTAATCCCAGCACTTCGGGAGATGAAGGCAGGCAGATCATTTGAGGTCAGGAGTTTGAGGCCAGCCTGGCCAACATGGTGAAACTCCGTCTCTACTAAAAATACAAAAATTAGCTGGGCATGGTGGCATATGCCTGTGATCTCAGCTACGTAGGAGGCTACGTAGGAGGCTGAGGCAGGAGAATTGCTTGAACCTGGGAGGTGGAGGTTGCAGTGAGCTAAGATCATGCCACTGCACTCCAGCCTGGGTGACAGAGTGAGACTCCATCTAAAAAAAACAAAAAAAAAAGAAAGAAAGAAAGAAAGAAAAAGAGTGAAATGGGAACTAGAGGGTTTAATTTTCTGCCATGAAGAAGTAATTTTAATACTTGAGCCAAGTTAGAATGCACACAACTAAAATGATAGCCCCTGCCAATTGAGGGCTTACAGTTACACATGATACCTGCCCCATTTAATCCTCACAACAACCTTTTGAGGGAGATGTTATCAGCATATGGATTTGAAACAGCCAATGTATCACACCTCATGTTGTTTTGTTGAGTTGAGCCTGCAGAAGAGGCACCTGTCTATCCAGCCATGTGGGGAATCAAGGAGCTGTCAGTACATGTGCAGCATCATCTAAAATATTAATCCTACCCAAGAGCTGAAAGTAGATAAATAGATGTCACACACTTTCCACCACACAAGCTAAAAAGCATAAGGCCTGGTTTCAATCCCAGGTTTCTGACTCTAAACACCATGCTCTTAATTGCTGTCTTTCCAGAAAAAGACGAAAAGACTAAATGCATTTTCTACTATGATCAGATTATACCAATTGCTCTTATATTTTTTTTCTCTCCTTCCACATAGAAGTGCAGTAAATGTATGTCCTAAACCAACACTCTAGTTAAGATTCTAATTTTATTGTAGCAAAATATACATACCATACAATTTACCATTTTAACCATTTTTAAGCAGACATTTCAGTGATGTTGAGTATATGCACATTGTTATACAATCACTGTCATCTATTTCCAGAACTTCATCTTCCTAAACTGAAACTCCATGCCTGTCACACAATAACTCTCCATTCCCCACTTCCCCTTGCCCCTGGCAACCACCATTCTATTTTCTGTCTGTATCAATTTGACTACACTATGTACCTCATATAAGTGGAATCATACGGTATTTGTCCTTTTATGCCTGGTTTATTTCACTTAGCATAATGTCTTCAAAGTTCATCCATGTAAGAATATCCCTCCTCTTTAGGGAAGAATAATATTCCACCATATGCATATATTACATTCTCTTTATGTGTTCATTTATTGTCTTAGTTGGTTCAGGCTTCTATAACAAACTATCATAAACTTGGTACCTTATAAACAACAGAAATATATTTATCACTGTTTTAGAGGCTGGAAAGTCCATCATCAAGCCATCAGCAGCAGGTTTATGTCTGGTGAGGTCCCACTTTCTGGTTCATAGATGTTCACTTCTTGCCGTGTCCTCACGTGGTGGAAGGGGTAAGAGGGCTCTCTCTCCAGCCTCTTTTATAAAGGTAATCATCTCATTTATGACCTAATTACATCTCAAACACCCCACCTCTTAAAACCATCACATTGGTGATTAAATTTCAACATATGAATTTGGGGGGGACAGAAACTTTCAGACCATAGCATCTGCCAATGGACACTTGGGTTGCTTTCACCTTTTGGCTATTATGAGTAATACTGCTGCAAACAGGAGTGTACGAATATCTGTTTGAATTGCTGCATTTAATTCTTTTAGATATATACCCAAAAGTGGAATTGCGAGATTATATGGTAATTCTATGTTTAATTTTTTAAGCAATTGCTATCCTATTTCCCATATCAGCTGCACCATTTTACATTACCACAGATTCTAAAATTTTTAACAAGAAAGTATAACTAAAATAATAAGTGATGAATGATATAAAACGAGCAAGGTAGACAATTAGCCCATAATTAGAGACTCTCAGAGCTTTAAGGGTCTCTAAAGTGCATCAGTCCAAGTATCCATCATATATTTGAAGATAGTGCTTAAAGTTCTTGGATGATGATTACATTAACCCTCTGGCAAACATTGATTAAAGGCTAACTAGGTACCCAGCACAATGCTGTGCAGAGCTAAAAGGAACAATGAAATTATCCATCCTTTCTTGGAATTATTTCCCATAACTACCATATGCAGCCTGCCGATTTACCTAGGATAATGATTCACCTGGGTAGAAAGACCACGTATTTCAATTATTTTACTTCTGGTCTCTCTCCATGGGAAAGATAGACTAGTTTTAAAAATGATGTGGGTTGGTAAATATTTGCAGTTAGAGTCTTTGTGAGGTCACCATAGCAGTTATAAAACAAAACAATCTAAATATAATTGTAGATCCTTATAGAAACCTGACATCTAGCCATGTCTGCCTACATTATTAGGCCTTCCACAGAGTTAAATGGTCTTCCACAGAGTTGGCCAAGTTTAGAAGTTACACAACTCTGAGGTGTAATGAATGCTCATAAAAAATGGTTTCTGTCTCAGTTGGGAAATACCAAGTACTCCTAAACAATGACAAGAACAGGTGGAAGACAACAAAAAGAGTCTTTTTTTTTTTTTTTTTTTTGAGACGGAGTCTCGCTCTGTCGCTCAGGCTGAAGTGCAGTGGTGTGATCTCAGTTCACTGCAACCTCTGCCTCCAGGGTTCAAGCGATTCTCCTGCCTCAGCCTTCTCCAGAGTAGCTGGGATTACAGGTGCCCACCACCATGCCTGGCTAATTTTTGTATTTTTAGTAGAGACAGGGTTTCACCATGTTGGCCAGGCTGGTCTCAAACTCTTGACCTCAAGTGTTCTGCCTGCCTTGGCCTCCCAAATTGTTGGGATTACAGGCATAAGCCACCATGCCCGTCCCTTCCAGGCAATTCTTAACTCCAATTCTATCCATACCCCTAGCAAACTTGGACTCCACTTAGTAAAGCATGGGTGGAGGAAGGGGTGTGGAGCAAGGGCAGGGGACAAGGAGAATCTAAGGAGCATTTCATGTTCCTTTTCCTTAATTTTCCAGTTCACCTCAAGTTGTCAAACATTTGTGCAGTGTTTACTATATATTGGACATTCTTCAAGGTACTGGAGACACAAACAAATTAGACTTGGACATTACTTCGAGATGCTCAAAATCTAGTGTAAGAGTATGGTTTATTTTTTATATGTTTAGTTGTTTATATTTTAGAAAGCTTCACAGGTGGGATGAAATATTTTACAATGCTATAATCATGTATGGTTAGGTAAGGAGCAGGTAATAGCTCAGTTTGTGTGTGTGTGTGTATGTCCAAGGTCACTGTAAATAGTTTACCCCAGCTGGAACCAGCCTTTCTCCCTCCCAGAGATACCACACTATTTTTAGCTTAGATTGGATAACTCTTTATATACAACTCTTTGCCAAGGTCCCAGCTGCTTCATGTTTGCTTACTTTGATATTTTATTAACGCCTATTTAGCATTTCAATAAACTCCAGAATGTTTCCAGGTTACTTTTTGTAGTATTACGAAAAACACACTGATCATTTAGGCACTGTATTAGGCTGCATTCACTCAACATTTCCTGAATGCTTAAATACCAGGTCCTTGGGATACAACAGCGAACATAACAAGCAAAAATTTCTGCCCTCATGCAGCATACATTCCAGTGACTACATATGATAAAAATCCAAAATAATAGAGGCCACACTGGTCTGGATCCTCAAGTGATCCGCCTGCCTCGGCCTCCTAGTGTGCTGGGATTACAGGTGTGAACCACCGCGCCCGGCCTGCAAAAGTCTTTTAACTGGCCTCCCCATCTCCAAACTCTATCCTCCATATTAGTGTTGCAGGACTTTTTAAAATAAAACCTTGGTCATTTAATTTCTCACATTAGAAAACTTCCACTGTTTTTCACTGTTTACAGTAGAAATCCAATTCTCTTAGTATGGTATATAAGACTCTTCATGATCTAGCCCCAGTAAAACACTCTACAGTCTCCCCACCCAATATTTTTTTCACCGTATCCCTTCCATCTGGCCAGGCTGAGTCCTGGCAGCCACGACCCCCTATGGATCATGCTGGTTTAAATCTCCTGGGTTGCTCATGTTATTCCTGCTCCTACAAAGATCTCCATCTTCTTGTCTACCTAAAGAAAACCTACTCATCTGTGTGCAATCACCATAAAGACTTATCTCTCTTCTGCAGCCTTTCCTGCAATTTCCATACCTCTGGCACGGACAATCACCTTTTAAAAATACCCCATATAAATTTATCATAGCCTCTACAGTATTTTGATTACACTTAACTAATTACATGACTTCTCTTTTAGTCTTCTTCTCTAATCTCTTGAGGCCATGGACCATATCCCATTATTTTGAATCCCAAATGCCTAGTACTGTTCTTGGTATATGGTTAAGATGATCATACGACTTGGTTTGTGCCTGTTGACCTGGCTTAATAATTACACCCTCTTTACTCTCAAAAGTATCTTGGTTTGGCAGATAAATTATATTTGGTCATTCTCCACATAGTATATGCCTGGCAATAAATGAATGAATGAGCACCAGCATCTGAGCACTTATTACCATACAATATATACATGTATAGTAATACTTTTTAAAAAAGTTGTATATGATGATGTGCTGCTTTTTTGCTTAGCTTCATTAGAACTGGCCAGCTCCTTTTTCTCACTTGCCAAGCATGGGGAGTTGGTTTGGAGTTGGTGTTTCATCTTTTCCAGTTACAGTGTGAAAGTAGCCCACCAGCCCACGCTCTTATTCCTAAAGACCGCAGTGACTCCACGGACTTAAGTTCTCATTGCTTCCAGTTTCCTTGGGCAACGCAGCACGCAATTTTGGACGCGCTGCGTGGTTTCAGAGTCGGCTGTAACTTTTCTCACTTTATAATCATCAGGAAAAGTTCCTGATGCCAGTCTTCCAAACGCTCAATGAAATAAAAACCAGATAGCACCGCAGAGGAGGCTGAGATGCAACGACAAAAGCTGTCGTAATTATTAATAATACCTAACCCTGGATCACTCCCCTGATAGATCTGTATCTTTGCAGCAGGCGCAATTCAGTTTGGATTCACCCAAAACAAAAATGGTCTCCGTCGGAGTCAACGCCCTTTCCTGTGCGGACCAATCAGAATCTCAAACACAGGGCACGGGGCCCACACTTCCGTCCGGTCTGCCTGGTCTCTCTAACCGCGCCAGTGTGCCTCCGACTCGGAACGGCTTCCGCGGCCGGGGCAGCGAGGGCCGGGGGCGGCGGGCGGGATGAGTGCGGTGTGCGGTGGAGCGGCGCGGATGCTGCGGACGCCGGGACGCCACGGCTACGCCGCCGAGTTCTCCCCGTACCTGCCGGGCCGCCTGGCCTGCGCCACCGCGCAGCACTACGGCATCGCGGGTGAGGCGGCGCCGCGCAGCTGGGGCCGGGGGGCGGAGGCGGAGGCGGGGGCCAGCCGGGCTCCAGTTCCTCGCGCTCGAGGGAAAGCCCCTCTGAGCGTAGACGGTTCCGCGGGTCCACGCCAGGGGGCAGAAGAGGCGCTGGTCGGCGCTTCTCCTTTCTTTGCCGAGTGCGAGGAGTTGGTCTGAAGCAGGAGTCGATCTTCCAGTTGTGTGCAAGTGCATATACGTGTAGCCTAGTAGCCCGTGTCCTTGTTCCTTGAGACCGCGCTGCCTCCGCCACGTGTCACACGCCCAGGCACACGTCCCCGTAGGGAGAGCCGGGGGAGCCTGCGCGGTCCCTTGGATCGGTCCGCTCGGCACAGCAGTACGGGGAAGACGGTCTGAGCCAGAACCGACCCAGGGCTCGCGAGTTGGCCCACAATTCCCAGTCTGCATTCGAGCACTGAGCTGCGACCTGCGGGCTGGCCTTCCTAAGGACGATGCTCCTGAATGGACGCCTGGAGTCCCACGGGTGACACCATGAAATATATCAAGTTCAGTTCTTACCTGTAGTTGTCTAACGAGGAATGCACACATTCGCAAGTAGGTGTTACAGACTCCAGTTAATTGTCTCCCGTCGCGCGCATTGGCTCAGCCTGTGGTTAAAGCTGCTCAGGAGGCTGAGGCGGGAGGATCGCTTGAGCCCGGGATGTTGAGGCTACAATGAGCTGAGATCACATCACTCTGCCCCAGCCCAGTGAGCTGAGATCACATCACTCCACTCCAGCCTGGGTGACAGACTGAGACCCCGTCTTAAAAAGAAAAAAGGCCAAGCGCCGTGCGGTGGCTCACGTCTGTAATCCCAGCACTTTGGGAGGCCGAGGTGGGCGGATCACTTGAGTTCGGGAGTTCCAGACCAGCCTGACCAACATGGAGAAACCCCATCTCTACTGAAAATACAAAATTAGCCGGGCGTGGTGGCGCATGCCTGTAATCCCAGCTACTCGGGAGGCTGAGGTAAGAGAATAGTTTGAACCCAGGAGGCAGAGGTTGCGGTGAGCCGAGATCGTGCCATTGCACTCCAGCCTGGGCAAGAAGAGCAAAACTCCGTCTCAAAAAAAAGAGTCCATCTAGTCCGTGGACTAGATGAAAAGGCGTAGGTTCATTCTCGCTTTTGCCTTAATTCATGTCCTAGCTATTATACGCACTGAAGCGAGATGCAAAAACTCATTTCATAATGTCAGTGGTCTATTGTATTTTTTTGTTTTGTCCTACAGCAGAAAAAAATGTTACTTCTAAAACTCAGAGAAATACTTGATTTATTTTCATTATTAGCTCTTAGTGCTTGCACATTCAGATTTACATGGCCCACCAGTTAGACTGAAGACTCATGAGTCTATAATGGTAGTAGTTTTCTTTTTTTCTTTTTTCTTTTTCTCTTTAGAGACAGGGTCTCACCCTGTTGCCTAGGTTGAGTAGAGTGGTGCAATCACAGCTCACCGTAGCCTCCACCTCCTGGGCTCATATGATCCTCCTGTCTCAACCTCACCAGTAGCTGGGACCACAGGCATGTACCATCACACCTGGCTAATTTTTGATTTTTTATTTTTGTAGAGACAGGGTATCACTATGTTGCCCAGGCTGGTCCGGAACTGGGTGCAAGCGATCTTCCTGCCTTGGCCTCCCAAAGTGCTGGGATTACAGGCGTGAGCCACTGTGACTGGCCTGTAATGCTACTTAAAATCTTATGCAAAAACTCTTTAAAGGGAATTGGTATTTAAAAAAAAAAATTCAGTCATGTTTAAATAGAAGAGATTTTCCCCCTTGGTCTCTATAAAAAGTAAACATAACTTTTAAAATACAATGGCCCTTTGGTAAAATAATCTTTGACAGGTAACATATTAATACTGTTTTCAGCACTTTATTACCACCAGTTATGTAGTAAATCCCACCAAGTATCTCCGCATTCATATTTTGTTTTAAAATCCTGTGTGAGATGTGTTTTAGATTTACTGGTGAGGAGTGCAGTCCCTGGGGTCTGTAAGCCAGAGGTTTCTCATCTGTCAGTAGGAATGATAACACCAACTTGGAAGGTTTGTGTCTCTGGTGCCTTGTCTGGCTACAGAGTAGGCCCTTAAGTATTTCACCCCCCTGTTAGGTCCATGTCTGAATTCCAATCATAGGTGCAATGGGAAGTTGAATATTTAGTAACTGAAGTACAATATGGAAAAACAGAAATAGAGAACACATTTGGTATTCATGTCCCAAAAACTTTAGGGAGAAATTGATCACCTGACCATTTGGTATTCAAGGTCCCAAATACTTTGGGGAAAAATTTGTGGTATTAAAATCAGGTATCAATTACTTGATAACTCCTTGACTTTCGATGTTACCCTGGCAGGTTCAAAGGGATGACCTTGATTTTTTTTCTCTTTAGGCTGTGGAACCCTACTAATATTGGATCCAGATGAAGCTGGGCTAAGGCTTTTTAGAAGGTAAGGGGGCTGAAATTATTAAAGGTATATATTGTTGCTATTAAAGCCTTAATAGAATTAGGTTTTGACTCTTTGATTAATGTTTTAATATACAGTATAAAAGGAACCTTGGCGTTTGCATAGGATGAAGCTTATTTTTAGCTGATTGTGGTGGTGCGCACCTGTAGTCCCAGCTATTCCCAAGTCTGAGGCAGAAGGATCACTTGAGGCCGGGAGTTCAAGACCAGCCTCGTGGGCAACATAGGAGGACCCCGTCTCTAAAAGAAATTTTTTTTTTTTATGCACAGAGTCTGGCTCTGTCACCCAGGCTGGAGTACAGTGGCGCCATCTTGGCTCAGTGCAGTCTTCCCCTCCTGGGTTCAAGTGATTCTCCTGCCTCAGCCTCCCAAGTAGCTGGGATTATAGGTGCCCGCCACCACACCCGGCTAATTTTTGTATTTTTTAGTAGAGATGGGGTTTCATCATTTTGGCCAGGCTGGTCTCAAACTCCTGACCTCAGGTGATCTGCCCACCTTGGCCTCCCAAAGTGGGTATTATATGCGTGAGCCACTGGGCCCAGCCTAAAAATTTTTTTAATTTTTAGGCCGTAGTCCCAGCTACTTGGGAAGCTGAGGTGGGAGGATTGCTTGAGTCCAGTTCAAGGCTGTAGTGAGCTGTGATTGGGCCACTACACTCCAGCCTGGATGACAGAACAAGACTCTTTCTCTCAAATAAAAAACAAAACAAATCTGAAGCCTGTCTCTTAGTGTCCACTCATAAATTATAAAATTTAAACATAAAAAAATGTGGAGCAGTATACTGTGTACTATTACATTTTTGGACTACTACATTCCACTGGACTGTTTTTTTTAACCTTTCTGAATCTGTTGCCATATTTGTCAAGTACCTACTCTACTTAACTCCCGTAGTTGTGCAGATTACATGAGATATACGTGTTAAAATGTGTGATAAATTGAAAGAAAAAAAACCATAATTGTTATTTTTTTTGTTGTGTAGCTGCCTATGTAAGTGTTGTATTTTTTTGTTGTTTGTTTTTTCCTAGTGTAGCTTTGACTGGAATGATGGTTTGTTTGATGTGACTTGGAGTGAGAACAACGAACATGTCCTCATCACCTGTAGTGGCGATGGCTCGCTGCAGCTCTGGGACACTGCCAAAGCTGCAGGGCCACTGCAAGTCTATAAAGAACACGCTCAGGAGGTAGGAGGGAAATCTTTCTGGGCTGATTATTTTTCTTTCTTCGACTTTGGTTGAAATCCATTTGGGGATGGACACATGGAGAAATATCTTCAGGGGACAAGTTTAAACGTTAGCATTTCTTATACATACTAGATGTCACTTATTATTTGATTATTCAAACATAAAGTACCTCTTGGCCTAAGGAGTGGGGAAAGAAAAGAAAAGGTCAGTCTTCTCATTAGGCAGAAAGAACACCTCCAGCAGTGTACTCTGGCACCATTTCCTCCTGAGAGGCCCATCACTTTCTTTGTGCTCTAAGAATGTGCTTGCCACATGGTGCCTTAAGGTAGAGGTAGGTGGACTTTTCACATAGACATCACAAGATTGCCTTTGGGGCTTCAGTGAGATTCCCGAGGTGTTTCAGAGTATATTGGAGCAAGAGCATAAAATACTGAGTATGAGGCAGAACTTACTGAAGGGATTTTATATCTAAATCTGGTTCATGTGTCTAGATTTTGTGTGTGTGTATGTATAGCATAGAAAATAGTTTGGGCTTCAGTTGTACTAACATACATGTATATTTTCAGTGAACATAAAGACATCCTCTTTTTGTGTTTTTACCTTAAATGTTTTAAGATTTTCCTTAAGGGAGCAGTACATCCTTCAGATGAAAACTTGCTAATCTACTTTCAAATTTTTGTCCACCACAGTGCCTGGCCCGAGAAGGCCCTCAATAAATGCTTATTAGATGCAAGAATATCAGTCTTTTGTGGTAAAGATTAGTTATGTGAGGGGTCCAGATGTTTTATAGCTGTAGCTATTGACAATCAAGATTTCTAAGATTGTTACTGAAATAATGAAAAATTTTAGTTTCTATTTTAATTATGATAGCTATTTGAATAAATGTAGTTGTAAATTACTATGTTTTCAGGGAATTACTGAATATTAAGACAATTTTGGTAAAGGAGAAATTTTAGTTTCAGGATAATCAATGCACGAATCTCTACAGAACAGTATGTCCAAAATTCAGATACTTTTGTGGAACCTGTGTGAATTTGTGTGTGTGTGTGTGTGTGTGTGTGTGTGTGTGTGTGTGTGTGTCAGGGTCTCACTCTGTTGCCCAGGCTAGAGTGCAGTGGTGCAATCTTGGCTTACTGCAACCTCCACCTTCTGGAATGGGCTCAAGCCATTCTCATGTCTTAGCCACCCGAGTAGCTGGGATTACAGACGTGCGCCACCGTGCCCTGCTAATTTTTGTATTTTTAGTAGAGACGGGTTTCACCATGTTGGCTAGGCTGGTCTTGAACTCCTGGGCTCACATGATCCACCTGCCTTGGCCTCCCAAAGTGCTGGGATTATAGGCGTGAGCCACCGTGCCCAGCCAATTTTTGTGTGTGTGTGTTTTTTTGTTGTTGTTTTTTTTTGTAGAGATGGAGTTTCGCTATGTTGCCCAGGCTAGTTTTTGTGATGTTTGACATCTTTTTATACCACTTGTATTATAATGTATTTCTTTTCCTTCTTTCTTTTTTAAAAAATATTTTTCTTTTCAGAAGTTTTTTTTTTCCTTTTTCTTAAATCTTTGGTGCCTTTTATTATCTATATAAATTCAAGGATGATAACTGACATCATAAAATAATATAGCTAGTTAAGGTAAATTCAATATATTGACTTAATGTTTTTCTTTCAATCAAGTAAAGTCGTTGCTTCATTTATCCTAAAACAGTAATATTCATGAAACAATGGGGTTGATGGCTACTTTAGTATGTACATTTATTTGTTTTTAGTGTACATTGAGATAAGTAAGTAATGAATAAAATAAATGTATGTACCAGTTAAAATAATCTCTGGTGTAACTACTCTCTGGAAAATACTGTTCTAGGATATCCTGGATGGATGCTCACTCAGTCTTTACTTCCTGTCAGTGAAAGTAAATTTCACTTTCTCTTGAGATAACTTATTTGACTTTTAGGTTGTTCTGATTATTAAGAAACTGCTTCTTGTAATCCCAACTCTACCTTCTATAGCAACCAACTGCTGCTTTTAGTGTCTTTCTCTGAAGTGGCAAGACCAGGTCCAGCCCCTCTTGTCCAGGAAACCTCTTGAAAATAGCCATCGTGCTCTCTTCCAGACTGTGCACTTGTCATTTCATTGTCCTGTCCTCAGATGACATGATCTGTACGTCTTTCATCCTTCTGATAGCCTCCTTTGATAATCCTGTTTTTCAACTCCCCTTTCAACATATACCTAATTTATTCCAGAAATGTGATGAAGGGCTAAGCTTTATAAGATTTTACCACCATAGTCTTGAGCCCCTAGCTCTAATAATATTACCTAAAGTGGCTATACATTGTTCTCAGCCATGTCTTAGTGTTAGGTTACTTTGAGTCTGCTAGTAACACACTTACCTCTTTTGTTATTTGAACTGCTATTAAACCAGTTTTACATCATTCTGTGATTTTGCAGCTGATTTCTTGAACCGAAGACACACTTCTGTTTTTTAATTTTTTAAATTTGTTTTGCGTACTGCTATTCTAGTTAGACTTCCTCGTTTTCTTTTCAAATGCACTTTTTGGTAAGCGTTTGTATCAGGATGCCTTGAATGTTAGTGTAATAGAAAACAATTAAATGGCTTCAACAGTCAGAGTTTACTGTTTCACATATTTTGCTTGGTTATGTGAAAAATAAATGAAGATAACCTTTTTAGGTATTTGTTACAGCAGCACCCCTAATTCTTGGCACCAGTTTCTGCCTCAGTCTGTTCAGGCTGCTGTAACAAAGTATTATAGACTGGGTGCCTTATAAAGAACAGAAATTTATTTCTTACTATTCTGGAGGTTGGAAGTCCAAGGTCAGGGTGCCCACATGTTTGGGTTCTGATGAGGGCCCTCTTTTAGGTCAAAGACTACTGCTGTCTTTTCATTGTATCTGCAGGTGGTGGAAAGAGAATGAGAGAGGTTTGGGAAATCCCTTTTATAAGAGCACTAATCCCATTCATGAGGGCTCTACATTCATGACCTAATTACCCCCCAGAGGCCCTACGTCCTAAAACCATTACACTGGGGGGTTAAGATTTCAACATGTGGGTTTTGTGGGGATATATTCAGTCCATTGCATATGCCAGATACTCAAAAATACTTAAAAGGATTTAAGCTCAAATGAGAGTTTTAAGGAGCTAGTAAATATTTGTTGAATAAATTAATAAATGAGGCTGAGTGCAGTGAGTCATGCCTGTAATCCTAACACTTTGGAAGGTCGAGGTGGGCAGATCACTGAAGGCCAGGAGTTTGGGACCAGCCTGGCCAACATGGCGAAAACCCCGCCTCTACTAAAAATAAAAAAATTAGCTGGGTGTGGTGGTGCACACCTGTAGTCCCAGCTATTTGGTGGCTGAGGCACAAGAATCATTTGAGCATGGGAGGTGGAGGTTGCAGTGAGCTGAGTTCGTGCCATTGCACTCCAGCCTGGACAACAGAGTGAGACCCTGTCTTAAAAGAAAGTTATTAAAAAAAAAAGTTGATAATGAACATAGCCAATTTCTGTTTTTTTTTTTTCCACCAGTATGTTCAGGGAAGCTGTGTTGTGAAATAGAAGAGCAACTAATGGGTCATTTTCTTCTGTGGAAGAGAGTATATAATAAAGACGTATAGCATGGTTTTAGTCAATCTTGGATTTGAATCCCAGCTTTGTAAGTTACCTGTTGTGAGACCTTGCGTATGTCACATATTTTTCCTAAACTTGAGTGTTTTTATTTGCAAACTAAGTTTATTAGTAGTCTGTATCACAGACCAGCATTGAATAAATATGAGCTAGTATTATTATTTGCTCTTATTATAATAGGGTTTGAAAAATGTAAAACAAGTTAGAACTTTTCCAGTTACCCACTTTACCACTTGATGGCTATGTGTCCAACAGTCAATTTTCAAGTTGTCAGATGAAGCAAAAAAGAGAAATCCAAGATTTAGATATATTTTAGGCTTTGAGGAGTGAAGGTCTTGGTGAAATGAAAAGAAAGAAAAACATGGACATTATCTGTGTGAATGGTTGCTAAACCTAGCATCGAAGTAGGAATCAAATTCTTCTGTCTATTGTTTAACTGGTGTCTGCAGAGGTCATTATGTCTTTTGAGTCCCATAAAATGCCTTTGGCTTTGCTTATTCTAATGCTGCTGAATATATAATAAAAATTTTTAAAAGTTCAGTGAGAATAGAAAAATAAGAGTGAATTGACAATTTTATTTCACTGCTTTCTGACTTAAAACACTGTGCTACTGAGAGTGAGTTAAAGTGACTTTAAAGATGACATAAATCAATGTAATATATTAATTTCTAATTTTCAGACTAATGAGTTGGCTTATCACAATTTAAAAATGAGTTAAAATTTGTTCTCATAGTCAAATAACAAGGTTTATCAATTTGCTGAATTTTTATAACATATTTGATCCATTGAGGTTTTTGAGCATTGCTTATAAAAACTTATTTTTGACCTAAGTATACAACTATTAGTATTCTGTTATGGAGGAAATGTATTTGCTTATACATTTCAAGAGTTAAAATCTTGTTTACTTTAAAAAATGAATCAATTATTTACTTTTTGATAATGATAGAAGCTGAGAAGTCAATAATGATAGGTATTGTATTAGTCTGTTTTCACATTGTTATAAAGAAATACCTGAGAGTGGGTAATTTATAAAGGAAAGAGGTTTAATTGACTCACAGTTCCACATGACTGGGGAGGCCTCAGGAAACTTAAAATTATGGCAGAAGGTGAAGGGGAAGTAGATAACCTTCTTCACAAGGCAGCAGGAGAGAGAGAAAGAGAGAGAGAGAAAGCAGGGGAAACTGCCACTTTTAAAGCCATCAGATCTTTTGAGAACTCCCTCACTATCACAAGAACAGCATGGGGGAAACTGCCCCCATGATCCGATCACTTCCTACCGGGTTCCTCCCTGGACACATGGGGATTACAATTCAAGATGAGATTTGGGTGGGGATATAAAGCCAAACCATATCATTCCACTCCTGGCGCCTCCCAAATTTCATGTCTTTTTCACATTTCAAAACCAATCATGACTTTCCAACAGTCCCCCAAAGTCTTAACTTATTCCAGCATTAACCCAAAAGTCCAAGTCCAAAGTCTCATCTGAGACAAGGCAAGTCCCTTTTGCCTATGAGCCTATAAAATAAAAAACAAGTTAGTTACTTCTAAGATACAGTAGGGCTATAGGCATTAGCTAAATGTTTCAAATGGGAGAAATTGGCCAAAACAAAGGGGCCACAGGCCCCATGCAAGTCTGAAACCCAGCAGTGCAGTTACTAAATCTTAAAGCTCTGAAATGATCTCCTTTGACTCCATATCTCACATCCAAGGGGTAGGCTCCCATGGCCTTGGGCAGCTCTACCCTTGTAGCTCTGAAAGGTGCAGTCCTTATGGCTGCTTTCACTGGCTGGCATTGAGTGCCTGTGGCTTTTCCAGCTGTACAATACAAGCTGTCAGTGAATCTACCTTTCTGGGGCCTGGGGGACAGTGGCTCTCTCCTCACAACTCCAGTAGGCAGTGCCCCAGTGGGGACTGTGTGGGGCCTTCAACCCCACATTTTCCTTCTGTACTGCCCTAGCAAAGGTTCTCCATGAGGGCTCCTCCCTTGCAGCAGACTTCTGCCTGGACATTCAGGTGTTTCCATACATCCTCTGAAATTTAGGTGGAGGTTAAACTCTTGTCTTCTAAACTCTTCTTGTCTTCTGTGTACCCACAGACCCAACACCACATGGAAGCTGCCAAGGTTTAGGGCTTGCACCCTCAGAAGCAATGGCTTGAGCTGTACCTTGGCTCCTTTTAGCCATGGCTGGAGCTAGAGCAGCTGGATGCAGGGCACCATGTCTTGAGGCTGCACAGAGCAGCAGGGCCACTCAGGCCCACAAAACCATTTTTCCCTCCTAGGCCGCTGGGCCTGTGATGGGAGGGGCTTCTGCAAATGTCTCTGACATGCCTTGGATACATTTTTCCCATTGTTTTGGCTATTAATATTTGGCTCCTTGTTACTTATACAAATTTCTGCAGCAGGTTTGAATTTCCCCCCAAGAAATAGGTTTTTCTTTTCTACCTCATGGTTAGGTTGCAAATTTTCTGAACTTTTATGCTGTGCTTCCCTTTTAAATATAAGTTCCAAATTCAAATAATCTCTTCATGAATGCATGTGACTATACACTTTTAGAAACAACCGGGTCACTTCTTGAATGCTTTGGTGCTTAGAAATCTCTTTCACCAGACACTCTAAATCATCTCTCTCAAATTCAAGCTTCCACGGATCTCTAGGGCAGGGGCAAAATGCCACCAGTCTCTTTGCTAAAGCATTGCATGAATGACCTTTACTCCAGTTCCCAGTAAGTTCGTCATCTCTATTTGAGACCACCTCAGCCTGAACTTCATTGTTCATATCACTATTAGCATTTTGTTCAGAACCATTTAAGAAGTCTTTAAGAATTTCCAAACTTTCCCACATCTTCCTGTCTTCTTCTGAGCCCTCACACTGTTCCAGCCTCTGCCCGTTACCCAGTTCCAAAGTTGCTTTGACATTTTCAGATTATCTTTATAGCAGTACCTCACTATCCTGGTACCAATTCTCTATATTAGTCCTTTTTCACACTGCTATAAAGAAATACCTGAGGCTGGGTAATTTATAAAGGAAAGAGGCTTAATTGACTCACAGTTCTGCATGACTGGGGAGGCCTTAGGAAACTTACAATCATGGTGGAAGCAGACACCTTCTTCAGAAGGTGACAGGAGAGAGAGAGCAAGGGAAACTGCCACTTTTAAAAGCATCAGATCACATGAAAACTCACGATCACTAGAACAGCATGGGGGAAACTGCACCCATGATCCAGTCACCTCCTACCAGGTCCCTCCTTCGACACGTGGGGATTACAATTCAAGATGAGATCCGTATCAGGTGCCAATAAAAAATATTAATGCAGAATGACAACCAGTCCTGCATTTAAAACTAGTGTGTTTTCTTCAGAAATGCATTTATGTTTAAGACTACACAACACATTTATCAACTGAAGGCATTTTTTTCTTTGCATCCTGTTTCTTTTTTAAAAATTGAGGAAATAGTTGGACTTGATATATTTCTTTTTGCATATTTAGTCATGCCCAGCCATTCATTTTGGAATAGGTTACTGCAGTAAGATTTTATTACAATTGATAATAGCCATTTAAAGCTTTTCCCTGTAAAGATTGTGATTGTACAGAAAAATAGTTTCTAGTTAGATGTCACTTGAATCAATTCTCCCTTTTTGGATTTTACTGCCATTAGGATGTGATATGTCATCACTTTTCAATTCTCATGTTTTAAAAGCATTTACCTTCTTTTGGCTTTGTTTTATATTTTAAAGTTTAGACTTGTATTAAAAAAGGCAGACCTGTCTCTACTTGTAGCACATATTATATGCCAGGCATGTGCCAGTCATTGAAGATGTAGGTATAAATAAGACTCATGTGCTGTTCTCTGATTGTAGTTTGGGACATGCAGACAAACCATTTAGGGTCCCACGTAAATTAAAAAACAACAACAACAAAAAAAACAACCATTCCGTACAACATGATAGATATTGAAAAGAGGTATCTAGAAGGTACACAGAGAGGAGAACCAGGGACTGCCACAGAAGAGTTGCTATTTGACCTGAGTCTTGGGTAGTTAGTAGTTTTTAGTAGTTTGCTAGGTAGCCCTAAGGGAAAGGGACATTTTTTGTTTTGTTTTTATCTTGAGATGGAGTCTCACTCTGTTGCCCAGGCAGACTGCAGTGGCACAATCTCAGTTCACTGCAACCTCTGACTCCTGAGGCAAGCAATCCTCTGGCCTCCTGAGCTCGAGCAATCCTCCTGCTTCAGCCTCCTAAGTAGCTGGGACTATAGGCGCTTGCCACCATGCCTGGCTAATTTTTGAATTTTTTGTAGAGATGGGGTTTCTCCATGTTGCCCAGGCTGGTCTGGAACACTTGGGCTCAAGCAATCCACTTGCCTTGGCCTCCCAAAGTCCTGGGATTATAGGCATGAGCCACCACACCCAACTGAAAAGGACATTTCTGATGGAGAAGAGCCTCTACAAAAGTTAAGATTTGTGAAAGAGCGTGGCATGTCCACACAACCAGATGTCCTTTGATGTGCCTGGAGCATAGAGTGTGTGTACTAGGAGATGGTGTAATGGAGGTGGGTAAGGATCATATCCTAATGGGCCTTGAATACCTGGATGGTGGGGGTTGGACTTTATGCTTTGAAAATTCAGGAGAAAGATGGATTGTGTAGATTTTGGGCCACACACTGTGGGCAGAAAACAGGACATACATGTATAGGTAAGTATTAGCCATTTTCTACTTAATCTGCTTCTTTAAGTATTAGCTGTTAGGTAGGACTAGACTACAATTCAGGCATTTGGAATTTTAATACTTAACATAAAAAAGGTGTGCAAAGGCTTGTCTTAACTCTTTAGTTTTTTGTTTTTTGTTTTTTTTTGAGATGGAGGTTCACTCTTGTTGCCCAGGCTGGAGTGCAATGGTGCAATCTTGGCCCACTGCAACCTCCGCCTCCCAGGTTCAAGTGATTGTCCTGCCTCACTCTCCCAAGTATCTGGGCTAACAGGCATGACTAATTTTGTATTTTTAGTAGAGATGGGGTTTCAACGTGTTGGTCAGGCTGGTCTTGAACTCCTGACCTGAGGTGTTCTGGCCGCCTCAGCCTCCCAAAGTGTTGGGATTACAGGCTTGAGCCACTGTCCCTAGCCTTAAGTCTGTGGTTCTTAAACTTTGCAGCAGATTAGCATCACTTTGGGAGCTTACAAAAATTTTTTTTTCTTTTTTTTTTTTGAGACAAAGTCTTCCTGTCTTGCCCAGGCTGGAGTGCAGTGGCATGTTCTCAGCTCACTGCAACTTCCACCTCCCGGGTTCAAGCAATTCTCCTGCCTCAGCCTCTTGAGTAGCTCAGATTATAGGTGTGTGCCACCGTGCTTGGCTGATTTTTGTATTTTTAGTAGAGACAGGATTTCACCATGTTGGCCAGGCTGGTCTCGAACTCCTGACCTTGTGATCCGCCTGACTCGTCCTCCCAAAGTGCTAGGATTACAGGCGTGAGCCACTGCATCCAGCCAGGAGCTTTAAAATATCTTCATGCCCAGGTCACAGTGTCTGGGGCTGGAGCCAGACATCAGTATTATTTAAAGATTCCCAGATGATTTCAATGTGCAGCATTGTTTGGAAGCCACTGCCTTGACTTGGTAAGTGTTCAATTCTAATGACCTTCGTAAGTGTGTTATCTAGTAATTTGGAGATTGCAATATTCAAAATATAGATTTAAAAAACCTTTAATAAAAGGAGCGATTTGATTTACCTTGCAAAATCATTATTCCCAACCCATTATCTAACCTCAAAGTTTCTAAAATTTTTTAAAGAAGAGAAAATGATAGTTTTAAATAGATGGAAACTATAATAGAATATGTTCAGATAGAGAAGGACTTTGAAGCATGACTGCTGCTACTATATCTGTAGTCTCTCTCATACACACAGTGTAGGTGTCAACACTATGCATGTCTCTGAAGTGAGTTAGTGAGTGAATTGTAGATAGAAATTAAAATCCCCATCTCTGATTTTAGAATCTATTAAAAAGCATATGTAGGAGAATTATGCAATCTTATTTGAGAACTTATATGAAACTGGAAATTAGTTTTGCTGCAAGCTAATATGAGGTGAAATTATTGGTAGAGCTATGTAAATATATGTAAAATTTGTTTTACATAAAGAGAGGAATAGAAGCATATATATTTAACTATAGCTGTTATATATTATAAATATATATAGTGTATATACATTTCAAAAAGAAACAATGGAAAAATAATTCAAAAACTAATAAAAATGGTTACCTTGAAAGAGGGGGTAAGGTAGAAAGCAGGGGAAGGGGGACCAGAATGGAAATAAGATTTCTTCAGATATAACTTGTATTATAGTTTTGACCTTGGAACCATTGAAATGTTTTATGTAATTAAGAATCCCAATATGTTAATAAGTTGGAAAGAAAAAGCAATTGCTAAAAATTGAAAACAAGCACATTAATCTAAAGATCTATCAAATTGGTGCCATAACTAGGTATTGAAAATAATTATTCAAGTGACTTTAAAAACCCAGTATTGTGATTATACATTCCTAATAAGATCAGTCTAATGAACAAAAATAATTAGGCCTGGGCATAGTGGTTCACGCCTGTAATCCCAGCACTTTGGGAGATCAAGGCGAATGGGTCACTTGAGGCCAGGAGTTCGAGACCAGCCTGGCCAACATGTTGAAACCCCATCTCTACTAAAAATACAAAAATTAGCCGGGTGTGGTGGTGAACATCTGTAATCTCGGCTACTTAGGAGGCTGAGGCAGGAGAATCGCTTGAACCCGGGAGGCAGAGTTTGCAGTGAGTGAAATCATGCCACTGCACTCCAGCCTGGGCAACAGAGTGAGACTCTTGTCACAAGAAACAAAAACAAAGAATTGGAAAGAAATTTGAAACTGCATTCAAAAAAATTAACATTGTTACTTTGAAACTCATATGTACCTTGTAGGATAAGGCATATCAGTAATTATGTCATTAGAAACTGAAAGTTTTAGCCGCGCTTACGCCTGTAATCCCAGCACTTTGGGAGGCTGAGGTGGGCGGATCACAGGGTCAGGAGATTGAGACCATCCTGGCTAACACGGTGAAACCCTGTATCTACTAAAAAATATTTTAAAAAATTAGCCGGGTGTGGTGGCGGCCTCTGTAGTTCAGCTGCTCGGGAGGCTGAGGCGGGAGAATGGCGTGAACCTGGGAGGTGGAGCTTGCAGTGCGCCAAGATCGCGCCACTGCACTCCAGCCTGGGCGACAGAGTGAGAGTCTGTCACAAAAAAAAAAAAAAGAAACTGAAAGTTTTAAAGTGAGAGAAAAGCGTTATGAGAATAAAGAAGTAGAAGCGATCTTAAAGTTAAATGGGGAATAGTTATATAAACTTGTGATTTATTTTTCTCTGTCTAAAAAAAGTACATATTTCTTTGTTTTTTGCACAGTAAAGATTTAGAAGCAGTGACAACTGAGTAGCAGTGAATATTCTTAGTGCCCTGAGTATGGCCTCTAAATACTGTTTGCCACTAACAGGAATAGTGTCTTTGGAGAAGTCATTTATTCCAGAGCTGAGCAGGAATGCAAGATATCTTCTTGTGTCAGAAAGCAGGAAAGCTATGAAAGGCCGCTGGAGACATATCAAAGGTTTAGAAGGTACAACTTGAAGGGACTCTCACTGGCCGAAGATGAGACTATTGGAACAACCAAAAGAATGAAAGCAATGAATTTAAACGCCACACACACACACACACACACACACACACACACGTACATGTATTTTCAGTCCTTACGTGGAGATGGAGTTGTGATTAGGAAAAATGTAGTCACCATTGAAGATTATTAGGACATCCAGCTCATTATTCTGAAAATTGATAAACAAAAGTAAAGAATCAGTGCATTTACTTTCCCTTTCTTGTATGAGTTTTATTGTGGTATTATAAAATAGTTGATAAGAAAAGTTCTTGCTAATAGAGTTCTAGCTAATAAATGCAGAAGGAATAACAGAATTAGAAAATCACTATTTAGTAGCCCGTAATGAAATAATGATTAGGCAGGGATCATGTGGATGCTAAAACCATTAGTTTAAGATTGAAACATTCTGTGAACAATCTTAGGATCACTAAAAGTGGGTCAACCAGAAATTATATGCCTCCTAATATAATTGGAAGCTAAAAAACATGAACTGAATCTGATTAAGCCTCCAGATCTAACTTCTAATTTAAAGGAAATTGGAAGGGTAGAGAAAAAAGTTAATTACCACCATGAGGAAACATTTGGGATAATCCAGAAGGCAAGACATTCTACAAGACCAATAACTTGGTTTTTTCAACAAGTAAATGTTATGGGATGTGGGGCAGAAAGAGCAAGGTGTCAGGAGGAGGACTGTCCTAGCTTAGAGGATACTTAAGAGACATAACAGCTAAGTGTAAAATGTGGGTCTTGTTTGGGTACTGATTCAAATAAGCCGACTGTAAAAGAAACATTTTTGGGACAGTCAGGGAAATATGAATAAGGACTGAGTGTTAAATGATATTAAGTAGCCATTGTTAATCTTGTTGGGGTGAAATTGGCCTGTGCTTATGTAAAAAAAGATAAACCAGCCTTACCTGCTGAAGTATTTAGGAATAAAAGGTCTGATGTTAGAATACTCCAGCAGTCAGTCATTCAGTCAGTAATGGGACAGAAGAAACATGATGGGCAACATGTTGATTATTATGGAAGGTGTGTAATGGGTGCCTGGGGGTTTATTATACTATTCTCTCTACTTTTATGCATGTTTTAAAATTTCCGTAATGAAAAAACCTGAAAATTTAAGTTTCAGGGCTGGGTATGGTGGCTCATGCATGTAATTCCAGCACTTTGGAAGGCCTAGGCAGGGGGATTACATGAGCCCAGGATTTAGAGACCAGCCTGGGTAACATGGTAAAACCCTGTCTCTACAAAAAATTAAAAAATTAGCTGGTGTTGTGGTGTGCACCTGTGGTCCCAGCTACCCGGGAGGTTGAGGTGGGAGGATCAATTGAGCCCAGAAGGTGGAGGCTGCAGTGAGCTGTGCTCGTTCGTGGCACTGCACTCCAGCCTGGGTAACAGAGTGAGATCCTGTCTCAAAAGAGAAAAAAAAGAGAAAATTTAAGTTTCACCTTAAAAGAAATATATAGCCCTTTCTAATCACTCAGTAATTAAAAGTCAGTGACCCTTTCCTTTGTATTCATACAGATAATAATAAAAATTCTGGACATAGTTTTTTATTTGACAATTTTTAATTAAGTAGACCAACTTAAAAAGGGCAATGCTTTACAGTAGATTAAATATGAGCTCTTTGGGAATTGGTTTCAGTAATAAAATTTGTCCTCTCAAACTGTGGTTTTGATGAGGTTCAGATTTCATAAAGCAGCACAAAACATTGTGCGGTGGGTTTTTTTCTTTTCCCATTTTCCTGGTTAATTTTCTTCACCACTGCCAAGAGTAATTTAATCAGATAGGCCTCTAGAGGACCCTGCTCTTAAAGCATAAAGTCAGGCACTGCATATCTCTCTTCCTTTTTATATTTAATTTGACCATTTGCCATGCCCACTATTTGAGTGGGTGTGGACGGGGAGGTTGGGAATAAGGAAGAGATGGAAGAGGAGACTAATAGAAGATGTGCTTTTCATTCAGATTTGTTTCTCTTTTCCTTCATTCATTCCAGAAACTTTTATTAACTCTACTGTGTGCAAGATACTGTACCAGGCTAGCTGGGAAGACAAAACACCTTAGGCATGCCCTTACCCTCCTGGGGTCCTTGCACTGTCTGGGGAGGCAGGATTCTGGTTGTCTAATGTCTAATGTGGTAAGCGCTGTGAATGTATGCAGTGTTATGGGAAGGGAGGATTTGTCTGGGGAAGGGGCAGGGAGGGCATCCTTTGGTCTAAAGGGGAAGTTGGAATGAATTATTCAAGTGGAGAGGCCAGGGTAGTAGTGTTAGAGGCAAATGAAAGAGCATGCTTGACCAGAGAGGATAGAGCCTGTGTGCTTAGAGCTGTCAGCGTTTTGGCCATTGTGCCAAGATCAGTGGAAAGACATTGCAGATTTTAAAAATCAATGAAATATTTTATACATTATAAAATACATGTAAGATGTAAAAATGGTATATTGAACACACATATTCACCATCTAGCTTAAGAAATGAAACATTACCTATACCATTAGCGTCCCCTGCTTACCCTTTCTAGTCTTATCGTTCTTCTCTCTGCTTTTTTTTCTTCCTCGCTTCTTCCCAGGAGTAACCACTAGCCTGAATTTTCTATTTATATATTTTTTGCTTTTCTTTCTATTTTTACTACATATGTATGCATCCCTAAGTCATGCATAGTTTTGCATGATTTTGACCTTTGGGTAGTAAGAATCAGCATGGATGAATCTCACATAATGTTGAGCGAAGATGCTAAGTTGGAGCTACATATAGTGTGAAACCACTGAAAGGCTTTGCACAGGGGAGTGACATTTAATTTGTATTTTCTAAAGATTACTTTTTATGCAGTGTGGATAATGGATTGGAGGTAAACAAAAATGGATGGGGAGAGCAGTTAGAAGGATGTTATAATCTAAGTGGTAACTTATGGTTGATGGTTGTAACCTCTTAAGAGAAATCATAGACAAATTCTTAGCCATAGCCCTTTAGGATCTTATCCCTCCCAGCTATTCAACCTTGCTCTTCCCTGAATCTGGCAAGCTTGTTCCCTGTTAAGGTCTTTCCCTGTTCTCTGTAACCTGAGCCTTTCATCTCGGGTCTGCAGAGTTCAGTCTTTAACTGCACTCAAGTCTCTGCACAGAGAGGTCTTTCCTGGCCATTTTGTTGAGAAGTGACCCCCTGCCCTTGTCATTATTTTCTGTTCTCCTTACTCTGCTTTTTCTTTGTAGTTTTTAAAAAAATTGCAACTTGAAATTATACATTTATTTATAGCATGTTTGCTGCTGCTAAAATATAAGATCCATGGGGGCTGGTCTTATCTAAAATTGTAACCTCCTTTCCCCCCGTGCCTAGTACATAGTAGGTGCTCAATAAATATTTGTTGAATAGATGAGTGAATTGATTGAAGTTGGGATAATGGAATTCATTCTTCCCTTTTCAGCTGTTTCTCAAACATCTCTCTGGCTGTGAACTTTTTTCAGAGCTTGAGGTTAATGCCCAAACCCTGTCTTGCTGTCACCTCAAACTCAGTATATATAAAATTACATTATTTTCCTTCCTCCAGTCTTTCACTTTTGTTAATGCTGCCATCACTGACAGTCCTCAGGCACAAAACCTTGGTGTTATCTTGCAGTGTTCACTACCCCCGATCCCTAGGGTGCTGTATATTCCCATTTATGTGTTTGAGGAAGTTTTCTGGTTACTGTTTCACCTCTGCTTTTTGCCTATTGACATTTTAGCCAGCCCTCAGGGCCCTGCCTCAGTCTTTCTCTTCTGAGCACGAAGCTGAATTTCCATCCAAGCACCCCTTTTGTACTTATGTTTATAGTTTGTTTTGTTTTGTTTTTGAGACAAGGTCTTTCTCTGCTACCCAGGCTGGAATGCAGTGGCGTGATCACTGCTCACTGCTGTCTTGACCTTGACCTTGTGGGCTCAAGCCATCCTCCCACCCCAGCCTCCTGGGTAGCTGGGACTACTGTTATAGGTCACCACACCTGGCTAATTTTTAAAATTTTTTATAGAGACGGGGGTCTCGCCATATTTTCCAGGCTGGTCTCGAACTCGTGGCCTCAAGCGGTCCTCCTGCCTCGGCCTCCCAAAGTGCTGGGATTACAGGCATGAGCCACCGTGCCTGGTGTAATTACTCTTTTTTTAAATTAAAAAAAAAAACCCACACAGTCTCCTGATCTGTTAGTTCCTTTCCCATGTCCTAATATTTTAAACATAGTATTGAGTTGCCTTTCTTTTCTTTTTCTTTTTTTTTTTTTTGAGACAGGTTCTCACTCTGTCACCCAGCTTAAAGTGCAGTGGCACAATCTTGGCTCACTACAACCTCCACCTCCTGGGAGCGATTCTCCTGCCTCAGCCTCCTGAGTAGCTGAGACTGCAGGTGCCTGCCATCACACCTGGCTAAATTTTATATGTTTAGTAGAGACGGGGTTTCACCATGTTGGCCAGGCTGGTCTTGAACTCCTGGCCTCAAGTGACCTGCCCGCCTTGGCCTCCCAAAGTGCTGGGATTACAGGCGTGAGCCACCACACTCAGCCTATTTCCTTCTTTATGATCCCATTTTTAACTTCACCACCATGTGTGTCCTATCTTTAGCTCTGTCATAGAGACCTAATGCTTGCTACTTGGTTGTGCAACAGAAGACAGCTGACAGCAACAATGCCATCAGCATGGTTTTCTTACCTTCTATCTTTGATGTTGATTCAGGCTGGATTCTCTTGAGCCGGTGGAGGCTCCTGCAGTTTTAGAAGGTGAGTAGTCATAAGGTGTCACCTGCTGCATCACACTGGAAATGTGTGGAGGCAGTGGAGTCTGAGCTGATGATGAGTATTTACTTAGTAGTTCTCTGTACCTACCTAGCAGTGATTCAGGTTGTAAAGAAAAATTTAATTGGTTAAATTATTTTAACCAATGTTTGAGTGCCTATTTTACTGTGATGAACATAGATGTACAAGATGTTTTGCTCATTAGGAGTCTCCAAAATCTAGCAGGTATGTGAGTTATGTAACATTCTTTTTAGTAAATAAAATATGGTAAATGCTGAGTTAGAAGTAGGTGTGAGCTGCTGTTGAAGGCAGCATATGACTCATTGAAGGACTTATCAGGGGAGGCTTATTTCGTAAGGGATGTAATGGGGCACGTCTTGATGGATAAATGGAAATTCACAAGTGGAGAGGGGCTTTAAGATCTGTGTATAGGTAATTCATGAAAACACAGTGGAATCAATCTAGGCCCAAATGTAGCTCCAGTAAAGGGTGAAACCAGCAGGGGTAGAGCTTTAGTTCCTTGATATCATGGCTTAAGGTAGCCAAGAAGTTCTGATTCAACAGTGCCCTCAAGTAGCATGCTGTACAGATAGCCTCACATTGCGATTAAAAGTGGACTCTGCAATTAGGCTGCCCACGTTCAGATTTCATATCTGCACCTTACTAGCTTTGGGACTCTGGACAAGTTACTTAACCTCTCTGGGCCTTGATATAGTATCTACTTCATATAAATGAAGATTAAATGAAATAAAATACATAAAGTGCTTATGAACAGGATCTGACACTCAGAGTGTTCAATAAAGGTTTGCTATTTTTATTTTTGACTGTTTACATCAGCCTAGAGCAGGGGTTGGCAAACTACGTCATGTGGACCAGGACCAAATCTGGCCTGCAGTTAGATTTACAAATAAAGTTTTTTTGGAATCAAGCCATGCGCATTCATTCGGTATTGACTATGGCTGCTTGGTGTGTGCTATAAGAGCTGGGTTTAGTAGTTGTGACAGTGACCAAATAGCCTGTAAAATCTAAAGTATTTACCATATGGCCCTTTATAGAAGAAATGTACCTTTTTTGAAGAAACTTACCATTTACTATATGGTCCTTTGTAGGCGAAATTTAGAGGATAAAATCAAACTCTTTAGCTCTCAAGATCTTCAGTGATTGCTTCCAAACCAGCCTTTTTTCTATCCATAACTAACAGATGGCCACAGCAGCTCTTTGGTTTTCACTGGCCCTTCTATTCCTTTTATAGCTGCTGTCTGTTGCTGGATTGTGCTTCCTTTAGTGTTCCAACTACTCTTCTGTCTTTTGCGTGAATATGGGCAGAGGCAGGGCCAGGACTAGGGTAGAATGTGTGAGGCACTCACTCTAGGTACACAATTTAAGGGGGCCCCAAAAAACTTGATAATCAAGATAATTTGTTAATGTTTTTAAAAATAAAAATTAATGCAAAAAACCCATTATGAACAAAATATCGATATTTTACTTTTTTTGAAGCTTAATATTAATTTTATTAAACTTTTTTCCAGGTTTATTATGATTGGCAAATAAAAATTTGTAGGCTGGGCACGGTGGCTCATGCCTGTAAACCTAGCACTTTGGGAGGCTGAGGCGGTAGGACTGCTTGAGCCTAGGAGTTTGAGACCAGCCTGGGGAACATGGTGAGACACTGTCTCTACAGAAAATAAGAAAAAAATTAGCTGGGTGTGGTGGCACGCAAGCGTGACTCCAGCTACTTAGGAGGCTGAGGTGTGGGAGGACCGCTTGAGCCCAGGAGGTCATCGCTGCAGTGAGCTGAGATTGTGCCCACTGCACTCCAGCCTGGGCGACTGCGCAAGACCCTGTTTTGGAAAAAAAAAAAGAAAAATCTAAGTTGTACAGCTTAGGGTTTTGATCTAAATATATCTTGAGTAATGATTCCTACAGTCAAGCTAATTAACATATCCATCACTTGAATGGTTACCATTTTCTTGTGTGTGAGATAAGAACATTTCAGATCTACTCTCAGCAAATTTCAAGTATTCAGTAATACATTATTATTTATAATAGTTACCATGGTGTACATTGAATCTCTAGAAATTATTCATCTTATAACTAAAAGTTTGTATCCTTTGACCAACATATCCCCATTTCCCCCACCCCCAGCCCCTGGCAAACACTACTCTACTGTATGTTTCTCTAAGTTTGACTTTTTTAGATTCCACCTATAAGTGACGGGATCAGTATTACTGATGTTTTTTTTCCTCAGCCTCCAACATGGCTCAATATAGTACTGGGCAGCAGAGAGAAAGTAACCCACATGTAAGCGGCTTAAGCCCAGATACTCATACTTCCTACGTATATGTGGGAGAGAGTAGTAAGATTCAAAGTAACCTGCTGGCTGATCACCAATGTGATATACCAATGGCATATACTCAGGTCCTTGTCAGGACTAATTTCATAAAGTATAATTATGCACATATTTTGTTGAACTTAGTTTACAGCAGTGATCTGTGTATAATCTGTTGTATAAAATGAAAGAATGAAAACATTTCCAAAAGTTTTCAAGTAGTTCATTTGAAATGGTTCACTGAGAGCAGTGAAGCATATACTTTAGAATAGCAGCATTGGATAACTAAAACTGTTTACCAAGAGATCTGGAAGGATCACCTGGTTCCTGCAAGCTTTTTCTAAGAAAGGCCAGATAGGGATATTAATTGAATTTTAATGCTTTCCAATAAACATTGACCCAGCAAGCTTTTTTAGATGACTAACTTTCTAATCTGCTTTGACATTTCTTCGTGGGGCTGCAAACAGTGATTTGTTGGTAGGTTTTAAAATATGTATAATTTGTTTTAGTGAAGAAGGTTTGGAAGTATACTGTAGAATTCTGTGAAAGCAGAATGGAGTCTTATCTGTAAGGAATAAGTCTGGAGGAATGGACAAGATCAACTTTTCATTTCTCAGACACCTTGTTGAGATGGATAGGAATTATTTGATGTTTTGACATAGTAAATTAGTTGTTCTGCCTCTCATTGTTATGTAACAAGAGATAAAATGCAATGTTGAACTTGATGGTCTTTTGCTTTCTAAACACTTTTCAATGTTTTTAGGTGTATAGTGTTGATTGGAGCCAAACCAGAGGTGAACAGCTTGTGGTGTCTGGCTCATGGGATCAAACTGTCAAATTGGTATGTTAGCATTATTGTATTCAAAAACGAATATTCCCTTCTCTAGAGCTTCCACTAAATTTTCTTCTCTTTTTCCAACATACTTCTGTAGCTCTATGATTCGACAGCTGAGCTTTCTTTTAAAAAAAAAATTAAAACACTTATTAGAACTTAAAATTTTCTAATCTTTTGGCTGTGAACTAATAGTTAGCTCAGCATTAGTTTGGCCCTTAAATACAGTCTTGCTTTATATCAAAACAGATCTTTAAAAATCCTTGAGATCTGTATATATATTGTATGCATATATATAAATGTATATAGTTTATTGGTGTATGTAGTATATGTAAAAGCATAAATTTGAATTTATCCCTCAAGTAATTGATCTATTCATTTATTTGTAGTGGGATCCAACTGTTGGAAAGTCTCTGTGCACCTTTAGAGGCCATGAAAGTATTATTTATAGCACAATCTGGTCTCCCCACATCCCTGGTTGTTTTGCTTCAGCCTCAGGTAAATTATTCTGTATTTACCAAAAGCCTTACTTGTAGTGAATGGTGGCCTTGTTTTTACCATTAGGTGGCGCTGTGTACCTTAGCTTCAGAGAGAAAACAGGAGAATATTACTATTCTTTTGTGTTCTTAAGACTTTACTTCTTTTTTTATTTTTATTTTTTTATTTTTATTATTATACTTTAAGTTCTAGGGTACATGTGCACAACGTGCGGGTTTGTTACATGTGTGTGCATGTGTGCCATGTTGGTGTGCTGCACCCATTAACTCATCATTTACATTGGATATATCTCCTAATGCTATCTCTCCCCCCTTCCCCCACCCCATGACAGGCCCCGGTGTGTGATGTTCCCCATCCTGTGTCCAAGTGTTCTCATTGTTCACTTCCCACCTATGAGTGAGAACATGCGGTGTTTGGTTTTCTGTCCTTGGAATAGTTTGCTCAGAATGATGGTTTCCAGCTTTGTCCATGTCCCTACAAAGGACATGAACTCATCCTTTTTTATGGCTGCATAGTATTCCATGGTGTATATGTGCCACATTTTCTTGATCCAGTCTATCATTGTTGGACATTTGGGTTGGTTCCAAGTCTTTGTTATTGTGCATAGCGCCGCAGTAAACATACATATGCATGTCTTTATAGCAGCATGATTTATAATCTTTGGGTATATATCCAGTAAATGGAATGGCTGGGTCAAATGGTATTTCTAGTTCTAGATCCTTGAGGAATCGCCACACTGTCTTCCACAATGGTTGAACTAGTTTACAGTCCCACCAACAGTATAAAAGTGTTCCTATTTCTCCACATCCTCTCCAGCACCTGTTGTTTCCTGACTTTTTGATGATCGCCATTCTAACTGGCGTGAGATGGTATCTCATTGTGGTTTTGATTTGCATTTCTCTGAAGGCCAGTGATGATGAGCATTTTTTCATGTGTCTGTTGGCTGCATAAATGTCTTCTTTTGAGAAGTGTCTGTTCATATCCTTTGCCCACTTTTTGATGGGGTTGTTTGATTTTTTCTTGTAAATTTGTTTTTAAGTTTTTTGTAGATTCTGGATATTAGCCTTTTGTCAGATGAGTAGATTGCAGAAATTTTCTCCCATTTCGTAGGTTGCCTGTTCACTCTGATGGTAGTTTCTTTTGCTGTGCAGAAGCTCTTTAGTTTAATTAGATCCCATTTGTCAATTTTGGCTTTTGTTGCCATTGCTTTTGGTGTTTTAGACATGAAATCCTTGCCCATGCCTATGTCCTGAATGGTATTGCCTAGGTTTTCTTCTAGGGTTTTTATGGTTTTAGGTCTAACATGTAAGTCTTTAATCCATCTTGAATTAATTTTTGTATAAGGTGTAAGGAAGGGATCCAGTTTCAGCTTTCTACATATGGCTAGCCAGTTTTCCCAGCACCATTTATTAAATAGGGAATCCTTTCCCCATTGCTTGTTTTTCTCAGGTTTGTCAAAGATCAGATAGTTGTAGATATGCGGCATTATTTCTGAGGGCTCTGTTCTGTTCCATTGGTCTAGATCTCTGTTTTGGTACCAGTACCATGCTGTTTTGATTACTGTAGCCTTGTAGTATAGTTTGAAGTCAGGTAGCTTGATGCCTCCAGCTTTGTTCTTTTGGCCTAGGATTGTCTTGGCAATGTGGGCTCTTTTTTGGTTCCATAGGAACTTTAAAATAGTTTTTTCCAATTCTGTGAAGAAAGTCATTGGCAGCTTGATGGGGATGGCATTGAATCTATAAATTACCTTGGGCAGTATGGCCATTTTCACGATATTGATTCTTCCTATCAATAAGCATAGAATGTTTTTCCATTTGTTTGTGTCCTCTTTTATTTCGTTGAGGAGTGGTTTGTAGTTCTCCTTGAAGAGGTCCTTCACATCCCTTGTAAGTTGGATTCCTAGGTATTTTATTCCCTTTGTAGCAATTGTGAATGGGAGTTCACTCATGATTTGGCTCTCTTTTTGTCTGTTATTGGTGTATAGGAATGCTTGTGATTCTTGCACATTGATTTTGTATCCTGAGACTTTGCTGAAGCTGCTTATCAGCTTGAGATTTTGGGCTGAGACGGTGGGGTTTTCTAAATACACAATCATGTCATCTGCAAACAGGGACAATTTGACTTCCTCTTTTCCTAATTGAATACCCTTTATTTCTTTCTCCTGCCTAATTGCCCTGGCCAGAACTTCCAACACTATGTTGAATAGGAGTGGTGAGAGAGGGCATCCCTATCTTGTGCCAGTTTTCAAAGGGAATGCTTCCAGTTTTTACCCATTCAGTAAATATTATCATATTGGCTGTGGGTTTGTCATAAATAGCTCTTATTATTTTGAGATACATCCCATCAATACCTAGTTTATTGAGAGTTTTTAGCACGAAGGGCTGTTCAATTTGGTCAAAGGCCTTTTCTGCATCTGTTGAGATAATCATGTGGTTTTTGTCTTTGGTTCTGTTTATATGATGGATTACATTTATTGATTTGTGTATGTTGAACCAGCCTTGCATCCCAGGGATGAAGCCAACTTGATCTTGGTGGATAAGCTTTTTGATGTGCTGCTAGATTCAGTTTGCCAGTATTTTACTGAGGATTTTTGCATTGATGTTCATCAGGGATATTGGTCTAAAATTCTCTTTTTTTTGTTGTGTCTCTACCAGGCTTTGGTATCAGTATGCTGCTGGCCTCATAAAATGAGTTAAGGAGGATTCCGTCTTGTTCTATTGATTGGAATAGTTTCAGAAGGAATGGTACCAGCTCCTCTTTATACCTCTGGTAGAATTCGGCTGTGAATCTGTCTGGTTCTGGAGTTTTCTTGGTTGGTAGGCTATTAATTATTGCCTCAATTTCAGAGCCTGTTATTGGTGTATTCAGGGGTTCAGCTTCTTCCTGGTTTAGTCTTGGGAGGGTGTATGTGTCAAGGAATTTATCCATTTCTTCTAGATTTTCTAGTTTATTTGCATAGAGGTGTTTATAGTATTCTCTGATGGTAGTTTTTATTTCTGTGGGATTGGTGGTGATATCCCCTTTATCATTTTTTATAGTGTCTATTTGATTCTTCTCCCTTTTCTTCTTTATTAGTCTTGCTAGTGGTCTATCAATTTTGTTGATCTTTTCAAAAAACCAGCTCCTGGATTCATTGATTTTTTTGAAGGGTTTTTTGTGTCTCTATCTCCTTCAGTTCTGCTCTGATCTCAGTTATTTGTTGCCTTCTGCTAGCTTTTGAATGTGTTTGCTCTTGCTTCTCTAGTTCTTTTAATTGTGATGTTAGGGTGTCAATTTTAGATCTTTCCTTCTTTCTCTTGTGGGCATTTAGTGCTATGAATTTCCCTCTACACACTGCTTTAAATGTGTCCCAGAGATTCTGGTATGTTGTGTCTTTGTTCTCATTGGTTTCAAAGAACATCTTTATTTCTGCCTTCATTTCGTTATGTATCCAGTAGTCATTCAGGAGCGGGTTGTTCAGTGTCCATGTAGTTCTGTGGTTTTGAGTGAGTTTCTTAATCCTGAGTTCTAGTTTGATTGCACTGTGGTCCGGGAGAAAGTTTGTTATAATTTCTGTTCGTTTACATTTGCTGAGGAGTGCTTTGCTTCCAAGTATGTGGTCAGTTTTGGAATAAGTGTGATGTGGTGCTGAGAAGAATGTATATTCAGTTGATCTGGGGTGGAGAGTTCTGTAGATGTCTGTTAGGTCTGCTTGGTGCAGAGCTGAGTTTAATTCCTGGATATCCTTGTTAACTTTCTGTCTCGTTGATCTGTCTAATGTTGACAGTGGGGTGTTAAAGTCTCCCATTATTATTGTGTGGGAGTCTAAGTCTCTTTGTAGGTCTCTAAGGACTTGCTTTATGAATCTGGGTGCTCCTGTATTGGGTGCATATATATTTAGGATAGTTAGCTCTTCTTGTTGCATTGATCCCTTTACCATTATGTAATGGCCTTCTTTGTCTCTTCTGATCTTTGTTGTAAAAAAAAAGTCTGTTTTATCAGAGACTAGGATTGCAACCTCTGCTTTTTTTTTTGTTTTCCATTTGCTTGGTAGATCTTCCTTCATCCCTTTATTTTGAGCCTTTATGTGTCTCTGCACGTGAGATGGGTCTCCTGAATACAGCCCACTGATGGGTCTTGACTCTTTATCCAATTTGCCAGTCTGTGTCTTTTAATTGGAGCATTTAGCCCATTTACATTTAAGGTTAATATTGTTATGTGTGAATTTGATCCTGTCATTATGATGTTAGCTGGTTATTTTGCTCGTTAGTTGATGCAGTTTCTTCCTAGCCTCGATGGGCTTTACAATTTGGCATGTTTTTGCAGTGGCTGGTACCGATTATTCCTTTCCATGTTTAGGACTTTACTTCATCAACCTCTTGACAAGAGTTAGCTGTGGTTCAGATTACTTTTCAATGATTCCAACTCCTAAAGAATAATTCCTAGATTTCTGGCAAGGACAAATTCATGGATGGTAATGTTATAACTGAGATATGATACATGTTTGAAAGAGAAGGTCTTGAGTTTTGTTTTACAACACTGTTTCAGAACCTGTGAGACACGCATCTGCTTGTCAATGAGCAGGTTGAGCTTGGAGCTGAGAACTCTGGCCTCATGAATAAAAATTGTATCATTGGCTTAGAATTGGTAACTAAAGCCATTGCAGTAAATCAGAGCACCTAGGAAAGACTAAGTCAAAGAAACCTTGGAATAGAGCACAAGTTGGCAAACTACTGCCCTCAGATCAAAACTGATGGTTTTTTTTTTTTTTTTTTTTTGCATTGTCTAAAGATATTTATTTCTGCTGTCTTTTTTTTTTATTTTTTTTTTATTTTTAATTTTTTTTTTTTTTATTATACTCTAAGTTTTAGGGTACATGTGCACATTGTGCAGGTTAGTTACATATGTATACATGTGCCATGCTGGTGCGCTGCACCCACTAACGTGTCATCTAGCATTAGGTATATCTCCCAATGCTATCCCTCCCCCCTCCCCCGACCCCACCACAGTCCCCAGAGTGTGATATTCCCCTTCCTGTGTCCATGTGATCTCATTGTTCAATTCCCACCTATGAGTGAGAATATGCGGTGTTTGGTTTTTTGTTCTTGCGATAGTTTACTGAGAATGATGGTTTCCAATTTCATCCATGTCCCTACAAAGGACATGAACTCATCATTTTTTATGGCTGCATAGTATTCCATGGTGTATATGTGCCACATTTTCTTAATCCAGTCTATCATTGTTGGACATTTGGGTTGGTTCCAAGTCTTTGCTATTGTTAATAGTGCCGCAATAAACATACGTGTGCATGTGTCTTTATAGCAGCATGATTTATAGTCCTTTGGGTATATACCCAGTAATGGGATGGCTGGGTCAAATGGTATTTCTAGTTCTAGATCCCTGAGGAATTGCCACACTGACTTCCACAATGGTTGAACTAGTTTACAGTCCCACCAACAGTGTAAAAGTGTTCCTATTTCTCCACATCCTCTCCAGCACCTGTTGTTTCCTGACTTTTTAATGATTGCCATTCTAACTGGTGTGAGATGATATCTCATAGTGGTTTTGATTTGCATTTCTCTGATGGCCAGTGATGATGAGCATTTCTTCATGTGTTTTTTGGCTGCATAAATGTCTTCTTTTGAGAAGTGTCTGTTCATGTCCTTCGCCCACTTTTTGATGGGGTTGTTTGTTTTTTTCTTGTAAATTTGTTTGAGTTCATTGTAGATTCTGGATATTAGCCCTTTGTCAGATGAGTAGGTTGCGAAAATTTTCTCCCATGTTGTAGGTTGCCTGTTCACTCTGATGGTAGTTTCTTTTGCTGTGCAGAAGCTCTTGAGTTTAATTAGATCCCATTTGTCAATTTTGGCTTTTGTTGCCATTGCTTTTGGTGTTTTGGGCATGAAGTCCTTGCCCACGCCTGTGTCCTGAATGGTAATGCCTAGGTTTTCTTCTAGGGTTTTTATGGTTTTAGGTCTAACGTTTAAATCTTTAATCCATCTTGAATTGATTTTTGTATAAGGTGTAAGGAAGGGATCCAGTTTCAGCTTTCTGGAAGCACTGGAAGCATTCCCTTTGAAAACTGGCACAAGACAGGGATGCCCTCTCTCACCGCTCCTATTCAACATAGTGTTGGAAGTTCTGGCCAGGGCAATCAGGCAGGAGAAGGAAATAAAGCGTATTCAATTAGGAAAAGAGGAAGTCAAATTGTCCCTGTTTGCAGACGACATGATTGTTTATCTAGAAAACCCCATCGTCTCAGCCCAAAATCTCCTTAAGCTGATAAGCAACTTCAGCAAAGTCTCAGGATACAAAATCAATGTACAAAAATCACAAGCATTCTTATACACCAACAACAGACAAACAGAGAGCCAAATCATGAGTGAACTCCCATTCACAATTGCTTCAAAGAGAATAAAATACCTAGGAATCCAACTTACAAGGGATGTGAAGGACCTCTTCAAGGAGAACTACAAACCACTGCTCAAGGAAATAAAAGAGGACACAAACAAATGGAAGAACATTCCATGCTCATGGGTAGGAAGAATCAATATCGTGAAAATGGCCATACTGCCCAAGGTAATTTACAGATTCAATGCCATCCCCATCAAGCTACCAATGACTTTCTTCACAGAATTGGAAAAAACTACTTTAAAGTTCATATGGAACCAAAAAAGAGCCCGCATCGCCAAGTCAATCCTAAGCCAAAAGAACAAAGCTGGAGGCATCACACTACCTGACTTCAAACTATACTACAAGGCTACAGTAACCAAAACAGCATGGTACTGGTACCAAAACAGAGATATAGATCAATGGAACAGAACAGAGCCCTCAGAAATAATGCCACATATCTACAACTATCTGATCTTTGACAAACCTGAGAAAAACAAGCAATGGGGAAAGGATTCCCTATTTAATAAATGGTGCTGGGAAAACTGGCTAGCCATATGTAGAAAACTGATGGTTTTTATAAATAGTTTCATTGGGATGCAGCTACGCCCGTTTATTAACATATTGTTTATGGTTGCTTTCACACTACAGTGGTGGAGTTGAGTAGTTGTGAGAGAGACTGAAAGGTCCTCAAAGCCAAAAATATTTACCGCCTGTGGCCCTTGACAGAAAACGTTTGCTGACCTCTGGCATAAATCCTCAAGGAGAGAGTAAGAAGTGGAAACTCTTTTGTGCAGTTGGCTGTTTAGTAGAGAACAGAAGACATTAGCTAGAGGAGGAGGTGGTGCTCCTAATAGTGTCTCCTCTTTCAGTTATGCAGCATCCAAAGATAGACAATAGGTAGGATAATTGTTCCTTTCTTGCTAATAAACTATACCAATGCCCTGAGTTGTTGAATTATGTTGATTGGCTTTCTTAGGAAATATAATATCACACACTTTTTTCCCATTTTATTTCATTATTTTTAATTTTAAAAGTAAAAAATGACCAAACCATCCTAAATTGTGAAAGTACTATTAGGTTGAAAATACTCAGAAATGGAAACCTTCAGGTAAATTATATACAGACAAGTATATCCATTTAGATTATGCAACTTTCTTTTTACAGGGAGCATGACTGAGGTGAAAGATTATGTAATTTTTTGAGATCCTAATAATGAATACTAGTAATGCCTATGTATAGAGGCATAGTTAATTTAAGAAAAAATATTTTTGTTCTCTGATAAAAATTAATAGCTTTCTTTTCTAGAATGTTGAGCAGTACACACTGTCGACTTATAAGGTTATAAACTATTATTTTTTGAATTTTTAAGCTAAGTCATAGCTTTTTTTGTCCATAATCTGAATTAAATCTTTTCTAATATATGAAGTCTTTTGGGATGGGACCAGTAATATATTTTTTCTTCTTATGTTGCCTTTCCCAAGCCTGCATCCTTCTTTGGTCTTTTATCCTTCTGTAACATAGTTAACCTTTACGGTTAGTAAGGCTGAGTGTGCATTAAGTCAGTGGTAGCAATATTAATATATTTAATTTGAATCAATTAACCCTTTCATTTACATGTATAACTTGAGTTAATCATCTTTTATGTTTTTATTATTATTATTGAGTCAGAGTCTAGCTCTGTCGCCCAGGCTGGAGTGCAGTGGTACAATCTCGGCTCACTGCAACCTCCGCCTCCCGGGTTCAAGCAATTCTCCTGCCTCAGCCTTCTGAGTACAGGTGTGCGCCATCACACCCAGCTAATTTTTGTATTTTTAGTAGAGACAGGGTTTCACCATGTTGGCTAGGCTGGTCTCGAACTCCTGACCTCAGGTGATCAACCCGCCTTGGCCTCCCAAAGTGTTGGGATTACAGGTGTGAGCTACTGCGCCTGGCCTGTGTTTTTAATTTAGTATAAATGGTAATGAGTTTTGTGCTTATAGTGAATCGGATCTGTAAGTTGACCACAGTTCAGTTTACTGGTTTATACTGTTACCATTTTGTAATTTTACCGTTGGTGAAAGATTCTACCACAGAGAGTATTAGTCCAAGTCGAATTAAAGTTCTTGTAAGGATGTGAATTAGATTGACATTAGCATTATTTTCTTAGGGGAGGGATGCCTTTTGGCCTTATATCCTACAGTTTCAAAGGAGTCATTTCAAACTCTAGATTGAATTAGTGGTGTAGAATAGATCCACCTCAAAAATGAACTGAGGCCAGGCATGGTGGCTCACATCTGTAATCCCAGCACTTTGGGAGCTGAGGCAGATGGATCACTTGAGAACAGGAGTTTGAGACCAGCCTGGCCAACCAACATGGTGAAACCTGTCTCTACAAAAATACAAAAATTAGCCGGGCATGGTGGCACACACCTGTAATCCCAGCTACTTGGGAGGCTGAGGCAGGAGAATCACTTGAACACGGGAAGTGGAGATTGCAGTGAGCCGAGATAGCGCCACCGTACCCCAGCCTGGGCAACAGAGCAAGACTGTCTCAAAAAAAAAAAAAGGAACTGAAGCATGCTTCTGTTCTAGTGAAACAGTGAAGACTTACCTGCTGGGAGCTCTAATTGGCAACATACACAGTAAACTAAAATTAATAATGAGAATATAATTTTGTATATTTGGAAAAGTATTAGTAAGTACAATTCCTTGAACAATTGATAGGTCTTAAAAAATTCCTTACCTTTCTATTTTATGTAATCTTGTTGATGTTTGTTATTATTTAAAGTTCTTTTCTTTTTCTTTTTCTTCTTCCTTTTTTTTTTTTTTGAGACGGAGTCTCTGTCCCCCAGGCTGGAGTACAATGGTGCAATCTCAGCTCACTGCAACTTCCGCCTCCCACCTTCAAGCGATTCTCCTGCCTCAGCCTCCCGAGTAGCTGGGATTACAGGCACGTGCCACTATGCCCGGCTAATTTTTGTATTTTTAGTAGAGCCGGGCTTTCGCCTTGTTGGCCAGGCTGGTCTCAAGCTCCTGACCTCAGGTAATCCGCCTGCCTTGGCCTCCCAAAGTGCTGGGAGTATAGGCATGAGCCACCGTGCCCGGCCTATTTAAGGTTCTAAATTTGCCTTGATTTGGGCATTTTTGTTTGTTTGTTTGTTTTCAGTTTGTTTTCTCTGACAGGATACATGACCATGACAAACACCCAGTTTGCCTGAGTTTTAAAAAGGATATTTCGTTTGCCCCACTGGAATGACCAGTAAAGACATACATCCAGTTGGCAAAGTGGAAAGAGGGTATTGATTTGTTTTTAATCATTGTTCTCTTTATGCGTATGACCAAATATAAATCTGATAGTGACAAAATCACAAACTAATACAGCTGCATTTTTTGGACGTCAGTCAGAATTGTGTGTATTAGCCCTTCATTTGAGCTGAGTCACACACCTCTTCTTTTTACATTGGTCTTTGTGTAGCATGGAATACATAGCATTGACTCTGGATAGTGCTGTAGAATATGCACTGTATGAGACTGAATAACAGAAGATGAATTGTTTCTAGAGTGTTGCTATAATCACAACACTTCACTTTTCAAACTATCTGTACAGTGTAAGTGGGTAGTAGAAAAGTGATCTTTTATCAACAGAATGACTGTTTGCTTCTGTAGAAGACCCCTGTTTCATTACATTACCTTCATATGTTGTGTTAGAAATTAATATAAATCTTGGTCATATCAGCCAGGACTTCTTTGGTTGAAAGTAAAAAAAAAAAAAAAAAAAAAAAAAATTCTGACCCAAAGTGCTTTAAGGAAGAAGATAACTTATTTGCTCACATAAGTGAAAAGTTCAGAATTAAATCTGGCTTTATAGGCATGGTTGAATGTAGGGCTCTGTCTTCTGTTGTGCTGGTTTCAGAATCAGGGTATCAGGCACCACATGATGGCAAGATAGTAGTAGCTCCAACACCTACCTCTTTTCTGGTTTCTGTCCAGTAGGAGAAAGTGAAAGATTCCTTCTCAGACATCCAGACTGTTTCATTTTCTGTCATGGGCTCTGATGCGTCCTTGTGGATGTTCCTGAACTAATCACTGTGTGTGGGTGAGGGGGATACAATATTTTGATTGGCTTAGGCTTGGTTAGTCCCTGCAGTTGGGAATGGAAAATGAGAGAGGGTGTTACCCAAACAACATGGATTGAGGATGGAAAGAGTGAATCCAGATTAGGTGAATGTAGGTGGATGGAGTCGAAGGGGCCAGTATTCACTAAATTGGCTGCACATCTAAGGCTTCAGATAAATCAGAGGGGATTTGATGAAAATCAAGTACTGGACCTGTAAGCTCTAACATATGTTCTTCAAAAACTTTCCTTGTGAAATGGATACAGTAAAGCTGTTTTCTACCAATTTTTATGACTTAGGGAACTCATTGGAAGATTGATTTTTCAAACATTTGCCATTTTCCTGAAATAATCCTTTGTGGTGATTTACAAATATTAGTCTACTTAGTACTTTTTAAAAGATTCAAAGTTCTTCTTCCACTCTGCAAAAATATTGGAATGAGTTGGGGTGTAGTAAAAAGTCAATGCAAGTTGCAAAACTCTCACTGTGCCTTAGCCATTTCAGAGACAAGAACATTTACTCACTGGGCTGTGTACCATGCGTTTGTAAGCAAATGCAGTGCTTAGATCTTCTTTGCTTCACTTGTTTTCATACATTTCCTATAACACTTGTGTATTCTTTTACATAGCCGAATGCCTTACATAGCCAAACACGAAAATATTTTTGATAGTTATTATATAAGATATGGGAGTAACCATCTTATTCAAATTTTTAAAACATACTGAGTTCATTTTGATTGTTGAGAAGGACGCTGCTAGTGAGTCAGTCAGATATTTATTGAATGTCCATCATTTATTGGAGATTCAGTGAGGAAGACAACAGATGGAGTTCCTGCACTCTTAGAGCATATAGTCCAGTAGGAAAGAGGAATGCTAAGACAAAATCTAGAAGCAGCTAGTGATGAAGACTGTGAAGTTCTTTAAGGAGAGGTAATATAGCACAGTGGTCAGGAACAAGGATTCTGGAGCTGGACTGCTTCAGATCAAGTTCTACTTTCCTGCTGTTAGGAGACTTTCTTTGGTCATGCCATTTAAACCTCTTGTCTCCTCATTCCTCATTTCTAAAATCAGGGTGATAATGGTATCCACATCATGGAGTTTTGAGGAGGATTAAGTGGCTAATGTGCATAAAGGGCTTAGTTAGAACAGTGACTGGCAGAGTAAAAGCTCTGTGAGCATTACCTCTTTTTTTTTGAGACAGGGTCTGGCTCTGTTGCCCGGCTGGAATGCAGTGGTGCCATCTCAGCTCACTGAAACCTCTGCCTCCTGGGCTCAAACAATCCTCCCACCTCAGCCTACTAGCTAGGGCCACAGGTGTGCGCCACCACCCAGCTAATTTTTGTATTTTTGGTAGAGACAGGGTTTCACCATGTTGCCCAGGCTGGTCTAGAACTCCTGGGCTCAAGCAATCCTCCCGCCTTCAGCCTCCCAAAGTGCTGGGATTACAGGCATGAGCCACTGCACCCGACCTTAAGTATTACCTGTTATTATTAACACGTGTGCCCAGAATTCTGTGGAAATGTATAAATGGATTCCTGAGCTTGTCAGGGTTGGCTGGTCAGGTCACTTCCCTGAAGAAATAGTCTAAGCTGCTGCCTTATGGACAAGTAAGAGGAAATGGGAAGTGGGAGGCAAAAGTTGGAACATGGAGAGAACAGAGCATACTTGAGGACCATCAGAATGGCCTTTGCAGTGTATATGTGCTGTAACAGTGGACAGTTAGTGCTTATCTAAGAGCTAAAACTCTTGGAGCTCTAGGGTAATTTGCTCTAGGTAGACGCTGGAAAGCATGGTTGTATAGTAACATACTAGTCCAGCGATTCTAGAATCTGGCTAATCATCAGAACCATTGGGAGAGCATTAAAAAACAGCAGCAGAATTGTGGGCTTCATCTTAAGTCTTGCTGAATAAAAAGACAGAATACCCCTGGGAGATACATTTTTAAATCCCAGCTGAATCTAGTGAACAGCCCAATTTGGGAAGCACTGTACTAGTCTATGGAATAGCTGTGTTTGAGATGCCAAATTGACAGCTTAGTTCTATTTGAGGTAATGGGAATTGCATGTCTGTTTTCAAAGGAATATACTCAACTCTTTTTTTAAAAATCTACAGAATGGTTTCAGTGCCGAATTCAGAGAAGTGGTTGCTTTAGTTGGAGAACTGCTTAGTTTTTTCTCAGTTTTGCTAGTGAGTTTATCTTTATTAATTCTCTTGCTTTGTCTTCTTGCTTACGGACGAGTGTTTATTATAAAACATAACATAATCTTTGCATAAAGTAATCCCAACTGCAAAGTTTGTAGTGTGGAACCCATAGTTGTAAAATACTTGTTTTTCATAGTGGAAGCTTATGTGATAGGCAGTCAAGATGTATTTTTATGTCTAATCCTGTTGCACACATGTAGTTAAGTATATCTTTCAACAGATTACAACAATTTATATTTTAAGATAATATATGAGAACGTAGCATTTAGTTTGCTCCAAGAATTTAGTCATCTTCAAAGTTGTATAGTTTTGCAAATCTAGCATCAAATTAGTTACCATTAGATAAGCTAAGACAGGCCAAAATGGGGGAAGTTTTTAGAGAACTACCAGTAGATCTAGATTTACCTTCCATAGCAGAGTTGCCTAAAGACATTGCATTTTGCCTAATTCATGATAGTTGTGTTAGTACAGACATCATATTTCTAAATTATATGAGATAGAAGGGAAGAATATTTGAGCTCTTTTTATGAAGAGGATTAATATGAAGTAAATTATCTTTGGAATCATGAAAACTAAATTATTGCTGTCACAGACTCCATCTAGTTGCGTAAGTCATAACCATGCCTGAATGTGTGGGATCCAGTAGTTAAAGCAAACCTCGTTCTACTGTAAGAAAAAGTCATATTACATCTGAGAGGCACAAGGCATTTCGGTTAAGTTATATTGGCCCCAAAGTACCCTTTTGCTACTCAGTTCACTTCCCAGTTTTAGACTCTTATGTTTACACTCATTCTCCTTATGCAACTTCCTCGTACCTGCTGCAATTTGAAATTAGACATAGTAACAGCCAGCACTTCCTTGCCCATATTGTACATTTAAATTCACTGGTTCTGGCCAGGCACAGTGGCTCACATCTGTAATCCCAGCACTTTGGGAGGCCAAGGTGAGCGGATCACTTGAGGTCAGGAGTTTGAGACCAGCCTGACCAACATGGTGAGACCCCATCTCTACTAAAAACTCAAAAAAATTAGCCAGGCATGATGGCGGGTGCCTGTAATCCCAGCTACTGGGAGGCTGAGGCAGGAGAATCGCTTGAACCCTGGAGGCAGAGGTTGCAGTGAGCCACTACACTCCAGCCTGGGTGACAGAGTTAGACTCTGTCTCAGAAAAAAAAAAAAAGAAAAAAAAATTCACTGGTTCTGTCAGTGGCAGGTCTGCAATTGATAAGAGAAGCTGGCAATTCAGGTGAGTCTATGGCACCATCACAGGGCCCTGATAAATGTCTGCCTGTCAATGAAAGGCCAGTTGTCTAGAAAATTCAATTGAAAAAACAATATAAATACAGAAGTCCTGGCAGCTGAAAGAGCTGAATGAGTCATTGTACCATTTGGTCATTAGGTCTCCTTCCTACCTGGAAAACAAAATGGCGAGGATGAAGTGCCAAATGGTTACATCAGGAGTTGCTGTCAAGGAAGTGGAATTCTCAGCTCCTGCCCAGCAGTCTTCACATTTTTGTGCCCATTAAATTAACTGCAAGAGGGGACAGCTCAAGCCATGGCTCTTTTTTTTTTTTTTTTTTTTTAAATATTGCATGAAAGTGGTGGTGTGAATTGAACAATGAGAACACATGGACACAGGAAGGGGAACATCACACACCGGGGCCTGTTGTGGGGTGGGGGAAGGCGGGAGGGATAGCATTAGGAGATATACCTAATGTTAAATGACGAGTTAATGGGTGCAGCACACCAACATGGCACATGTATACATATGTAACAAACCTGCATGTTGTGCACATGTACCCTAAAACTTAAAGTATAATTAAAAAAAAAAAGAAAGAAAGTGGTGGTGTGGAACAAAACCTCCCAACCTTTGTTATTGTGTTTTTTAATCTTTTATTGAAGTATAATACACATATTGAACAGTGCATAATCTTAGTATACAATTTGGTGAATTCTCACAATGAACACATCCTTGTAACTGGCACCCAGGTGAAGAAACAGAATGTTCCCAGAGGGCCTCCTCCCATCCTTATAGTCGCTTCTCACCACGTCCCACCCCAGGTGACCACTGTGTGGCCTTCCAATAACATGGATTAATGTTGCCCATTTTCATACCTTTGTTACTGGTTTTTTTCATGCAACATTATGTCTTGTGAGACTCATCCATGTTATTCCTACAATAACAGTTCTTAATCTCCTAGTCTGCATTCATTGTAATGTTTTGGTACTTTTAAATTTTTTTATTTTTATTTTTTGAGACAGAGTCTGGCTCTATCACCCAGGCTGGAGTGCAGCGGCACAGTCTTGGCTCATTGTAGCCTCTGCCTCCTAGGCTCAAGCAGTCCTCCCACCTCAGCCTCCTGAGTAGCTGGGACTACAGGTGCATGCTACCAAGCCCGACTAATTTTTGTATTTTCTGTAGAGACAGGATTTCACGGTTGCCCAGGCTGGTCTGGAACTCTTAAACTCAAACGACCTGCCTGCCTTGACCTTCCAAAGTGCTAGGATTACAAGTGTGAGCCACCATGCCTGACCTGTTTTGGTACTTTAAGTCAGTTCACATACTCATATCTTATTAGGGTGAACCCAAGCTCATTGATCTTGAGACAATGCTATAGCTATAGCAGAATTTATACTTTTAACCTAGTATTAGATATAAATTCCTGAAAGTTAGTATATATTATTTAGGCATTTTGTATGTTTTAATGGAAACCTCGAGCTTAATTAAATGGTTTTTTTTTAGCTAGTTTCAGGAGACTGACGCTTTAGGAGAATACCCTTCGCTCCCTTATGATAAAGAGTGATTTCCTTTGCCTGCAAGTGATAGAACTGGGACTATGTTAGATCTTTGTGAAATTTGTTAAAAAGCATACTCCAGAAAGGGAAGGGCTGTTTGAAAGGCCCCAGGACACATTCTGTTTCTCATCTGGACTTTTCTCTACTTGTTGACTTGGCTCTGCAGACTGGCTTTCTCCACACAGTGAGACACATGGCCACTAGTGGCTCCTGAATTTATATATATATAAATATATATAAATTCACTATGTTTATATATATATTCAGTGTATAATGCAGCGTGACATCCACGTCACCCTGCATTATACACTGAAGGCTGGAGAAGGTCATGAGAGATCATTTCATCAAAGCTATATATATATATTTTTTCTGTATTTATATATATATATTTTATATATATTATATATATATATATTATATATATATAGTTTTTTTTTTGGGGGGACAGAAACTTGCTCCATTGCCCAGGCTGGAGTTAAGGGGCGTGATCTCAGCTCACTGCAACCTCCACCCCTGGGGTTCAAGTAATTCTTATGCCCCAGCGTCTTGAGTAGCTGGGATTACAGGCGTGTGCCACCATGCCTGGCTAATTTATTTATTTATTTTGTATTTTTAGTAGAGACAGGGTTTTGCCATGTTGGCCAGGCTGGTCTCAAACGCCTGGCCTCAAGTGATCCACCTGCCTTAGCCTCCCAAAGTGCTAGGATGACAGGCATGAGCCACTGTGCCTGGCCATATTTTTACGTTTTTGAGACAGGGTCTTGTTCTGTCACCCAGGGTGGAGTACAGTGGTGCGATCATGGCTCACTGCAGCCTTGACCTCCCGGACTCAAGCAGTTCTCCTACCTCAACCTCCAGAGTAGCTGGGACTACAGGTGTGTGCCACCATGCCTGGCTAATTTTTAAATTTTTTGTAGAGCTGGAATCTCACTATGTTGCTCAGGCTGATCTCGAACTCCTGGGCTCAAGTGATCCTCCTGCCTTAGCCCCTTAAAGTGCTGGGATTACAGGTGTAAACCATCATGCCCAGCCTCCTGAATTTTATAAGTTGTAAATGCTACCATAAGAGGACAGACATTATTTTTTCAGTTATAGTTCAGAAAAATCCCAAGTACCTGCCTTTGACCTTTCAGCTGTAGTCAAAGCAGGGAATGAGGTACTGTGGTTGGTCTTGCCTGGACCTGCCTTTGGTCAGTCAATTGTGTTGAGGTGTAAGTCTTTATAGAATCACTTGGTGAGAAAAGGACATGCTGTTCCTAGAAAAAGGGTATTTCTGGGCAGGCCAAACACTGGACATCCACGTCACCCTGCATTATACACTGAAGGCTGGAGAAAGTCATGAGAGATCATTTCATCAAAGCTATTTGGAATTCTAGAAGCAGATTCTACTGACTGGTGGCTAGACCACAGACAGTGATTATAATGAGGGCCGTTGGAGTTATTTGAAGCTCTAACCTGTACCAATTCTGAACAATTTCCTTTTGGTACTTTCAAACTTATCATTCATTTTTCACAATGAGATATGTTGTCACTAGTGGGTCCTGAATTTTATAACTTGTCAGTTCTGCCATAGAAGAGGGACTGACATTATTTTTCAGTTGTAGTAAGAAAAATCCCAAGTACCCCCATTTGGCCTGTCAGCTGTGGTCTGAGCAAGGAATGAGGTGCTATGGACGGAGGTACCATCCTTAGCTAGGTCCAAAAATGTTTGTTACTCTCATCTATCAAAGTGGTTTTCAACCTTTTTTTAATGTAGCAGGACAGTATTTTTAAATCAAAAAAGGAAAAAAAATCCTACATACAAAGCAGTAGTAGTACGTATTTATGGATCCATAAAAATATAATAAAAGTATTACCAAAATGCAAACTAAAGGGCTGTGGACCAAATTCATGACTGTTGTGGCCTCTGGGCAGGGAGGATGGGAAGTGGTATTGAAAATATAATAGAAATTTTTCTCCGATTTATAGAAAAAGTAATACAGGGCTGGATGCAGTGGCTCACACCTGTAATCCCCTCACTTTGGGAGGCTGAGGCAGGTGGATTGCTTGAGCTCGGGAGCTGGAAACCAGCCTGGACAACATGGCAAAACCCCGTCTCTGCCAAAAATAGAAAAATTAGCAGGGGCATGGTGGTGTGCGCTTGTAGTCGCAGCTACTTGGGAGGCTGAGATGGGAGGATTGCTTGAGTCTGGGAGGTGGAGGTTGCAGTGAGCTGAGATCGCATCACTGCACTCCAGCCTGGAAATTAAAAGAATTAAAATAATTCCTCCAGAATTAGCCAACATTGATTGTATGGCATTTGTCGTCCAGCAACACAAGGAGGCAGCAGCGCAGTGTAGTTGTAAAGCTGTAAAGTGTGCATGCTGGGGACCCAGACTCCTTGGGTTCTGGTTCCAGGTCCTGGTTCTGTTGCTTACTATCCTGGGTGAGTTATTTCATCTTTATATGCTGCATTTGTATAGTACTATATTCCTCATTTGTATAGTACTATACAATTACTTTTATATCTCCAAATTCCTACTTTATGTAGTTGTGATGTTTTTAGAAAAAATATGTATAAAATGCTTAGAACAGTATGTGGCACATTGGAAGCACTCAAATATTAACTATTATTCATGTTGTTATTATTGGGGGGACATAAATAACTTCTAATCATGGGTATTTTTTCTCATAAAAAAAAAACACACATATTGAGAGCTTACTGCATATCTTTTGCGTATCTGGCACCGTACTCATGCTACTACCTTGTCTCATTTCAGCCTTACAAGGCAGTTATTTTATTGTAGGTAGGAAACTGAAGATCAGCGAAATAACTTGATTAAGCATCAGTGGCCACCAAATGATTGAGCTGGATTAGAACCAAGCTCAGGAACTCCAAAGGCCCTGTTCTTAACCTCTGCATTTCATTACTGCCAACACATTTCTTATCTTTCTTAAGCAACTTCCGAAGAAGCCAGGAAAAAATTGCCTAGGATAGCTAAATTTAGCTTAACAATATATGATTTAGAATTGGGAATATAGGAAAATATATGTAGATAAGTGAAAGATACTTTAAAAATTTAGCATTTTTATATACCGTATTTGGCAGTTTCTAGTATGTGTTAGAGACCATGCTAGGTGCTTTACAGAAACGTGATGAAATTCTTAGACAGCGCTGCATGTTGGGCATTCTGTGTCTCCTTTAGAATGAATCAGTCTCAGAGATATTACGTATCCTATGCAGGGTATGTATCCTATAACCACAAAATGGCATTCAAGTCCCCACCTGCTATCATGCCAGAAACTACATGCTTTTCATTACATGGAACTGGTTTTCTCACATCATCAGTTGTTTATATTTTACTTTTGAGGTAGGTATATATATTCTGGATTTTATTCATCTTGTCATCTTTTGTTTCCTCATAGTTTAGAAAAACTGGAGGCAAACAACATGTAAAACATTTAATTGGGTGTCTGTGCAATTAAGTAATGCAAACTGTTTTTGTAATAATGCAAAGTGTAATCTTTAAATGTTTTTAGCTTGTTGGCCAGGCATGGTGGCTCATACCTGTAATCCCAGTACTTTGGGAGGCTGAGGTGGGAAGATTGCCTGAGGTCAGAAATTCGAGACTAGCCTGGCCAACATGGTGAAACCCCATCTCTCTCACTCTTTATTTATTTATTTATTTTTTTGAGATAGAATTTCACTCTTGTTGTCTGGGTTGGAGTGCAGTGGCACAATCTCGGCTCACTGCAACCTCTGCCTCCCAGGTTCAAGTGATTCTTCTGCCTTAGCTTCCCCAGTAGCTGGGATTACAGGCACCCGCCACCACCACGCCCAACTAATTTTTTGTTTAGTAGAGATAGGGTTTCATCATGTTGGCCAGGCTGGTCTCAGACTCCTGACCACAGGTGATCTGCCCACCTTGGCCTCCCGAAGGGTAGGGATTACAGGCGTGAGCCACCACGCCTGGCTAAAACTCCATCTCTACTAAAAATACAAAAATTAGCTGGGCGTGGTAGCACACATCTGTAATCCCAGCTACTTGGGGGGCTGAAGCATGAGAATTGCTTGAACCCAGGAGGTGGAAGTTGCAATGAGCTGAGACCGTGCCTCCGCACTCCAGCCTGGGCAATAGAGCAAGACTCTGTCTCAAAAAAATATCAAAATAAATAAATAGGCCGGGCGCTGCGGCTCATGCCTGTAATCCCAACACTTTGGGAGGCTGAGGCGGGTGGATCACGAGGTCAGGCAATCGAGATCATCCTGGCCAACATGGCGAAACCCCGTCTCTACTAAAAATACAAAAATTAGCTGGGCGTGGTGGTGTGCACCTGTAGTCCTGGCTACTCGGGAGGCTGAGGCAGGAGAATCACCTGAACCTGGGAGGCGGAGATTACAGTGAGCCGATATCGTGCCACTGCACTCCAGCCTGGCGACAGAGTGAGACTCTGTCTCGAAATAAATAAATAAATACATAAAAATAAATAAATAAAATTTTTTAGCTTTTTTTTTTGAGGAGAAAAATACACTTATAGCTGGCCCGTTAAAATATAGTATACTTGACAATGAAAAGTAAAAAATTCTCCATTTTGGCTTGGTAGACTTTGCCCGCCTTTAGCAGTAAAATTGTTACTCTATTGTTGGTTTCTAGTACAATACACTGGTACAGAGTGATCACTTTATTTCCTAACACGAGAATTTTCAGGGCCTTTCCTGCCTCGAACACACACCAGCTGTGTGTTTAGTCAATACTGTGTTTATCTCAGCGTGAGATTCAAATTTTCCTCCTAATAGCATTATCACGGTGCAACGTCACTTTTTGTATTCCTTCATTTGAATAGTTCCTATACATTATTATGGTTTAAAAAATAAGTCTGAAGGTGGCAATATCCTAACACTGAAAGCAGTGTATTTTTACTTGACTTATTATTGTGAACACATTATGTCACTGCACATTCAAGTGGTGTGATGGGAAATGATCAAGTCTTCCTTTTTACTAGGTGATCAGACTCTGAGAATATGGGATGTGAAGGCAGCAGGAGTAAGAATCGTGATTCCTGCACATCAGGCAGAAATCTTGAGTTGTGACTGGTGTAAATACAATGAGGTATAGTGTATGGCTCTATCCTATGCTGCTGTCCTTCCTAATGTTAAAATGTTCTGAATTTTATTTGTCTTTGTTTATGTGGACTTTGGTGGTGTTCCTGGACCATTAAGTTAAATTCTGTCCCTTTCCTTTCTAATTAATGATTGTGACTGACCTGCATTAGCATTAATTGGATTTAAGTGCTCATGAAACGGGCAAAATAAGAAACAGAAATTCTCAAAGTTCAACAGTGCAGGCTTACTTGTTTGTTTTGGGAAGCTGCCTTATGTAATTTTTTTCTTTATTGCTCTTAACCCTGCAATTTTGTATCATCTTTTGCTTTTATTTCTTTCTCACTTTGCTAGTCAGGCTGTTGAACTATTGTAATTTGATTTTTAATTTGACAGTCCATCAGTTTTTAAATTTTTCTGTTTTATCTTCCTTTTTAAGCCTAACCAATTTTCATGCCTCTGTAAGATAAGTGTCCATGTGCAACTTTTTTAAAGCTTCAGTTAACCACATGAGCGTATGAATCAGAGATAGAAATGGATTAAATATGTGTTAATATACTACAGTCATGCACTGCATAACAACATTTCAGCCAGTGACAGATTGCATATGTGACAGGGCCCGTAAGATATAATGGAGCTGAAAAATTCCTATTGCCCCCGAAAACCTTCCAGCAGGACAAGATGTGAAGGTAGAAGACAGTGATATTGATAATCCTGACTCAGTGTAGTCCTAAACTAATATGTGTGCGTCTCAGTTTTTAAAAAAAGAGTTTAAAAAGTAAAAAAAAAAATTAAATAGAAAAAAGCTTATAAACTAAGGATATAAAGAAAGAAAATATTTTTGTATAGCTCTACAATGTGTTTATATTTTAAGTTTTGTTATTATGAAGAGTCAAAAAGTAAAAAAAGCCAGGCATGGTGGCAGGCGCCTGTAGTCCCAGCTACTCGGGAGGCTGAGGCAGGGGAATCGCTTGAACTGGGAGGCAGAGGCTGCAGTGAGCCAAGATCACGCCACTGCACTCCAGCCTGGCAACAGAGCAAGACTCCATCTCAAAACAACAACAACAACAACAACAAAAAACTTTAAAAAAAATTAGAAAGTTTATGAAGCAAAAAATTACAGTGAGCTAAGGTTAATTTATTATTGAAGAAAGGAAATAAAAAATAAATTTAGTGTACAGTAATGTTCTAGGCCTTTCCATTCACTCACTACTCATTCACTCACTGACTCACCCAGAGTAATTTCCAGTTTTGTAAGCTCCATTCATGGTAAGGACCCTACTACCATTTTTTATCTTCCATACTATATTTTTACTATACCTTTTCTATGTTTAGATACAGAAAGCCTTACAATTGTGTTACAGTAGCCTACAGTATTCAGTACAGTAACATGCTGGACAGGCATGTAGCCTAGGAGCAATAGGCTGTTTCATCTAGCCTGGGTGTGTACTAGGCTGTACCACCTAGGTTTGTGTAAGTACACTCTGTGATGTTCACGCAAAGATGAAATTGCCTAATGCCACATTTCTGAGAGCATATCCCCATCATTAAGTGATGCATGACTGTATTTATGTCCCTGAAGTGGTCTGTTGACCGTGACAAATAGGTAAAATGTATGCTTTGTTTTTTTCCCAGTTTTAAATTAATTAAAGTTAAAAGAACATTGTATTGGCAGAGTTCTTTAAATAAAAATAAGTAAAATAAGTTAAAATATAGTATATATACAATGATATTACTCAATCTAAACATTTCAATGCTGATGACTATAGTTTCAAACTCATAAATGAATGTTTCATATTGGAAAATTAATTATGGCCTGTATGTTAGATGTTTGGGAACTCTAAAGAAAGATGCTGATAGACATTTGAGAGTGATTTACAAAAATTATTTTCTAATAACTGAAACTTTTCTTCAAATTAGCTTAAACTAAAGCCCAACATAGTCAGACAATGTTAGGTTGGTGCAAGAGTAGTTGCAGTTTTTGCCATTACTTTCAATGGCAAAAACTGCAACTACTTTTGCGCCAACTTAAATCCATTGCTGTTCTGAGTTATGTGGGGTGGACTGAGTGTGGACCCAGCACTTGTCCTATTCAGCCAGGACCTCTGGGTTCACTTGGGGCTCTAGATAGCAGAATTTGTAAAGCCGGAATAGATAAGAGACTCACCACTATTTGATTACATTCTTGGATATGATTAGATATCGTATTAAGAATTTTGGTCCAAGAGAGTTGGAAACAATGATTAATTTAGATTTAGAGAACATGGAAAAATTTAATTCATAGCCTTTGCTTTTTCAGATGTGCCTAAATGAACAGACCTCTTGCCTTTTAATGCCTGGAAAAACCTCAGAGTATGTTGAAACCCTTTTTGTTTGTTTGTTTTTTAGAGATGAGGTCTCACTGTTGCCCAGGCTGGTCTCAAACTCCTGGGCTCAAGTGATCCACCGGCCTTGGCCTCCCAAAGTGCTGGGATTATAGGAGTGAACCACCGCACCCAGCCTTGAAAACCTTTTTTAAATTTTTATTTTTTTTTTAGAGACAGGGTCTCGCTGTGTCATCCAGGCTGAGGTACAGTGGGGTGATCATACCACACTGTAGCCTCTGACTCTTGGGCTCACACAATCCTCCTGCCTCACTCAGCCTCTCAAGTAGCTAAAATTACAGGTGTGTGTTACCACGCCTGGCTAATTTTTTGGGTAGACAGGGTCTTGCTTTATTGTCCATGCTGGTCTCAAGTTCCTGGCCTCAAGTGATCCTCCCACCTTTGCCTCCCAAGGTGCTGGAATTCCAGGGAAAACCTTTTGAAGAGAAAGCTGGGCTCATTTGTCAGATAAAATTTTTAATCCCCTATGTATTTACTGCCGCTTCTAAAGCTGAATTAGAAAATCCACAATGCTGTTTGGAACTATGCCTTTTCCAGCTGTCTGTAGTGTTCCATCGTGTACATAAAGCATATTGAGTTCTTTTTCTCACAAGTCATATTAGTTTTTTGCTATTAATGTCTATGTTGATTCCTGTCTATACTTGTTATACAACTTCTCAAAAATGACTCCTTGGTTCATATTAAATAGTTATCAGAAAGCAGATGTTGTTTCTAGTAGGAAAGCCTGCATACTGTTTAATTGCAAAGATGTCACAGTTTATGTTTCTCTGAATTGTTTTTAGAATTTGCTGGTGACCGGGGCGGTTGACTGTAGTTTGAGAGGCTGGGACTTAAGGAATGTACGACAACCAGTGTTTGAACTTCTTGGTCATACCTATGCTATTAGGAGGGTGAAAGTAAGTTTTCATCTTTTCTTTTATATGTAGAATAAAATTATATAAATATAATCAATGAAGTGTATATTAAAAAGTGTTCTGGGTTTAGGGATTGGAGTTACTAATTCTTTTTTATATGTGTTTTTGTTACCCAATTAATTAGTAGTGAAAGCTAAAATTAGGCAAAAATATTTGAATAATGATTGAATGAATTTGGGCAATGTAGACATTCAATACTTAAGGTTAAATAAAAATCTTTTTCTCATTCTTTCACCTCCAATCTGTTTTTCCTTTAATATATTTTTTTAACTATAGTAATTCACTTTTAGTATTATGTTCTTTATAAGTTTCTAATTAGCGAGAGTCTCTACTTTGTTGAAACAGATGTAAAGAGATGGTTAATTCTTTCTTTTTCCTAACATGATAACATACATGACTGTTCACAGATGTTTGGGATATAGAAAGTTTTCTACTCTGTGAACAGCAGAGGATGAGGTAAATTTTTAATGATGGTCTCAGTAAATTTATCTGGGTTATAAGATGACTTAGGTTGGTTTCCTGGCTTTTATATTTAGGCAGGTTCTGCTAAATGACTGTGGAAAACATCTTATTAAGTGACATCTCCCAATTTCATCCTTTTGTTTTTTTACGTTAAGGATAAAAAAGTACCTTATTGATTATTTTAATAAGGTAATTATGTTATTCCTACTATTTAAAAAATTCTAAATTTTTTTTTCTTTTTTTTTGAGATGGAGTCTTGCCCTGTCACCCAGACACGATCTCAGCTCACTGCAACCTCTGCCTTCTGGGTTCAAGCTGTTCTCCTGCCTCAGCCTACTGAGTAGCTGGGACTACAGGTGTGCACCACCATGCCCGGCTAATTTTTTTGTATTTTTAGTGGAGACAGGGTTTCACAGTGTTGGCCAGGCTGGTCTTGAACTCCTGACCTCAAGTGATCTGCCTGCCTTAGCCTTCCACAGTGCTGGGATTACAGGCTGAGTCACTGTGCCTGGCCAAAAATTCTAAATTTTTAGTTAAGTTAATATTTTAAGTTTCTCTGGCTGCAATGCAACATAGGAGACACAGTGCTCTGTTTTATTTTTTAATAAATTTGTTTAATTGGACAAGTTTTAGCAGTTGAAAAATATGCTCTATGTATATTTTAGAGTGATTATGAGAATGAAATAAGGTAATGTAGTGAAAGTACTTTGCAAACTAAGTGCTGGTCAAATGTAGTTATATATGTGTATTTAACTATTAAAGTGCGATAAGACAAACACTGAAGAAATGTAATTGCAAAGGTCAACTTATTAAGTACATTATTACTCATCTAGAAGACGTTACTTGTCTTTAAACTTGCTTTTTACCCTTGATATAATTTTCCATTAGCTGTAATATACAAATAACGTAAAAATAACTTAAGGGTGTTTTTATTTAACATTTAAATGTTTATTTTGATAACGTGATTATAGCAATCATATATTTGTAAAATTGGTAAATTATATAATTATATATTTGTACTCTTATATACTTAAATCCCTTATATTTGTAAGAATCATTTTTGTTTATTACTTTGTTTGCTTTTGCTTTTTTTGAGCCAGAGTCTCTCTCTGTCGCCGGGGCTGGAGTGCAGTGGCATGATCTCGGCTCACTGCAACCTCCACCTTCTGGGTTAAAGCAATTCACCTGCTTCAGCTTCCCCAGAAGCTGAGATTATAGGCATATGTGCCACCATGCCCATCTAACTTTTGTATTTTTAGTACAGGCGGGGTTTCACCATGTTGGCCAGGCTGGTCTCGAGCTCCTGACCTGAGGTGATCTGCCCTCCTGAGCCTCCCAAGGTGCTGGGATTACAGGTGTGAGCTGCTGCATCTGGCCTGTAAGAATCATTTTTGGATAGCCAATATGAAATTGTATTTAATTTTTCCAGAATAGCAACATTTTGGGAATATTTTATTCTAAATAAGTTCTAAAAAGCTTGAGGGATAATTTTCTTTGGAGAATGTAAAAATATTTTTCCTGAAGATGGATACTTATAAGGCCAGAAGATTTTTGCCTCAAATTATAGCATATATGCTTTGAAAAAGCATAATTTTAAGTGACAGCTCTGACTCAACTTAAATTTATTATAATGTTTATGGAATGATCATAGAAAGCAGTGTTATAATCACAGCTGACTTCAAAAAGGGTTTTTTTTTTCTTTTTTTTTTTGTAGTTTTCACCATTTCATGCTTCTGTGCTGGCCTCTTGCTCGTATGATTTTACTGTAAGGTACAGTGGTTTTTAATACATTTCATTGTGAAATACCAGGTAACATTTGCATCTTTGCAACTTTTATAAGAGATAATATGATTACTCTTACTAACATGAAAATAATCTGAGATGGGTACATTTAAATATTTACTAGGATTAATATTATATTTTTCCTGTTTTCGTGATCCAGTCACATATATGAGTAAATTTTTTCTCTTCAAATATTAGCCTGGCTATTCTGTTTAAAAGCCATCTTTTCTAATAGATGTTCCTATGGTAACACTTTCCTACACTATAGATGGCATAGCCAATATATTCTAAATTTAGATATAGAAATTTGGAAATTGCATTTCTTCAGGTCTAATTATATGAGTCGTAAGGCTAAGATTGCTTAGATGAAAAAACAATGAACATGAGTGTATGATTTTTTGTGAATGTAGATATATGAACATGTATGTGTATATATGTGCATGGATATCTAGATAAGAGTGTGTGTGGGTGTGGGTCTCTATTTATACTTCCAGTTACAGTTCCATACCACAGAGGATTTATTTTCCCTTTCCAAATTTGTAACTCTTGACTTCCATTTTATTCACAATATATTTTCTTATGTGTTAAACCCTGTAATGCTTAGAAAGTAGTTCAGAATTGCAAAGCCATACCTTTGAAAAAAACAATCTTACTAATTAGAGCTCAGCACTTGCTTAGAGTTTTTTTTGTCTTTAGTTTGAATACTATATTCAGAAGTTACTTAGGTTAATTCTCCTCTTCTCTGTTAGAGTGTGGTTATGTTATTCACTTGAAACATGGTTTGATTCCTTTGTTTCTGTTTGTATTCAATTTTAGGGTTTTCCTCCCATCCTTGTTGATTTTGTCTAGGCAAAACATTGACATGGTTTCAAAAGTCAAGATGTACATAAAGATATATTCAGAAAGGTTTCCAGGATTTTCACTAAAATATATCCTGGAAATCATTCTGTATCAAAGAGATCATTCTCATTCTGCATAATACACCATTGTGTGGATGTGCTATAGTTTATTTGGCTACCCTCCTATCTATGGACATTTAGCTTGTTTTCAATGTTTTGTAAATAAACAGTGCCACAGTGAATGATAGCTTTGTGTTACTAGAGAATTAATGTCTGGTATTCCTAGAAGTGGGATTGCTGAGTTAAAAGGTAAACATATGTAGTTTTGTTAGATATTACCAAATTCCCATCCATAAGGAATATGCCAATTTTGATACTCAGTAGCAATGTTTGAGAGTACCTGTTTCTCTGCCTTCTAAAGATCATTGATTCATTAAGGTTTTCCAGATGTATGATCTTATCACCTGCAAATAAAGGTGGTTCTACACCTTCATTTCCAATTCTGATGCCTCTAATTGATTTTTCTTAAAATTCCCTCCACAAATACCACTAATACAGTGCTAAATAGTTTATAGAGAATGTCTGATTCCTGATATGAGTACAAACGCCTTTAGTGTTTCTCTATTAAAAATAAGATTCTGACTTTAATGCAAATTATATATGTTTACTTGTTTGTCATACTAAGAAAGTATGCATGAATTCCTATTTTCTTGAGTTTTTTTAATTAGGAATGGGTCTTAAGTTTTGTTGAAGGCTTTTTTTCCCAGCATTTATGGAGATAATCATGATTTTTCTTCTTAGAGATATGGCTATGATGTATTATATTAATGGATTGAACCAACCTTGCATTCCTGGAGTAAGTCTCTCACGTTCTTTGTGTATCATTTTCTCACCATGGTGTTGAATTGTGTTTGCTAATATTTTATTTAAAGCTTTTGCGTCAATATTCAAAGGTGATATTAGTTGCAGTTTTCTTTCTTTTCTCGTTTTGTTTAATGTGTCTGTGTTTTACTTGCTTCATAAAAAGAATTAAGAAATTTTCCTTTGTTTCCAAAGCTCTGGAACAACTTGTACAGCATTGAGGCTATTTGGTCTTTGAATCCTTTGTAGGATTGCTCTGCAAAACTAGTGGAGCATGGTGCTTTTTGTGGAGTACTTTCTTGATAACTTCATTTCTTTCATGGAAGTGAGTCTGTTTAAACTTTGTATCTCTAACGGGATCAAGTTTGGAAATTGTCCCTTGCTTTTAGGTTTTCAAATTTATTCGTAGAGGTGTCTGTAAAGTGGGTGGACACAGTGGCTCATGCCTGTATTCCCAGCACTTTGGGAGGCCAAGGTGGGCAGATCACCTGAGGTTAAGGGTTCAAGACCAGCCTGGCCAACATGGTGAAACCCTGTCTCTACTAAAAATAGAAAAATTAGCCACGCATGATGGCAGGTGCCTGTAATCCCAGCTACTTGGGAGGCTGAGGTGGAATTGCTTGAACCCAGAAGGCAGAGATTGCAGTGAGCTAAAATCATACCACTGCACTCCAGCCTGGGTGACAGAGTGAGACTTTGCCTCAAAAAAAAAAAAAAAAAAAAGTCTATAAAGGAATGTTGTAGGATTTCTTCTCTTTCATTGGTTGTTTTACTCTTGTTATTTCTGATTTTGTATCTTTAATAAGTTCTTTGAATATCTAGTGGTATGTTTATTTTGTTATTTTTCTTCAGCAGGCAGAATTTTAATTTATCAATTAGAACTACTTTTTTCAGCTGGGTGCAGTAGCTCATGCGTGTAATCCCAGCACTTTGGGAGGCTGAGGCGGGTGGATCACCTGAGGTCAGGAGTTCAAGACCAGCCTGACCAACATGGTGAAACCCCGTCTCTACTAAAAATACAAAATTAGCTGGGCGTGGTGGCACATGCCTGTAATCCCTGCTACTGGGGAGGCTGAGGCAGGAGAATTGCTTGAACCCAGGTGGCAGAAGTTGCAGTGAGCCGAGATCGTGCCATTGCACTCCAGCCTGGGCAACAAGAGCAAAACTCTGTCTCAAAAAAGAAAAAAAAAGAACTTTTTTTTTTTATTAATCACTGCTTTTATTTTTATTATTTCCTTTTTGGTACTTTCTTTTTGTTGTTCTTTTTTTCAGCTTCTTGAGATAGGAATTTATTTTTATTCTTTCATTTTGTTAAAGTATTTAAGGCTATAAATTTTTTTCTGGTTATTATTCAAACTATAGCCCATAGATTCTGATATATAATGTTTTCATTATCATTTTAAAACATTTGTAAGTTCTGTTTATACTTGCCTTTTCTTCCAAGAGGTGTATAATAGGAAATTATTTAGTTTCCATATGAAAATGCCTTTTAACTTAAAAAAATTTGTTAATAATTTCTACTTTTATTGCATTAAAATCAGAGAATACTATTTTAGTCATTCTGTTCTATGGAACATATTGAAATTTGGGGGAAGTGGAACCTAATAAATGATCAGTTTTTGTGAATGTTTCATTTGCAGTTCAGAAGAATGTACAGTCTCCATTTTCAGGCTGTAAAGTTCAGTATATAATCATAAGCTTACAAATTGATTATGTTGTTTAGGCCTTCTGTATCCCTTCTTATTATTGGTCCACTTAGTCTGAGAATGGTATGTTACTGAGAGTGGTATGTTAAAATCTCCTATCATTAGCAGGCTTCTATATCTCCCTGCATCTTTTGTAGTTTTGATTTTATAGAAACAGATGCTGTGTTTCTGGTATGTAGATATTATGGTGAATTGAGACTTTTAGCATTAAAGAATATCCTTCTTTGTCACAGTTAATGCTTTTTGTTTCAGTTATGCCTTGTCTCATATCAGAATCATTGCCCTCGCTTTCATACTGTGTTTACTTTCCAGATATGCTTTTCCCCATACCTTTTTTTTTGTTTTATCATATTTTCAATTCTTTCATTAAATTTTTTTTTTTTTGAGACAGAGTCTGGCTCTGTCGCCCAGGCTGGAGTGCAGTGGCACAATCTCGGCTCACTGCAAGCTCCGCCTCCTGGGTTCACACCATTCTCCTGCCTCAGCCTCCCGAGTAGCTGGGACTACAGGCACCCGTCACTATGCTAGGCTAATTTTTTGTATTTTTAGTAGAGATGGGGTTTCACCGTGTTAGCCAGGATGGTCTTGATCTCCTGACCTCGTGATCCACCCGCCTCAGCCTCCCAAAGTGCTGGGATTACAGGCGTGAGCCACTGCGCCCGGCCGATTAAATTTTTTTTATTATACTTTAAGTTCTGGGATGCATGTGCAGAACGTGCAGGTTTGTTAACATAGGTATATACGTGCTATGGTGGTTTGGTGCACCCATCAGCCAGTCATCTACATTAGGTATTTCTCCTAATGCTATCCCTCCTCTAGTCCCCCACCCCCCAAAAGGCCCCAATGTGTGGTGTTCACCTCCCTGTGTCCATGTGATCTCGTTGTTCAACTCCCACTTATGAGTGAGAACACGCGGTGTTCGGTTTTCTGTTCCTGTGTTAGTTTGCTGAGAATGATGTTTCCAGCTTCATCCCTGCCCCTGCAAAGGACATGAACTCATCATTTTTTATGGCTGTATAGTGTTCCATGGTGTATATGTGCCACATTTTCTTTATCCAGCCTATCATTGATGGGCATTTGGGTTGGTTCCAAGTCTTTGCTATTGTGAACAGTGCTGCAATAAACATATGTGTGCATGTGTCTTTATTGTAGAATGATTTATAATCCTTTGGGTATATACCCAGTAATGGGATTGCTGGGTCAAATGGTGTTTCTGATTCTAGATCCTTGAGGAATCACCACACTGTCTTCCACAATGGTTGAACTAATTTACACTCCCACCAACAGTGTAAAAGCCTTCGTATTTCTCCATATCCTCTCTAGCATCTGTTATTTCTTGACTTTTTAATGATCACCATTCTAACTGTTGTGAGGTGGTATCTCATTGTGGTTTTGATTTGCATTTCTCTAATGACTGGTGATGATGAGCTTTTTTTCATATGTTTGTTGGCCACATTAATATCTTCTTTTGAGAAGTGACTGTTCATATCCTTCACCCACTTTTTGATGGGGTTGTTTTTTTTTTGTTGATTCTGGATATTAGCCCCTTGTGAGATGGATAGATTGCAAAAATTTTCTCCCATTCTGTAGGCTGCCTGTTCACTCTGATGATAGTTTGTTTTGCTGTACAGAAGCTCTTTAGTTTAATTAGATCCCATTTGTTAATTTTGGCTTTTGTTGCCATTGCTTTTGGTGCTTTAGTCATGAAGTCTTTGCCCATGCCTATGTCCTGAATGGTATTGCCTAGGTTTTCTTCTAGGGTTTTTATGGTTTTGGGTTTACATTTAAGTCTTTAATCCATCTTGAGTTAATTTTTGTATAAGGTGTAAGGAAGGTGTCCAGTTTCAGTTTTCTGCATATGGCTAACCAGTTTTTCCAACACCATTTATTAAATAGGGAAACCTTCCCCCATTGCTTGTTTTTGTCAGGTTTGTCAAAGAGCAGATGGTTGTAGATGTGTGGCATTATTTCTGAGGCCTCCTTTCTCTTCCATTGGTCTATATATCTGTTTTGGTACCAGTACCATGCTGTTTTGATTGCTGTAGCCTTGTAGTATACTTTGAAGTCAGGTAGTGTGATGCCTCCAGCTTTGTAGGATTGTCTTGGCTTTATGGGCTCTTTTTCGGTTCCATATGAAATTTAAAGTAGTTTTTTTCTAATTCTGTTAAGAAAGTCAATGGTAGCTTGATGGGGATAGCATTGAATCTATAAATTACTTTGGGTGGTATGGTCATTTTCACGATATTGATTCTTCCTATCCATGAGCATGGATTGTTTTTCCATTTGTTTGTGTCCTCTCTGATTTCCTTGAGCAGTGGTTTGTAGTTCTCCTTGAAGAGGTCCTTCACATCCCTTGTAAGTTGGATTCCTAGGTATTTTATTCCCTTTGTAGCATTTGTGAATGGGAGTTCACTCATGATTTGGCTCTGTGTTTGTCTATTATTGGTGCATAGGAATGCTTGTGATTTTTGCACATTGATTTTGTATCCTGAGACTTTGCTGAAGTTGCTTATCAGCTTAAGGAGATTCTGGGCTGAGACGATGGGGCTTTCTAAGTATACAATCATGTCATCTGCAAACACAGACGATTTGACTTCCTCTCTTCCTATTTGAAATCCCTTTATTCCTTTCTTTTGCCTGATTGCCCTGGCCAGAACTTCCAATACTATGTTGAATAGGAGAGGTGAGAGAGGGCATCCTTGTCTTGTGCCGGTTTTCAAAGGGAATGGTTCCAGCTCTTGCCCATTCAGTATGATAGTGGCTGTGGGTTTGTCATAAGTAGCTCTTATTATTTTGAGATACTCTCCTTCAATACCTAGTTTATTGAGAGTTTTTAGCATGAAGGGTGTTGAATTTTGTCGAAAGCCTTTTGTGCATCAAAAATCATGGGGTTTTTGTCATTGGTTCTGTTTATGTGATGGGTTATGTTTATTGATTTGTGTATTTTGAACCCCCATACCTTTATTTTTAAACAGTTTTGTTGAACCATTTTGTTCTAGGTATGTTTTTGTATAGAGTATATATTAGGATCTCGCTTAGTGAACAAATAGTCTTTTTATTAGAATATGTAAGTTTAACTCTTTCATATTTCTTGATAAAAATGTTTAGCATCGAATGTGTCATATTTTATGTTATGATTATTATTTGTATTTTATTTGCTATGTTTCTGTGTGTGATGTGCTTTTTTGTTGTGTTTTTTTCTTTGACAAATTTTTTTTGACATTTAGGTAAGTTTTTATATGTTTTAGTGGTTGCCTTTGGTGTTACAACTTTTTAAATGCCTTCATAAGTTTTCTGAAAAAAATTAACCGTTTATTGCCTGGTTGTGAGTTTTTCATTATATTTTTGTGAAATCCCACCTATTTCTTATATAATAACCAGTGAACTTGTTCTACTTTCGCTTTTTTTTCCCTTTTCCATCAAATTTTGTTTCATTTATGCTTTGTTAGAACATGCAACATGTAACATATAGCACATATCATATGATATATTTTTACTTAGTTTCTACCTTTGTTTTAGTCTTAAGTGTATAATTAAATATATTAAGTGCTCATTATCAGTTTTTTATTCCTAAGTTTCCCTCATTATCTGATGCAGTTTATCTTCAGGAAATGCCATAGATTTCTCAAGAGGGACTGATGGGCATAGAATTCTCATGAACTCTCATATGTTTAAAACTATTTTTCTGTAGCTTTCCTACTTGGAGGATAGTTTAGCTGAATATAAACTCCTTGATTTACATTTCTTTCTTTGAGGTTTTTGAAAATGCTACTATGTTTTTATCTTGCTTTCTATGTCGTTTTTGAGAATTCTGATGCCAGTCTAACTCTCTTTTACTTGTAAGTTGTTTGGCACCACCCCGACCCCAACCATCAATCCTTTCCCTCCTCCTCGAGACCCTGGGGAAAAAGAACCCTTGTTGCATTTCAGTTTTTCTTGCTGCAGGCTCAGTGAGCTCTTTAAGTATATAGATTTGGGTCTTCTTTTATTCCTAGAAAGTTTTTTGAATTACAATTTTAAATAATAGTTCTACTTAATTGTTTTATTTTCTGTGGAACTCCCATTATGTATAAAAGGACTCTCCTTTACCTGTCTTCTCTCTCAGGTACTTTCTGTCTGATACTTTTTCCTTCTATATTTCTTTATCTCATTTTCATTCTTTTGGTTGTTTTCCTGTTGTCCTCAATGCCCTTATTATGTTTTTGTGTGAATCTGCTCTTCTTGGGCCCCAATGTAATTCTGTGTTTATTTGTGAAATGATTTTGCCTTTTTTCTTGTGTTTCTTCAGTTCAGTCAGGTCTGTTTCAGTTCTTCTGTTTTTGTCCACTTCTTTTCTTTGTTTTTGAGTTCCTGATCAAGGGTTTTGTTGGTTTTTTTTCTTCCATGTCCCTAAATGCTTGCTTGAAGATAATTTGATTCAGTTTAGAATATGTTACGGTTTTCTACTTCACTATTTTTTTTTTTGAGGGAAGCTTTTGTCAGATGAATTGTTGGAATTCTTGTAACCATTTATTTGTGTATGTGTGTGTTTTTAAAAATAAATAAAGACTTTTTTGTCTCTTTATATCTGTGGACAGGGTTGATGGTTTGAGGTTGGCACCTTTCCTTCCTTTTAATTTTCTTTCACCCCTAAACTATCAACTTTCTAAGATCACCTCCCTGTATCCAGTGTACTTTAAAATCTGTAATCTAATCTTTATTATGCCTTTTTCCAGTATTTTCACTCATAGGATGCACTTTCTCTTTCTCATGATGGTTTTAGGTCAGCGTTAGACCTAGTCCTAGCTCCTGCCCTCTCTGTACCATTCAGTGTTCCCCACACTGTCCTTGCCATTCACACAGGCTTGCAGCTGGAACAAGGAAGAGAGCTCATAGGGATTCTGTTTTGATTTTTCTTCTTACAGTTAATTTGAAGTTTGGATGTGTGGAAGACCTGAGGTTTGTGTAGTTTTATTTGTTCTCTTTGTTGTTCTGTATTGGTTTTTGTAAGAATACAGTAACAGTTTTGGATTTACATGGCCTCATTGCCTAGACTCTCCTCTCTCCTCACTTCTGAGTCCGTATTAGATATGGCCCAGTCTATATAGCTTTGTTTGTATAAAATGTACTTCTAATAGAATAAATTACAACAATGCTTTGAGATGTATTTCATGCCTTAACTTGGTTTTCTTGATTCATTCAATACAAGCGGGCAGACAGCTGGGAAGAATAATCACATGGAGGCTCCCAGCTCTCAAAAGTGTACTTTAACCAGGCTTTTGTTTGTTTTTTAGTATTCCATATAAAATAATAAGTAGTGATTATAAAGTTTTCAGCCTGGGAACTAACGAATGGCAACACAACAGAAAGGAAGAAACTGGAACTGTGGAGCTAGATCACTGGCTGGAGGTTAAGGCTGTGCATGTAGATTTGGACACCATTTACTCACTGATAATTCAGTCCATAAGAATGAATAAGCCAAAGGGAGATAAGTGTAGAGAAAGAACAAAAATTCCCTCCTTCAGGAGGGAGTTCATGTTGGAAAGCAGGAAGGAGCAGCCCACCAGGAACAGGAGGAAACCTTAGAGCATGCAATAGTCACAGAAGCTGTGGGAGGAGGGGCTTTCAACAAGGTGTGAATGGCCAGTAATGTCAGATCCACCAGATAGGTTAAGCAGTATGAAGAGAGAACTTGGAATCTTCTCTTTTTGTCGCTCATGGATTCAAAAAGATATCCACATATAGGATCTAGTTCTTGGAATTCGAACACCTTTCTGGCATTTGAAGCAAGAAGGCATAAACTGAGATGAGACATTAATCTTTTGGTGATCTCATATTTGGTATTCTTAACAGTTTTAATTGGGACATCTTAAATCCATTTCAGTGCTTTGTTTCTGATTAAAGAGAAAAATCTAATGACTACTGAGACTTTCTTCTCAGAATTGTCATTTTGATCTTAATCCTAGTGACTGACCACTCCCTGTTTTATGTATTTAAGTACCCCTAAACACCCTGTGGGAAAATGCCTTGTTCTCAGGAATGTTTGTTAAGACTGGATGTCAACTACATTTCTGAAAATCTTGGGAGTATCAAACCATGCTCAGAATCATCATAGTTTTTGGCTTTCAGTCTTACTTTTCTCTCCACTGTTAAATGCTGAGTCCTGAGCAAGGACAGGGAGCGGGGGATAGATATTTAGTGCCCCTGGGGAGGGAGGTGGCTTAGGTCATGGTCCTGAGACCAGATCAAAGGTGTTGTAGCTATATTTGTAAGCACTTGGAAAAATTGAGATTTATAGTTCAATAATAGGAGATCTTTAACGTAAGTTAAACAGAAAGTTAAGAAGATATTTGAAATCAATGATCGTGTATAACTTAGAGTCCAGGTTTCTTTTATTAATGTGTAATATGGCAACTAGTGATATCTGTGCTCACAAGCTCACAGGGTGATTACAAGAAATATATGAGAAGACGTTCTTGAAAATACTATGATAATTCTTAATTGCTTTTCCCCCTCTTCTTCTTCTTTTTTTTTTTTTTTTTTTTTTGAGACAGTCTTGCTCTGTCACCCAGGCTGCAGTGCAGTTGTGTGATCTTGGCTCATTGTAACCTCCACCTCCAGGGTTCAAGCGATTCTCCCACCTTAGCCTCCTGACTATCTGGGACTACAGGCACACATCACCACACCCAGCTAATCTTTGTATGTTTAGTAGAGACAGGGTTTTACCATGTTGGCCAGGCTGGTCTCGAACTCCTGACCTCAAGTGATCTGCCCACCACAGCCTCCCAAAGTGCTGGGATTATAGGCGTGAGCCCCCGCACCTGGCCCTTTGCCTCTCTTCTAAAGCCATCTTTCCAACCCTATTCCCTGCACATTCAGCAAAAGATCTTACCTTTAAAATAATAATAATAATAATAATTGTGGGACTCAAGCACAAATTATCTTAATTTCTAAGCTGGGCCTGCAGATTTTCTCTAAATCTGTACCTCTTCATTCCTCCTGTTATTTAGATCCCTTAGACATGTGTGCTGTTGATCCCTCGTACTTGTTTTCTTCAGGACTTTACGCCGTGAAGTGACCTGTTCTCCCCCTATATCTCTCTATATCTTTAGTCTCCAACTCTTTAGTGACTTTTTCCTCAGCCTGTAACATTTTCCTTCATCCTGCATTTGCCTTTAACTCCTCTCTTACATCTCTCTTTTTTACTTAGCCAAGCTTTTAGTGTCCGCATAAGCTTCCATTCACCAGGGCCATTTTAAGGTCTTCACTGTCCCAGCGTACTCTGTGTTGGAGGTCTTACCCTGGATCACTAGAACCTATAAAATGGATCTACATCACTGATTAAATAGGGTTAATTATTTTGAAAAGATTTGTGGCTTTTGCTTTTGAAGTGATTTGGATTGAGTAAGTCACTTATGATTGATTATGACTTCTTGGCAATCATTATGCTTGCTAAGGAATTCATGTGAAGTAAAAAAGAAACATCCCTAACCTAGAAATTGTTTCCGAGTGGAATGAAATGTTTCTGAGTGCCAGGTTTATCAATTAGTAATGTTAATTTATTAATTTTAAATTTAATTATTTTAAGTTTAATTTAAATGTTCAGGTCTCAGGCATTTTTGTAGACCTTTGAAAGCTTATAGGCATAGGCACTTAAGGTTCTTCCTAATGGCACAACTAGCTTCAGTCCCTCCTTCTTTACTGAAATTGCTCTGGCAAAAGCCACTAGCGACCTCTGTAAAACCAAATCCAGTCCACTTGTCAGCATTTGTCATGCTGAACCTTTTTCTGTTTTACACCGTCGATCATACCTTCCCTTCTGGAAACTCCTTATCCTAAGGATTCCATGTTCTTTTTTGTTTATTTGTTTTTCTTACTCTCCTCTGACCCTTCCTTCTTAGGGTTCATCATAGAATCAGTCTCCTTCTCTTCCCCTTAAACTTGGTCGTCTCCCTTTGGTTTAGAACTTTTTTTACATGCCCGTTCTAAATGATAATTTCCAGCCCCTGTGTCAGGTCTGGCCTTTCTTGAGAGCCTTAGGCCTGCATATTCAGCTGTTTCTGGACACAGGCACCTGAGTGTCCAAACAGGAATCTCACACTGAACTCCTTCTTTGCTTGTTTATCTGTGTTATTTATCTCAGTTAATGGGAAACTTATCCCTATTCAAACAAGCCAAAAACCTGGAATTCTCCTTTTTCTTGAAAAATTGGTAAACATTTTCCCAGTACGAAGTGGAGCATTGCTTCACAGGCAGTATATAGAAGCAACATCATTTTTTTTAGAAATATAATTTTAATTTTAACATTCGTTGTAGCTACTAAATTACTGTTTCACCTCCATGCTAAATGTAACTGGAGGCTAGTGATTGCATATTCCAATATAGGATTATCGAAGACTTTCTTGTAACAAGGAAAATAAATAGAAAAGGAAGCCAAAATCATTTGAAAACCCTTCACTTTTGACTATATTACATGTATATATATTTGTAATTCTCAACACATGTCGAGAATAAGACTTTAATCGTTCTAATGCCTGTGTGAGTCTAGTCTCATTATTTGAATGTGGTGACCACTGATTGGAAAGGTCAGAAAAGGTGCATTTTTGGTGGATTTTTACTCCATGTGATATGAGTTAAATTTATCCTCTGAAGAATTTTAAATCTGATTGGATTGATGATATTTTTAGTGTCAGAAAACCATTTTAACAAGAAGAAAAAGATTTCAGATATAAGACCAACAGTAACCTGTTTAATTTTTAGGACTGATAACTATACAGATACTACCTTTAGATTCTCTGGATGGCTAATATTTGCAACACAAGCTTTTTAAATATAAGTTTTTAATTTGTTGCCCATTGTTATATTTAGGTTTGTAAATTTTTCAAATTTAATTTTAAAATTGTTTATATGGTGGGTGTTATATCAAAACTGATGATATGGTGGATATTTTAGAAAATGTAAGTTTCATATTTCTATTTGAAATTCATGTTGCTATTTACCAAATATAATAGAAGCTTTAAGACCTTTACCTCTGTAGTAGCTCATTACATTTCACAGAATAACTAATGAAGATCTAAGAAGTGATATATAACATAGCATTGGAAATTGTTTAGTATGGTTTATGTTAAATAAAAACTTCAACTTTTATGAAGAATATCAGAACTCCCTTCAGCTGGTGGACAATATAGTCTATCAAAATACATCTTGATTCTTTCTAAACTTCACTCAAGATAATACTAAAGTTAAAATGTTTCATAGTAGATTATTTCTATTCTTCCATGAATGTTATCATCGTAGATTTTAGCATATTATCTTTTTCCTATATACTGTCCCTTAAGTTAGTTAACTTCTCTTCCTGCCAAGCCACATTTGTTGTGCCAACCGTGCATAAGCATTATTTGAGTTGTAAATGCTTGTTTTTGGTTTCATACCAAGTAGATCATTTCATAAACAGAAAAGCAAACCAGGTATGTATGACAACCAAACAAAAGTAAAAGCTGTTATAATTCATAGTTTTTTTCATTAGGAAGAGCAGCATTCCGTGTCTTCCACATTGTAGCAAATTCTCAGATATCTGAAGATTTTAATTGATAAAGCTAAAATGACCAGTTTAGCCTCAGAGTAACACTCCAGTTTCATGATACTTTTATAAATATTATAACCTTTAAAACTTTTTTATCAGTGGTCTTAATGGCCTTTGATAATAATAAGCCAGACCAAGCACTTAATTTTTTTAGACATATGGATTTGGGGGCAAGAAAAATATAAAGTGAATTTTAATTTCAGTGTTGTCAAACTGTATTCAGCCACAGTTTGCGTGATGTGAGTCTCTCTCTGCCTATGTCAGCAACATTAATGTTTCCAACTCAACTGTTAAGCTACTTTTTGGTGACAAAATTGTACAACTGTACTCTACTTTAAAATTCAGGCATATTTACAGAATGTCTGTTATCTGCCAGCCATTGTAATAGACAGTTTGAAATGTCTTTTTGAGGAAATGATAAAAATGAAGGCTTGGAGACAAGTAGTAACACACCTAGGAGAACCCTAAGCCTGTCAGTTTTGTTGGTATCGTGGGACATATGTAGTCACAAATGTAAATAGGGAGTACTGGAAGATATATATTCAATAGAGTAATTATGGGTTGGCACATTCCCAGGTAACATAGTAGGACCACAGACTTTGGAGCCAGACTGCCTTCTACTAGCTGTATAAACTTGAGCAAGTTATTTTAAAACTTGATGGCTCAGTTTCCCCATCCCTGTAAATGGAGATGCTAATAGTACCCACCACATGGGATTGTTGTGATGGTTAGAAGAGCTAATATACACAAATACTGGTACATAGTAAGTACTATGTAAGTGTTTGCTACTTTTGTCATTATTAAGGCTAGAATGGATGGTGACAGAAGGCTGTCTCCTTGGGCTTGAGGCCATTTCAGCGCTCTAGTCTTCAAGAGTGAGGTAATTTTATTTTACAGCAGTAAGAGCAAGCAGCCCCATCTAGCCTTTTGTTGCCCTCTGCTCCTTGGAGGTGAAAGAGAAGTACGAATTGGGGATAGGAAGTTATCTAGAATCAGCTCTGTCCTTCCACATCCCTGTTCTTTGGAGATATTTAGAAACGTTCTATAGATTAGACATCTATTATGTAGTGGGGTGAGCATGTAGACCTTTGAGTGAGTCATACTTGAAGTGAAAAGCTGACTCCTCTATTTACTAGTTGTGAAATATGGGAAATGATACTGTGATCTACCTTGCTGGGATGTTCAGAGGATTAAATGAAGTAGTATCTGTAAATACTCTGGCACATAATAAGAGCTCAAAAAACTAGCAGATGTTTTAAATGAGAATACTAGTAGTAATAATGTTTCCCATTTTAAAATGTAAGTACTTTAGGGAGAGCTAGATATTAATCATTCATGCCTTACCTAGCATTACGTTAATAACATAATTATATTGCTTACAGCCACTGAGGAGCTTTGTGAATAGGAATTTTCATTGCACTGTGAAGGTGAAGTAGGAGAGTGAACCTAGTGAATATGGTGCAGCATGAACCAGGACAGTGGTCACCATACAAAGTTGAATATGTCTGGGCATTTGATTCAAATCTGTTACCAGAGGGGCTGGGCACAGTGGCTTATGCTTGTATTCCTAGCACTTTGGGAGGCCAAGGCGGGAAAATTTCTTGAGCCCAGGAATTCGAGACCAGCCTGGACAACATGGTGAGACCGCACCTCTACAAAATTAAAACATTAGCCAGGTATGGTGGCACATACCTGTGATCTCAGCTGCTTGGGTGCTGAGGCAGGAGGATCACTTGAGCCCAGGAGATGGAAGCTGCAGTGAGCCATGTTTGCAACATTGTACTGCCTGGGCAACAGAGTGAGACCCTGTCTTGAAAAAAACAAACAAAAAAAACCTGTTACCAGGTGACCACTTCTATTTCATTTCAACCTATTTAGAAATTTTCCCCTAAATTATTATGTATTACCTACACACATTTGTTGAAAAAATTATTTCATAAGGAGGCAGCATGATGTAATAGAAAAAGAGATACAGCTTAAAATCCTGAATTTGCCATTACTAGCTATATTATAATTTAATTGTATATTACTTAATATATAATTAATGTAATTTAGTTACATTTAATCTCTCATAAAGTGACTTAACCTCCCTGAGCCTTTGTTTCCTCAGTCATAAGATGTACTGCTACGAGATTTAAATATCAATATATGCAAGGCTGTTCCCACAGAGCCTGGCCCATATCTGGCACTCAGAATTTTATTTTTTATTCCCATATATATTCTTCAGACTTTGTACTTGTTGTCATGTCACTGTAAATATGTTCTTATATTTCTGATCAAAGTTGCTGAAAACCAGCAAAATGACAAAGACAAATTATGATGTCTGCAGTTTATTTTTAAATGGTTCAGCAAAAATATTCCTTCATATGCGTATGTGTAGAGAGAGAAAGATAAAACAAATGTGGCAAAATTTTAGCAGTTGGTAAACTAGACAAAGGACATACGGGTGTTCATTTTATTCTTTGAGGTTTATTGTGGGTTGGTAATTTTCAAAATAAAAACATTTGAGAAAAAAGCAAACTGTATTTACTCATGCAAAATAAGACCCTAAAATACCTTCTAGTTAATGTTATTATTTAATGATATTAGTTTAATTGTAGAATAAGATAACTAGCTTTATTATATTGTGTTAAGTGGGAAAATGATCTTTAATTGGATTGTAGTAAACTTAAAATCTTAAAGCAGAGGATGCAGAAATACCTTTTATCTTTGTCACAGATACTCTCATGGGATTTGCCCTTATCTAGTAAGTGTCTTAACTTTGGTGTGGCTGATGGGCTTTTTTGATCCTTATGTTTATTAGCACAGAGATTTCCACAGGCAGATACTTCTCTTTCTTCCCCTTCCCCTTAAAAAAAGGTCAGCCAAAGTAAACAGATAGTATAGTTGAATATGTACTCTGCCTCACAAACCTTTCATTTCAACTTTGCCTAGTCCCCGTTACCAACAAAAAAAGGTCAGTCAGAGTAAACAGATAAGAAATGTGGCTGAATATGAGCTGCCACACAGCTTCAAATGATCATTTTACCTCATCTTTTAAGATAGTTGTTTTTAATTCCTCTACTTTTGTTCATCAAACCATAAGAAATCATGTGGCTAATGATATGATACTGATTGTTAACATTTGCAGGAACTACAGTTAAATTCTTAGGATGATCAGAGATTTTCAAAATGTTCTGTGCCTTCAGATATCTTAGCTAGAAATGTCTTTGTAACCCTATCACCGTTTTTTGCTTTGTGAGATGGGTTCACCACACCTCACCAATAACTTTAGAAAAGCATCTTAATGTAGTCATCTTTGGTTTCCTTTTAAGAACGGGAATATTTGCATTCCCCGATTTGTGTAATCCTTGCAAGGATATTTTAGTACTGAATTTATTCTGTGTTAATAAAGCACATTGCCTGATGACAGGGTAGGACTTGTCTGTTTTATTGTTTTGTCCCTGGCTCCTGGGATGTGGATATGCTAAGTACATGTTTATAAATATAAGTGAATTTGAATTAAATGAAAAATTGTGATACCCTTTGGTCACTCTGACTGTAGAAGCTCAAACATTTGTATTTTAATGTGGTTTCCACTTTAAATATTTCTGAAGCAGTCATTAATAAAACAATTTAAAGTAGAAAGTCCTGTTGGGATGAGAAATCTTTTCCAAGGAGAAGACTTGCTGTTCAGTTGTGGTTAAGTCAGCACTGACTGACTAATAGAATGTTACTATTTAGCACATTTGGGACCATCGCGTTTGTTAACTAAAGTGACAGATAAACATTTTTATTTTTTTCTACAAATCAAGTGTAATATGCAATATACTGACACATCTCTAAGCTTCATATATCTTTGGGTTAAGATACATATTTATATGTATGAAGCAATAACTCCCAAGTTTGTTGATATGTTCATTTTTTAATATGTCCCGAAAGAGTTTTTCCATTTGACTTGTTTAAATTAGAAAATTCTTGTGTTAATTACTGTCATACTGGAAAGATCTTTTCATGAAGTGAAGTATACTTTTGTAAGTTAAGTACCAGATGAAAATGAAAATAATTTCCTATAAAATGAAACAACATATATTAATTGGAAAGAAACTTGTAAGACTTTTGATTTTAAATAGCTTGCTTTATAACTGCAGAGCTTTTTCAGAATTATTTGTTACTAACATTTTTCTTTAAGAATGAAACCAGATCCGTGTCTAATTCATAACTGAATGCAAGCACATGAATAAATAGATAAATCTAAAAGGAACAAGGAATGTTAAGCCTTAGCTTAATGCAGTATAAGTCATTGCTTTGAACTTTGAATTGTGCTGATTAGTTCCAACAGAACATTTATGGACTTTCTAAATTAATTTGCATCATACTTTTTAAAAAATCCTATTGTGTGGTTTCAATAAGGCAACTGAGTAGATTTTGTTGCATGTATTTGTATTTTTTAAATGTAGATACTGCTTTTTCTCATTTTTCGTAGTAGGAAGTCAAAAGATAATATCTGAAAATGACAAAATAAATGAGCTCCATGAGCATATTCTTTAGAAATATAGAGTAAAACATTAGAAGAAGCAACTAAAAGAATTTAGAGTGATTGCCTCTGAGGTGAAAGATTGAGGAAGTACGGCAGGAAGCTGCTGTTTTCTGTTACAAACCTTGTAGAATTAGTTGACTCTAATGTGTGCAATTATAGTTTTTAAGAAAAAGATAATTGAGCAGAAAAACCTGTCTTTCCCTCTCTCCGTTATTTGCACACATAGTAAGCCTATTTACTTAGACCAACTGGGTACTGCCAGTCAGCTGGTAGTAGTTTACACAGTTCCCAGAGAGCATAAGGATGAATAATACACCCTTTGAGGTCTGTCCTGAAACCCTAGTCAAGAGTGTGGCAACACTAAATATTCTAAAATGGAATTCTTAGACATTGGACTTAATGGAATGAACCACGTGGAGATTTAAAAAACCGTAATTATTCATCTATTTTCATCCTAAATAAAATTCAGCAGAGTCCCTTATCTTTCTCCAGTATATTATTTACAGTATGTGTGTCTGTGCACACATGTGTAAAACAGAAACCATCCTTAGATAGCTTAAATATAAACAGGGAAATATTTCTCAGACTATGGGGTCCCCCAGAGCCCAAAGGCAGAAGCACGGTGTGCAGTGTGGCCTATGGAAGGCATTGAAACTGTACAGCCGACTTTGTCATTCCTCCTCCTCCTGCAGGCTGATTTTTTTTTCTTTTTTTACCTCAAGCTTTCATGTCCAGTTACAAGAAAAGGAACAGAATTATTTGGTCTGCTCTGTCTCTGTTTTTTTCTCTCTTTGTCGGTGTCTGTCTTCTCCCCCTCCTCACCCCCATCACCGTGTCCACCCTCTGCTGAGGAGAGAGTTGTTAAATAAAGGAGATCCTTGTAAGCAGTGCAGACATTCCACTACATGACAGCCTGAGTAGGTTTATTCATAAATGCTTAGCTGCAGAGATGAGGACATTAAGTATTTCATGGTAATGTCACTAATAAATGACCAAAGCATAGGCAGCTGCTGTAAGCTTAATGATTGTCAACATTTAGGTGTGGGGTGAAGTTCTAAAGCAACCCCATGTGGTCACATTATCCACTGGTGAAATGCTCTTTTGCTCTAGGTGGGTGCATTTTGGTGCTACCAGTTACGCTTCAGATGTACACAGACTATTCTTATCCTTAAGATAGTGATACTATTTCATGAGTAGAGTTCTTCCAGTTTTACTTCTTTTTTAGTCAAGCATTTATTTGAAGCTGTATTGCAAAAATTATTTCATGATTCTTTGATTTGTACCAGTAAGCAATACACAAACCGCATAGGAGTTTTGCCTCTTTTCCTTTATCTCCTCTTATTGAGATGTGGCATTCTTCAGAAAGTCATCCAGCATCCCTGTGGATCTCTGCCATAAATACTCTCAGAGCAGGCCTTCCATCAGCCTGATGATTTTCTTTAATTTGTCAGAGTACTCTAGGCTTTGTGGTATGTGGTTCCCGGGCTTAATGTTTACTGTGATGAAGTAAAGTCTGCTTCTCTAAAATACTGATCTGATTAGAGTTTTCGATGAAATATTGTGATGGACTCATTTTGAGAAGGAAGCTTAAGTCTAGAATTTTATCATATGTAACCTTCAAAGTTTGTAATTGTGGAGTTTCTGGGTATTAGTGATTGAGCATTCCAAGAGACACCTTTGAAAATTGTTCAGTAGTTTTTCACAATTGATCATGTATTCTTCATTTAGCAGGTAGTTAGGGTTTTTTTCTGTTTTAAACTTTATTTTTATTGTTATTAATACAAGTTCCAAAACCAAAAAACAGTTTTTAATCCAGTCATGCAAATAAATGAATGTTACCATCAGTAAATATTTTTGAGTGAATGAATAGTTTAACTCTATAAAATTGTTCAACAGCCCTTTTTTTTTTTTTTTGAGACAGAGTCTCACTCTGTTGCTCAGGCTCACTGCAGATCACGGTTCACTGCAGCCTCTACCTCCTGGGCTCAAGCGATCCTCCTGCCTCAGCCTCCCAAGTAGCTGGGACTGTAGACATCCACCACCATCCATGCCTGGCTAATTTTTGTATTTTTGGTAGAGACAGGGTTTCATCACGTTGCCCAGGCTGGGCTTGAACTCCTGGCCTTAAGTGATCCACCCGCCTTGCCCTTGCAAAGTGCTACCGGGCCCGACCACTTCTATTTTTTAATCCCTTCCAAAAATGTTACAGATCGTAAAGTAATAGGCCCATGAGTCCATGTGTTCTATAGGGGGTTCATTGCAAAAGGATGGAAATCTGAGTGATTATAGAAAGAGAGTTGAGTGATACATAAGTTAGAAAGAGACAGCAGAGTAGACTAGAGGATGCAATAAGTGCATATAAAAAATATTAAAAGAGAGAAAAGAAAATTCCCAAAGTCCTTGCCATGGTAGTTCAGATGTATTCTGGCTCATAATTTCCTTAGGATTTTTATTGTAAGTGGCTGACTAATGGACTCTTGGCATGGGCTTTGGCTTATGAAATTCTTTCTGTAGTTTGAAGAGTTTAGGGGATACCTGACTTGGTCCATGCCTATTTGAACTTTCAGGGTGTTAATCAAAACTGCCTGAAGAATTGCAGATCCTGCCCACCTATATTTAAAATTTTCTGGCATGACCTAGGCCTAGAGAAAAAAATGTATGGTGCCATCTTTTTTAGTAGAAAAAGTACTAGACATGATGTCAGGAGAGTCTGTGTTTTGGGGCTGCCATTTATTAGCTCTATAACCATGGATTGCTTAATTTCTTGGATCATATTGTCTTCACCTTTGAAATGAGGATTATACCCATTGTATATTTATTTGCTCATTCATTCATTCATTCATTCATGAGTGCCCATAAATTCTTTGGTTGACCATGTGGCAGACACTTTTATACATGCAAAAGATACAAAGAATAGGACACTGTCCCTGAATTCAAGGAGCTTATTGCCTATTAAAGGAGGATAGATTTGTATTAAGAAATAAATAAATGCATGGAAATATTATGAGTACTATGAATGAAACAAGAAACATGAGAATCTTTTTTGATGTCTTCTGTTTCATTAATCACCAGGTTGTATTAATTCTTCTGCCTAAATAAATCTCCAATCCATCAACTTTTCTTCATCATCACAGTCAGTACCTTAAGTCCAAGCTGCTATTACCTCTTTTTGGACCACTGATCTTCCCATACCCACTCAAGCCCTCAAGTCCATTCTTCTCACTGTGGCCAGAGACACCTTTGAAGGCAAAGCTGATCATAGACCGATGTTAACAGTAGGGGAACCTGGCTGTTGAGGTGTATGGGACCCCTCTTCACTATCTTCACAAGTTATCTGTAAATTTAGAACTTTTCTAAATGAAAAATGTTTATTAAAATGTTTTAAAATAAGGCAAACTGACCACACAAATTTAAGTTGCTGCTTAAAATCCTTCAGTGGCTTTTTTTTTCTTTTTTTAAAGAGAAAATCCCAAATTCTTCAAATGACCTACAAGACCTGTTTGACCTGGCCCTGCTTACGTCCTGGAACATTCTTCCCTTTCCCTGCGCCAGCCTCATGGGCCCTCTGGTCACACACTGTCAGGCTCCTTGCAGACAAGCAATAAGCTGCTCTTCTGCTGTCTCCCTGGCTAACTCCTCAACCTTCAGATCTGCAGCTCAGATGTCACTTCCTCAGGACGTCCTCTTAAGTCATCCTGCATTGTCTTTTGGGGCACTTGTCAATTGTCATTACGTTTGTGTTTTGGTGATTTTTAAAAACATGTCAGTTGATCCCACTGAACTATGAGCCGCACAGGAGGGCTGAGGCCATGTCTGTCTTGCATATGGTGCTTAGCACCTACCTGGCACATGGAAGGACTCATCAGTTGTTGAATGAATAACTAAATGATGTGAAAGTAAGTGTTGTGACATTTTTGCTCCTTGCTCTAAAGACTACTGTGCCCAAGCACTGCAAATGGAGAGGAGTATATAGTGAAATTTGCTTAAAATGATAAAAACACAACAAAAATTAATATACATGTAAGACATTGAAAAATAGCCAGAACATTGTCCCTTTCTCATAGTAAGGAAAGACTTACAAGTAATTCATGACTAACTCATAAGTTGAGTACAGAAAAGGAAAAGAAAGAACTTTAAAAAAATATTTTAAACCTTCTGCTGAATTCACCTGTTGGCTAAATTTCAAAAGTGTTAGTATAGAGATTTCAAATTACATTTAGTTAAAGTAGAAAGTAAGTAATTTCAGCTTAATTGTTGAAATGATTTTGACGTTGTATTTAATACAGACTATGATGAGCCAGGCATAGTGGTACCCACCTGTAGTCCCAGCTATTTGGGAGGGTGGAGTGGGGAGATTGCTTGAGGCCAGGAGTTTGAGGCTGCAGTGCCCTATGATTTAGCTGTCTCCAAAAAAAGTAATAATAGGCCAGGAACGGTGTCTCATGCCTGTAATCCCAGCACTTTGGGAGGCCAAGGTGGGCAGATCACAAGGTCAGGAGTTCGAGACCAGCCTGACCAACATGGTGAAACCCCGTCTCTACTAAAAATACAAAAATTAGCAGGGGATGGTGGCACGTGCCTGTAATCCCAGCACTTTGGGAGGCCGAGGCGGGCAGATCACGAGGTCAGGAGTTCAAGACCAGCCTGACCAACATGGTGAAATCCCATCTCTACTAAAAATACAAAAATTAGCTGAGCGTAGTGGCGTGCGCCTGTAATTCCAGCTACTCAGGAGGCTGAGGCAGGAGAATTGCTTGAACCCGGGAGGCAGAGGTTGCAGTGAGCCGAGATCGCGCCACTGCACTCCAGCCTGGGCGACAGAGTGAGACTCCATCTCAAAAAAAATAAAAGTAATAATAAAATGTTTAAAGAAGAGAGATGTGATACAGTGCTGTATACTTGCATTGTTAAAGAATTGTGGAACCAAAAAGCAAAAAATAACTCAACCAAGACATTATATTATGATATACAATTTAAATAAAAAATGTTCCTAGAGTTCTGTAATATTTTTAATCATTGGAGGCTTATCCAGTATATTTACTTCCCATGAGGGAGATTAAATAGTCAGTGATTTCATCAGCAAAGAGACAAAAAGGCACCAAGTAGTATATATGCTGGATCAAAACAAACATTTCACTTAAGAATAATGTGCCTTATTTGACCACTTAATGATATATGATAGTATGACTTCTTGCAGCAAAAAGGAGCTCATTTTACTTACGCGATAGATGCATGAAGGCCCTTGGATATATAGCACTTATGGGATGTTTGAATCCAGAAGAAGGTTGCAAGGAGAGACCATGCCCACTCCCTTAACTGCAAACTTGAGAAAACTTGGAGAAACACCCACTTTCTCCCTGTTAGCCCCTCCTTTCAACTCACTCTTTCTGGCTGGAACTTCAATAGAGATACATAGAAAAACTCTGGAAGTATACTCATTAAACTGTTAACAATGGTTGCTAATTAGAGAGTGAGAATGGGGAAAGAAATACATGTATTTCTTTTGTTATTAAAAAGCCATTAGCAATTAAATAATAAATTATAGTATATTGACATACCGTTTAGCATTTGGTTTTCTCAACTTAGTTTGTATAATTTACTGTATTTAACAATATTTTTGATATTTCACTACTGAATATTATTTTTAAATTATGCATATTAATATTGATTGAAAAAATTTTCCTGACTCCTGATCCCCTTGAGGTGAAGAAATCTGAAGCTTAGGTTGTCTCTGTTTAGTAAATCCTCTCAAGGCAAAAGCTGGCTTCATTTTTCCATTTACTGCTCTGGGTTTCAGTCTTGTGTTGGTTTTTACTATAGTGTTCCTCACTAATGCTTTAATGAAGTTTTAAGGTTGGTTATTTGTTTTTATGTTTCGTCCAGGGTTTTTAGTTGTTTTTAAAATGTTGGTCTAGAAACCAGGTCAGCCATTCTGTTGGAAATGAACCTCTCTTAGATTAGGCACCATAATGTATACACTTGGTATGTTACATAATTTCTACCAGAGCTGTGAAATGGTATAATGAAGTGTCTTTATGCCATTCAGTAGACTAACCCTCCCTTCACCAAAGAGTTTCAGCATGTATTTTCTTTGATGAACTCTTTGCAAGATGCAGATAAATACTGGATAGTTTTTCCCAGGTTAAAATTATGTCTGTGATTCTGTGGTGTAGAACTCTGTGAGGCTTTGACTACCCATTAGCTGTATATTAGAGCAAATTCAGGTGGACTTTTTGAATAGAATCACAGTTCTCCTGAATGTGTGACTTCCCTCATCACACTTTCAGGCTGAAGTTGGATAGCTGCACACATGTGTCTTTGTGAGACATCTTAATTTTCATAAGGCCCACCTTATCTTATCTCAGTGCAGCTTTGTCCTAAGCTGGCTCAAAACAACAGAAGCTGCATTCCAGGAATTTATCAGGAGAGTATAAATAAATTCTCGTTGTTTTGTATTATCCTTACGTTCTAAAAGAAACCAGTTTTTATGGTTTACATAAAGAATATTTAGCGTATCCATTCTGCTGAAATAAAATCTAAATTTCAAATGAAGTCAGAGAGCTAAATACCCGGATTACATCAAATTGACTTTCCCTTAGACCCATTCTTTTAAACTGCCCTTTAGGGTGATGCCATTCACTCATAAGCAGCAGCTGACAAAGCATCTGTATGTTTCCTCACAGATGTTGAGGATGTTCTTATTACATAAACATTGGGTTTCTTGTCACTGAACTCCCAAGGGAGAATTTCCTTCTGAGCTTTCCAGGAGCAGTTTGGTTGTGGACACCATGCATTTGGGTCTTGATTGTCTCCCTTTTTCCTTTGGCTGCTAGAAAGCTTAGCATCTTGAGGTCCTTCCCTGTCAAGGACATAGAACTTCATGGAATGTACCAATCTCATTGCAGATGCCATCTTACTTTCCTACCCTTAATTTTCCTTTAACTCATTTTTTGCCATATTAAATGCTTATTTTAAAATCATTTTGAGTATTTTTTGGAACATAGTAGCCACATGCAGAATCATTTGATTATTATTTCAGATAATGCAAATCAGTGAATAACCATGTTTTAGAAATGAAATTACAAAATTATATGTTTACTTTTGCTTCTCTCAACATTATCGGGACCCAGAAAATTAGATTTTGATATAATTCACTGTCTCTAGAATTCAAAGAAACAAATATGCAAAGACAGTGGAGACCACTATTAGGATTTCTGAGAATGCATACAGCTTGTTCCCTCATTTGGTTGAACAGGCAAATTTTCAAAAGTAAAATCACTCTTCCCAAATATTTTGTAGATTTTGGTAATCTGATAAATGAGCTATTTACTCATTGTTTCTTTGGTACCCACACAGTGGATTATCCATAGCGACAACCCTTTTCAAAACTTAATAGGGCCAACTCTGTATTTATTAGGGAAATAATACCACCAGGTTAAACAAACTGTGGCTCTTGGTTCTGTGTATTTACTCTCTTTCAAAGGGATCTGTTAAACCTTCAGTGTGCCATGTTGTAGATCATTAGAGAAGCTGAATTAGGATATGACTCTGTGATCCTGAATGTGCCTGCCATTTTTATAGTATGTTTAGAATCAAATAAAAAAGATGATGAGCAAATAAAGCATTAGAAATAAAGTACCATGTTATGTATTGAAAACAGGGCCAAATTCTTGTCTGCACAGTACAAATGAGAGCTTGATTATGGTAAATATTACCACTTTCAGTCTATGGAGGTTAAGTAGAATACATAATATTGGCTCAGGAAAATACATTTCTGTTTTTCTTGATTCTAGGAATTATATTGATGTGGAATCTGTAAGAAAGGCTGTGCCTCAAAAAAGAAGAAAGATAGTTTCAGAATTACAGAGATTTTCATAAGAGAACAGATTTTTTTCAAAGAATTCTAATTGCTGTTGAAATTTAAATTAAGCCTAAGATCTTTCATGTCAATTGTTGAGAAATGAAGTCATATTTAAAATCACAAAATGTTAGAGTTCATTTAATTCAATATCCTTATTTTATAGCCATGAATGCTTTTAGAAATTGCTACAAAAGCATACTATCATCTCAATGTCCTTGTGCAATATAAAAACATTTTTTAAATTAAAACTTGTTAAGCTTCTGTCCTAAAAGGTATACTAATGGGAGTAGAATAATCTTTTATAGGGTAGATTGATGTAGGGTTTTTTTTTTATATATATAATAGGATGGAGTACTTTTTTTTCTTATTGGATTTTTTACGTAGGGCTTAATAGTGGGGTTCTGTATTTATGAATTGGCTGAGCCTGTTTGGATAAAATCTTTGCTATGTCAAATATCTATTTTTTCTTAATATAAGTTTTTTGGTAGTTTTAGCATTTAAATTATTCCCTTTTATTTATCTTCACAGATTCTGGAACTTTTCAAAGCCTGACTCTCTTCTTGAAACAGTGGAGCATCATACAGAGTTTACTTGTGGTTTAGACTTCAGTCTTCAGAGCCCCACTCAGGTAACGGATACAATCTCATGATATTCTCTTCTGCCCAAGTTCACAGCCAACTCTGTGTGGCATGCATTGCTTTTATGAATAAAATTGTTGCCATTTTAGCTATATAAGCTGGAGCGTTTGAGCATTAAACTACTAGGGAATAAGAGGTATCAAGAAAGTTGACATACCTTTCTCCTCTTGAAAGACTGATTTCCCTGAGAGAAAAAGGAACCTTCCCAGGAGGTATTATCCTAACATTTTAAAGGCTTTCTCTAGGCCTCTCCCAACAGAAAAGTGACAAGAGAAAGATGGAATATGGCAGGATTGTCGCCACGGGTTGGCAGGAGTCAGGAGCATGTGGTCCTGACTCAGCTGTCCCATTAGGCAGTTGAGACCATGGGCAGGCAGGTCACTACCCTTTCAAGACTGTCACCCTTGTCTTCACACCACGTGTCGAATGGGAGGCTTCTGATGGAGAACAAGTAAAATAGAATGTCTGCTATTTAAGTTAATAAACAATATATGTCTCCCTTTTTGTTCTCTTGAGGACTTGAGAGTAGACACTTTGGACTTTAAATATCCCTCAGGTTTTTTTTTTTAAAAAAGCCTTTTCATTTTAGAAATTGTAAAGTCAATCAGAAACACTACAATATGTTGAGTGATAAGGCCCTTTAAATACAGAGTGTGTGAAAGAACCAGCATATCAATGAAACACAAAATAATATGTGGAAATTGTAGAGCATGACTGTGAAATTGTGCTTTTATGATAACTCTCATAAGTTAAGCAAAAAGAAAATCCCACTTCACATTAATGTGTTCTGAAATTTAAATAAATATGTAAGTGTTTTTTTTTTCTTTTCTTTTTTTTTTTTTTTTTTGAGACAGAGTTTCACACTGTCACCCAGGCTGGAGTGCAGTGGTGCAATCTTGGCTCACTGCAACCTCCACCTCCCAGGTTCACACAATTCTCCCACCTCAGCCTCCTAAGTATCTGGGATTACAGGCATGCAACACCACACCCAATTAATTTTTTTTTTTTTTGACAGAGTTTTTGCTCTGTTGCCCAGGCTGGAGTGCAGTGGCGCAATCTTGGCTCACTGCAACCTTCGCCTCCCGGATTCAAGTGATTCTCCTGCCTCAGCCTCCTGAGTAGCTGGGATTACAGGCACATGCCACCATGCCTGGCTTATTTTTTGTATTTTTAGTAGAGATGGGGTTTCGCCATGTTGACTAGGCTGGTCTCAAACTGCTAACCTCAAGTGATCCACCTGCTTTGGCCTCCCAAAGTGCTGGGATTACAGACATGAACCACCGTGCCTGGCCTAATCTTTATATTTTTAGTAGAGATGGGGTTTCACCATGTTAGCCAGGCTGGTCTCGAACTCCTGACCTCAAGTGATCCACCCTCCTCGGCCTCCCAAAGTGCTGGGATTACAGGCATGAGCTCTCAGCCTATGAGTTTTTCATTTTAGGAATTAAAGATGTAATTCTGAGTTTAAACGATTCTCATTTGGTATTAGAATGTTCCCATTAACATTAGAAATAATCATTTAAAATGACTTAATAGGATATAAGAGAAAAAACTGAAATAGTGATGAGTGAAATGGCATTTTTTCAGCATAAATATAATGTGTTTCAAATGAACTAGTTCCTTTTCTGATACATTTATTATAGATGGATTTTAATAAAATAATTGTACCTGTTTTCTATTTTAGTCTTAAAAAGTTACAGTGTACATACTGAAATATGGCACCCCAAACAAAGGATCCTAAGTAAATATTCATTCAATCCTCATCCTTATATATTTCTATTACCTGTCCTCTGTGAGCCCAGACTAGAACCTGTGGCAGCAGCTGCAGCGCCTCCATTTCCTCAGCTATGGCGCTTCCTCGCCCAGGTCTGAAGAATACCAGATGTTTTCTAAATCCTCCACACATAGTAGGCCTACCTTATTAAAAGCAACTTTGTGATGAGAGGACTTAATCAGAGGACATACATCCCTAAGTAATAGATTTTATTCAAATTAAGATGGTGATCTCAACCAGTATTTTAAACACAAACATTTGAGTTGTGTATATTATTAATTTATATATTTTTCAAAGGATAATTTGTATTATTTTAATTATTTTTATGTACAGAAAACTCAACCGTGTACATTTAATCCAGTTTAGTGGCAGGTTCTTTAGCCTTTGCCTTTTCCAGCTTGGCAGTGTGAGCCACAGACTTGGGACCAAGGACATTGCCCCCCCAGTGACAGCAGATCTCATCGTGTCTGTCATTGTAATTGGTCCTGATAGCTTCCACCATCTTAGCCAAAGCCCTTTTGTCTTCCGAGTTAATCTGTGTGAAGGTGATGGTGGTGTGGGTCATCCTGTGAACCAGTCTTGCCTTTCCCTTGACAGCGCAGTCAGGGACCCCCATTTTATGAGACAGGGCAGGCAGGAAGACAACCAGCTTGATGGGATCCACGTCATGTGCAGTCACCGCCAGCTGAGCCTTCTTCTTCTCCACCAAGGTGGTGACGGTGTTAACCCCAGCTTGAAGGACAGGTGGTCTCTTAGTGGGGACATCCCCTTTGCCAACAGCTTTCTTCTCAGCCTGGGCCAAGTCTCTGCCTCTTCTCTTGCTTTGTCTCTGGTCTGTATTATGGGCCAGCTTATGTAGTTGAGTAGCTGTTTGGTGGTCCCAGGGCCTGGGTGAACTGGTTCATCACAGGAGGCACTTTTAGGCTCTTGTAGAGGATAACTCTTTGCTGCTGCAGCCTGACATAGTGGGGCCATTTCACAAAGTGGGTGAGGTCCCTTTTGGGCTGGATGTCCTGTCCAGTGCCAGAATTCTTAGGCCTTTACTCAACAGGGGATTCACCACTTTCTTGGCCTGTTGCTTCAAGATAGCAGGGGCTGGGGCCCCGTCTTGCCCTTGGTCTTCTTTCGGCATCTTGGGCAGCTATAGGAGAGAGATAATTTGTATATTTACAAGTCACATCAAACTCTTTTCTAGGGGAGATATGAATCAAGTTCTACATGTATCTCCATGTTTTTCCCTCTCACTTTTGTCAGTTATCTATTACTGTGTAATGAACAACTTCCAGGACTTAGTGGCGTAAAACAACAATTTTATTTGCTCACAATTCTGTGAGTCAGCAATTTGGACCAGACACACCCTAGCAGTTCTTCTTTTGGTCTTTCCTGTGGCCACCCATGTGGTTCCAGCCATCTGGTGGCTTAACTAGGGCCGGGTGGTCCTATTAGGCCTCGTTCAATGTGTCTGGTGGATAGTGCTGGTTGTCTTCCAGGCCGTGTGTCTCTAGGTATGCCCAGGTCTCTGCACTTAACAGTTGTGTGTTTACAAGAGGGCAAGAGCAAAAGCTGCAAGTCATCTTGAGAATTGGACTTGGAAGCCACACAGCATTCCTTCTGTTGCAAAGCAAGTTGCAAGGCCAGCCCAGATTCAAAGAGTGGGAAATAGACTGTACCGTTTGATGGGAGGACCTGTGAAGAATTCATAGTCACTTAAAATCTGCCACACTAACCTGTGTTGGTATAGTAGGTGGTTTAAGTTTTATTTTTGTTTGTTTGTTTTGAGATGGAATGTTGCTCTTGTTGCCCAGGCTGGAGTGCAATGGCGTGATCTCGGCTCACTGCAGCCTCCGTCTTCTGGGTTCAAGCAATTCTCCTGCCTCAGCCTCCTGAGTAGCTGGGATTACAGGCATGTGCCACCACGCCCAGCTAATTTTGTATTTTTAGTAGAGATGGGGTTTCTCTATGTTGGCCAGGCTGGTCGCAAACTCCCGACCTCAGGTGATCCGCCCACCTCAGCCTCCCAAAGTGCTGAGATTACAGGCGTGAGCCACTGCGCCCAGCCAAGTTATTTTTAACATACTATATTTATCCTTTAGTCTCATAATGTGTCAGATTTACAGATTGTAAGTTAATTTAATTTTACTCTTTGATCATTTTTTATTCCCTTAGAAAGTATCTTTCTCTCACCTCTTAGTGTCTTTCCATCTGCTTTCATATACCTATTGTCTTTTGTGATCTTAGCAGCTGTAGGACCTTGCTGATGTTACTTTAAGGCTCTGTGTTTTTATATATTCTCAGTCTTAAAAGAGATTTATCTGAGTTCTTCTGTGTATAATTCTTTTTCTTTTTAGCTTCTCCTTTCTTAGAGATCTGAGAAATGAGGTCAAGGGCATTCATATATTACACCACCTTTCTTCTTAACAGAATGTAAGATCTTGTCTTTAAAAGTTTAAAACTTGACAAATAAATGTCTGGGGTCATTCTTTAAGGATAATTGCTGAGAAATGCTCTATGCCCTCTCTTGTTAACCAGGCTGAAGGCATCGTTTTCTTTGAAAATTTTTTTTTTCTGATCATGATTTGTACAGTTCTGACATTTTATCTTTTCTTTCTTATCCTTCTTATTTCTAAATTAGATACTCTTTTTCTTTTTGTAGACTTGTGATTCTAGACCTATAATACACCTATTTATATAACTGGAATTTCTATATTAGTTTAGAATTCCTGACTTTGTGTTCTGCAGTATCAATTCTGCTCTTCCAAATGCTCAGTGATGTTTAGTTTAGTATTTATAAGCTGGATACAAGTTTACATATCTTTATACATTCTTTTGGGGGCATAGTTATTTATTATTTTAATCTCTTTTAAAGTAAACGCTACCACTTTCAGATGTCGCTGCTGTATGTTTAATAAGCTTTAATGTTTTCCTCATGACAAAATTTTGGAAATTACATTTAGAAGAAAGAAAAAAGATTACCTCTAGTTTCCCCACTTGAGAAAGAATCTCTTATACCATATTATTATGTTTCTTTTAAAAATCTCTGTTTTACCATATTATTATGTTTCTTAGATTTAATTGAAATGTAAATTTATATTTTAAAATGCACATATTTTTAAGTGTACAGCTCAATTAGTTATCCAGAAGTGACTACCCCTGTATAACCACTATCCACGTTGAGATACAGAACATCGCTTGCATTCCAGAAGCCTCTTCCCAAATCTGAACCCCTCCTTCCCAGTGGTAGCCACCCATCCAGTCTCTGTCTGTGTGTGTATTTTTCAAAGTTTGGGTAAACAATCTTTTCTTTCTTTCTCTTTTTTTTTTTTTTTTTTTCATAGAGACAGGATCTTGCTATGTTGCCCAGGTTGGTCTAGAACTCCTGAGCTCAAGCAGTCCTCCTGCCTCGGCCTCCCAAAGTGCTGGCATTATAGGCATGAGCTACCATGCCCCACCTAAGATAATCTTTAGTGAATGAATATCTGAATCTGTCCATGCTAGGAACATGTAGCTCCTATATAATGAGCTTTCTTTAAAATATTAATAGAGTAGAAGTAGTTTTGTATATTTTTGTTTTGTTTCAGTAAAAGATGATTAGATTTGGTTCTGATTTAAACTAGTTCTTTAGATATATTTTTATTTTTAATTATTATTATTATTTGAGACAGGGTCACTGTGTCACACAGGCTGGAATGCAGTGGTACGTCATGGCTCATTGTAGCTTCAACTTCCTGGGTGCAAACGATCCTCCCATCTCAAGCCTCCACTCCCACCCTACCCTACTGAATAGCTGGGACTACAGGTGTGCACTTTTTTTTTTTTTTTAATTTTTTGTAGAAATGAGGTCTCACTGTGTTGCCCAGGCTGGTCTGGATCTCCTGGGCTCAAGTGATCCTCCCACCTCAGCCTCCCAAAGTACCGGGATTACAGGTGTGAGCCACTGTGCCTGGTTAGATATCATTTAAAAATTCAGCTCTTGTTTTGGTTCAAACCTCTATTGCCATAATCTTCGATACCAGGTTTAATGGTTGACAGTAGATAAAAGTATTTAAGAATTCTTTAATGAGTTTAGAAAATTGGATTTTAGAAGATGGCAAGCATTATTGGTAGTTAGGATATTTGTGTCCTGTTCACCTTTTATGTCAGGTGATATTTTCTGCATCTGTCACAGACTAGCTTTAGAGTTAAAAAGAACAAGTGCCAGAAGCAGTCGGTGTCCTCAGGCATTAGTCTCTGCTGTTTCCTCATTGATGCTTTCATAATTGTGTAATTTTTTAGCTTACAATGATATAACAAGTCCTTGTTGTTTTCGCCAAGCCATAAAACATTTCCCAGTTCCAGCTCTGTAGGATATCAGTGTGCTCCTTAGATGGATGGTATTAGGCTGTGTCTGCTGCCCTCTGCACTACATAGACACCCTGATATAGTTTGGCTGTGTCCCCGCCCAAATCTCACCTTGAATTGTAACTCCCACAATTCCCATGTGTCATGGGAGGAACCCGGTGGGAGGTGATTGAATTATGGGGGCAGGTCTTTCCTGCACTGTTCTCATGATAGTGAATGAGTCTCATGAGATCTGATGGTTCTATAAGGGGGAGTTTCCCTGCACAAGCTTTTTTTTTTTTTTTTTTACTGCTGCCATCCATGTAAGATGTGACATGCTCCTCCTTGTCTTCTGCCATGATCGTGAGGCCTCCCCAGCCATGTGGAACTGTAAGTCCATTAAACCTCTTTTTCTTCCCATTCTCAGATATGTCTTTATCAGCAGCGTGAAAATGGACTAATACATACCCCTTGCAATTATGGCATCCCTTCACTGTTGACATCTGCCTCTGATCTTTCATTCCTGAATCACTCACTTTCCTATTCAATTTCCTTTCTCTTGATTATGAAGCATTGCTTCTGAAAACCCACCAAACATACTGACTAGGCACACTTCAGATTACTTTTTAAAAAACTTCATTTGGGCTCTTGGTCCTACTCAACTTACCTTTGAAGTCTTTCTGATTTTACCTTTGAAGTCTTTTTTATTTTTTTAGTCCATTCTCCACTGTATCTTTCCTCATCCTTTTTCAGTGTCAGTATCTGGACGTTTGACCTTATGTTCTACTTACTGTTAGAAGAGAGTTCCCAGGAATGAGCATCTTTTTCCGTCTCTGTCACCCCAAAAGGTTTGCATTTTATCTCTATTTTTTTCCCATTCTTCCAGTGGGTTTCTAATTTTCTTGCTGGTTTCCTCATCCACATCTTTGCTTCTTCACTTATCCACTGTTTTTAGATCTTCAATCGGTTCTTCTGTTTTCAAAGCTCTATGGGGCTTACCCCACTGTCCTGTCACACTATCAGTAAGTTCTGTTTCTCTTCTATTATTAAATATCTAGAATTAGTAAATTGACCTCTTGCTTTTAGTTTCTCAGAATCTACACTCTCTTTTAAACCTGTCTTCCTTTCATCATTCAATTGAAGTTAAGCCCAAAAAGGTCACCAGTAAACTCCTGAAACCCGAATTAGCCTTTTTTCAGACTTTTTTCTTATTTAGCCATATAATTTTGATATTTGAAAAAAATCTTCCTGTCCTATTTTTTCAATGCTACCATGCTGACCTCTTCTTCCTTACCTCTTTGCTACATATCTTCATCACCATCCCTCCAAAAGTAGATGTTCTCCAATATTCAATCTTAGCCCTCTTACTTTGGTGCAACTTCCCCTTAAAGCTGTTGTATAATTCTATGCTAGTGATACTTGCCCTATGTATCCAGCAGACTTTACTGTGAGATCTGAGTAGATGTCATGCTTTTCCTTCAGTATTCCTAACCTGGTCAGTTGATTGCATTTCGGGGCCATACTAGAGATCTGGGAAGTAATCCTAGTTTTCCTGTCTCTTCGCATTTCCTAAATTCAACTTGGTATTGAGTTAATGAGTTATTTCTCACCAATATCTCTGAAATCCAGACAATGCCTTTCTACCTCCACTGCCTTAGATAAGCACTTATTTGTACCTTTACCGTGGATTACTGCAACAATCTCAAACCTGGTCTCTAAGCTCTTTCCATCATCCCATTGATTCTCCATGTTGCCTCCAGGGAGAGGTTTCCATAATGCAAATCTGGTTTTGTTAGTGCTTGACCTGAAATACGTTAAAGGTAGGAGCAAGGTGAGAACTGCCACCATCACCACTGTAAATGAACATGGTTCTAAAAATTGTGTGGCCAGTTAGAAATAGGAGAAAACAAAATAGAATATAAAATTTTAAAGGTAGAACATTTTATTGTCATTTGTAATTCATGATTGTCAAATTGAATAAGTATTAAATATATCAACTTTAAACCTATTAAAAATAATAAGAGAGTCCAATGAGAAAGTCAGTTAAAATAAATGTATAACATTGAATAACCTATAGATATAACAATTATCAGTTAGAAAATAAAATGGGAAAAATTACTTTTACAAGGCAGCAACTGTGTATGTGTGTGTGTGCATGTGTGTGTGTGTGTATGGGTGTAGTATTCCCAAAGAAAAAAATTAAAAATATACAGGACTCCAGATTAAGAAGATTATGTTACTTTGCTAAGAGACCTTTGAAAAAAGACTGGAATAAATGGACAGACATATCATGTGCCTGCAACAGAATACATTTTTCCTATTGCTGTCCCTTTTTTAAGGCATTTGTCATCCAATGCAGATGCTACTATATTTGCCTCCTAACCTATCTTTCTCTTTTTGAAATTCCTGGACAATCACTCCTGTGATGCTTTTAAACCACTCTGACCATTAACCTCTTGCCATACTATTAAGTACTAGTTTTAATTTGCAAATCAATCCAGTTAAATTGTCGTTTTTATCATTGTCATCTTTGCTCAGAAACCTTCAAGAGGAAGCCCATTAATTCCCTTCAGTGTAGAGTCTGAACTTTTAATCTTGCTTTCAGGATTCAGTGTAATCCGTTTTCCTTTTTAATTTTAGTTCTCACCATCCTATGTAATCCTCTATTGCAGAACAATTACATTTTGTTATTTGTCATATCCATGTTTTTACCCGTTTCTCTTGCTCTCCTCCGCCTCTGCCTATGGAAATTATTTCTGCCTTTTTGACTCCAGAATTAAGTTCTTCTCTTCCTTCTCTCCTCCTCTTCTTTCCTTCTCTGCTTCAGTAAATATTTTGTGTCAACTAAATATCTTGAGTGCTCGGAAATACACAGTGGATTAATGTCAACCACCTGATACATATGTGCTAAATAGCTATTCAATGAATTAATGAAAAGGATTTTTTTAGTTTATTGGTCAGCTCTTTCCTTGCTTTTGCATAAATTCCATAATGATTATCATAATAAACCATATTCTCTCCTGTAGTCACTTTCTATTGTAAGCTGGTTGAGTAAGTAAAGCATGTTTCTTCCTTGAGTCCCAAATTTAATATACTGCAGTATAATGTCTTGGCTGCTTTTTCAAAATGTAGAGTTAACTGTGATTTTTTTTTTCATTCTGTCTGTATCTTTCTGCCTGTTTCTATTATTCATTTTTGCTAAAGAGGCCATGTGTCATAAAGATAATTACAGTAGATTGAACAAGTTTCCCAAGGGCAAAAGCAATTGTCCACGAAATAGAGAAAAAAAGGGTATAATGATAAATAGGAAATGGAAAACTTCTTAATAAAGTAAAGCTCCTAATGAGTCAGTTGGAATTCCTGATTATTATTAACAATCACATTAAATCATTTGAGATAAGTTACCTTATCAGTTGCATGTGTAAATATTTTAATAAAGTGGAGGGAATTGATGCAATTAAGGGATATAAATTCATTTTCTAAATTTTACACGTATTTAAAGTGTTGTATTTCCATTTTAATGTTTCCTTCTCTAAAATCCACATTTATGGGACCATTATTATTGAAGATGTTCTATAATACATATGATTTGATCCACTATTGGTAAATTTTTATTATAGTCTTCTTAGTGAATGCATGTTTCTTTACTATCTTTGGATTTATGTAGCATTTAGTCCAGTATTTTGCATATAGGAAATGCTGAAATACTGGTTTAATAGAGTTGCTCTCTGGCATTCCATGTATGAAGATGTCTTAATGTATATGCCATACATACCTCTGTTTAGAAATTAATAGGCTTTATTGACATAAATTTCTGTTCAGTTTTTCAAGCTTTATTATATGTTTTGAAGAAACTGACACATTAGTTCAAAGCAAGTAATTTGTATTTCTGATTAGTGTGCTTATTCTTATAACAGAAATACCTATTTTGCTGTATTAAAGTGAAAATGAAATAATTAAAAATAGAACTTATATGGCATCTTACCCTATTAGTTTAGTTTTTTTTACTACCCTAGTAGATAGCATCTTTTAAAATAATAAGATTGGTTCTCTCTTCAAATTTTACATTAAGAAATATAACATTTTGACAAACCATTTTTTTTTCTGTAATGTCAGTAATTTTAATTCTGACTTTGATGAAAAGATTAGCATGTTGGTCTTAGCTTAAAGGAAATTCAGAAGGGCATAGGGATGAAATGTACCACAGCAGGGGCTTGTGAGTAAAGGAATACATTTTCCACTTGTGTATCCTTGGGCGGAAGCAGTAGAGCCTGGAGGCCCCTGCCCTTGAGTGTCCACATGCACACTCATACTGTAAGGGAAGAGAGTCAAACAAGAGATACCCCAGCCTTCAAAAAACCCTAGTTGGGATTCAGAAAAAAACTGCCTCTCGAAAGATTGAGTTTCGTCAGAGGAGTTATAATGCAATTATAACTTTTAAATTGCCTTAAAACTAAAACTTTCAGTTCTTCACTTACTCGGATGTATCCCACTGCCTAGAACATTTTCCTTTTTTCCACTGTGCCCCTGACCCAAAAACAGCAACAAATGCTGTCTAGCGGGTTCCTCCTTTAAGCCTCAGCTTAGATACTACTTCCACCTGAAAGCAGGCACTTCCCTCACATTCGATTATAATGGCCCCTTGCCTACTTTTATGGGACCCCATAATTCCTCTATCATTTTACATATTACGCTACAGTATAGGTGTCTCTTTGCTTACCTGTCTCTCCATTACAATCAAGATCTGTGGAGCCAGAGACCAGGACCCTTGTGTTTATTGTCGTAACCTGTACATACTTCTGACACAGAGGAGGTTCTTAATAAGTCTTTGTTGAATAAATGGATGAATAGGTGTATACATAAATTATCTTTTAGATAGCTTTGTAATTCTGAGGAATATTTGACAAACAGTTCTTAGGACACAAAGGCAAGCTCCCTGTGAAACTTCTCTAAATATTCCTGAAATTAAAAACAAACAAACAAAATATATATCCTTCAAATCCCATAAAACTTGTTGCTTTTACCCACATCTCTGACCTCACACCTAATTGGATGCTTTTTATTATGTGAGGGGCTCTCTCTACTCAACAAAATCTTGCAGTGCTACCAGAAGCCATTGCAGTGGCAGTGATAATTAATAAGAGGTCCCCTGGGGACCACATGGCACAATAGTTTTTCCTTACCAGGAAGTTCCTACATAGCAACCTTGGAGAATCTAGAGCCTCTTTGTTAGTTAGTAAAGTGCTTTTTTCTTACCTTATTATTATTTTCTTTATTGTTAGCTTGCTTAAATTTGTAGAACCAGATAGGGCTTAATTAACAAATAGAGGAATACTATTTTCATCAATTTGAATTAATCTATTCATAATTCTATATCATTGCAGTTTTAGATCTATCTTAATCCAATTAAGTATAGATTTATGAACATTTGCTGAATCAGTGGCCTTGACATTTGGTAGTTATTATAAGTCCTGAATAAATAAGAAGCTGGATTGGAGAGTGCCGAATAAGGTTTCAGAAACATAATTTATAGATACCTTGCACTAGAAACCTAAGTCTTATTTCTCTGATTCTCTTCTCTCCAGTAGCGGATGCTTAACATGTGGGAAGGCCCAGCACTTGAAAAAAATAGGCATAGATGAGACAGGGGTAATTTAACATAATGATCTTTGTGTCCTATGGTATAAAAACTGAAAACTGCAAGATTAGGCAAATAATGGTTTTCAGTTTGCCTTTTCTATGAGGCACTGTTTTAGTGGATACATTCAACAGGTTTAGGTTCTGGCTGTAGCTCTGCTACTCTATTGTGAACATGAGGACAGAGTTAACCTCTGAAATTGTAATCTATGAAATTAATTTGTTGAGCCAATATTCATTGAGTTATGTTCTAATAAGACATGGTCCATGCCCTCAAAGAGCTGAAGACAACTCTTTGTCTTCAGTTGGGAAAATAAGTACAATCAAGTATTATGGGTACAATGAATGACTTCATAGAGGAGATGATACCTAAACTGATTTTTTAAAAAAGAGACATCTCTGGCAGAGCAAGGCAAAGGGGACAGAGGAGCAGACAGAAAGGGAGGGAGAAGAGGAGTTATTAAAGGGAAGCGATCAGTAAAGGAACAAGAGCGAAGAGGCATAAGCAGCATGCTTGGATTTGAGGTGTGAGCCCGGTGCAATGAGAAATGAAATGGGAACAACCAGATCTTGAAGAGTGAGGTTTTTAAATTTAAAAGTTTGACTAAAAAGTCTATAATGCTCTCTGTAGCTTGGATTCTGATCTCAGAATATTGGTAGTGAATGATTGGCTATCACTATTCAAAATTAGTGATAGCCAAGAAATTACATTAGTCAAAACGAGGTTTCTCTTGTGTAATTTTCAGCCTTTGTAATAAGCATGAAAGGCTGGGAAATGGAGTGCAAATACTTTTGGTCAAAAGCACTCTCTTGCTACTTCATCTTTCATTTTACTGCCTACCTTGTTTCTTTTCTTCTTTTTTTTAAATTGTGGAAAATTTTGAAAACATACAAAGTAACAGAATCAGATAACGAACTTCATTACTTAGCTTGAACAACTATCAACATTCTTATTTTATTTATTCCTGTACTCTCACACATCGTTTAGTTATCGCTAACATTATTTTTACTATTTTTAGGTATAATTCACATATATTGAAATTTACAAATCTTAGATATACATTTTTGACAAATAGATACGTCTGTGAAATTCACATCATCCCAGTTATTGGAAACTGGGAAAGCCCCCAGTTTCCTTTTTACCCCTTTCCAATCTCCCCTATCCCCACCCTTCCCTCCAGGTGAGAAGAGTAACATTGTTCTGACTTTTTGTTTGTTTGTTTGTTTACCTTAGATGAGTTTTGCCTGTCTTAGAATTCTATAAGGAACTCTTCTGTATGTCCTCACTTGTTTCTGGCCTCTTACCTGTGAGCTTCACCCGTGGTACTGAGCCTGTTAGCAATTCCTCCCTTTGTTTTGCTGAGCACATGCTGTTGTATGAATTTACTACAATTTGTTACCGATTCTTTTGTTAGTGGGTATTTTGGTTGTTTTCCTTTTTTTTTAGACAGAGTCTCACTCTGTTGCCTAGGCTGGAGTGCAGTGGCATGATCTCGGCTCACTGCAACCTCTGCCTCCCAGGTTGAAGCGATTCTCCCACCTCAGCCTCCCTAGTAGCTGGGATTACAGGTGCACACCACCACACCTGGCTCATTTTATGTATTTTAGGTAGAGGTGGGGTTTCACCATGGTGCCCAGGCTGGTCTCAAACTCCTGACCTGAGGTGATCCATCTGCCTCAGCCTCCTAAAATGCTGGGATTACAGGTATGAACCACTTTGCCCAGCCTTGTTTTCGATTTTTTGCTATCGTGAATGAAGTTGCTATGAACATTCGTGTCTACATTGTTTTGCAAACATATGTTTTCATTTTTCTTGGACAAATATCTGGGAGTGGAATTACTGGGTCAAAAGATAGGTATGTGTTTAACTTGGTAAGAAACGGCCAAATTGTTTTCCAAAATGGTGGTACCATATACCTTCCCTACCAGCAATGTATGTGATCACAGCTGTTCCACATCCCTGCTGACATTTGGTGTTGTCAATCTTTAATTTTAGCCATAATGTGAATATATGGTGGTATCTCATTGTCATTTTTATTTGCATTTCCCTAATCCCTAATGATGTTGAGCACTTTTTTATGTGCTTACTTTTGCCCATCATTTTTCATTAGATTGCCTTTTATTATTGAGTTGTATTGGTTCTTTATGTATTCTTGATACAAGTTGTCAGGTGTATATTTTATGAATATTTTATATAACTGTGTCTTGCCTGTTCATTTTCTTAACAGTGTCTTTTGATGAGCAAAAGTTTTATTTTTGATTGAGTGTAACTTACCAAATTTTTGATTATTACTTTTTGTATCCCTAAGAAATCTTTACTTACCTCTGTATTGAGAATATATTTTCCTTTTTTTTTTTCTGAAAGTGTTATACAGTTTGCTTTTATATTTAGGTCTGTGGTGCATCTCAAATTCATTTTTATGTGCAAAGTTGGGGTCAGGATTCACTTTTTTCCCTATGGATATTCAGTTGTTCTGCCACCATTTATTGAAAAGACTATTTTTTCCTTTTGCTCTTTAATTGTTTTGGTACCTTTGTTGAAAGCCATTTGTCCAAGTGTGGGGCCTATTTCTGAACTCTGTTCTCTTCCTTTGATCTACTTGTCTTTATCCTAATCCTGCACAGTCTTGATTACAGTAGTTTCGTGCTGAGTCTGGAAGTCAGCTAGTGTTAAGTAGTGCAGCTTTGTTTCATTTCAAGATTCTTTTGGCTAAGTCCTGGCATTTCCACATAAATTTTAAAAATTGCCTCATCCATTTCTATTAAAAAACGAGTATATAGAAACACAGTGGTTTTCATATATTAATTTTATACCCGGAGACATTGCTATATTCACTAAGTTTTTAATGCATAGTTCCTGAACACCCTGGACTTTCTTCCCTTCATGTTTTCCTATGGCTCTGTAGATGTGAATGTCCTTGTCTTTTATGTCTGCCTCCTACAGAGGTCCAGTGGGAATGCCATGGCATTGTGAAGTTGTCTGACACTGTCCCAGCTGGAATCATATAGTCCCCCTAAGAGTCTCTGTTAGTGCACCTTCCACACTCAGTCTTGAATGAGCCATTTTTTGAAGGCAAGAGCTTTACTTTATCTTCCTCTCCAGTCCCACAATATTGAGCACAGCATCTTGTTCACAGTCTGGAACGTATCTTTTCGACATTTATATCAGATAGTAGGGAATTATGTAGCTGTTGGGTGAAGTGAAGGTGGGGGACATTCTTATAGGAAACCTCAGTCAATTGAAATATACCAATTGGAATATACTCAATCAATGGGAATCAGTTGGAATACCCTGAGGTATATCCTAAAAAGGGAATATGGACCTTTTATCAAAAACGTAGCCCTATGTTTTCCCTATTCAAAAATATGTTTACTAGTGGATGATTTACGACACTCTAAATGACTTGAGTTTTTGCTGTCAATTTTGAATTTTTGTATGTCTAAATACGTTTCTTCTTACTTCATTTTTGTTTTCTAGGTGGCTGACTGTTCTTGGGATGAAACAATAAAGATCTATGACCCTGCTTGTCTTACTATTCCTGCTTGAGATACACTACTTTGGTCAGAAACAGAGGATGTTGGCTGAAGAACTGCCTAACAGCAAATAAATTAACTATGGAAAACATAGACATTATGCTTTTATATGCTATTCAGATTTCAAATCTTTCCAATTTACCCTGGAATCAGTTTTGAGGGAGCTGATAAAGACTTTAGCTGACTCGTTAAGCCTGATACATAAGCCATATTTAAAATTCTAAGAAATAATTAATGTTATGATATATCTTGTAGTATCTATTAAAATGTCTCTGGGTCATAAAATGGATTAAAATATGGGAGATCAGTAGGTTATACTTATATAGATAGTGATATATTTCATTTTTAATTTGTCATTTTTGATGTAAAATATAATCACTGCTGTGATAAATAAACTATCTATTGATCATTTATCATTTTATAACTTCCCCCAAAAGACTGCTCTTTCTAATACATTGTATATGTGAATATAGTACTATATATAATATAGATATATCTGTGGTTCAGTAACAGGACACTAGAATATATTTAATTTATTCTTTTATTTAGTAGCTGTTTATTGAGCATCTACTCAGTGCTTGACACATAGACTCAATGAGATTCTGTCAAGGACTGGTGCCATGTTTTTAAGAACATGGAATGCTGTGAGCTAAGAGCTTACTTTTTTTTTTTTCTTAGAATTTATTCACACATTTTTAGATATTGTACCCATGACTCTATAATTTTGTCTTCCCACTTCTCTAATATCAAAATTTTTTTAAACTGTCAATTAAACAAAAAGTTTTAGGTCCTACTAAGGCTTCTAGCTTTTGCCCTTGAAACCAGGCCTAAGTACAGCTATACGTGCTCCTTGCCACCTCCCTAAGTTTTCTTGAAAAAGCTCTAGGTGCAGATGAACTGAAAAAAACAAAAAAAGTTGGTTAAAGAGGAAAAATCAGCAAAACAAACTACTTTGCATAACACTTATATTTTCTACATAATATTAAGATATGCTATAAATAGCAAAGATTATAATTCTTAAGTTCTTTTTAAAGAACAAAATACGCTCATAATAATCAGAGCAAAAATAAACTAAAATATATGTATATTGTCTTCTTTATAGATTTCCTTGTTTACTTGTTGCAGAAAAAATTTAAGACAGCTTAAGATATAAAAACAAAACAACAGCATAAATTAAGAAGTGGAACCAAAGACAGAAAGTGGAGGCAAGAGTGGGGCTTGAGTATACATACCTCAAAGTCCTGTAAAGTTACTACTGACTGGGCCAAAGATTTGCCGCTAAGGTTTCTAGCTTCATAAATAGGAAATCTGAACAGTTACACAGTTCAGTGCCTATGGCCTAGAGGGCAGACTCTGTCCTTGTGCCAGGCTTGGCCCTACCACCCTGCCTGGCACAGGCAACAGAAGGGGCTCAGCATGGGGCCTCACTATGTTGCCCAAAACTGGTCTTGAACTCCTAGGCTGAAGCCCTCCTTCCACCTCAGGCTCCCAATTACCTGGGACTATGGGTACATGCCACAGTGCCCACTTTTTTTTGGTTCTTAAATCAGCAATACAGATTGCTTTTGAGAGGACCCATAAAGAGGACACTGCTTAACCTAAGTATACTGCAGGGAACATGGTGCTTAACCACATCCTTAGAGTTGTCACACTGATGAGTTTGACAGCCTTTTTTCTTGCTGCTTGCCTCTATATGAACTAATGGCATTACACCAAGGTGTGGTCAGTAAAAGTGGGTCTACAATGGGTGTTCTCTGTATCAGCAGAATTTGTGATAGGCCCTAAAAGTATCCAACCCAAAGTAGTCAGGCATGGTGACGTGTGCCTGTAGTCCCAGATACTCAGGAGGCTAAGGCAGGAGGATTGCTTGATCCTGGGAAGTTGAGGCTGCAGTGACCCAGACTAAGGCATTCCAGCCTAGGTGACAGACCTTGTCTCAGAAAATATCTAACCCAGATAATATTTACAATGAAATGAAATTATTTCCTTTCCTTCTAGAATGCAAGAGATTTTTATTAACAAAACGTTCTATCACGTATCTTTCGAAACAAAGACTTGTAATTTAAAAACTAACCTCTCCCTTGATTTATTCTTTTCCCTCTATTCCAGGGATGTTAGAGATATTCAGATCATTGGCTTCATAATATATAACTCAGGTTCTTGGAGTCTATCAATATGAGAGTGGGTGAATGCTTATCCAGTTGGTTCCCTGGAACTAGAATTGGAAAACTCTGAGGAGCAGACCTGGATTCTCTCCTGAAAGACAATGTGCAAGATTTTTGAATCCTTGGTAGCTCACAAGCTAAGCAGCATTTGGACTTCAGAGGATGACCAGTCATTCTTTCCGGGTTGGGAAATCAGCATTTGTCTCCTGGCTGCTGAGCTCTTAGCTTTCATCTTGTCTGCCTCCCCACAAGCTCCTCCTACACCTGCAGGGAACTCAGTTACTGATTGTGGTCAGGGCACCGTGTAAGATGCTTTATATATGTTATCACTTTTAATCTCTATAACATCCCTGCAAGGTAGCCCTCCTTATTTTCAGGACAAGGAAGCCAACGTTCTCAGGAGTCATAATAGCGAAAAAATAATGAAACGAATTTGAAATCTGGAATGATTGAATCCAAACCCATGGTCCTGCCACATAGCCTCCTTTTCTTAGGAATAACAGAAATTAGCACACTGAGAAATAGTTAAGATGTAGAACTCTCTGGCTGTACCTGATTATTCCTGAGAGAACTGACAGAATTGAGTTTCCAAGTCTCAAGAGCTAAGCTGAACCTTAGTCTGGAGTGACCCTACCAAGGTCCATCACACCCAGGGAGATCCAGGCTGAGAGTCAGCTATCCTTTCTGCCTTTGGCACTTCTTAACTGTGTATCTTAGCAATAATTTGGCTCTTCCAAAAATGAACTCGAATTTTTTACTTAACAGGCTTTTCCTTGTATATGCTGATCCACTTAATTGTTTTTTACTTTCATGTTAATAATATTCTCAAATCTGTACACCTACCTTCCCCACCTGGGTTTCCCACAAGCCTTTGCATTCATTTTGTTCCAACCAAACTCACTTGCCTACTAACCCAGCTTTTACTCCTACACATGCCTTTTCATTTGTTGTCAAAAGTCAAGCTGTTAACAAAAGATCCATTTGGGTCAAGCTAAAGACCTAAACACCATCCTTGGTCCTTCCCTTATTCCCACTTCTCCACACACATCAAATGAGATCCTTTTTACCCCCTCATCACTGCTCCCTTATATCTCTTCCCCTCAATCCAACCACCATTGCCCCAGTTCAAGCCATCATTAGCTTTTCTCTGGACAATTGCAGCAGCTTCCTAAATGGTGTGTCTGTTTCCAGTTCTGTGTCCTCAGAGCCATCCTCCTCAACACAGCTGCCGGAGACGGATCTCAAATGCAATCTGATTACATCAATTTCAGTATAAAACCTTTCTCTGCTTATAGGATTACCTATGGGGAAAAATTCAAGCTTACTAACCAAGCAGCCAGGGTCCTCTGGGGATAGCCCTTGCCTCTGTCTGCAGCACCGCTTCTCTTCACACAAAACCAGTGTGCTCACAAATTCTTCATGTAAGTGATGCAAGTTTTCAGCTGGTCCATGTGCCTGGACTGCCCTGCTCTTGGCTTGGTAAGTTCTTACCCATAATTTAAAAGTCACATTAGGCTGGGCGTGGTGGCTCAAGCCTATAATCCCAGCGCTTTAGGAGGCCAAGGTGGGTGGATCACCTGAGGCCAGCCTGGCCAACATGGTGAAACCCCGTCACTACTAAAACTACAAAATATTAGCCAGGCATGGTGGCGAGTGCTTGTAATTCCAGCTACTTGGGAGGCTGAGGCAGGAGAATTGCTTTAACCCAGGAGGCGGAGGCTGCAGTGAGCTGAGATTGCACCATTGCACTCCATCCTGGGTAACAAGAGGGAAACTCCATCTCAAGAAATAATAATAATAAATAAAAATAAATAAAAATCCCATTAAATAACTAAAGAATAAGATTGACAACATACAAAAATTAAAATTGCAAAACACATCACTAGCAAAGCTAAAAGAGGACATAACAAAAGGATATACTGGCAACTTATATAGAATGGGTGGTTAATAGCCAAACTTTACAAAGGGCTCTTAAAAATCACTAAGAAGGCTGCGCATGGTGGCTCACGCCTGTGATCCCAGCACTTTGGGAGGCCGAGGCAGGTGGATCACCTGAATTTAGGACTCCGAGACCAGCCTGGCCAACATGGTGAAACCCCGTCTCTACTAAAAATATAAAAAATTAGCTGAAGGTGGTGGTGCACGCCTGTAGTCCCAGCTACTCAGGAGGCCTAGACAGGAGAATCGCTTGAACTCTGGAGGCAGAGGTTGCAGTGAGCTGAGATCGAGACATTGCACTCCAGCCTGGGCAACAAGAGCGAAATTCCGTCTCAAAAAAAAAAAAAAAATCACTAAGAAGACAACCAGACAAAAATTGGACAAGGATATCAATAAATAATTCACAGAAGTGGAGAGACAAATGTTTACTACATTTCAAAAAGTTTCAGTCAGACTGTCTCAATGATAAATGCAAATTAAAAATGAGATCCCTTTTTATTTTTGCTTGTCAGTTTGGCAAACATTAAAAATATTGATAATATCTAGTATTGGTTAAAGTGAGAATACTGTTATATGCTTTGTTAGAAGGCAATTTGGTAACAAATCAAGATTTTATTTTATTTTATTTTATGTTATTATTTTTGAGATGGAGTCTCACTCTTTTACCCAGGCTGGAGTGCAGCCGCATGATCTCGGCTCACAGCAACCTCCACCTCCCGGTTTCAGTGATTCTGCTGCCTCAGCCTCCAGAGCAGTTGAGATTACAGGCACGTGCCACCATACCTGGCTAATTTTTGTATTTTTAGTAGAGACAGGGTTTCACCATGTTGATCAGGCTGGTCTTGAACTCCTGACCTCAAGTGATCTACCTGGCTTGGCCTCCTAAAGTGCTGGGATTACAGGCATGAGCCACCGTACCCGGCCAAAATTTTAAATTACCCTTTGACCCAGCAATTCCACTTCTAGGATTCCCTCTCTCCCCCTTTCCCAAAATACCTGTAGAAGTATGGCTATGTCCAAGGGTATTCATTACATCGTTTGCTAAAACCCAAATGCCTGTCAACAGAAAGGTTATACTGTAGAACAGTTATTGAAAAGAATAAGTCATTTGAAAAAATATGCTATTTCTATGTAAAAAATCACTCCAAAACTTAGTAGTTTTAAACAACACACATTTATCATCTCACAGTTTCTATGGTCAGGAATCCAGAAACAACTGAGTTGTTTGAGCTCAGGTTTTCTCATGACATCACAGCTATTCACATGGTTATCAGGCCTCAATTACTCAACCACATGGGATTTTCCATAGGCAGAATGTCCCTACAATGTGGCATTCGGCTTCCCCAGACTCAATGATACAAGAGAAAAAAGGACATACAAGATGGAAGTCTCAGTATAACCTAAAGTCAGGAGTGACCGTCATCACTTCTGCCAGGTTCTGTTAGCTACACAGACCAACCCTGGTACAGCGTGGGAGGAGTTAACATAAGGGTGTGAATACCAGGAAGCGGGTATCACTGGAGACTATCTAGAAGGCTAATTACCATAATACGCTTTTTAAAGTAGGAAATTATAGACAAATATATATGATATCCTAGTTTTGTTATTTTTTTAAAGGAGGAGTTTGCGTGTGTATAAACATACATACAAAAAAGACTGAAAGTTTCCACACTGAACACAGCAAGCTCTGTGTAGTAAGGTTGGGGATGGTGAACACTGAAGAGAGCGCGTTTACTTAATTATAAATTTGTTTTTCTTTTATGTACCACAATGAGCCTGTGTTACTTTTATAATTAGAAATAATGAAGTAAGTTTTCAAAGACACTGTAATTCCTTCTCCAGGAAGCTTTGTCTGCTACTGCTGTCAAGCTGATGTACTTGCCCTCCTGGCGCTCCCCCCTTTTCTGCCACACAATCCCACTGTTGCTAAGGATGAAGGCGCTGTGTTCATCTTTAAGTCCTCTGTGGCTAACAGAATACTTAGCACAAAATACTTGTACTATATGTTTGTTGAATGAATGGATAAACTAAAGGATTTATTTAATGTCATTAATATTTATTAAGTAGCTCCAAAGGTGATGTGCTTGAGTCTAGACCCTTGGTACCCTGATACCAATAGGTCAAATAGCTATTTAACCTTTAGATCTACATTTTTATTCATCTAGATCATTTAACCTCGCTAAACATGGTATTCTTAATTTTTCACAATTTTTAAAAGGAGCTCATCTAGTATCTGGTTTTGTGGGAGATGGGGGTTAAGGTTTTTTTCTTTCCAAAAGAATTGCATGCAACAAAGTGGAGAAAATGTGCGGTTTTATGCCTCTGTAGGTTTCAAATATTAAGCTAAATTGTCTTGCATAAATGAGAAGAGTAAGATAGCTGAATCAGCCCCAAATCTTTTACCTAATGTTAGTATCACAAATGGATGCAATTATAATTGCGGGCAGAAATGAATCATTCCAAAAGTAGGTTTGTGCAGCCACTTCTTTATATTAATAATATGCACTTAGGATGGCTTAAAGCAGCCATGCTTTTATTGGGATAGTCTCTAGAAGCAGAAATCTGTTATTTGCTGATATCTGTAAAAAGTTAATTTTCAGAGTTTTGAATCAATATATTTTGACTATACCACACACATACACATAATTTGAACTGGTGCTTCAGACTTCATTATTTCCTAAATAACATTAACTCTACAAAAACAGAGTCACTTAAACAGCCAATAGTGTGTAACCACAAGTTTTAGCAACAAAAACCAAGGGCTCCCCAGAGAACCGGAAGCACGTGTTTCAGTATAATGCTTTCCAGCTATTCCTGGAAAGTTGGCACCCTGGGCCATTCACAAACTTTTTTTGAGTGCCCACCTGTCGGGAGCAGGGACGTGGCCCTCCTAGGCACCGGGCACATAAGCTGGTGGACTGGTTGACCCCGAGCTCTCTAGAGCTCACCAAAGTGAGCATCCAGAGCCCCAAATGCTGGCCCAAATGAAGGGCTGCTGTGATGCTGCTGATCCCTGCTGTAATTTTTTTTTCTTCCTCTGTTGCGGTAAATCACGACTTCAGCACTTTGGCTGAAGTGTCGCGTTCAGCACAGAGGTGGAAGTAAGAGGCAGAAAACAGAAGAACCACGAGAGAAATGGATCCTGTCTATTAAGGCAACGTGATGCAGCGCTAAAAGGTTAGGAGGTTACGATTCCCGGGGCTAAGAGAAATAAACTGCTGGTGGTGAACGAAAGGGGTGCTGGAGCGCAGCGATCTCGAACCTTTCCCTTATAGCCAAACCCTGGCCAAGGCCACAAATTTCAAATCGCCTGAAAACCAAACTGTCTGGCGCTTAACGGTTACCTCGGCTGAGCGAAACCCTTGGCTGCTGCTGATTTAACTACAGGTCCGCGCGAGTTACTTTCCAGGGAACTGAATTCAGAACAAAGAGTTACCGAAGCCTTACTCCCTCTCCAAAATTAGAATTCCCTTTTTCTCTTAGTCATATAGGAAACACACAGTTCACAAGTCCTGTGGTGCAAAGGTGTGAACCCTGGCCCAGGGAGGTGGTGACTCTCCCCGCCCTCCGCCTGCCGGTTGTCCTGCTTCCGAAAGCAACCCACGACGGTCCCGCAGGGTGAGGGTTCCCTGGGATCAGTTCCCTGGGATCCGGAGAACGCCACGCGGAGTCTCCCTGCAGGGTGAGGGGCCCCGGGTTCCCGCCCCCTCCCCCTCTACTCTCCCATTCTGCGAGCGCAGCCAGCCTCCCCTCCCACGCTTCGGGAAGCGTCGCCCCCGAGCTCCTCGGTTCCTGGTGGTGGCTACTCGTGTTAGTGACTTCGTTTCTGCGCGTTTGCTTATTTTCATCTTTGCCTCAGTTCGAATGTGTCCCCGCCACCAGGCCCCGCTGCTGGGCGAGACCACTGAACCCCCTGAAAGCTTCCCCGGAGCCGCGCGCATAATCCCGGGACCCTCTCTGGAAGGCGTGCGGAGAGCGGTGCGCGTGGCCTGGCACCGGAAGGAGCCAGCTTCCGGGCTCCGAGGCACCCCCTGGACAGCGCCCCGGGCCGCGGGTTCCTCCTCCGATGCCCGGGCGTCGTCGCCGGGATCGGGAGCTTCGGGGGCCCGCCGGCACCGACGGTTTTCGCTTCCCTGGCGGGCAGCTGGACGAGGTCCCGCCGCTGCACCGGGAGGGACAGTGGGTGGAAAAAGCCGCTGCAGCGCCGGGGCGAGGGGGCTGGGGGCGCCGTCACTTGTTGCGACCAATAAACGGCGCTCGATCCTGATGCGCTGTTTCTAAAATCTTTAGCTGTGTCCCGATCCCTCCAACCCAAGCCCCTCGGCCAGGAGGAAGGGGCAAGCGAGAGCCGCTGGCTCTGTGGGGGGAGAGGGGCGCCGCGCCCCAAGAGCCCCCGTCCCGCCCTGCGGCAGCCGCCCCGGGGCGCCCAGCCGCCCGCTTCCCTCCGCAGAGCGTCTTCCCTGACGGTGAAACCGCGCGGGACACAACCCACCGCGGCTCATCACCCACTTACAAATAGCTGTCGCTAGGATTCCCGCCACTCCTCTCAGACCGGCCCCCCCGCCACCTCTGCCACTTTTCGGAGTCCCCCGCCCTCGTCACTGCCTCCCCGGAGCTGCGGGGCAGTCGGACGCAGAGCTGCCTAACCGCAAGAACGCCTGGCCGGAGCTGCCCTCTGCAGCCGAGCCGGCGCCCCCTGCCCTTCGCCGCCGCGCTGGGCGGGCGCCCCCGCCGCCCTCACTCCGCTGCTCCCGGCTCCTCGCGCGCAGGTCGCGGAGCTCCGCCACCGCTGGGTGCGGCGAGGCCGGCGCGATGCGGCAGCTGTGCCGGGGCCGCGTGCTGGGCATCTCGGTGGCCATCGCGCACGGGGTCTTCTCGGGCTCCCTCAACATCTTGCTCAAGTTCCTCATCAGCCGCTACCAGTTCTCCTTCCTGACCCTGGTGCAGTGCCTGACCAGCTCCACCGCGGCGCTGAGCCTGGAGCTGCTGCGGCGCCTCGGGCTCATCGCCGTGCCCCCCTTCGGTCTGAGCCTGGCGCGCTCCTTCGCGGGGGTCGCGGTGCTCTCCACGCTGCAGTCCAGCCTCACGCTCTGGTCCCTGCGCGGCCTCAGCCTGCCCATGTACGTGGTCTTCAAGCGCTGCCTGCCCCTGGTCACCATGCTCATCGGCGTCCTGGTGCTCAAGAACGGCGCGCCCTCGCCAGGGGTGCTGGCGGCGGTGCTCATCACCACCTGCGGCGCCGCCCTGGCAGGTGAGCGGGCCCCCGCGCCGACCCCCAGCCGACCCCACCCACCCCGCTCCGTCGGGCAGAGACCGCGGGGATCACTGAGTTCAACGACCTCACTTCCAGATGGGGAGACTGAGGCAGAGAGAGCCGGAGAGCTTTGAGAGTGGTCGCTCAGCTCGCAAAAGGGACTTCCGAGACCCAGAGAGCTCCCCAGCGCCCCACCAAGTCCCCCTGCCCCCTAATGTCCTGGCTTCCGACCCTCGCCCATGCTTCACCCGGCATCGCCCTTCCTGTCGCCCCCTCTCCTGGTCTTCCCCTGTCACCCCATTCTCCGGGAGAGGTGGGAGGGCCGCCTGAGCCTGGGAGCTGGAGTCCTCCAAGCCTGGACCAAGCCGGAAGGAGGGGGCCGTGAACTTCCTTGGGTCACGAGGGGCTGGAATGGAGGTGGGGGATGGGGGCGAAGCTGAGGGTTCCCGGGGCTACTGCGGGGTGTCTCGTGCTGCGCAGGGGGCTGCGGCCCTGGGGCAGACGACCCAGGTGCTGAGCGAGACGAGAGCCTGGGCAGGGGGAAGCTTCACTGGGGGCCAGAACAGGCGTTCTCCCCCGCGCCTGGCCCGCTCCGGGTTGCAGGCCACTGGCTGGGGCTCCCTCTCCCTTTGGTGCCCCACGGGGCAGGGGCTCCGGGGTGCAGGTACCACGCGCCCAAGTGACCTCGGTGCCAGCTCGGGGAAGCCACAGCACCTGCCCCGAGGGCATCTGCGCTCTCCGGGGCCTTTGTCTTGGACAGAGGAAGATGGAGTGACCCGGGGATATGGCGGGAAGGCGCTCTGAGCACTGAGTTTGGCTGTCGCATTTGACACGGGTGGCCGAGGGACGGCGGGCGTCTGTCACTCAGGAATCCGGTGGGCAGAGCTGGGGCGCGAACCCAGTCTCCTTTCCTACCCGACGCGTTTTCCCCGTGGGTCCCCGCCCACGCCAACCTGCTGTCTTCTCTCTTTTTCCTTCCCGCCCGGGCTCGGCCGTCCTCCTCGTGCGCCGCAGGAGCCGGCGACCTGACGGGCGACCCCATCGGGTACGTCACGGGAGTGCTGGCGGTGCTGGTGCACGCTGCCTACCTGGTGCTCATCCAGAAGGCCAGCGCAGACACCGAGCACGGGCCGCTCACCGCGCAGTACGTCATCGCCGTCTCTGCCACCCCGCTGCTGGTCATCTGCTCCTTCGCCAGCACCGACTCCATCCACGCCTGGACCTTCCCGGGCTGGAAGGACCCGGCCATGGTCTGCATCTTCGTGGCCTGCATCCTGATCGGCTGCGCCATGAACTTCACCACGCTGCACTGCACCTACATCAATTCGGCCGTGACCACCAGCTTCGTGGGTGTGGTGAAGAGCATCGCCACCATCACGGTGGGCATGGTGGCCTTCAGCGACGTGGAGCCCACCTCTCTGTTCATTGCCGGCGTGGTGGTGAACACCCTGGGCTCTATCATTTACTGTGTGGCCAAGTTCATGGAGACCAGAAAGCAAAGCAACTACGAGGACCTGGAGGCCCAGCCTCGGGGAGAGGAGGCGCAGCTAAGTGGAGACCAGCTGCCGTTCGTGATGGAGGAGCTGCCCGGGGAGGGAGGAAATGGCCGGTCAGAAGGTGGGGAGGCAGCAGGTGGCCCCGCTCAGGAGAGCAGGCAAGAGGTCAGGGGCAGCCCCCGAGGAGTCCCGCTGGTGGCTGGGAGCTCTGAAGAAGGGAGCAGGAGGTCGTTAAAAGATGCTTACCTCGAGGTATGGAGGTTGGTTAGGGGAACCAGGTATATGAAGAAGGATTATTTGATAGAAAACGAGGAGTTACCCAGTCCTTGAGAAGGAGGTGCATGTACGTACCTATGTGCATACACTTATTTTATATGTTAGAAATGACGTGTTTTAATGAGAGGCCTCCCCGTTTTATTCTTTGAGGAGTGGGGAAGGGAAGAAAAGAAAGAAGCTGAAAGGTACTGACACAGAGCAACAAAATTAGCACCTGTGTGAATTATTTAGTGTGACTTCACCTGAGGCATCACAGAGACAAAAGAATGTGAAGCTACTTAACAAAGTAAGGCAACGTTTCTGCTTCAGACTCCTGGCACATTTACTTTTTGTCATTATAACCATAACTAAATATCTGCATGTACCAAGAGTCCCTAAGCCACCCCCTCCAAAGATGGAGTGTAGAAATGATGACAGCACTTAGTAAGTTCAAAGATGACATTCAGGGATGCATTTTTTGATGATAGAACTACAGTTTTTATCGCCAGCTGGGCAAAGAGTATATTGCTGAAATGATATATAAATATATTGAATTGATGTTTACTGTTTATAGTCATCTGAAATATCATATTTACTCTGATTCTACTCACTTGTTTTTTAAAAATAAGTGTCCTATTATTGTATTATATATTGATAGAAACTGTTAAAGCTATTTTGAAAATATGAGTTCTTAGCTTTAATCATGAAGTCTGAAGTTTGCTTTCAGTAATTATTTTAAAAGTTGTTTTGGTTCATTGCTTTATAATATTTATTATTGAATGCCAAACCTGTTCTTTTTTTTACTGTGTCCAATATTCTTTCAAGCAAATGCAATGGCTGGAATATAATTCAGAATTAACTGAAACCCAGCCAGAAGAGGGACCACCTGTAAAGCAAGTCCTTTCAAGTTTCACTGCACATCCCAAACCATGTTACAAAAAGAGCAACTGCTATATTCACATTATGATATTTTTCTATCTTAAATTTGTCAAAATAAAGTATGAGTCTAACTATTAAAGGATACATTGTTAGAAATTTATTTTAGACACATGTTCTATTGTTGCTGTATAGTTGTTTGTGTTTGCCTCCAATGTGTGGTCATAGTATCCGAGTGTAGGGGCCGCACCATTGGAAACTTCCTAAATTAACAAAGCTGTTTGGTTTGAAATAACAACAAAAACAGAAATGCATCTTCCAGTGAAGGAAGCTGTTAATGGTGTGGTGCAATGGCTCATGCCTGTAACCCAGCACTTTGGGAGGCCAAGGCAAGCAAATGACTTGAGCTCAGGAGTTCAAGCAAGCCTGAGCAACGTAGCAAAACCCCATCTCTGCAAAAAATACCAAAAATTAGCCAAGAATTTTGGTGTGCACCTGTAGTCCCAGCTACTCAGGAGGCTGTGGTAGGATGATCACCTGAGCCGGGGAAGTCAAGGCTGCAGTGAGTTCTGATTGTGTCACTACACTACAGCCTGGGCAACAGAGCGAGACCCCGTCTCAAAAACAAACAAACAGGGCATGGTGGCACGCGCCTGTAGTCCCAGCTACTCGGGAGGCTGAGGCAGGAGAATCACTTGAACCTGGGAGGTGGAGGTTGCAGTGAGCCGAGATCGCGCCATTGCTCTACAGCCTGGTAACAGGACAAACAAATAAACAGAAAATGATAAAACACTCCATCGCACTGAGGTACGAAAGCCATCCACACCAGATTTCAGTTAACATGGAGTCTGAGAAGTAATAAATGGTCATGTCCACCAAGGAGGAAGCCTTCTGTGAGCTCTAGGCAGGAGAGATACTTTGAGAGTGAGGGGGCACTGAGATCTGCCAGCATGTTGCTGAGATTCTCAGATAGTAGCATCTTATATTTTTCTTTCTTTTCTAAAAATCAAATCAAAGCAAAAAGCAGAAGCAAAAATGAAGTTTCAGCTCCATCAGTTTGGCTCCACAAGCAGCTGAGCAAGTGTAATTGTGGTTTGTGATTGGCCCTGGTTTGCTGGTTTCCACAGGCAATTGACTATTTCCAGAGGTGCCTCCACAAGCCATTTAAGATGCAGGAGACCTCACATACTGCAGTTAGAAATGGTTTGCCAGGGTTATGATGACTTCTTCAAAAATAAGTGTTAATTTTAATGCTAACATGCCAAAGGGCAACATCGCGTTGCAACTATATAAAGCTGAGAATTAATGAAAAGCAGCAAAGTTGGATGAAGTATATATTTCTTGTGGCTATCACTGCCAGATAAGTGGAATGATTGTTTTTTACTGAAAAAAAAAATGTCCTTTGGTTAAAAATGTGAGTTTACCTTTATAGCAAAAGGATTAACTCTTTCCTGTCAATGAACTTGTAGAGACGCTGTATTTGACTTCTCTAGAGAAACAGAACCCATAAGAGAGTGAGATTTTAAGTAAGTGGTAATGATGGGGCAGTCTGAAGTCTGTAGGCCATGCTGGCAGGTGGGAGACTCAGGCAGGGTTTCCATGTTGCAGTCTTGAGGCAGAATTGATGTTGCTACTTCTGGAAACTTTGCTCTTTGGTCTGTAGGCCTTCAACTAATTGGATGACGCATCTTACAAATGTCTTTGCAGCAACATCTAAACTACTATTTGACCAAACAGCTGGGTACCACAGCCTAGCCAAGTTGACACATAAAAGTAATCCTTCTTCCACTGTCAGTAGTACTGGAGGCAATCCAAGACTCTGGTCCACCCTGACCAGAGTCAGGGCTCTGGTAGGGCCTTGCATCAAGCAGGCAGGGGCCTTCTGAGGAGCTCCAGGATATTCGCATGGGTGGGACTCCACTGGAAGTCACTCACCATTGTTGCTAGACTGATCCAGTCTTTGTCAGTCTACCCCATTCTGACAACTTGGATTCTCCCTTGTTTCTGAGATTACACCCCCACCTAGTGCCCAACTGGGCCCCTGCTTCGACAGCCTGTTCCTATATCAATTCTTCATGGCTGAGGCCCAGCCTCATGCTCACCTGTCACTTCCCAACTAGAATCTGTCTCTAAAACACAGCATGATGTCAGACAGACATTCTCAACGCTGGGCCTGTTGCTGGCCCCCTCCCACTAAATGCTGTCTAGCCTTATTTTATTTTACTGAGACAAGGTTTTGCTCTGTCACCCAGGCTGGAGTTCAGTGGTGCAATCATAGTTCACTGCAGCTTCAAACTCCTAGGCTCAAGTGATCCTCCCACCTCAGCCTCCCGAGTAGCTGGGACTATAGCTGCATGCCATCATGCCTGGGCAATTAAAAAAAATTTTTTTTAAAGAGATGAAGGTCTCACTATGTTACCCAGGCTGATCTCGTACTCCTGGTCTCAAGCAATCCTCTCACCTCAGCCTCCTAAAGCATTAGAATTACAGGCATGAACCACTGTGCCTGGGCCTAGCTTTCGATTATTGAGGAATAGATCAATCAGAAACACTGGGGAAAGGCCGGGCACAGTGGCTGACACTTGTAATCCCAGCACTTTAGGAGGCTGAGGCGGGCAGATCACTTGAGCCCAGGAGTTCAGGACCAGCCTGAGCAATATGGTGAAACTCTGCCTCTACAAAAAATACAAAAAAATTAGCCAGGTGTAGTGGTGTGTGCTTATCATCCCATCTACCTGAGAGGCTGAGGTGGGGGGATCACCTGAGCCCAGGAAAGTTGAGGCTGCAGTGAGCCATGATCATGCCACTGCACTCCAGACTGGGTGACAAGAGTAAGACCTTATCTCAAAAATAAATAAATAGGCCAGGAGCGGTGGCTCACGCCTGTAATCCCAGCACTTTGGGAGGCCGAGACGGGCGGATCATGAGGTCAGGAGATCGAGACCATCCTGGCTAACACGGTGAAACCCTGTCTGTACTAAAAATACAAAAAATTAGCCAGGCGTGTTGGCGGACGCCTGTAGTCCCAGCTACTCGGGAGGCTGAGGCAAGAGAATGGCATGAACCTGGGAGGTCGAGCTTGCAGTGAGCCGAGATCGCGCCACTGCACTCCAGCCTGGGCGACAGAGCGAGACTCTGTCTCAATAAATAAATAGATAAATAAATAATAAAGAAACAATGAGGCAATGACTGCCAGAACTGTGTAGGTGAGAGGATGCATGCATGTTACCGGGGTTGCTGAGCAGAGCTGAGCACTGACCTGAACTCTTGTAAGACCAGCAGTCCTACAACAGCAACCACTCATTGTCAGAGGACACAGTGGTCTAAGCACCTAACAGCAATACTTCACGAAGACAAAAGTGGGTGAAACTCTTAAGTCCTTAACTGACTGAAAACTTTTTTGCATTTCAGTTGGGGAACTTTCTATTGACCGATGTTCAAGCTCACTGATTCTCTCTTTGGCTGTGTTCAGTCTTTGGATGAGCCCATCAAAGGCATTCTTCATTTCTGTCACAGTGTCTTTGTTAACTTCTAGCATTTCCTTTTGATTCTTAGTTTTTCTTCTCTCTGTTTAAATTATCCATCTGCTCTTGGATGTGTCTGCTTTTTCCATTAGAGCCCTGACCATATTAATCACAGTTATTTTAAATTCCCCGTCTGATAATTCCAGAACTGTGTTATACCTGAATCTAGTTCTGACACTTGCTTTGTCTCTTCAGATGTGTTTTTTCCTCGCCTATTTAGCATGCCTTATAGGTTTTTTTACTGGCAGTTACATGCTGTATTAGAAAATATAAACTGAGGCAAACAGGCCTCTAGTGTGAATTTTCATGCTAATCTGGCTAGAAGTCAGGTTCTGTTGAATGTTTGCTGTGACTGTAGGTGCCAGAGGCTGCTAACTTCCTCTACTGTCCTTGTTTTTGTCTCCCTGTTGTCTTTGAGCTTCCCTGAGAAGTCCTCCTTCCTTAGAGCTAGGCACATTGCCACTCTTTCAGCTGGAATCCACTGCAGGTGTGGTGGTAAGGTTTGGGGGAGGGGAAGTGGTCTGCAATCTTATTAAACTTCAGCCTTTCAGTGGGCCTGTGTCCCTAGTCTCTGACCTTCTCAAGTGTTTGCTGGCTTGTTTCCCCCTCTCCTTACATGAGACACGAAGGCTAGAGGAGCCTAGAATGGGAGAGATGCCCTTTCCCCAGGTGGGATAAGGCTCTGGTGAGCCTTTGACCATGGTAGTCACTAGCATGAGTCTTAGTAATCTTTCTTTCTTTTTTTTTTTTTTTTTTTTTTTTTTTTTTTGAGATGGAATCTCACTCTGTCACCCGGGCTGGAGTGCAGTGGCGTGATCTTAGCTCACTGCAACCTCCGCCTCCCGGGTTCAAGCCATTCTCCTGCCACAGGCTCCCGAGTAGCTGGGATTACAGCCGCCCGCCACCACGCCTAGCTAATTTTTGTATTTTTAGTAGAGACGAGGTTTCACCATGTTGGCCAGGCTGGTCTCGAACTCCTGACCTCAGGTGATCCACCTGCTTCAGCCTCCCAAAGTGCTGGGATTACAGGCATGAGCCACCGCGCCCAGCCGAGTCTTAGTAAAATTGGCCCCGGTATTGTCATGGGGAGTGCTCTGGTAATCACAGTGATTACTCTCACCTCCCCCATCAAAAGGGTAAGGGGTGCCTTCTCAGCTCTCTACCACCTGTGGGGCTCCTGGAGGTCAGGCCCATGAAAACGTGATCCCCAGGAATTTCTCCTTCTCTTGATAGTCCATATTCAGCCTCCAGAAATTTATCAAAATTACCATTTAAGTGTTTTGACCAATGGCCCCAGTGGCCTCTGCTCCAGATAAGGAGATCTCATCTATAAACTTTCTGGATTTACCTCTCTCCAGGTTTAGGGGTGGCAATTGGACCTCAGTTCTCTGATTGGTCCAAGAAATGTCATTGATTTTCAGTTTTTGTTCATCTTTTTTCTTATTGTAAGGATGGAAGTAACCACTTCTAAGTTCTTCATATATTGGAGATGTAACCAGAAGTCCTGGATGAAGACTTTTGAAAAGTCTGCTCAATTTCTCTAAAAACAGAAGTTGTGAAGGGAACCTAGACATTCCTAAGGAAGCTCCCAAGAGAAAACAAAAGTGCCCAAATCTACTGGCCGTTCTTGTAACTCCCGCCTTTCCATACTGCATGTTGAGTGTTGGCCACTTCCGCATTCAGCCATGGTGACATATGCATGTGGGTAACATTCAAATCCAAGTGCATTGTGAGCAAGAGTCCATGCATATTAAGATTGGCATGCCACGACAGCTGTAATTAGTATCAATTACCCCTTCTCCTTCTTGGAGTGCTTCACTTCTGCATAACACAAGTCTCTTCCACTTCTGGATTTTCTTTTACCATGTTTCAACCACCTTCTCTGACTCTTGTACTTTTCATGTTAATTTCCCAGTGATGACTGCTAGCCTGACTCATCTGTTGCCTTAGTCTCTAGAAACCATGTTAGATCTGCCAGGATGGACTTCATCACAGCATCTACTGAAACGGTATCCTCTCCCTGGCTATGTCCCCTCCTCCTTACATACAACACAGGTACTTCTAATTCTGAAATATTTCTCTCCCTGTCAGCTTTGTCCTGCTTCTAAGATAAAACAGTAGGGTTTGGAAGAGAGCCTGTGAGCAGAGCAGAGTATAACAGAATACCAGGACACACGACCCGTAAAATAGAATCCCAAATCCCTCCTGGGAAACCATCCCCTTCCCACTCTGAGCTCAGGTGGTTCATATGGTGTTGACTCCATCCCTGCACCCTCAGAATGAGATTCCAGCCAATCCAAAGTAAGTCCTCCACTTGGCTACCAAGGTTAGTTCAGTGACAGTCATGGGACCTGGTCAGAGCCAGTGAGGTGCAAGGATGCTTTCAGCAAGACTTAATTAGGTTGCATTTTTTTTTCTCACTGGATTTGTACATAGGAGAATGGAGTAGGGTGAAGCAGAGGTGCTGTTGCCATCTTGCCACAAGGAAAAGATGTAACAGGAAGGAAACAACACAGAAAGGTGAATGGGGTGGAGTGTGGGTTTCTGGGGAGACTGAGTCTTAGTGATCTTAATTGGCCCTGGTATTAAGCTGACTTTCACCCTGAGTTTGCACTTTTCCTCAGATTGTCAGTTACATAAAACAAAGTCTTTGTTGTTGTTGTTAATTGCTTAAGCCAGTTTGATTTGGGACTCCTGATACTTGCAACCCAAAGAGTCCCAAGTGACACAAACATAAATTAATGGCTCTTATCAAACAGGGTTGGGTAGAGGACCAAAAGAGAGTTATTGTTTGTTTGTTTTTGGTTCTGATTTTCTCCAGGGATGTGAGCGAAGCAGCACAAGCTGGCTCCCTGTTGTCCCTTGCGCCCAACTAGGGACTAGATAGGCCTCTTTGGTCTCTTGCAAATCACTGTCTAGCATGTACCACCCATAGTCCTAAATAACCCATGAGTTTACCTACTCTCTTCCTCTTCAATTTGCAAAAGTCAACTGATTCCTACGTTTATGCTTCACAAATTCACTGGAGATTGCAGAATATTATAAATTGCATACTACTATAAATAATATAATAATACCAGTAATACCCAGTGCTTATTATTAGTATGCCTGCTATTTGCTAGGTTCAGTTCTAAATGTTTTATATTTACAAATTCATTTTATTCTCACAACACTGCTATATGTTGGTATGAATATTAGCCCAATCATTCAAGGGGTAAACTGAAGTATGGAGGGGCTACATAACTTGCCCTAGGTGTTATAGCTAGTAACTTGGAGGTCTGGGATTTGACGTGAACCCTGGTAGTCTGGCTTCAGGGCCCATGTTTCCCCACCGTGCCATTCTGCCTCTCAGTGAGAAGCATTCAGTCTGATATGGTAAAGCTGGAGGTGGAAGTGGCAGTAGGGAGTTCCAGGGCTTGTTAGTTGTGCAGCTCCATGAGGACCCTGGCTCTAGCATTCACTCCTTTCTGCTGTCCTCAGAAGGGAAGAGGATACAACGCTATTAGAAGCAACGTGTGGTGTGTGTGTGTGTGTGTGTAGTTTTCTGTTTGTGAGAGCTTAGGAACCAAGAAAGCAGTTGAGGGACCATAAACAGCAGAGTAGAGAAAGGTCTCAATTGTTATTATAACCAATAGCCCCAAGCTATCCAAACTTTGGGGTCAATATCTCCTTTAATATTCAAATAATATAACCTATTCCTTCACCTTACATAACCTTGGAAAGCACAGACCTGCACTAGCATTTCAAAGGCGTCCTTGAGCACCACTGCCCTATCTTAGCAGCATAGCTCAGAGCTGCTGGTTACTTCCTGCTCCAGGCTGTTGTGCTAATGATCACTTTGTTAAAAAAACAGCTTCATTGAGGCTGGGCATGGTGGCTACACCTGTAATCCCAGCACTTTGGGAGGCTGAGGTGGGAGGATCACTTGCGCCCAGGAGTTTGAGACCAGGCTGGGCAACATAATGATACCTTGTCTCTATTTTTAAAAATTAAAAAAAAAAAAAACTCATTGAAATATAATTTAGATACCATAAAATTTGCCTGATTTAAGCGTACAACTAGTGATCTTTAGTATATTTACAGAGTTGTGCAATCATCATTACTGTCTAATTTTAGAACATTTCCTTCACCTCAAAAAATAAAAAACCCTACACCCATTGGAAGTCACTACCCATTTCTTCCCAATCCTCCAGCCCCCAGCAATTACTATTTACTTTCTGTCTCCATGGATCTGCCTATATGGACTGATCATTTCTTGGTATCCTAAATTGTTTTTGCAGCCTGTTTTTCTTAACCTACTCCTGCACTCCTGTTTTTACCCAAAGCATTGCAGAACAAAGCTGGCATTGGGATGCAGTTGACAAGATTTACTGAACGCTTGATGCCACCTACTATAAGGGCATCTCAATGTAGAAAAGGAAAACGTGAAAGCTAATGTCAGAAGTCCCTGCTTGGAGTTTCTCGGTCCTCCCTCCTTGGGCCCTTCCTGCTGCTGTGTGACTGGGCCCTCTGTAAATCAGAACAGATTCTTTTTTCATAATTACTCTTACTCTAGACTCAAGGACCCAGTTCTTCATCTTCTCAAGAAGAAACCAGAAAGGCTAAACAGTGTTCTCTAAAACTAAAGAACAGACACTCTCCAACATAATTCTTTGTCACTTCCCAGAATGTGGAAAAGTCATTGTTATTAAAACATCACCCCTTTTCCGTCCCACTATGCAAAACTCATATGCTGAGTGGAGACTTACCCTGGAAAATGTTACAACCAATGCAAAGTTGGTTGTCTGCCCATTTGTCACCGCCCCCAACCCTCCACCCACCAATTCTTCCTTGCACTCAGAACTCCAGATTTATTCAGGTACAAGCAGCAATGGGAAGCGGAAGGGAAGGAACATGGACAACATCCGTATCACTTGTTTAAAACTGCTCGTTGATGAAAAGTTTTGGAAATAGGTAGTAGTGATGGTTGTACAGCATTGTAGATGTAATTACTGCCACTGAATTGTACACTTAAAAATGGTTAAAATGACAAAATTTGTGTTACATATATTTTACCACAGTTAAAAATATTAATAATGTAATACTAAAATCTGTTGACTTGTACACTTTAAATGGATGAATTGTATGGTATGGGATTTATATCTTAATAAAGCCACTTAAAAAAAAAAGATACCTGCTTGTCCTTTCCTTCCTTTCTTTCCAGTCCCACAGCCCAACCGTGGCTGTGGCAATGGCCCAGCCATGACAATGCTCCAGCGGACATCAGAGCATAGACAGAAAGAAACTGGGGCCCTGATCATCCTTTGAGCAAGGCTTTCTACCATTCTACCCCCATCCCTGCTTTCAGACTATTAGGAGAGAAAATACACTTTTGTCTGTTGAGCTTTTATATGTAGGGTTCTTTTTAGTTCAACTGTGTGGCCCGTATTCTAACTAATCCACTGTCACCTCGCCTCTCATGAGAAAGACAAAGAGACAGTAATTGATGGCTTCTACCTGCCCTATTTCTTCTTCTTCCTCCCTCATCCTGACCAGCCCTCAGCTTGTAACCAGTCATGTCCCAGATTCCACACTCCCAGTACCCTCCACATTAGTTTGCTTTTAATTTACTGAACTGTGGAAGGCACAGTACTGTATATGAGGGTAAGCTGCTCATTTAATGTTTTCATTGATTTTATTAATAGTTGATAGTTTTGATGAGTACAATATCCTACATTATAACTCAAATAAGAAATAGTTCATGGGGTGGCCTGAATGCAGTGGTGTTTGCAACTAATTAATCACAACCAGTTACAGATTTCTTTGCTCCTTCTCCATTCCCACTACTTCACTTGACTAGCCTTAAAAAAGAAAAAAAAAAGGATGAGTTCATGGTTTATGCCAACAGAGAGTCAATTGAATATAATAGATATGTTCAAAAAAGGCACCGAAGGCATGTGTATTTGTCATCTATTCCTTTTATCTCGTCATAGAAAAGATTTGAGACCATGAAAGCTAAAGGAGAGAAACCATCATTTTTTCAAACCCCTCCTTTAATGTAAACTAAATGTAAACTAAATGTAAGCTTTGGTAGATTTTCAAAGCTTCCAAGAATGTGACAATGGATTAACCTCTGTGATACGTTCTGAAAAAATCCATAAAATAAACTTGTTGCCACGGAAAGAACAATTACTTATTAGAAAAAAGCATGCCATTGGTTTTTTTCCCTCCATGTGATATTATTCCAAATGTGTTGGATCCATTCCTGCCTCTGAATCAATGCTCTCTTTTGGTGTGATGGAAGAAAGTTTAATTTCAATCATTTGATGCCAAAAAGCCTAGTTGGAAAAAATGTAAAAACCCATTCAACTTGATGTTTTGGGGACTTGATGCAGAGCATCAACTTTCAAGATATCTGGGCAGTAGACCAAATTTGTTGATTTTTGTTTGGTTACTCGGCTTCATGTAGACTGTGTCTGTCTGTCTGTCTCTCTCTGTGTGTGTGTGTGTGTGTGTGTGTGTGTTTCCTTGTATCAAAGACTTCTTAATGAATGTGGGGTGCTGTTGGTCTTGGGGCTGGCTTTTCATACAATTATGGTGTGACTAGAATGCTAATCTATTGTATAATTTAATAGAACATGACCAGTTGTGAATCTCTGCTGTATAGCATCCCTGCCTTGGATTAGTGAGAGTTAACACAGGTCATAACTGGAATTCAAAAGCCCTGCCTGTATGTAGAGTGCATCCACGCTGATTGCTGGCTCTCTGGAGGGCGACTATGCTTTTTTGTCAATAACTGCTACACTCGTAAAGCAGTCCATAATAAGCAACCCAGTTCAAATGGCTAGTTTCTGTTTTTCCTTAAGGAGTAGCATTCAATTTTCAGATGAATTGGGTAGGCAAATAGAGAAAAGTTTTACATTTTGCAATTCACCTAGTGGCTGTCTTCCAAAATCTGCAACGTATTTTATAAACGTTATTACTGACTTGGTAAGCGGCCATTTCCATAGGCACTTACTGTCATTGCAGTGGTATAAAGGGAAATTCACTTTGCTTAATATTACCTAAGCCCTCCAGAGCACTGCTGTAATCATAGGATAGCACTGCCTTTTTCATTTGATGAATGACTTTGAGCAAATACTGTCCTCTTTAATTCCACACCCATATGGAGAGATGATTGTAGAAAGGGAGGCAGAGGCCTGACAGTACACCTCACAAAGGCAGGCATTCCTGCTATCTTATCTGCTCCAGTACTCCCTGGTGCCCAACACTGCACCTGGAATTTGGTCCAGTGCTCAATAAATATTGGTTGACTGCTTGACAAAAGAAATCAAAGTCATGAAATCAGACTAACCATAGTTTTCTCTTTCAACTGGCAACTACAGCTCCCTTGAAGATGGCTTGATAGATAAGTCTGAATTGTCTATAGTGCCATTCTTAGAAAATCAAATGCTATAAATTAGATCTACTGGGTAAGAAATGGGCTGGGTAGAGTCTGCATAAAAGGTGGAGGAGGGCCGGGTGCAGTGGCTCATGTCTGTAATCCCAGCACTTTGGGAGGCTGAGGCAGGTGGATCACCTGAGATCAGGAGTTCAAGACCAGCCTGGCCAACATGGTGAACCCTCGTCTCTACTAAAAATACAAAAAACTAGCTGGGCGTGTGGTGGGTGCCTGTAATCCCGGCTACTTGGGAGGCTCAGGAAGGAGAATTGCTTGAACTCAGGAGGCGGAGGTTGCAGTGAGACAAGATAGCGCCATCGCACTCCAGCCTGGGCTACAAGAGCGAAACTCTGTCTCAAAACAAACAAACAAACAAATGCAGAGGAGCAGGAAGGCTTGGTGCATGTGTTTGGACATTCACTCAGCCAGAAGTGCTCTCACCAGCACCCCTGGCACCCAGGAGCTCCCTACAGGCAAGTTTTAAGAGGCTTGCCCTGGCTCAATCCAATAAAAATGTTCATAAAGAAACTTTTTTTTTTTTTTGGCTAGGATGCCTGTCTTGAAAAATAATACAGAACATTGTTAACAATTCAGACAGGGAAGGTAGAAATAGGTCAGACAAAAAATGAAGGGTGAAGCTGTCCTGGCCTTTCTTTAATCTTTTGAACAGTGTTTGAAATAGCTTTTGGCAGATGAAATTTGTTCTGTATTTTGGAGTTAATATCTGTGCCAGGATTTCTGTCACTCCTCTGGGGGTGGTAATCAATATAACTAATAAATAGGAAATGATTAGATTGAACCCACTGGAGGCCAGCAGTCTCCCTAACAGGGCCCCGCAGCAGAAGACATCCTGGGAAACTCGTCAACCTCATCCAAGTTTGGAGGAATGTGGGTCTTAACAGAGCCGTTAGAGGGTACTAAGTTAGTGCTGCGCTATCTTAACAGAGTTAGGCAATACCTAAAGAGAAAAAAAAAGATAAGAAAAAAGAGATGGCAAGAAAGTGAATCAAATGAGTGTGGGAAGAAGTCCTAGAAGAGGGTGAATGAGGAGAAAGCAAGGGGGTCTTATGAAGGATAGCATAAGAGTTTGCTGGGAGTCAGTAACTCCGATGATGTCTAAGATGCTTTCAGGGGCACCAGTGTTATAAAGTGTGCATCCCAGCGCCAACACAATCTAAGTCATGCCCAAGAGAACCTCGGATTATAAAACAATGAGAAAAAAGTATGTGGTTGCTGACTCAAATGTAAAGGAGCCCAGGCTGCTCTGTTGCCAGTTTGCTCTGTTGCCCAGGCTGGAGTGCAATGGTGTGATCTCGGCTCACTGCAACCTCCACCTCCCAGGTTCAAGCAGTTCTCCTGCCTCAGCCTCCCGAGTAGCTGGGATCACAGGTGTGTGCCACCACATCCAATTAATTGTTATATTTTTAGTAGAGCTGAGGTTTCACCATGTTGGCGAGACTGGTCTCGAACTCCTGACTTCAAGTGATCCACCTGCCTCAGCCTCTGAAAGTGCTGGGATTATAGGCATGAGCCACAGCGCCCAGTCCAGAAGGATTTTTAAGTTTAATGGTTCCATAAGAAAAGTTAAAGAAGTCTTCTTTAGAAGACAACTGCCTAATTGCTGATATAGGAAGCAAATCTAATTACTAAGTTCTCTGTCATATCAGCAGGAAGTTGTATGAAGACTGGAAGCCAGAAGCACATGCTTTACTTTTTTAGAATGATGTGTACATCTCAGCTGTTTTTTTTAAAGCTTAAAATGTGAACTTCTAATAAAAGAGATAGTTCGTATTACAGAACTTTTTTTTTTTTTTTTTTTTTTTTTATAGACAGAGTGTCGCTCTGTTGCCCAGGCTGCAGTGCAGTGGTGTGATCTCACTGCAACCTCTGCCTTCCAGGTTCAAGCGACTCTCCTGCCTCAGCCTCCCAAGTAGCTGGGACTACAGATGTACACCACCACACTCAGCTAATTTTTGTATTTTTAGTGGAGATGAGGTTTCACCATGTTGGTCAGGCTGGTCTTGAACTCCTGACCTCAAGTGATCCTCCCGCCTCGGACTCCCAAACTGCTGGGATTACAGGCATAAGCCACCACACCCAGCCTGTTTTACAGAAGTATTCTAAACAGTTTTTCTGAAGAGCCTAGTCAATTTCCTCTAGCTTATCTAGAAGGGTCTATTCAACACGTGGCATAGTACTTGCATCCTGTGTTGTATTTTTATTTATGTTTCTGTGCTTGTGGTCCCATTAGACTGAGCTGCCAAGGAGCAGGGCTTGGGTTGTTCATCTCTGCATTCCTTGTGAGTAGGCATTTGGTGAGTGCTTACTCAATGCATGAATTCCTTCTGGTGCACTGAAAACATGTTTTGATTTCTTGAAATAATTTTTCTTTCTTTCTTTCTTCTTCTTCTTTTTTTTTTTTTTTAAGAGACAGTGTCTTGCTCTGTCATCCAGTCTAGAGTGTAGAGGCACCATCATAGCTCACTGTAGCCTCCATTTCCTGGGCTTAAGCAATCCTTCTGCCTCAGCCTCTTCAGTAGCTGAGACTACAGGTGTGTGCCACTATGCCCACCTATTTTTTAAAATTCTGTAGAGATAAGGTCATGCTATCTTGCCCAGGATGGTCTCAAGCTCCTGGCTTCAAGTGATCCTCCTGTCTCATCCTCCCAAAGTGCTGGGATTACAGGCATGAGCCACTGTGCCCAGCCTGAAACTATTTCCCCAAACTAAATTTAGTTTCCAAAAAACATTCATCATAAAAATGAATGAAAGACTTGCTAAAGGGGATTCATAGACCCTTCAATGGCAGACCTTGAAAACAGGTAACTCTTTGAAAATCCTTCAGGAATTTCCTGCTATTGGATTGTTGTCAAAATATTCAAACCAAATTATAGCACAGACATCCAGTTTCTTCTTTTCTTTTTATTAAGTTGGCTCTTAATCTCTTACTGGAAAATTAGGCTGTCCTCAAACCTGGGCAAGACATTATTATATAAGCTGAACAGCTGGGGCCAAAAACCTTTTTTTGATTTTGTTTTCAGATTCAGTAATGGAAAAAGATCCTTGGGGAGAGGAGCAAACCTGGAGAAGCAGGAAGAGTCCACCTCTGGGAGGATAGCAAAGGTGGCATTCTAAAGTGGCCTATTCAATGGAGCCACTTCTATTTGTCTGAGGATGTGTTCAAATGCCTGCCAGAGCTTATTGTTAGTTCCAGATGAACAATAAGAGCTATAACTTCTACTGACTTAACTTTGAGGATTCTCCCAAAGCTGGAGGTACTCTATTTAAATCTTCAAATCTTTTAATTAACAAACTTTCCTAAGCAGGCTAGGGTTTCTCCTGACTGAACACTCTTAATATACCAAATGGAAGTGCAATATACTCTACTAGATAATTATTTAAATGAGATGCCAAGTAGTTGGTTGAACAGACATCTTAATTAGCAAAACAGATATATTCATATTTTGCATTTGAAATACTTAATAATACCACTCTTCAGGATTTATAAAGACTGTCTTCTCTGAGAAGGTCAAGGAAGCCCCTACATTGCTCATTTACATGCATTCAGAAGTACCTTTCTTATTTCCTTCTATTCATGTCACTTGCGTGGATTGCTTAAGAGGGGTGTTACACTTGCTGAGAGAATAATTTTCATTGTCAGATATGTAAAATGATTTCTTGAGATTGTACAAATTGATCGAGGTGAATGAGAGAAAGAATATAATCTAAAATGTTTTTGTAGGGAGGCATTCAGCTTATTTGTGATGTCTTTGTTAGCTGCTTGTGGGCAAAAAGCCTCAGCTCTTCCAGGGTGGGTCAGAATTGGTTATGGTCCTCATCTGAAGCTATCATTAGAATTGTAAGAGGAAAGGTGCTGTTGCCTCTGATACTCTATTGGATGTTGATTCATTGATTGTCTGCAACAATAATTTCAGCTTGAAAAACCTCAAAATCAGGTAGCATATTCCTAAATGTAAAAAATATTAATATGGTCTATTAGGCTTTTTACTCCCTTTACCAACCATCCAATTAACAAACAGTTTTTAGCACTATGTTGCGTAAGGCCCTTTGGGCATAGAAAGAATTATAAGACTTACTTTCTACATTCAGGGAACTATCATTCTCTTTGAGAAGATAAGACATATTCATAACAAGTGATGTAAGAATCCAAGATAGTACATAAGCCAGTTCCAAAGGCAAAGCAAAGCAAAACAAAAATAACAATAGACCCTGAATTTGCTAACTATAGATGCTTGCTCCAAGACAGAGAATAAAGTTAGTAACTTCCAAAGCTGGGCTAAATTTCACTCCCCTGGTAAATCTCTAAGCTTGAAAGATTGGAGGCACATAATTTGGGAATGGGAACTATCTATCTACAGTGAAGACAAATCTAGATTGTGTGCTAGATCTTCCAGGCAGGTAGCAAGTAAAGAAAAATTAATTTCCTTGCCAGGCTCGGTGGCTCACAACTGTAATCCCAGCACTTTGGGAGGCCAAGGCTGGCAGATCATGAGGTCAGGAGATCGAGACCAGCCTGGCTAACACGATGAAACCCCATCTCAACTAAAAATACAAAAAAATTAGCTGGGCGTGGTGGCAGGCGCCTGTAGTCCCAGCTACTCAGAAGGTTGAGGCAGGAGAATGGCATGAACCTGGGAGGCGGAGCTGGCAGTGAGCCGAGATCGTGCCGCTGCACTCCAGCCTGGGGGACAGAGGAGACTCCATCTCAAAAAAAAAGAAAAAAAAAAAGAAAAATTTATTTCCTAGAGATTATGTAAAAAGATTTATCAAAATAACTATCAGAAAGGGAACTGATATGGTTTGGCTCTGTGTCCCCACTGAAATCTCATGTTGAATTATAATCCCTATGTGTGGGCTGGTGGGAGGTGATTGAATCATGGGGCCTGACTTCCCCCTTGCTGTTTTCATGATAGTGAGTGAGTTATCCTGAGATCTGGTTGTTTAAAAGTGTGTAGCACCTTCCCCTTCTCTCTCTCTTTCTCTCTCTCCTGCCGCCATGTGAAGAAGGTGCTCACTTCCTCTAGGCCCTCTGCCATGGTTGTAAGTTTCCTGAGGCCTCCTAGCCATGCTTCCTGTTCAGTCCGTGAAACTGTCAGTCAATTAAACCTCTTTTCTTTATAAATTACCCAGTTTCAGGTAGTTCTTTATAGCAGTATGAAAATGGACTAATACAGGAACCAATCATTCCAGCAGTTCCCAGTCATGTTGGAATTATTGGACACAAACAGCGTAAGTAAATAATATTAAGGAGACTCCTTTTTATGTGCCACAAGAAGCATTATTTTTCTTCAAATCCGTAGGGACCAAGGAAAAGCTTCCCTTCCTCACTCCAAAGGTTCACTGAAAATGAACTTACAATAGGCAGATTCATAGAAGGGAAAGTTACACAAAATTTACAAAAGTGCATATGAACATAAGAGCCATACACAAAGCATTAGACTCAAAGAGGGGCAGATGGTTGATGCCCGAATACTCTCTTCATGCCAGAGTCATATGGACATGTGAGGCAGACATTATTTTGTAAATGTTTCTCTTTGGAAGCTGGATGGGATGAACAAGTTATAGGAAGGTGAGGGACTGAATGCATAGGAACAAAGGCTGTCTTATTACATAAAGTCTCCTAGGTAATCTCTGGGAGCTGCCCTCAGGAAACTAGAAGAAAAGTCTGTCTGAGCATGGTGATGACTCCCAGAGTCTTCTCTTCTCAAGTGGTTAATATTTCCTGGTTATTTGATGAGATTTCTACATAGAAGGTCTTAAGACAAGACATTTGTTTTGGAAAGAATTTTTCCTAGTCAGACAAGAAAATGTCCAGAAAGAGTGCCTCTTGGTGCTTCTGGAAAGAGGATCAGATAAACAAGGAGGTGTGGGAAAATCAGAGAGATGCTAGCGCTGCTTGTTTAGCTCAGCATGTCAAAGCGCAATGTTCTCAGGTATCATTTTTCTGAACCCCAGCACTTCACATCTTTCTCCCACAATGGCTGATTTGCTGTTGACTTTTTTGGATGAAAATATTGCACAGTTTAATGAACTTTTCTTCTTGATGTTTGCTCTGAGACTCTAGATTTCACCATCAGAATCATTGTCACAGAGGGCTCTTTCACTGTCCCCACCATTGCCCATTAAGGTAGTGGAAATAGAGTCCTCAAAACATGTCAGTTGCTTTCCTGTTTCCTTCCCTCTACACTGAGAAGAGGATACTTTAGCTGTTTCAAACCATGCTCCTCCAGACTAGAAATGACCTACAAGAAGATCGGACTCTGAAAGGTTGTCCATGCTTGGAGATGGTTAGAATCTGAATGTGACTTTGCATAAAACATCATTAACACCTGAAATCTATGACTTGTGGCTGGAGATCAGTGGCAGCCAATATATGACCAACTCATAATACATGGAGGTTTTAGGGACCACTATTATTTTCAAATGCAAAGTTTCCCATTGCTATAGAAAAGAGAATACAGAGAAAGGCATAGGAAGAGAAGGAGGCTGACTCAGAGAACTTAAACAGGAATATTTCAGGTAATGAGCCGCCAATTCGCAAGTCTCCATTAAAGTGAATTTCCAACACATTTCTTTCATGATCTGCTAATGAGGACAGTTTGACATTCTCCCAGGTGAAATAATTTAAGTAGAAACCATGTGACATTATAATCAATTTAAGCAGCTCTCTACCTACTTCAAGTTTGTCAAAGTGTTTTACATTTAAAGCTATAATTAGCTAGCCCTTCTAAATTCACTGTGAGGTAGAGAGTTGAATTACCAAGCAAGCTTTATAACTGTGGGAACAAAGAACAAATAATTTTCAAAAAGAGTCAACCATTTGAGTGCTGGTTACAACAGTGTGTTCATCTTGTGAAAATCTTTCAAGCTGAATGCTTAGGATGTGTTCACTATTGTAAATGTATATCACATATCCATGAAAAGTTAAAATCTAAATATATATATTAAGAAACCTGATATAAAGTGAAGAAAAAAGATTCCCAGACAGGCATGGTGGCTCATGCCTATAATCGCAGCACTTTGAGAGGCTGAGGTGGGAGGACTGCTTGAACCCAGGAGTTCGAGACTAGCCTGGGCAACATGGTTAGATCCCCCCACACGCACCCCCTATCTTTACAAAAAATAAAAAAATTAGCCACAGGCGTCATGGTGCACACCTGTGGTTCCAGCTACACTGGAGGCTTAGGTGGGAGGATCACTTGAGCCCAGGAGGTCAAGGCTGCAGTATTGCACCCCAGCCTGGGTGACAGAGTGCCACCCTGTTTCAAAAAACAGAACAAAACACAACAAAACCCTTCCCAGAAAAACTCCTCTGAAACTGCCTAACAAAGGCATTTGTGTTTAGTGTAATGGGCCTTCGGCATGCTGAGCTAGCCACTTACGGTACTAAAACCACCTCAATTCCTCCTACACGTAAATTAGAGTTTGAAAATAATAGAGTTGTGTGCTCAGGTATGTAGATGGAAGCCAGAGTGGCAAAATAAAATAGATGGATTTTCACATGGTTTGTTTGCCAAATGGTTTGCTTCTTCAGTAGAACTCTTGAGTCTTGACTGCAAGGTGCACCAAAGAGAGTAAGCAAGTACCTCATTGTGACCTCCCAGCCCAGTGCTTTCATTTCACATATAAGGAAACAGACCCTAGGTGGTGAAATTGCTGTAGAGTGGCTGGCCTTCTCTCTCACTACCATCAGTGCCTTAGATTCAGGAAGACCTGGAACCAAATTCCCACTCCACCGTTACCTACAGTGGGCCTTTGGGCAAATCAGTGAACCTTCCTGATTTAGTATCCTCAGAAGTTCAAAGTGAGACAATGTAAAAATGTCCATGGGGTAGAGCTGCTGGGATGACAAAAGGGAAAAAAATACATAAAGCTTCTGACATGCAGTAAGCATTCCATGTGTATTGATTCCTGGACAATGCACACTGTTATTTATTTATTTATTTATTTTTACCTGAGAATTGGATTAGATTAGTGCTGGAGTTCTCAGTGGGCAGGAAAGAGAAGGAGATGGTATCCTCTTAAAGAAAACCTCAAATTTCTCTCTCTACCTCACTCCATCCCCGCCTTGGCCTGGATCTCCTCCTTTTTTCTGTCCCTTCTTCCTACTTGCCTTTTTGCCTCTTGAGATTCCAGTTGCTGTTCCTTTCTCTGCTTTCCCATCTCCATTTGGTCTTCAGTCTTTGAGGTCTGGGTTCTACCCTGACCACTCCACTACAACTGCTCTGCCAAGATCCGCAAGGATGTCATGCTTACAAAAGCCAAGTCCTTTCTTCATATTGATCTCATTACTTTTCTATGGTAGATCACTCTATTTCTAAAGCACATTTCTCGCCTTGGCTTTTACATAGCTTTCATGGTTTATTTCTGCCCATCTGCCCTTCTCAGTCTCTCTCTCTCTCAGGGTCCCTTGTAAATGTTGTGGGCTCCATATCTCTCCTTGACCATCTCATCCCCAACAGTGACTGCTCCTATCCCCTGGATGGCACCCAAATATTTCTTTCTACCCTTCTTGTCTTCTAAGCTTCAGATCCAATTGCCCATGGGATAGTTCCATTGATTGAACTCATCTCATCTAAACTGTGCCCACCATTGTCCCCCACCCTACTTCCTCCTCTATGAAGCCCCCTATTCCTGACCCCTGAATTGTGCAACCATCTATGTGGTTGCCTTAGCTGTCTCACTACCCACATCCAACCCATTTGGTACACCCCTTTCTTATAAATATCTCTTGAATCATGTGTGTTTCTTTGTCTTCACACTCACTTCTCCAGCCCTGTCATTGCTTTAGTTGGTTTCCCTGATTCGAGTCATTTGGGGAGGAGATGACAGACTATACTAATGCTGTTAATGCAAATCAGATGACTCCCTTCTTAAATATCCTAGTTATTGCTTCCCATCAACCTCAGAATGATGTCCAAAATTACTGTAGCCTCCAAGACTCTTTGTGTTTGTCTCTACTTTCTTTTCAAAACACAATTTTCCCATGTCATGTCTTACATCTGGGAATTGCATAGCTGAGAATGCCAGAAATGTCCTTCCTTTTCCTGAACAACTCCTGTCCATCTTCAAAATCCAGTCAGCTGTTACCTCTCCTAGGAAGGTTTCCTTAGCCCCCGCACACTCATCCCCAGCTGGGTTAGGTGCCTGGTTCCTAACTTCCTGCTCCTGTCAGTGGACTTCTGGCTCTGTGTGTCATTTTAAATCTACTTGTCTGACTTTCTCATTAGAGGCAAATAGTGGGTTCTTTCATCTAACTTCCCTGGGCATAAACACGATGACCACATGTATCAGTCAAATTGCATCAATGCAATTTGAGTGAATGATGATTTGGCTAGGGAAGGTTTGTGGACAACTTTGATGTGAGTGTGGAGGAGTAGGGTGGTATGAGTGTGTATGAACTGGGTGGTTTACCAACTCTTCCACAGTCTAGAACTAGCTCAAAAGTCATTTAAATAAAAAATAAGGAGAAGTTCATTTTTTTCCGGATCCACCCACGTTCTCATTTCACTGCTATCTAGAAGACTAAAAACCATATAACTTTCTGTTGCTTGCATGACTGTGTCAAAAGATCTGAAACATGTCATGCATGAGCAGTCTCTCCTGTGCGTCTGCCACCCACAAGATCAGATTCCTTCCAACCATTGCTTTTTCCTCCTTAATTCTTCTGAAGCACATTATATATTCCTGGGAGCTTTTTCATCCTGGAACAATTCTCTAATGAACGCAGCCCCTTCATCTTGTTCCAACTCCCCTACCCCAATAAACCTCCACAGATAGAAGAAAGTTGATGATTTTTAAAAAATTTTAAAAGGCATCTAGAGGAGTGGCATAGGATGGGATTTTAATATTACACTTAAAAGAAAAAACACAATTTGAATCTTCCTTTGGAAATGCATCAAAGTAAAATATATGGAATTCAAATGTAATTTGCAAGATGGAAAAGAGTGCCCATTAGAATGAAATTGATGCTGAACAGGGGCCCAACAATTCCACAGAAACAAAGAATTCTTTTTCCTTTGAAGTAAAGTAAATGTTAGTCATAATATATTTTTGACCTCATCTGCTTCTTCTTAGAAATACTAATATAGAGTGGAAGATAAAAATCCAAAGGCAAATGATTAAGCTTAATCTTGTCTTTATTAATAATTCTCCTCATTGTTATCTTACATCAAAGTCTACATCCACTTAATTTATAAGGAAAAGAATATTTATTCCATGACTGTGTGATGAAGGAAAATCATGAATTAAAAACCAGTTATTGGGTGGGGGGAAGTGTGCAATACTGGGGAAATTTTGTACTTTTTGTGGAAATCAGTTTCTGTAAGCAGCTACCTTACAATTATAAAAATTCATCTTGCCTAGATGAGAGAAAACCTCTTATAGTTACTTCCTCTATTTTTAGTGGGTGTTTTACTAATAAAATGGGAATGAAAGGGTGATTTTTTTGAGGAAACTCCATTTTACTCTTGATTACCAAAGGCCTAATTATCTCCATAGCGTTACGATCTCTTCAAATCTTCTTTTGTTGTTGTTTTCTTCAATTTTATTTTAAGTTCTGGGGTACAGGTACAGGATATGGAGGTTTGCTACGTAAGTAAGCAAGTGCCATGGTGGTTTGCTGCACAGATCAACCCATCCCCCAGGTATTCAGCCCAGCATCCATTAGCTCCTGATGCTCTCCGCCCCCCCGTCCCCCCCCCACCCCCGTTGTTTTGTTTTCAGTAAACACAGCCATTAATACTTCTGCTGCTGTGACCAGGCCCCTAGCCACCCGCTGCTGTGGCCATCGCTATTGAGACAATTGAAAAGGGAAGAAATCATGTAGAGGGGGAAATGGAGAGCGGCACAGTCATAGCAGAGTTTCTCAGTGATACAGATGTTCCTCGTCCGTTCCTATCCCACATTTGTTCAAGTTCCACCCCTTCAAAGAAGCCTTCCCTGCCTCTTCTTTCCACTCCTCTGATAATTCTTTCATTCCAGAGCCCTCAGCGACTGCATTTATACCTACACTTATGTTTGGACGTTTTTCATGTTGTTCTCAGATTATTGTCCATCAGTAAGTTTGATTTCCTCAGGTAATTTCTAGCCTCTGTAAGAGATGGGGATTCTGAAATTGGGAGGTGACAGAACCAACTGCTACTACATGAAGGTTACTTTTTCACTGGGATATTATCTTTATCAGAAATTTTAATATTATTGATTTTGTAGCCTGGACATGGCCCTTTTATGAAGGGTGAGGTCATTGATTGGGTCAGTCATTGGAGAAAAAACTGCAGCACTTCATATTTATAGAAAATGTCAGAGAGAAAGAGTTCCGGGAGGCTCAGCAAGTTATCTTGTGAATGTCAACAGATTGACTGTAAAGTTTATTTGGAGATGCAAAAGACCCAGAAAAGCCAACACAATATTGAAGGAGAAGAACAAAGTTGGAGGACTGACACTAGCTGACTTCAAAACTTACTGTAAAGCTACAGTAATCAAGACAATGTGGTATTGGTAGAAGAATAAACAAATATATCAATGGGACAGAATAGAGTCCAGAAATAGACCACATAAATATAGTTAACCGATCTTTGACAAAAGAGCAGAGGCAAAATAACGGAACAAAGATCATCTTTTCAGCAATGATGCTGAAACACTGGACGTCTTCATGTAAAAAAATGAATCAACACAAACCTTATACACAAACCTTATACTCCTCACAAAAATTAACCCAAAATGGGTCACAGACCTACATATAAAATGCAAAACTAGAAAACTCCTAGAAGATAACAGAAGAAAATCTAGCTGACCTTGGGTTTGCCAATGACTTGCTATTTTTGTTTTCATTTTTGAGACAGGGTCTTGCTTTGTCACCCAGGCTAGAGTGCAGTGGAGAGATCACACAGTTCACTGCAGCCTCAACTTCCTGGGCTCAAGTGATCCTCCCACCTCAGCCTCCCAAGTAGCTGAAACTACAGGCATGCACCACCGTGCCTGGCTAGCTTTTTTTTGGGTAGAGATGGGGTTTCACCATGTTGCCCAGGCTGGTCTCACTTAAGCCCTTGGGCCAAAGTGATCCTCCCAAAGTGTGAGATTACAGGTGTGAGCCGCCAGGCCCATCTTGGGGATGACTTTTTAGATGCAACACCAAAGCCATGAGCCATGAAAAAAAAAAATCTGATATGTTGGATTTTATTAAAATTAAAAATTTCTGCTCTGCAAAAGACAACGTCAAGAGAATAAGAAGAAAAGCTGAGCTGGGCGCTGTGGCTCATGCCTGTAATCCCAGCATTTTGGGAGGAGGAGGTAGGCGGATCACTTGAGGTCAGGAGTTCGAGACCAGCCTGGCCAACATGGTGAAACCCCATCTCTACTAAAAATACAAAAATCAGCCAGGTGTGGTGACACAGGCCTGTAATCCCAGCTACTCGTCGGGCTGAGAATTGCTTGAATCTGGGAGGCAGAGATTGCAGTAAATTGAGATTGTGCCACTGCAATCCAGGCTCAGTGAAGAGTGAAACTTCATTTCAAAAAAAAAAAAAAAAAGCCAGCGACTAGGTGAAAATATTTGTGAAAAATATCTAAAAAAGGACTGTTGTCCCAAATATACAAAGAACTCTTAAACCTCAACAATAAAAGAAACAACTTGATTAAAAAAATGAAATAAAAGACTTTAACAGGCACCTCATCAAAGAAGATATAAAGATGGCAAATAAGCATATGAAAAGACGCTCTACATCATATGTCACTCTGGAAATGCAAATTAAAACAACAATGAGATACCACTATACACCTATGAAAATGGCCCAAATCTAGAACGCTGACAACACCAAGTGCTGATGAAGATGTGGAGCAACAGGAACTCTCACTCATTGCTGGTGAGAATGCAAAATGATACAGCCATTTGGAAGACAGTTTGGCAGTTTCTTACAAAACTAAACATACTCTTACCATATGATCCAAAAATTGTACTCTTTGGTATTTACCCAAATGAATTGAACTCTTATGTCCATGCAGAAACATACGCACAGATATGTATGGCAGCTTTACTTATAATTGCCAAAATTTGGAAACAATCAAGGTGTTCATCAGTAGGTAAATGGATAAACAAATTGTGGTTCATCCAGACAATGGAATTTTACTCAGGCCTAAAATTTTACTCAAGCCATGAAAAGACGTGGAGAAAACATATTATTGAGGGAAAGAAGCCAATCTGAAAAGGCTACATATTGTGTGATTCCAACTACATGACATTCTGGAAAAAGCAAAACTATGGAGACACTAAAAAGATCAGTGGTTACCAGGGACCGGGTGGTGAGAGGGATGAATGGGTGCAGCACAGATTTTAAGGGCAGTGAAACGATTCTGTATTATACTATCATGGTGGCTATAGGCTGGGCACAGTTTCATGCCTATAATCCCAGCACTTTAGGAAGCTGAGTCAGGAGGATTGCTTAGAGCCAGTAGTTAGAGACTAGCCTGGGAAACATAGTCAGATCCTGTCTGTACAAAACAAAACACAAACAACAAGAAACTTAGGTGGGCCCAGTGTTGCATGCCTGTAGTCCCAGCCACTCAGGAGGCTGAGGTGGGAGGATTGCTTGAGCCCAGGAGTTCGAGGCTGCAGAGAGCCATGATTGCACCACTGCACTCCAGCTTGGGCAACAGACCAAGACCCCAACTCAAAACAACAACAACAACAACAACAACAACAACAACAACAACAGACAACAAAAGGTGGATATATGTCATTTTACATTTGTCCAAACCCATAGAATGTACAGCACCAAGAGTGAACCCTAATGTAAACTATGGATTTTGGATAATGACGTGTCAATGTAAGCTCATCAGTTGTAACAAATGTACCACTCTGGTTGATACTGGGGAGGTTACGCATGTGTGGGAGTAGTGGATAAATGGGAAATCTCTGTACATTTCTCTCAATTTTGCTGTGAATTTAAAACTGCTCTTAAAAAAAAAAAAAGAGTCCCAGGAGGACTGTGGAATGGAAGTGTGCCGGGGTTCTGACCTGAGGGTATCAAGATGTCCCGGAGGTAGTTCCCAAATGTTGGACCACGAGATGATGATCTCCACACAGAACAGGCTGGGAGCAGGAGAAGGAATCTGCAGTTCTGGGTTTGCCATTGGGGCTGGATTAGAAGATAGGAACTGAAGACACAAGCAGTGAACCATGCTGAGTCAGCCATGACAGGGTCAGAGACCAAAGCCCAGGCTCAGAATGTTTGCATGCTTATTTTCTTCTCTGCATTCATTTCCATTTTTGTTCTCTGTATATATTTACTAAGGTCTTTTTGAAAGTTTAAGCCTTTTTCAGATACACTGAGGAGCTCAGGGCAGGCGCAGGCTTGGGTTAGGCCTCTAGACCAGGAGCCTTTTGTTATTTTTCCTTAAAGGATCAGATAGTAAATATTTTCAGTGTTTTAGGTCTTGCAGGCCACATGGTCTCTGTAGCCACTATTCAACTCTGCTGTTGTAGTGGGAAAGCAGCCACAAATGACACATAAATGAATGACTGTGGCTGGGTTCCAGCCAAACATTATTTACAAAATCACAGAGCTAGCAGCTTTGGCCTCCTGGCCTCAGTGTACAGTAGACAGTTAAGGGGGTCTGGCCCATCCCTGGGGCCCAAGGTAAATGATGGCAGAAGTAATTGAAGTGAGAGAAGCCTAAGGAGCAGGTAGCTCAGGAGAGAGACCGGGCCCTCACGGTCTGCTTAAGCCTTGAGGATTTAGATATTAATTAATTAATTTTTTTTTTTTTTTTTTTGAGACAGAGTCTCACTCTGTCACCCAGGCTGGAGTGCAGTGGCATGATCATGGCTCACTACAGCCTTGGCCTCCCGGACTCAGGCCATCCTCCCATCTCAGACTCCCGAGTAGCCAGGACTATAGGTGTGCTCTACCACGCTTGGCTAATTTTTTGTATTTTCTGTGGAGATGGGGTTTCACCATGTTGCCTTGGCTTGTCTGGAACTCCTGGACTTGAGCAATCCATTTTCCTTGGCCTCCCAAAGTGCTAGCATGAGCCACCACATCCAGCTGCAGTTTTAATTTATTAAAAAGGACACCTCCTTCACTCCATCTTAACAGCAGGTTTTTTTTTTTTCTGTTGTTGTTTCCGCTACATCCTTAGCACCTAAAACAGTTGCTTGACATAGTCTAAGCACTCAAAAATATTTGCTAATGGATATTTGAATGAGTAAAATTCCCTTACACAGCAGGGTTGAGTGAACCCTTGGTATCTCTGTGACTCCGGACATATAAAACCAAACAACAAACAAACAAATGAGAATACCAGTTTTGATGTTGTGAAGCTAGAAAAGAGAAAATAAAGAGCCAAGAGAAGAAATTAAATATATCCTTTCAATTTTAAGGTAATTGCAGGCAAGCATTGGGTTTCCTCAGCTCTGCATCCTGTAGGTTGCCCTGCCTGATCCACACTAAGTGTTTGGTAACTGGAAGCTTCAGGGTGGGTACAGATTCTATAGGCAGATACTAATAGTTGGGCAGGAAAGGAGATTATTAAATCTTCACTAGGCTTTTCACAGAATTATTCACTGAACCCACATGGAGGCTAACCCTGTCTACACATGTTAGTTATTTCCATAATAGTGCCTTTTTGGAGACCATGTTGTTAGGTTATATTGTACTATAATATAATTATGCTAAAGTATTATGCAGACTGAGTGCTTATAACCTATGTCTACGCTAATTGCAAAGGAAAGGCAAGGTTCCTGCCCTTTTCGAGTTTGCTTTGAAAGACAGGGATTAAAAAAAAAAAAAAAAGATAGGGATTTTCCCAAGCACAGAGAGGGCACATAGGAGTGTAAGCAGAAGACAGACAGGAGGAAAGGAGGAGAGCCCTGTTAAGGCTCAGAACGCATCCCAAAATACGGCACCTTGGCGATGGAGAAAATGACTGAAGCAAGGTCACTCTGGCTTCTGCCACCTTCTCCCGGGAGCATTGGTCATAGGGGATTCTCTGACCTACCTCGCCTGACACTGGGCCACAAAACCCTCATTCCAGAAGGGTCCTGCCCTACAACCGGACCAAGAAAAATCTAAACAAACAGGCCTTACTGGGATCCCTCCTTCAGTCTATTACCATGAGATCACACCCTTTTGTCCAATCACATTTCTACATGCTGTCAATTCCTCATCAAACCTAAGCATAAAACACACAGTGTCTCCTAGGTCATGGGGTCTTTACTTCTGAAGGCTCCTGTGTCACATAAAACTTAGGTTAAATGCAATTGGTTATGCTTTTATCTTGTTAATCTGTCCTTCGTTATGGGGGTGTCAGTCGAAAACCTCACGGTGGTGAAGAAAAGATGTATTACCTTTTATCCCCTACAGACTTAACCGGTCGGCCACTCTGGCTCTGTGTGTGTGTGTGTGTGTGTGTGTGAGAGAGAGAGAGAAAGAGAGAGAGAGAGAGAGAAATATTGCCTCTCCAAAGGCCTCCTAAAATCAACCTTTTTGGGAATGATAATCCATTAAGTCATCCAGTGATCATTGTCTCATTATGAACTGTTTATCAGACACTTCCTTGGTGTCAGAATAAAGAGCAACCACTTATTGACTGGCGACCACAGATGGGCACTTTGCCAAGTTCGCTGCATGCTCTCTAATTTAATCCTCTCTTGCAACTCTGGACAATAGCATTATTTCCCCCATTTTATTAAGGGGATCACTGAGGTTCACAGGAGCTAAATAATCTACTGAGATCACTCAGTAATAAGTGGAAGAGACTGGGGTGAGGCAAGAGGGGCACCTAGAGTGCAACACTTAGGGAGGCAAACTCTCTGATCTGTGCATGTGTGTGCAGGGTTGATGTGAGCCTGAACCGGAGATGAGTGTCTCAAGATTTGCACCCTTGGTCCTTGCTTGCCTCACCTGGTCCTGGTCCTACGTCCTTCTGACTCAAAAGCCTGTGCTCCTAACTACTGCACCATAGCTGAAAGCAGAACCTTATTGATGGCAACGCTGGGGAGGGAAGAGGTGTGCACTGGAATGAGGTGGAGCAGTGGGCTTAAAATTTTTTGCTTGTGTGTCCCCAAAGAGGATTTTTAAATGCTATGTATTCTTTGAACATTTAAAAATTGATATTAAAAAAATTCAACTTAAATCTACACAATTGCAAAGGATGGTAATTTCCACTTTTGCTTTAAAATAACATTGTTAAATTATTTTTAATGTATTCAATGGAGGCTACGTAGCATAATGATAAGAAAGGCACAGGTAGACATGAGAGAGAAATTTTATACCCTATTCTTTTTCCTTAAACTCTTTGAAATCATATTTCAATTTCATTCTCCAATAGAATTTTATCCTAGTATTTTCTGTGCTTAAAAATGTTAAATATATTTCTGAAACAAAAATATGTATATAAATTGAAATAGATGTTCTATTTTCTTTGACCATAGGACTCCAAGTGTTTAAAGGTTTTCTTTTGGATTTAGTTATCATTACAATTGTTATTAGTACTCATAGGTCCTCAACATCATTATATTACAAGTATTAGTAGTTACTAAATATAAAGATACAATTCCATTAGAACCACATCTCTTAACAAGATAGGGCATTTAAAAAGTTATTTCATTGCAGGAGGAGCAGGATTAAAAAAGCAAAAAACAAAGTTATTTTATATATTCATGGATGAATATTACTTAGAAAAAGATAGGGTTCAGCTCCAATTCTCATAACATTTCTGACACAATAAAGAGAAGTATTCTGTGTCATGGGTCTTTTTGAACAATTAGTGTGCACTGGCCTTGAAATGTGCTTTCTCAGACAACATCTCATCGCCACTGGTATATTGCTAGTGCATTAGTGGACCAAATGATAGTAAAATCAGAAAGGCATAGGGTTACATTCCAATTCTCATCATATTTGTCATTTTTACATATGTAAGTGTTGAGAAACTTTGTTCACTAAAATAAGTAGTTGGAAATGAGAAGTGTTTTGTTGTAGGAAAGCCATTCACTTCTCCAAGTTATGTCCTAACAAAATCATATGGTGATATATTGTGAATTTTTTTGTTTGTTTGTTTGAGATGGAGTCTCACTCTTGTTGCCCAGGCTGGAGTGCAGTGTTGTGCTCTCGGCTCACTGCAACCTCCACCTCCCGGGTTCAAGCAATTCTCCTGCCTTAACCTCTTCAGTAGCTGGGACTAAGGCACCCACCACCACGCCCAGCTGATTTTTGTATTTTTAGTAGAGATGGGGTTTCACTGTGTTAGCCAGGATGGTCTCACTCTCCTGACCTCGTGATCCACCCGCCTTGGCCTCCCAAAGTGCTGGGATTACAGGCATGAGCCACCGAACCTAGCCAAAAATTTTTTAATGATTTATCAGCCCTTCCTCCAAATAGGTGGAAGCTACTTGACTTGGAAAAGGATTTGTTACCCAGTTGTTGGAGTCTTTTATGGTCTCAACACCAACACAAGGATTTCAGATTAATTTCATTTTGGGTACCTCAGAGGCTTTTAAGCCCTGAGGCATTCCATGGTGGCAAGTCCTGGTAGATGAGATGGGTGCCTTCCTTTTTATTCTTGTGAAGAAAGGGTGCCTGTGAAAGGGGAGATGGGAACAGAGAACCAGCAAGACACCTGAAACACACAGGCTCTTTCTCAGGAAGAATGGTTTTAGGCAGAAGCTCCTAAGGACGATGAGGATCTGGGAAGTGATTTCCATAATACGACATGTGCCTATTTTGAGGATCACCAATGTAGGGCATGATGGATGCATTAATGAAAAAGGTGGTAAGAACTCTTTTGAACGATAGGATGGGCAAGGATGGGAGTAGGGTGTAGAGAGGGCTGTGGGGGAAGAGGAAGGGAGTACCAGTCAAGTAGGGAAATAAGGGAGAACTGAAAGAGCACACAAGAGTTAATTCAGTTTTGACTGTGGCTGGCCCCTCTGTGTTATAAACTGACCATTGACTCACTCTCACCAGCACAACATTTAGAACCCAGTGTTTTTGTCTTGAGTTTTGTTTTGTCAATTAACACCAAAGCAGGCTAAATAATAATACATGTTTGGTTGTGAGACAGTGTGTTGGAGGGGCTGATTTTTATTCAGGGGTTTAATCAAGAAAGGAATTAAGATTAGAATTCAAGGTTTATAAATCAGGTGAAGATCAGAAGATAGGAAGGGGACAATTTGGAAAAAGGGGAGAGGACTTAAGATAAAGCCTGGGCACTTTGATTCTGTGTCCCCGGTTTCCATCATTAACATTGTTTTAGCTGCAAATGTTGCTTCCTCTTCCCAAATTAAATTAAACTGTCCTTAGAGCTGGAATAATGTAGTTCAGTTCTCTCTAAACTGGAGTATACTATCTCTCAGCACTTTCAAAATGGCTAAGGGTCTTTATTTTGTGTGTAACCTTATTTTGTGTGTAATACACATGAACATCTCGAGTGTCATTCAGAAACAGGCCATTTCTCGGATAAGTCTATTCATTTGCAAATTGACAGATCTCTATTAATAGCAAGAAATGTTTGCTATCAGGTTTACATTGTTACCAATGTAATTCAAAATCATCCTTGGTAAGATTAGGCTTTTTGCGTGGAAAATTAATTAAGTTAAAATTTAAAAGCCATCTTTGAATGAGACATGAGAAGTAAAACAACAAAATAAAAATTTAAAATCTTTGCATGAATTCAAAGTTCATGAAACTCTTAACTTATTTTGAGCACATAATTTTAAAATAAAAATATTTGAAAATTGGTTTTATATTTTTTAGCATAGCTTTTAACTATTCACTGGAATTGAGAAACTCACCTGCCTATTTGTAGAAATTCTGCTTTCTAAATATGGCTCCTAAGCATATATATGTAACTGATAGGTTTTTTTTTTTTGTTTCTTTGTTTTTTTAAACAGAGTCTCACTCTGTTTCAAAAAACAGTGACGTGATCTCAGGAGTGCAGTGATGTAATTTCAGCTCACTGCAACCTCCACCTCAGCCTCTCTAGTAGCTGGGACTACAGGCATGCGCCACCATGCCCGACTAATTTTTTTTTTTTTTTTTTTGTATTTTTAGTAGAGATGGGGTTTTGCCATGTTGTCCAGGCTGGTCTTGAACTCCTGGCCTCATGTGATCCACCCGCCTTGGCCTCCCAAAGTGCTGGGATTACAAGTGTGAGCCACTATGCCCGGCCTGTATCCCATTGTTAACATATATCTTTATGAAAGCAAAAGCAAATGTTATAGTCACACAATTATAGAATAATGTCATGTATATAATTTCTATTTAAATGTAAAGTCAAAAAAGTCCTCTGAGATGGAGCCTTCCCTTATGAAATGCTCTACCCTGCTCCTGGCTGATGGCAACCAGATCATATTTCAAACTGCTAATCAAGTTGTTAATTTATAAAATCGAGTAGATGGGAAAAGGTTTCTACTTTGGCTTTGACTTTAATTATGTTAACTTTTTCCTTTCTCTCCTAAAATACAACTTGTTAGCAAATGCCACCTAAATGGTACTTCCTTTGTGACTTCGCAGCTGTCATTGTTATGCATTCATCAGGCCGGAAGTGCTCTTCTGTGTATTTTTGGAAAGCTATTCATCTGTTTTAGCTAAACAAACAGAGCTGTTTAAGCTGTTAAAATACAGTACCATAGTTATTTGTTTTTGCATCTTCGAGTTGCATGTAAATGAAAGGTTCGGGCTAATTGGTTCTAGGAATAGTATCCAAAGCAGTTCTAGAGAATTTCTCCCGGTAATTAAGTGGAATGCACTCTGGGACTCTAGTCGGCCTCACACAGAAGGGCCTCTTGGCTTTCCTTGTGGCTGTTTGTGCTTATCTCAGCCAGCTCAGTGGTTGTGGGTAGTGGGCTGTGGGCTGTGGGCTGGGGTGGTTAGGAGGGGAGGAAGAAAAAAGTTAATTACGGCCCAATGCAGGCCGACTGGAGCTCAAGGAGGAGGCACTGCAATGGAGAAAGAGGAGCTGGGGCAGGGCCGGCTGCATAGGCCTGCGACTAGTGCTGGCACACAGCCTCTGAGCCCAGAAGGGGGCCCCGCACTCCCAATGTCTGCAGCCACCGTCTTGGAATTCTGATTTATCTTTGAATACATGGTGTCTTTTAAGTGAAGTCCTAATGGGATGATGGAGCAGAAGCTGGGACCTTGGAGCCTCCCGCCACCTCCCTGCCTTTCCTGGCCCTGGCTGCAGGCTCCCCTTCCACCCCCCTGCCTTTCCTGGCCCTGGCTGCAGGCTCCCCTTCCACCCCCCCACCCACCCACCCAGTCCCAGGCTCTCCCCCACCATCCACCCACCCAGTCCCAGGCTCCCCCACCACCGCCCACCCAGCCCCAGGCTCCCTTCCCACCCACCCACCCAGTCCCAGACTCCCCCACCACCTACCCACCCACTCTCAGACTCCCCTACCACCTACCCATGCAGCCCCAGGCTCCCCTCCCACCCCCCACCCAGTCCCAGGCTCCCCCCGACCACCCAGTCCCGGGTTCCCCCACCATCCACCCACCCAGTTCCAGGTTCCCCCACTGCAACCACCCCCTGCCCCAGTGCAGGCCCTGGTGGTCTCATGCGCATGCTCACCCCCTGCCCCCCACGCCAACCCCTTGCTTCTGAGGATCTGCACTCACCTTGCAGTATTGTGCCGGTGGGCGTGTGGCATTACATAGCAAATTACAAGCACCAGGAAGGGGCAAGAGAGAAACCGTGAGGGGGAGAAAGAAAAATCCTTTCTCTTGGTTTTTGCAAAAGGGACCCCACATTGTCATTTTTCACTAAGCCCTGAAAAGTAAGTAGCAGTCAGGAGCCAATGCACTGGTTCACCACCAAAGCCGGCAACTCAAAAAGCCCAAAGGAAGGCAATCTTGCCAACAACCAGAACGCTCCTAAGAACCTGCAGGAGCTTGACATCCACAGGTGAAGTCAAAGTTTCTCCGGCCAGAGTAAGCATCTAGGCGATTAAGCAGCATCCAGGTGGGGGTGCCTGTGACACCTGGAGCCCCAGAGGGCTTGTTACAGTGCTCTTTTAGCTCTGGGCTCTAGCGCTTGGGCTTCAGCTCTTAAAAGCCATGAATAGAGTAAGGATGAACTACAGGGTGTGGGGATAGAATAAGGGACTTAGTTTTTCAGAGAAGTTAAATGATGTAGAGTTTAGACTCTGATGCCAGGTGGTCATGGTTCAAATCCCTTTCATCCATTAATACCATGACCTTGGCCAAGTCACTCAATTATTCTGAGCTGCCAGATAAGGATCTGTGGAATCATTTCTTGATGAGTCTGATATTTTGCTTCTTTCCCATCTTTTCAGTTATTAAAAATTAAATAAAGTTATTATTTAAAAAGTGGAAATACTTCAATTTAGTCATATTTCTATCTGGTTAGGTTACAATGCCTTATTTCCCTCTATTGATGTCAGTCATGCTTCTGGTGGTTGCACGACAATCCTAATATAAGTGAACATAGGTATAATCTTGGCATCGAGAATGCCATTTATATGCATGATAGGGACGGGGGCAGAGAAATTCTAGGCAGAAAAGTGTGGTCCCTGACGAAATCTCACCCTCAAGCCAAAAAGCCTGAAACCCGTGGTCCAAAGTGAGAACTTCTATCCCTGTTTTCCCATGTGAATGCTGCCTTTCCCTAAACTACCTATGGCCCACTCTGCCCCTATCCTGTGCATAGAAGACTCCAGACTCAGCCAACAGAGAGGAGAAGCAGCTGGGCGTTGGGGTCTAGGGCTGGAAGTTGGAGAGAAGCAGCTTGACTTCAGAGGGACAGCTTGAGCTTCAGAGAAGAATTTGGAGAAGAATCTGGCCAAAGACAGCTGGACTTCAGGGGAAGATTACCTATCCCCCATCCCCTTTTCAGCTCCCCTTTCCACTGAGAGGAGACGGCTGGACTTCAGGGGAAGATTACCTACCCCCCATCCCCTTTTCAGCTCCCATTTCCTCTGAGAGCCACTTTCCTTGGCAATAAAATCCCCTGCATTTACCATCCTTCAATTCGTTCATGCGACCTCATTTTTCCTGGATGCCAGACAAGAGCTTGGGAGCCACAAGTGTGGACATAAAAGGCTGTCACACTGGCCCTTTGCCCTCGCTGGTGGAGGGCAGTCGTCTCACACGACGAGGCAAAGGGCTCACTGAGCTGTTAACACTTAAGCCATCAGAGGACAGCAGAGCTAAGAGAGCACTGTAACACGCCCTCTGGGGCTCCAGGTGTCACAGGCACCCCCACCTGGATGTTGCCATGGGGCCCGCACAGAGCTTGCTCTTGCTGGTGCCGAAGCGGCTGGCCAGTTCCAGGCCTCGTGCACTCCAGTCCCCGCCTTGTTTGCTCGTGCACTCCCTCCTGTGAGGAGTGGAGAGCTGTGGGCTGAGTAAACGATGCACCCCTGTCTCGAGTCCCACAAAGGGGTCAGGCAAATATCCTGCCTCGTGTACACACACATATCATTTTTTTCTTTTTTGGGGGCGGGTACAGGTAAGGGAGGAGACCACCCCTCATATTGTCTTATGCCCAATTTCCGCCTCCAAAGAAAGAAGTAAAAACTAAAAGGCAGAAATGAAATCCACAGGCAGACAGCCCAGTGCCGCGCCCTGGGCCTGGTAGTTAAAGATCGACCCCTGACCTAACCGGTTATGTTATCTATAGATTCCAGACATTGTATGGAAAAGCACTGTGAAAATCCCTGTCCTGTTCTGTTCTGTTCTGATTACTGGTGCATGCAGTACCCCCTGCTTGCTCAATCCATCAGGACACTCTCACACGGACCCCCTTAGAGTTGTAAGCCCTTAAAATGGACAGGAATTGCTTAGTGAGGAGAGCTTGGCTTTTGAGATGCAAGTCTGCTGAAGTTCCCAGCCAAATAAAGCTCCTTCCTTCTTTAACCCAGTGTCAGAGGAGTTTTGTCTGCGGCTCGTCCTGCTACACAGGGTCTCGCTCTGTCACCCAGGCAGGAGTGCAGTGGCGGGATCAGGATTCACTGCAACCTCCATCTCCCAGGCTTAAGTGATACTCCCACCTCAGCCTCCCTAGAAGGAGTAGCTGGGACCACAGACGCATGCCACCATGCCCAGCTGATTTTTGTATTTTTTGTAGACTGGGTTTCACCATGTTGCTGAGGCTGGTCTTGAACTCCTGGGCTCAAGCGATCTGCCCACCCCAGCCTCCCAAAGTGCTAGGATTACAAGTGTGAGCCACTGTGCCCAGCCACATATAACTTTTATAGGGCAAAAAAATTCTCCATTACCAAGCTTATTAAAAATTGGGGGAAAATATTTCAACATCTGTATCAGACAAAAGGTTAATATAAATAATAAGGAAAAAATTATAATCGATAAGAAAAATTTCAAAACTCTATTAGAAAAAAAAACAGGAAAGGCAATTTGCAAAAGAATTACAAATGATTATTACCTAACAAAGAAATGTTCAACTATTAATCAATAGAAACAGATATTTGAAAAGCTTCTACTTCTCAGTCTGACAAAATTTTATCAGCATTGGCAAGGGTGTGGTGGAAGCAGATGCTCTTACATCCTGTTGGCTTGAGGCTTCCCGAAGGGCGCTTGGGCTTCAGCTCTTAAAAGTATTAGAAAGTGAATATTCTTTGATCTGGCATTTTACTTGTAGGTATTTATCCTGAAGAAATAAATAGACATAGATATACCTGTGTTTATCAGGAGTATGGCCACTGTGATTTATACTAGTGAAAATTGTTAACAGCCTAAATGCTCAACAATGGAGATTGGTTAAATATATAAATATATATTTATAAACATATAAATAATAAATACTATGATATAATACATATATATTTGTAGATATACGTATATGTATGCTATACATATATGTATAGCTGGACTATATGGATTACATGTATATAGGATTTTTAAATTATTAAAATAATTATATAAATGTATATTAAGGCTGGGTGCAGTGGCTCACACCTGTAATCCCAGCACTTTGGGAGGCCGAGGCAGGAGGATCACTTGGGGCCAGGAGTTCGAGACCAGCCTGGCCAACATGGCAAAACCTGTCTCTACTAAAAATACAAAAATTAGCCAGGTGTGGTGGTGCATGTCTGTAATCCCAGCTACTTGGGAGGCTGAGGCATGAGAATTGCTTGAATCTGGGAGGTGAAGGTGGCAGTGAGCCAAGATTGCGCTGCTGCACTGCAGCCTGGGTGGGACTATCTTAAAAAAAAAAAAAAGTATAGTAAGAACCTGGAAGGAACTTTACATTATACATTTTTAAGTGAAAAATAGCATGTGTGTATTTTGGAAAAGCAGAAAAGGTTTTAATATTAACCGTTCGTCTGATACAGATATTGAAATATTTTCCCCAGTTTTTAACAAGCACTGTAGTTTGGTGCATGGAATCAGAAGTCAGACTGCTTGGCTTTGGATCATGGCTCTGTCCCTTTCTGGTTCCACCTCTTAAAAGCTGTGTGACCATGAGTAAGTTACTGAACATATGAACAGGACAAGAACTCTGGACGTGTGGGGATGGAAGGTGGAACTGAGATTCGAGTCCCATTTGAGCGCAGAGCCTGTATTCTTAACTTCTGGGCTACATGGAGCCAAAATAAACAGTGGCAGAGAGAGAGAGAGAGAGAGAGAGATGCAGATAAATAAAGATAGTGAAGGGTATTGGATCGATTATGTTTTAAGTACTTTCAAGGCAAGATTTTACTTTGTCTTTGAATTCCCATCATTTAGTTCCACACCTGGTGCATAATAGACACTCATAAATGAATCATTGGGTAGGGTCATAGGCGTGATGCAGAGCAGAAATGCTTAGGTTCTAACAGTGGGGCCATGGGTTGGCCATTCAGATTTGTAACTAAAAGAAAGAAAGAAAGAAAGGGCCGGGTGCAGTGGCTCACGCCTATAACCCCAGCACTTTGGGAGGCTGAGGCAGGCAGATCACCTGAGGTCAGGGGTTTGAGACCCTCCTGGCCATCATGGTGAAACCCCATCTCTACTAAAAATACAAAAATTACCCGGGCATGGTAGCACACGCCTGTAATCCCAGCTTCTCAGGAGGCTGAGGCAGGAGAATTGCTTGAACCTGGGAGGTGGAGGTTGCAGTGAGCTGAAATTGTGCCACTCTACTCCAGCCTGGGGGACAGAGTGAGACTCCATCTTAAAAAAAACAAAGAAAGGAAAGACAAAAAAGAAAAGAATAGGGAATCTTCTAAAATGAAAAAGGGGCACTAAGAGAGAGTGTGGAATATGGTAGATGAAGGGATCAACTCCTTTCGGACCCACAACCTCTTCTTTTTAAGGCTGCTTGAACTATTTATTAGTCTGTAATTAGAGTCCCAAGCGTTTCCTTCTGTTTCCTAAAGGGTTGGAAAAATGCCCCGAGGGCTTGTCACCATAGGCCTTCCCCACTTCTAATCAGCCAGATGGCAGCTGCAGGAAGTGGCAGCTAAAGCAACAATCACAATGTGGTGTTGACAGTGTAGATCTTCCACTGAATGGGGAGTATGAGGAAGCGTAGACAGTGGAGTTTTTCAGCCTGGATTTTAGAATTGGTTTTTGTCAGTTGGGCTTTATATATTAGTTGGGAATAACTAAATAATTTAAACAACAGCTATTTGATTATACTAATCTATTAGGCCAGAATCGAAAAGTGCCTTTTAAAAAGTCCTCCTGGATTAAAAATTTCTCTTAGAAACATTCATAATTCATTGCTGCTCTTACTAATGTCAAAATCTTACTGACTCAGTAAATGGCAAAAGGTGCATGTGGTGTTTGTGCTTATGTATTTATTTCATTATTTATTTGGATATGGGATACTGCATAGAAAGAAAACACACTCTGACTCGTTAGGTATATAAATCTCATAATCCTTAAGGGAAAAGAGACCAGGGAAGTGTATCTACCACTGGAGATTTTCTTTGACATTACAGACTTAAATGCTGTCACTGGCCTCCCTTTGCAAGGGCACATTCTGTTCAGATGTGTTAATAGAAAGAAAGCAGAGTCTAATGAAAATGCCAGAATGTCCTTTGGGAAGCTGACAAATAGAGTGTGCTGCTGATGTGGACTCAAGCTGCAGACCATCCATAGGCCTATTATTAGAATAGGGACAATGTCCAACCGTTCCTAATTGCTGAATGACATACACCTGCCACTTAATTTCCTCAGTGTCACCTGTGAATTATACCTAAGATCAAACAGCAAGAACATGTATTCATTCAGATATCTGTGTGTCCATCCATCCATCCATCCAGCCATCCATCCATCCATCCATCCATCCTGCCAAAAGATTGAATGTGTTCATTTAAAACTGAATATAGCAGGCTTCATCTGATGGTGCAAATATTTCTTCTTGGATACTGTGATGTGACAAGGTTTTATAGTTAAATAGATTATATTTTTCCATCAAAACAATATTATAATTGAGAGCTTGCTTCTGTTCAAAATATCAGAAATAATTACTAATAAGCTTCCAAATAGTTAGCCAAAGCAACAATATAAATAAAACCCTACAAACTTCTATAATCTATAATATAGCTTAAAAAAAAAGCAAATTCCAAGACATAGAATCTGGGAGATGGCAGAGACTTTGATAATCTTTTCTTTATTTAATAAGAAGTGAGAAAATCAAAGCTCAGAGGACTGGGTGCCACCCACTTAACTTGCCTGCTGTCACCCACTTAACTCAGTAAAGTGAAGGCAATAATAGCCTTGGTCCCCAGGTTCTCAGATCCATGTTCCCTATTTAACATGCTATTCCTGTCCCCAGAAAAATCCTAAGACACATACACGCGTGCTCTCTCTCTCACCTCTCACATTGCTTAAATAAGAGACCACAACATACTGTGAAATGCATATGATGTGAAAAGATACAACTATGGTTCGAGTGTCTAAATTAATAGCTAGCCAAAATAAATGTGACCAAAATCACAACTTTAAAAATTGTTTGCTCTGTCAAAAGCTAATAAAATATGGAGGTAACAAGGTAGAAGCCTGTTTCTCTTAACAAAACTGTTTGGGAACATTTGAGTCAGTAATTACATGGACACCATTTTCTGCCCCACCTAGACCAAAGTCTATTCATTCCTTTTTCCTTCCTTATAGAACCCTCATTTTATTTGGGTCCCTGCCACTCCCCTGCCCCTGGGCGGTGTCTGTGCCTCAGGGGAAGCCAACACTTCCAGGTCCAGGTCCTGCAGGTCTCAGGGGTATTTCAGTCCCTTGCTTGTGATTGGTTCTGGAAAAGGCACTTCATTCAAGTCAGGCAAATGAGACGATACTGGAGGGGAGGCCTAGGGGAGCTTCCAGAAGGTGCTCTCTTTTAAGGTTACTTCATGAGGAAGTAACTTATAAGGTTACTTCACGAGATTGGCCACAACACCTCACTACCTAAGTGACTTCCAAGGAAGCCAGCTCACATTGTTTATCATTTCAGCCCATTGAATGTTCCCAGTGGAGACATTCCACAATGGAGACATTCCACAATGGAGACATTCCCAAAGGAGAATTCCACAGTGAACGTGAATTCAGAATCCCTGCTCCAAAGGTGATTAGGGTATAGACTAGAGTTTCCTGACTTTTTTTGTCACCTCTCTAAAGAACCTTTTTAGATTTTTTTTCTGATATCCTCCCCACAAAATTCAATACCACAAACATACTGCTTATCTGCGTGTGTACTCTGTGTGTATCTGTGCCTTACACATTAACATAGTAAGATATTTTTGTTTCCCAAGAACAATTTTTGTCTTCTGGAAGATGGTATCATCTCCACCAAGAATGGCTTAGAGGGAGAGACAGGCTGTCCTAAAGAGAGGTATTAGGATGAGGATATCCCTAGGATGGGGGTACCCACTCATTTACAGAAAGTAGGGGCATTGCAAATTCTTTTACAAAATTGCCATTGACGAATATGAATATTTAAAAGTCTCACCACGGACTTTATTTGGTCTTGAATTCATTCCATTCCATTGTTTTTTTCTCATCCCCCTTCATATTCTCACACAACAGCAACATCCTAGCAGCCTGGAAAGAGAAAAGAGGCACAAAGGTCAGCTTGGGATAGCATGGGGGTGCAGGGTCCTAAGCCTTGGCTTTGTTGGCAAATCGCCTTCATTTCTGTCATGTCTCTGAAATGTCTCTCCCATCTTTCTCTTCTTTTTCATCTTCTTTGCCACCATCTTTATAAGCCTTCATCACCTCTGATCTGGGTAATGGACTCTCTTTTCTTTTTTTTCCTTTCTTTCTTTTTCTTTTTCTTTCTTTCTTTCTTTCTTTTTTTTTTTTTGGAGACAGGTTTTGCTCTTGTTGCCTAGGCTGGAGTGCAATGGCGCGATTTTGGCTCACTGCAACCTCTGCCTCCTGGGTTCAAGTGATTCTCGTGCCTCAGCCTCCCGGTTAGCTGGGATTACAGGCATGTGCCATCATGCCCAGCTAATTTTGTATTGTTAGTAGAGACAGGGTTTCACCATGTTTGTCAGGCTGGTCTCGAACTCCCAACCTCAGGAGATCCACCTCCCTCGGCATCGCAAAGTGCTGGGATTACAGGCATGAGCCACCGTGTCCAACCACGATCTCTCTTTTCTTAAGCATTTATTAAGGACCAACTGTATTTCAGTTGCTATTATAATCTCAATCAATACAGCAACCCTGTGAGTTACATATTAATGCCTTCATTTTACAGATGAGGAAATGGAGGCTCAAGAATTTTAGTGTCTTGCCCAAAGCTAGACCCACCAGTAAGATATAGACAGAGCTGGGGCCCAGGTAGGCCAAGTAGTACAACTTACGTCCATACTCCTTCTACTGGATTTTGTAATATCTTTAATGTGTTTAAAAAAATCACACAAGTGATAAATGAATACATTCTGTTTGCAAACAAAAAAAGATGTAATAGGTTAATGTTCCCATTAATTATCTCTCTCTATTCTTATTTTCCCCACCTCCATTCCCCAAGGTAACCACTGTCACCATTTGATGTGGCTCTTTCCAGATCTTATTCTAGAAATTTCATATATCTATCTGTGCCTCACTGCACACGAGGGACCAGAACAGGATGGTGGCGCTCACAAGACCTGGGAGGCGACTGCCCGGATGAATTCCCATGACGCTACATCTTGCATGTGGCTAAGCAGCCTCACTTGGGAATGGGTTAGTTTGTAAATCCTTCTCCTCAGAAAGTACAGGTTTGTGATGTGCAGGTGATTCTATCCTCTGCTCCAGATCATGTAGTGAATATTTAGTATGTTTCATTTTGTTTATGTTTCCATCTCTTTCCCTTCTCTAGATGATTTCTCCTCATCACCTTGTTTCTTCTTTTCTTTCCTTTTCTTTTTTTTTTTTTTTGAGACAGAGTCTCACTCTGTTGCCCAGGCTGGAGTGCAGTGGCGCAATCTCAGCTCACTGCAAGCTCTGCCTCCCAGGTTCAAGCAATTCTTCTGCCTCCGTCTCCCAAGTAGCTGGGACAACAGGCATGTGCCACACGCCCAATTAATTTTTGTATTTTTAGTAGAGATGGGGGTTTCACCTTGTTGGCTAGGCTGGTCTTGAACTCCTGACCTCAGGTGATCTGCCTATCTCCGCTTCTCAAAGTGCTGGAATTACAGTCGCGAGCCACCACACCTGGCCCCTCATCACCTTTTAACCAGAACAGTTAGGTCGTTTTCTTTCTCTTTGTGATGGCAACAGTTATTTTTATAGCTGTCTGGGGAAGGTGCTTAGGTAAATATCAGTTTGAGCTGTACAGTAAGCTTAATATAGCCCTTTTCTATGATTGATGAATTCACTACCTTCTTTTTTTGCACTTTTTGTTCAGTCAATAGAACTCGTGAATTAGTGATAGGGAAGTAAATTAGTTTAAGGTTGACAAACTTCCTAGAACCACACCCAGGGATTACACTAGATCAGATACACATAGTCACCCCTGCTCCTGTACATTGGTCCTCCAACCTTCTACTTCCCTGCAGTGGGGCATGCAGAAGGAAAAGGGACACATCTGTGAGGGAAGAAGATGATGCTGCTGACCGGCATAGACACAGGCACAGGCACATAGGGTCCGAATCTGGAGGGACCTACCATAGGAAGCTGTGGTGTGCACCCCTAGAGCCACTATGCCATGACTGTGCCTCCTTGGAGCCACCATCCAGCCTGGAGATCTCCAGGTAGAGTTCTTGGTGGAGATCACACAGGACAGCAATCTGTGGCCATAATACTATTAAAAAGGGGGCAGGGGGCAGTTCATCTTCCTGCAGAGATGGAAGTCAGATTTCCATCTTCCACTTAGATTATGGACAAAGACATTTTCTCTACATTGGTGTTAGTTGGGGCACGGGACCAGGGGGTTAAGCTAACTAGCTTGAAGGGATGTGCAAAATGACCAAGAAAGGGTGTTAGCCACTGCTTACACCCCCTTCAGTTAGCCACTGCTTACACCCCCTTCATGTAGGGGCAAAGAGACAAGAAGGTTCACACATGTGATCTGTCCCAGGAACGTAACAGAAGGTTAAGAACTGAAAGAGAGAGAGAGAGAGAGATAGAAAGATGGGTTCTGTGGTTCAGAAATCACTCCCCACTCTGGTGGGAGTCGGAGATTGGCAGTCAGATGCTGCCACACTTGCTACCATAGGGATGACTGTCATGCCGCAAGGTCTAGTCCAAAGCACATTTAGTTCCCGATGTTAAAGAGGGCTGGGAGGAAGGTGAGTGGTCTGAGAGATGAGAAGAATGCAGACAGGAGAACCAATCTGGTGACATTTTGGTCAAGTGTGCTGTCTTCATTAATTTTCGGTCTCAGGATTCCTAATTATGGAAACCAGCCAATACGTATTTTCTTCAGCCGTTCATCCCTAAGTCCTTCCGGGGCTGGACAGAGGTAATATAACAACTGTCGCCACACGGTGGCAGCAATATCTTCTTGGCTGTGCTCACCTAGCCTAGTGGGTGCTTTTTCTGTAACTGCAGAAGCCATGGCTTTCTCCCCGCTGGGACTTGCTGTTTGAGGAGCTGAGGCGCCTCACAGCACTTATTACAAAGAGTTTTCTTCATGTTTTTCTTTTTCCTTAAATGAATGCCTTGGAAAATATGAGGTTATGCATTACCGGGTAACTTTTTGCTTTTGTTTTTGTGTTGAGGCAGGGTCGCCAAAACAAAAACTTGCTCACTCTGTCGCCCAGGCTGGAGTGCGGTGGCGCCATCTTGGCTGACTGCATCCTCAACCTCCCAGGTTCGAGTGATCCTCCCACCTCAGCCTCCTGAGTAGCTGGGGCTACAGGTGTGCACCACCACATCGGCTAATTTTCTATTTTTTTTTTTGTAGAGATGGGGTTCTCATGATGTTGCCCGAGCTGGTCTCAAATTCCTCGGCTCAAGTGATCCTCCTGCCTCAGCCTCCCAAAGTGCTGGGATTACAGGCTTGGGCCACCATGCCTAGCCAGCGGGTACCTTTCTGTCTTTTCCTAATGGCTAATAATTTAAATCTAACTATATCTGTGAAGCCAGTGGTTTTGCCACAGGATGAGGAGGCGCCAGGGGACGGGAAGGTGACCAGATGTTCTAATTGAGTCAGCCTTGGTTCTGGCAATGAGCAGGTGCTCTGGAAGAAGTCCCAGGCAAGCTCTGCTGTGCCCCTTATCTGAACCGAGCTGATGAGCTGGCCCCCGTCCAGAGGAGGATGACCAGAGCAGAGAGGGATCTGGAAACCAGGAGTGACAGGGACGTGTGGAAGGGAAGGGGATGTTTGCAGAGGAAGGGATGACTTGAACACTACAGTTAAATGTTGGAAGGGTTGTCATGGAGAAGAGAGGTCGTTAGAATCAGGTCGGAAGAACTAGAACTAGTATGCTAGTTTGGAAGGGACGTTAGGAATCCCATCAAACACACTCCTCATTTTACAAAAGAAGAAAATAAGGCTGAGAGAGTGACACTTGTCTGGGGTCACGCCGTTGGCTGGTAACAGACAGACAAAGGACTAGGATACAGCCCTTTGATTATACCCAAATATGGTTGCCCATCAGGTTGTAAGCTATAGGGTGGGTGAGGAGGGTAACGAAGGTGGTGGCCTCTGTTTAGTGTTGAAGCAGAAACTGGGTGTCCAGAGAGTTCCTGAATTGCCCAGAGGGCTGGCCCCAGCCTAGTCACTGGAAAACGTCTGCGTTTACCTCTGACATACTCTATCTCTGTGTGCCATATGACTCACTTAATAACTGCCAGGTAATTCATGGTGATGAAAGTTTGTGTGTAGCGCGTGGGGTGGAGGAGGGAGTTGGTGTCTGGCCTTAGAAAAGGCTGCTTTTATGTGGCAGCAAATAGGAGGCTAGCAAGGTCTCTGGCTGGGGATTGCCTGGTGTCCTTGACCTTGCAGAGTCCCCAGGCTCCATCTTGGGGAAAAGGGAGACAGGAGAGGGAGTATTGCAGGCTTCCGTAGGCCCTCTGGGACGGGAGCAGCACTATGGGGAGATGGGTGAGCTTGTGTGCTGAACATCGCTAACTTCATAGGGCTTTGCTCTTGTCTCCATCCCTGAAAAATCCTTCCTAAGCACTGTATGGTATAAATATTTTAGTATCTGTCCATGGATTGGCTTGTTGTCTTTGTTGAGTTGCACGCATGATCTGGGCCTGGTTTCATCACACCTTGTGCAACTGCGATCATTATCTGGATGACAAAGAAGTGGGTGCAGGCCGTTCCCTGGATACGAAATGCTGAGGCAATTAAGCACATCTAATGACTGTTTTCTTAAGATGAATAGGAGTGATAGCAGTACACAAAGCAAAATGAGGTCTTATAGTCCATGCAGCCCAAGCATGGACTGGTCCTAGTAGAAGGAATGATGTAATTATGCTTCCCAAGTGTCACACCTGTACCATAGGTATTCTGAAATGACTTCATGTGTGATGACAAACATTTTCTTTTTTCTTTTTCTTTGTTTTTTTTTAGAGACAGGGCCCTGCTCTCCCATCCAGGCTGGAATGCAGTGGTGGTGATCATAGCTCACTGCAGCCATGAATTCCTGGGCTCAAGTGATCATCCTTCCTCATCCTCCAGTGTAGCTGGGACTATAGGCACATGCCAGCATGCCCAGCTAATTGAAGAAAAACATTTTCAGATGAAATTGTTGTACATATATCTTCAAGTGTGTTAGAAATATACATCTTGTGTATTAAATTTATTTGCTCAGAATGAGGCTAAAAAAATTAGTTAAAAAAATAAGTAGATAACAGCTGTTACTAAGAGCTGTGTGCTGAGTCTTGTACTAAGTGCTTTGAATGTAGTTCCTCATTTAATCGTCACAATAGCCCTTTGAATTAAATTTTGATTTACAGAAAACTGAATTGAAGCAAAGAGGAGTTGCATAATAACTTGTCCAATTCACAAAATTTTAAAGGGCAGACCTGTGTGAATCCAGACGAACATAGATCTGTCTGAATTCAGAGCCTAGACTCCTAACCACCGAGAGATACGGCTTCCTAAGAATGTAGCCACACCCCCAACAGAGGGACTTTGGTTTAGCTGGATCTTCATCCCAGAGTAGGTCCTCAGTAAATCCTTGTTGAATGGCTGAATGAATGAATAAATAGCACACAATATATGCTGATTCCGGCAAACATCACAAGGTAGCATGTGAATGCCTGAAGCTTAGGAAACTTGGACCTAGTTTAATGGTTGCAAAGTGTGTTCTTAGGAGCCATCCTGGGGTCAGCTGAAGAGGAGATTCCAGGGCTGCTGTGAGGGAAGTAGAGGCAGGTTCCTAGCCCTTCTCCCAGCTACCACAAGAGCAGCTCCCTGTTATCCACTGCCCCCGTCCCACTTCGATTTTCAAAAAAGTCTCCACTGCTTTTGAAATGAAAATAAAACAAAGAATTCCAACCTTACCTCTTAGTAATCTGGTGCAATAACATCATTATATAGATGAAGAAACTGGGGCCCAGAGAAGTAAAAGATTAGAATAAAGCCAGAGCTTAAGCCAGGCGCAGTGGCTCACGCCTGTATTTCCAGCAATTTGGGAGGCCAAGGCAGGTGGATCACCTGAGGTCAGGAGTTCGAGACCAGCTTGGCCAATGTGGTGAAACCCCGTCTCTGCTAAAAATACAAAAATTAGCTGAGCATAGTGGTGCGTGCCTGCATTCTCAGCTACCTGGGAGGCAGAGGTGAAAGAATCACTTGAACCTGGGAGGCAGAGGTTGCAGTGAGCCGAGATTGTGCCAGCCTGGGCGACAGAGCGAGACTCCATCTAAAAACAAAAAAAAAAGAATAAAGCCAGAGCTTGAATCCAGTCTTTCGGGCCCCTTTGCCCACTGCTTATTTTATCACATTGAGAAAGCTAGATTTGAAGCACACTGGAAAACATCACGGTAGTACTGATGTCTGCATCTGGCATTCAGAGAAATAGCCACAGGGACCAACCCTGACCTATACAAAAATGGATTTTAAATGCTGGGAATTCCTTATCACAAAAATGTCTTAGGTGAGGCCAGTTCTCATCATCTTCTCCATACAAGAGCAGGTTATTTGGAAGCACAAATTCAGGGGAAGTAAGTGGCATCAGCCAATCCGATTTTTAAAAAGTTTTAGGACACAATAAAACAAAAGATATTGTTCAAACTAATATGACTTAATAAGTCATTGTCCAAACCATAAACATAAATAAAAGATAACTAACATTATTATACAATAAATGATAAGTGCCAAATGAGCTATAGACGAAAAGTAAAAACTTGAGCAGAGGGAAGAATTGCTTCTAACTCGGATGACTTCAGGGCATTTAGCACGGTATAAGCAGCTCTTGAGGGGTTCTTGAAGGATTGGTGGGATTCAAGCATCCATGATATAGGGAAGAGGAAGATTTTGGGAAAGCAGAATGTTTTGGACAAACATTCATGATTGGAATTGGGGCATTGGACTGCATGGGTGGTGAATGTGGAAATATTCCTTGAGGCAGAATGTCTATTTTACTGTTTACTTGAAATAAGTGATGGGAAAGAATTTTAAAAATTTTAAATAATTTGGAAATCAGACATGCATCATTATCTATAATAATAACAACTATAAATCTAATTATTATTTATAAATAGTTCTCTTCAACTATAGGCATTATGCATTTTTTATTATTTTTTAAGACCTATAATTTTTTTTCTTTTTATTTTGTGCCCAAACCTCAGCACATAAGTGTTTTAAAAACACATATTGATCGAATTATCTGGAGTAAATATAATTGTTAAATGTAAATCAATTGTAAAAACTGAAATAATTTAAAATAAACAGAAAATTTTGTTATTCAATTTAATCACTGTAAATTTTTATTTTTGTTAAATAATGAATTACTTTGTATATGGAAATTATTAGGTTTATGTTTTGGAGGAAACAGGACTTGACACATTTGTTCTTTATTTTGAAATTTCTCTTAGAGATGGGGTCTCACTCTATCATCTGGGCTGAAGTGCAGTGGCGTGATCACAGCTCATGGCTGTCTTGAACTCCTGGGCTCAAGCAATCCTCTTGCCTCAGCCTCCTGAGTAGTTGAGACTACAGATGCCTGTCATCACAGCCAGCTGATTATTATTGTTATTTTATAGATGGAGTCTTGCTGTGTTGCCCAGGCTGATCTCGAACTCCTTACCTCAAGGGATCCTTCTGTGTAGCTGGGATTACAAGTGCAAGACACAGCGTTAAGCTTGACACATCTATTCTAAAAATAAAGCTTATTGTGAAGAATAATGGGCAAGATTAGCTAAGAAAATTTAGAAAAGGTAAGTAATGAGGGAAAAGTATGAAGTATTAAATCAAAACACTGTAATAAAATAGTGTTATATTGATATAATAAATGAAGGGAATCAAGAGACAGATCCCATTCAATGAGATAATTTAATATATAATAAAGAGGGTATATTAGTTTCCCGGGGCAGTTATAATAAAGTGCCACAAACTGTGTGACTTCAAACAACAGAAATTTATTCTCTCACAGCTCTGGAGGCTGGAAGTCTGAAATGAAGGTACAGGCAGGGCCATGTTCTCTCTGAAGTTTACAGGAAAGACTCCTTCCTTGCCTCTTCTAGCTTCTGGTGGCCCAAGCATTCCTTGGTTTTAGGCAAATAACTCCATCTGTGCTTCCATCTTCATGTGGCTGTCTTCTCCCTGTGTGTCTCTGTCTTTAACTGGTGTTCTCCTCTCTGTATCTGTTTCTTTTCTTCTCACTCTCTCTTTTTATTTTTTTTTTTGAGATGAAGTCTCACTCTGTCACTCAGGCTGGAGTGCAGTGGCACGATCTTAGCCCACTGCAACCTTCTTCTCCTGGTTTCAAGCGATTCTCCTGCCTCAGCTTCCTGAGTAGCTGGGAGAAGAGGTGCGCGCCACCACACCTGGCTAATTTTTTTATTTTCATTTTTTAGCAGAGGCAGGGTTTCACCTTGTTGGCCAGGCTGGTCTCGAACTCCTGACCTCAAGTGATCCACCCGCTTTGGCCTCCCAAAGTGCTGGGATTACAGGTGTGAACCACCGCGCCGGGCCGGCCTTAGCAGGAAGATTGCTATGGAACTTGGCAGCAACCATGCCACTGTTCCTGTGGGCCCGGGTTACCTTTCCCCAGATTACTCTGCTTTTGTTTGGTTTGCTGCCAGGAATCATTGTGTTGCTCTTTGCTTTGTATACACAAGCACATCTCTTGCCCAAATAGAATTCAGTTTCATCTTGGGCATAACCACCTTCAATTTTAAGAAGAGCTGTATGCTCCCTTTGGTTCTGGAGGCTCCGCTTATAGCCAGCAAAAAAGGACTTAGACCACAGCCTTCCAGACGTATTTCCTTTTAAGAAGTCCTGTTCCCAGCAGGCCTCCACAGGCTCCAGGGTGACAGGAGGGGACTCACTGAGGTTCCTGATCATATGTGACCATATCAGAGAGACTTTTCCTGACCCCCTAATGTAAAATGGCACCCTCACTCACACCCAGACTCCACGAGGGAGGCACTTTGCTCACTACTGTACGTTCAAGGCCTGCAGCTGTGCTTGGCATATGGTGGCACAATAAATATTCACTGAATAAATGAATAATGAAAATAAAGTGAACACAAAAATATGAAAACAAGATATTTTTGCACATGAAATTGGCAAACTTTTTTTTTTCCACTCTGTCGCCCAGGCTAGAGTGCAGTGGCACAATCTTGGCTCACTGTAACCTCTGCCTCCCAGGTTCAAGTGATTCTTGTGCCTCAGCCTCTCAAGTAGCTGAGATTACAGACATGTGCCACCATGCCCGGCTAATTTTTGTATTTTTAGTAGAGGCAGTGTTTCATCATGTTGGCCAGGCTGGACTTGAACTCATCCTGACCTCAAGTGATCTGCCTGCCTCAACCTCCCAAAGTGCTGGAATTATAGGCATGAGCCACGACGCCAAGTCTGGCAAACTTAAAAGTTTAAAACACTTGATAACACTCAGGGCTGTAGCGGCATCTGGTAAGATTATAAATTGGTATCATTTTCCCCCTAGAAAACACTTAGAAACTATATGTTACGAACATTAATAGTGTATGTGTCCTCTGGGTGCATGACCAGGGAAATCTTTTAAGTGAGATGGGGAAAAAAGTTGTACAGAAGGATGATCATTACCCATTATGGATTAGTTACATAAATTACTATAAATACATATGATTAAATATTATGCAATTTATTAAAATCTTATAGGTAAAACATATATAATGATGTGAAGAAATTGAATGCTATAATACTAGGTATAACAGAAATTTAAAGACATACACATTTAAATGTAAATTGATAAACAGAAGCTCATTTTTCCTAATGGGCCTACTGGTATGTACGGCAAGAGAAGTGAAACTACCAACAGTTTAGCCTTTGCTGAAATCAAGTAAATATGCTGGGGTGGAGAAACCAACACCAGAAGACACAGGAGCAGGTGCAGCGAACCCTAGACCAACTGGGTGTGTAGACATGTGAAACACCTCAAATTCCCTAAAGTGATAGGTCTTTGGGAGACTGAAAATAAAAAAGGGCAGCACTGAGTGAAAAATCTATTGGCCATCTCTATATGAAAGTGGATATTTCAAACTAGTACCCCTTCTCATCCTACACTCACGTAACTCACATTGCCCTGTTAGTAGTTCTGGAGACATAACTTAGTTTGTTAGCCAGGGTCTAGATGAGAACTAACTGTTCCTCCAGTTAGTTCTTAATCCTGTTTCTCCAGCTAGTTCTCATCTAGACCTAGCCAGTTAGTTCTCATCTAGATCTAGCCAGGGTCTAGATGAGAACTAACTGTTCCTCCAGGGGATAAATGACCTGGCATTTGTCCCTCTGAAAAATGAGAGGAGTGCACAAAACTATACGAAAATCCCCTCTTAAATCCCAAGAGGAAATAGTTTTCTTCTAGACATCCTAGCCATGGATACCCTCTCTCCCTGTGATTGGGTTAGGTAACCCGGGCATAAAATTCTAAAGTTTTTTTTTTCTATCTCTCTCCTTCTCTCTCTCTCTCTCCCACCCCAGTCCCCACCCCATTTTACTTTTCTTCTCTTCCTTTTTTCTCAGAAGTAGAGTGAATTCTGCATCTTGCCTCTTGAATCTCAATTTAGCATTTTTCTCACCTGAAGCATGACCCTGAGGTCTTACCCTCAATGCCAATCAGTTTATCAAAATATTTCTACCCAATAAAAAGACAGCACTTCATCAGAGGAATCTCATTTAATAAAAGTTTCTCTGTCTCATTACATCCTTTTTTTTTTTTTTTTGAGACAAGGTCTCTCTTTTGCCCAGGCTGGAGTGCAGTGGTGCGATCTCAGCTCACTCTCACTGCAACCTCCACCTCCTGGGTTCAAGGGATTCTCCTGCCTCAGCCTCCAGAGTAGCTGGGATTAAGGTGCATGCCATCACATCTGGTTAATTTTTTGCACTTTTTCTTTTCTTTCTTTCGTTTTTTTTTTTAAATAGAGATGGCATTTCACCATGTTGTACAGGTTGGTTGAACTCCTGGCCTCAAATGATCTGCTCGTCTTGGACTCTCAAAGTGCTGGGCTTACAGGTCATTACATTTTTAACAGTGGTGTTACGAAACTTGCAAAGTATCATGTTAAAAACAAAATAATGTTAATTGATTCTTTTAAAGACCACTACTTATGGTGCAATTTCCAGTATATAGCACTCTCAAGTGATTTCCTTGCCTGATCTTACTCACCTTTCTGGCACCCCATAAAATAAGTGTTCTACTCCCTATTATTCAGATGAAGAAAACGAGTCACAAGGAAGTTAAATGGTCTAATGAAAATCATGCATGTAAAAGTGATGAAGCTGGGATTTGAACCTAGTAGTTGGGTTTTTGGTATGGCATAGACATACATATATGGAGGGATGAAGGACATTAAATTTCGATCCTGATATTGATGGAGAAGCAGGAGAGAGTATCAGATAAGTAAAACACATTTGGAAATAGGTCCTCAGAAACTTTTTTTTTAAATCAATGTATTAATTATTCTGTATTTGAGATACTGCTCTTGATTCAGGATGTGAGTTAATCAGGCACAAAACAGTACTCAACTTCAGGTTTGAGCTTTGTCTTTCAATCATTTCAGAGCCCAAGGAGGAAGCTGAGTGGAGATGGGGGCTAGTGGTTAGAGGTGGCTCCTATACACTGTTCACCTTGTCTCCCAGCTCCTAAATGAGGGCTGGTCCTTCGGCTCGGCCCTTAGAGCCAGGGTCCCATTCTTGCACACCCCTTTCTATTTAGACATTCTGATTTCTTCTTGAACCTTCTGTCTCCTCTCTGTTATTTCTCCTAGCCCCTGTGACCTCTGCTGCCTGTAGAGAAGAATTCCACTCCCTCACCCTTTCTGAATCGAGTTTGGGGGAAATGACCTTGGATATTGCATGTGTGGTATCTGCAAGACAATCAGAGCACATTCACCCCTAGTGGATCTCCTGTGGATTCTTATGCTCCAAGTCCTTTGCTCTCTCTAGAACTGCGCTACTGAGTGATTTCTCTTCATATCTGGGCTTCTATATGTGCCAAACTCAGAAAGGTGTAGGGTCGTGGGGGCAGAGGGATAGTGACCATTTTTCTGCCATAAGCCATTGTTTTTACAGCTCTGTTCTGCTGGACATCAATAATGAGAATATATTAATATCAGAAAGTGTGATTTTTGGCAAGAGGGGCAATAGTGACTATTGTTTGGAAGGGATCACATAATTTTTATAATTTTTAAAAAATAACGCAGACATATAATTATTATTCCTATTATACCACTTTTTACAAAATGCCAAAAGGCTTTCAAATCTGTTATTTTTTTTTACTCCTTACAACAACTTTAGGAATATAAGTTAGATATGATTATCTTTTATGAGTCACAGATTTGCGTATTTTCCTCATTACTATTTTACATTTTCTGGCCTGTGATTGATACATTCAAGAAGCCTGTTTTACTGCATCTGGCTAGTTTTTCTAAACTGTTTTCCATGGACTAATCTCTGTTTTGTTCCTTTTTATTTCTCACAGTGACAGGATATAAAAATATTAAATAATAATTGCTACATTTCTCATTTTTGTTGGTACTGATTTCAAGGAGGTTGGCTCCAATGTTTCCCCATTTGTCACTATTTTAAATTTTTTATTTTCCTTTTGCATCTCTGTAAATGGTTGCATTTTTTTCTTTCTTGATGAAAAATTACTATACATTAGAAAAATTTTGGAAAATATGAAAAAGCACAAAGAAGAAAATGAAAATCATAGGTAATATGAAAATTTTTACCTAAAAATAAAACTGTAAACTATTTTATGTATATTTCTATCCAGCTTCTCATGTCATCTTTATTGATATGATGCCATAAATTATTGAAATTCCTAATTGTTATGCATTTTTGTTTATAATTTTCCTTTATTTTAAGGGATACTATAGTACAATCTACTTACATAAGTATCAGAATACATCTGATACATTCCTAGTAAAATCACATAATCAATTTTAAGGCTTTTGCTGAATAATATCACAAGGCTATCCAGAAAGGCTTTTTTTTTTTTGAGACAGTCAGTGTCTCACTCTGTCGCCCAGGCTGGAGTGCAGCGGCACAATCTCTGCTCACTGCAACCTCCACCTCCCAGGTTCAAGCGATTCTCCTGCCTCAGCCTCCCAAGCAGCTGGGACTGCAGTTGCCCACCACCACACCTGGCTAATTTTTGTATTTCTAGTAGAGTCAGGGTTTCACCATGTTGGCCAGGCTGGTCTCAAACTCCTGACCTCAAGTGATCTGCCTGCCTCGGCCTCCCAAAGTGCTGGATTACAGGCATGAGCCACTGTACCCAGCCAGAAAGTTTTACCAATATGTGCTTCCAAAAACATTGCATGTGTATTTTGCCATACCCTATATAGCCTTAAGTATAATCATTATCTCAGTCTTTGCCTACTTGATGAGTACCAATAATACTTTAGTATTGTTTTTGTATTTTAATCTCTTATAAGGCTGAGTATTTTTGGATGTATGAATTGCCTTTTGCCCACTTGCTTTGTCCACTTTTTTCTATTGAGAAGATAATTTTAAAAAACGATCTTGAAAGAAATATTTCTATATGAAAGATATTAACCTCTTGTCTAGTACATATTTTAATTAGCTTGCTATTTGCTTTTTGAATGGTGTTTTAACAGTTTTTTTTCCATTTAAAAATGATGAATGGTTATTGAATTTTACCAAATGTCTCATTGGTATCTATTGATATGTTTTCTTATTTTTAAATTTAAAGACATGGGATATTGCAGCAATAACAATAAAACAACAAAAAAAGTGCCAGACTACTTTTGTATTCCGTAAACTACTTTGACATGCTACAATTTTGTTCGTATTTGACAGTCATTTGAAAATGACTGGAGAACAAACCATCTCAAGTTATAAAAGATGCCAATTGTTTCCTGCCTCTGGGTCACTTCCACAGCTGAATAAGTGGCCCTGCCTCCCCAGCTCCAAGCCTCTGGTGAGTGCACTGTAATTGGACACTTGACCTAAGGGTTCCCTCAGTAGACTCACCAGTGGCCAGGCTGGCATGACAGTGAGAGAGAACCAAATGGGTTTCCCTCTTGAGTACTTGGGACGTTGAGTCTGTCCATGGTGAGCGCTGGAGCTGAGAGCTGAAGCCAGAGAGATGGGGCTGCAGGTGGGGCGGGCAGGTGCAAGATGAAGGAGCAGATATGCAAGAAGCCCTGTGGTTTCTGAGAGGTGGAAGATGCTCAGGGGGTTCCTGAAGTCTCTGGAGTTCCTCAAGTTTCCAGTGATTTTCAGATGCACACTTTGTCCTTGGATTCTGTGAGAGCCCCCAGGATTCTTTCCATCACATGCCCTCCTCTTGATTTTTCTTCCTTATTTAAAGTAGTTGAAGTAGGTTTCTGATTATGCAACCAAAAAGCCTTCATGGAACATTCATGCACCTTCCTATCCACCCCACTGGGTAAAGTGCATGGTTATGTGCTACCAAAATGCCAGGAGGTCACTGGCTTCCTACTGAAAAACAAAAGAGTTAAACTCAGCATTGTATGATCCTGAAGTTTCTCCCTCAACCCTCTAGTTCTACGAGTCTTTGGAATTAATGGAGTTTTTGTTGGGACATTTTCTTAACCAAGCTTGATAGAACTCTAGAATGACAAAGATTCAGCCTGAAGGGCATGTATTATTGAAACAGACCCTTTAAGACAGGAAGAAATTTTCCATTTTGAAAAAAATTATTTTTCCTTCAAACCTGTAGGGGTATTTTGCCTTCCTGTCATTGAATTGAAAAAGTACCTCTGCTTTTTTAAACAGTGTAACTACAGCTGCCTGTCTGTGCTTCTCTTCACGTACCCAGACCAGGCGTCCGGCCGTGACGGGTAATCAAATCACCTCAAGGGACACTGAGCCATCTGCCCCTGATCTCAGCCCACAGAAGTGAGCTGTTGGAAAGGGTTCCAGCTTTTCATCTTTAGCCAGCAAGGTCCAATTTTCTCAATGGAAGTATTGATTTAAGTCTTTCAAAACAACCCCAGCTTCACTGACATCAAGGGGATAATTCACAGCATCAAGAGAAAAGAAAATAACACTGTGGATAAAGCTGTTAAGTTTTCTTTGCACTTTGAGGGGCCACAGGGGGAGCATCGCTTGAGCCCAGGAGTTTAAGACCAGCCTGAGCAAGATGGTGAGACCCTATCTTTACAAAATAATAACAAAAATAATAAATAGCCTAGTGTGGTGGTGCACACCTGTAGTCCCAGATACTCAGGAGGCTGAGGCGGGAGGATCGCTTGAGGCCAGGATTTGGAGGCTCCAGTGAGCTGCAATCCTGCCACTGCACTCCAGCCTGGGTGACAGAGCAAGACCCATCTCTTAAAAAAAAAAAAAAAAGCAGCTTTATTTTACATGCAAAACAAAGCCCTGAAATGCATTTCTCAAATCACTAACAGAAAAGATCAGCAAAATTACCGGGATTTTAGGATTAGGAAACTATAGTCTTAGGAGGTAATGAGGAGGCTCAGAGTGACAAACTATGGTCCCCATGGAGCCAGCCCCATGCCGGGGTGTTTTTTCCACTAAAGCTGTTCTCAGAGCCCTAAAAAAGTTTGACAGATACATATTTTATTTTTTTTGTGTGTGTTTTATTCATCTTGTTGGCATAAAAATAGTGACATTCTCTTCTTATGGCAATTATATTTGAGTTATCTATCTATCTATCTATCTATCTATCTATCTATCTATCTATCTGTATTTTAAAGAGACAGGGTCTTTCACTCTGTTGCCTAGGCTGGAGTGCAGCATTGTGATCATAGCTAACTGCAGCCTTGAACTCCTGAGCTCAAGGGATCTTCCTGTCTCAGCCTTCCAAGTAGGTAAGACTACAAGTGTGTGGCACCATACCTGGCTAATTAAAACAGTTTTCTTTTTTTTGTAGAGAGGGGTCTTACTATGTTGCCCAGGTTGGTCTTGAACCCCTGGTCTCAAGCAATCGTCCTGCCTCAGCCTCCCAAAGTGGTAAGATTAGAGGCCTGAGTCACTGCACCCAGCCTGATTTGTGGTATATTTAAACAAATAAATGTATATTTATTTGAACTATCAAATTATGATTGAACTGTCAAAAAATTCCTAGGCTATCAGTTGGGATATATGAAGAGTGATGAGGATTTCATACCTTTTTTCCTACTGAAGCCTCAAATGTACAAGAAACATCAAAATGGATTGAGTTTTAAATGATTTTTAAATTCCTATTAATACCTATTCTATCAGGGATCTTTGTGTCTTAGGTTGAATTTCCAGAGGTGGCCCCTGAGATGAAAATTCATGTGCAAGTACAGTAGTCCCCCCTCATCCACGGGGGTTACCTTCCTTGGGTAGGTAAGCCCCCCAGTAGATGCCCAAAACTGCAGATAGAACCCTATATATAATTTGTTTTCCCTATGCATATGTACCTAAGATAAAGTTTAATTTATAAATTAGGCACAGTCAAGAGATTGACAGCAATAACTAATAGTAAAATAACAACACACCAACATTACTACCTTTACACCTTGGGGCCATTATTAAGTAAAAATAAGGATGACTTGAACACAAGCCTCGCGATATGGAGAGTTGGTCTGATAACTGAGTCGACGTCTAAGTGGCTAATGGATGGTTTGCATCTACGATATTGATACACCGGATGAAGGCAGGATTCATGTCCCACGTGGGATACAGCAGGACGGTTTGAGATTTCATCATGCCACTCAGAACGGCATGCAATTTAAAACTTATAAATTTTTTATTTCTGGATATTTTATTTAGTATTTTCAGACCTAAGTTGACTGCCAATAACTGAAACTGCAGAAAGTTAAACCTCAGGTAAGGGAGGACTACTGTAGTCTATCAGGAAATATCTCCAGAAGAAACTGGTAGCAGGGTGGGGAGGTAGGACAGGGAAGGGAAGGCCAAGCCAGGGTGTGATATCAGAGTCTCAGAGTCTAACTCTTAATCCTGCAGGAAGACCACCCTGACTAGGGCAAGGGTTAAGAATAGATCCCAGGCCGGGCATGGTGGCTCATGCCTGTAATCCCAGCACTTTGAGAGATCAAGGCAGGAGGATGGCTTGAGTCCAGGAGTTCAAGACCAGCCTGGGCAAAAAGTAAGATCCCTGCCCATCCCCATCTCTACAAAAAATAAAAACAATTAGCTGGGAGTGGTGGCACTCACCTATAGTCCCAACCACTCGGAAGGCTGAAGCAGGAGGATCGCTTGAGCCCAGGAGTGTGTGCCACTGCCCTCCAGCCTGGATGACAGCAAGATCCTGTCTCAAAAAAAAAAAAAATTCCCAGGAGATAGCACTTCTGGCTCTAGGGCCAACAGATTTGGCAGACTGAGAGCAGTTTTGTGATTAAAAAAAAAAAACAAAAAACCTGCAAATACTGGTTGGGGGACGACATCACACTGAGGGAGGGTGCTGTGGGCAAAAGGGATCTCATATGCTGTGGGTGGAGCACAAACAGCAAGTTGTGAGAACAGCTAAAGCTAACTTAGGTAAAGGGGTATTTCAATCTAGATTGCATTTGGCTGCATGTAGTAGAAATCTGACGCAGTGCCTAACCAAAAGAGTTTATGTTCCCAATATACCAAGAAGTTCAGAGATTGGCAGTCCAGGATTAATATAGCAGCTTCTCGATGTTATCAGTCAACAACATGCCAGCTCTGCCTTGCTTGTTGCTGCATGATTGCGAGATGGCTCTACTGCCTCCAGCCTCACATCTGCATTCCTGGCAGGAAGAAGAAGAGGAACAGAACAGAAAAGGCTGTATGTCTACTAGGAAAGCAGATATTTTCCAGAAATCTCTAGCAGACTTCTGGTTTCTTTCCCATTGTCAATAACTGAATCACGTAATTACCTTTAGATGTATGGAATTCTGGGAAGGTGGCATATGGTTCCCTTGAAAAGAATAACTTTTCATTCTTTGCTTTTTTTTTTTTTTTTTTTTTTTTTTTTTTTAGTGAAGATGAGAGAATGGGCAATGACTGGGCATACAGTGGTGGCTATCCAATAGGGGATTTTTTTTTTGGTAAAAATATACTAGTAGGCTTTAGGAGCTTCCTAAGACAAGATTTAAGTACAGACAGCTGAGATATCTGAGGGATGGTGCCAGAACTTGCCAATGAGGAATTGAGGTAGGGCTGGTTTATGGGCAGTGACCTGTACAGTTGCACACGGCATGTGGAAGGGCCCTGTGTTTGGTTTCATGCTATGCTGTCACTGAGCTATCACATTCTGTCTTTGGACTTGTGTTATTAAGTCTGATGGGACAATGGAGCATATGTGTTTTTTGGACTTGTGTTATTAAGTCTGATGGGACAATGGAGCATATGTGTTTTTTGGATTTGTGTTATTAAGTCTGATGGGACAATGGAGCATATGTGAAGTGGCAGCACATGCCCTTGTTGGCTCAGGCTCGTGGTATAGCGTGCAATGAGCAATGTGCATGCCAAGCAGTTAGCTCAGCTGCACAGGCCAGGATGGGACCTGGGCCCAGATTGGTGGTAGTGATCATGGTGATAACAGCAGCAGAAGCAGCAACTGTGGAGACAGCAGCCATAGCCCTGGAGACAGGAGAAGCTCCACATGAAGGCAGTGCTAGGATTTGTGTTGGGAGGTCAGTTTGCTGGTCTATCCCTGGAGCCCATTCTTGGGGCATCTGCACAAACTGTAACTTCTTGGCTAGAAACTGCTGGCTGTCAGGCAGTCAAACTTTATCAGTAAACTATTACAAAAATAAAAATGTACACATAGACATTGCAATAAAACCTGTCGGGGAGTTATTAAGAGTCTTCAGAATTTAGAATCCCTGGTTTTGGAAACTACCACAACATTGCAAAACAAATATTCACAAGCTTAGAAACAGAAATTAAATTTAAAGACCATCTCATCTGGTGAAAAAAACCCGGTATTTTCATATAAAGCAATGGATGAATCAATTATTGATGAAGAAGACATTTAAAATTAAATTTTATCTTGTAATTGAAGATACAGTGATAGAATGCATGAACAGGTGTTTGCATTTTCAACAAATCATAAAGCCAGTTTCTTGTAAAACCTCCACAAGTTACAGAAAATGTGAGAGGAAATAAAAAACCATTGTACAATTTGAGTTTAAAATAAAATTCAGACTTACATGAAACTGGTTAGTATGAAGAGTTAAGTCTTTTTAGAAAAATTATTCTAAAATAATTGTCAGCTCTCGATGTATTAATATATATAATTTATCAGACATTTATCCTAATGTCGTCACAGCCTATAAAATACTCCTAACAGCTCCAGTAACATTCACATCAGCAGAAAGATCCTCCTTAAAATTAAAATTACCAAATTTATTTGCAATCTTGCATATTCCAAGAGCAACTCATGTGGCTTTCAATTATATCAATTAAAAATGAAGTTGCCAAAAGTATAAATTTTGATGACCTAGTAAACAAATTTGCAGAAGTGAGCCAGAAAAACCTCATGATCAATCAAGATACCATACTAATAAAGTATAGACATCCTCGGGCTCTGCATCGACAGATTCAACCAACTGAGGATGGAAAATATTCAGAAAAGAAAAACCAATTAAAAAAAACCCCACAATAACAAACAATACACAGTAAAAAATACAATATGACAACTATTTACATAGCATTTACATTGTATTAGGTATTATAAGTAATCTAGAGATTATTTAAAGTATGCAGGAGGACATATGTAGAGTATATGCAAATACAATGCCATTTTATATAAGAGACTTAAGCATCTGAGAATTTTATTATCTAAGGGGGTTCCTGGAACTGATTCCCCTTGGATACCAAGGGATGACTGTATTGGCAGTGGTGGTAGCAGTGGTACTGTTACAAAAATAAGAGAAGAAACTCATAGACAGAAGAGAAATAATAAGCACACTATTTATTATGTTATATAAGATTAGGACGCCAAAAATATTTTCTTCAATTCGTAGTTCTATGTTGTTACCTATGTATCATGATTACCCCTTGTTATGGACTGAACTGTGGTCACCCAAGATTCATATGTTGAATCCTTAACCCTTAATGTGACTGTATTTGGAGATAGGGCCTTTAAGGAGATCATTAAGGTTAAATGAGGCCTTAATGGTAGGTCCTAATTCAATAGCACTGGTGTCCTAGTAAGAAGAGGAAGAGACACCAGAGAGAGCGCTCATTCAGCAAGCACACCAGGAAAGACCATGTGAAGACACGGTGAGAAGGTGGTTGTCTACAAGCCAGGAAGAGAGCCCTCAGCAGAAACCAACTCTCCTGGCACCTTCCTCTTGGACTTCGAGCCTCCAGAACTGTGAGGAAATAAATGTCTGTTGTTTAAGCCACCGTCTACGGTATTTTATGACAATGCAAGCTAACTAATATGTATGCCCCTATTACATTTTATAAATAAGAATTTTTTTTTTTTTGAGATGGTGTTTTGCTCTTGTTGCCCAGGCTGGAGTACAATGGCATGATCTCCACTCACCACAAGCTCTGCCTCCTGGGTTCAAGTGATTCTCCTGCCTCAGCCTCCTGAGTAGCTGGGATTTCAGGCACGCGTCACCACGCCCAGCTAATTTTTGTATTTTTAGTAGAGACGGGGTCTCACCATGTTGGTCAGGCTGGTCTCGAACTCCTGACCTCATGATCCGCCCTCCTCGGCCTCCCAAAATGCTGAGATTACAGGCGTGAGCCACCGCGCCCGGCCCAGAAAATATTTTTAATGAAAAAAAAAATCTTTATGTTTTAGTGCCTTTAATGACATTTTCCTCTTACTTTTAAACAAGGGGCTCAACATTTTCATTTTGCACCGGGCCCCACAAATTACATAGGTGACTGTACGCTGAATTCAGGTCACACTCTGTGCCTCCCCTACGGCCTCAGAGCGGTTGTCTCCCTGCTTCTCTCTGCTTCCTCTCTCTCTAGATCAGCTGCTTCCACCCTGACTCAAGTACACAACATCCACCCACTAATTCTGTCTCCATTTCTGAGAGAAAGAATCTAATTGGCTTAGCCCAGCCCATGCATTTGCTAGTCCAGGGTCAGGTGCCCTGTTCCAATGGGCTGAGGACACCTGGCTGTCCAGGCCCACACTTTGCTGGGGCTCAGGTGGAAGGCAGTTTCAGAGGAGATGGCATGGACTGGACTTGTACTTCCAACTGAGGCACTTACGATGCTTTCACGGAGGATTGTCTGGCTTTGATGCTCCACTTCCTTTTACAAGGTGTTTAGCAGCTTCACTCCAAAAAATAAATATAACGAATCACAGCTTAAAAAGCAGAAACCAATGCCCTGTCCTCAGAAGTATCTTAGGGCTGTCTTGCCCAGCTTTCCATTGACAACCCATTAAGAACAGGATTGGGGGAGATTTTCAACAGCATAATGCAAATGCTCATAGGTTTTTAGTTAAGGGTACTCTAAACTCATTTGAGCATGGATTTTTGACATCCTGTCTCACTTAATATTAAACCATGCTTCAAAAAAGTTAAACAGCAGCACTTTGGGAGGCTGAGGCAGGCAGATCACCTGAGATCAGGAGTTCGAGACCAGTCTGGCCAACATGGTGAAACCCCATCTCTTCTAAAAATGCAAAAGAATTAGTGCCAGGTGTGGTAGCACGCACCTGTAATCCCAGTTATTACGGAGGCTGAGGCATGAGAATTGCTTGAACCTGGGAGGTGGAGGTTGCAGGGAGCTGAGATCGCGCCACTGCACTCCGGCAAGATTATGTCTCAAAAACAAAAACAAAAACAAACAAAAAACAAACAAAAATTAAGCAACAAAGATATAAATAAAAATAGAAATATATTTTCTACCAAGACAAATTTTAAGAACACATTTTTGGTAAGAAATATTTATCATTAAAAAGCAGTGAAAGCAAGATCCTTGCTATACATTTTTGGAAGCAAATTTGAAAGATTCCTGTTCAAATAAAAGTAGAAATTAAAATCATTGAATAGTAAAATATTTTATATAGTAACACCTTAGTTACCTAGAAGTCGGACTTAAGGACAACTCCTGCAATCTGGAATACAGCAACGGAACTAAGTTCCCTGAGGCACTGAAACAGTTTTCACAAAATCAATTCACTGAAGCTCATTTGTTTTAGTTGTAGAAGAGGGACTCAGTCAGAGCCTATTCACCCTTACTATTCACTGTCTAAATAACTTTGATGATCCAGTTTGCCACCCACAGCATGTTAAAACCAACAATTTACTAGGGTAGCAGGGTGCTGCTAAAATATAGAGAGTGATTATTGACATCAGGGAGGAAACAGGAAAGGAGGAACTGTCAAACCGGTTTGGAGATATTCAATGCATACGTGCGTCCATGTACCTTTCTTACATACATTTAATTAGCGTGGGCTGAATGTCAGCTATTAGCCTATGACTGTGCTAGGTGCACAGGATACAGAAATTAAGGACTCAGTGTCTGCCCTAAAAGGCTTCTAATCTAGCAGAAAGGGTGACAAATAAAAAGGCAATTACAATATAATGTGGAGAATGATTAAGTGCCTGATTCGGCTTAAATCAGAAGATAAGCTAAAATGCATTTCAAGTATTTCAGGTAAGACATCTGAAACCCCAAATTAAGATCGGGGTAGTGGGGATGCAGAAATGTGTAAGACTTGGAAGATGATGGAGGTAGAATTTGTACTGCAGGATGATGGATTGAGGTGAAGGGCGAGGGAGAAAAAAGAGTCCAGGATGTCACTCAGATTTCTGGCTGTTGTAAAGAAAGAGTTAGAGGCTCCAGTCTCTCCAGAGGGCATCACCTCATTACAGCTGACATTTTAAATGAAGACTTGGGAATCACTGACAAAAGGTCAGAGAAGTACGAAATCCATTTAGTAGCGACTTTCTCTGCTGGCGAAGAAAACACCTCCTCTTAAATGACTGGTATATGGAGGAGGTTTTGTAAGTTCCTTGAGGGCAGGGCACCCAACATTTATCCTTACGTCCCCAGTGCTCCAATACAGTAGATGCTTAGTAACAACGTCTTTATTGGATTTATAGAAACCAATTTAGATAATCTTGACCTTTTCTAGTCATCTCCCTTTAAGGTGTAAGATAAAACTGTGGAAATTTATAGAATAGTCTTTAGTCCTTGAGCAGATAACGGTTGGCTCTAGACATATTTCTCTTTCAAAAAGAATTTTTCTTAGGAGAATTGAAAATTCTACGTTGTTGTCTTATTGAATCAGATCTTAAGACCCTGACAAGCAACCTTTCCATCTCTTCAGGTTTTCAGCTGCTTCGAGAGTAGCAGACACCAATTAGCTTCCTGACTGGCTCTGGGGTGTGGAGAGAGGCAAGTTGTGGCACCTCAGGGCACCGGAGCAGCCCTCTGTCCCCACAGGCACTCGGCATGCTGACAGGTCTGGAAAAGGACTGTCATACCCTAAAGAAAAGGAGGACTCATTCGGCTGACCTTAGGGAGTAAAATGTCCCCTGAAACCTTTTGGACCCCTAGAAGGTTCCTCAGGGGCTTCTGCTGGAAAAAAGCTGAAGAGGCAACTTGTAAACAGTTAAGTCAAGATGCACTTAAAAAGAAAATCTCAGAACTAGGTCAGAATTGGACAGGGGGAAAGAACCATCTGGATGTGTTATGAAGCTTTTCAGAAACTGTTTTCATGATTTTTATCACCGACATCTATTGGAGTAATGTTATTTTTTTATTTGAATATTTAATTTTCAAAGTTAAAACCTGAGAAATAGAAGCATTTTATCTTTCACAAATAGCTGTGAGTCATGGTTTATATGTCTTGAGTTTTTCTCAGCTTTAAAATCTCAGTTGGCTGTGAAGTGGGGGAGAAAAACAAAATAATGAAATTGCACAAGGAAAACCAACTTCCAAAAACACTCCCAACAATGTTCCTTCTTGCATATGAAAGATACATTATTATATCAGATTGCCAAATTTGTGAGCTTGAATAGCAGATGTTCTCATTACAAAATCTCTGATTAAGATGAACACGGTGCTGCAGGGGATGGGTGCTAGAACTAAAACTAAACTGGGCAGTGGGTCTTCTGGGTGGAGATTTATGTCCCTTGGCTGGAGGAGACAAGGTTGTGTGTGTGAAAATTCTTTTGAATTTTCCTGAAGCAGCTGTGATTTTCTGCAAGCCTGAACTCGAGGTAAGCTGTTTCCATTTCAGCCACCTCTTTATGGGGAGGTCACTCTGGAAGCATTCATCTGGTATGGGGGCCAACACTCCCGGATGTGGGAGGAGCCCGTCTGGAGGGATGGGCTTCTCATCACCTCTCCCTGGACTTGCTGCCTCCAACCAGGGGCCATGGTGACTATGAAGGGACGCAGTCAGTCCAAAGCCACCCCGGGAAAGATGTGGCCCGCAGCCTGGCAGGCTGAGGACGTGTAGGGGGCTGCACCAGGCGCAGCGAGTAACCCTACTCCGTTTCTGAACGCACGCGGGGGCGCTGCCAATGTAAGGCTCCCTGTTAGGAACGGGTCCTAGCCCTCAGCGGAGGGTCACAAAGAAATGAGACTTTCCTGGCAAGACTGTGGAATCAGATCGAGCCATTTTTAACTGTAAATGTCTGGCTTTGCCTGCAGCATTTCAAGGAAGACTTGACTGCTGTGCGTTGCCGCCCTCCGCCCCGCTCCCCTGCACTTACCCACCCACCTCGCCTGCGCTGATCCGCAGACGCGCGCGGGGAAAGGCACGCGCGATGCTTTCCCACTCGCTCAGCGGGCGCCGCTCACTGGAAACTCGCTCCGGATTCCGAACCCGAGAGCAGAGCAGAGGGAAGCCCCTTTGCTGAGCAGCTCCTTAGTGGAGGGCAATGAACGCGCTGAAATCCCAGAGCCTTCTCTGTCAAAGACATGCCAAGTTTGTGCATTCTCAGATCAGTTCTGGGCTTTCCTGAAATTTTACTGGGGGTCCCAAAATTTAATTCGGAGGCGTTGCCTTCCATTCTTCCCCTGAAAATAGAGATATGACACAGAAATATTTGTTTACTAGCTCCCTCTCCCATCAGATATGTAGGGTCTTTATAAAATCCTTGTAAACTTTGAAACTTTAATAATTTTTATTCTACATACCATGGGCCTCAAATAGTATTTAAAAGGCAAACTTGAAGGTTGAGACATTTGCTTATACGATTGCACATTTGTATTTCGGATTCTATACAAACAAAAACGGCTTCCATAAGTGAGCATCTGTTTTCTATCTAACAGTATTAAAATATTTTAAAAATTCACACACCACTTGCAACTACCGAGTTTCCTCTGGTTCTTTTAAACAATTAAAATTAAATCATAATGGTTCACAGGTTGTATGAGCTCCCTTTTCTGTGGCTGGGTTGAAGAGCTTTCCTTACCGACACTAGTCTTATTGTTCCTTAATTTCAGCTAGGTAGATATCTCATGGGATTATTCATCTTCAGCTGTACTCAACTGGTTTTACTTCCTCGGTTCAAATGCATTTTGAATGTTTCCATCTGAACTTACATGCTGTGCCTGTCCTTAATAACACTGTTGGAAAGATATTGTTCATTGAATTCTCACCATTCCATCCTAATTACTTTCTCTTTGAGGCTTTGGTCTTTAAAATACAATAGCCTAGAGGCCTCTCTGATCCTGAGGGTGGTGCCAGTAACAGAGTAAATGTGCTCATAATAGAATTTCCACATTTTTCTTTTAAAAATACTTTTAAAATGTCACAAGTAATATATATCCATTATGAAAACCGAAAACAGGTAAGCAGAAATAAAAACTATGCACTTATATGTACATATTTATAAATATGAATATATAAAAATGTATACATATTTATAAATATGAATATATAAAAATGTATACATATTTATAAAAATATGATACATTCCATTTTAAAAACATTTTTCTGCTAAATAAAGTATGAATACTCTCCTTTATTCTAATGGCTACTTAATTTTGCCCATACAGATGTAATAAAATCAATTCAATTAATTCTTTATTGTTGGAGATGCAAATTACTGAAAAATTTTTGCAATTGGAAATACAGCAATGAACATCTTATATTCTTGTGCATTTGCCCAATTATTTTTATAAGATAAATTTTCTGGGACCCAATTTCATTTTGACCAGAGCTTTTACTTATGGCTTCAACCTGCTGCCTTCAATGGGAGCTGATTTTGCTGATACAGAAGATAGTATTGCCTCTACTGGGTTCTTCATATTAGTTCCTCTGACTCGAGTCTTCATTCTAGTTACAATCTCTCTGAAAATTTCTCACTTTGGGTTTTCTATTCCTTTACTAGAGACTATATGGAGCTTGGCCAAAGTGGCCTTTATGATTTCCACATTTCCCCTTATCTTTCAACATCCTTCCTCTGCCTTCTCTTTAAATGCTCACAAATCTAGGCAGAATTCTATTCTTGACTACCCTTCTTTGTAGTCTATGCTCTCCCTTAGCTAGTTTGTCCTCTGATTCTATTTATGAGAATGATTCATCCTTAAGAGCTATCCTTTCCCCCATTTTTTTGATGTGTATTCCCATATATTCCTTGGCATCTTCCCATGATAATAGTGCAAGTATCTTAAAGTTAGTATTCCCCAGACTCAATGCTTTATTCCAAACTCCCAGCAAAACAAAAACAAATAAAAATAAAAAACAAAACCAACCCCACCTCCCAAACAAAAGAACTCATTTTCTTCTTTCATATTCTCTCTTCAAAAGTTGAAGGTGCCCACTGAGCCACCATCAAAGGGTCATTCAGATTTAGATTGAATAGACATTTATTAACTGTATCAAGTCATATCGGTTTCCTGCTTAAAACTCTCTAGTGGCTCCCCATTGCCATTAAAGTGTGACTCAAACTCCTTACAGGAACCATCAGGCTTCTGTGATCTGGCCTCTGTCTGCCTCCTGCCCAGATCTTCTCCCAGGCTCCTCCTGCCTCTCTATGATCAGCTGCCTGCTTTCTGACCTTCTCTTCAAAGTACAAGTGCATGTGCATCTCAGAGACTGAGCACTTGCTCTTCCTTTGGCCAGAACCGCGTTTTGGATAATGTATTTGGTGTTGTAACTAACAACTCATTGCCAACCCAAGATCATTTAGATTTTCTGCTATATGTTTTTCTTTTGGAAGTTTTATAGTTTTGAACTTCACATTTAGTCTGTGATCTATTTTGAGTTAATTTTTGTGAAAGGTAGGTCTTTGTCTATATTCTTTTTTTTTTTTTTTTGGCATTATCTATCCAATTGTTCCAGCACCATTTGGTGAATGCTCAACCCTTTCTCCATCGAATTGCCTTGGGCCTTTGTCAGAGATCAGTTAACTATTGTGTGGGTCTATCTTTGAGGACTAATTAATATAAATTTAAAGATTCCTTTATTGAAACATTCTATCAGCAAATATTTCATTGAGTAACTACTATATGATCAGTACTGTTTCAGGTACTGGGAACATATCTAGGAGTCAGAAAGAGATTTACGGAAATAAGTTAGCTTTTGAGTCTCATTTGTACAGTATTTCCTTTTCTGGCAACCCAAAAACTTCATTAAGGAAAAAAGAAGGAGGTAAAAAGGACTTGCTTAAGCATCATGGCCATGAAGAAGGGAGAGGGGAAGATGACATTTCTAGACTGGAACTTATTTTTTGTAAGGATGAGAACTCAGAGGTGTCAGTCTGGTGCTGACTCCTCAGGGAGGAACTTCTGGGCTCCTGTGTGTCCCATTCAAGGATGGTATATTTGTCTGTTTTTACGCTGCTGATAAAGACATACCCAAAAAGAGGTTTAATTGTACTTACAGTTCCACATGGCTGGGGAGACCTCAGAATCATGGCAGGAGGCGAAAGACACTTCTTACATGGTGGTAGCAAGAGAAAAATGAGGAGGAAGCAAAAGTGGAAACCCCTGATAAACCCATCAGATCTCAAGAGACTTATTCACTATCACGAGAATAGCACGGAAAGGACCAGCCCCCATAATTCAATTACCTCCCCCGGGTCCTTCCCACAACACATGGGAATTCTGGGAGATACAATTGAAGTTGAGATTTGAATGGGGACACAGCCAAACTATATCAGATGAGTATTACTTGGCTCCTCTTCGCTGTACACAAAGGGCATGTCTATGGCAGTATTTGAAAAATAGAGAATGAGTTGCAAGCTAGTCAATTGTGTGGAAGAAAAAGGAAAGGAAAGAAAAGTAATTTCAGGGCGGGTGCAGTGGCTCATGCCTGTAATCCCAGCACTTTGGGAGGCCGAGGCAGGCGGATCATGAGGTCAGGAGATCGAGACTAACCTGGCTAACACGGTGAAGCCCTGTCTCTACTAAAAATAGAAAACATTAGCCGGGTGTGGTGGTATTAACCTATAGTCCCAGCTACTCGGGAGGCTGAGGCAGGAGAATCGCTTGAACATGGGAGGTGGAGGTTGCAGTGAGCCGAGATCGCGCCACTGCACTGCAGCCTGGGTGACATAGTGAGACTCCGTCTCAAAAAAAAAAAAAAAAGATTTCAAATATTGTTTTTTCATATTTCATATTAGGCATTTAGAAGTGAAAGGGACCTTAGATCTCATCTATCCCAAATCCCAACCCTGTGGAGGAATCCGTCTACAAAAGCTGTAGCAGAAACCAGCCTGTACTTGAACCTTTCCAGTGACAGGAAACTCAGTACCTCGGAGCTGCCACTTAATTATAGAAGACCCTCCCTTACTCAGAACTGAACTCTGTCTTCCAGAGACTCCCAAATATGTGTCCTAATTTTATTCTCTGAAGCAACAGACATATATATCTAATGTCCTCGTTTGCAAGAAAGTCCTTTGCATATGGTTACCAGGGGTTCACTAAGTCCTGGATTCTTTCTCTCTGCACTTCCCCTTAAGTCTTGGCTTTGAGACTTTTTAAAGTTGTTTTCTGGTTGGCTAAAGCCCTTGTTAAAGGTGCTGCTCAAAATGAACACAACACTCCTGGTATTTGAGCCTAGGGTTTAGTTGATGTGGGTTGCTAACAAGAAACTTTTTTTTTGAGACAGGGTCTTGCTTTGCTGCCTAGGTTGGAATGCATTGGCGCCATCACGGCTCACTGCAGCCTTGACCCCTGGGCTCAAGCCATCCTGCTGCCTTGGCCTCTTGAGTAGCTGGGACCGCAGATACTTGTCACCACACCAAAAACATTAACACAGGTTAATGTTTTTGAATTTTAAGTAGAGACAGGGTCTTGTTAGTTGCCCAGGCTGGTCTCGAACTCCTAGGCTCAAGTGATCCTCCCGCCTCAGGCCTCCCAAAGTGCTAGGATTGCAGGCATGAGCCACTGTGCCCAGTCAAGAAACACCTTAATTATACTTAACTATAATTCTGTTTATATGAATGTCTTATCTATACTTCTGTTTATATGTTTATACTCTTTTTTTCTCCCAGAGGTTAAATGTTTAAAGTTCCTCATGATGCCTCGACTAAAGATGCTTCTACGTGAAAGTGTTGTTTCAATCTGTAATTTCACAATATTTTATTTTGGAAGCTGGTGGCAACAAGCTGGCAGGAAACATGGACCTTAGGAAAAGCAAACACATTCTATTTGCTAATGGTCACTAAGCGATTGTAACCAAGGCAAGCTTATTACAGAAAGGAACAATCAGCTGAAGTGTAAAGACAGAGCGTTTGAAAAATCCTAACCCTTCTTCCCTGCATGCTAAAATCAGCTAACAGAGATAAACTAGTAGCTGGTTCTTAAAAGAGGGATTTGTTTACACTACGTAATTTTTATCAGTGGGACAACCTGTTTGCCTGCCTGAGATCTTATTACTTATTAATGCATATTACCTGTGAATAAGAAAAAGGTGCTTGCATTTCAGAAGTTTGTGTGAATCACGTGTCCTCCTCATTTCCTACCAGAGTTCAGGTATTTGTTTATTTTGAATAATGACAGTTCTCAGTAAAGCTAAGGTTTTAAGGTCATGCCCTTCTGCATAGAACCTAATCTGTCAATGGCTCTTTCCTGTTCAGAATTTTAGACTTAGTAAAAAGTTTGCAAACTAAGAGCTTTTATAAACAGAATATGACCATTAATATACTTGTTTGTGAATTCCAAGGGAAAATGTATGACAGTTTTCATAATTTCAAATGCCTTGACCAATGTCACAAAGCTAATACTGATTATGGAACCCATGAGTATGACACTAAAATTCAGGGGCTTTGGAATTCCATTGTTGTTTTGCTTAATTAAATAGACATACATTAGGGCATGTATACTATACATGCTCAGTCTAAAGAAGAATAACCAAAGGAAAACTCTTGTTTTCATCACCATTTAAGGAGACCATTACCAATTCCAATGTGATCTCTGTCCTTGGTTCCCAAGGGGGAACCACAATCTCAAACTTGTAGTCATTTCCTTGTCTTACAACATATATATGTATTCCTAAACAATATAGTGCTTAGTTTTCTATGTTTGGGTATTTTATACAAGTGGAATTATTCTATCTGTGTTCTTTTAGAAATCAATCTTTTTGCTCAATATTATGTTTGTGAGGTTCATTCATGTTACCCTGTGAAGTTGTAGTTCATTTTCAAAGCTTTCTTCTGCTGATAAGCCTTTGTGTTCTTTTGCAGATTAAAAAAATGAATGATGCTTCTATGAACATTCTTATATGTGCATCTGGTGCTGTTTTTATTGCTGTTTTTATTGTTTTATTTATTGAGCACTTATTTTGTGTCAGGCACGGTTTTAAGTGCTTCAAATATATTGATTCATTTAAATCTGCTGCCCTCTGAGGTATGTAAAATTATCATCCTCATTTCACTGATGAGGGAGTTTGGTCCAAAGAGGTTAAGTTAAGTTGCCTGAGGTGACAAACCTAGGAAGCTACAGAAACCAAGCCTCTCAGCTTCAAGAGTCTATCCTTGCAATCAGTACACCATACTGATTCTTCTTTGGCTTATCCATCCCTCAATCAGTCAATTTGAAAAGTTCTAAGGTGTGTTTCCATTTGTCCATATATCCTTTTGTTAATCAAATGCTGGCAAATTCTTTTTAAAGCAAAAAGTCAAAAAATTTAATAGAGTTCCAATACCAATACCACACCTCCTTTTTGGGGGCTTGGGGATAATATCTCTATCATTTTTAAATTTTCCTCTCATATCAAATATCCTGATGTTTTATTTAGCATGTCAAATCAATTTCAGAATGGGAAAGAATGCACTTGCCTGAGAAGAAAGAATAATATGTAAATAATTTTAACCGTATGAGACCTTTAAGAGCAGTATCTAATTCATATGCCCCTCAAAAGTGAGTGCCAGGGACAGGCAAATGACCAATGGTATTTATCCCCATCAGTGCTCATCTGTCTCAGTGGCCTTTGCATGAAAACATAAACATGAGCCATATGTCCATCTTCTGAGTTGGTGGAAACCCTCCGAATACCACCTAATCCAGAAAATGACAGATTGAGAAATCTAAAGAGATCTGTTGGGGAGAGTAAGGGAGAAAATGCCTCATCTGCTTCCAGTTATAGCAAAGAGTCAGAGCATCAGTTCCTTGGGACAGAAGGAGCCTCCACCCATCAACACAAGCATAACAGAAAGCACCACCAAACAGCCTCACACACCAGCCCTCAGCCCCTCTCTCAAGGGAGTCTTGCATGTAGCAATGCTGAAAGAACCTTAACTCATTGGCATGAAAACCAGAAGTGAAAATCAAAGGGAAAATTTGTTAAAGATTAAAACTAGTAGGACTGAAGTTTTGCAGCCACCAAATGGGCCAAGGGGGCTGGAGGAACATCAGTCCTGCTGAGATGGTCAAAGTAATGGCCTGCATGGCCAAGGCCGCCTTCAAGCACATGTCACTGAGGACCCAAGGCTTGGGAGAAGTGGTAGTAGGAACTAAGCACAGAGAGTCTAACTCCAATAAGGGACGATACATGACCAGAGTAGTCATCCAGCCAGTTTGGAGAGGTAGTAATTTTCAGGAAATAGTGTTTTTGAGAGGTTCAGTTATCTTTAAAGGACTTACAGTATTTTTGGTTGCTGCTTGGCTAAATCTATTTTATTTTCATTTTTATTTTATTTTATTTGAGACGGACTCTTGCTCTGTCACCCCAGGTGGAGTGCAGTGGTGCCATCTTGGCTCACTGAAACCTCCACCTCCCAGGTTCAAGTGATTCTCCCGCGTCAGCCTCCTGAGCAGCTGGGATTATAGGCACATGCCACCACGCCTGGCTAATTTTTCTATTTTTAGTACAGATGGGGTTTCACCATGTCGGCCAGGCTGATCTCAAACTCCTGACCTCAAGTGATCCGCCCACCTCGGCCTCCCAAAGTGCCAGGATTACAGGCGGGAGCCACCATACCTGGCCTAAAACTGTTTTAAAGCATTATGTTTGGAAAAAATAATTCCCAATCTGTTGTTTCAAATGTTCTAGCTTGACTAAGATTGGTGCATTATAAACTTAATCTGTAGTTAAAATCAGATAGTTACATATTTTTGAGTGAAAGGAGCAAGTTATAAAATAATCCAATATAATCCCCACTTTTGGCAAAAATATTTACATACATGCAATGAAAATGTCCGGAAAGTCCTACACCAAGGTTTATGAACTGAGGCGCTATTGGCATTTTGGGCTGGATAACTCTTTGTTATGGTAGGATGTTTAGCAGTATTTATTCCTGGCTTTGGCCCCCTACATGCCAGCAGCACCCTCCTCCTGAGTGGTGACGATCAAAAATTTTCTAGACATTGCCACATATCCCCTGGGGGACAAAAATTCTCCCAGTTGAGAATCATTTCTCTATTCAAATATGTTTATGGTGGTTAAATCTGGGTGACAGTATTATAGGTAATTTTTCTTTCTTCCCCTATTTATTTCTAGTTATTCTACAATGAATAGGTATACATATATCTTAATATATGTCTTCTATAATAAAAATAAAAGCTATTGTTAAAATACCCATAACCATAGCACTATTTATTTTAAAAATTATAGGTACATGCTTTTGAGCAAAATCTTTGAAAAATATCTGTAGATAGGTTTATGGAAGACACAATGTGGGGAATTAAAAAGGAAAAGTTCTTCTAAGATAATTTAGCAAAAATTAATCTGCAAGATGTGGGGGTGGTAATGTGTGGGCCAGAAATAACTTGATTAATGACCCAGGGGTACCCATCCATGACAACCAATCCTCTGTTTAATGTTCTCATTAGATTTACCAAGCTGGCGGTCTTGTGCTCTGGGCTGTACAAATAGTTTTTCTCTGCACTGATTTCCTTCCAGTTGGGCTCGGCATGGGCAGGCACCAAATCTTTCCCATGTTATGGGCTCCAGTGACAAGTTCACTTCCCTCACTTCCTTCTTGAGAGGAAGACATGGCACTATGTTTCACTTACTTTGTAGAGGTGGTATTTTCGTTCACCAGTTGTTTAGGATTTATGGGGTGTGGAAATGGAGCTGCTAATAGATGTTTTTTATTTCTATTAGATAAGGAAAACTTAACTAATGTTCAAGTGGTATATAAAATCCTGGGAATGACCAGGGATAAGATGAACAGCATAGTTGTCCCTTGGTATTCACTGGGGATTGGTTCCAGGACCCCTGAGGATACCAAAATCCACGGATGCTCAAGTCCATGGTATAAAATGGTGTAGATAACCTACACACATTCTCCTGTATACTTTCCATCATCTCTAGATTGCTTGTAATGCCCAATAGGCCTAGACATCACTTCATTTAAGTGCATTCAGTGTAGTACTCAGTGCAATGCAAATTCAAGGTTCACTTTTTGGAACTTTGTGGATTTTTTTTTTTTTAATGAATGTTTGATTTGCTATTGGTTGAATCCATGGATGCTGAACCCACAGATACAGAGGACCAACTATACTTGTCGGACTCTGAAACTTCAACTTCTCAGCTCCACTTGAACCTCAGGCACAGAGATGGAATCTGAAGCGGACCAAAGGGTGGCTTCTTGGAGATGGTGAGGCGTGGCCACAGGAGGAACAGGATGCATGACAGCTGCCTCCCACACAGATATACCGCATCTAAGAAGATGTCGCCACCCCCATGAGAAATATCTACTGTATGCTCATGTTTGAATGTGTGTATATATATAGGTTCAATATATACATAAGTTGCAAAGAACTGAAGCAGCAAAATTAGAGAATGCTCAATATTTCTGACATGCTTGGAATAACAAGAGATGTAAAAGCAACTCAGAATTAGATTCCCCTTTTACGAAGCCAGATAATGTGGCTGAATCACTGAAGGATTTCAATCTGAGGGCACAAAGTAGGAAGCAAATTACTATTTACTCTCTGGTAAGAAAAACAGAGTTAGACAAGGTCTGCCTTTGAATCACAATAGTTGTATGTCTAAATGGCGTTTCTTTCTGGCAGTTAGTAATGGGACCTGGCAGTTAATGATGATGATGACAAACACTTAGGGAGCACTCACTATGTGCCCAGCACAGGTCTAAGTACCTTCTATAGTCCAACTCTTTTAATCCTCAAAACAGCCCTAAGGCAGCTCTTATTTCTATTGCACAGATGAGGACACTGAAGGACATATTAGGTACTTAGAGAATATTTTGTGAATGGAATTAATAAGCAGAACTATCATCAATCACTTTATTTTTCTTTTGCTCTTAATAACAATTTATTCTTTCTCACTCTTGAACTACTTTTACAGTTAGTGTAATACATCTGTTCTTCAAAACCAGCAGAATCGTTTCTATAAAGATTGAGAATAACAGAACACTCTGATTAATATAATTACTCCCTAAATTAAACCATTAGATCTGAAACTGTTTGCATTTGCGGATAATCACGAAAGGTCATGACCCCAGAATCCATCTCTCCTACCAGGGTTGTCTGCCTGTACCAATAATATCAATAAGGAAATATGGGTGATATCTCTTCTCATGAAAGAGCATCAATGGATTATGAGTTCATGACTAAAACAAATATATATTAAGGCAAACCATATGAAGTTACTGCTTGTCAGATTAAAAACAGCCAAATATCCACAATTATATATGGTTCAACTTAATAGATTTTGTCCCATTTTAAAGCAGCGTGACTGAAGAATTTAATTTTCTTAACAAGTGGTAAAGGAGATGGGAACAGTTACTGGAAATGAACTAGAAAGCTATTGTTTTATGGCATAGTTTAGTTCCTACAGTAAATTTCATCAAATTTTAATAAACTCTCCCTTACATAGTCATTTAACTCATTTCTCTTGTATGTCCTATATTTACTTATGGGTTTTAATATTATAAGAATAGAGGATATTCATTCATAGATATTCCAAAGAGTCTTTGAACGACTGCCTATTCGAATGTTTAATATTATAATAGTAACACAGTAACCTAGAGCTTTACCTAACACTTTCTAGTTTACAGACTATGTAAATATCTTTTTGAAAACACACTTCCAGAAATAAATGTAATATTCTATTATAAAATGTGTCATTTTCTTTTAGGTTAGTTTTGAGAGACAATAAGCCCCTACTAAATTATTGAGAGGACACTTTTCTGACTACAAAAGAATACTCGTTTATGTTTACACTCCAGAACTACTCATAAAGTATTAAAGATGGCCTCTTAAAGTAGCCAAGAGTGTGTGATATCATGAAGGTCTGTGCCTGATGTATTCACTCAAAATATGAATCATGATGATTAAATAGTTGAGGTTTTCACATGCGACCAACTTACCACCAACCTGGTATATGTGCATGTTTTAAGTATCTCCTCCTGCTCGCAATAAACCCAATTCTGAAAAAGTGGTATTTATAAAATGAGTGATCTTTGGGAAATATTTTTTACAGTGCTATGTGCATATGGGAAGTACCCAGAAAATAATTGTACAAGTGTGCTTGTTTGAAAATAATGAACCAAGAGGCCAGAGTACACCCACCTGAATAAATTCTGCACCCAGTCTGGCAAACATTTATTGACTGCTTTCTCTGCATAGAACAACCGGCCAGCCCCTGGACTCCAGAGGCCCACCATCATTGTTAAGAGACCTACATGCATGAACCAATCACACACGTGCTATGAGAATAGAGAAAAGAAATAAGTAATTCTCACAGACACTGACAAACTGGAAAAAACTTCTTTCATCCCAGGTACTTTATGGCTGGGATCAAAGGGGTGACTCACTTGTTTGCACAGGAAACAAAAGGCAAAAGGAAGTGTTGGCATCAGTTTTCCATCTGCACATATAACCCCCATTCCTCCATGAATTGCATGAGATAGGTTTCATTTTCTCCTGGTGGCCTGTCTGGAGCCGGCTCCTCATAGAGTCTAGATAGAAGACCCTCCTCTCCGAGCCCATCCCCCTCAGAAGGCTCGCAGCCCTCTGAATCCTGGTCGAAGCTGGACAGCGAAGGAATACACAGCCTGCCAGTTTGGGGATCCCAGTCGACCAGGGTCGTCGATGGCTCTTCCTCCGGCCCCTCCTCCGAGTCTGTGTGCTCCTGCGCCAGGGGGTCTAAGTCTTGGAGCTGAGGGGTGTATGAGTACTGTAACGTTTGCGGGCCCAAGACTGCCAACGCTGCCTGCGACTCCAATAATGTTCCTTGTGTGGACACCTCCTCCTGCAAACTGAGCTCCTGCTCTTCAGGCCCCGCACAAATGTCAGTGGTTCTGACATCATATTCATATTCAATGACTGTTTTATCCGGGGGTATTGTTCTGCTGAGGGACTCTTGCTGGGTGAGAGAAGTACCTTCCGTGTTTTCTTCAGAGTCACAAAAAATTTCCATCAAATGCGAAGCATACCCTAAATGTTTCACCTCCTCTTCCTCCTGAGGGGGCCTCAGGTTCCCGCTGGGCTGAGGATCATTAAGGCTGGATACATCACTGCTTTTTCCCAGTAAACTCATATCCTGATGAGAAATTTTAGAATCATCCGAGATATTGAGGGTGATAAAGTTAATCACGATTTTTTCAGCAGGCACAAAGAATCTTTTGTCAAATTCATTTCCATAAATCAAAATCTATAAAGAGAAAAGAGAATGATTTTCACCTTTTCACTTTAGAGAGACATTAAAAACAGCTGTTAGGTAGAATATCTTGTCACCAGACAGTTTTAAAGACCTACTCTTACCAACTCATGTAAATGAAAGTTATGCTTGCAATATACAGAAAACCTCACTCACTGGGAGGCAAGAGACCCAAGACACACAAAAGATAGTTGGAAGCGAGAAGTGATTCGCTGGGTGGGTATTTCTCCAGTCCAGGGCTGGGGCTGGGGCGTTGGTGCCCCCTCTTCTAACTGGCAGAGGAGTTGCTTCATTTCTTGACCTTTTTTACATTCTGTAAAGTCAGAATCTCAGCCACATGAAGAGTAGCAAAGACTGGGTGTGGCAGAGTTTGTGACACTGTTTTATTTATAGTTTGCTATGCACTTGTTAATAAGCTGTGGTTACCTGGGCTACCTGCCCTGTTTTTGGATATACTTGAAATGCAGACAGGCATGAGAACTGGATGTAGAAAAGGAGGGAAATATATGAGCAGGGATGGTTTTTACCCCTTACACCATTCTTATCATGCTATAATAGAGCCAAAAAAGGAAATTCATCTGCCAGTTTACGGTAGACAGAGAAACTCTAAATCATGTCAAGGAAGCTCAGATGAGATTAAAATATTGCTGTGGGTACCATGAAAGATACCTGTTATCTAAGAGAGCATGAGTTACAATCCTCATTGTCACTCTACCATGTGATTTCATTTAACTTTACAAAACAGAACCTTCAGCCTCAATCTTTTACAACATTTTAAGTTTCAAAAAAATCACAGGTGGTCAATTCTCCTGTGAATGTTCCTTCCAGAAAAGGTCTCCCAATGCCATTAAGAAGCCAACTCTGAAACCTGAATGCAGGCAGAATCATAGAAAAACTTATAAACTGAACTAACAGGAAACAAGGTATGTTATCATGTACACGTGAACACATCTTTTAATAGTTCTCAAGAAAATGGTTTTGATTGTTAAAAATATGCTCAGCCCTTCAGAACCCTTCAGCACATTGTCCCACCTCTGTGGGTTTAATTCTTTCTTCTTTCTTGCTTCTTCTTACTGTGAAGGATTAAGTCATGGCCATGTTCCTCCTAAGTGTGTTTCCATTCCATGTCTTTCTCTCTAGACTGATATCCCACTCTCGCCTGTTAGACTTGAATCTTCTCTCCCCTGGACAAAGCTACAGTTCCCTAGGTGCTTTTCTTGTTTCTAGTCTTACTCCGCTCTAAGTTTTCCTGGAACTAATATCTGGTTGGATCTAAACCTTGATACTGACTATGATGCTCCTAACCTAAAACCCTATGGAGATTTCTCTTTGCCAGTAGAATGAGGCCTAGCTCCTTAGAACAGCACCCCAGCTCTCCCCTTACTTGGACCCACTGCCTACTCTCCAGTCTCATCTTCTTCTCTAGCTCCTCATCTGGAGCCTCCTTGTTTAGGGGTGTCATGCAGTTTCCACACATCCACCTTGCTGTTTCTTCTGCCTGCACTACGGATCCTAACTCCTACTCACCTCTCATAGCCAAGCCCTGGCATGAGAGCTGAGCCCCTGTGTAGGGTTTTGGGGCCCTCCTTGTACCCCCAGAATTCCCAGCGCCTGCTCTCATCTTAGCCTTCATGTGTTATTTTGAAATTCTAGTCCTCGACTAGGCTTGAACTTCTAGAAGGGCAGGGCAGGGATCATGATTGAATTTATCTGTGGGACCTTGTATAATCTGGTGGTTAAATAGAACATCTTTTCAAAGCTAAGGAAAATGTTCTGTTAGTCAGCTAATCCAGAAAGCTTTTTTTTTTTTTTTTTTTTTTTTTTGAGACAGAGCCTCAGAGCCTCACTCTGTCACCCAGGCTGGAGTGTAGTGGCACAGTCTCAGCTTGCCGCAATCTTGGTCTCCCGGGTTCAAGTGACTCTCCTGTCTCAGCCTCCCGAGTAGCTGGGATTATAGGCATGCATTACCACATCCAGCTAATTTTTGCATTTTTAGTAGAGATGGGGTTTCACACTGTTGGCCAGGCTGGTCTTGAACTTCTGACCTCAAGTGATCCAACTGCCTCGGCCACCCAAAGTGCTGGGATTACAGGCGTGAGCCACCATGCCCAGCCCAGAAACTGTTTTTTAATTCACCAGCTATTTAACTTTAAATTCACTCTGCCCTTAAAGGGAACTGAATCTGTTCTAGAACCTCCTCTTCTGTCCTCCTGGAGGTGTACTATTATAATAAAGAACCCTGCCACACCAAGTACTCACCAAATTTGCTGGGTGTTTCTCTTTGCCAACGTGGATATATCGGTAGATGGAATAGCCCATCACAGAAAAAAGAAACACGGTAATAGATACGGGCAAAACATACCAGAAGATGATTTTAGCCTTGAACTCTGATGATTGATCTGTAAAAAAAAAAAAAAAGGTGGGAATTCGGGGGAAGGGATTAGATAGTTGTGATTTGATGTGATGGGAAAAACCTCGTATCGTTAAGCTGCTTCTGTGCAGATCACTTACATTTGGGAACTCAGTTTTCTCACCTCTACGTTGAGAAGCTTAAGCTAAATGTTATAAGCGGTCTCAGAATTCTTACTCTCCCTGACAAGAGACGGTCTGAAGGAATCATCTGAGTGTACCTCAAATGTTTACACTAAGGATACATCAATCATCCAAGTCAGCACATATTCCACCATCGTATGTCTGGCTATGAGATTCATGCAGGTTCTTATATTTCAAAGTAAGTGTATTTGATATTCAAGTAAGTCACAGAATTTCAAACAAACAACAAAACCCTCCAGTGAAGATCCCATTGAATTGCTCCACTTTTCCACGCCACCTGTTTGACTCAATCTTTCTGCATGTTCACTGAAAGACATGAATGCATGACGCCACTTTTATATGAGTAGCAGAACTGTTCTTGCACTGTTTGGCTGGACTTTCTGGGTAGGGCTGGAGCCTGGGGATGTGTGTAGGGAGGTGGCTGGACAGGGTGCAGTGCGAATGGCAGTTAACTCCCTTCCCGGGCCTGCTGTGCTGTAGGCTCATGATGAGTAAAAGTCCGCAGAGGAAATGAAAAGACCTGGGAAATCGTTTTAATAAAAGCAGCCCTGGCCCACACCATTAATCAGGCCATATAGCTGATGACTAGAGCTCATTGTGACTAGCTCATACTTGTTAAGCCACTGTGGTATACTTGGAAGTTGTGATGGTACATTTTACATGTCCAGTTGGCTAGGCCACAGTATGCAGATATTTGGCTAAACATTATTCTAGAGCCTTCTGTGAAGGTTTTTGTTGTTGTTGTTGTTGTTTTTTTTAATGGGAGTCTAACATTTCAATCAGCAGGTTTTTGAGTAAAGCAGATTACTACCTATAATGTGGGTGAGTCTCATCCAATCAATTGAAGACTTTCATAAAAAATGTCTTGATGACCCTAAGGAACAGGGAATTCTGCCAGGAGTCTACCTTTGGGTGCGAACTGCAAACATCAACTCTTCCGTGGGTCTCCAGCCTGCCTATCCTATAAATTCGGACTTGCCAGCCTCTACGATCCTGTGAGCCAACGCCTTAAAATAAATCAATATTTCTAAACAAATAAATATATCGATATGTGCATCTATATGTATTCTATTGGTCCTGTTTCTCTGGAGAATCCTGACTGATACAGCTGTAGGAAAAAGAGCAGCTTCAGCACAAATGACAAAAGTCCGAGTGTGCTCCTTACACACTAACAAAACCAGCAGGAGTGTGACCGGAGCATTCTAATCCAGGAGAATGTTGGATGCTCTTGATGCTTGGGCCCAAGAGAAAGCAGCAAAGTCACTATCTGGTTAACTATCCAGTTGAAAGCGAAACAGATGTGTCATGGCTGATGAGGGTGGTCAACAAGAGCCGGTGGGAAAAGTTCCGCATGCGGGCCTGTTACCCTGCACAATTCCCAAGGAGCACATTCATCACCAGGTTCCACACAGAGACGTGCCAATGCTGTGATGCGGATGCTGCGGGTGTCAGAACACCACCTGCCCTGCTTGTAGCCTATAACTCAGTCCAACCCTCTTAATACAATCCCTGGTCCCTGGATTGAGCCTGTCCTAATTGAAAAAAGTCATAACAATGACTGATAGCATTTAGTATACACTAACCCATGTTTATTACAACAAACCTAATAAACTATAATTGTATTTTAGGGATGGGGGACGAGAGAGCAGAAATATGTTTTAAAGAATAGTTCCAATAGAGGTAATACTGATTATTCAGAAAGCAGGTCCTCACACCAGTGTGTTGGAAAGATATCTCTGGTGGTCTAACAGCTGGGATAGCACGGGTTCAGAACCAGAAATAGAGCCTTATTATTCCGTTAATTTTTCTTTCTTTTTTTTTTTTTTGAGACAGGGTTTCACTCTGTTGCCCAGGCTGGAGTGCAGTGGCACAATCACGGCTCACTGTAGCCTTGACTTCCCCAGGCTCAGGTGATCCTCCCATCTCAGCTTCCCAAGTAGCTTGGACTAAAGGTGTGTGCCACCATGCCTGGCTAAGTTTCGTATTTTTAGTAGAGATGGGGTTTCACCATGATGCCCAGGCTGGTCTTGAACTCCTGGGCTCAAGTGATTCTCCTGCCTCGGCCTCCCAAAGTGCTGTTATTATAGGCGTGATCCATTGCACTTGGCCACTTTTTTCATATTAGTGAGAAAGTGGGCTTCATCTGCTTACTGAGAAGTTTTGAATTTAATCTGCATTTTGTTGCTTTTGCTCCAATTGTGTTAATGATTTCCACTGGAAATTCATTCCCACCAGCTGGCACTGATCAAGGTGTTAGTAAAGAGAGCACTTCTCCCAAATACAAATGCGATTTCTTCAATATGCTTTGTTTTGCTTGGCATTTTAGTTTCATTTGATATATGGTAGAGACTCCTTCATTGTAAAAGAAAAGCTATGATAAAGACAGAGAGTCAAAGGCAAAGCCTTGCGCTTTTCACAGGTACTCACAAAGTTCCCTTTCTTTACTTTCGGACAGTTTCATCGTGAAAGGTGGGAGGGGTGAGGGAGGAGGAAAGCAGGGGTTATGGATTCCTATCCATGGCTGGTGATAGAGCCAAGGCATGGGGTGGAGGTCGTCGGCCTCTGTCTCTAGACCAGCTGTTTGGAAAAGAAGCGGAGGAATAATGGATGAAGAGCCCTTCGATGCAGGCAAACTTTAGGATGTATTTTTTTTCAATTTTCAAGTTTTTAGTTAAAGCTCCTCTCACTGTGAAGGCAGAAAAATTAAACAAATGCCAAGCTCACAACTCTATGTCTTCTCATAGGAATGGGTATCTCCAATCACGGTTCCTTGGCAGCCCAGTGTAGAAAATGTGAAGAGGAGATAAATAAAAGGAAATAGAGAGAAGCAACTGTAAGGATAAGGAAGTGATCACTGATTTGTGGATCCCAGACCCTCATGCAGCCAATTAGTGGCACTTGAACACAACTGGAAGCACCTATAATTAGTATTCCCCAGGGAAAGTAAAAAATGAATTCTGCTTTACAGTGGTTTTAGAATAATGCTTTGTTTCTAGCAATAAAATTGTCTGATGTTCTTGAAGACCACAGAATTTCTATCAATCAGAGTGGTTATGATTTTATTTTTTATTTTTTGAGACAAGGTCTCACTCTGTTGCCCAAGCTGGAGTGCAGTGGTGCACCTATGGCTCACTGCAGCCTCTCCTGGGCTCAGGTGATCCTCCCACCTCAGCCTCCCGAGTAGCTAGGACTACAGGCATGCACTACCAAGCCTGGTTGATTTTATTTTTTATAGAGATGAGGTCTCACTATGTTGCCCAGGCTGGTCTTAAACTCCTGGGCTCAAGCCATCCTCCCTCCTTGGCCTCCCAAAGTGCTGAAATTTCAGGTGTGGGCCACTATGCCCAGCGTGATTATGATTTTAAAGAAGAAAAAAGGCATGTGTAAAAGTTCTTCATTGTTAATTCACAAGGCAGGTGGCCGAAGGACCATGGAAAGAAGCTGGCAGTGGACACGGGACCTGTATGAGTTCTCCGAGGGTGTGAGAACACTTCTGAACGTCGGCCAAGCTCAATGGCAGAGTCCCAGGCTGCTCCACGCATTTCTGGTGGTAGTTGTTTCTGCCTTTGCCTCAACCTGTTTCTGTTAGACACGGATTTGTCAAAACCTTGTCTAAACCATCATACCGACTTCTAGTTTTAGCAGATCTCCTTCCTAGACCAGCAAAGATTTTTTAAAGCTTACCTTTCAAAGTCCTGGCACACTGCTTCTCAGAAGGCTGAGCACGGCGAGGGGGCCCTGGGACGAAGGACTCCACGTGTACGCAGTAAAGAGTGTTCGGCTCCAGCCAGGTGAGCACCAGCGTGTGGTTGGTCACACACTGGGACCACTAGGATAGGGAATTGCAAACATTGGTTAGAGCCAGACATTTCTGGGACCACCCCAGACAAATAACTGTAGAAGGAAATAGAAGACCAAGGCACCATTTAATTCTTTACTATCAGTATAAGCTTTTTTTTTTTTTTTTTTTTTCAGCAACAGTTTCAATATACTCTTTTCCTTTAGCTCAGCAGAGCATGGTCAGGAACTGGACCAATGCTGAGAACAATTCTAAACAACACATGGATAGAGTTCTTATTCATTGTCCTGGGTCCTTGCTCACATTTTTTTCTTCTTCTCAGAGAAAGACTGTGCAAGTGAAAGCTCTTCATCAAAGTGAAGTGTACAATCTCTCTACACTCCAATAACAACACCATATCCTGTCAACAGAGTTTCTGTAAAGAAGATCTGAAGTTAGTTCTGTAAAATTTCTGTATATAGAACTTTATTTTGTGCGGCGTATCTTTTGAACATCATGACTTCCCAGATTCACATGCAGAGAATCAATGCATCAGGGTTGTTTGTTCCCACATTAGCTACAGAGTGGTACATGAATGTATGCCCCATTCCATTTCAGGCTTACCGTTCTGTTTGATTTAGTATTCAACACAGACACGTTATACTTCAGATTGGAGTATATTTGTTGCATGGAAACAGGAAGGTCTTCTGGATTTCTCTTCCACTTCTCTGGAGCTGTCAGGACAACAGAAATGGACTTCTCATCTGTAGTCAGTGCCACCTCTGGTGGGCCAATTTGTGCTTAAAGGGGGAGAAAGAGGGTATTATCATGTTCAGATGAAAAATTACCTTAGGTAAAGCTACCATATAATCCTACTTGGATCAAGGCCCTAAAAGACATCCTTTTTTTTTTTTTTTTTTTTTTTTTTTTTGAGATGGAGTCTTGCCCCCTCGCCTAGGCTGGAGTGCAATGGCATGATCTCGGCTCACTGCAACCTCCACCTCCTGGGTTCAAGCGATTCTCCTGCCTCAGCCTCCCAAGTAGCTAGGATTACAGGTGCCTGCCAACACACCCAGCTAATTTTTGTATTTTTAGTAGAGACGGGGTTTCATCATGTTGGCCAGGCTTGTCTCGAACTCCTGATCCTGTGATCCGTCCACCTCGGCCTCCCAAAGTGTTGGGATTACAGGCATGAGCCACCGCGCCCAGCCTTAAAAGACACCTTCTTACAGGAGATGCCCCAAAATGTACTAAGGTGGGCCTGAGATATGCCAGATCTTGAAACCATCCTGAAACCAACCTTGAAACCAACCTTCACACAGCCTGATCCCATGTTAGAACAGCAAACTCAAGTATTCTGTTTCCTTAGTCACATGCATAAACAGTAGATGGTTAATACAATCAAAACTGTTTGTAAGATTTCTGTGACTTGAAAAGTTGGTGATAAATGACAACAACATGACTTGATAAGTGGAAAATCAGAGATGTGATTAGAATGATCTAGAACAGAGACCAGGCGACTTTTATCCTAAAGGTCTGGACAGTAAATATTTCAGGCATCGCAGGCCATATGATCTTTGTTGCACTACTCCACTCTTGCTGTATTGCGAAAGCAATCTAAGGTAACTGTGTAAACAAATGAGTGTGGCTTGTGCCCCAATAAAACTTTATTTATGAATAGACATCAACATTTCAATTTCCTTTACTTTTCCAATGTCACAAAATATTCCTTGGATTTTTAGAAACTATTTAAAAATATAAATACCATTCTTAACTCTTGGCTTGTAGAAAAACAGAAAGGGTGTTGTTGGATTTGTCCCAAGGGTAGTTTTCTGACCTCTGATCCGGAAGGGCTCCTGGACTTATGGAGCACTTGCAGAGCTCATTATGGCAGCCCTGAGTGGGTCCTTCATGACTGAGTCAGCCATAGCTCAGGGGATGGCAACATTTTAAAAGTAAATACCAGGAAGAAGTTGCCTTAATTCTGGGTTACACTTGGAAATTACATCATCACACTACCAAGTTCATACAAGAAGAAGCATAGTGGATAATCAGGACAATGTTTAATCAATCTTGTGGAGACATTAATAGTCCATAAACCCACATTAAATAAAGTCATTTTGTTCCTCAAATTACATAGCTTCCACAAAGTAGTAAGACAAAGTCAAAATTTGATATCATTGTCATCTAGTATCAATTTTGGATCTGGGAGAGATCTTAGAGACCACTTGGTTAAACCTTTCACTCTAAAGATGAGACTCAGGCTGGGTGCGGTGGCTTATGCCTGTAACCCTAACACTTTGAGAAGCTGAGGTGGGAAGATAGCATGAGCCCAGGAGTTTGAGACCAGCCTGGCAACATAATGAGGCCCTGTCTCTACAGTCAATCAATCAATCAGTCAATCAAGGTGAGACTCAGAGCCAGCAAGGTTAAGGACTTTGTCCTGCTCACTCAACCCACTGGTCCAGAATACAGCCAAGCAGAGTACCTTCCTCTGGGCAAGGCTGTCTGTGAGGCTGAGACTGTTAAACCTGATATGAATACATGTTTAACTGACCATTGCAATAATGGCATTACTTACTTTCTAAAAAAGGATAGAACCGTCCACTTTCAGCCCATTTGGAACACTTTGTTCCCCAAATGGCCTTAACTTTGGCATAATACTGGTGTTCGTAGTCAGAAGTTTCAGCAGAAAGATCACAGTAGGTTCTATTGATATTTCTGCATTCTGATTTATTCAGCCATTTCTTTTGCCCATATCTGCTAAGAAAGAAGCTGAATTAATAATGAGGTGCCCTCTATACTTTACAATAAAAAAACTCAGTCATTTTATAAAACTGAATGGAACTGACGACCTTCTCTTCAGAAAAACAAAAGTGCCTGTCATTGAGATAAAAAAGAATCCACTTTTGCGGTGGGCAATTTTTTTCATCAGCTGTCAGGAACATGAGTCAGAGTTTCTGTAATCACCTTTCTTTCTGTGAATTATAATGTGGACAGTATATTTTGGAAGCATATATTTTACTGTTATTCTTTGGCTACAGTGAAATTTTTACATATTGTGTGATCAATTCTTCTAGTAATTATCTGTGTAGGTTTTTAGTCTACTATGTACACGAGGTCAGTTTGACGGATTGTTTGAAGAACAGTTTGTCATTTTTTTCTTGGAAGAAAAATTACTTTGACGTTCTCATAGCATATAAAAATCTAAGTATCAATGATTCTAGGGAAAATACACGAGGCTGGAGTGCATACAGAAATCTGCATTTTTGATAATTATAGTGATGATGATAATATTGACTAGATTGGTCATACTGATTTTCCTTTTCTTTATTAAAAACACAACCCCCATAGCAAATAGGGAGGTGGCAATATTTTCAGCCCTTTTCAGGTGGGAGAGACTGAAGTGTAGAGTTCAGGTAACATGTGATAAGCCAGTGAAAGGGACAGGGGAGGCAGTTTGGGAAAGGTGATGGGTTACAAGTGGCAGCCTAGGGAACAGCTGAGAGGACACTACAGTGGTCCAGGGGAAGATGTAGGTCGCTTGGACAAGGACAGGGGCAGTAGGATAAATAAGGACAGGACAAAAGCAAGAAATATTAGGAGATAGGACTTGGTGATAGAAAACATGTAACAGATTAGGGAAATGAAGGTGTTAAGGATGCTGTCTCTTTCTGTCTGGGGCAGATGGGTGGAATGGTGGTGATATTTACTACGAAAAAGAGCACTGAGACAGAACAGATTTGGGAAATGGATGGGGAGGCAGAGCAGGAGGGGAAGATAAGATGTTCACTTTTGATGCCTTGAGCCTGAGTATGTTAGAGATATCCCACTGCAGATGCCCAGTGGGCAATGGGTCTCAGGAGAGACATGTGTGTGGGAGGTAGGGATTTTGGAGTCAATGTCATCAAACTGCTCATTGATGGCACAAGCATGAATGAATGATCCATGGAAACAAAATAAAGTCTAGGATAAAATTTCAGGAGCGTCAAGATTTAAAGGTTGGATAGAAAGAAGACCTGGAAATAGCAACTAAAGAGGGATGAGAAAAAAATATCATAAAGGTCAAGGGAAGAGTGTGTCTTGAGAAAGAGGATATGTCCATGTATTGCCAAAGCTTAAGGATATTTTCTCTTTTCAGAATATGGCAACAGATTTCTGAAAGTAAATGTTTCCCATTTCCTAAGTACCATACCTACCAAAAGACATCAGAAATATAGTCAGATCTTACTGATCAACTTCTCCATCCAAGTGATCACTGTTACTTAAGGGCTTTCAATTTTTTTTTTTGACCATGATCCACAGGGAAAAGAAAAATACATTTTATATTGTGATTCAGCTCACAAAATATAAAACTATCTAACATATTAAAACAAAAATTGTACAAGAAAATATTTAAACTTTACCACATGCCTTGCATTCAGTTATTTTTCATTCCAGTCCATTCCACACCATTCCATTCCTTTCCATTAAAAATAATATCCCTCAACATTCATTTCATGAGTCATCAAAGAGTCCTGAATTGTGGCTTGAAGACTATTGCCATTGCCTATGTGGCCCCTCCCTCCTCAAACTTCCTCACTCTGCCAAAGGCAAGGCAGCTTCCCATGACAGATGCTGATGCAGGAGAAAAGGCTCTTTACAAGATTTTCAACAAAATAAATGAATGATGACCAGAATCACTCAGCAAATATTCCAGTAATGACACTCACGCATGGCAAACAGCCATATGGGGCCCTCAGTGGTCTCTGATTTACAAGCTTTATCTCACTAATTATCATAACAACCCTAGGGGGTAGGTACTCTTATTTTCATCCCATTTTACAGATGAGACAGCTGAGGCTCAGGGAGATTAAGGGATCCACTCAAATTCACATGACTAGTAAACAGCATTCCTGGGATTTGAACCACTCTTCCCTGACGCCAAAACTTCTGTTTTTAGTGCTACATTCTATTTTTTTGCATTAATTGTTTTGGTGGATAGAATTTAAACTTTTGGAAAATTTTCACCTTGGAAACAAACTTCACTCAAAAGTATAAAAGTATAATCTGTAACCTTCCCAGCTAGGTTCATAGCCTGGCTATGAACTGGGGACTGTCTGACTCCAGAGCTGAGCTTGGAGCCCTCTGGCAGTGAAATACATTGTCTTATATTCCTGTCCCTCTTTCACATGCACAGGCATGTAAGAACTCCAACATCGCAAGCTTCTTTTTAAAAACATATTTTTAAAAGTTGCACAATCTGAGTGATCTGCTCACACGAAGCAGTGATGACTCTTGTCTATTTTTTAAAAATCCCTTTCTGGATCACATAAAACATAAAGGACAGAGCAAGCTCTTTGCTCCACCTAATGGATAAGGAGGCAAGGACATGCTCACGAGCCTTTTCTCTGCAAAGTGATTTCTTTCCTCTAACACTGGCTCCTGAGAAACTCCTTGGAAATGAGAATGAGGTTCTAGATAAATGAGGTCACTGTGAGTCGCTGCTGAAGTCTTTCACTGGTTTTAGTTATCTGAATTTTTTTTTCAAAGACAAAACTGACTTTATTCTTTTTTGAAAATATGGTAAATTTTTTTAATTCAAACAATCAAACAATTCAGAAAGTATAATCAAAAGAGAAACAAATCATCCTAAAACCCATTACCCTGGAACATTTGGTGTGTATGATTCTGGATATCTCATTGTGCTTCTGTATAAACAGAAGGACGATATGATAGCAGAATAGATGGACAAAAATTAGATTATACCATACATATGGTTTTAATAAAAGTAGTCAATTCAATGTGCCTTGAACTTTGATAGAAAAAAGAAATTGAAGTGAGATTAAAGAAACTACAGAAGTGCAAATGTTTGTCACCACAAGACATATTTGTTCCTAAAAGAGCTTTTAAATTAAGAAAATGGTTTGTGAAAAATATTGAGAGGTTAATTATTAAAATAATAAAATATTGTCATTTTAGATGACATTTAATGGCTTCTGGCTATGAAAATCAGTACACTTATAGTTCCCCCCCCCTTTTCCACCTTATATTATTGTTTAAATTCAAATTATTTCTAAGAAACTTCTATAATTACATTTCCATCACTATTTAGTCTTAGTTCTACACTGAGATGAATTCCATGCATGCTACCAGTCTTTTGGTCATCACTAAGTTCTTCTTTTGGGTTTGTCTTTATCTCTCTGTTAGCTGGAGGTCGTCTTTAGTTAGTGCTCCACCTCATCCTCCAGGAAGATCTCAGAAAAGTGATCTCCTGAGTTCCCACCTGCTTCCAAACACCAGTCTACTGAACTTCGTAAGAGTCTTAGGTTATACTTGTCTTTTCCTCACAAGATATATTCTGTTGAGTGTTGCCAGATTGAAATTCTCCCTTTCTCTCAACTTGAGTTCTGCTTTTGCTAAAATGGCCATGAATCATTTAATTATCTTAAAGTCCAATAACTTCACCAGGATATGTCTTGCTATTGTTTTTACCAATTTTTTTCTAGACACACCACACATTTATGATACACAGTTCCAAACAGTTTTTATTACCTGTTCAACCATTACTATCACTTAGCTCTAACAGGTTTTTCATCTTGATACAGTATTTTTATATTCCAGCATTTTCCTAAGCTCTGCACACTTCCTTAAAAAAAAGCATGTTCTCCCTGTTGTCTTAGAAACTCTTCTTTCACTGTTTTCTCTTCTTTGAGTTTTACCTTTACAGATCCTGTTGTTTATGCACTCTAACAAAATTATGGACTGTTATTTATTTTAATTCTTCCTTACTTCCATAGCAAAGCTTTCTGGAAACTTGTATTCTGTTTTCTTCTTTCCCCCTTCCAGTAATTATGAATAGGCGCTATGCTAGTTCCCTTGGGACTATTACTTTTTGAGTGGGGCCAGCTGTTTGTTGAACAGGCAAATGGATATAAGAATAGGGCTCAGATAATGAGCTTTTGCTCTCCATAATTTTTGTTTGTTTGTTTGTTTGTTTGTTTGTGAAAAGACTTGGCTTTATTGTCCAGACTGGAGAGCAGTGGCATGATCTCAGCTCACTGGAACCTCCACCTTCCAGCTCAAGCCATCCTCCCACCTCAGCATCCCAAGTAGATGGGACTACAGGCATGCACTATCATGACCGGCTAATTTTTGTATTTTTTGTAGAGACAGGGTTTTGTCATGTTGCACAGGTTGGTTTTGAACTTGTGAGCTCATGCGATCCAGAAGTCTTGGCCTCCTAAAGTGCTGAGATTACAGGTGAGAGCCACCGTGTCCGGCCAATGCTCTCCATAATTTTAAACTTCTGTTTCCATCAAACACCCTCTCACCAAATCCATTATTCCCTTTGCTCCCTGTGAAGCCTGTCTGCCCTCAGGTTTTGGGCTGCAGGAGGCTGATGTCGTAGCCTTCCTGGGCTGCCTCCCAGCCAGTGCCACCTCCCTTTCCTCCTGACCCCGGCTCATTCCCAGCTTCTCCCTGGGCTGTGACAGGGCCTCCACAATGGACATGTCCTGTGTGCCTGATTTCTATTTCAGTTTCACCACCTCTGATATTCTGTGGCACCCAGCTGGGGCTCCATGGGGACATTTCCTTAATTTCTGGTGGTGGCAATCCTTAGATTTCCATGCTCTCAGATTGTTAGGTGGGCCTCTTTGCACTGTGATACTTATTTTGTGAAATCATTTCCTGTGGTTGGAGCTGGGAAGGTGTAGGTAGGTTTGCCTTCAGTTTCTGCAGCTGTTTTTCTTCAGATTCCACAAGATTTGGCTTGGATGGTTCCTAGTTTGTGGTCAGGGTTGTGGCCATTTCCTTTGTTTCTCTGAAGATGGACACTGACTATCTGTCTTGCATTCTTTCCTGCTTGCAATGAGTTTTGAGGGCCAGATGAAATGTCTATTCACTGCTATCTTTAAGTGCAACAGCTGATCACACCAAATGTGCACGCGGTTTCAAGGAGTCTAAGGATGCCTATAATTCCAAACAGCTTAGAAATTTCAAGATGATGGATTGCCTTGTTTGCTCAGCCACCTAATAATGTTTTATTATTAGAAACTTCTTTTCTCTGTCTAAATAACCTTGCCTTGCCTGAGCCCCCCAATGCCTCTGTCTCCATGAAGAAACTGTTTTCTAATTTAATCTTACAAAACATCCAGAAAACTTAACCTGAAATATCTAAAACTTTTCTCTTTTTCAAACACATTTAATACCACGGAGAGTTTATCTTTACACAATTCACAAGAGTCTGAGTCTTGTGTTTGTAAGCTAGCCAAAAGGAAAAGAAGAAACTTACATGAAATACTGCACAGTGTAAGTAACTTTAACTCCTTGAAGACCCTCTGGTGGAGTCCATTGTAGGACATTCTTCATGTTGATGGATAAGAAGGTGATGTTTGCAGGTTTAGGCAAACCACCAGAGACACAGGGAACTGAAAAAGGAGCAGAAAGGAATTGAGGTCTTAGTAGCAGAAAAGGAAAACATGATTCCTGTAGCAGCTAGTCTCCAGAGATGGCCCCCAATACGGCCTTCCAGTATGCATGCCCTATGTAACATCTCTGAAATGGAAAAGAGAATGTGGCAGAGGTGGCTCTGGGACTAAGCCAGGACTTTTGCTTTTCAAAAAAATTCCCGAGTTGCTATGTAAAATAACAGCTAACTTGCTGGAGAGACCATGTTGAGAGATTGCACGAAGAGAGGCTCAGTTGTCCTGGTGTCCCAGCTGAGCCCAGCCTTCCAATTAAGGGGCCACAATGAAGTTACTGTGGCCATTCTAGCCCCTTCTGTCACAGGCTGAAGCTGCATGAGAGACCTCGTGTGAGATCAGCAGAAGAATCATCTGGCAGAGCCCCAGTTAATCCCCAGAAATTTAAGAAATAATAAAATGATTGTTTTAAACCACTAAGTTTTGGGGGTAGTTTGTTATGCACAGCAGAGAACTAAAACAATCTCTTTATTAAATATAAAAACAAAATTTAGAGTAGGTGACCCCGAGAGGCCAGAGTTTCAAAGGTTAGAATTGGGACTGCCTTTACTAAAGAATATAGTAAAGCAATAATTAGAAAAGGAACCAATGAAATAAGACAATTTATTTAAATAAACACTGATATGTTCACATAGGTGCACTCTAAGAAAAACTGTATCCTAGAGGATTAATTTACAGAAATCCTTGTAGAGAAATGGTAAAGAATTGAGAAACTACTAAAAACTTGGAAAAGGAAAGGAGAGGCTACTTTCTTATAAAATAAAGCAAAGATAATCCTTGGATTAAAGTAAATGAAAAAATTCAGTGGTAATATGTAGGAATCAAAATATTAATTTAAAATATTGGAAAGATCACAAAGCACGGAGTGATAACCAATCAGGTTTTATGAACAACTTATCCTGTCACAAATATGCACATTCTAGTCAATCAATGAACTTGAAAAATATAAAATATTAATACTGCCAATCAAACTTAGGAAATAAAATTTAGTTCAGTCACTGATGGCAGGTCCAATCTTGGCTAAGGATCATAATTCTTGAGTAAAGTAGCTGGGACTAATGTCAGAGAAAGGAATTATGTGTGAGGTAATCCTTAGTTAAGATTAGTTCTATACAATGTATTGTTATTTTGCAAGCCAAGTGAAAAGAAAAATTATTTACTTTAGAATTAAACTTTGTAATATCACCCTGATTCTAAGCAAAATTAGCTCTTTAGTGTAAAGATGGCTGAGTGTAGGTATGCTTGTGTTATAATTGTCATGACTCCTACTTTTAACCTTGCTCATTTAAAAAATTTTGTTTTATTTTTTTAAAAAATGTTACAGAGAAGCACAATCAATTGACCACTGCCGTGTGCGTGTGTGTGTGTGTGTGTGTGTGTGTGTGTGTGTGTTAGGGGTAGGGGAATCTCAAAAGGACATAGCCTGCCCAACATCAGTCTTTGATTTCTTCTTGTAATTCTTTGGAACCATTGGGTAGCAAGTGGTGTTGGTATTTTCTGGAGATTACATAGAGTGAATATTTATCAATGATTTAATACTGCTTTGTGGTACTACTAGGTTCTCAATTTTAATCAGATTTTTGAAGACAAAATAGAACATGAGGAGGCAGCACATTGAGTATAACACTTCTCAGCTCTTCCAAAATGTGGAACCCATTTAACATAAAAATTGCCAAGGATCTTTCCAGAGCTAAAATGCTGTGGCCTACATTTTTAGATGGCCTTAACATATGAAGAGTGGTTAGCATCTTATACAAAATAAAATAGACTGTGCATTATAATATCACTGGTGGAAGACATTGTCAAAACATGGCTTTATAGAAATGAAAAGGAAATTGAACATTTTGGTTTGTGGCAACATGAGTTTGGAGATAGAAAACAGAAGTTATCTTAGATAGTATAGTCCAGGCATATCGTCTCAAGGTTCAATCTGTACAAATCTTTATCTTCTACAACACTGTATTCTATTTATCTTTTTTTTTTTTTTGAGACAGAGTCTCACTCTGTTGCCCATGCTGGAGTGCAGTGGCATGACCTCAGCTCACTGCAACCTCCACTTCCCAGGTTCAAATGATTCTCTTGCCTCAGCCTCCCAAATAGTTGGGATTACAGGCACTCACCACCATGCCTGGCTAATTTTTTTGTATTTATAGTAGAGATGGGGTTTTGCCATGTTGGCCAGGCTGGTCTCCAACTCCTGACCTCAGGTGATCCTGCCATCTTGGCCTCCCAAAGTGCTGGGATTACAGGTATGAGCCACCGCGCCCAGCCCTATTTGTTTTTTTAATGTGAGTAAAGAAATGACAGAGCTCTCAAGATGCCTAAAACATACCCAAAAAAGTTTTGAGAAATAACTTGGAGTAAAAGAAATAGACAGGCAATTTTATTTTAATTTAGTTTTTTTGGTTGCTGTCATAAGGAAACAAAGCAATTTTTCTCTTCTGAAATAAACTATACTCTGGAATGTTCTGTCAATAATTAATGTTCATTGATTCAGTAGACAGTTTGATTAATGCTTTGTAATTGTCTAAATGGTCCTTCACAAATGCTATGCCAATTGTTGAAATGTTAGCAAACTCTGGTAATGATATTAAACCAACAGAATGAATAATGTGACAATAATAACATTAAAAAATAATGTTCTTATGCCATTCTATTCTTTGAGAAGAGAATATATTTCATTATAAATGCTGTGAACTATGTATGCCTCCCCTGCACGTCTACATTATGGGTAAATCTTATCTATCACCATGACTGTGGTAGCTGGCCTCCAATAATCCCTTCCTCTTGGCATTCACAGGTTGTATCATTCTCTCCCACATTGTGCCTGGGTTGGTCTGTGTGTCCAATAAAATATGACAAAAGCCATGACAAAAGACACTTCTGAGATTAGGTGATAAAAGGCACTGTGGCTTCTGTCTTGTTTTCTTTGTCTTGGATCATTTGCATGGGCAACACCAGCTGCTTTGTTGTGAGTGGCCCTGTGGAGGCCCATGTGGCAAAGTAACTGAGGCTTCCCAAAGCTGCTGAAGAACTGAGTGAAGCCTCCTGCCAAGAGGAACGTTAGTGATCTTAGAAGTGGATCCTCCGACCCCAGTCCAGCCTTCGGATGACTGCAGCCCCAGCTTGCCTCTTGACTACACTACTGTGAAAGACCTTCAGCCAAAACCACTTGGCTAAGCCCTTACTGGAATCCTGACCCTCAAAAAATATGTGAGATAATATTTGTTGTTTAAAGCTATTAAGTGTAAGGTAATTTGTTACCTAATAGTAGAGAATGAATACAACAATGATTCTAAAACTGAAAGCATCTAAGACAGACCAATCACTAAAAAAAAAAAAAAAACCCCTCCATTCCCAATAATTTAATAAATGGCTCTTGCCTTAACAATTTTGAGAAATGTTCTTTCTAATAGTTTGATTTTATGTTTATGAAAAAAATTAAAAACTACCCGAGGAGAAGACCAGAAACTTACTATCTTTTTAATAGCAAGTAAAGATCACAGTAAAAACTTTTTGAATTTTTTTTTAAAAAACAAATGCTTAGTTAAGCTCATTGCAAATACGCTGACAAGATTTCAGAGTAATAAACATCTTTAACAGAAATCCACTTAAAAATGAATGTTATATTTTGTACACTGCATCTGGGGAAAAAATACTACAGCTTTTAGACCTGCAGTTTCTTCCTTTGGATTGACGTTATCTTTCTGATGGCAGAGGCAGAAAATGTTTCAGTTTTGGATCATCCTGTTGTCAATAAATCAAACTATTATTCAGGGGCAGACCTGTCATGAGAAAAGTAGGTCACGTCTTGATATCAGCCCATCTCTAAATCTCTCCAGGACACAAAATATTCCTGTTATGACATGGTCTGCTGGTTTTGAAACCTTTTTTTTTTTTTTAAATCAGAACAAATTAAGCCACGTTAGTCATCTTTCCTTAGATCAGGCAAAGCACATCTTGTCTCTCTGCTTGTCGACATTTTATTTTCAGAAATGGATGCTTATAAATTGCTGTGGATTAGTAGTATTTTGTTAATTATGGACTTTTAATAATGTGTCTTTGATCAATGGAAATAGATGGTTCTTACTACAGAGAGGTTTGACTTTTCTGCAAAGAGGAGTTAAAAGAATTCTCTCACATGGACTGCTTGTTCCTTTGGATTAGTTCTGGTTTCACCTGGAAATGGTATCATATATTTGGGTATGATTAAAAATAATGTTGTGGCCAGGCGTGGTATCTCACACCTGTAACCCCAGCACTTTGGGAGGCCAAGGCAGGTAGATCACTTGAGGTGAGGAGTTCGAGACCAGCCTGGGCAACATGGTGAAACCCTGTTTCTAGCAAAAAAAAAAAAACACAAGAAACAAAAATTAGCCGGCATGGTGGTGGGCACCTGTAGTCCCAGCTATTTGGGAGGTTGGGGCAGGAGAATCACTTGAACCAGGAAGGCAGAGGTTGCAGAGAGCCACTGCACTCCAGCCTGGGCAACAGAGCGAGACTCTGTCTCAAAAAATAAAATGTTGAAAGTGGGATCCACTTATGACAGGCTAAGAGGCTCTGTTTTAATAATAATAATAAATATTGTGAAAGCCTTTATATGTTAAAATGTATTTAGTCGATATGAGCAAGTTGGTTGGCATATAATAAAAATAGTCGCTAATACTTACTAAATCCTTACCACACAGCCAGGATGGTCTATGTGCTTTACACAAACCAACTCATTCAGTTTCCATAACAGCCCTATGGTAGGTACTATTGTTATCATCTCTATTATACAGATGAGGAAACTGAGGCACAGAGGAGTTTAGTAAGTTGCCACAAATTCACACAGCTAGTAAGTGGAGGAGCTGAGTTCAGAACCCATACTCTTAACCTCCTCACTCACATGCCAGCGTTGTAAACCAAGTAGAATTTAAGCAGAATTTAAAGATAAGAAAAGGCTGATGAGAAAACATGTATTAATCTATGATATTAATACATCAAATAATTTGGGAATTTAAAAATGTTAGATACTAATCTGTTCAGCAAATTTTTTGGGATCCCACCACATTTTGTCATAGGAGGTCCGTTCCTTTTCCTGCCAGAATATGTCCTCCCTTATCTGGTCCTAGGGAATGCAAGCAGAAACTCCTCCTCTTTTGACACGTTCTCCAGATGATATGGTGACCACGAAGGTAGGGATTCCTAGAAGATTGTGTTGGACTCTACTCTGGTTTATGTTTAGTTGCCGAGAACAGGATTTCTATTAATTTGAAACCACAGTTAAATTTATAGATATGGACACATATATTTCACCTTGGCCTTGGACTTTAGCTCTTTGTCTCCCATATAAATCATACTATAGTCAATCCTATCTGTATTGATGAGAAACATCAGTTCGACACTCATCTGATTCAGTCATTCAACTCATATTTATTGGGTATGCTTATGGGTTGAATTGTGTTCCTCTCTTGCAAAAACAAATAAATAAAAATAAAATATATATTAAAGTCTTAACCTCTGAGTACTTCAGAATGTGACCTATTTGGAAATAGAGTTGTTGCAGATACAGTTAACATGAGATCATACTGAAGTCAGGTGGGCTCCTGATTCAGTATAACAGATATCCTTATAAGAAGACAGCCATGGGAAGACACAGAGACACAAGGAGAATGCCATGTGAAGACGAAGGACTGGAGTGATGCACCTACAAGCCAAGAAATGACTGGGACCACCAGGAGTTGGAAGAAGCAAGGAAGGAGGCTTCTCTAGTCTTCAGAAGGAGTGTGGTGCTGCCAACACCTTGATTTTGACTTCTAGCTTCCAAAACTGTGAGAGAATAAATTGTGTTTTTTAAAGCAAACCGGTGGTACTTTGCCATGGCAGCCCTTGAATACTAACACAGTGCCTACCATGTGGATATCTTATGGTGAATAGACAGGTAAGTTCCTGCCCTTGCAGAGCTTCCAGGGTAGTAGGAAGAGAGACATCATTAAAAAGTAAAAAACAAAAACAAATATATACATAAAAATTTGGTGATCAGACTAAGCAAGGGAGTAAGGCTGGAGTGGTGGGTCACAGAACCCATAAATACACAGGGCCTTAGGAGAGGGCAGTGTTCTAGGCACTGAGATGGGAAAGGGCCTATCCAAAAGGACAGTGTCTTTGGAACTGTCAAAATATCAGTTTGGAAAGCTGACAAAGAGGACAGTGGCCAAGATGAAATCTAAGGAGTACAAAGGAGCTAGATCCCCCATCTCTCTAAACTCTGGGAAAATGCCTGGATTATATTTGAAATTCATGGGAAAGTATTGAATCCTTTGCTGCAGGGGAAAATATGAACCTATTTATATTTCAAATGGATCACTTCACTGCTGAAGGGAGAAAAGACTGTATAGACCAAGAGGAGAAGGGAGAAGCCAGTGAGACCATAACTGCAGTAGCTCCATTGTGCACCAAGATGCAGGCTGTGGAGAGGGAGATGCATGGGAAGCTTGGAACTCAAGTTTCAAACTAGAAGTGGGACCTGCCGATGAAGCAGAACTGCACAGGTCCCATCAGGAAGAGAGTGGCTGTGCTGTGAAAGTAAAATTAACAGATGAAGATCTAGCAAGGAATACTCATGCTTTTATCTATTTTGATGATGCAAAGGAGTGATAAAAAATAGAATTAGCCCAGGTGTGTGGGCTCACACCTGTAATCCCAGCACTTAAGAAAGCCAAGGCAGGCAGATCACTTGAGGTCAGGAGTTTGAGACCAGCCTGGCCAACATGGTGAAACACTGTCTCTACTAAAAATACAAAAATTAGCCAGATACAGTGGCAGGCACCTGTAATCCCAGCTACTTGGGAGGCTGAGGCAGAAGAATTGCTTGAACCCAGGAGGTGGAGGTTGCAGTGAGCCAAGATCGCACCACTGCATTCCAGCCTGGGTGGCAGAGTGAGACTCTATCTAAAAACAAAACAAAACAAAACAAAACAAGAGTTAGCACTTTTATTTAAAGGAAAAGAAATAGTACATTTAAAAAAGAAATACGATTTGATAACTAGTATTCTCTTTAGTTTAAAAAAAATTGCGAAGTTTTTAGGCACTGTGTTTGTTTCAAGTTTGAAAAGCATGATGAAAGATTCCTGAATAAACATTTCAATGGAGAGAAATCAATTTTCTAACCTGCTAGTACTGATAAGGTCATTGAATCAACACCAGAGTGAAAACATGTCACACCCACATTGCTATCAGGAAATGTGTGCCAATTTATGGGTAACAAATGCATTTTAACAAATAGATTTATGGTCTGGAAGCATGGCTCTGATTCTCTGAGATATTTGAGATTTCACATCCCAAATTAAAAAGCCATTGGATTGGTGCACATAGTTTTATGTTTGGGGAGTGCCAGACCATCATGACTTTGGTTTGGTACACAAATTCTTCAGATGGGCAGGTCCAATGTCTCCTTTTGCAATTCTGCCAAATGCACCGTGTTCACCAGCCCCACCAAAATACCTTCAATACTTGAACCTACCCTGTTTTTTCACACCTTTGCGTTTAGGTCCCTTCTGCCTCTAGCATTCTTTTGGAACTGAGACCCCTTGGTTTTCCATGTGTGCATCATTGAATAAATACTGGCTTGTGCTATTTTAATGACATGATTGTGCTGTGATGTGTAGGGTGTGTGTGGTCTCCACTAAAGTGAGCAATCCTGACCACAGACACCTGGGCAGGAGACTGATCTTTCCAGAGGAAGCAGAACTCAGAAGACTGAGGGAAGGGTCATCAACTCTGGACTCCCTTTGAGCTTTGAACGATGGAAGGATATGTGAGGATGCCCCTTTGAGTTGTGGGTTAAAGATGGCCTCTGCCTTCACAAAGTTGTGAGGAGTCGGCAAGGAACTATCCATTTAATGAACTTCGAGGTAATGATTGATTTCCTGTAGCTTGTAAGCCACATAGAGATTTGTGTCCCCTCTCAGTGTTTATTTCCCTTTTATTATATTATAACTTGGCACCATAAATGGAATGTGTGTGTTCCTCCTCCCCATCAAAACATTCACAGGTTAAATCCTAACACCCAATGTATGGTGTTTGGAGGTGGGGCCTTTGGGAAGTGATTAGGTCATAAGGGCAGAGCCCTCATGAGTGGGATTAGTGCCCTTATAAAAGAGGCCCCAGAGAGGTCCCTTGCCCCTTCCAACATGTGAGGACATAGTGAGAAGATGACCATCTATGAACCAGGAAGTGGGCCCTCTCCATCCACCAAATCTGCCTTGATCTTGGACTTCCCAGCCTTAGAAGTGTCAGAAATAAACTTCTGTTTTTTATAATTCACTCAATCTATCACATTCTGTTCTAGCAGCTGGAATGAACTAATGCATTTGGTCTTTGGGAAATTCTTCTAGCCCAGCTTCATTTATGCTCTAGCACCAAAGGAAAAAGTTCTCTGTTTGCTCGCAGGTCCTTCCAGTAGGAAGATAATGGATTAATAAGATAGATCTAAATGGGTAAATTTATCATTAGTGGAGTTTTATAAAATGCAGCTGCTACATTTGTTCTAAGAGTTACCTTGAATACAGGTCTGTAAGTATAGCAAAATGGTTTGTGACCATTTCCTAATGGCCTCAAAGTGAATACTAGGGTTGCCATCTAAGTATGTTACAGTTTTAATTATATGTCTGACAGTAAAAGTTGTTTCTTTTTAGTTGTACTCAAGGAAAAGCCTACGCATACGTGAGTGCCTGATGAACACCAGTTAAAAGGGTAAGGTTCTCAGGGTGAACTCATAAACAGCCAGGGTAATCAGCCTCTGTGGTTAACCCAACCTCTCTTTTGTGGCTGAGGCATTTAGACTTTCCCATTATGGCCAGCACATTCATTAATCAGTACAGAAAGCAAACAAATCGCAAGAGACTGGACAGCCAAATGTGATCACTTCTGGAGACTCCCCTTTGGGACCATTCAAGTTTCTGAAGCTTATGACCAACTGGGGCAGCCTTAGCATTTCAGAAGCCCTGCTCCACCTTGCTCAGAAAAAGTCCCCAGATGTCCTACCCCCTTTAGCCTTCTAAAGCTGAAGCTGTGAAGGAATCAGAGGCTCTGATCTGTTGGACACCAGGTCTTATAAGGTCTTTGTATTCTCAGTGTCTGGCAAATAAATGCTTTGGAAATGAACTGACCAGGAACTCTTCGGGCTGACATAAATCATGGCAGATCCTAGATTCACATGAGCATTGAATTGAAGTGGAACAGCTTGAACTACCAAATCTGTGTAGCTTGAATTCACCTTGGTAAGCTTACATTACACACAGGATCTGCACAGTCAGAAGATACTCAACAGCTGCGTTTTAATGAAGGCACAGTAACCCATGGCATGGCAAGTGGTTGCTACATATTTTATGTGTATTTTTAAATAGGAAAATACCTTCATAGGCTTGTAGGGAAAGAAAATTTCCATCCCAAGTGAGTTTTCTACTGTGGGAACAAGGTTAAAAGGCAGTACAGAAACACCAGGGGATGATTGACTAATTTCAGGAAGCGGATGTTGTAAACAATGACATTCTAACCGCCGAAGAGCAAAACAGGTATGACTGCCTTCACATAGATTATCTTAAGCATTGTTTTAATTTCATCATGTTGAAAGGAACGGCATGTTTTCTTCTGTCCCAAGTTACGAATCCTTTCTCTTGAAAAATATTAATTGATCTCCCTTCTTCTTCCTAATTATATATCAAGTTCCCACAAAAAGTAAGTCTTCTTTTTTTTTTTGAGATGGAGTGTCACTCTTGTTGCCCAGGCTGGAGTGTAGTGGCGCAATCTTGGCTCACTGCAACCTCCGCCTCCCAGGCTGAAGCCATTCTCCTGCCTCAGCCTCCTGAGTAGCTGGGGATTACATGCGCCCGCCACCACGCCCAGCTAATTTTTGTATTTTTAGTGAGATGGGGTTTCACCATGTTGGCCAGGCTGGCCTCAAACTCCTGTTCTCAGGTGGTCCACCCGCCTTGGCCTCCCAAAGTGCTGGGATTACAGGCATGAGCCACCACGCCTGGCTGAAAAGTAAGTCTTCTAAACAGCACTTACAATATGATTCAGTGAGGACCTACCTGAGAAAAAAGCTGCACAACTGTCGTCTATAAAGGACAGAGCACGATTCGGTGCTAGCATTAGTTCCGTTGCACTTGATTTTCTTCCCCTAACCACCACCTCACTATTATTTCTCTGACTAATTGCTGGACTGGTGCGCTGCCTCAGTTTTCTCTGTAATAATACTGTCCATTCTTACAAGGTACTGCCAACTGCCCTAACCCAATGGTTGCTAGTAATTGTTTATGTGAGTAGCTCAGGGAGAGATTCCAGAACCAAAGTTCTAGGGTCACACTGGAGCCTACTCCATGCTCTACGTCTTACCAGCTATGCGCCCTCAAGCCAGTTACTTAACCTCTGTGCCTCAATTTCCCCATTTGGAAAATGGAACAGTACTATCTGCCTCTTAGGCTTGTTGCAATGATTAAGATTCTTCACATAGAGCTCCTGGAACAGTGCCCGGCACAAAGAAAGAGCTCAGGAATTATTCGCTCAGTATTGTCCTCCAAAGTTACCATCCTCATTTTACAGCTTAGTGGATAGAGGCCCAGGGAGGTTGAATGACTTGCCCATGGTTTTTCAGCCATTTGGTGGATGCTCAGGCCCAAGTGTGCTGGCCAAGACAGGGCTCTCGCCTGGGATACTTACATTTAGGTAAGTGGGAAATGCTCCCAAGTACAGTGTTGTGGGAAGAAAAGATTATATGACCAAGATCAATTTTGCATATTAAAGATTGTGGCTTCTAAGGAAAGATATAAAAAAGTCAATGAGGTAAACTCAAGTATTATTCTTTTAAGCTTTTCCTGGTGGAACTGTTCATAGTTATATTCGTGTGACAAATAGTTACTGGTACCTACTATGGGCTAGAAGTAGAATATATGATAGGCACGGGGGTACAGTTGAGGACAGAAATAGACAGAAGGGCTGGGCACAGTGGCTCACGCCTATAATCCTAGCACTCTGGGAGGCCGAGGTGGTTGGATCACCTGAGGTCAGGAGTTCAAGACCAGCCTGGCCAACATGGTGAAACCCCATCTCTATTAAAATTACAAAAATTAGCTGGGCATGGTGGCGTGCCCCTGTAGTCCCAGCTACTTGGGAGGCTGAGGCAGGAGAATAGCTTGAACTTGGGAGACAGGTTGCAGTGAGCTGAGATCGTGCCACTGCACTCCAGCCTGGGTGACAGAGTGAGACTCCATCTAAAAAAAAAAAAAAAAAAAAGAAATTGACAGAAAGCCCTGCTCTCGTGGAGGAGATATTTTCTGAGTCTGGGGCACAACCCATCAATATATACTTTCTCTGCCAGGTACCTGCACATTTATATGGATGAGCAATACATAAGTCATACAGAAAAATTGGTGTTATTTCTTTATGGCCACACCTCAGTAAGTAAATCTATGTGCTTAAACATGTTTTTTTAGTATTTTGCTGTTGGTGCTTCATAGCAAGTAAGACTTTAACATACAGACTATTTAAAATAAAATAAATCTATTGAATTTTACCCACTAAAGAGAGTGTGTATCTTTAAAGTCCTTTACTTGGGAGGGTTTATGATTATTCTCATGATACTTCTTAGCTCATGGCATTTGAGGGATGTTTCCTTTCAGCTACAATTATCTTCAGAAGTAGCTTAGAAACATGAAAAAAAAATTCAATCTCATTTTTTAAATAGTTACATCTTGTTTTTGCTCAATATAGCATTTCCCAGCCTGATCACCCAAACTTGTGGAAAGTGGCTTTGAATGCTTTCAACAATAAAATTCATTCCCCCAAGTTGAAAGTTTGCCACTCAATGGGATATTCTGATCAGTGCGTGCCAAGCTGTACCTGCAACTGAGAAAAGGGAGCTTATGAAATTCATTGTTGTGAGATTTTTGTGTGTAGCCTCCCATAATGACTATTATTAATTTGTATAAGCCAGCCCCATTGTTAGAAAACCAGTCCCACTACTTTATGTCATCTCTTAGATTATATAAAGCTCTTCCCTTACCTTTTAGAAAATAAACTTTTTGGGCCAGGCATGGTGGCTTGCACCTGTAATCCCAGCGCTTTGGGAGGCCAAGGTGGGTGGATCACCTGAGGCCAGGAGTTTGAGATCAGCCTGACCAATATGGTGAAACTCCATCTCTATTAATAATATGAAATTAGCCAGGCATGGTGGTATGTGACTGTAGTCTCAGCTACTCGAGAGGCTGAGACAGAAGAATTGCCTGAACCTGGGAGGCGGAGGTTGTAGAGAGCTGAGATCGCTCCACTGCACTTCTGCCTGGGCAACAGAGTGAGACTGTGTCTCTAAAATAAAATAAAATAAAATAAACTTTTTGAGAGTGAGTACCTAATGTTCTTCACATGTTATAATCTCCAAAACATCTCAATTGGTAGTAATGATCATCATAGTAACTGGAAAAGTAGATTCAAATATGGGTTGAAATCTTTACTACTTGATAATATGCATAGGAAGGGAAAATATAAAAGAAAGAACATGGTCAAAGACAAACTGTTTGGGACCACTAAAGTACTGAAAAGAATAGCTGTTGGAAACTCCAAGTTCAACCAGTAACTATTTCTTAAATATCAACACTTTATTCCTCAAATCATTTTCAACACTAGTACTTCTTTTTATCCTCCTAGAGGCAATGCAATTCTTCCACTAATATCTTCATGACTTGAAATTTTCAGAAGGAAAGTCAACAAGATAAAAGTGCAAGAAAAAAATAATAGAAAAGGTAAAAAAAAATGAGGCAGAAATGATTAAATGGTAAATAATGGACAAAAGAGCATTAGAGAAAGGGAGGAAAATAGAGATTCTTTCATTTTCATTAAAGAATTATGGTGGAAAATGTCAGCGGTTTGCGGGTTTTTTTTTTTTTTTTTTTTTTTTTTTTGAGACAGGGTCTGACTCTATCACCCAGGCTGGAGTGCAGTGGCATGATCATAGCTCACTGCAGCCTCAAAATCCTGGGCTCAAGTGGTCCTCCCTCCTCAGTCTCCTGAGTAGCTGGGAACACAGATGCATGCCACCATGACTGGCTAAGTTTTAAAACATTGTTTTGTAGAGACGGGGTCTCATTAATGTTGCCCAAGCTGGTCTCAAACTTTTGGGCTCAAGTGATCCTCCTACCTCAACCACCCAAAGTGTTGGGATGACAGGCATGAGCCACCATGCTCGGCCACCAGTTTTCAATGCATATATCAGTAAGTACTTCAGTAAGCTGAAAAGCAACAGCAAGGCTATTTGGCAAAGAATAAATAAGATTAATGGGATGTAAAACAGTGTAACTCTTTCCCCTCATGACACACACTTCTGGGTGCCTCCTTTACTCATAAAGACCACATGTCCCCATCATCAGCTTTCCCAAAGTTTTATATTTATGTATTTAATTTACACTTGCACATGTGACATTGTCCTTAGGAAGGTTAGAAGGAATAAAGAAAAAGGAACAGTGGGACAAGGCAATAACAAACATTATTTTTGTTGCCTTTCTCAAATGATTTAATCTTAACCAATCATTTGAGAAAGGCAGTGAAAATAATTTTGGTTTATTGATTAACCCCAAGAGTTGGTTCTTTTTCTTTTTCAAAGGGAAAAAATGAAAAAAAAAAGTTTCCCAATACTCAGACGTAGTAACTTTTCAATTTGCCCAGTGGATCAGTACAGGGATAATTCAAACACTCCTTGGACATCTCTGGAGTATGCTTTCAGCATCACCTCCCCTTCACCTCCTCCACTATTATGTACCCATTCTCACCTTTTATACTTATTTCCTCCCAGCCACCCATCTCAACAGTTACTATTCATTGTAAATATTTACTGTTCCTTACCGTTAACAATAACTATTGTTATTATATGAATAACTGCCATTATTATCAGTAATAAACATTGCCACGAATTACTTATCTGTGGGAAGCAGGCAAATGGCAGGCCAATGGCAGTGGACATCAAAAGACTTAAAACAGCCCATTTCCTCCAAGCACATCCAATTCGCTCACCTATGCTGGATACCCTTCCTGCATAAGTTACCTTTCAGCCTATAACAGCCACAATAAATTAACAAGCAGTGCTGTTGCTGGGGCCCTGGATGATACAATGTACAGCTGGGTGTAGCTGGGTAACTGCACTGCTAGCTCAAAGATCAACTTAAACCACTGGTGCACACTTCAGAAATAATGTCACGTGCTGCAAAACAACGTTCAGTCAATGATGCTGGTCCCATAAGATGATGTATATATAAGATGTGTATCTATTTTTAGATACACAAATACTATTGTGTTACAAATGCCTACAGTATTCAGTACAGTAGCATGCAGTACAGGTTGGTAGCCTAGGGGTAAATTGGCTATGCCATATATCCTAGGTGTGTAGTGGTAGGCTATTTCATTTAGGTTTGGGGAAGTACATTCTATGATGTTTGCACAAGGATGAAATCACCTAAGGACACACTTCTGAGAAGGTATCCCCATCATCAAGTGATGCTTCACTGTTACAGAACTATGTCCTTCGTATAATCCTGTATCAGGTTGTGATCAAGAAAATGAAAGAGGATGGTTATCCAGTATGAGGCTGGGTGTGTTGGCTCATGCCTGTAGTTACAGCATTTTGGGAGGCCGAGGTTGGCAGATCACTTAAGGCCAGGAGTTCTAGACCAGCCTGGCCAACATGGCAAAACCCCATCTCTACTAAACAAAAATTAGTCGGTCGTGGCAGCGCACGTGCCTGTAATCCCAGCTACTTGGGAGGCTGAGTCATGAGAATCACTTGAACCTGGGAGGCAGAGGTTGTAGTGAGCCAAGATCGTGCCACTGCACTCCAGCCTGGGCGACAGAGCAAGATTCTGTCTCAAAAAAAAAAAAAAAAAAAGAAAAGAAAAAAAAGAAAATAAATCCAGTATGGTATCTACTTGGTATGAATTAGAATAAGCTCTGTGGAGAGGAAAAAGATTGTTGTGTTGTTGCATAGGTGGTAATGTGGGGAGACTCCTGGGGGAAATGTAAGAAATGTGGAGGGTTAGGCAGGGGCTAGTTTCAGTGGCAGGAGACAGCTGGTGGGAACCAGGGTACAAAGGCCAGCCCCAAGGACAGAGTGACAGGGCAGGTTCCCTCAGGCGGGTGGAGGGCACAAGGCAGGTGAAGTGATGGCCTGGTACTGCCCAGGCAGTGGTCATCTCTGGGCCTCAGAAATCATGGAACCCTACTCCTTCATAGATGAGAAAACCAAAGCCCATTCAAGGTAAGTGACTTGCCCACAGAGGGCAGTGGACGAGGAGGGGCTGAACTTCCATCCTCTGATTTCCCGATTGCTATTCTTTCCACATGGCCCTGAGATCCTGGCTCCAAGTTCTCACTTTCTGTTTCGGTGGAAGCATTTGTGTACAGTAATTTCAATGTTGCATTTCTTTTAACTTTCAAGAAAATAATGAATAGTATTTACTTCTGCTGATTGTTGCTTGGAATTTGGAGGCAAATGAGATTGACGGCATGATCTCAACTGGAATCTCAGACTTTCCAATCACACACCAGGAAGATAGAAGTGTTCGGTAGCCATCAAGAACACTATCAGAATGATGAATTGTTTTGAGGGTGACCAGGACTAGGATCGGACCTCTTCAAGGCTGAATTACGCCTTGATAAAGTTGTGTAACTAAATGCAGTAAAATGAACAGAGATTCCATATGCTGAACAGGACTTGCAGAAGACTGGCTCTTTGAGGTACTTACATTATTTTGCCACAAGATATAAAACAAGAGTAATCAGGATAAAAGCAGGGCAATAATGAAGAGACGCCCACAAAGAAGAGTCCAAGTCCCTTGTATTAGTTTCCTAGGGCTGCCAAAACAAAGTACCACAAACTAGGTGGCTTAAAACAATGGACATTCATTATCTCACAGCTCTAAGGCTGGATGTCTGATATCAAGGAGTCAGCAGGGCCACACTCCCTCAGATGGTTCTAGAAAACTATGTTTCATTGCCTCTTTCAGCTCCTGGTGGCCCCAGGTGTTCCTTGGCTCATGGCAACATCACTCCAGTCTCTGCTCACCTTGGCCTTCATGTGGTTTTTCTGAGTCCCATCCTCTTCTTACAAGGACACCAGTCCACCCTAATTCTGGGATGATTTCATCATGAAATCTTATATAGTTTGGATATGTGTCCTTGCCCAAATCTCATGTTGAAGTACTAAAAATTCCCAATGTAAGAGGTAGGACCTGGTGGGAGGTGATTGGACCATGGGGGTGGATTTCTCATGAATGGAATGCCCACAAAGTGGGCATTAGTGGTTTAGCACCACCCGCTTGGTGCTGTTCTCCTGATAGTGAGTGAGTTCTCACAAGATCTGGTTGTTTAAAGTGTGTAGCACCTCCCCACCATTGCTCTCTCTTGTTTCTGCCCAGGCCATGTGACATGCTTGCTCCCCTTCCGCCTTCTGCCATGATTGTAAGTTTCCTGAGGCCTCCCCAAAAGCCAAGCAGGTGCCAGCACCATTCTTCCAGTGTAGCCTGTAGAACCAAGTGCCAATTAAACTTATTTTCTTTATAAATTTCCCGGTCACAGGTATTTCTTTGTAGCAAGGCGAGAATGGACCAATACAAAATTCTGAACTAATTACGTCTGCAAAAACTCTACTTCCAAATAAGGTCATATTCTGAGGTTGTAGGTGGAAATTACTTTTGGGAGGACACTATTCAATTCACTGTTTCATTGCAACACCTCCAGAAACAACTTGGATACTGGACCAGGCAAGACAGTTCCTTTGATGTTGTTCATGAAAGTTAACAGAGTCCTTAAAGGACTGGGTTGACTCAGGAAGTGGTAAATAGTACCTATGTCAGAAGCCACAGCATAATGTGTGCCTTTTGATTACTGTGGTTTGAGTGAGTGTTGCAAAGAGCCGCAGACCACAGTGGCTTGTTGAGGCTGCCGATGATCTTGAGGTCAGTGTCCTACAGTCACAAAACCCCTGACTCCTACCCACTAGATGACTACCACTCAGAAAAATCATCCTTTCCATGGGATTTTGCTATTATTGGATTTTTGTTTGTTTGTTCATTTTTAGTGTTTTAAGAAAGAAATGTATGTGAAAAGGAATATTAACTACTTGGTAATTTATATATGGAATATGCTGATAGCAGGACTTAGCTTTATTTGTTTGCTAATATTTAAATTTAAAAGACCTGAATTTATTTTATTTTTTATATTTTATTTTATTTTATTTTAAGTTTCAGGATACACGTGCAGAATGTGCAGGTTTGTTACATAGGTAAACCGTATGCCACGGTGGTTTGCTGCACCTATCAACCCATCACCTAGGTGATAAGCCCTGCATGCATTAGCTATTTATCCTGATGCTCTCCCTCCCCCAGCACTCCTCACAGGCCCCGGTGTGTGTTGTTCCCCTCCCTGTGTCCATGTGTTCTCATTGTTCAGCTCCCACTTAAGAGTGAGAACATGTGGGCCAGGTGCGGTGGCTCACGCCTGTAATCCCAGCACTTTGGGAGGCCAAGGCGGGCAGATCACAAGGTCAGGAGATGGAGACCACCCTGGCTAACACGGTGAAACCCTGTCTCTACTAAAAATATAAAAAAAAAAATGAGCCGGGCGTGGTGGCGGGCGCCTGTAGTCCTAGCTACTTGGGAGGCTGAGGCAGGAGAATGGTGAGAACCCGGAAGGCGGAGGTTGCAGTGAGCCGAGATTGTGCCACTGCACTCCAGCCTGGGTGAAAGAGCGAGACTCCATCTCAGAAAAAAAAAAAAAAAAAGAGTGGGAACATGTGGTATTTGGTTTTCTGTTCTTGTGTTAGTTTGCTGAGGATAATGGCCTCCAGCTTCATCCATGTCCCTGCAAAAGGACATGATCCCATTCCTTTTTATGGCTGCATAGTACTCCATGGTGTATATTACCACATTTTTAAAAAGATCTAAATTTATATTGAATTATAAATATTTTATATAACATAGATGGCAACCTACTTATGACTACTGATTGAATTAATATGGTTTTTACTAAAAGTATTTAAGGTATTTATTCATAGAAAGGCATTTACTTGGATATCAAATTTCTTTTCTGATTCACCTTTTATCCTTGAGTAAGGAGAATGTGATGTGATATATACATATGCATACATGTATATTAATTAACCAACAACTCTTATAAGTCTCAGTTTAAAGGACCTTCCTATAGGAAGCCCTGCCTGACACCATTATTAGATCAGGTGTCTTATCCTATGCTTCTAAAGAAACTGTTTTCCTCAATTCTGGCATTTACATTTTAATGCAATCACTTACTTGTCTATATTTCTCTGAAGACTAAATGAAGAAAGGGCCCTTGTTTTCTTGTTCACCCTGAAGCCTAGAACAGCTCCCCATATGTATAAAAGGATGACACTGAATGAATGAGTGAGCAAAAATCACTCGAAGGATTATTTAGAAATTACACTGAGTCGGGATATAGTTAAATGTTTTGAAAACTCAAAATGGATGCATGGGGTATTGAGGTAATCCTATTTTGTTAAATCTGATCACTTCAAATACCTCATTCCCTACATTATGGGCTGCATGTGATATTCTACTTTGCACTTAAAATTGATAAGCTAATTTTAAAAATAATAAGTTGAGCATTTAGTAGATAATTTATAGACATTCTGCAACATAGATGGGTTCGTTGGAAAGGGAGAGGGATGCTGGGCTGGAAGACTATGGGTAGTTACGCCTTACATATGAAAATGGTCTTTGTTGGAACAAGGGAGAGGATTTCTCAGGGCAAGTGCTCCCTAGAGCAGCCAAGACGGGAGGCAGAGGTCTCAGAAGAGTGAGCTCCTCTGCTGGATAAATTTAAATGTCTTTAGTCTTTATTAAGTACCCATTGACAGCTCTGCCTTATGGTCAAGTTACGGAAAGCACAAGAGAAGACCTCGTCCGGGCTCTCAACATTCTCAGTAGAGGCTTTCAGCTCTCACCCTTCTGCAAAAGTTTTCCTTCATTGGACACAGACTCCTAAACATGTTGGAGAGGAGGAACCACTGCATGTGGCTGAGAAAACATTCTTTTCCACCATAGATGCCAAGCCCATGGATCCTGCTTGGTATTCTATAAGTCTTTGAGGGTATGGTAGATGTGATGAGTTGAATTGTGTTGCCCAAAAGAAATATGTTGACATCCTAACTTCTAGTACCTCAGAATGGGATCTCATTCAGAAATAAGGTCTTTAAAGAGATGAGCAAGTTACAATGAGGTCATCAGGGTGGGCCGAAATGCAGTATGACTGGTGTCCTCATAAAAAGGGAAATCTGAACACAGACAGACATGCAGAGTCTTCTGGAAGACTATGTGAAGGCAAACAGGAAGAATGCCATGTGAAGATCAGGGAGAGATCAGGGTGTTGTGTCTACAAGCCAAGGGGTGCCTAAGATTGCCAGCACCACCAGAAGCACGAAGAGGCACAGAATGGATTCTCCCTCACAGCCTTCAGAAAGAACCCACCCTGCTGACACCTTGATTTCAGACTTCCAGGCTCCAGGACTGTGAGGCAATAAAGTTGCATTATTTTAAGCCACCCAGTTTGTGGCACTTTGCCATGGCAGCCTTGAGAAGCTAATAGAGTAGGTGTCTGTTGCTTGCTTGTATCTTTCCTCAACAATGAGCACAATGTTTATTGAAAAGAAAAATGAATGCTCTAAGAGCTGCTGGAGTCTCCTGAAAGTGAAGATGAGGGGACTGATGTTGAGCAAAAAAACCAAAACAAAAGAAAACCCTGCAAAGTTGGTAAGGAGGAAATTTAAATACGGTTGATAATGTAAACAAATGCTTTAACTAGGAGCACATAGCTGCCAAAATATCCCACGTCATCAAAATGCAAATGTAGCTGTATGGAATGGAACTTTGGACTATGCAGCCGAGAAGAAGCGGGGTGAAAAGTATACATGGTATACATGTTGAAATCAAGAAGTATAAACAAAGCTTCCCCACAAGTCTGTACAGGACTAAGTATGCCTTTTCTCTGTGTTGTGGGTAGAGCTGGCATTTGCTTGAACAGTGGATAGTGATTGAAGTATCCATTTTGGTGGTGCAAAGTGTAATGCAGCGATTGCTACCCTCAAAAAACAGACCCAATTTCGTATAGATAATATTTATAGTCAATAAAAATTGTCCTTTCAGCAAAGAGTAGCCTTAGTTGCATTTAAGACCATCATCACAAGTTCTAGATAAAACACTATGCCATACTTTCATTCCCTATGCTGTAAGAAGCAAACAGAAACAAAATCACCTCCAGAGCAAAATGAAATTGTACTAATATGAAATTCTGAGTTTGAATGAGGGTCTGTGTCTCATAGATGACAACAAAGATAAGAAAGGAGGGCTCCTTTTAGACATCAGAGGCCTGTGTTCATCAGGAACCTGATGCTGAATCATTGGAGGGTAAATGAACCTTCCAAGGTTCAGTGTTTAGAATGTTGTAGACCAGCAGTCTCATCATGATCTATAGGAAGTCAGCCCGAGATATTGCAAACAAACTGGAACATATACTGGAAATACTGGGAGAGAGAAGGCACCTAGCAGTTTTCTGGGGAGGTGGTTTTCTGGAGAGGAAAGAAGACACAGAGGAAATGTGATGGTTGAATTCAATGATCTGAACAGCTTGTCCAGCATGACTTCATTGGCTTAGAATGAGGACTAACAGTGAGTGAAAATTGAAGGATCAAGGCTCAGCTCATTTTATCAAAGAACTTTTTAATAGTTGAAATCTGCAGTGACAGGACATCCTGCCTGCCTGGGTGCAGGGTAGTGAGTATCCTGTGATGAGAGGTGCTCACACAGCAGACAGGTCATTACTTGGAAGTGATGCTGCAGAGGACAATCAAGAGAGTGGCAGCTGGGTGGGGTGACTTTTAAGGTCCTGTCAACTCTGAGTTTCTACATCAAAAGGAATTCTGAAAGATAAAGCAGTATTTAATTTTAATGTCTCTGACTAGCATACTTTCTTTCTATAGTTCTTTTGTTCTCCTTTTTTTTTTTTTTTTTTTTTTTTTTTGAGACAGAGTCTTGCTCTGTTGCCCGGGCTGGAGTTGCAGTGGTGCGATCATAGCTCACTGCAGCCCCAAACTCCTGGGCTCAAGTGATCCTCCTGCCTCAGCTTCCCAAGCAGCTAGGCATTACCAAGCCTGGCTATTTTTTGAAATTTTTTTGTAGAGATGGGGTCTCTCCTGGCTGCTCTCAAATTCCTGGCCTCAAGTGACCCTTCTGCCTCAACCTCCCAAAGCTCTGGGATTACAGGCATGACCCATTGCCCTTGGCCTTGTTCTCCAATTTTATATGTAATTGATAGACCTTGGAATTGATTAAAGTGATTTAATTCATGTTTCTCATATCAAATTTTGTGTTATGTCATAAACTGTAGACTAAGAAAATGTAAAAATGCTGTCAGAACATCACGATGATAGCAAAAGTATAATGTTATAATTAAGATGGATAATGCGATTTTACTCCATAAAATATATGCTGCCTGAAGCCTCAGATGATCATTTTTTTTAAATCAATATGGAAGTCAGCATGTCAATGACACCTGGTAAAATTGTACTTTGAAGAAAATGGTGCAAATAGAAAGTCATTTTTAAAATGTAACGCATATAATGAAAGTTGCTTTTAAGAAAGCCATACAACTTTACAGAACAATCATTTTGTGAAAAATACTATGCCAAGCACTAAAAAAGGCAACATAGAGATATACAGTTTCATTAAAAAATTATAAAAACAGCAAAAGTTTTATGTTGAAATGTTTATACTAAAATCTTAATTTTAAAGCAATAATCCCACTTGCCTATTGTCTTTACCCACAGTTTATGAGTAAGTGAAATATATATGTCCTACCTTATGGTTCTAAGAGTCAGAGCTAAACGAAAAGGTATAATCAGGGAGGTGGTGCTTCCTCCTCAGCCCTACTATGTCGTTCCTATTCCATGCCGCTTTCCATGGGTAACCAATCTCCTTGGCTGCTCTCCAGGTCGCAAATACTGCCTTTCCTGAATTCATTCTATAGGAAGCTGAGTAGTTCTAGGCAGGAGGAGTGCACATTGTGAGGAGTGAGGCTGGAGATACCTGTAGCCATAAGCTTGGATGTTGGGTACATGATACTCTCTGGGGAGGCTGGGGCTGGGCCTCAAGCTGATAGATCAGGAGGCCTGCAAATCTATAGATAAGAAATCACCCCAAGTCTGCTTGAAGGGCAATAGGAGAGAGGCTGGAAAAGAAGACATGCTTTTTTGATAAAAAGAACACTTGAGCGAGCAAATCCTCCATTAGCTGCAGTACAGAAATCAGATTTAGACCTGGATCTTAAAACATACACATATTTGCTCATCGGTGCAAAAGAAATTCAGGAAAAATAAACAAGAAATGAAGGAGATGGCATGGAATGTGGACCAAGAACAAAGTAGAAATGATGTCAGAATATCACAATGACAGTGTAAGTACAACATCGTAATCACATTTATAGTGTAATGGGAAAGAGGTGGTGGTATGGTGAGGAATAGAAAGGAGGTAGTAGGGCTCAGAAGGGAGCCACACTTGTCTGAGAAAACCGTTTTGTATAGCTCTGACTTTTATAAGCACAGTAATATTTCACCTAGCTGCCAAATGCCCCAAATGTCACAAACAAAACAACTAGCATGAGGGGGAACCCAAATTGTAATACAAGCAGTTTAACAAATGAACTGAACTTATCCCAAATGGATAGAATAACCACACCAAAAGGAGTAAAGAAAAAAAAGGACTAAGCCAGGTAACTTTGGTCAATAGTATCTTCATGGGATATTATAAAGCTTAAGACCAGAAAACTGTACATAAAGGCTATAATTTAGTAAGTACACGTTTTTCTCATAAGAGCATGAGTTAGCAATCCTGAAAATATTTATATTAGAATCAGGCAAATAAGTCTATTGTAGATAATGACATCTGGGTTTCTCACTGTTAGACAAAGAGGCTGTAAATGAAAGAGGAAGGCTAGAATGAAACTTGATTGTTAGGTTGAAATTAGTGGCACCATTACAAACTCACGGTCTTAAATATATATACACACCCACAGATACATACAGAAATATAGATGTGTGTGTATAACTACGTTAGTCTATACACACATATTTCCCAGCTCCGTCCACCGAGAGCACCTAGAAACAACATTCCAGTAGCAATAAGCATGCCTCACACCCAGATTTTGGTTTCTAAACACCTTTCTCCAATAGAAGGAACCAGAGCTTCCTGAGGAAGTCATTAATTCCAGGCCTGGGGCAGGGAAAACACTAGATGAGTCTGGAATGTTGTTGGCACTAGAAAGTTAATGAAGTGCTCAAAAAAGATGGGGTTCCTTAGAGGGACACAGGAGCCAAACTGAAGGAACTCTTAGTGGCCAAAGCTGGAACAGCATGAGCAATAAAACTGATAATGATAGTATTGGATTATAAATGAAAGAAGAAGACACATCCATGAGTCCATACTGATATACTTAACCAATTGAATAAATACCTAAAAAGGCAAAAATGATGACCCTTCCTTGTAATAGAATTCCAATGAATAAATGTGGAAAAAAAGAGTGAAATAAAAAATCACTACTAGGTATAGTAGTTTTTGCAGTCAAAATCCACCGATAGATACTAAAAATAGTTGGGTGTGAGTTTGGGGATAAGCAGGATTTTTGCATAATCTCAAAGTATCTCTCTGCAAAATATTTATTAGTCACACAGTGAAAAATCGTAACTTTATAGTAAGAAACTCTGAAGAGACCACCTTAACCAAGCGATCAAGGTTAACATCACCAATAAGAAGACATGTTGATATTACAAATCCTTTGAAGTGACAATTTATGTGGCATTTCTGCCAAAATTGAATAACCTCATTCTAAGCTTGAGGAAACTTTACATGAACCCAAACTGAGGGATATTCTAAGGAAGAGGTAACTGGGACTCTTCAAAAGTATCAAGGTCATGAAAGCAAAGAAAGGCTGAGGATCTGTCACCAGTTGGAGAAGACTAAGGGGACATGACCACTAAATGTAATGGGAGATCCTGGACTGGATCCCGAAACAGAAAAAGGGCATTATTGGAAAAATGGGTGATACTCCAGCAAGGTCTATAGTTTAGTGAGTAGCACTATACCAGTGTTAATTTCCTGGTCTGAACATTGTACAATGGTTACATAAGATGTTTTAATTGGGAGAAACCAGGTGAGAGGGATATGGGAATTCTTTGTGCTATTTCTGAAACTTCTCTGCAAGTCCCAAATTAGTTCAAAATTAAAAGTTAAAAAAAGAAAATAATTCTGCAAGTTTAATTAGTTCACTAGAATCATTTATGTCCCTGTGTATGTGTGTGTGTGAGTGAAGTATGTCCTGGAATAACTTCTCAGTGAAATAAAATACGGAATGCTGCCATGTTTGTATCAAAGAAGAGACATTTTGACTAATACTCTCACTCCATTAAGTCATTCTAATAAGCATAGTTGTTGTTTGGTATTTAGACTGCAATCTAAAGCTCCAAAACTCAAGTTTATTTGTTAATAGACATCATAAGCTATACTTTTTTCCTCTTTGGGGATTTAGGGAAGACCCTGTTATTTTTTTTTAAATATATATATATATATACTGTAAGTTCTGGAATACATGTGCAGAACATGCAGGTTTCTTACATAGGTATACATGTGCCATGGTGGTTTGTTGCACTCATCAATCTGTCATCTACATTAGGTATTTCTCCTAACGCTATCCCTCCCCTAGCCCCCACCCCCCGACAGGCTCTGGTGTGTGATGTTCCCCTCCCTGTGTCCATGTGTTTTCATTGTTGAACTCCCTAGGGAAGACCTTCTTGAGGGAAGCACATTGGCAGGAGAGGCCAAAGTCTGAGCAGGAGTTAGCTGGGAATAGAGTGGCACAGCAGCATTCTAGCAGAGGGGCTGCCAGTATGAATCTCCAGTAGGAACTTCCAGAGGAACTGCCAGTATGAGTGAGATGGGAAACACTTTGGCTTGTCTGGGAAGTAGAAAAAGGCCAGGATAGCAGGAATTAGGTGGTGTGAGATAAGGCTGGAGAGACAGGCAGGAGTTGGCCACACAGGATCTTGTAGAACTGAGAATGATTCCAGGAACAGTAGAAGCCTCTGAAGGGCTTTGAGCAGAGGAGGCAGATGACCTGAGAAGTCACCATCTCCCATTCTATCTTAGTGACTTTAAATGCCTGTTTATATTATGCTAATCATGGTTCTTTATCGTTCCTGAGAACAGGATATGGGAATGGCCAATAGGGCGGAGTTTGATAAGCCATAAGGATAAACTTCACTGTGAAATTCTGTCCCTGGAGGGGTCCAAGAGTGAATGACAGCGTGTTGCACCTGCCTTGAGGGAGCCGCATAGACATTTTGAATTCCATTACAACTTTATCTGAAATGAAATACCAAGATTTCCCTACAAGGTTCATGACATGCTGAGTTTTTTTTTTCCTCTTTGGATGTTTTGGTATTTTACAGCCTGATATGGCACTGAGCTGTGAGACGAAAATTTTTAGAAGTTTAAAAAATGAGAGCATTAAAGCATTAATCTACCTGAGAGTGGCAAAGTCATAGAACCTTAGTAAGCCCACGTTGTACAGAAGACATTGTAGATAATCCTTCAATTACGAGCAGGTAGTATCCAGGTAACTACATACATCTTCTAAGGTGGTCTTCCCAGCAGTCCTTAGACCTTAGCCCAAAGACCCAGGAGAGGACGGGAATACCCTAAGAAGAGCTAAGAAAGTAGTATCAAGGTCTCTTGGGTCAGAAAAGATTTCTTACTGTTTTGTTTTGTAAATTTTATTTTGAAGTCAAGAACATTACTACCTGGTAATGTCAGCACCCAACAATTTTATTTCTCTCTCTCACTTTCTTTGTTTTTGGTTTTTTCCCCAAAGACAGGGTCTCACCCTTGGCCAGACTGGAGTGCAGTGGCGTGATCATAACTCACTGCAGTCTGGAACTCCTGGGCACACGGAGTAGCTAGGACTACAGGTTTTTGCCACCACGTCTGGCTAGTTTTTTATTTTTATTTTTTTAATGTTTAGTATAGACAGGGGTCTCCGTATGTTGCCCAGGCTGGTCTGAAACTCCTGACCTCAAGCCATCCTCCTGCCTATGTCTCTGTCTCTCAAAGTGTTAGGATTACAGGTGTGAGCCACAGCGCCCAGCTTCTCTCTTCGATTAAAAATAAAAACAAATTTCTGTCTGTTAGTTGAAGGCTCAATATTTGCACGTCAGTCGTTTCTTCCCATTCAGTCTACCCGGGAATATTAAAAGGAAAAATAACTATAATTTCTGATAAATTTAAAAGATAAAATATTTTATGTATAATAGCTATCGTTCAAAATCTCTCCAAGATCTGTGTGCATACTTTTCTTATTGTTGTAACTATATTGAATTTAACTTTTTCTTTAACTACCAAGGACTCCAGATTCACCGTCAACTTTCTTCCTGCATTCACTCTTACTGTTCAGTTCTGGGTTAAAAGACAGCGGGGCCTGAACGAAGTGTCTACAAAGCACAGTATTTGGAGAAGCTTTGTTGTTGTTTTTTAAAATAATTTTTTTAAAAAGGGATCCCGGATATCTTTTTTGTTTTTTTAAAAAATCTTTTTCTCATGTACGAGAAATACAGGGAAAAAAAGCAATCAGGTTAATGAATCATTCTGGTTTACTGGATTCCAATTGGTAGAGAATTTAAACTTAAAAACCAAACAAAACGAAAGAGCTCTTCAGTTACCTTATGTCGTAAACGAGTTAAAAGTTTTGTTATTTCTGAAAAATCAAAGAGCACTATCTGTACATGGTCATAACTGCAAAGGAAACAACGGCGTACCCAGGACAGGGGGAGCTTACTTTAAGAAGCTGCGTCTTTCTGGATCATGTTCCTTCGGGGCTGACCCTTTCGGGGAGTTTGGCTTTTAAAGCGCGGATCTCGCGACGCGCGGCTTGCAGGACTGCGGGGCCCGGCGGCCGAGACGCGGCATCCACAGGGGCCCCTCCGCGCGGCCGCGGCGGTGGTGGCGGGAACCTGGGACTGGCCGGCGAGGGGCCCCGCATGGTAACCGTCCCCGACCGCAAGTCATAGGCTGTGGGCACCGCGCAGAGCGCACCCCCCACCGAACTCCCCCCACCCCACCTCAATTCTCGAGACCGAAAGTGCGGAGCGCGGAGTCCTGCAAACTTGACCCCGAGCCAAGGTGCGCGAGGCGACGGCGAGTGTCCCCCGGGCTCCCTGCAGCCCCGGGGCTGGAAGCTCCGGCCTCCGCGCACCTCGTCCTCTGCCCGCCCGAAAGCGAAACCTGGCCGGCGGGCAGGAGGGGAGAGCTCGGCCTCGAGCTCTGCCTGGCGGGGCCCCGGCCTGGAGGCATCCCCGACCCGCACCTGGCGGCGCGACCCACCTACCTGCCCGTCCCCAAGGCGCCGCCAGGAGCAACAGCAGCAGCGGCGGCAGCGGCAGCGGCCGCAGGGCCGGGCGGCCGGGAGCCCGCATGGGCGGCGGGGCTGGGTCACATGTCGGGGGGCAGCAGACTGCTCAGTCCCACGCCCGCTGGGGCCAAGCGCGGCCGCGCGGCCTCAGCTCCGCGCCTGGGGCTCTGCGTGCCACGCTCCAGGCGACCTGAGTCCCAGGGCGCCTCCGCCACAGCCGCGTCCCCCAGGCTTCCCCAGAAACCAAGGGCGAGCGACTCGCGGAGCCCCCACGCGCGCTCCCCCGGCTACCCAGCTGGATGGCAGCGCGAGGGCAGTTCTCGCGGATTTATAGTCCCCAGCCACTCGGCTGTCAGTCCTGAGAGTCTGAGAGTTTCCACCTCTCGGGGTTCATGCCCAGACCAACCAGGTCACTAGGCAGGTAAAACCTCCTTCTGGTAATGAGCGAGGCGAGTGCATTGCAAAGAGATTCTGGTATTCAGGCCGGTCTGATGGTCAGTTAAAGTTCAATATCGGAAGACGGATGAAATAGAGCGTTATTTCTCGATATACAGTTAGGCACTCAGCCGTAGATCTTACAGTCATGCATCATTTAAGATGACAGGATTACCTCCTGAGAAATGTCTTAGGCGAGTTTCTTGTGTGAACATCTTAGAGTGTACTCACACCTATATGGTATAGCCTCTTACACGCCTACGCTATATGGTACAGGCTGTTGTTTGCTCCTAGGCTACAAACCTGTACGGCAAGTGACCATACTGAATACTGCAAGCAATTGTAACACAATGGTAAATATTTGTGTATCTAAACATGTCTGAACGTAGAAAAGGTACAGCAAAAGTACAGTATGAAAGATTTTAAAAATGGTACACCTGTATAGGGCACTTTCCATGAATGGAGCTTGCAGGACTGGAAGTCGCTCTGGCTGAGTCTGTGAGTGGTGAGTCAATGTGAAGGCCTAGGACATCACTGTGTACTACTATAGGCTGTATAAACACTGTATTACACTTAGGCTATGCTAAATTTATTAAAAAATTATTTCTTCAATAATAATAAATTAACCTTAGCTTACTATGATTTTTTACTTTCTACTTTTAAATCTTTTAAACTTTATTTATTTATTTATTTTTGAGATGGAGCATTGCTCTGTAGCCCAGGCTGGAGTGCAGTGGTGCGATCTCGGCTCACTGCAACCTCTGCCTTCCGGTTTTGATGATTGTCCTGTCTCACCCTCCAGAGTAGCTGGGATTACATGTGTGTGCCCCCACGCCCGGCTAATTTGTTTGTATTTTTAGTACAGACTGGGTTTCGCCATGTTGGCCAGGCCGGTCTCGAGCTCCTGACCTCCGGTGATCTACCCTCCTTGGCCTCCCAAAGTGCTGGGATTACAGGCGTGAACCACGACACCCGACCTAAACTTTTTGACTTGTAATAACGTTTGACTTAAAACACAAACACATTGTGCAGCAGTATGAAAATATTTTTTCTTTGTATTCTTTCTATAAGCTTTTTCTATTTTTAAATTTTTCTTTTTCTTTATTTTTTCTTTACTTTTTAAACTTTTTTGTTATAAACTAAGGCACAACCACACACATTAGCCTAGGCCTGCACAGGGTCAGGATTGTCAGTGCCACTGATGCCACCTCACATCCTGTCCTCCTGGAAGGTCTTTAGAGACAATAGGAATTTTTTCAGCTCTATTATAATCGTATGAGACCACCTTTGTATATGCAGTCTGTCACTGACTGAAAAGTTGTTATTTGATTTCATTCAACTCTCACAACCTGCAGTTAGGTCCTGGCCCTTTTTTCAGATGAGGCAAGGGAAACTCAGAAAGTCTAGGAATCATCATGAAGTCCCCCAAACCTGTGAGTGGCCTGTGACCAGTGGTGTGTGGACTTCCACACAAGGCGGTGGGTCCTAGGTTCCATGCTCTTTATAATGGGAGGGGGGAAGGGTGCAATTAAGAGGTGAGTCTTGAAATACTATATGAAAAATCTGAGAGAGGCTCTCAGCTTTGTACCTTTCTAGGTGGTTCTAAAGGTTGGGCACAGCCTGAAGATAGATACACGATTTACCTCAGATGTGTTCCATCTCTTTTGCCCTTAAATGTCTGTTTTCAAATGCTCCAATAAAGGGAAACGACACTCAAATTAGAGCAACTATTGTTTTCTTTTTCTTTTTCTTTTTCTTTTTAAAGGGGGTCTTCAGTATTAAAAAAGATCTTTTTTGGTGAGGAGGGAGTAAGGAGATAGAAGATGGGGCAGGATTTTCTGAGTCGCCTAAGTATGCTACTTTTTCCTTCCTGAAAGACTTGGAAACAGAGGAGGAATCTGGGTCAGAGGGCCCCTTAGGCTGGGATGTTAGCTTCGTGGTGCTGACGTGAGGCCTCTTCAAACCACTTTTCTTGTTTGTTAGCTGGTTCTTTTCCTTTCCACCAAAAGGGGCCCTGAAGGAATCCTGAAAGCTGGATGAGGAAAGAAGGGACTTGCTTCCTATTTGTTTGCTGTTCTTGTCACTAAGGCCCCACAGTGCCTCTTTACCCTGGCAGGGACAGCTAGTTCTAGGAGCAATTGTTTCTAGTTCCCAGCTTCTTCCTGTACTCCCAGAATCAGCTTCACTGCATCTCCTGAGAAATACCAGCACTGAGTAGGCTATGCCCCATTCTCAGAGGTCTGAGTCCCAGTTTCCTGGAGGCTTCGCTTCTGGGATCTGAACCCCACGTCTGCCCTGTGTTCCTTTAACCCTGACGGTGGTAGTTGCTTCTAGTAGTCACTCTGTCTCTTTCAATCTCAGTATTCCTGCTTTACTTTTTTAGTACTCCAACATCTGTTTAACCAATTCCTTACAGCAAATTCTTTCTGTTGAAATAACTAGTGTGGTTTCTGTTTTCCCAACTGGACTCTTATTGATTCCATTGTAATCCCAGAACGTTTTAGGAAGGACTCTGTGTGATCAGTACATTATCAATATTATCTTGAGTTGCTGTTGTTCTTACTTTTTGATTATAAATTGTATTAGTTTACTTTCATCATTATCATCTTAAGTCTTGTGGGTTAAATAGGGTAAATATTTGCTACAAAAGTGTTTGGGGCCAATCATTTTTGGATATCTAAATTTTGTATGCATTTCTATTCAAATATGAATCGTTCAGACCCTTCAAGAGGCTAAAGCAGACCTATACAAAGCCTTCCCTTATCTCCTAAGTCTTCTGAACTTGAACAGTGACATTTCATTATTTCACCAAGTTTTTCCTCCAGCTGGAAAGTGGGAACGGGGTAGGGGATGGAGTAACTGCGACTTGGAGTTTCTTCCCCCATGAGTGGGCTGTCAATTGTCTGAGAACAAACAGTTTTCTGCATGCCTCTCGTCCCCTCTCTCCTTTCCTCTTCAAGTTCCCCTTGGCACTTGTCAGAAGGCAGTCAAAATTTTACCTCTAAGGCTTGTCTTTTACGTGTTCACAAACTCACCACTCTGTCCTCAGAATGGCTAGGGTTCTACAGGATGAGTGTGACCTGAGAACTTGCCATGTATTCAGTTGATGTTTCCCATGCATTGAAATAAAGAGTGGAGTCAGTTTTTCTTTTGTTTGCATCTGTGACCCAGAACTCACCTTAGTGAGTTTCCTTAGTATCTTCAAATCTAACCTCTTACCCCCCTCTGCTAACTTTGGGAAGCAGCAGTCTTGGTTCCTCCCCATCTAAGCCTCCCAGGCAATATAATCTTCAGTGTGTTCTTCAGAGACTTTTGAAATGATGTTTTCGAATTGAGGTTTTCTTCTACTTCTCAACTTTGCAACTCCTCTTGCCATGATTTACCACATTGAGATCTTAATTTTGTGGAACCTGATGTATAGGATTTCCAGGCTTCCCGATGAAAAAGGCCATAAACCACTACTCCTTACCTCCCACCCCAAACACTAATACCACAGGCAAAAAATAATTTTTTTCTATCCTAGTTTAATTACTAAATAGTTTCCAAGGATAATACATACTAATAATACGAAGTTACTGAATTCTTTCTTTGAGTCAGATCCTACCTAAGAAATTTAAATTTCCTAACTACCTCCTTCAATCCTTACAACAATTCTGAGAGTTAGTTACATTACCCCAAGTTTCAAAACAAGGAGACAGACTTGGACAGGTCATTCGTTTAATAAGCAACAGAAACTGGAAACTGAATGCTGGTTCATCTATTTTCAAAGTTTGTGCTTTTAATAATTTCCTTATATGCCTCTTACACTTGAGAAAATGTTATGATTTACCTTTTATAATTAGGTCTACAATACATTGAGCTAATTTTTGTATATGAGGAAAGAGTAAAGATTAATTTTTTTCCATATAGATATCTTACTGGTTTTTGAGGTCTGAACTGTAAAACAGCATGAATATAATTGCTAAAGGCCTAATATTCAGCATATGTAATGAATTGCTTCAAACAAATTAAAAACAAAATAAAAAGACAATCTAATATTGAGTTTATATAGGTTACACACCACTTAGTTGCCACTGTCTTCTTCTGAGAGAGGAAGAAAAACCCTAGCTCCCTAATGTCAACAGATTTCTTGGAAAGTAAATTAATTCTCTCAGGAAGGCAAAGGGGAAAGTACCTACCCTGGAATATAAACATTTGGCTATGGTGGGGAGATAAATTTTATTACTCTCTGAATGAGACCAGATGGCTCCAGATCTAACACCCTTGCAATGTGAGGAGCAAATGATTCTGTGGAAGAGGAGACAGTCTATGGCATGCCAATTTTCTTTGCTCAGGGAGACAAACCATCCAGAAACGTGAAAATATTCATGTTTCCCTGACGTCTCATTATTTGAATATACTCCATTTGATTGCCCATTCTCCGGTTGATAGACATTTGGGTTGTTTCATTATTGAGTTGTAGGTGTCCTTTATGTATTCTGGGTACAAGTTCTTTGTCAGATATGTGCGTTGCGAATATTTTTGCCCACTTCATCACTTGCCTTTTCATTTTTACAATGATGTCTGCAAGAGCAAAAGTTTTTAATATTGATACAGTCAAGTTTTTCACTTTTTTTCGTTATGATTGTGGTGTCTCGTCTAAGAAGTCTTTGTGTATCCCAAGGTTGAAAGAAAGATGGCTTTTCCTAGAAATGTTATAGTTTTAGCTTTTATAATTAGGTCTGCAATACATTGAGCTAATTTTTGTATATGGTATGAGAAAAGAGTAGAGATTTTTTTTCCAAATAGATGTCTTACTGTTTTTGTACTATTTGTTAAAAAGACTTTCGTTCCACATTAAATTGCTTTAGCCATTATTGTTGAAAATCTATTGAAGATATATGTATTGGGTCATTTTTAGATGTCTACTCTTTGGTCTGTTTGTCCATTTTGCATCAATACCATGTTTTAACAAAAGGAGCTTTTTAGTTTTTTAATGTTGTACTTGTATACCGAAAAGTTTCAAAGGCAGTAGTGCAGAGTTTCTGTACACTCCTCACACAGTTGCATCACCGTGGTAAATTTTTAAAACTAAGAAACTTCCATTTCCATTGGCACATTACTGTTAAGCAAACTTTAGATTTTATTTAGATTTCTCTAGTTTTTCTTCTTCTTCTTTTTTTTTTTTGTTTTGAGATGGCGTCTTACTCTGTCACCTAGGCTGGAGTGCAGTGGCATCATCTCTTGCTCACTGTAGCCTCTGTCTCCAGGGTTCATGTGATTCTCCTGCCTCAGCCTTCCAAGTAGCTGGGATTACAGGCACCCACCACCATGCTCAGCTAATTTTTGTATTTTAGTAGAGATGGGGGATTTCACCATGTTGGCTAGGCTGGTCTTGAACTCTTGATCTCAAGTGATCCACCTGTTGCAGCCTCCCCAGGTGAACCACCACAACTGGCCTGGATTTCTCTAGTTTTTCTCTTTTTGTTCCAGGATCCAATCCAGAGTACCATGCTACATCTAGTCGGCATGTCTTCTCAGTCTTTGGTCTGATAGTTTCTCAGGTTTTCCTTTTTTTTTAATGACCTTGACAGTCTTGAGGCGTATTGGCCAGATGTCCTATAGAATGTGCCCCAGTCTGGGTTTGTTTGATGTTTTTTCTCATGATTAGACTGAAGTTAATGGTTTCTTAAAAAAGTATCACAGAGGTGAAGTGCTTTTTTTAATCATATCATATCAAGAGTATATGACATCACATGACATTGATAATGATGTTAACCTTCATCACTTGCTTAAGGAAGTGTTTGCCAGGTTTCTGTACTGTAAAGGTATTGTTTTACGTTTTCCTACTCTGTATTTTAGAAGACAGTCATTAAGTCTAACCTACCCTTGGGGAGGGACAGTGGTGGTGGCCAAAATTAAGCTCCCCCTTCTGAAGGGAGGAAATAACTTTGTATGTTATTTGGAAATCTTCTGCAAGGAAGATCTGTCCCTTCTCTTCTCCCTATTTACTTATTGATTTATTTAAATCATTTATTTAAATTAATATGGACTCAAATGTATTTATTTTATACTTTGGGTTATAGTCCAATGCTACATTCTTTATTTTCTTGCTCAAATTGTTCCAGCTTTTGCCATTGTGAGCTCTTTCAGGTTGACACCTGTGTTGCCTTGATACACCCCCATCCTGTTTTGATTTGTCCTGAGCACTTCCTTACTTTCTGGTAATGTAAGAGACTCCAGCCTCGTCTTGAATTTATCTCTGCTAGCCTTAAAACCAGCTATTTTTCCATGGAACCCTGGTTTATTTTATTGGAGAATGGTATTCCATTGTTTGGAAATTGCAGAATATGAAGGTACTCTGTGTGTGTGTGTGTTTGTGTGTGTGTGTGTGTGTGTGACAGAGAGAGAGAGAGAGAGAAAGAGAGAAAGTTTCTGTGTGCTTTAATCTGGAGGAAACCAAGGAGAAACAATTTCTTAAAAGATGGGTCATTTTTATATAGACAGGTATATATATATGGCTGAAAGCAAAGAAACTTACTCTTTTCTTGATGCCTAAAGAATAGAGGAAGAGTCAAATAACTACAGAAATGGCCCCTTCAGTTTACCCAAATTCCAAATAAGCATTTATCTGGCCCCCAAGTGAGAGTTCAAACAGTGACAGACTCTTCATCTCTCCATCCTTTAATGAACAAATGGAGGATGGGTTATGGGCCAACTGATGGCCTAATGTTGAGGAAACTGCACGGCTCTGGTGTCATATATGGATTAATTCTCAATTCCACTCTATCCAAACAGTGTGGCCTTGGTCTCTGTGTTAGACACTATGATGCACCACCCAGACCCCACTTCAAAGACGGATTTGTTGTCCAAGCTCCTGGGAGTGCTAATATTAGAAGCCTCCAGCTGTCAGCCTTTTCAAGGACTCTCTGAGTGGCTGGGAACTGACTCACCCAAGGTCAGGTCCCTTTCCAAGGCTCAGTTCCAATGACTAATCAGATATGGGACAATGAAGACCTAGTCATCTTGGTCCAACTTGGGGCAATTCTGTCCATTCTAAGTCCAGAGCTCCTTTGGCCAAGGCTGTTGCTGAACCTTCCTCACAGCTCACCTGCATCCACTCTTGCTTCCTTTTCCTCCCTCCAGCAGGTGTTTATCACAAGGGCCCTCCCCAGTAACACCGTACATACTAAAGTCTACCTCAGAGTCTGCTTCCTGGGGAATACACCTGTGATGGCCTCTGTGAACTTCACTGACATCCACCCCCACCCCCAGCCCTATCCCCAGGCAGCCACAGACTACCTTTATAATAAACAATCAGTGGCATCTGGATTTTCTCCCTAGGTTCCTCTTGCTGTAACAATCCCCTACACATTAGAGTTCTTCAGTTTTGTCTTTTTATTCACTTTTCTTCTCACTCTACAATATTTCCATGGGTGATTTCAATTTTTTTTTTTGGTGGGGGTGGGTACAATGTCTGTGGCACAGGCTGGAGTGCAGTGGCACAATCATACCTCACAGCAGCGTTGAACTCCTGGGCTCATGCAGTCCTCCCACCTCAACCTCCCGAGTAGCCAGGACTACAGGTCTGTGCCACCACGCCTGGCTAACTTTTAAATTTTATTTTTATGTTTGTAGAGACGAGTCTTGCTATGTTGCCCAGGCTGGTCTTGAACTCCTGGCCTCAAGTGGTCCTCCTGCCTCGGCTCCCAAAGTGTTGGGATTACAGGTATGAGGCATTGCACCAGGCCAATTTCAGTTTTCAATCTCCAATCTAGGCCTCTTTGTTGAGCTCTAGAAATCCCTCTCTTAATTCCCCAGCTCTACTTGTAAGTCCTATGTACCTAAATTTCAACTTGTTCCAAGCTGAACTCATCTGTACAGTGTCTATATTTTCTGTTACCCAAGTGAAAAGTCTGGGAGTTCTCCAAGACTTCTGTGGCTCTACTCAAGCATTATATCCTTCCATCTTCATCTTCAGTATATTTCTTGCATTATTTCCAGTGTTTCTCGTGGCTCCTTTGTGCCACTGTTATATGTATTCTGTATATATCACACAGTTCTGATAATGTCAAAAATATGTATCAGTTATATATGTATTTATAGCACTATATTGAAGTGGTTACATATATGGCTATTAGACTGTGAACTTCTTGAGGGCAAGAACTATGCCTTGTTCTCTCTCTCTTTTTTTTTTGAGATGGAGTCTTGCTGTTGTTGTCCAGGCTGGAGTGCAATGGCGTGATCTTGGCTCGCTGCAACCTTTGCCTTCCAGGTTCAAGTGATTCTCCTGACTCAGCCTTCAGAGTAGCTGGGATTATAGGTGCCCATGCCTATACCTGGCTAATTTTTTTGTATTTTTAGTAGAAACAGGGTTTCACCATGTTGGCCAGGCTGGTCTTGAACTCCTGATCTTAGGTGATCTGCCCTCCTCAGCCTCGCAAAGTGCTGGGATTACAGGCGTGAGCCATGGCGCCCGGCCTTGTTCTTTTTTATATCTCCAGTGTCTAGTGTAATGCTGGGAATGTAGTACATTCCCGATGAATTTTGTTAAAACAAATAAAACTTCTCTGAAGTTTTTTTCTATATATTTTAAGCTGCAAATCCAAAGGGTCTGTTTCTTAACCAGCATGTATATGCACCCACACAGAAAATACACACACATCTATGTGCAGACACACTCCCTTTCTGAAATCCTCACATCTCCATTTCAGTGTTCAACTATCCTGTACAGGATATGAAATAACTTGGAAAGGGACAAATTAGCTATTATTTGAAAGTCAGAGTCATATCTTGTTTATCATCCATATATTCTAACTTTTCTTCTTCTTTCATCAGTTGTTTTCTTATTCTGTGTATTGAATTAATATGAGCTAAACCTAAGAGAGATTTGCATAAAAAGGATTTATACATTTAAAGTGAAATGTAAAGTTTCGGTGTTAGTTTTGATAATTCAGTTAAGTACTTCTTTATTTACTTAGTATACCAAGGCATGGTTATTCAAATATTCAAATATATCAATCATGTATAACTATACCACTGCACAGTAATGTAAGTACTCAATGAATTAATACATTTAAAAATCAAGGTTGTAAATTCTTTGTTTTCTTTTTAATTTTTAAAAAAAGTTTTGTAAAGCTGACAATTCTTTCTAAAGAAAGAATAGGTTTAATTCCATTCCTATCACAATCCTAGCAAGATTATCTTTTAGACATAGACGAACTTATTCATAAAATGTACGTGGAAAGGCATCTTAAAAATGTCCTGGGCCCAGATGGCTTCACTGGTGAATTCTACCAAACATTTAAAGAGGAATGACTATCGGTCTCTCATAGACACTTGGAAAAATGAAGAGAACACTTCTTAACTCATTCTAAGTGGCCAGTGTTACTCTAATACCAAAACCAGACACAGATATAATAATAAAATGAAACTACACATCAATATTCCTTACGGATATAGACACAAACATCCTCAACAAAATACTAGCAAACTGAATCCACCAACATATAGAAAAGATTATATATTATGATTAAGTGGGATTTAGCTGAGCAATGCAAAGTTAGTTTAATATCCCAAAATCAATTAATATAATATACCATATCAACAGAACAAAGGACAAAAACCACAGACATGATTGTCTCCATAGATTTAGAAAAAGCATTTGAAAAAGTCTAGCACCCCTTCATAATACTCAAGAAACTAAAAATAAAATGGATTCTTCAACCTGATAAATGGCATGTGTGAAGAAACAGCTAAGATCACAATTAGTAGTGAAAGACTGAATGCTTTCCCTATAAAATGAAGATAAGATGAGATGTCCACACTCAACCCTTCTGTTTAGTATTGTACTGGAGGTTTCAGACAGGGCAATTCAGCAGGAAAAATAAATAAAAGGCATGAAAAGGAAGAAGTAAAACTATCTCTATTCACAGATGACATACTCTTAGATGTAGATCATGTATATGGAAAATCTGGAGGGACCCATTAAGAAACTATTAGAACTAATGAATGAGTTCAGCAAAGTTGAAAGATACAAGATCAGTATACAAAAACCAATTGTTCTTTTACATGGTTGCAACAAACAATGAGAAAATGAATGCAATTCCACTCAAAATATAGTATCAAAAACTATAAAATGCTGAGGAATAAATTTAGTAAAAGAAGCACAAACTTATACTACAAAAACTAAAAACCATTGCTGAAGGAAATTAAAGAAGATCTAAATAAATGGAAAGAATTCAATGCTTATAAGTTGGAAGATTTAATATTGATAATATGGTAATACTCCCCAAATTGATCTACAGATTCAATGCAATCATTAACAAAATACCAGCTGGTTTCTTTGCAGATATTGACAAGTTAATCTTAAAGTTCATATAGAAATTTAAGGGAGCTAGAATAGTCAAAATAATCTTAAAGAGCAAAGTTGGAGGACTCAAGTTTCCTGATTCAAAACTTACTACCAAGCTAATGTTGCAGTGACATAAGGACAGACATATACATCAATGACATATAATGAGAGTTTCAAAAGAATAATAATTTATGGTCAATTGACTTTTGACAAGGGCACCAACACAATTCAATGGAAAAAGGGTAGTCTTTTCAACAAATGATGCAGAACACTGTATATCCATGGCCAAAGAGTAAAATTCTTTGAACTTTGTCTCATAAACTATATGCAAAAATTAACTCAAAATAGATCAAAGACCTAGTGTAAGAGCTGAAGTTATAAAACCCCTAGAAGAAAATATAAGATAAACTTCATGACCTTGAGTAGGAAAATGGTTTCTTAAATATGACAGAAAAATCACAAGCAATTAAAGAGAACTAGGTAAATTGTACTTATCAAAATTTAAAACATAGGTAAATCGTACTTATCAAAATTAAAAATTATTGCACTTCAAAGAACACCACCAAAACAGTGAAAAGACACCAAATGAATGACAGAAAATATTTGGAAATCGTATGTCTAATGAGACTTGATTCTAAAATATATAAATAACTCTTATAGCTTGATAATGAAATGACAAATAACTCAAGTAAAAAATGGGCACAGGGCTTGACAAGACATTTCTCCAAAGAAGATCTACAAATGGCTAATAAGCACAGGAGAAGAAGCTTGACATCATTACTCATCAGGAAAATGCAGTTTAAAACCACAGTGAAACCCACACTTCATACCCATGAGGGTAAAAGTGCCATATTATAATAACAAAGACAACAATATTGTCAAGGATGTAGAGAAATCAAAGCCTTCATACACTGCTGGTGAGCCTATAAAATGAGTCAGCCACTTTGGAAAACAGTGTGTCAGTTACTAAAATGGTTAAACAAAGAGCTATGATATGACCCAGCACTTCCAATCCTAGGTATCTAACAAAGAGAAAAGAAAATACATGTCCACACAAACACTTGTACACAAATATTCATAGCAATGTTATTTATAATAGCCCCAAATTGGAAACAACCCAAATGTCCATCAACTGATGAATGGATAAATAAAATGAGGCGTATCCATGCAATAAAACATTATTTGTCAAAAAGAATGGAGTATGGATACATGGATGGATTAGCCCTGAAAACATATGCTAAGTGAAAGAGGCCAGTCACAAAAGGCCACACATTCTATTTATATGAAATAAATTCTATTTATATGGAATGTCCATAATAGGCAATTTTATAGAGACAGACAATAGATTAGTTGCTTTCAGGCGCTGGGGCAGGTGGTGGTTGAGAGTGGTTTGGGGGTGACGGCTAAACAGTAGAGTTTTTTTTCTGGGGTAATGAAAATATTCCCAAATTGATTGTGATGATGGTAGCTCAATTTTGCAAACATGCTAAAAACCACTGAGTTACACACTTCACATGAATACATTGCATGATATGTGAATTACAGCTCCATAAAGCATTGCCAAAAAATTACACTGAGAAAATGGATGCGAATCCATCATAACAAAACAGCGTTTATTCAACAAATGTAAAGTTGTTTTAACATTAGAAAAATCAGTAGTTGTAATTCACTACAAATACAAATAAAGGAGAAAAATCAGATGTCTATTTAAATAGGACAAAACAAAAAAAAAATCTGGCAACTTCTGAATAGAAGTCAACTTCCTTCATCTAATAATGAAGATCTTAATGCTTCATGAGCATATACTTAATGATGACATACTGAAAGTATCTCCTTAAGGTCAGGAATAAACCAAGTGTGTCTCCTGTCATTCCTTCTGAATTCAATATTATGCTGGATGTCCCAGCCATTATGGCAGGGAAGAAAAAGAAAGAAAGTCATAAGAATTAGAAATGATGATAAAATTGTTATCTTTCATAGATAATATGATTATATGCACAGACAGTGGAAAAGTATCTCTGGGTAATTTACAAATATGAATGTGAGAGTTTATAGGATTCTATTCATGCATTCAATGTCCTCAAAGCAATTGCACGCCAATAATACATAGTTAAAATGAAATAAAAGTACTATTTTGTAATAACGTGAAAAATATCTAAGACATACAAGATCTTTATAGGAAAATGTATGAACTTTCATTGAGTGACTTTGAAGAAGGCCTTTTTAAATGGAGGGATATGGATTGTGGTTATGGACTGAGGACTCAATATCTCTCAAAATTAGGTTACAGATGTAATACGATTCCAACAACATTGTAACAGATTTTTATGAAACTTGACAAAGTGATTATAAAATTTGAGTGGAATTGCAAAGGTCTAAAAATAATCAAGGCGTTTTTGAAAAAGTTTAGAGAGGGAGAGTTTCCCTTACACATAACAAGACTTATAAAATTACCTTCAGACATTGTGGTAGACAAAAAGATCTATGAAACAGTATATAGAGTCCCAAATTTAGGGACATTTGATAAGTGAAAGGGACATTTCAGATTAGTGGGGAAAGGACAGGATTTTCAGTGAGTGGTTCTGGGAAAACTGGGTATGTACTTTATTTTACATCACCTTCAAAATAATTTAAGTAAATTAAAGAGCTGTTGTGGGTTGAATGATGTCCCCCCAAATTCAAATGTTGAAGTCGTAACCCCCAGTACCTCAGAATATGACCTTATTCAGAAATAAGGTTATTGCAGATGTAATCAGTGAAGTTAGGATGAGGTCATACTGGAGTAGGGTGGGCCCTTCATCCAAATGACTGTGTCCTTATAATCAGGGGAAATCTGGATACAGACACATGCATAGGGACAATGTCACATGAACATAAAAGCAGAGATGGGGCGATGTGTCTGTAAGCTAAGGAACACCAGAGACTCCTGATAAACCACCAGAAGCCAGGAGAGAGAGAGAGACACGGAACAGATTTTTTCTCATAGGCCTCAGAAGGAACCAATTCTGCCAAAACCTTGATTTCAGACTTGTAGCCCCTCAAAACGTCAGACACTTTCTGTTATTTAAGCCACTCAGTTTGTGGTACTTTGTTATTACGGCCCTAACAAGCCAATATAAGAGCTAAATGCGAAGGAAGATTTTCAAAGACCAGATAGTAGAACATCTATATGACCCTGGGGTCAGAGAGTGTTTCTTAGACATAAAAAGTCTAGCCATAAATCAGAAGATTGACAGTCTGATTACATTAACATAAAGAATTTCTGCCATGAAAAGACACTAAAAGAGAGAAGAGACAAACTGCAAACTGGAAGAATATATATGCATCATATATAACATATATTATGCAGAACACTACGCTTTATATATACATATACTCTGGATATTAGGTAATTTTCACTTAATCTCAAAGAAGTTTTTTTAACTCAAGGATTTGTAATGTTGTTTCATCATTTCTTTTCTATTTTCAGGTTGAGAACTACTATGGAAACATTACTGCTGACAACAGAAACAATGGCTTCTAGGAGGGTTTATAAATAGTTGCAGAAGTTACTTCAGTCAGTACCATAAAAAATGATGGTCATAAAGAAGATGAAAATCCTTGCAAGTGTTGAATGACCTTGGCATTCACGATCACTGAAAAAATTCTCAATGCAACAACTGTTGATAATAATTCAGCTGGTGGTTGTACCTGCCAGGGATGCTAATTAGCTAGAGTATGTGAAAAGAAACTAAAGATTCCTCTTTTGTGGTATGGAAAAACAAAGCACAATATTAACAGTTTGCTTTAGTTCAAATCCAGAGGTAGTCTGGTTTCACCTCAGATGTAGCATAGTTCTCTTTTCTGGGTAATTTAAGGAATTAAGGCCTGAAGAGTTTTGAAAATGCTAGGTTAGCACACGGGTTATTTGGGGGCTTTTAATTTTAAAATAGGGCCTAGAAGAACCAAGATAATCTTGAAGAAGAAAAGTAAGTTTGGACCAGCCTGGGCAACACGGCAAAAACCTGTCTCTACTAAAAACATAAAAATTACCCGGGCATGGTGGCGTGTGCCTGTAATCTCAGCTACTCAGGAGGCTGAGGTGGGAGAATCACCTGAGCCCAGGAGTCAGAGGTTGCAGTGAACCAAGATCGTGCCACTGCACTCCAGCCTGGGTGACACAGCAAGACCCTGTCTCAAAAAAAAAAAAAGAAAAAAAAAAAAGAAAAAATAAGATTGGGCAACTTACATCAAGATATCAAAATTTATTATAAAGCTACAGATTAGTAAATTAGATTTCATTAGAATTAACAACTGTTGATTACCAAAACACACCATTAAGAGAGTGAAAGAGTAGAGGTCAGAAGATACTTGCAATACATATGTATGTCAAAAGAAAGCAGATAATATACCTCTTACAAATCAGCAAGAAAAAGATACACCAATCCACTATAAAAATGGGCAAAACTTTGAACAGATACTTTACAAAAGAAGATATCAAAATAGAAAACAGGCCTCTCTACATCACTGGTCATCAGGGAAATGTAAGTTAAAACCACAAGGAGATACTAATACACTCCCGTTTTGATGGTTAAACAATACCAAGTGCTGGTGAGACATTGGAACATCTAGAACATTCTTACATTGCTGGTGTTAAATTGGTTAAACTGGTTAAATCAGAAAACAAATGATTTTCCAGATGGAGCCAGCATAATGGGCAAGCAATCTGTACAGTCGCTCAGGGTCCCAAACTCCGAAGAGCTTTGTTTGTGGTTTAATGCTTACCTATCCATGTCTTGAAACTCTTAATAATTTTATTTTTAAACTTGTTTTTGTAATATTATGAGAATGTGGAGTTTCACTTGCATCCGTGTGAAGAGACCACCAATGTGAAAAGACCACCAAACAGGCTTTTTGTGAGCAATAAAGCTTTTAATCACCTGGGTACAGGCGGGCTGAGTCCGAAAAGAGAGTCAGCGAAGGGAGATAAGGGTGGGGCTGTTTTATAAGATTTGGGTAGGTAAAGGAAAATTACAGTCAAAGGGGGGTTGTTCTCTGGCAGGCAGGAGTGGGGGTCACAAGGTGCTCAGTAGGGGAACTTTTGAGCTGGGATGAGCCAGGAGAAGGAATTTCACAAGATAATGTAATCAGTTAAGGCAGGAACAGGCCATTTTCATTTCTTTTGTGGTGGAATGTCATCAGTTAAGGCAGGAGCTGGCCATCTGGATGTGTACGTGCAGGTCGCAGGGGATATGATGGCTTAGCTTGGGCTCAGAGGCCTGACATTCCTGTCTTCTTATATTAATAAGAAAAATAAAATGAAATAGTGGTAAAGTGTTGAGACGGCGAAAATTTGGGGGGATGGTATGGAGAGAGAATGGGCAATGTTTCTCAAGGCTGCTTCAAACGGGATTGGGGTGGTGTGGGAACCTAGAGTGGGAGAGATTAAGCTGAAGGAAGATTTTGTGGTAAGAGGTGATATTGTGGGACTGTTAGAAGAAACATTTGTCATTTAGAATTATTGGTGATGGCCTGGATACGGTTTTGTGTGAATTGAAAAACTAAATGGAATAAGAGGAGAAAAACAGGTATTAAAGGTCTGAGAATTGGGAGGACCCAGGATATCTAATTAGAGAGTGCTTAAGGAGATTCAGCATAGTCCTGCCAGCAAAGATTATTTATTTACTTTAAGAGTTGGCCGGGCGTGGTGGCTTACGCCTGTAATCCCAGCACTTTGGGAGGCCGAGGCGGGTGGATCATGAGGTCAGGAGATCGAGACCATCCTGGCTAACAAGGTGAAACCCCGTCTCTACTAAAAATACAAAAAATTAGCTGGGCGCGGTGGCGGGCGCCTGTAGTCCCAGCTACTCGGGAGGCTGAGGCAGAATGGCGTGAACCCGGGAAGCGGAGCTTGCAGTGAGCCGAGATTGCGCCACTGCAGTCCGCAGTCCAGCCTGGGCGACAGAGCGAGACTCCGTCTCAAAAAAAAAAAAAAAAAAAAAAAAAAAAAAAAAAAAGTTAAGAGTGGCTGTTTGGGGATAGCACCAGGAGATATCAGCTGTGATGGCTTGAAGAAACAGTGTAAACCAGCAGTGTAAACAAGAGCAGGGCATGTATGAGTAGTTGAGAACGGTGAATAGGAGTATGACTAGACAGAAGATAGTAGGGATGACAAGTTTTCTGGGGCACAGTCCAAGTTGGTCTGGTGTCTGGAATGAGACTGGGGCTTAATAAAAAGGAGCGTCCATACAGGAGCTCAAATGGGCTGTACCCTGTAGCATTCTGAGGACAGGCCTGAATTCTGAGAAGGGAAAGTGGTAAAAGTATTGTCCAGTCCTTTCTAAGTTGGTGGCTGAGCTTGGTGAGGTGTGTTTTTAAAAGACCATTAGTCCGTTCTACTTTCCTGAAGACCGAGGACCATAAGGGATATAAAGGTTTCACTGAATACCAAGAGCCTGAAAAACTGCTTGGCTGATTTGACTAATAAAGGCTGGTCTGCTATCGGACTGTATAGAGGTGGGAAGGCCAAACCGAGGAATTATGTCTGAGAGAAGGGAAGAAATGACAGCGGTGGCCTTCTCAGACCCTGTAGGAAAGGCCTACCCATCCAGTGAAAGCGTCTACCCAGACTAAGAGGTATTTTAGTTTCCTGACTCGGGGCATGTGAGTAAAGTCAATTTGCCAGTCCTGGGCAGGGGCAAATCCCCGAGCTTGATGTGTAGGAAAGGGAGGAGGCCTGAACAATTCCTGAGGGGTAGTAGAATAGCAAATGGAACACTGAGAAGTGATTTCCTTGAGGATGTACTTATAGGATGGAAAGGAAATGAGAGGTTCCAAGAGATGGGCTAGCAGCTTGTAACTTACATGGAAGAGGTTATGAAATGATGACAGAATAGAATGGGCCTGTGAGGCTGGAAGGAGATATTTTTCTTGGTCTAAGAACCATTTGCCTTGTGTGGGAAGAGATTGATAGGTGGAAGTTTCAGCGGGGGAGTAGGTGAGAGTGACTGATATGAAGGAGAAAAACTGAAAGTGAGGGATATAAGTTGGAATGCTAGCTGCTTTTTTAGCTATCTTATCAGCATAAGCATTGTCCTGAGTGCTGGGATCTGATGCCCTTTGATGGCCTTTGCAGTGAATGACCCTAGCTTCCTTTGGAAGTAAAGCAGCTTTGAGAAGCATTTTTATTAAAGAGGCATTAATGATAGAGGACCGTGGTGTAGTGAGGAAACCTCTTGCATGGTGGTGCAGGATATGGAAGGCATATTTAGAGTCAGTATAAATATTGACGTTTAGTCCTTTTGCAAGAGTGAGGGCTTGACTTAAGGCAATGAGTTCGGCTTGCTGAGAGGTAGTGGAGGGAGACAGAGCAGTAGCCTCAATGATAGATGTGGAAGATACTATAGCATAGCCTGCCTTTGCTGGTGAGTGGCGATTAGGCCTGGTGGAACTGCCATCAATAAACCAAGTGTGTTCAGGGTAAGGAACATGAAAGAATATGGGGAAATGGAGTGAATGTCAGGTGGATCAGAGAGATACAGTCATGGGGGTCAGGTGTGGTATCAGGAATAATGTGGGAGGCCGGATTGAAGTCGGCCAGGAACAGTGGTAATTGTGGGAGACTCAACAAAGAGTGAGTACAGCTGAAGGAGCCTGGGAGCAGACAGTATATGTGTCAGGTGTGAGGAAGTAAATAGATTTTGAAAGTTATGAGAACTGTAGAGAGTCAGTTGAGGATAGTTTGTGATTTTAAGGGCCTCTAAAAGTGTTAGAGCAGTGGCAGCTGCCACATGCAGACTTGAGGGCTGGGCAAAACAGTAAGGTCAAGTTGTTTAGATAAAAAGTCTACAGGGTGTGGTCGTGGTCCTTGTGTAAGAATTCTGACTGCACAGCCCTGCACTTCGGCTATGGGTAATGAAAAGGGTTGGGGTGAGTCAGGGAGAGCGAGGGTGGGGGCAGTCTCTAAAGCTGTCTTCAAGGAACAGAAAGAGGAGTGGGGAAAGGATTTAGGATCTATGGGGTCAACTAGGTTTCCTTTTGTGAGTTTATATAATGGTTTTGTTAGGACGGCAAAACCAGATATCTAAAGTCGACAGTATCTAACCATGCCCAGGAAGGAAAGGAGTTGTTATTTTGTAGAAGAGATTGAGGATTGGGAGATTAGTTGGACACGATCAGCAGGGAGAGCACATGTGTTTTATGAGAATTATGCCGAGAGAGGTAACAGATGAGGATGAAATTTGGGCTTGACTGAAGTAATGGGGGCTATCTGTGAAGTCTTGCGGCAGTACAGCCCAGGTAATTTGCTGAGCCTGATGGGTGTCAGGGTCAGTCTAAGTGAAAGCGAAGAGAGGCTGGGATGAAGGGTGCAAAGGAATAGTAAAGAAAGCATGTTTGAGATCCAGAACAGAACAGAATAATAGGTTGTGGAGGGAGGTATTGAGGATAGGAGAGTATATGGGTTTGGCACCATGGGGTGGATAGGCAAAACAATTTGGTTGATAAGGCTCAGATCCTGAACTAACCTGTAAGGCTTCTCTGGTTCTAGGACAGGTGAAATGGGGGAATTGTAAGGAGAGTTTATAGGCTTTAAAAGGCCATGCTGTAGCAGGCGAGTGATAACAGGCTTTAATCTTTTTAAAGCGTGCTGCGGGATGGGATATAGGCATTGAGTGGAGTAAGGGTGATTAGGTTTTAATGAGATGATAAGGGGTGCATGATCGGTAGCCAAGGAGGGAGTAGAAGTATCCCACACTTGTGGGTTAAGGTGGGGGGATACAAGAAGAGGACGCAAAGGAGGTTTTGGATTGGGAAGAAGGGCGGCAATGAGATGTGGCTATAGTCCAGGAATAGTCAGGGAAGCAGATAATTTAGTTAAAGTGTCTCAGCCTAATAAGGGAACTGGGCAGGTGGGGATAACTAAAAAGGAGGGCTTAAAAAAGTATTGTCTAAGTTGGCACCAGAGTTGGGGAGTTTTAAGAGGTTTAGAAGCCTGGCCATCAATACCTACAGCAGTTACAGAGGTAAGGGAAACAGGCCCTTGAAAAGAAGGCAATGTGGAGTGGGTAGCCTCCGTATTGATTAAGAAGGGGACGGACTTACCCTCCACTGTGAGTGTTACCCAGAGCATCTGTGATGGTTCTGTAGGCTTCCAAGGCAATCGGGCAGTGTCAGTCTTCAGCTGCTAAGCCGAGAAGATCTGGGAAGGAGTCAGTCAGAGAGCCTTGGGCCAGAGTTCCAGGGTCTCTGGGAGTGGCTGCCAGGTGAGTTGAACAGTCTGATTTTCAGTGGGGTCCCGCACAGATGGGATGCAGCTTAGGAGGAATCCTGGGCTGTGGGCATTCCTTGGCCCAGTGGCCAGATTTCTGGCACTTGTAGCAAGCTCCTGGGGGAGGAGATTCTGGAGGAACCCCTGGCAGCTGCGGTTCGGGCATTTGGAGTTCTTGTGTGCTGGAGATGTGGCTGGGGTTTGTCTCATAGTGGAGGCAAGGAATTGCAACTCAGAAATACATTGCTACTTGGCTGCCTCTACTCTATTATTGTACACCTTGAAGGTGAGATTAAGTCTTGTTGTGGGGTTTGAGGGCCAGAATTTAATTTTTGGAGTTTTATTTAATGTCAGGAGTAGATTGGGTAATAAAATGTATATTGAGAATAAGACGGCCTTTTGACCTTTTAGGGTCCAGGACTGTAAAGCGTCTCAGGGTTGCTGCCAAATGAGCCGTGAACTGGGCTGGGTTTTTCATATTTGATGAAAGAGCCTAAACGCTAACTGATTTGGGAGAGGTCTGATAAAGAAAAAGGAGCATTAACCTTGACTATGCCTTTAGCTTCAGCCACCTTTTTAAGAGGAAATTGCTGGGCAGGTGGGGGAGGGCTAGTCTCAGAACAAAACTGTAAGCTGGACCGGGTGTGAGGAGGGGAGGTGATAAAAGGATTATAGGGATGGGGAGCAGAGGCTGAGGAAGAATTGTGAGGAGCAGCCTGGGGAGGAGGGGAGAGGTCAGATGGGTCTGTAGAAAAGGAAGATTAGAAAGACTCAGCAATGCTTGGAGTTGGGACTGAGAGAACAAACAGGAGGGAAAGAAGGAAGATTTGGGACCAGTCACATTGGGAACAGAGAGTAGGGAGGGAACAATATGTAAAAGAATGCTTGGACATCAGGCACCTCAGACCGTTTGCCCATTTTATGAATGCCCATTTTACGACAAGAATTATCTAGATCTTGTAGGATGGAAAAATCAAAAGTGCCATTTTCTGGCTGTTTGGAACCACTGTCGAGTTTATATTGGGGTCAAGCAGCATTGCAGAAGAAAATAAGTCATTTAGGTTTTAGGTCAGGTGTGAGTTGAAGAGGTTTTAAGTTCTTGAGAACACAGGCTAAGGGAGAAGAGGGAGGAATGGAGGGTGGAAGGTTGCCCATAGTGAAGGAGGCAAGCCCAGAAAAAAGAGAGAGTAGAGACATGGAGGGAAGGGGTTGGGGGGGGTTCTTGCCCTCCAGAAAAGCAGAGAAGGGGTAGAGACACGGAGAGAAGGGGTTGGGGGGGGGGGTTCTTGCTCTCCAGAAAAGCAGAGAAGGGTTAGAGACATGGAGAGAAGGGGTTGGGGGGTTCTTGCCTTCCAGAAAAGCAGAAAAGGGGTTGGGGCACAGAAATAAGGGGTTGGGGCTCAGAGATAAGAGGTGGGGGCACAGAAATAAGGGATCAGGGTGCAGAGATAAGAGGTCGGGGCACGGAAATAAGGGATTGGGGGGTTCTTGCCCCCCAGAAAAGCAGAGAAGCAGTAGAGACAGGGAGAGAAGGGGTCAGGGTTCTTGCCCCTCCCCCAGAAAAGCGGGACTTGCCGCTAAGGGTGAAGGACCAAGGCAGGCGTCCCTGCATGGTCAGACACCTCTGAAACGTGGTTTAATAATCAGAGAGGTGTCCCTGCAATGATTAAACACCAAGGGAAGGCTGCCTTCCTGAGTCCGTGACCGGCGCCAGAGTTTTGGGTCCATGGATAAAATGTGTCTCCTTTGTCTCTACCAGAAAATGAAAGGAATTGAAATTAAGAGAAGGGAGAGATTGAAGGGTGGCGACAAGATTGAAAGGAGAAAGTGGTTGAGGGATAGTGAGAGAGGTTGGAGAAGAGAGTAAGAAGAGGCCGCTTACCCGATTTAAAATTGGTGAGATGTTCCTTGGACTGGTGGGTCTGAGGACCCGAGGTCGTAGGTGGATCTTTTTCATGGAACAAAGAGCAGGAGGACAGGGGATTGATTTCCCAAGGGAGGTCCCCTGATCCGAATCACGGCACCAAATTTCACTTGCGTCCGTGTGAAGAGACCACCAAACAGGCTTTGTGTTTGGTGCAATAAAGCTTTTAATCACCTGGGTGCAGGTGGGCTGAGTCCTAAAAGAGAGTCAGCAAAGGGAGATAGGGGTGGGGCCGTTTTATAAGATTTGGGTAGGTAAAGGAAAATTACAGTCAAAGGGGGGTTGTTCTCTGGCAGGCAGGAGTGGGGGTACAAGGTGCTCAGTAAGGGAGCTTTTGAGCCAGGATGAGCCAGGAGAAGGAATTTCACAAGATAATGTTATCAGTTAAGGCAGGAACAGGCCATTTTCATTTCTTTCGTGGTGGAATGTCATCAGTTAAGGCAGGAGCTGGCCATCTGGATGTGTATGTGCAGGTCACAGGGGATATGATGGCTTAGCTTGGGCTCAGAGGCCTGACATGGAGCATGCCCAGAGGAGGTAAGGTCAATTTGTGTGTCTGCTGCTGTTCCTTGCTACATTCAGGTCTAGCATTCGCCATGCTCCATGAGCCTAGAATTTTAGTTGGAGCCAAGTATCTGGGAGTTCAATAAGACTCAAAGGAGTACATGGTAAGTGGGGGACTCTGAAAGCCAGGAGAGGCCTCATTTCCATTTGAACCAGAATTTGCTTTGAATGCAGAGAGAAGGCAATGCCATTTTAAACAACACACACGCAAAAAAACCAATGAATCCTGTCATAGCCTTTCTTACTCCCGTTACTTTCATGTATTAGCCACGTGGCTAGAAATGGCAGTAGAGATGGAAAAGGAAAGATAGGGCAACCTAGAGTTCTTTTTTCTTTTAGTTTTTCTTTTTCACCAATAAACTGAATGTAGAAAGTATTAGCATAATGTGCATGTTTAAAGAAGTGAAAGAAAAATATTTAACTTAGTTCTGTGTAGCATTTTCAAGAATGAAATGCTGATGCATGTACAAGCTAATGAATACAAATTACATAATTTAGTGATTCTGCATACAGGTTAAATGCTCTCATATCTGTATTTAAAACTGCCACTGGGTACAATACAAAATGAATGGTAAAATTCAAGCTAATGTTTAAACATTTTAATTTTTTTCTACTTAGAATGACATTAAATTGCAGATAAAAGAATACCATGACAAGTTGAGAGAGAGAGAGAAAGTGGAAAAAAGGAAAAAGCTTTACGTTTTCATATCTTTAATGACACTTTTCCCCCCACTTTTTAAATGAGTGACCTTACATTTTCATTTTGCACTGAGCTTTGCAAATTAGGTAAATGGCCCAGTTTATGAAACAGTAATTTTAATCCTAGATATATACTCAACAAAAATAAATGGTTATTTTCACCAAAAGACATGCACAAAAATGTTAATTACCCCAAGATTGATCCATAATAACCCCAAACAAGAAATAACCCAAAAGTTCATCGAAAGGATAAACTGTAGTATATTCATATAATGGAATACTAAACAGCAATGGAAATAAATGATTACTGCTATATAGAGCAAGATGAATGAATTTCACAGAAAGACAGCTGAGTAAAAGAACTCAGACACAAAAAGAATATATGCTATTGTGATTTCATTTGTAAGAAGTCCAAAATACAGGCTAAATAAATGTATCCTGATAGAAGTCAGAATAGTGGTTAAATTTAGGTAGATGGGGGAATGAAAGAGATTTCTGAGAAGCTGGGGATGGATTTTCTATGTCTTGATCTGGGTGGTGGTTAAACATATACATGTTAGAAATTAAACAAGCATACTCTTAAGAAATGTGTACATTATTGCATATCAGTTATCATAGCCTTGTCAGAAATTAAACAAGCATACTCTTAAGAGATGTGTACATTATTGCATATCAGTTATCATAGGCTTTCTTACTCCTGTTTCTTTCCTGTGTTAATCAGCCACATGTGCTAGAAATGGCAATAGAGATGGAAAAGGAAAGACAGGGCAACCCCAGAGTTCTTTTTTCTTTTAGTCCTTTGGTGCTTCTTGATGAGCAGAAATAAGAATGTAAGCTATACTTCAATAAGGAGGAAATACAAGGAAAAAAGGCATATCTTTCCCTTTTCTATTATCAAACACCTTAACGAATGTAAAACTTTCTAAGTGTGTGTGTGTGTCTGTGTACGTGTGCATGTGTGTAAAATGCCTTTACCACCAATTGGATGCTTGTAGTTGCATTGTTCCTGTTGAATGTTCTTAGAGTGGGGCCCTGAGTGGCTATTCTCACTCCGGACTAATGGTCTCTTTGCCTTTTCATGAAAATAAATTGTTTATAAATAGTGGCATTTTGTTATTTTACTACACTATTTTGAGTCTATGTTTCTAATTCAAAGATTGACCACAATTAACTTCATTTTTTTTGAGACATGGTCTCACTTTGTTGCTTAGGCTGGAGTGCAGTGGCACGATCTTGGCTCACTGCAACCTCTGCCTCCCAGACTCAGGCGATCAATCCTCCTACCTCAGCTTCCCAAGTAGCTGGGACTGCAGATACATGTCATCATGCCTGGCTAATTTTTGGGGGGAGTTTTTTGTAGAGACAGAGGTCTCATTGTGTTGCCCAGGCTGGTCTCAAACTCCTGAGCTCAAGCAATCTACCCACCTCAGCCTCCCAAAGTGTTGGGATTACAGGCATGAGCCACTGAGCCCAGCTAGATTGACCGTAATTAGCTTTTGTGACTTCTGTCTAAAATATGAAAGTTGAACTTAGGCTCAGAGCGTCTTTTCTTCTTTAACTAAAAATAGAATTAAAATTGCTTTCTGGTATAATTATTTTTCTTTTAACACTGATGATCTCAATTTAAAATTTTCTCTAGAACCTTGGTTCTGCATGAAAATTATCTTAATCATTTGCCTTTCTATTTGTGTGGAAGTTCTTCCTTGACATGATTATAATCTGATCTTTCACTTAATTCCAGTTTCTGCTCAAATGTTTTCAGAGAGACTTTGTATGACCACCCTCCAAAATAACACCAATCCCTCTGTCAAATTCTATGCTTTAATTAGTTTCATTTTTCTTCTTAGCGTTTACCTTGACCTGACATTATGGTATGTCTGTGTATGCGTGTGTGCATGTGCATATACATTTGCATATGTTATTGTTGGTCTTCCCCAATAAGAATGTAACTTCCAAGAGAGTTTTAGTGGCTGGTAAGATGGCCAAATAGGAACAGCTCTGGTCTGCAGCTCCCAGTGAGATCAATGCAGAAGGCGGGTGATTTCTGCATTTCCAACTGAGGCACATGGCTCATCTCATTGGGACTGGTTAAGACAGTGGGTGCAGCTCACGGAGGGTGAGCTGAAACAGGGTGGGGCGTCGCCTCACCTGGGAAGCACAAGGGGTCGGGGAACTACCTCCCCTAGCCAAGGGAAGCCATGAGAAACTGTGCTATGAGGGATGGTGCTATCTAGCCTAGATACTACACTTTTCCCGTGGTCTTCACAACCTGCAGACCAGGAGATTCCCTTAGTGCCTATACCACTAGGGCCCTGGGTTTCAAGCACAAAACTGCGCAGCCATTTGGGCAGACACCAAGCTAGCTGCAGGAATTTTTTCTCATACCCCAGTGGCACCTGGAACGCCAGTGAGACAGAACCATTTACTCCCCTGGAAAGGGGGCTTAAGCCACGGAGCCAAGTGGTCTGGCTCAGTGAATCCCATCCCCATGGAGCCCAGCAAGCTAAGATCCGCTGGCTTGAAATTCTTGCTGCCACCACAGCAGTCTCAAGGCAACCTGGGATGCTCCAGCTTGGTCGGGGGAGGAGTGTCTGCCATTACTGAGGCTTGTGTATGTGGTTTTCCCCTCACAGTGTAAACAAAGCTGCCAGGAAGTTTGAACTGGGCAGAGCCCACCACAGCTCGGCAAAGCCTTTGTAGCCAGACTGCCTCTTTAGATTCCTTCTCTCTGGGCAGGGCATCTCTGAAAGAAAGGCAGCAGCCACAGTCAAGGGCTTATAGATAAAACTCCCGTCTCCTGGGACAGAGCACCTGAGGGAAAGGGTGGCTGTGGGTGCAGCTTCAGCAGATTTAAATGTTCCTGCCTGCCAGCTCTGAAGAGAGCAGTGGATCTCCCAGCATGGTGCTTGAGCTCTGCTAAGGGACAGACTGCCTCAAGTAGGTCCCTGACCCCTGTGCCTCCTGACTGGGAGACACCTCCCAGCAGGGGTCAACAGACACCTCATATAGGAGAGCTCTGGCTGGCATCTGGTGGGTGCCCCTCTGAGACAAAGCTTCCAGAGGAAGAAACAGACAGCAATATTTGCTGTTCTGCAGCCTCCACTGGTGATAGCCAGGCAAAGAGGGTCTGGAGTGGACTTCCAACGAACTCCAGAAGACCTGCAGCAGAAGGGCCTGACTGTTAGAAGGAAAACTAATAAACATAAAGGAATAGCATCAACATCAACAAAAGGAGGTCCACATGAAAACCCCATCCGAAGGTCACCAACATCAAAGACCAAAGGTAGATAAATCCACGAAGATGAGGAAAAAGCCAGTGCAAAAAGGCTGAAAATTCCAAAAACCAGAATGCCTCTTCTCCTCCAAAGGATCACAACTCCTTGTCAGCAAGGGAACAAAACTAGATGGAGAATGAGTTTGAAGAATTGACAGAAGTAGGATTCAGAAGGTGGGTAATAACAAACTCCTCCGAGCTAAAGGAGCATGTTCTAACACAATGCAAGGAAGCTAAGAACCTTGAATAAAAGTTAGAGGAATAACAAACTAGAATAACCAGTTTCGAGAAGAACATAAATGACCTGATGGAGCTGAAAAACACAGCATGAAAACCTCGTGAAGCGTACACAAGTATCAATAGCCAAATCGATCAAGTGGAAGAAAGGATATCAGAGATTGAAGATCAACTTAATGAAATAAAGCATGAAGACAAGATTAGAGAAAAAAGAATGAACAGGAAGGAATAAAGCTTCCAAGAAATATGGAACTATGTGAAAAGACCAAACCTACGTTTGATTGGTGTACCTGAAAGTGACGAGGAGAATGGAACCAAGTTGGAAAACAATCTTCAGGATACTATCCGGGAGAACTTCCCCAACCTAGCAAGACAGTCCAACATTCAAATTCAAGACATACAGAGAACATCACAAAGATACTCCTCAAGAAGAGCAGCCCCAAGACACATAATCTTCAGATTCATCAAGGTTGAAATGAAGGAAAAAGTGTTAAGGGCAGCCAGAGAGAAAGGTCAGGTTACCACAAAGGGAAGCCCATCAGACTAACAGCGGATCTCTCTGCAGAAACCCTACAAGCCAGAAGACAGTGGGGGCCAATATTCAATATTCTTAAAAGAATTTTCAATCCAAAATTTCATATCCAGCCAAACTAAGCTTCATAAGCAAAGGATAAATAAAATCCTTTACAGACAAGCAAATGCTGAGAGATTTTTGTCTCCACCAGGTCTGGCTTATGAGAGTTCCCAAAGGAAGCACTAAATATGGGAAGGAAAAACCAGTACCAGCCACTGCAAAAACATATCAAATTGTAAAGACCATTGACACTACGAAGAAACTGCATCACCTAATGGGGGAAATAACCAGCTAGCATCATAATGACAGGATCAAATTCACACATAACAATATTAACCTTAAATGTAAATGGGCTAAATGCCCAAATTAAAAGACACAGACTGGCAAATTGGATGAAGAGTCAAGACCCATCAGTGTGCTGTATTCAGGAAACTCATCAAATGTGCAAAGACACACATAGGCTCAAAATAAAGGATGGAGGAATATTTACTAAGCAAACGGAAAGCAAAAACAAAAACAAAAACAAAAAAAGCAGGGGTTGCAATCCTAGTGTCTGATAAAACAGACTTTAAACCAACAAAGATAAAAAATGACACAGAAGGGCATTACACAATTGTAAAGGGATCAATGCAACAAGAAGAGCTAACTATTCTTAATATATATGCATCCAACACAGTAGCACCCAGATTCATAAAGCAAGTTCTTCGAGACTTACAAAGAGACTTAGACTCCCACACAATAATAGTGGGAGACTTTAACACCCCACTGTCAATATTAGACAGATCAATGAGACTGAAAATTAACAGGGATATTCAGGACTTGAACTCAGCTCTGGACCAAGTGGATCTAATAGACATCTACAGAACTCTCTACCCCAAATCAACAGAATATATGTTCTTCTCAGCACCACATTGCACTTATTCTAAAATCAACCACATAAGTGGAAGTAAAACACTCCTTAGCAAATACAAAAGAACAGAATCTCTCAGTCCACAGTGCAATCAAATTAGAACTCAGGATTAAGAAACTCACTCAAAACAGCACAACTACATGGGAACTGAACAACCTGCTCCTGAATGACTACTAGGTAAATAATAAAATTAAGGCAGAAATAAATAAATAAGTTCTTTGAAACCAATGGGAACAAAGACACAACCTACCAGAATCTCTGGGACACAGCTAAAGCAGTGTTTAGAGGGAAATTTATAGCACTGAATGCCCACAGGAGAAAGCGGGAAAGATCTAAAATTGACACTGTAACATAACAATGAAAAGAACTACAGAAGCAAGAGCAAACACATTCAAAAGCTGGCAGAAGACAAGAAATAACTAAGATCAGAGCAGAACTGAAGGAGATAGAGATATGAAAAACCCTTCAAAAAATCAATGAATCCAGGAGCTGGTTTTTTGAAAAGATTAAGAAAATAGATAGACCCACTAGCCAGACTAATAAAGAAGAAAAGAGAGAAGAATCAAATAGACACAATAAAAAATGATAACGGGGATATCACTGCTGATCCCACAGAAATACAAACTTCCATCAGAGAATACTATAAACACCTCTACACAAATAAACTAGAAAATCTAGAAGAAATGGATAAATTCCTGGACACATACAGCCTCCCAAGACTAAACCAGGAAGAAGTCGAATCCCTGAATAGATCAATAACAAGTTCTGAAAGTGAGGCAGCAATTAATAGACTACCAACCAAAAAAAGCCCAGGACCAGATGGATTCGCAGCCAAATTCTACCAGAGGTACAAAGAGGAGCTGGTACCATTCTTTCTGAAACTATTCCAAATAATAAAAAAAGAGAGAATCCTCCCTAACTCATTTTATAAGGCCAGCATCATCCTGATACCAAAACCTGGCAGAGACACAACAAAAAAAGAAAATTTTAGGCCAACATCCCTGATGAACATTGATGCAAAAATCCTTAATAAAATACTGGCAAACCGAATCCAGCAGCACATCAAAAAGCTTCTCCACCAAGATCAAGTCGGCTTCATCCCTGGGATGCAAGGCTGGTTCAACATACACAAATCAATAAACATAATCCATCACATAAACAGAAACAATGACAAAAAACCCACATGATTATCTCAATAGATTCGGAAAAGGCCTTTGATAAAATTCAACACCCCTTCATACTAAACATTCTCAATAAACTAGGTATTGATGGAACGTATCTCAAAATAATAAGAGCTATTTATGACAAACCTGCAGCCAATATCATACTGAATGGGCAAAAGCTGGAAGCATTCCCTTTGAAAACTGGCACAAGACAAGGATGCCCTCCCTCACCACTCCTATTCAACATAGTATTGCAAGTTCTGGCCAGGGCAATCAGGCAAGAGAAAGAAATAACAGGTATTCAAATAGGAAGAGAGGAAGTCAAATTGTCTCTGTTTGCAGATGACATGACTGTATATTTAGAAAACCCCATCATCTCAGCCCAAACTCTCCTTAAGGTGATAAGCCACTTCAGCAAAGTCTTAGGATACAAAATCAATGTGCAAAAATCACAGGCATTCCTATACACCAATAATAGACAAATGGAGAGCCAAATCATCAGTGAACTCCCATTCACAATTGCTACAAAGAGAATAAAATACCTAGGAATCAACTTACAAGGGACATGAAGGACCTCTTCAAGGAGAACTACAAACCACTGCTCAAGGAAATAAGAGAGGACACAAACAAATGGAAAAACAATCCATGCTCATGGATAGGAAGAATCAATATTGTGAAAATGGCCATACCACCCAAAGTAATTTATAGATTCAATGCTATCCCAATCAAGCTACCATTGACTTTCTTCACAGAATTAGAAAAAACTACTTTAAGTTTCATATGGAACCAAAAAATAGCCCCTATAGTCAAGACAATCTTAAGCAAAAATAACAAAGCTGGAGGCATCACGCTACCTGACTTTAAACTATACTACAAGTCTACAGTAACCAAAACAGCATGGTACTGGTACCAAAACAGATATATAGACCAATGGAACAGAACAGAGGCCTCAGAAATAGTGTCACACATCTACAACCATCTGATCTTTGACAAACCTGACAAAAACAAGCAATGGGGAAAGGATTCCCTATTTAATAAATGGTGTTGGGAAAACTGGCTAGCCATATGCAGAAAACTGAAACTGGACTCCTTCCTTACACTTTATATAAAAATTAACTCAAGATGGATTAAAGACTTAAACATAAGACCTAAAGCCATAAAAACCCTAGAAGAAAACCGAGCTAATTCCATTCAGGACATAGGCATGGACAAAGACTTCATGACTAAAACACCAAAAGCAATGGCAACAAAAGCCAAAATTGACAAATGGGATCTAATTAAACTAAAGAGCTTCTGCACCACAAAAGAAAGTATCATCAGAGTGGACAGGCAACCTACAGAGTGGGAGAAAATTTTTGCAATCTATTCATCTGACAAAGGGCTAATATCCAGAATCTACAAGGAACTTAAATTTACAAGAAAAAAACAACCCCACCAAAAAGTGGGCTAAGGATATGAACAGGCACTTCTCAAAAGAAGACATTTATGTGGCTTCAACATTTATGTTGAACAAACATGAAAAAAACCTCATCATCACTGGTCATTAGAGAAATGCAAATCAAAATCACAATGAGATACCATCTCATGCCAGTTATAATGGCAATTATTAAAAAGTCAGGAAACAACAGATGCTGGAGAGGATGTGGAGAAATAGGAACGCTTTTACCCTGTTGGTGGGAGTGTAAATTGGTTCAACCATTGTGGAAGACAGTGTGGTGATTCCTCAAGGATCTAGAACCAGAAATACCATTTGACCTAGCAATCCCATTACTGGGTATATACCCAAAGGATTATAAATCATTCTAGTATAAAGACACATGCACACGTATGTTTATTGCAGTACTGTTCACAATAGCAAAGACTTGGAACCAACCCACATGCCCATCAATGATAGACTGGATAAAGAAAATGTGGCACATATACACCATGGAATACTACGCAGCCATAAAAAAGGATGAGTTCATGTCCTTTGCAGGGACATGGATGAAGCTGGAAACCATCATTCTTAGCAAACTAACACAGGAACAGAAAACCAAACGCTGCATGTTCTCACTCATAATTGGGAGTTGAACAATAAGTACACATGGACACAGGGAGGGGAATATCACACACCAGGACCTGCTGGGGGTTGGGGGGCTAGAGGAGGGATAACATTAGGAGAAATACCTAATGTAGATGAGGGGTTGATGGGTGCAGCAAACCACCACGGCATGTGTATACCTATGGAACAAATCTGCACTGTCTGCACATGTATCCCAGAACTTAAAGTATGATAATTAAAAAAAAGAACTTCTGTTTTATTAACTGCTTGGCACCTAGTAGGTACACAGTAAACATTTGTTGACTGAATAACAAACTTTATTCTGAAAAACTAGAAAAAAAGGAATTTTGGAATTTTATATTTTATCAACTGTTGAACATGAACATTTATTAAATTTTATGATGCAATTTAAAACACAGTAACTCTAGCAAGAGATAGGTGCTTATCCTGAAAGTAAAAAGTGTAGCAGAGAATATGGAAGGATAAATATTATTGGTAGAACCTGGTCTGCAATTAGAATTTTCCTGGAGTTTCACAGGGTTCTCCAGCTTGAAAGGACAAAAAGCAGAAGTTGGGATCTGGAGCATAGTGGGCTCCACCCTCAGCCATCTCTGTGCCCAGCACATTGGAGATGCAGCCAGCTAGCCACTGGGTGTCACTGTTCTCTCATGCTCCTCAGTCTGGGTGTCCTGCCAGGTCTCCTTAAGCATGAATATGCAATGTCCTGGTTTACAGCCATGACAGAGGGCACAGACTCACCTGTACAGGCCTTCTCAATATGGAATCACATACTGTTCCTACATAAAATTGATTTTCGGTTCTGAGCAGCACAGAAAGGTTTGAAGAGATGAGTGGTCTCAAGTGCGGCTCTTAGCTTTAGTCTCAGCCCTAAAACGGCGCTCAGGAGTAGGAACACAGCTGCCAGGACATTTCCCTGTCACTCAAGAGCTGATAGGCTTTTTTTCAGGTCCAGACCTACAGGCAAGGACTGGAAATCATTTGGGTTTCACAGCTGGTTTGGATGATATTCAACAATAACACCAAAATTCTTCCATTAAAGAACAAAACAAAAAAATAGGAATTGAAAAACAAGGGTCGGTGACCAGTTTGTGTCGAAACATGCCAGCTGCTCTTACTTTGAATGAAATTATTTGCAGCACAAGGTTACAGCTCGCCTGGGAAGTTTATCTTCAGCCAGTCTCATTAAGATCTCCCAACCTGCACGCAACACCTGTTTGTCTCCATTACTTATCCACCATATAAATATAATAAATAGGTGAGTTGCTATGGATTGCTTAATTGTGGTCTGCTCCCTCCCCTTGGAGCCTTGTTCACACTTATTGATTTCAAGGCATGAATAATCCTCAGAAACTTGCTCCACTCTGATTGGGAGTATTTCCTTTAAAATTCATTTATTCAGGCCAGACCCTGTGGCTCATACCTGTAATCCCACTTTGTGAGGAAAAGGTGGGAGGGTTACTTGATCCCAGGAGTTTCAGACCAGCTTGGGGCAACATGGTGATAACTCATCTCTACAAAAAATACAAAAATTAGCTGGGTGTGGTGGCACATGCCTGTGATCCCAGCTACTCAGGAGGCTGAGGTGGAAGGGTTGATTGAGTCCAGGAGTTTGAGGCTGCAAGGAGTCGTGATTGTACCACTGCACTCCAGCCCGGGCCACAGGGTGAGACCCTGTCTCAATATATATATTATTAAAAATACATATAAATAAATAAAACGTATTTATTCAATGACTCACCAGACATTTATTGAGTGCCATCTTCTAAGGCCCAAGCACTGTTTTAGGGGCTGGGGATACAGCAGTGATACAACAAACAAAGTCTCTATTACTGCCGAGCCCACATTCTAGTGTTTAACAGAGATTAAACTAAAGGAAAATTGCCCAGATCATTTCTGTAGGTGTCAGGAGGTGGATGTGGCCTTCCATCACCAAGAAGGTGGTTTAGTAGCTCAATGAGTAGATGAGGCTCTAGTGAGAGCAGTCACATCCCAGTATAAGAACGGCAACAGCCCTGAGCAGCTGCTTTCTTCATTTCAATTTTTATTCCCTCCAGTCAGTTCACAAATAGCCAAAGAGATTCTTAAAAGTTAAATCTTATCTTGTAGCTTCCTTGCTTCAAATCCTTCAATGGTTTATCACTCCTCCTAAAATGACAAGACAAATCCTGCCATGGCTGTGAGTTGTCCCCTGCCTATTTCCCCAGCCTCCGCTGACAGCCATGCTTCCACTCTCTAGAGATTCATTGGCCATTTTGCCCTTCCTCTAATTGCCAGGCACTTTTCTGCATTAGAACTTCTGTATATGCTGTTTCCTTTGACTGGAAAGCTCTTTTCTGATCATCCTTCCCTCCCCTCACATGCAAACTCACCGTTTAGTGTCAGCTTGAACTGCAGCCACTTCTGCAGGGAAGCCAGTCCCCCTAGGTCAATCAGGTTTCCCTAGTTCCATAGCCCTTCTAACATTGATGCCCATCATACCTCTCAAACACCTGAGCCAGCACATCGTTTCCCAGTGCTGTCTCATTCCAGTCGCTGAACAGTTTGACAATTGACCTCTACAATGTGTCAGAGTATCAGTTCTCTACCCGCCACGCTTTGGGTGGGGGGTCCTTATTGCAACTGGCCAAATGGGTAATCAATTTCCCAGATCTCATAATGGAGTCTGCCTCCTGGGACCACTTCTGTAACCAACTGTTTGTTTATTTTTCAATCGGTTTTGGGGGAACAGGTGGTGTTTGGTTACATGACTAAGTTTTTTAGTGGTGATTTCTGAGATTTTGGTGCACCCATCACCTGAGCAGTGTACACTGTACCCAATATATAGTCTTTTATCCCTTACCCACCTCCTACACTTTCCCCGGAGTCCTCAAAGTACATTGTATCATTCTTCTGCCTTTGCATCCTCATAGCTTAGCTCCCACTTATGAATGAGGACACATGATGTTTGGCTTTCAATTCCTGAGTTACTTCACTTAGAATAATGGTCTGCAATATAATCCAGGTTGCTGCAAATGCCATTATTTCATTCATTTTTATGGTCGAGTAATATTCCATGGTGTATATATATATACATATATATATATTTCAAATATATATACACATATATATATTCCAAATATATATACACATCTATATATTCCAAATATATATACACATCTATATATTCCAAATATATATACACATATATATATTCCAAATATATATATACAGATATATATATTCCAAATATATATATACATATATATATATTCCAAATATATATATACATATATATATTCCAAATATATATATACATATATATATATTCCAAATATATATATATATATATATATATATATATATATATATATATATATATATACCACAATTTCTTTATCCACTCACTGATTGACGGGCGTTTGGGCTGATTCCATATTTTTGCAATTGCGAATTGTGCTGCTATAAACACATGTGTGCAAGTATCTTTTTCGTATAATGACTTCTTTTCCTCTGGGTAGATACCCAGGAGTGGGATTGCTGGATCAAATGGTAGATCTACTTTTAGTTCCTTATGGATCTCCACGCTACTTTCCAGAGTGTTTGTGCTAGTTTACATTCTCCCTAGCAGTGTAAAAGTCTTCCCTTTTCACCACATCCATGCCAACATCTATTATTTTTTGATTTTTTGATTATGGCCATTCTTGCAGGAGTGAGGGTGGTATCGCATTGTGGTTTTGATTTGTATTTCCCTGGTCGTTAGTGATGTTGAGCATTTTTTCATGTTTGTTGGCCATTTGTGTATCTTCTTTTGAGAATTGTCTATTCATGTCCTTAGTCCACTTTTTGATGGGATTGTTTATTTTTTTCTTGCAGATTTGTTTGAGTTCCTTGTAGATTCTGGATATTAGTCCTTTGTCGGATGTATAGATTGGGAAGATTTTCTCCCACTCTGTGGGTTGTCTGTTTACTCTGCTGATTATTTCTTTTGCTGTGCAGCAGCTTTTTAGTTTAAGTCTCATCTATTGATCTTTGTTTTTGTTACATTTGCTTTTGGGTTCCTGAAATCCTTGCCTAAGCCAAGGTCTAGAAGGGTTTTTTTGATGTTATCTTCTAGAATTTTTGTGCTGTGTAACCAATTGTCTTCGGTTGGGTCCCCTGAAAACAGCTCTGATATGGAGATGTATGGGCAGCAGTTTATTGGTGAGTGCTCCAAGGATCAACACTGGGAAGGTGCAAGGGAAGCGATATTCCTAGAGAGGCACAACTGTGATGTAGTTTCAACAGAAGCTTTGGCCAAGCCCAGAAGGGGCCCTGGAGCTGGGATGGCCATTCAGAGTTGTTCCATTTATAGCAAGGGGCTACTGGGCCTTGGAACCTGCAGCCATTAGTCCCTGGGTGCTGGATGCTTCCGAAGAGGGCAGCATACTTTGAGTAAAGCAGCTTTCTTCAGCCAAGGGCAGTTCCATAAGAGAGACATAGCTGTGTGCAGCCAACACCTCTGGCTGCTGGGAAACCAATACTTCAGTCTGAGGTTGGGATCTTGGTGGTACAGCTGAACCCCACTACAGAAATCCTGCCAGACTTCACACAGTGGGTATTCAAGAAATTATTGATGGGTTCTTTTAGTTCTATAAAACATGAACCTGTTACTATTGCAGGGCTTTTTCCTTAGCTCAGCTAAAGACAGGGGTCCTTATCACACGGCCAGGAAAATTTAGGCTCGCAGATGATTGAAGGGTGAGAATTATGGAATTTATTGGGCAAAAAGGAAAAAAAAAGGGGAAACAGGGACTTTCCGCAAGGCCAGAGTTCCTGCTGGGGTGCTTCCCAGCCCACTGTTTGCACCCCAGGTTCCACACAGGAAGAGGAGGGGCCGGGATCCTCCCTGCTGCAAACAGCAGGAACCTCTGTGGCTCCATCCCACTGTGCATTCCTCCCAGGGCCCAGGCAGCTGGAGTTTTTCCAGGGAACCCCTCCCACCTGGCTTTCTCATTATCTTGACCCTTCTTTGCTTCTGTCTCTGCTCTCAGATTCAATCTTCATTGACTCATCATTTCTACCTTTTATTCTTCTGAATATCTTCACCTGGCAGAAAAGGAAAATTGGACTAGAAAGCCTACTATCCAGCAGGCAGTATGCTGGGGACTTCACATATGCCCTGTTTCCAAATACTAATGTTTATTCTTTTTGTCCTCCAAAATTTGTTAAAACTATTTTACCTCTGTTCCATCTTTTTATTTCTGAGATTTTGTTTCATAAAATTGTTCTAAACTTCATTTTTAAATGAAGACATCTGGTGATGGCATGTACACTCATTGCAGGAATGAAATGAAAATAGACAAGAACCAAAAAGATATTTCCCCAATAGCAATTAACCATATGAATTGCTTCATTATTTTATTAAGTTACTAAAATTGATACATACTTCCTATTTAACTGTAATTTTGCAATGGCAAGAGCTGTAAATAAAGGTCATATATTTATATATGTGTATATTATTAGTAGATTTCTGCAAACAATAATTGCAATAAAAATAAATTTTTAAATGAATCATTTCACAGCTCTCCATAAGCCTGCTAAATCCTATATCATGCACTCTATAATTCTTAATGAGATATTTATTTCTAGTCTTTTGTAGCCCCAACCAGGTAGTAAAAATGAAATGATGTCACCTGGATTGCCATATCATTTTGTCCATATGACCTATTATCATCTTTTAAAAACTTGGATTATTATATTTTTATCTTAGAATCTGCTCACTATTTTGATCTATTTCCTCTTATGGTTTTGGGTATTAAATATTCAGTCTAGTGGCATTAGCACAGTACTAGAAGTAAAATAGCCTGGGTTTTAGAATGAGCCTTGGTTTTCTCACATGTGAAACAGAATTGATGTTCGTATCATATGCTGCAGTGAGATGGGTTAAGAAAAACTATGGAGAAGAGGTTTGAAAACAGTAAGATGTTGTAAAAAATGAAAGTATTATTACTAAAATAGAAAGATATAAGAAGAAAGAAAAGTAAAATCTGTCCACTGGCAGTGGCCTGTCTTCCAGGCATTTCACACAGGTTATTTCACAGCCATGCTGCGACGCAGGTATTGTTTATCCCCATTTTATGGATGAGAATGCTGAGGCTGAGAGAGGCTCAATAACCACTTGATGCCATTGATTGGTAATAGTGTCTGAGTCCTAATTCACATCTAGCTCTTTGGATTCCGAGTCTTGCCTTCTTTCCACTGCACCAAAACTGACTCTCAATTAATTGTGGATAATCAGTGGAAATCAGTTTACTCTTGGGAATCTTTCCATTTATGCCCCCTCCCATTGCTTTCAAAATCACCTCTGGTGTGTTCCTTGAAATCTTAGAGAGGCAGTGGATTGTAATTTAAGAATTTTTGCTTATAGCAGCACAGTTTACCGTGTTGCCCATATTTGTTCTGGATCAAGGGATTGGAACCCTCAAATACATGTCAGCACTGCTAGTTATATATATTTTTCTATGTCTAATTGCAATCCTTAGTAAGAAGAAATAGGTTTGAGGATGCATCTTTCAGGTCAGTTCCAGAAGGTCGGGAGGTGCAAATGAGCTGAGCTGTTGATTCAGTTGAGATCATTTTGATGAGTACATGCTTGCATGTGGGTCTATAATGTGGTTCATCTCCATAAAATCCCAAGCTTTATGGGTTTGAAAGCATTAACTCATGTCTTAGAAACATCCCACATAGATTATTATAATTCTTGGTGCGCTGCCTGACCATCTGCTTACCTACAGGAATTACAATCACATGTAATGGCCCTGCGCAAATCTAGGCTCAGAAAAGAAATATGAGAATACCTGAGTCCTTTTCTGTTCTGTTGAAACAGCACTATTTTTTACACCCTGCTCAGCATAATAATGAAAAATGTGTTAATTTGTGACTTTTCTTGCTTCAAAATGATGAGAATAGGAAAATACTTAGTTATATACTTTTTCCTCTTGTTGTTCTATGAGAATATATTGATCATCTCATGCAGCATCCCTCCCTTCTTTCCTTCCTTCTCCACAGATATTGTATTGACAGCTGTTAAGTGCTGGCACTGTGCTAGTCTGCAGGACACAGAAGCAAACAAGCAGTCACAGCACTTGCCCTTATAAGCATCACACTCTAGTGGGTGAGACAGACATTAAACATAATTTCACTGAGAACCTTGGGATTACACTTGTTGTGAGTGCTATGTTTGAAAATTCCTGGATGCTGTGAAAACAATGGAGGGGAAATGAGGAAGAATAATTTATTAGCATTTTCTTACATGAGATTATTTTTCTTGTTATTTTGTTGTCAGAAAGAAACATTACAGAATTCAACAGGCCATCTCTCATGGCTTTCTTTTCTACTTTCCTCTCCACTTCTTGGCCATTCTCAACAATTGCCTGTGGGTGTTTTGAGCGAATGTAATTTTATGGGCAAATAGTTATAGTTCCAATTCCTTTACTTAGTCTAAAAACCACTATGCACCTCCGTCCCCCGAAGCTGACATTTTAAAAATTAGTATTTATGTTTTTATTCTATTTTTCTTAGACACACTCCTAATATTGTCTTGTTTAGGTGCATGTATTTTTCAAATACTGCTAGCTTTCAACTAAAGACAGAAGTCTAATTTCCATCTAAGCTCAAAGAACTTCATAAGAGTTTTATCTTAAAAAACAATGCTGATCTTAGCAGGTAACTAGGGCAGGCCACAGGGAGGAAATGAAGAGGGATTCAGGCATTCTGGTGCTGGGATAAGGCATGGGAAAGCAGAGAATGAGTTGGTGCAAATCCCAGGCCCTAGCATTGTGTGGGTGATTCTGGTACTCTAAGGTTTGGCTTTGAAATGTGGCTATAACCTTTTAAAAAAATTTTAATATTTTATTTAATCCAATATATCAAAAACATTATCATTTCAATATGTTAGCAAAATAAAAAACTATTAATAAGATATTTTGCATTTTTTTCATACTAAGTCTTTCAAACTAGGTATAGCTATGAAATTTTTTTCCAGCTGGCTTCACTTCCTCTTTGTTTACTTATAGAAGATCTTCCAAAGTATGCCTGTGAACATTAATTCTGTGGAATGTTAACTAGTGTTAGATGAAAAAAAGAAAAAATAAAATTATTTATGGTCAAATACATTTCCTTTTCTTTTCTTTGTTTAAGATAGGGTCCTGCCCAGGCTGCCCTGGAACTCCCAGGCTGGAGCAATCCTCCCAGTTCAGTCTCCCAGATAGCTGCGCCTACAGGCACGGGCCCCCAGGCTAAGCTCCAGCGAGTTTCTTTACTGCAAGACTTTTCAGAAATTTTAAAATCCAAAATGCATTGTGAATCATCAAGAGAGGAATCCGAAGCAGTTATGCTCAAATCTATTTGATGATGAACCTCTTTTTTACAGAACATCTCCTAGGACTAGTATTGCTTGCAATGAAGTTTGGAAAACATTAGGCTTAGATTACTTTCTAAAGAAATTTATTCTTTTGAAGATACCAACGGATGTCAGGGAAGATGCTTCATAACATGTAGCATAGCAGAGAAGAAAATGGGTCTGGGATGAAAGTGTTGTTACAGATAATCCACAAAATGGCTAATTCATAGGGAACAAAGTCATTTAAAGAGCTGACAGTTACTATGATTTAATTGCACAATGGCATGGTGAAGATGAGCACCAGTGTAGTTTTTATCTATACTGTGAGATTTGGTGATAGCAATTCATCACTAGTTCTTTTAGGATCCATTATGTGAAGTTAGAATCATTTTGGCTTAATTCTTTTAATCCACCAGAGTTGATTTTTAAAAAATTCTTTTTTCACTCATTTGGTTTAAATATCACAAATTTGTAGTATTTCCATCCTTCTTTTACTGGAATGAATGTCCTGGTTAGGATATGGCCTCACCAGAGATGAATAAAAGTGAAATACAACTAAATGCTGCATGATTTCATAACTCTGTAAAAACATATCGACCAATTTGAATTGCTCTATGAAGATCACTTTCTGTTTATTTCAAAACCAGCTTTCCTAATTACTCTCACTTCTATTTTCAGTAGGACTTTATGACGTCTCTTTGGATTCTAACAAATGTTGTAATTCATTGCCAACTTCTTTTTCCTAATGTACTGATAGAAGTAAAAAGTATAGTTGTACTTTTTTTCCTCTCTGGCATCTGAAAATAAAGTTTGCATTCTCTTTCTGAAACTAGATTCTTAAATCTACCTTTCTTTATCATCCTTTAACACACTGGCCATATAGTTAGAAAATTTACTTAAAACACAAAGTATAAACACATTTCAGATAGATGGAACTGTCCCCACTTGAAGTTAAAAACAGGATCCCAGCTCATATTGCAGATTGAAGGTGAGAGATGAATGAGGAAGTAGAATTGAGAGAAATGGGTTTTGATTTTGACATTAGAATTCAAAATTCTACCAAGTATGTTCAAATAGAAATCATGTTTAAAAGCTATAAGAGTAAAAGGGAACTTCACATTAAAATATTTTTGTAAAGAAATGAAAATGCATTTGTTCTCATTCAGTTCTGCTTTTGAATTCTTATGTGACCTTTCCTGGATCCCTCTGTGCTGCCCAGACATAGGAAATATTCTCTCTGTGAAATGGATAAAGCCTTCCTCAACCCCACAAAGTTTAATGAATCATTTATTACGCCTCCACCTTTTTGCTAAGCCCTAGAGTAATTAATCTTTGTTTTTAAAGTACTCTAAAATGCTAGGTCATAAGGTGTACCAGATTAATAAATTATTGTAAAGCATTTGTAAATAAGGAGGTCTTGTCTAAACATTACATATTATAAGAATGGGATGGAAGTGAAGCTTAAGATCACCTCTTCCTGGGGTGTCCTCCTATCAACCCAGCTCTTGGAATACTCGTCCTTAAATTGTCAGATTAGGTTTCTCAGTCAGTTCAAAAGTGGAATTTCTTCCTTTTCTTCTTAAATTTCATTAGGATGTAATTCCGATCCTAATATGTTGATTTTTCAGCTATAAAGAAATTCAGACATCTATTCAATAATTATGGAGAGGCAGATTATTTACCCACATGGCATTCTCTTCATTTCTTTCCTGTCCACTGAGTGAGGAAAAACATCTCCATATATGGAGAGGGTGTCTCTTAGTGTTGGGTTGGGCAGGTGGCTGATTGAGCATATGGTTTGGGACCATGGCTTGGGGAAGCTATGATTCATAGAAGGTGAGCACTCAGGTACTTGAAAATGATCATTCATTCACTCAGTATAGATTGAGCACCTACTCTATATCAGACAATATCTTTGCAGGGTCAGAGACCTGAACAATGTGAAATAGAGCTAAGGTTGAAATTGTTATCCATTGCCAGAAGGCCTGGATATTTCCCAGGAGTGGCTTAGAACAGATAGAGGGGTTTATAATAATGATCTGAGTTTGTTTCAGTCCTCCCCTGCTGTTGGGCTTCCAGATATTTAAAGAGCTGGTACTTTCTGCTCTGAGTAAAGGTTTTGATTAAACTGGGATTGTAACTGCAGTAGTTCGTGAGCAATTCAGGATAATGCTATCAATGATACTCCATGGTTCTTGAAATATTATACTTTAGAAAGAACTTTCAAAGGAATTAATTACTTTAACCTTTATAATCCTGTAAGGTAGAAGGCTTTGACCTGCCAATATCACATAAACAGTAAAATCAGGAGTGTCTGACCACATGACCAGTCTCATTTCTCTCCCTGATCAGTGTTCCCAGGGCTTAGATCAGGGATCAGCAAACTACAGCCTGTAGGACAAACCCAACTGTTTTTAAACAGCCCCTGGCCTAAGAATAAATCTTGTCTTTTAAAAGGATGATAAAAACGAAGAATATGTGACAGAGACAGCAAGTGGCCTGCAAAGTCTAAAATATTTATGTATGGCGCATTATAAGAGTTTGCCAACCCTTGGCTTAGAGGCTTATATACAGGTCTTCCTGCTGTGTAGGGACTATTAGCATAATCCAGTCCAGAAAAACATTTGGAAAAATTAACAGTAACTCAAAAGAGTGTTCAAAATTCTTGCAAAAATATTTTAAAAGGCAAAGGCAAAACCGTTTGGGTTTACTGAAGAGTGTGAAGAATACCAACTGAAAATAGACTGTCTGTGGCTCTGCACCAGGGATGTGTCAGTACCAGCCTGTAAAAGCGGAATGTACACATCGCTTCCCATCTCCAGGTGCAGTGATGTCAAGTGGATAGCTTAGAATCGACCAAAATAGAAATATTTATACTTCAGAAATTGGCAAAATCTACAAATTGGGGACTTTTCTCCTCAGAAATCTGGTTTTGAGACATTTACCATTATACTACTAAATGTATGTCATTTGACGTCTGAAGTCATTTATAACCCAGACTCATGTATTTATCCTAGTAATAAGGAGACTTGTGTTTTGAAATTTAATAGAAGCCATTTTTTTACCTGATAATTGATAAATTTTCTTAGAAGCTGAAACTGAGGGCATATATAGATATATATGATCTATATAAGGAGAATAATAAAAATAACTAGATTATTGGGTTGTTATGAGAATTAAGTGTGTTAATAGATGTAAATTTTCAAAGGTAAAGCATTTAAAGCAGTGCCAATATTAGTTTCTATTATTTCCATATCCAGACTCTAGTTCTGTGGAACACAGCACATTCAGACTAATGCCATCTAGGCTGAGTCTGGAGCTGACCCTGGGCTTGGAGTTGGGGGAATGGTTTGTCTATCTTTGCTTCGCCATTTCCCACCATGTATTCTGAGGCAAGTCAACCTCAGTATGCCTGACTCTTTTCATCAGTAGGCAAAGCTTAATGTCACCCACCTTGCCAGTTAGTGGGAGGATAGACAAGATAATACCTGGGAAGGCGCTTTGCTAATGGCAGCATACCACATAAGCCTAAGGTATTATTATCTCACAACAATACGATCTTGAAATGTGTGCAGTAAGACTCAGGCTGACATTCTGTTGAAAAGAAGAAATAAATGAGTCACGTCTTCCTTTGCCTCTCACCCTTTTCTGTCAAAAGCAGTAAATCATTGACCAAAAATGAAAACAAGGCTGTCAGAAAGGCTCATATGAAAGTTTTATTCTACTTAAATAAACTCTGAAGGCCTATATGTTATAGCAAAACTAAACTATTGACTGGAAACCAAGATACTGAACACTACTACTGTAGAAACTAACATGAGGCTGGGCATGGTGGCTCATGCCTGTAATCCCAGCACTTTGAGAGGTCAAGGCAGTTGGATTGCTTGAGCTCAAGAGTTTGAGACCAGCCTGGGCAACATGGCGAAACCCCATCTCAACAAAACAAAACAAAAATTAGCTGGGCATGGTGGTGCGTGCCTCTAGTCCCAGCTACTGGGGAGGCTGAGGTGGGAGGGTTGCTTGAGCCTGGGAAGTGGACGTTGAAGTGAGCCAATCCAAGATCATGCCACTGCACTCCAGACTGGGAAACAAAGCAAGACTTTATCTCAAAAAAAAAAAAAAGAAAATAGAAAGAAAGAAAGAAATGAACACAAATGTGCTCAATATAGCTTATCTATTTTTCTATTATAAAAAATACAATTTTTACTTAAAAAGTTTTTATTTTACCTTCTTTTTAAAAATATAAGTTGTGCTATGTATTTGCAAAATTGGTTTTATATTGATACATTTTATCACTATTGCACAAATTTGTGAACAAATTTATTGTAAAATACTATCTAAAAATAAAAAGCTAAATAAAATGATAAATGTTTAATAAAATAACTGTTAAGAGTGAGCTGAGAGAGAGCAACACTTACCTTCTTATTAATATTTGCTACTAGCTCTCATGCATATGAATCCCCTTGGCATGTGGTTCGAATGCAGATTCCATTGCTGTGTGAGGTGGGGCCTGATACTGTGCATTTCTCCCAAGCACCCAGGTAATACCCACGCTGCTCTTCTGCAGACCACACTTTGAATAGCAGGTGGAGGCTATGCAACAGTTAGCAGGGAAAAAAAGGATTTTGAGTAGCCGGTGGAGGCTATGCAAGAGTTAGCAGGAAAAAAAAAGGATTTTGAGTAGCTGATGGAGGGTATGCAACAGTTAGCAGGAGAAAAAGGATTTTTTGAGCCTCCACTGACTGACTGAAAATTGTATTGTGGCTGCCAGTTGCTGAGGTCTTCAGGAGATAATGCACACCTCCCCTTTTTTTTGAATAAGTTCTAAACTAGTTGAAAAATGAAAGAAAAAGGTAAATATTGAAGCTAAAGTCTCACCTTTATTACTAACGGGAGTCTAAGGTGGAGGATGCAGCTTAGCATGAGAATCAAAGGGGCTTACTCTCTGACTGGCAGCCGGGCCCATTTACTCACTCTGCCCCAGCAGCACTGGCCTGCAGCAGACAGACCCCTCCTCCAGAAAAGCAGAGAAGAGCTCCCGCACTCTCAGGCTGGCTCACTCCCAAGAGGAAGAAAGGCCAGGCAGAGCTGAGAATGCCTCGTTAGTCTTTCTAAATTGACGAGTCAGGTAATGAAAGGGCTGGAGGGTGGCCAAGAGTTCTGATACCTTGCAGAAGTAAACATCTCAAGGACCCAAGAAGCAGTTCCCATTAATGTCAGTGATGGAATTGTCTTTTGAAGAAGTTATTTACTCATTTTTGGTTTTTGGTTTCCTATAAATACCTTTCTTCTTTTATTCTGGAGTGGTCCCTAAAAGTTTGAATCATGATTTAGTAGTTCGTTTCTGTATACACCACTTGGTGCTGTGGATTGGGGAAGGGTCAAAAGCCAGGCGTAGGGTGGGCACCTCGTGATTTAAGGAGAGGGGAGCAGATGAAATGCAGGAGGCCTCATGCCCAGGCAGAAGGGCGCAGCCTGGTCCACTCCCGACTGCTGCCTGTGTACCAGGTGACTCTAGGCCAGGCCAGGTCTCCATCTTTAACCCTTAGTGGGGAGGTGCCTTGGAGGGAGACAAGCTCCTCTGGACTCCTCAGCAACCTAGTGGTTTAGACAGGGGAGTTGTCTGCACCTGTTTTTGTCAGCTTTTCACCTGAGCTGTACTTTTGTGCTGTTCACATGGAACCTCTTTGCTATGGAATGAATGTTTGTGCCACCCCCGAATTCACATGTTGAAACCTAGTCACCAGTGTGATGACATTAGGCAACAGGGCCTTTGGAGGGGGCGATGAAATATGAGGGTGAAGCCCTTGTGAATGAGATTAGTGCCCTTATAAAAGGGACCCCAGAAAGCTCCCTCCCCCTTCTGCTATATGAAGACATAGCAAGAAGGTGCCATCTGTGCACCAGGAAGAGGGTGTTCACCACATACGGAATCTGCCAATGCCTTGATCTTGAACTTCCCAGCCTCCAGAACTTGGAGAAATAAATTGCTGTTGTTTATAAGCTACCCAGTTTGTAGTACTTTGTTATGGCTGCCCAAACAGACTAAGACACCCCTGGACTCTAGACCAGGCAGGGATTATCATGGGGCAATGTGGGGAAAGCAAGAAAGAACCTCAAATGTCTCTCCTGGTCTCACTGCCTCCACCAAGGAGGCATCTTCATCTCAATATTATATAGGATGGAAAACATCAAGGTAATAAGTAGAGCTTAAATCTGCATAGAAGTCAAGAATTGGGGATGCAGAGGGCAAAAACTAAGAAGAAATGTTCAGAGAGTCACCAAAATTAAACGTCTCATAGGTGAGAGATAGAGTTATATATACTGAAGAAGGTATAGCAAATAAGCAAGCCGAAAGATGCTCCACGAATACCGTTATCATTAGGGTGATGCAGATTAAAACCACAATGAGATATACCTCTATTACAGTGGCACAAATCTAAAAAAAAATGGACAATATCAAATATTGGTGAAGAGGAGATGGAGCAACCAGAACGCTGTCACACTCTTGATTGGAACATACAACAGTACGATCACAACAGAAAATCATTTGACAGTTCCTTAAAAAGTGAAAATACACTTACTATAGGTCCCAGCCTTTCACTCCTATGTCACTCCTATTTACCCAAGAAAAATAAAAGCATCCGTCCATACAAAGAGTCTGTCACAATGTGTGGACGAGACTATTTGTAATATCTCTAAAGTGGAAACAATCCAAGTACCTATCAACAGGTGAATGGATAAACACATTGTGATATACTCGTATGGTGGCATTCTACTCAGAAATAAAAAGTAATGAACTATTGATATAACACAACACATGGATGAATCTCAAGATAATTATGCCAAGTTAAAGGAGCCAGACAAAAATAGAATATACTATATGATTCTCTTGATATGAGATTCTATAAAATGCAAGCTATCCATAGTGAAAGAGAGCAGACAAGTGAAAGATTGCCTGTGGACAGAGAGGAGGGTAGGATGGCGAGGTGGGACAGAGTACACAGGGGTGTGATGAGACTTCTGTGGATGATGGATGCATTCAATATCTTAGTTGTGGTGATGGTTTCATGGATGTGTGCTGATGTCATAAGTTATCAAATTGTGCACTGTAAATATGTACAATTTATTTTATGGCAATGGATGTAATTTGGTTGCTTTTCTCCTCCAAATGTTTTTCCTCTCATGTTGAAATGTGACCCCCGATGTTGGAGGTGGGGCCTGGTGGGAGGTGTTTGGATCATGGGGATGGATCCCTCATGAATGGCTTGGTGTCATCCTCATGGTGATGAGTCTGTTCTCACTCTATGAGTTCACATGAGATCTGGTTGTTTAAAAACAGCCTGGCACCTCCTCCCCGTTTCTCCTGCTCCCCTCTTGCCATGTGACATGCATGCTCCCCCTTTGCCTTCTGTGATGATTGGAACCACCCCGAGGCCTCACCAGGAGCAGATGCTGGTGCCATGCTTGTACAGCCTGCAGAACTGTGAACCAAATAAACCTTTTTTTCTTTGCAAATTACACAGCCTCAGGTATTCCTCGAGCAATGCAAATAGACTAACACAGCAATTAAATGCCAATAAAACAATTAATCTTAAAAAACCTCACTAACCTTTTTGGAGCACCCTGTTTATTGCTGTGGGTGTGTGACAGCTGGAAGACAGGGCTCATGGAAAGGTCAAAGGAGGCATGGGCACCCATTCCCCTTGCCCCTGTTGTTGCTGCAGATGGTATGTTGCTCAATATCATATCAGTATGACTACCCGGAATCCTGGGTGATAAGAAGTACAACTGGAGACTGGGACACACACAGTGACTGCTTCTGCAGTGTGGGGATTCTGTATAAAAGCCCTTCCCCCTGGCTCTAGGTACTGGCCACCCTCCCAAGGGATGTGAGATATTTCTGCAATCACTTACCTCCTTCCTCCTCCTGTTTCTCTCCAGCCTGTGCAGTGCAGGGAAGAGCACTGGCTCTCATGCCATACTGCTGGGGTCTGCTTTTGTGCTTCCCCACCTGGTGGCTCTGAGATCTTAGCCAAGCACTGTACCTTCCTGGGGCTGCTGTAACAAAGCACCACAAGTTGGGTGGCTTAGAACAGCAGAAATATGTCGTCTCACAGATCTGCGGGCTGCAAGTCAGACCATGATGTTAATAGGGTTGATTCCTTCTGAGGGCCACCAAGGAGACTCTGTTCCAGGCCTTACTCCAAGCTTCTCGTGGTTTGCCAGCAATCTTTGGCATTCTTTGGCTTGCAGCAGCATAATTCCAGTCTTTTTTGTGTGTATGACAGGGTCTCTCTCTGTCGCCCAGGCTGGAGTGCAGTAGTGCAATCTCGGCTCACTGCAACTTCTGCCTCCCGGGTACAAGCGATTCTCCTGCCTCAGCCTCCCGAGTAGCTGGGATTATAGGCACCCACCACCATGCCCGGATAATTTTTGTATTTTTAGTAGAGACAGCATTTCACCATGTTAGTGGGGCTGGTCTCAAACTCCTGACCTCAAGTGATCTGCCTGGCTCGGCTTCCCAAAGTGCTGGGATTACAGGCATGAGCTACCGTGTCTGGCCATTACATGGTATAATCACTGTGTGTGTGTGTCTGTGTTTTCACATAGCATTCTTTTTGAAGGACACCAGTCATATTGGATTAAGGGCCCACTCTACTCCAATAAGACCCCATCTTAACTAATTACATCTGCAACCATCATATTTTTGAATAAGGCCGCATTTGGGGTACTGGGAGTTAGAACTTTAACATATGAATTTTGTGGAGACACAATTCAACCTTTGAAAACAACAGATTTAACATCTCAGTCTTCTCATCTATAAACCAGGGATATTAGTAACATCCACATTGCAGAGTTGGTGTAAAAAAGATTCAGTCATTTCCTAGACAACCGCTGTAACCAGCTAAGCCTTGAAGCCACATGCTCAGTCATTTAGAACATGTTAAGCACATCGAGACATCTCTGGCTCACAGCTAGCAGCTGGTAAATGTGAGCCATCATTATTTTTCACAACTACATGTGCAGATTTTGACCCTGGGAGAATTTTTTGTTCTAGATTTACACACTAACACCCCTCCCATCTGACCTTTGACCAAGGTTTTTACTACACGTATAAAAATAATAATATAAAGGAGTATGAGCCAAGTACTAAAGTCCTGAGGAGGTGATATCTCTGTGTGCCAAGCAGTCACGGAAGCCTTCATGGGTGATGTTAGAAGACTGTTTTAGTCTGTGCTTGCACTACTATCAAGAACTATCTGAAACTGGGCAATTTATAAAGAAAAGAGGTTTAATTGGCTCATGGTTCTGCAAGGCTGTGCAGAAAGCATGGTGGCTTTTGCTTCTGGGGAGGCCTCAGGAAGCTTCCAATTGTGGTAAAAGGCAAAGGGAGAGCAGGAGTCTTACATGGCTGGAGCAGCAGCAAGAGAGAGGAAGTGGGGAGGTGCTGCACACTTTTAAATGACCAGATCTCATGAGAACTCACTCACTATCATGAGAACAGCACCAAGGGGATGCTGCGAAACTACTGACAAGAAATCGCTCCAATTGTCCAATCATCTGTCACCAGGCCCCACTTCCAACACTGGGGATTACAATTTGACATGGGATTTGGGTGGAGACATGTATCCAAACCATATTACAGACCTTGAAGATGGGGAAGGGGATTGAATCCTTTGATCAAAATCCCATTTTGTGCCTCTGATTTTGGGAAAAATTACTGATCTTCCTTGAACTTCAATTTCTCTATAAAATGGCAATAATATAGTTGTTGCATTGATTAAATGAGACAAGGTAAAGTGTTTGTCAGATGCCCCAAACCCAATAGGTGCTCAGTGAATATTTTTTAAAAATATAGAAGTTATGTTGTGGGCAAAGACTTGGGCAAATTATTAGGAACAAGACTGTAGCTTTTGGGCAGAGCACAGTTGGACTTACTGGCTCAGTAATTCCACATTTGAGTAGAACAACAACTAGTTTCTCAATGATGACACATCAGGATCAAACACCCGGGGGACCTCTCCTGCAATTGCTGTTCTCTTTGAAGAAGCTCCTTTTAAATAGAAGACAGTACCTTGAAATATGGCCACAGGAGGTCAGTAGCGTGCTGTGGTTCTACGCAGAAGCAAAAAAACAGTCCCCTCTAAGCATCTTTAAGCCATAAATTCCTTGTTGTAAACTAAGAATATGTTATTCCTTCCATATTTTCAGATAAATTGACAGCTAAGCTTAAAGAAATTATGCTTTCAGCTTGTAATATGGAATAGACAGGCACTAACTTATTCTTAAAGACTCTTATTATGACACGGCTGTGTTTGAAGAAATGGTTTTGTTTTGTTTTTTAATGAAACCTGTGTTTTGGTCAAGAGTGTTACCACATTCAGATCACAACTTTTCTAAGGAAATACACTCAAAGACACCTAACATTTGAGTGAGATTAATCATAATGTAAGATTTCTGTGATGTGTGCAATGGGGCTTCAATATCTTAGATCTCACCATGATGGGCAATTGCTTGTCTTTTTCGAGCCTTGATTTCTCATCTTTAAGACAGGAGTGACGCGGCTGTTGTCATAATTAAGTGAGGAAATGTAGTTAAAGCACCGACCACCAAGCCCTAAACATTTTGTGCTTCTGGATGCCCAGTATCCTTCCTGTTTGGGGAGAATCTGAAGATGGGTGAGGGACAGGGCTTGTCCCTCGCCGCAATGGAAGTCAAAGGGGGACGATCTTTCTTCGACTCTTTGACCCCTGGCTGCTGGAGCATGGTCATGTGACCAAAGCGTGGCTGGGCATCTCAAAGGCTCAGCCACTTGCATATTATTTGTGATGTCAGGTGTAGGCTAGTGGCGTAATAGCAAGCACCCGGGATCAGCAGGTCCCTGCAGGATGTTGGCGGGGCTTTGCCTACCTTCGTTTCTGCCTAAGTATGCTGAGTTTTCCCAACAACGCTGGGAGCTTATTTATATCCTTCTAACAAATTCAGGTTAGCCAGAAAATCTACTGTTGTTTGCAACCCAAAACACTGAAGAGTGTAAGATTCAAGTTTAAGTTTATGGTAAATGTGCAAAATTACTCGTTAAAGGATTCTGGCTGGTATATAATAGAGTTTTCTCCTGAGGTTTTTTCCACAGTACAATCGATGATTGTAAAAGAAAAGCTGAATAATTGAAAAAAGGCCTAGTGTTTTGACATGACAATAGAAATAATATTTACTAGACACAGAGAGCAGGGTTTCAACCATCCTGTAATTGTCAGCCATGCAGCAGGGCTGTCTGAGGACAGCTGTGCATGTAAATCATCACTGGTTGCCTGGATGAGATAACTAGGTTACTGGTGGCTTCCCCTTCTTCTGGCTTCAGAGGTTGCACCCAAACTCAGTTTCCCATGGGCCCAGTGACTTCCTCTCTCATATCCTCCCACACCAGACCTTCAATGAGACTAAATGGAAATATCTCTGAAATCCACTGATGAGAGAGCAGTAGAACTAACACTGTATATATGTGTGTGTGTACATACTTCAGTATGAAAACAGGAATTCCTATGCATAAATGGCATAACAACACCATATGGCCCCTCACCAATGCATCAGAAGGTAAATAGCTTCTCTTCAGATGATGTTAGAAGAATCATTTGTCCAGTTATTCAAGTTAAATGTCATTTACTTTTGAAATGTTTCTTTGTGATTTAAAGCCTGTCACTAAAAACAAACCCCACACCACCACCACAAAACAAAAACCAAAAAATAAAAGCAAACCACTGCTCTTTGCTTCTCAAACTCTCTCACTGCCTGATATCACACTCACCAGGAAATTTTCTTGGTGATAGAACTTCCATTTCCTCACTGTCTCCCTCACCACCTACCCTACCTCCCATCAGCCCTGGCCTTGGGAATGAAGTGGTCAGAGAAAATGATCTCCTCATAAATGTCTGATGAAAATCGGCTTGCCACCCTGTAACATGGGAAGACATTTGTATCATCTATATTCTAGGTTGATCATAAAACCATCTTATAAAATTGGTTAATTATGCTGGGGTTCAACTGTTTATTATGTCAGACAAGTAGGGTTTTGGGGCAGGTCTGAGATGAAGAGATTGGTAGTAAGGGAAGACTCAATTTATAGCTTTTATTACCAGTAAAATCTGAAGCCTTGCAAAACCTCAATGGTGCCCAATTATATAAAAACATGGTAATTTTTCTTGCATCATCAATATTTAAAAGCCACTTGGCTGACCATGTTGGGACACCTATGTTTTGAAGCATGTGAGGAAACATCTGTGAGCACATTTACAGTATTCCATCAAATAATACGCTTCAAATTCAAGAGGAGTAATTTCAAATTAGTAATGTTTACAGACATGTCTGCATCCATTGTACCTAAAAGAAAGTTAAAATGAGATAAAAATCTGGGAAAAAAAGGTGGCAGCTCATTTCCCACAATCTCCCTTGCTTTTTTAAACTCTTACTTTGAACTTACTGCTTTTTGCATGATAGTCTTCTGCCTTAATTCTTGAATTTTCCAAATTGATGTTAAAGTCTTTAATGACTCCTTTTTATACCAAATAACTCTCTCTTTTTTTCTTTTTACCAACTCTCTGATATGCAAATGTATGTCTGGAGTACCATAAAAAGGATTTTATTTTTCAAAAATAAACAAAGGGAGAATGTAGGTAACAAAATCTAATACAGAAGATGTATTTAACATCATGGTATAGTAGAAAAAAACAAGTTATTCTGTCTTGCATCATTGATGTTTATAAGTCACTTGATGAGCCATTATGAAACATCTCTGTTTGTAACATGCAAAGTTAACAGCTGGGTCATATTTATAGCATTCTACTCAATACCATGCCTCAGAGTCCAGGTTGAGAATTTGTGATTTGCAATTGATAGGCATATTTGCCTTCAGACATTGGAAAACTCTGAAATAGGAAAAAATAATGAAGACATTGTAAAGTATTTCTTTCCCTCTGGCAAGTAAAAGATTAATTACTGTTAGTATACCAGCTCTTTCTTATAAGAAATCATCCTGAAATCCTAAAATAGCCGCTTCATATCAGAGTGATATCCAGAAGCCTCTTTCAATATCTGTCCTAAAGGACAAAATGCCCACCCTCCAAACAGTCGAAGACAGATTTTTCATGGGGCATATTGTTGAATTTTGTGATGAATCTTGCTGAATTATTTAGCCTTTGGCAGCAAAATGTGGCTGGGAAGAACATGGACTGCGTGGCTTCACCACAGCAGCTCAGGTAGATGTCCTTGGGCTTGAACTTTCTGAACTTTGGCTCACTCTGATGAAATGGGAAAAACAACGGCAACTTTACAGAGTTGTTTCAAAGACTATATAAGAATTACAATAATAGCTAAGATTCTTGAAAAAATTTCCATTTGCCAGACACTGACTAGAAAGCTTGATATAGACTTGTCATTTCAAACAGATCAAATCTATATGGAAAAGGCACTTCATGAATTAGGCCACAGAAATGTGAATTTATTCCTCCTTCCTCTGTTATTTGAAACTCTCATAAAAGGGACTTTTTTTTTTGAGACGGGATCTCACTCTGTTGCCCAGGCTGGAGTGCAGTGGCACGATCATAGCTCAATGCAGCCTCCAACTTCTAGGCTCAGGTGATCCTCCTGTCTCAGCCTACTGAGTAGCTAGGACTACAGGTGTGTGCCATCATGCCTAGCTAGTTAAAAAAATTTTTTTGTAGGGGTATTGCTATGTCCCCTAGGGTGGTCTGGGACTCCTGGCTTCAAGCTATCCTCCTGCCTTGGCTTCCCAAAGTGCTAGGATTACAGGCCTGAGCCACTGCACCTGGCCAAGAATGATGTTTTTTTTTTTTTGTTTTTTTGTTTTTGAGACACAGTCTCGCTCTGTCACCCAGGGTGGAGTGCAGTGGCGCAATCTTGGCTCACTGCAACCTCTGCCTCCCTGGTTCAAGCGATTCTCCTGCCTCAGCCTCCCGAGTAACTGGGACTACAGGCGCGTGCCACCATGCCCAGCTAATTTTTTGTATTTTTAGTAGAGATAGGGTTTCACCATGTTGGCCAGGCTGGTCTCGAATTCCTGACCTCAGGTGATCCACCCACCTCGGCCTCCCAAAGTGCTGGGATTACAGGTGTGAGCCACCGCACCCAGCCGCCAAGAATGATTTTTAATGAGAACCTAACAGCTTAAAGGACATAGCTATGTACCTTCCCATTTCCCAATAGTTGAAGAGCCTTAAGATTTTTTCTACTTTTTGTTTGTGTTGCAAAATGAGTATTATAATTTAATCCCTTTTCTGTTGATAGGTGTGAATAGTATTTTGCTTTAAGTTTTAAAATTACTAATTAATTGAACAATAAAAAATTACCAAAATTTGTATTTCCCTTTATAAAACTGCTTATGTCTTTTTCCTATTTATTTATTGTTTTCATGTTTTTCTTATTGATCTATAAGAGTTCTTCATATGCTAAGAATATTAACTTTTTATTCATTAACTGTTGCAAAAAACTTTACACCTCTCTTTTTGTCTTTTAATTTGGTTTATGCTAAATTTTAAGACTCATAAAATTTACAGCTTTATGGGGTTATAAAGTCTATTAGTCTTTTTTCATTATGACTTCTTCCATTGTTTCTATATTCTAAAAGCTATTTACCTTCCAGAGATCAGAAAAATAGTAAAGTGCTTTCTTCTTTTTTTATTTTTTTTGAGATGGAGTCTTGCTCTGTCGCCCAGGCTGGAGTGCAGTGGCATGGTCTCGGCTCACTGCACTCCGCCTCCCTGGTTCACGCCATTCTCCTGCCTCAGCCTCCTGAGTAGCTGGGACTATAGATGCCCACCACCACACCTGGCTCTCTGGCTAATTTTTGTATTTTTAGTAGAGACAGGGTTTCACCGTGTTAGCCAGGATGGTCTCAATCTCCTGACCTTGTGATCCGCCCGCCTCGGCCTCCCAAAGTGCTGGGATTACAGGCGTGAGCCACCGCACCCGGCCTGCAAAGTGCTTTCTTCTAAGTTTATTTTTGGTTTGAGTTTTTTCAGTCTAATTCTTTGGTTAATCTAGAATTTGTTTTGATGCATGGTGTGAGAGGAGAATGAGAACTTTCTTTTGGCCTAACCACAATGACAGGCCCATATATCTACCTGTTAAAATAAATGGAAAAAGACACCCCAGGCAAACACTCAATGCCAAGAAATCAATTAGTGGATTTTCTTCTTGGAAATACTATCTTGTTACAAAGGAGAAAAATGCTTAGGAAACTTTTATATAACTTCAGGTTTAGCCCAAGATTTTTTAAACACAGGAAAATCTCTTTCCCTTTTTTCTTATTCAAGGCATACAGTACGTTACTTTTACCTTATTTCAGAGTATCCATGTCTGGTTTTGTTGATGTATAAACACTTGGAGGCTTCTCTCTCTCTCTCTCTGACTCTCTCGTCACACATACATATCTTCCTCATTTGGCCACCCCCTCACTTCCTAAACCTTGCATGAAAAAAAAAAAAGGTTACCTTCAGGTGAATGAGTAACTTAGAGTTGTGATACAAAGGACTTGCTGGGTTAATTCCCTGCCGTGTTGCAAGTTAAGACCTCAGGAGGGATCCTGATTGAGATTGAAGCTATATACATAAATAAATCCCCAGCCGAAGCTTGATTTGAATAGATATATGGGAGCTGGGGACAGAATTGACCAGATGCTGGACCATATGATAAACACAGAGGATCACGGTGTGGTATAAAACCTGGGCAGTTCCATGGTACAGCTGGCCGTGCATAATCTTCTGCTAATTTATAAGGCGGGAGCATCTGCTCTTTCACTGCCACTCTCCAATTTTCTAACAACCTTATCCTTGGGTCTCTGGTTTAAAGCAGCCCCATGACGTGGCAGGAAAGAAAGGAGGGTTATCACCAGGGAAAAATGACACTGCCCAGAATCCTGACTTTCAGAGAAAAAAGAGAAAAGGCCTTGATTCTTATCCTGACTAAGCCTTCTTTTTTGGATAGTGTCATTTTGAAATCATTCTTTTAGATAGGGCATCTTGGGTTGCCATCACGGGATAGTGTCTTTCTCTATAAGAAGATTCTTTCTGCCCCTTAATCTATTAGAGGAGGCTGGGCACCATGGCTCATGTCTGTAATTTCAGCACTTTGGGAGGCCGAGGTGAGTGGATCACTGGAGTTCAGGAGTTCAAGACCAGCCTGGCCAACATGGTGAAACCCCGTCTCTAATAAAGATAGAAAAATTAGCCAAACGTGGTGGCTCACGCCTGTAATCCTAGTTACTCAGGAGGCTGAGACAGGACAATCACTTCAACCCGGGAGATGGAGGCTGCAGTAATCTGAGATTGTGCCACTGCACTCCAGCCTGAGCGACAGAGTGAGACTCTGTCTTAAAAAAAATAAAAGAAGTCTGTAAGAGAAGAATTTAGGCCAAACTAAAGCCTCAGATTGCTTTCAGTTGAGATAATACTGTTTCTGTTTAATTCAAAGCAACTAGTATTTTCTGGGGACTACATAGGCAAAATTGAGAAGCAGGAGTTATAATGCCCTCCTGGCCCTGGAACTTCCCAAACACCCATTGAGAAGGCCTGTCTCCCTACTCATGATTCTTTCTCCTCTTACTCTTTCGACTTCCTGCCAGGCAGGTTGGGGTTATGGTGGTGGCATGCCTCTCATTAACTACTACATTAGGCCCAGCTTTCTGCTACATCTTTGTTTAACCACATTGATGTATTAGTTGATAGAGGCTTAAAATATTTTTATCTTAAAAGAGACATCTGACACTGATGTTAAAAGGCTCAAAGGAATGAATATCTTAATGACGGAATTTCATTTTCTGGGACTCATAGGTAAAATAGTTTAACGAAATGGATGACGTTACCTTCAAATAACACTCTCTGGAAGAAACTCATTGGTCTAGGGATTAGAAGAGGTTTTAGTCCTTATTCTGCAACTATTATAGCCTCTGACATTGGTCACACCACTTAAGCCCGCTGAGCCTGGAGTCTCAATACCTTTTTCCTTTTGAATGGCAGAGAAAAACAAAACAATACACTTGGAAATTACTCCCTCAGGGCTTTTGGGACAGCTCCTTTTTTTTTTTTTTTTTGCCTGAGCCCTAGAAAGGGATCTGAGGAATTTTCAATTAGAAAGTGGGAGTATACTCCAACATGTAGATGACCTTCTTGTATGTAGTCCAACCCAGGAGGCATCTGACCAAAAAACCTTAAAACCATTTTGCATTCCCCGGCACTCGAGTCAGAAGAGTACGTGGATCTGCCACTAATGGGTGGGCTGGGATCACGACCTCATTCATTGCCCTGAGCTCCTGTACCATATGGTATTCCCCCAAAGGCTTCAAAATGGTCAAAATGAGGGTATTACAGGGAGAATTACAGGATTTCAGAAGTCCACGGGCAAGCAACCCCTTAACTACAGACACTATGCCCTTTCTTGCTTCCAGCTTAATTGGGTATTGTTTTCTGTTGGGAAAATGACTGGGGTCTTTGAGCTGTATTTTGATGGGCACTGCCATTCTAGCCCTTCCAGCCCTCCCAGTACACCATGCTCGTGGGTTGACCTGTTTGTGTACAAATGCGACTGTCAAGGATGCCATAAAACTCATAGACAAGCTTAGGCTGCTGTCATATTAGAACTCATCATATAAATGAATTTAAGGCCAAAACACTCAATGAATGTTACATTTATGACCTTCTGAAGTTGCCCTTTGACCCAGCATCACCTTGGCCATTTGTATCCCCTTGAGCCTCCTTCCCTCCCCATCTAATGGACAGTGGAGTAGCAAAGGCTCATGTCCAGTGGTTGAGATGATTTTTGCAGTGCTATGCGTGCCATGGGCAAGGGTCAGGGCAAAACTTTGACCCTGTTGATCCCTTCTCACCCCCTCCTTCAGCTTTACTCATTTCTCCTGGGCCTGTGTGCCATGTTTGAATGCCCTCAATTTCTCACCATGTCCTGCTCAAAGACCGTATTCACTGATGGTGCGCTGGCTTTTGGTATTATAAAGATTCCCAAATTCCTCTGATCATAAGAATCACCTGGGCTGCTCATCTTGTAATTCTGAGTCAGAAAGTTTGGGGTGGGGCCTGCTGATCTGTGCATTTAACCAAGACTCTGGGTGAGTCTCATGATCACATGAGTCTGAGACACATGGATTTAATGACTATGAAAGTTGAAAGATGCCCCTGAGATCATTTAAACCAGTGGTTCTCAAAGTGCAGCTCCCAACCAGAGCATCAGTGTCACCTGGGATTTGTTAGAAATGCAAATTACTGACTCTATGAAAAAGGAACTCTGGAGGTGGGGCCCAGTTCCCTGTGTTTTCACAAGCCTTCCAGACAATTATTGCATAGGCTAAAACTCCAGACTTGCTGATGTAGACCATCTCTCTCCTGTTATCCTCTATTTTACAGATAAGGAATGTTGGCACTCTGTCTATCACTTTGGGACCTTGGGTGTTGAAGTTGGGGAGGGGGACAAGTGCTACAATCCCTAGGTGATTGTGAACAGGGTGAGAAGAGAGATGGTAGAGGGCTCCTGAGAATGGGCCATCAGTGGTGTGATCCTCAGCTTCCAATCCCTATTCTCTGAGCCTGAGGTCTTATCTGTAGACAAGGACTCATGTTTGCTGAGGGTGCTGCTAAAAGACACCAGGTGTCTGAAGGGCCAAACCTTTGTGGTAAACCAGAGCTTAGATGTTTATAGTAACTCTCCACTAAGAAATCCCCTGAGAACCCAGCCACCAAGAAGCCCCAGTTCCTCTAAAGAAAGACATGTCTCACTCTCAGAGAAGTTTCAGCTCTGCTTTTGGTGGTTAGTGCCTGCCCATTCTCAGGATGGTTCATGAAAGAGTCTTCTACTTAGTGCTGTGGAATAACCATCTGAAATTGTAAGCTGTGGGTAGATAGTACTGTGGTGTAATCACACATCTTCCTGTCACACTGGTGGGAAGGATCAAGGGTTCAGCATAGTTCAGCCATCCCTGTTATTCTCAAAACCAGTGTTCCCAAACTTCAGTCATTTGGCTATAATTTTCACAATGTTTCTAAATTCAAGTACAATATGTATTGTCGTTTTATCTAATATTTTTCACTTGCTCAACTTAAAAAAACTAAGAATATTTTCAAATTTTCAAAATAATTATGAAGATAGTACAGAGAGTTCTCATATATATACCCCACGCCTGGTTTCCCCTATTGTTAAAATCTTATATTAGTATAGTACATTTGTCATAAATAATGAACTAAATTAATTGATACATTATTGTTAACTAAAGTCCATGCTTTATTTAGTTTTTACTTAATGTCCTTTTTTTTCTTTTCTGTACCTGGATCCCATTTAGGGTACCACATTAAATTTATTCATCACATTGTATTTGGGTCCTATTCCAGACCTAACAAAAAGTGGACTGATGCAAAAGAATGACACTCTGGTTAAAGCTATTGCTGTGAGTATTAAAGCCCTTTGTCTCTGATCCAAGAGTCTCATGTCTTCTGCCAGCATCTAAGAAACACTGACAAGTCAATTAGTTAGTTTCCAGGTAGGGTAAAGGCTTAGATATCTTACAGTTCTTGAACTTTTTTGTTGCACAATTGAAGTATTCAAAAAGGGTAAAAAAAATCAAGTTTTTAAATATTTAAACTAATTCAATTAAAGTATAAAAGGCCACTTAAAAGTGATGGTTAAAAGTTGCCAGATTCATAAACAAAGTAATAAGGTTTATGAGTTGGACTTAAAAATTCAAGGAATAATGAGGAATTTAAATTTGTAATTTTAATAAATAAAGTATTAATTTAAGAAAATCACAGTATCCCCTTAGTAATTTTTCCTGTCTATAAAAGCCCCTATCAAGGATGCCACAAAACTCATCTAGATAAGCTTGGGTTGTCATATTGGAACTCATCATATAAATAAATTTACCCAAAATTGTTTATGACCATGAATGACAAAGCTTTACTGTGCTCAAGCACATTTGCATTTTAGAATAAGATAAACAGCTTTGTTCAAAGAATGAAAGTCTAATGGTGAAATTTTGCCGCCATTGCAGGGCTAGTGCCCCTCATGTCACATTATGAGGTTAGCTTCTTTTACAGATTCAAAGGATAAAACAAGGGCCCTCTACTTTGTCCCTGCTGAATTCTCGAGACCTAGAACAGGCACATAATTGATGCTTATTAAAGATGTACAAATTAATGATCAGATTTTAGCCAGGGCCAGATTTCAGTTTTAGAAACATCACTCTGGCTGTAATATGAAAGTTAGATGGAAGAGGTAACACTAGAGAGGAGACCAAGCAGGAAGTTGGTGGCAAACCCTGACAGTAGACACACGGCCATGGCTTCCAGGGTTTTGGACTAAAATCCTACCCTCTTCAGGAAATAACTAGTCTCATTCTGGAAAACATCTGTTGGCTTATTAGTGGTCTCTGAGGGAGGCTAAAAGCCTGACCCTGGGGTGCCCTGTGACCATGTGGCCCATACTTCTCATCATGAATGGGTCTTCTCTGGACCATTAAACCATGAAGCAGGAGGAGCATAGCAAGACTGGATCCAACCTTACAGCACAAATAAAACTGCAGGATGTCAAGGATCAATGGACAAGGTGACCTGTTCTGTGGACATGTGACCTACTCAGTTTCACACTCTGGCATTTTCTCAATGTGCTCGTGAGCAAATGTCTGTGCAGTAAGGTCAGGGGTCCCACATGGCTCAGAAGAATAGGCCTCCTCTCACTGAGGCTGACTTGGCTGCTGCAGGCCTGAGTGTCCCGTCAGTCAATGGCAGGAAGCAGCCCGTGAACATCTTGGAGGGGGCAGTGATTTGTCCTCAATGGGGGAGACACATCCAGATTTGGGTTTGCCTTCTGAGCCCATCATACTCATGTGACTTATTGAATGTCTTATTCACCAGGGTTTTTTACCAAAACACTGCTTCTGATTAAGAACTCAGTTGGCTTTGGGTCTGCTTACTTCCAGTCAGTACCTGGGCCACTGACCACTCTCAATGTTCTTTTCTGCACGTGGATATTCAGGCTGACCTATTTCCTGGCTTGTAGGTTTGACACACTTTTCTTTCCTGTTTGAATCGTAGGTACCTTGAAGCTATCTGAAAAAAAAAAAATTGGCTTGGGTAGAAAGGCAACACCCTGGATTTGTTCTTTGCCTGAGGCTTCCTCTCTGTGTGGCTGAGGAGTCTTAACAGGCCTTTGAGAAAGGGCGTGAGTACTGGTTTTATCACTTGCAGCTCTGGTTCAATTAAGTGCTATTATAAGCCTCTTTACGTATCAGTTGGCTTTTCAACCCTTAACAAGTCTCTTCTTTTTGGATGCTCTCTACTTTCTTCCAGCTCTGCTTGCAAACTTGTCAATTCTTGTCTTAGTTGATCACTTTTTTAAAAACCTGTTTATAGACAGCAAAGAGAAGCCAACACAGATTGACATTTGGATTCTTTCCAATAGCTTCATTTGAAGCAATAGGAGAAGCGATCTGCTTCTCCAGTTATTGTAGGTAATAGCTTTGCCAAATGTTTTTTGACAATAGAACAAGGGTGGTCAACATTTTAGCCTGAAATACCCACGTCCCCATCACCTGTGATTCTCTCATTGTACCAATGCCACATCTTAGGTTTCAGTTATGGCAGCACTATGCACATTTCTGTATTATTTAGGGCAAGTGCCCAGCTGCTGCAAAGAGAAGCCAAAATGCCCTGGTTTAAATAGGATAGATATTTATTTCTCTCACATATTACAGTGCAGTACAGTGCAGGTTCTGTTCCAGGAAATCATTCAGGGATGCATTTGAGTGAAGTCAAGCAATTGTCTTCAAATCATAGCTTCCACAGCTGCTAAAGACATAGAAAAAGGAAAGGTGATTTGAAAGTAAACATCTTTCAGAAGAGGAACTGGAAGATGAACATACCAATTTCATTCATTTCCATTTGGTGAGAACTCAGGTAATTGGCTACATTTAGCTGCAAAAAGTTTGAAAAAAGTCATCTTAAGTCGGGGCAGCCCCACCGAAGAAAAAGTGAGAATAGTTTTGGGGGGTTAACCAATATTATGGTCAGCATACTGGTCTACCTTATTCTTTATAGTGCTTATGTAGCATACGACTTAACAGATATACGGTAATTTTTCAACCATGTCCCTCTTGGAGGATTTTTAGATTGTTTCCAATATATTGCTATTATAATCCCTCTTTATACATAAATATTTGTGCCCTGTAATTTTATAATTTGTGTCCAAACTGCCCTCTGAAGTTGTATTATCCTATCCTCATACTAAGGGTGCTGGCTTCCCCATGGCTTCACAAAATTGCGTCTTATCTGACTTTTTAGTTTTTGCCAATTTATTAGGTAAAAGATGGTGTCTTGTTTTAGCTTGCATTTAAAAAATTATGTTTAGCATTTTTTCCTTCCTTTATAAAATCATTTTCTTTCTCCCTTCCTTCCCTTCCTTCCTTCCTTTTTCTTTTTCTTTCTTTCTTTTCATTCCTTCATTCCTTCCTTTTTTTTTTTTTTGAGAGAAGTCTCTCTCTTGTCCCCCAGGTTTGAGTGCAATGGCTTTTTCTCTGCTCACTGCAACCTCCACCTTCTGGGTTCAAATGATTCTCCTGCCTCTGCCTCCCAAGTAGCTGGGATTAAGGCGCCTGCCACCATGCCCAGCTAATTTTTGTATTTTTTAGTAGAGATGGTGTTTCACCATGTTGGCCAGGCTGATCTCGAACTCCCGACCTCAGATGATCCACCTGCTTTGGCCTCCCAAAGTGCTGGGATTACAGACGTGAGCCACTGCACCCGGTCCCTCCCTCCTTCCTCCCTCCTTTCCTTCCTTCCTTCCTTCCTTCCTTCCTTCCTTCCTTCCTTCCTTCCTTCCTTCCTTCCCTCCTTCTGTCTCTCTCTCTCTCTCTCTCATCTCTCTCTAGTTTTGGAACTGCCTATTCTAACCCTTTATAACTTTCCTGTTGAGTTTTTGGTAAGTTTTAAAAATAAATTTTAATGAGAATTTTATAGATGCATAACACTTTTCCAAGTATAGTATTCCTGGGTGTCACTGAACACCACAGGTGGGCAAACTACAGCTTGGAGGCCAAATCTGTCCTGTAAATGGCATTTTATTGGAACACAGTCATGCTCATTTGTTAACATATGGTCTATGGCTGCTTTTGCCCTACAACGGCTGAACTGAGTGGTTTTGACAAATATTATATGGCCTTGAGTCTAAAATATTTACTCTCTAATCTTTACACAGAAAAAGTTTGCTGATTCTTGCCCCAGACTCCATGAAAGAATCTCCAGTGTTGTGGGCTGTACACGTATATTTTGAAAAAAGCTTCTCAAGTTTCTAAAGTTTGAGAAGCATGTTTGGAAAAAAAAGTATCCAAAGTTTGAGAAACATGATTTAGTTAGTAGTAGAATACAGAAAGGCATACTTTCCCATCAGACTCCTTTTCACATCTTCTGCATTTCTTCCCCTTTTCTTTCCACATCTGACCACCCCAAACCAAAGTTTTAAGAGAAACATCTAGGGGGTTTCCAAGTTAGTATGGCTAGTAATAATCTGTCTTATTACTCAGGCATTGCAAAATTCCTTAGCTGTAGTAAAACTTTATAAACAGTAAAAATTTGGGGCAAAAGCAAAAAATGGACATTTCTCACATCTTGAAAAAGAAAACACAATTCTTCTCTTTAGAAAATAATATTGATATGCACAGTTGTACATGTGAGTGCCTAGACATGTATATATTAGCATAATGATGTGTGTGTATGTTTATGCATGACACACATGGAAACATATACATTGGAAGCACCGCTTTGGATCAAACTCATGATTCAGACAGTCCAGTATATTGTTTCTAGTACATGTCTCCAGCCACCCTCAAACCTGCCAAGACCAGCTCGGTTGGGGAGACCCTAACCCAACAGCGCTAGAGGAATTAAAGACACACACACAGAAATATAGAGGTGTAGAGTGGGAAATCAGGGGTCTCACAGCCTCCAGAGCTGAGAAGCTCAAACAGAGATTTACCCACTTATTTATTAACAGCAAGCCAGTGATAAGCATTGTTTCTATAGATTATAGAGTAACTAAAAGTATTCCTTATGGGAAACAAAGGGATGGGCTGAAATAAAGCGATGGGTTTGGCTAGTTATCTGCAGCAGGAGCATGTCCTTAAGGCACAGATCGCTCATGCTATTGTTTGTGGATTAAGAACGCCTTTAAGTGGTTTTCCACCCTGGGTAGGTCAGGTGTTCCTTGCCCTCATTCCGGTAAACCCACAACCTTCCAGCGTGGGTGTCATGGCCATCACGAACATGTCACAGTGCTGCAGAGATTTTGCTTATGGCCATTTTTTGGGCCAGTTTATGGCCAGATTTTGGGGGGCCTTTTCCCAACAAAACCTTTCACAAACAAGGAAATAACCACTTAAACATCTGAAGCTTTCGATGTCAATCTCAAAGTTACAGGATTAGTCTGAATGATCCTACTTTCCCTTAGTACTCCATTTGACTCTGTTATTTGTGACTTTATTAGATCCTCTTTAAAAGGTATTTATATATTATCCCTACTCTCATTCCACTCCAACAAAGTGCAATAGGGTTCTGCTCCTAAGGACAGAAAACACTCCAGGGGACGGCATGCAATTATTACTTAAGTCACTAAAGCAGCATTTATTTTCTGTGTTATTTTCTCTCTCATTGCAGGAAATGTTTCAATACCACCTGAATTTCAGGCAAATGCTCATATAAAGTTTTTTTCCCTAAATGTTAATAGATTTAATTTCCTAAATGATGAGGAAATTCTGTATTTGCTGCACTGATGGCCTAGAATCTTCTTATGTGTGAACTAGAATTTCAAACAGCTTCATAACTTAAAAGGTAGAATTGAAGCATACCAAAAACAATGTAAGCATTGCATATGTTCCTTTGGCTTGGAGTTTAGAATTGGTATTTCCTTTCAGATGGTGCATTTATTGCCAAAGATTCAAGGGACTATGTTTCATTTAATAGGTGCATTATGTTAGAAACAGTAATCTGGATCACAGAATTAATAGATTTTTCTAGAAATGGAAATATTATTATTATTCAGAAAAAGAAATTAGGTGCTTCATAAGATTTCTAGGCTCTTAGCAAATGAATTGTGGAATTTAATGGGCTGGCCATGGCCCCTCTGTTCTGAATATCTTATGTTAAGTTCACTGTGTGGGAATTCTATGTTCATGCCCAGTTTGAGCCATGTGCAGAGCTATAGATGATCCTGTATTAAGATGTCCTTTAAACACAATGCACACACTGAGATGTTTTGACTTAATAAAGTGAATATTAGTTAATGTGATGGTTAATTTCAGACATCAACCCAAAAGGGCTAAAGGATTCCCAGATAACTGGCAAAATATTATTTCTAGGTGTGTCTGTGAGGGTGTTTTGGGAATAGATTAACGTTTGAATCAGTGGACTGGGTAAAGAAGATCCACCCTCACCAACGTGGGCAGGTGTCATCCAATTCGTTGAGGGCCAGAATAGAACAAAAAGGTGGATGAAGGAAGGGGTTTCCTCTTTCTTGAGCTGGGACACCCATCTCTTCCTGCCCTTGGACATTGGAGCTTTTGGTTCTCAGACCTTCAGACTCTGGGACCCAGACTAGCAGCCTTTGACTGAGTTACACCATTGGCTTTTCTGGCCTTTAGAGTCACACATCATCAGCTTTCCTGATTCTCCAGCTAGCAGATGGCATATTGTGGGACTTCTCAGCCTCTGTAACTATGTGAGCCAATTCCCATAATGAATCTCCTTTTATATCTGTCTATCTATCTATCTATCTATCTATCTATCTATCTATCTATCTATCATCTATCTGTCTATCGTCTATCTATCTATCTTATTGGATTTGTTTCTCTGAAGAACTAGGACTAATACAGTTAACTTTTTTTTTGTTTTTTTGAGACAGAGTCTCGCTCTGCTGCCCAGAGTGGCACGATCTTGGCTCACTGCAAGCTCTGCCTCCCGGGTTCATGCCGTTCTCCTACCTCAGCCTCCCAAGTAGCTGGGACTACAGGCGCCCGCCACCATGCTCGGCTAATTTTTTTGTATTTTTAGTAGAGACGAGGTTTCACTGTGTTAGCCAGGATGGTCTCGATCTCTTGACCTTGTGATCTGCCCGCCTCAGCCTCCCAAAGTGCTGGGATTACAGGCGTGAGCCACTGCACTTGGCCCACAGTTAACATTTTTTTAATCTTCAAGGTTTTAAGATTGATATTCCTTATCCTATTCAATACAGATTTAGTTTACCTGTTCATTTCATCCTTAGGTTTCAATAACTTTTATTTCATCACTGATAACACCTCTTTTTCTTAGTGTCTCTCTTCACTCATGTTGATCATGTAGATCAAAGGCTGGTAAACTATTGAAAGTATAGCAGCAAAAGAAAAAATAAATACATTAGTCTACATCAAAATTAAAAACTTCTGTGCATCAAAAAACACAATCAACAAAGTGAAAAGTCAGTCCACAGAATGGGAGAAAATGTTTGTAAATCCTATATACGATAAATGGTTAATATTCCAAATATATAGAGAACTACAACTCAAAAACAAGAAAACCAAAAAACTTGATTAAAAAGTGGGCAAAGGACCTGTATAGACATTTCTCCAAAGAAGATGTAAAAATGATCAATAAGCACATGAAAATATGCTCAACATCATTAATATTTAGGGGAATGCAGATCAAAACCATATAACCCCTTATACCCATTAGGATGGCTACTATTAGAAAAAAACCCAAAATAACAAGTATTGGTGAGAATGTGGGAAATTGGAATGAAGCACTGTTAATGGAAGTGTAAAACGGTGCAGTCTCTATGGAAAACAGCATGGTGGTTCCTAAAAAAATTAAAAATAGAATTACCATATGATTCAGCAATGCCATTTCTGGGTATACACCCAAAAGAATTTAAAGCAGGGACTTGAAGAGAGATTTGTTCACCCATGTTCATAGCAGCATGATTTGTAATAGCCAAAAAATGGAAGTGACCCAAGTGTCCATCAACAGGTGAATAATTTGTAAAGCATGTTAGTGATTTCTTTCTTTGCTCCTGTAAGGCTATCTATCCATCCTGCACAATTCCTTGAGGAATTATCTGTCTAATCTACTTATCTATTGCTGCATAGCAAATTATCCCTAAAGGTAGCAATTTAAGACAACAAAGATTTGCTTTCTCATATAATTGAGAGTTGGGAATTTGGAACAGATTAGTTGGTACATGAAGTTGCATTCAAGCTGAGCTGGGGATACAGTCTTCTTAAGGCTTAACTGAGGCTGGAGGATATAAACAGAAACCCAAGCTCATTCAGGTGGTTGCTGGCAGAAGGCTTCAGTTCATCACATTATGGATTTCTCCATAAGGTTGCTCATGACATGGCAGCTGGTTTTACTTAGAGGAGTGATCTGAGAGATAAAGATTGGAGATAGAGATAGAAATAGAAGTATAGATATGTAGATATGCAGTAGTACCCTCTTAACTGGGTTTCGCTTTCTGTAATTTCAGTTACCACTGCCAATTGCAGGCCAAAACTCTTAAGTGAAAAATTTCAGAAATAAACCCTTTGTAAGTTTTCAGTTGCATGCCATTTTGAGTAGCATAATGAAATCTTGCACTGTCCTGCTTCATCCTGCTTGGAACATGAATCATTCTTGCGTCCAGTGGATTCACACTGTATGTGCTGCCCAGCCATGAGTCACTTAGTAGCTGGGTCAATTATCAGATGGCAAAAACATAGCGTATGTAGGGTTCTGTACTATCTGCAGTTTCAGGCATCCACCGAAGGTTTTCCACTGGGGAACAGATCCTCCGTGGATAGACGGGGTGGGGAATACTGTGTATAGTGTCTTTTATAACTCAGTCTCAAAAGTGACATGCTCTCATTTCTGCTATAATGGTCAGGTCTGATATAATACGGGAGGGGACTACACAGGGTGTGAATCGTAGGAGGCAGGGATTTTGGGGGCAGTCTTGGAATCTGGCTACCACACCTACTGACGCTTTGTGACCCCTCAAGTTTCAGCCCTCAGTAGCCTACCCTACAGCAAATTCCTCCCGGAGTCTTCCAGCTCCAGTAGCCCTCTTGTATTGAGTTCCTTCAAGACAGCTCATACCCAGCTACCAATTCGTCTCATGAGAAAATCGCTGTCTCTGCCATATTGAGTGGTAGAAACACAGACTTGTGCTCCTGCCTCAACTGTACCCTTGTGCTGCCATCACGAGCGGCTTTAGAAGAGTCTAGAAAATTCCCATTGTTTGTTTTCTTTAACTATTTTGCTATTATTTCCAGATAAGCATCATTATACTTGATTAAATAGACATAAAATATTACTGTTTTAAGAACATCACATCGGTGTTTTCTGTTGGTGTTTTCTTGCCTTTAATACTATTGATTGACTACCATTTGTTCAGTCTTTTCAGTTAAATAATTTTATGTGTGCAAGTGATGTGTTATGATCAGTAATTACTTCTTCATTTAATAAAGAATGTGAAGTTGCAGGGATTCTGTCTGAACTGATTAAGCTGTGCATTTGATAATATTTTTCTTGCTTATTTTCATTGTTTTCACCAGTAATTAAATTTTTATGAAAGATTTTAAAGTCTAGTTTCTCCCATTGTTTTCAGATTTTGAGTTTAAGCTAACCATTTCTTTGAAGATGTTCTTACATATCTTTTTCTTTTTACCTCCCCCATCTCCTTTTTTTAAATTTAAATTTTAAGTTCTGGGGTACATGTGCAGGATGTGCAGGTTTGTTTCATGGGTAAATGTGTGCCATGGTGGTTTGCTGTACCTATCAACCCATCCCCTAGGTATTAAGCCCAGCATGCATTAGCTATTTTTCCTAATGTTCTCCCTCCCTCCCACTACCCCACCTCCCCCAACAGGCCCCAGTGTGTGTTGTTCCCCTCCCTGTGTCCACGTGTTCTCATTGTTCAACTCCCATCCCCCACCCCTTTGATACATGTTTGATCAAGTCTATCATTACACAGATGAAAAAATTATATAAGATTTGTTTTATATTATGAAATCCAGATGATCAATTCCTACCATATTCTTGACTTGTAGTTATTCTCAATGATTTAGTATTAAAAAATATAATTGTGTTCAGACTGTTTGGATTTTAAATATATTTATATCTATCTATAATTAAAATAAATAATAAAGGGAAATATAAAAATTATAATTTCATTTTTAAAAAGTTATTTTTCACTAACGTATTTGGGATATCTTGTTAAAATAAAAGGTAAAATAAAATTAAATAATAAATTATATGTACAATTGGTGAGATTTTAGAATCAAGATGGTCTAAGCTGAAACAATGTTTTGTAATTTTAATTAAATCTTACTACATATATTAATGAAAATAACACAATTTATAATTATAGTGTTCCATCTTGCTTTAGTTGTCTAGATAAGTAATTGACATATTACATCTACACCTATTAGATATAGTTTTAAGAAAAAAATGAATTGTTCAATGTGGAAAAGTATTTCTTAGCTACTACTATGTGCAACTGCTGCACATCTCACACTAGTTTGTGAAAGCCTCTAAAACATGTTTTGGAGCATGAACAGAAGCAAGTAAATGGATGCTGCTGGAACGTGGTGCTTCATGATGCAAACATTTATTAGTTTAATGCTGTGAGGAAGGAACGATTTGGCAAATAGATTTTTCTTTTCTCTTTTTAAGCACTTCTACCTCGCAAGTCCTCATTGATGTCTGAAGCTGTCTCTCTGGCATACTCCATAGCAGAATCCATCACTCTATACCCTACTTTATTTCTAGACATAGGGTAAGAGATGTGAACTACAGTTATTCCTGTGGTATAACTGGTATTGGTCAAGAGAGCAGGTGTTTCGAGTTATGGGTTACACATGCCAGCACATTGGATGTGGTGTACAATATATGTTCAATGTATTTTTACTGAGTCAAATCATCTGTAGTAATTAGGTCACCTTAACTGAGACTGGATCTAGTGCTACTGAGGCCATGAGACTCAGAGCAGAAGGAGGTTGACAGATTGTTTAACTTCCTAGGAGCTTTAATGTTTGAAGAAAATATGTTCTTAATGGTTGTTTAATGTTCAATTAATAAATAATTTAAATTTATTAATCAATTGCCTTTTTTTTTTTTGAGACAGAGTCTCGCTCTTGTCACCCAGGCTGGAGTGCAGTGGTGCAATCTCAGCTTACTGCAGCCTCCGCCTCCTGGGTTCAAGTGATTCTCCTGCCTCAGCCTGTGGAGTAGCTGGGACTACAGGCATGTGCCACCACGCCTGGCTATTTTTTTGTAATTTTAGTAGACATGGGGTTTCACCATGTTGGCCAGGCTGGTCTTGAATTCCTGACCTCAGGTGATCCACCCACCTTAGCCTCCCATAATGCTGGAATTACAGTCGTGAGCCACCGTACCCTGCCAATCAATTGCCATTTTTAAAAAGGTGACATTTCCCTAAAGGATTACATGGCACTTACACAAGTAATAAAAAAAAGTCTTATGAGTTTTACCAATTAGATTCCACCAAATATTTAAACATTTATTAAACATTTAATTAAAGGCCTTTACATTTTAATTTAAATGAAGATTCATAAGTACTTTAAATCCCATAAGAAACACAAATGTATAAAACATTGCAAAGTTTACAAAACCAATTAAAGATGTTATACCAAAATGATTATGAGCAGAAGAGATAAAATATTACTTTTTGTTCTTATCCTGCACATTCCTAGGGTTTTATTTTTTACATTTTCTAGGGGTTTCAATAATCCTGCCAGCCATTGTTTTATTACTAGCTTATGATTTTTGTAACCCTACCGGACCCAAAGAAAAATGAAGGTTATTGCAGGATAGCTGACATTGCAGGTTCTTTGGTAGAAATCACAAGTTTTTGAGTGGCAACATCCAAGAAATTCAAACCCAAGTGTTGATAACAGGCTGAGTCTGTTTTATAAAAACGTACTCATTTCATTATGGAACTCGCAGGTCCTTGCCTTTTATGAAGATTCTCAGTTTTTGAGATGTGTCTTTCTTCAAATGGGGTATCCTTTAAGTTTTTGAGAATAGCTGTACATTTTGGTATATAGACATAGATTCCTGATATTTTAAAAATACAAGTGTTTATCATTAGTATTTTATTAAAATTAGTAGCTATAATTAGTAGAAATTTTCCTTCCCTAGAAAGTAGGAGATTGAGTTTTTCTGGGTAGTTTTCTTCTCTAGAACATTTGGTGAATATGTCCTTTTGGAAGCCTCCTGCGGCCTCTCTTTGTAATTGATCTTACTATGAGAACCCACATGTGCTGGGCCTTCCTCTCTCTGCCTGTTGTATAAAATCAGCAGAGCTGATCAGATCTTCCTGTTCTTGGCAGGGTTCCTACTTTTCTGGGATTGTTTGGTTCGCTCACATGTTTTTGTTCACCCTTTCCTGTTTACATAGGCAGAAACAAATACATATACAGTTTGAAATATATAGAGATGCTTAATTGAAGAACAAAATCTCCATATCACCTTTTCATATATTCATGATTTCTTCAATATTTTTATATTTGTATTTATATACATTTTTAAAATATTTTTATATTTTATATGTTATATATTTAAAAGTCATTAAAAATTAAAACCAATTCTTTTCATTTTATTATTACAACCAATTTTTTTCTGCATGTTATGCTGACTTTTCTCTTTTGAGCTTTGCTTTGAACTCATTCTCAAATTGGCATAACTTGGCTGACGGGAAGTAAGCTGCCTTCTACTTCAACCTTTTAGCTCTGCCCCGATTTTCTTATGACAAAAATAGTGTCGTAAGAAACATCTGGGTTTTTTCTTCCATACGGACTCATTGAAGAGTCCTGTAGCTTTGAATTGGAGATTAGTGTTAGAGACCTAAATCTGAGGGTTGGGATGCATCTGAGAATTGTGAACGGTGAGAACTGTCACTGCTACTATGGATTGAATGAAAGGTAATGATATTTTTGAGGTTATGGCTCCACATTAATCTTCCAAATTTATCCTTGTGCCATATCTCATTTTCATTACAGTAAATGATTTTTTGACCTACCAAGATATCCTTCAACAGGCCGGGCATGGTGGCTCATGCCTGTAATCCCATCACTTTGGGAGGCCAAGGCGGGCGGATCACCTGAGGTCAGGAGTTCGAGACCAGCCTGGCCAACATGGTGGAACTCCGTCTCTACTGAAAATACAAAAATTAGCCGGGCATGTTGGTGGGCACCTGTAATCCCAGCTACTCTGGAGGCTGAGGCAGGAGAATTGCTTGAACCCAGGAGTGGAGGTTGCAGTGAGCTGAGATCGTGCCACTGCACTCCAACCTGGGTGACAGAGCAAGACACCGTCTCAAAAAAAAAGAAAAAAAAATTAGCCAGGGACTACGTGCCTGTAGTCCCAGCTACTCAGGAGGCTGAGTCAGGAAAATTGCTGAACCTGGGAGGCGGAGGTTGAAGAGAGCTGAGATTGCCCCATTGCACTCCAGGCTGGGTGACAGAGCCAAAAAACAAATATCTTTCAACAGTGACAAAGCAGAGCTTAGTGAAGAGAGATAGTGCTTTTAGGGGATTAGTGAGATCCTCTAGCTGGATCATCCAGAGGAAAAGATTTATGTATGTATGTATGCGTGTTTGATGTGATATGTGTGTGTCATGTGGTATGTGGTCTGTGTGTAGTGTGTGTGTATGTGGTATGTGGTATGTGAGTGTATGGTGTAATGCATTGTGTGTGGTGGGTATATGTGTATGGTGTGTATGTGGTGTGGTATGTGGTGTGTGTGAAGTGTGTATGTAGTGTGTTTTCTGTGTGTGGTGTGTATGTAGTGTGATGTATATGTGGTGTATGGTGTGGTATGTGTTTGGGGGTTGTGTATGTGTTGTGTGTATGTTGTGTGTGCATGTGTTGGGATAAGAAGAGGGAGATTGGTTGAGACTTAAGCTAAGATGGGTATGGCATGCCCAAACAGTCTTGAAATTTTTGATATAAAGTTTTATTTTTTCCTATCTTTTGATGTTGATTGAATTAGGGTAGTGGTTAGTATTGCTTTTGAGTGTTGATTTTAGAAGCATTTTAGGTTGAGTCAAAGGGACAAACAGTATATCAGCATCACTCTTTTTTTGCCAGCTTTTTTTTTTTTGAAGCAAAAACAAAATTCCAATTCCTTAAGAAGAGCAAAACATGCACCCACATGACCACTGCTTTCAGAGAGAAAGTCTTGGTGGGGAGCTATGGTGACACTCATTTAAGTGACAATGAAGTTACTTACATACATTCAGAAATTTATACAAAGAGGGCTTTGTGCATGGAGACAGGCGGGCCAGGCACATCCTGGTAGTGCAACAAGCCCTTGGAAATCTGGGCACATCTTGTCTTTCTACTTTCACATCCTCCTGTATATAGGGGCTTTTGTCCTTATTCTTGTTGCCTCAGGGTTAAAAGATGCTTTCTGCACCTCACAAAATGCTTTCTGTCGACTCTACTATCAGGAACTAGGGGAAAGAGATGAGGGTGAAAGTTGTGGCAGTACCTATTTAATAACATAATTAAAGTATTCTTGAAAGTTCTACCCAGCACAAATGGTGGAAATAGAGGGAAGTGGATGGATTTAAGAAATATTTAGAAGGGAAAATTAATAACACTCGGAAATAATTAGATATGAAGGATGAGAGGGAGGTGCTAAGGATGATGTCAAGGTTTCTGGTTTGGGTACCTGGATTGGTGATGGTGCCATTCACTTAGAAAATTGTGGAAGGGGATTGGGTTTTGGGAGAAGATCATGTGTTTAGTTATGTTGAGCATGAGGTGCCTCCAAAACATCCAAAAGGAGATGTCCGGTAGACAATTAGATATAGTTGCTCTACTTTTTTCTTGCAATGAGAGTTCTTTTATTAGAAGCATTGTTGTGTGGTAAAGCATGATGGCCAATGAGACACTCAATAAGTCCACAGGTGCTGGCCCAAACAGAAACACGATGAGCTAGGATGGTAAACCCAAATCTGGATGTGTCTACCCCACTGGGCAGATCACTGTCCCCTCCAAGATATGCTAACATCCAAGCTGTTCACAGGCTGCTTCCTGCCATTGGTTGATGGGACACTCAGGCCTGCAGCAGCCAGGTCAGCCTCAGTGAGAGGAGGCCTGTGCTCTTCTGAGCCATGTGGGACCCCCATCCCTATTGCACAGACATTTGCTCACGAACACATTGAGAAAACACCAGGGTGTCTGGGAAAGAGACTGACTAGGTCACACGTCCACTGAGTGGGTCACCTTGTCCATTGATCCTTGACATCCTGCAGTCTTATTTGTGCTGTAAGATTGGATCCAGTCTTGCTATGCTCCTCCTGCTTCATGGCTTGATGGTCCAGAGAAGACCCATTCATGATGAGAAGTGTGGGCCACATGGTCCCAGGGGACCCCGAGGTCAGGCTTTCAGCCTCCCTCAAGGGGAGTAATAAGACAGTAGACATTTTCCAGAATGAGACTAGTTATTTGCTGAAGAGGGTGGGATTTTAGTCCAAAACCTTGGAAGCCGTGGCTGTGTGTCTACTGTCAGGGTTTGCCACCGACTTCCTGCTTGGTCTCCTCTCTAGTGTTACCTCCTCTATCTAACTTTCATATTACAGCCAGAGTAATGTTTCTAAAACTGAAATCTGGCCCTGGCTAAAATCTGATCAATAATTTATTCAATCGCAATCCTTCAACACATATTTAACAAGCACCAATTATGTGTTGGTTTCAGGTCTTGAGGATTCAGCAGAGACCAAGATAAAAAGCACTGGCGAAAACTGAGGTGGAAATTAAAGAAAAAAAATTAAAAAGAAAAAGAAATAAGCTTTCCTGTATTAGGCTGACTTATCCCAGGGGCAGCAACAGGCACAGCCCAGACCCAGGAAAAGCCTCGATAAACACTATCTGGGAAGCCAGGGCTCAAAGGAATGTGCTCTGGAGACTCTCCCAGCACTCCCTCAACCTTGGGAGGAGAAAAACAAATTTTCCTTTCTCTTATGGTATGAGTTTATAGATTCCTGTTCTCTGTAACTAGTAACTTCAAATATTCTGTTTTATCTAAGTGGTACAGTGAAGGTCCTGAGCTGTCTGAGCAGGCCTGAACTACAGCTCCCTGGGCACCATAGCAAAGGTTATGAGATAAGCCTGTGCAAGGCACTAGAGCAAAGTCTAGATAACAGCCATCTGGGCTGCATAGCAAAGGTCATGTGTAATTCTGGGTTATGTACCTGTCACAATTTGATTAACTGCCTTTGTTCTGCCCTGTATCCTTGCTTTCATGCCACTATGCTTTGTGCCACTGTAAGCTTGTTTCAGGCTAGCCCACCCTCTTTTAGAAGTGTGTATACAAGTCAAGTCTGTCTTTGTTCTGGGCCCAGTCTCTGGATGATCATCCACTGGGTCTGATTGCACTCAATAAAATCATCCTGCTCTTCCCCGTGGTCTCTCTAGTCCTCCTGATTCCCGCAAGAAAACCACAATTACTTTTGCACAAACCTAATACTACACATATGTGTGTATGTAAACTTATATATTTTTTAAGTTTAAAAAATGAATTAAAAATTACATGAATCTATATGTAAATATATATAATATTATATATGTGTGAATATATGAGAGATATATATTTAATTTTCTTTCCTATTTCTTACCTCACCACGTCTATAGGGTGTGTTGGCAGTTGTTAATTTTCAACTTGTCCACAGAATACAGTGAATTAGTTCTTCTGGGACTTAAGAACCAAGTGGCTGAGCTGCTTGTTGGCAGTATGAACTAGAAAAGTCATCTCTTTTTCTGGGCTGAACTCAAATACAAAAATTTTCAATTCATCTAGTAAACGCAAGGGACTGTAAACCAAATGTTGCTTCCAAACCCTGAGGAGGTCCACCGAGTGACCTTTTTTAATGGTAGGGGGTAAAAAGGATAGCGACATGTCACTTAATTCAGAGGGTATCTCACAGTGTGCTGAACCTCCTAGGACTTGACTGATTGGGTAGGTTCCTGAATTTTATGAATTTTATTTCCTTCCCTCTGGCACACACGTATCCTACTAAATCATGTGGGTGAGGGTTACTTCTGGCTCTCCAGCTCTGTCAGCCCAGTCTCCTCTGAGCAGTAGACAGTGCCATGTCCTGCAGATGGTAGAGCACTCCAGTTCTCTCCTGAAGGTGTGTTTCTGGTGTTCTATATTGACTAAAATAGAGAAAAATAGATTTGCCTGATGAAAAGCTGCATACTGGTTTTCAGAGGTTGTGTTGACTTTCTCCAATCAATGACTGTTTTTTCAACAGCAGCTATAACAGGAGTTACTACCTGATTAAACCTACAATTACTCTTTGTCATTTTCCAAAACCCACTTACTTTTTTTCAGACCAAAAAAGCTAGTGAATGAGTATACAGGCACATGGTAATAAAAGTCAAACAAACTTCCATTTGTTTGTATTAGAGCTTTTAAATCTTCTAGAGACAATACCTCCCTTCATTCCTCTAAAGCCTTGACTTCAAGGGACATTTTATTCCAGGGTATCATAGAGGAAATTTGATTAAAGGCAAGCATTAGCTTCTAGTGTCCCATCTCTTACCTATGTTTTCACTGCCCTCAGCTCTAACAAGGCTAAAATATACACACAAATTTTCTCTGTCTCTCAAGGCCTGTTATTTGGAACCAGTGATGGTACTAATTTATGTAGTAGGCTGGTCTCTTAGGTGTAAGCAGCAGAAACCAAATCTGGGTAATTTAAACAGAAAAAGGACGGTATTAAAAGGATGTTGATTAGAGAAAAGCAATTTGAAACCATAAGCAGGAACTAAACCAGCTTTAACTTTCTGCTGATTCCTTCATTAATAATGAGTTCAATAAATCTTTAACATGTGTTATATTCATGAGGCTGGGAGATCTGTTTTAACTGAATATTGTACTTTGACAATTTTTGGAGATTCCACATAGATGTCCCAGGAAACTCCCCTTCTGAAATTAATTAGGCTTATTGAATTTTGCACTGATTGATGCCAGGTATTTCTTGTGCTCTTGGAGACAATCTCAAGCAGCAATAAACACTTACCCTGCTGGCTCTGTTTCTCTGTTCTTTTCCCTTCTTCAAGTCTGTTTTTGTTTTTGTTTCTGTTTCTGTTCTGAGCTACATCTATTCATCCAATTATGCCTTGTCTAATTTAAGTTTGGTCCATATTTATTTTTTCACTGAAGTTCAGGGACTAGTATTAATACATACCCAGCCTGTCTCTACTGAGATCGCCACCCTGTGTACATGTGAGTCTGGCTTGTGCACAGCTAATCTGTTACTCTCCTTTTGTGGCAGCAGTGGATGGAGATCTGGTTCTATGCACTGACTTTTTTTGTCATCTCTGTTGGAATGACAAAGATCTATTCTTCTTTGGCAGATACTATACACACACACACACACACACACACATTGTGAGCTTTGCTGGTCTGCTAAAATGCTAGTGTACGAAAGACAGTTCTCAATGTCCTGTCTTCCAGAGTTTTCCATGAAAGAGAAATTAATTACTTTGTTTAAAAGTTATGATTACTCTATGTGGTTGAGACTATCCTAAGTAAAGTGGAGGCAGAGAAGTATGAATGTAGAATCTAGGTAATAATGGGATGAGTTATTATTTAGCAAGGAAGAGAAAGAGTAGACTTTCTTATAGGAGAGCATCTTGTTAAAGAAGTAGTAAAGAAAAAACCTGATATGATATTTAAGGTTTATAGAAGGCTTGCAGAAAGAGAATTTTATTTGCCTTGGATTAATACCTAAAGGTAAATGAATCTGAAAAGAAGCAACACAATGTGCTAAAAGTTTTGGCAAAGTTGGCTCAATTTTGACAGGTTTGTTTGTAAGATTTTTTTAAAAAAGAAAACACATGAATACCGTGTTAATGCAAGACTATAAATTTTTTCCTCTGTTAAAATGTGATAAGTTGGACTTGCAGTCCTCAGTCTGTGCTTATTAAGAGGTAGTAAATTATCCTTTACCTTTGTGTTATTTCAAATGGCAGAGATTACATATCTCATCAAAATAACTTTCTATGCTTTATGCTGACTTTGGTTTGTTTTTTGTTTGTTTGTTTTTTAAAGACAGGTTCTCGCTCTGTCACCAAGGCTGGAGTGCAGTGACATGATCATAGCTCACTGTAACTGTGAACCCCTGGCCTCAAGCAATCCTCCTGCCTTCGCCTCCCAAAGTGTCTAGATTACAGGCATGAGTCATTTGTACCTGGCCTGTTCTTGATTATTAAACAAACAAGTAAGCAAGCAAGCAAAGAATAAAAGTTACTTCTGAGTAAGCTAAGTTTTCCTACGATGGTGTTACCTTCTGTTGGGTTTATTTTTAAATGCTACATGAGCCTCTTATTAATAAGGGGCCAAACCACCTACTATGGCTATACGCTGATCACTAGCACCTGTGTAATGCTCTGAACTAGAAACCATCCACTTGTGTTGTTTCAGTTTTGCCTTCCCAAGATCAGATCTTAGATTCATAAAATTTTTTTCTTAAAAACGTTTTGCACTAAACAAACTATGTGGTTCCTCTGAGGTTCTTCCCAGATTAAAAATTGATTTTTTAAATTAAACTTTATAAAAAGAGGGGGGCTAAAAATAATTAGTTTTGGGGTGGTCTATTTTTCTTAACTCGTTCAACGCTATCATGACAGCTTCATGGAAAAGGTTAAATAAATGAGGCTCAGCTGTTCCTAGGTTAGTTCTGTGCTGGTAAAGTCCTACTGATAAGTGTGTTTCAGAGCTTGTTACAACTTGGCAGGATGGATTGGAAAGCCCTGGATATTTGTTAACAATTCTAACTGTTTATAGACTATTCTTATCTTCAGGGGAAATATTGATCAAATCCTCAGAAGGCAATTATGTATTATACCCTAGTAGAAAATTTTACTTTCCTTCATTCTGATTTTGTTAGTTATTATACTAACTGCAGCCAGTCTGTCTTCTTATAAACCAGTGGTCTCAGCCCTTCTCTTATACTTGCCTGAAGCCTCTGCTATAAGCTACAACTCTAGAAATGGATCTTTATCAAAAAAGGATAGTTTCAGAAATTTAGTGGAAAGGACTCTACCAGAAACTTCTACACTTATTGTTACTTCCAAGACTGGACTCACGCAGACATGGCTTCTGAGTGGGCATTACTTAGACTACTGTCAGACTGTCCAGAAAAGACATGAACTCTTGAAACTAGACTTCTCCCCAATATCCAGTGAGGCAAGACTTAATTAAGACAAATGATGGGCCGGGCATGGTGGCTCATGCCTGTAATCCCAGCACTTTGGGAGGCCAAGGCAGGTGGATCACGAGGTCAGGAGTTCGAGACCAGCCTGGCCAAGATGATGAAACCCCGTCTCTACTAAAAATACAAAAATTAACCAGGTGTGGTGGCGGGCGCCTGTAATCCAAACTACTCAGGAGGCTGAGGCAGGAGAATCACTTGAACCCGGGAGGCGTAGTTTGCAATAAGCTGAGATTGCGCCACTGCACTCTAGCCTGGGTGATAGAGCAAGACTCTGTCTCAAGAAAAAAAAAGAAAAAAAGAAAAATGATGAAATGATGAGAATACAAAACTGTGATTTTTTATTGGAATAATGTTAGCATTAGTTTTGATATCATATCTTTTCTTTTTTTTTAGTTCCCTGCAAGTGTTCCACATCTATGTTATATTTTTGATAGGTATATGATGGATACTGCTACTTAATCTATTCTTAACTCTTTTATTTCCAATCTTATTTTATTAGGACATTTTAAAAAGAGTATCTTATGGTCATTGATCCTTCAGTAATCAGCAACAATTATTTTTACCGAATCCCTTTTCTTTCAGTGGCAATGTAGTTACCTACATAGATTCAATAAAACCTTTTTAACAGACAATTAATTTTACAAATTAATTGACAAGTTCCAAATTATTTTTTTAGAGTGCCAATAAATTTATTTAAATATGTATGACTAGTCAACCATTAAAAAGCAAGAGTTGTACTTCACATATGAAACCAATGCTAAAAAGCCTCCTAGGAAGCTGTTCTGGTGTCTATTTCATGGTTTATAGAGACCCAGCCTTACAGGAAGTAAGGTCGCTTTCTTGCAGGCCCATGGTTTCAGAAGACTTTTGAGACCTTGAAAACAAAGGAATTTACCCACATTTATAGGTACTGCAGGTAATCTAACAGAGATGAATTTCTTGGGTTTGGTTTTCTAACATCATAATACAAGAGTAACTAAAAACATCTTGGAGTAATGGAGACTGTTAAAAAGACAGTTCCTACAAAGACTTTAGACAGAAGTTAATCTGGTCTTAAGTAGGTACAGCTCTGAATTTCCTAGTTATACACCACAGGTTGGTTTCTAAATGTTAAATAATGCTTCTTGCTACATCTACGTAAGTCTACGAGGCTAAACCACAATGAGATCCTTGATAATAGCAATGAAAGAATGATTAATGAAAAATGTCCATAACTTATAAAGAGAAAAGGATGACTGCATGTCCTTTCATTGTCAAATAGGTTCATCTTTGACTCGGTAGTTGCTATTTATTAAGAAATCTTGTTAGTCAGTCTGGGCTGCCATAGCACAAAAACGTAAACTGGGTGGCTTAAACAATAAATATTTGTTTTTCACAATTCTGAAGGCTGGAAAGTCCAAGATCAAGGTGCCAGCAGATCCAGTGTTTGGTGACAACCCACTTCCAGGTTCACAGATGGCTGTCTTCTCATTGTAGTCTTACATGGCTGAGAGGAAGATAACCGTTTTCATGTCTCTTCTTAAAAGGGCACCAATCTTATTCATGAGGGCTCCACCCTAATGATTTATTCACCTCTGAAAGTCCCCACCTCCTTATACCATCACAATGGGTATTAGGATTCCAACGTATGACTTTTGTAGAGATAGAATCACTCAGTTTGTACATCCAGATAGATGTTAATTTTTAGTATACTGAATGGCATGTAAATTATTCTCTAGAACAATGCAACTGATTTTTTTCCGTAGACATGTAAATGATTTTCAATAAAAAAGATAACCCTAAAGGTTATAGTTTCATTACCTGTAGGACACTAAGCAAGTTTGTATCTAAATTAACATTCTTTCTTTTAATGACTATAAGTATTTCTGTCTTTCCTTTAGTCCTTTGAACAAGCTTTATCTGTTTTCTGATTCCTCATTCAGGAGTTACTTTAATACATGCTCAAAGTCACATGCACACACACACGCAAACACACCATAATGAACCATGACTTAGTACCCACCAGAATGGCTAAAATTAAAATGTTAACAATACCAAATATTTACAAGAACATAGAACAACTAAAATTATTTTATATTGCTGGTTGGAATATAAATCAATCATTTTGGAAAAATGTTTGTGAGTAGCCACTAAATTTAAACGTATTTAAACCCAATGACCTATTCCTGGGTATATCCAACAGAAATCTGGACTTTTGTCTACCAAAAATCATACATAATAAGCTTTGTAGAAACTTTAATTGTAATAACCCAAAATTGGAAGCAACCAAATGTCCATCAACGAGTTATATAAATTGTGTTGTAAATACACAGTGGAAATCTAGACATCAATTAAAAAAATGATCTATTGATACATGCCTCAATAGAGGTATGAATGGATGAATTTTACAGATACAATGTTGAGTGAAGGCAGCTAGGCATAGAAGACTACATACTGTGTATTTCCATTTATATGAAGTTCAACAGCAGGAAAAACTTGTCTCTGGGAGACAAGTCAGGATTGCCATTCCTGAGGGAATACTGAGTGAGAGAGCTCTATGAACAAGCCTTCTGCATGTTGGAAATCCTCTATATCTTGATCTGGGCAGTGGTTACACAGGGAAGTGATATGTAAAATGTTATTGACCTACATTCTTTTTATTTTTTTTTTTGTCGTTTTTTGAGACGGAGTTTCACTCTGTTGCCCAGGCTAGAGTGCAGTGGCAAGATCTCAGCTCCCTGCAACCTCCGCCTCCGGGGTTCAAGTAATTCTCTGCCTCAGCCTCCCGAGTAGCTGGGATTACCGGTGCTCACCACCATGTGCGGCTAATTTTTTGTATTTTTAGTAGAGATGGGGTTTCACCATTTTGGCCAGGCTGATCTTGAACTCCTGACCTCATGATCCACCCACCTCAGCCTCCCAAAGTGCTGGGATTACAGGCGTAAGCCATCGCACCAGGCCTTATTGACCTACATTCTTAAGACTTGTGCTCTTTTCTGCATGTGAGTTAAGACTTAATTTTAAAAAATAAATTTTGGTTAATTTACAGGATTTCTGGAGGATGGGTGGCACAGAAGACCAGATCTGGAGGCTACATAGTCAGGAACAACATTCCTGTTGTGTTACAGAGTGGCCCATTGATGACCCTTTTGCTGCCACTGGGCACAGCACTGCAACTTATGTCCCATAGAGCTCTGACACTAGACGTCAGAATTTACCACTTAAACTGCATCCACAGCTGTCTCTGAGCCATTCCCACTCCCTGACCCCTGCCAGAATGAATTCTGCAGAGAACAGCTCACTTGTGACCTAGCTTGCAATTTAAAGCCTGGGCCAGGAGTATCTGATTGGCAAGTACTTGCCCTTAGTTGCAAGAAAGGTTGGGAGGGAGAGAGAGCATCTGCTACTATTTCATAAACCAGGAGGATAACTCAGTCATTAGATGAAGGTTGTGATATGAAGCATCCTTCAAGAATGACAAATGTCTGTAGAGGGGAGGTAATTTAACCAGTAACCAATACTTAAAGCATGCCCATGGTGTATTGGCCACTGTGGTGGTGAAGAAAATTCTTGGAGTTGCTTTCCTATCAGATTAGTTGTTTTTCCTCACTCAGCTGGGGGAAGGCAAAGGAATATGTGCCAATTCCGAGTGTAGTTGCTGAGAGAATAGGTTCAGATCTTAGTAGTTGACTAATTCTTTTCCTTGCAGAATGATGTGGGCTTACTTTTCCTTTTACTGAAGAGCAGGAGTCACAATCACATCTACTTTTTCCTTAAAAGTATAAGATTTATTACTTTTTTAATTTTAATTTTTTATTTCAATAGGTTTTTGGGGAACAGGTAGTGTTTGATTACATGGATACGTTCTTTACTGGTGATTTCTGAGATTTTGGTGCATGCATCACCCAAGCAGTGTACACTGTACCGAATGTGTAGTCTTTTATTCCTCAACCCTCTCCAATCCTTTATACCGAGTGCCCAAAGTCTATTATGTTATTCTTATGCCTCTGTGTCCTCATAGCTTAGCTCCCACTTACGAGTGAGAACACATGATATTTGGTTTTCCATTCCTGAGTTACTTCACTCACAATAATGGTCTTCAGTTCCATCCAGGTTGCTGCAAATGCCATTTTGTTCCTTTTTATGGCTAAGTAGTATGCCATGGTATATATATCCCACATTTTAAAAATCCACTCATTGATTGACGGGCATGTGGGCTGGTTCCATATTTTTGCAATTGTGAATTGTGTTGCTATAAACATGCATGTGCAAGTACCTTTTTCGTATAATGACTTCTTTTCCTCTGGGTAGATACCCAGGAGTGGGATTGCTGGATCAAATGTTAGAGCTACTTTTAGTTCCTTATGGATCTCCACATTGTTTTACAGAGTGATTGTACTAGTTTACATTCTCACCAGCAGTGTAAAAGTGTTCCCTTTTCACCACACCATGCCAACATCTATTTTTTTTTATTATGGCCATTCTTGTAGGAATAAGGTGGTATTGAACTGTGGTTTTGATTTGCATTTTCCTTATGCTTAGTGATGTTGAGCATTTTTTCATATGTTTGTTGTCCATTTGTATATCTTCCTTTGAGAATTGTCTATTCATGTCTTTAGCCCATTTTTGATGGGATTATTTGTTTTTTCCTTGCTGATTTGTTTGACTTCCTTGTAGATTTTGGATATTAGTCTTATGTTGGATGCATAGTTTGCAAATATTTTTTCCCACTCTGTGGGTTGTTTGCTTACTCTGCTGATTATTCCTTTTGTTGTGCAGAAGCTTTTTAGTTTAATTAAGTCCCATCCATTTTTCTTTGTTTTTGTTACATTTCCTTTGGGGTTCTTGGTCATGAACTCTTTGGTGAAGACAATGTCTAGAAGAGTTTTTCTGATGTTATCTTCTAGAATTTTTATAGTTTCAGGTCTTAGATTTAAGTCTTTGATTCATCTTGAGTTGATTTTTTATAAGGTGAGAGATGAGGATCCAGTTTCATTCTTCTACATGTGGCTTCCCAATTATCCCAGCACCATTTGTTGAATAGCATGTCTTTCCCCACTTTATGTTTTGTTTCCTTTGTCAAAGATCAGTTGGCTGTAAGTATTTGGCTGTATTTCTGGGCTCTTGATTCTGTTTCATTAGTCTATATGCCTATTTTTATACTAGTACCATGCTGTTTTGGTAACTATAGCCTTGTAGTATAGTTTGAAGTTGGGTAATGTGATGCCTCCAGATTTGTTCTTTTTATTTAGTCTTGCTTTTGGCTATGTGGGCCCCTTTTTGGTTTTATATGAATTTTAGGATAGTTTTTTTCTAGTTCTGTGAAGAATGATGGTGGTATTTTGATGGGAATTGCATTGAATTTATAGACTGCTTTTGGCAGTATGGTCATTTTTACAATATTGATTCTACCCATCCAAGAGCATCGGATGTGTTTCCATTTGTTTGTGTTATCTATGAGTTCTTTCAGCAGTGTTTTATAGTTTTCCTTGTAGGGATCTTTCACCTCTTTGATTAGGTATATTCCTAAGTATTATATATATGTATATATATGTATTTAGTAGCTATTGTAAAAGGAGTTGAGTTCTTGATCTGATTCTCAGCTTGGTTGCTGTTGGTGTATATCAGTGCTACTGATTTGTGTACATTAATTTTGTATCCCGAAATTTCACTGAATTCATTTATCAGATTTAGGAGCTTTTTGGATGAGTCTTCAGGATTTTCTAGGTATACAATCACATCATCGGTGATTGACTTTCTCTTTACTGATTTCAATGCCCTTTATTTCTTTCTCTTGTCTGAACTGCTCTGGCTAGGACTTACAAGACTATGTTGAATAGTAGTGGTGAAAGTGGGCATCCTTGTCTTGTTCCAGTTCTCAGAGGGAATGCTTTCAACTTTTCCCCATTCAGTATAATGTTGGCTGTGGGTTTGTCATAGACAGCTTTTATTACTTTAAGGTATGTCCCTTCTATGCCGATTTGGCTGAGGGTTTTAATCATAAAGGAAAACTGGATTTTGTCAAATGCTTTTTATGCGTCTATTGAGATGATCATATGAATTTTGTTTTTAATTCTATTTATGTGGTGTATCACAATTACTGACTTGCAAATGTTAAACCATCCCCTGCATCCCTAGCATGAAACCCACTTATTTTGAGAAAAAACAAAAACAGATTAATTTTAAATGATGTAAAATTTTGTTCTTTGCACAAATATGAAGGGAAATGATTAATCAGGTATTGGCTTTACTAGGCAGGAAAGAAAGCCTGTTCTTAGTGGGCATTTAGATTAAGGAATCCTCTAAAGAACAAGTCTCCCTTATTATTCTACATTGTGAGGCAGGGCCATTTTTTATTTTATTGTGTCTTATTTTATTTATTTTATTTTAACAAAACCTGTTCTCAAAACAGTAGAGATGGCATGCTAGGAGAGTACAATGGCAGATGCTAACTATGTATGTATACGGTGTGTGTGTGTGTGTGTGTGTGTGTGTGTGTGTGTGTGAAAGAGAGAGAAAGAAACAGAAAGGGAGAGAGAGCAAGAGCAGCAAGCATTTGAAATAAATACTGAAGACATTGTAGTTGTGGTGTATTTAATAGAGTTTTGGTCACTAGCATTGCACTGGCCATGTATTAGGATGTCAGTAAATATTTCTGGCCTGAACTTGGAGCATTCTAAAATTGCCTTTTGTCCTTGAAATTTATATTAATAGGACAAAAGGGAGATATTGGTTTTTTGGTTAGAGTATTCATACAGCCACATGACTTCTGAAGACTATCAGATGGGACCTTGATTTACTGCTGTAAAAATGTACTTTTTACATACTAGGTTTACACACTAGATTTCAAACTAGGGATGCACGAATGGTTTAACATTTGCAAGTCAATAAATGTGATACAACACATAAATAGAATTTAGTACCAAGGAAGCTGTGAATTGAACCATGTGATATAAGCAAAATGAGAATTTGCTGACAACAGTAGATGTTGGCTGATATCGTCTCTGATAAAACCCTGACCAGAATAACCAAGCATAGTTCTGTAGGGCTTTTCTGTGCTCAATTTGCCCTAATTGTATCATCTGCAGAAAGATGAACTTTCCGGCCATGTTCTTCTCAATATTTAGAGGTTACAGTTTAAAAGTCTTTTTTTAAAAGCTTAAACTGTAACTTTGTCTTCATAACTTACAGTGGCTTCATTCTCTACTGGGTTTTCTCCATCTGCTGGGAAGTTGTTTAAAAAGTTTAAGCTGTAACTTAATGCAGATGATACAATTAGTGCAAATTGAGCACAGAAACTTTACTTTTGTTAATACAATACATAATTCATGTCACACACACTTTTTTTTTGTTCTATTAGTCAAGGATCTTCTGGTTGAAAGTGATAGAAATTTAAGATAATAGTAAAATAAGGGGAAAAAGTAATTAATATGTTCATTTAAAATCAAAGTACGGAAGGTGGGCTGGTTTTCAGCACAGCTGGATTTACTTGAATACTATCAGGAATCTGTCTCTTCCCATCTTTACTCTGCTTTCCTTCACATTGGCTTTCTCCTCTACTGGGCTCTCTCTACGCTGAGAAAGTTGCCTGCAGCAGCTCTAAGCCTAACAGATCCTTGCAGTGCATGACTCCAGAGGAGAGAACTGGCTGTTCTTCTCCAATCTCAATGTTTGTATTTCAAATAGCTCTAATTGATCCACCTGAGTCAAGTTCCACCAGATGATTGCCCTGTGTGTGTGATGGGGTGGGAGGTGGGAAGACTTCTTTGACAAGGTGGCAAACAGGGCCAGGGAAGGCAAAGAGTCAGCAGAGCTCTGGGGGCCGTCACGTCGCATTCTTGGGGCTGTGAATGAAATGAGGGATGTGTATGGAAATGGGGTAGATCTACCATTTGCCTCTTCTCACCCAGCTCTCATCTTCTCAGACCCCTAAAAAGAATAAACAGACCCATCTCCAGGACCATCATCCTTGGGCACAGTATCATTTCAGCTGAAGGGTGAAGGGCCTTTCTGCTTAAAACATGTATTTCCAGTTACACAGCACTGCCTGGAATCAGTTTCACTCAGAGCAAAGCATTTCATTCCAAATTATTCTTTTACAGATAAAAAGCCCCAAATGCAAAAATCTGGCAGGATAGGCTTATTTGTGAGAATGTCAGTCAAGTATAACTGACTGCTTTTTGTATGCGACTGAGAGTCAGAAAGAAGGAAGGCAAATGGTTCCCAAGAGGGAAGGAATGCCAGTGGACCAGCCTCTGCCCCACATCCGGCCAAGGGGCTATGGTAAATAGAGGCTAGCTATTGTCAAAGAAGTACTAGAAGAGATTGAGGTCCCAGCTGAAAAAAATGATACCTTTGGAGCATCAGGAGCAAGGTTTGTCTCCTTGGCAACCCTCATTTTGTAGAGATCAATTTTTGTAATTCGGCTTAAGCAACATCTAGCAATTGACTATGTAGTGATTTTTGTCATTGTTTAGACACAAAGGTCTACTTTCCTTTCCAGGGAACATAATCCTTACTAGCAGGATAAAATAAAAGAAAATCCACAAGAACAATAAAGAAAAGTTCTATTCACCAAGTTCACTTATTTCTCTGGGTAAATGGCAGTTTAAAAAGTTAAGGAAACTTATTTCTCTGGGTAAATGGCAGTTAAAAAGTTAAGGAAACCATGTAGTTTGGTGCGAGAATTTCAAGATGGTTATGATTTTAAAAGGCTTGGATAGAGTTTATCCTAAATTAGTTTCATCTTATCAAGCTGGTTTTATCTTTTTCTTTTTTTGCCTTGGAACCATTGGAACTTAATTTACCAAAAAAAAATTACGATTTTTTTTTTGCTTGGAGGTCAAGATACCATAAAAATGATTGACAATAGCCTTAAAAGTAGTTGAGAGTGATGTTAGCAAGATGGCCAATTAGAAGCCTCTCCCACTCATTCCCCTAACAAAGACAGCCAAAAACAACAAATAAACAACTACATTCTGATAAAAATAACTAAAGGAGAATGCCAGAGTACATCAAAGGAGTGGCAGAAACCCCGTGGAACACAGAAATCCAGGATGGCCACACAGAAAAAGAAAGGAAATGCCTTGCCTCCACCATCCCATACCCCAGTCGGATCAGCAAGGAACCAGGAGGGATATCTCTTTGCAGGGAAAAGGGAAGCAAGAGGACCCCAGCAGCCCTCATCACCACCTTGAACACCTACAGTCCTCACCACTGAGGTTCTTTGCAGTCCTCATGGGCGTATTAAGCTTAGTTGAGAGAGCTGCCTGGAGTCCACACAGCTGCACTTCCCCTAGAGAAGAAGCCAACACTGTGCCCTCCTCCCTGTGGTCCATGCAGCTACTTCACTGTGCCATCTTGGAACCAGAGCCACTGTTTGAGTGTGTCCTGCTCCATGGATTTGCCACAGCACTCTTCCATCCCTGAGGTTTTGTCACCACTGAACCACCCCTGCCTGATAGCTTGCCATTCCTGAGCCAAGCTACCTTGGAGCCTCTCCATCTGCCCCTCCCAGTTGCTTCTGTGCCCCACCCTTGTGGCTTGAGCTGGAGTGGTGTACTGCTTCCCAGGGAAACAGCGCCTTGGCTGCCCTGAGCAGTGCGCCCCCTGGACCTGAGCTGAAGCAGCACCCTACCACCTGAGAAATCAGTGCCATAGCCACAGAGAGCAGTGGCTCATCCCAGAGCTGAGCTGATATAGTACCTGCGTCCCAGAGAAACAGCATTGGCTGAACTGAGATATCTTTTCCTATAGGCTGAACAACCATAGTACCTTGATTTCCTAGAACTGGACTAGCCCCCTAGAATCTGAGCTACTAAGACACCTCCTACTCAGGGAAATGGAATCATTACTGTGCTGCTCCCTGCCCCCCAGGGCCCAAGCAACTCCAAACACTCTACCATTCTGGCATCTTTGCTGCCACTGGATCTGGCTTCACAGGGTCTGGGATACTGCCTAGTCCTACTGTCCCAGGGTCCAGAGTCACCACTGCCTGATGCCTCATCCCCAGGGCCTGAGTTGCCACTGTGCCCTATTGGCTCTGGTTCCAAAATTGTAGCTGTACCCTGCCTCAGAGTCACAGGCCCCGGCTTTGTGGGCAGTCTGCACCTAACCATGACTCAAGAGAGAGAAACTGTACCTTAAGACCCAGGTGCCCTAATAGGTTCATGAGACCCTGAGCCCAGGGCCCTGGTGCAACAGTCACTTTGAGCATCTGTGCCCCAGAACCCAGGGCCACTGCAGCTGCTTGTAGGTTGTGTCAGACCTGACACCAAGAAAGATCCACTCAACTAAGAATCCCCGCTGTGAGGAAAACAAGAACAAGAGGCCACCCAAAGCACTTGTAACTGAAGACCTTAACAGCCTATGCTACTATCACTGCTTACTACAAACTCCTACAGCCTAAGCCACCAAGGCACCCACAGTTATCATTGATGTTGATTGCAGCTAAAGCAGCTGCATGGAGGCTATACCACTGCATCTACTTAAAAACAAAGTCACCATACCCTTCTCAGCTGGCACACTAAGACCCATGTTCTGGTGAAAGTCTTTTCCTGTGAAAAACACTTGGTAGAGTTTGGAAGAGGTGATTGCTCCACCAGATGTGCAGACATCAACCCAGGGACATAAGAACCATGAAAAAGCAAAGAATATGACATTACCAAAAGAACACAGTAATTCTCTAGTAACTGACCCTCAGCAAAGGAAATTTACAAATTGCCTAAACAGGATTTCAAAATAATAATCTTAAGAAAATTTAGTGAGATACAAGAGAATACAGATAGACAATTCAAGACAATCAGAAAAAATCATGATCTGAATGAGAAATTCAACGAAGAGATAGATATTATTAAAAAAGAACCAAACAGAAATCTTGAAGCTGAAGAATTCAATGAATAAAATAAAAAATACAATAGAGAACTTTGACAGCAGGCTAGATCAAGCAGAAGAAAAAAAAATCTCTAAACTTGAATATAGGTTTCTTGAAATTACCCTGTCAGAGAAAGAGAAAAAAAAGAATGAAAAAGAATGAGAACAGCCTAGAGGGCATATGGGCCATCACTAAGTGAACAAACATTTGCAGTATGTTTATTTCAGAAGGTGAAGAGGCAAAGATAGGAGTGGAAAGTTTATTTAATAAAAAAATTGCTGAAAAACCTCCAAGTTTTGGAAAACGTATTATCATTCAGATCCATGAAGCTTAAAAATCTCTAAACAAATTATATCCAAGTAGGTTCTCTTCAAGACACAATATAATTAAACTGTCCAAATTAAATAACTATTAAAAGAGAATTTTAAAAGCAGTGCTAGAAAAGCAAAAGGTCACATATTTAAAAAATCACCACTAGACTATCAACAGATTTCTCAGTAGAAACCTTGCAGGCCAGAAGAGAATGGGATGATATATTCAAAGTGCTGAAAGAAAACAACTGGCAGCCAAGAACATGATACCCAGCAAAACTGTCCTTCAGAAAGGAAGAGAAATAAAGCCTTTCCCAGACAAGCAAAAGTTGAGAGAATTCATCAGCACTAGAAAAGAAATGCTCAAGGGAGCTCTTCAAGTGGAGATAAAAGACGGTAATTACTAACGTGAAAATGTATGAACACATATAATTCACCGTAAAAGTAAATATATCATCAAACCCAGAACATTACAATAATGTTATGGTGCTTGTAAATTATATATATCTCTGGTATGAAGGTTAAAAGAAGTCAAACAGTTGAAAATAATGGTAACTATAATAAGTTGTTAAGAAGTACATAATATAAAAAGATGTACATTGTGACATAAAAATATAAATCATGTGTGTTGGAGGGGGGGAGGAGAATAAAAGCCTATTGTATGCAACTGAAGTTATGTTGTTATCAGTATAATATAGTCTATTATAACTATAACATATTCTATGTAAGCTTCAGGGTAACTACAAAGTAAAAAGCAATGGCAGATACATAAAAGATAAAGACAAAGGAATAAAAATGTAGCACTACTAAAATCACCAAATTACAAAGATAAACAAGAGAAGAAGAAAAAAACAAAGGATCTATAAAATACCCAGAAAACAATAAACAAGAAGCAGTAGTTAGTCCTTACATACTAATAAGTACTTTAACTATAAATGAATTCAATTCTCCAATCAAATGACATGGAGTGGCTGAATGGATTAAAAAAACAAGATCTAATTATATGGTGCCTACAAGAGACCCATTTGAGTCTTAAAAACACATGTAGGCTGAAAGAGAAGGGATGAAAGAAGACACTTCATGCAAATAGCAACCAAAAGAGAGCAGGAGTGGCTATACTTAGTAGATAAAATAGACTTCAAGTCAAAAACTGTTACAAGAAACAAAGAAGGTCATTATTTAATGATAAAATGCTCAATTCATGAAGAAAACATAATCATTTTAAATATATGTACCCAATATTGGTGCACCTAAATACATAAAGCAAATGTTAATGAACATAAAGAGGGAAATAGATAACAATAGTAGAGAGAAATAGACAGTAACAGTAGGGGACGCCATTACTTTACATTTAACAATGAACAGATCAACCAGACAAAAAATTGATAAGTAAATGCTAGAATTGAACTGCACTTTAAACAAAATGGACATAACAGATATATACATACACACACATATATATACATATATATGTATGTGTGTGTGTATATATATATATATAAAATATAAAATGTTCCATCCAACAGCAGCAAATACACATTCTTCCTTAGTGCATATAGAACATTCTCTAGGATAGACCATATGGTAGACCACAAAACAAGTGTTAATAAATTTGAGAAGATGAAAATCACATCAAATATTGTTTCCAAACACAATGGTATGAAACTAGAAATCAATAACAGGAAGAATTTTGAAAAATTTACAAATACATGGAAATTAAACCATTTGTTCCTGAACAACCAATGAGTCAAAGGGGAAATTTTTAAAAATCTTGAGATAAATGACAATGGAAACATAACATACTAAAACCTGTGGATTGCAGCCAAAGCAGTTCTAGGAGGGCAGAAGATTACAGCAAAAAGTACCTGTGTTAAAAAGTAAGAAAAATCCCAAATAAGCAGCTTAACATTGTGCCTCAAGGAACTAGAAAAAAGAACAAACTAAAACCAAATTTAGCAGAAAGAAGGAAATAATAAAGATGAGAATAGAGATAAATAAAATAGAGAATAGAAAAGTGGTTAAAATTTTTTTGAAAAAAAAATTTCACAAACCCATAGGCAGACTCACTAAGAAAAAAAGAAATAAGACAAATATGTAAAGTCAGAAATGAAAGTGGAAACATTACAACAGATGCCTCAGAAATAAAAAGGATCATAAGGGACTATTGTGATCAATTATATGCCAGCAAATTTGATAACCTGTAGGAAATGAATACATTCTTAGACAAATACAACCTACCAAGGTTGAATCAGGAAGAAATAGAAAGCCTGAATATAATAATAAACAAAGAGATTAAGGTAGTTATTAAAAACATCCCAACAAAGCAAACCCAGGACCAGTTGACGGCTTTAAAGCTGAATTCTACCAAACTCTCAAAGAAGAATGAACCCCAATATTTCTTAAGCTCTTCCGAAAACAGAGCTGGAAGGAGTACTTCCTAACACATTTTATGAAGCCAACATCATCTCGATACCTAAGCCAGGCAAAGATACCACACAAAAAGAAAAGTAAAGGCCAGTAGCACGGATGCACATTGATGCAAAAATCCTTAATAAAATATTAGCAAATCAAATTTAACAACAGACCAAACATATTATACCTCATGATCAAGTGAGACTTATCCCTGGCATGGAAGGCTAGTTTAGCATATGCAAGTCAATCAGTGCAAGTCAATCAGTGTGATACATAACATTAACAGGTAGAAAGACACAATCCACATGATCATATCAATAGATGCAGGGAAAGCATTCAACAAAGTTCAACATCTTTTTTTGATAAAAACTCTTAACAGTTTAGGTATAAGAAATTTCCTCAACATAATAAAGGCCATTTATGAAAAACCCACAGCTAGTATCATAATCAATGTGAAGAAACTCAAAGCTTTTTTTCTAAGATCTGGTACAAGGCAAGGATGCCCACTCTAACTTTTGTTCCACATAGTACTGAAAGTACTCTCAAGAAATAAAAGGTATCCAATCCAGAAAGAAAGAAGTAAAATTATCTCTATTTGCAGATGGCATGATCTTGTAAGTAGAAAACCCCAAAGACTCCACCAAAAAACTATTAGATCTAATACATGAACTCAGTGAAGCTGCAGGATACAAAGTCAACATGCGAAAATCCATGGCATTTCTATCCACAAATAGTGACCCAGCTGAAAAAGAAATCAAGAAAATAATCCCATTTATGATAGTATCAAAAAAATGCTTAGGAACAAAGTTAACCAAGGTGGTAAAATACCTCTACATTGAAAATGATAAAACATTAATGAATGCAATTGGAGAGGACACAAATAAATGGAAAGATAGTCCATGCACATGGATGAGAAGAATGAATATTGTTAAAAATGTCCATACTATCTAAAGCAATATATAGATGCAATGCAATCTTGATCAAAGTCTCAATGTCATTCTTCACAGAAATAGACAAATCCTAAAATTTGTGTAAAATCACAAAAGATCCTAAATAGCCAGAACAATCCTGAGAGGAAAAACTAAGTTGGAGATATCACACTTTTTGATTTAAAATTATGTTACAAAGCTATAGTAATCAAAATAAAATGCTACTGGGAAAAAATGGACACATAGACCAGTGGAACAGAGTAGGAAGCCCATAAACAAATCCAAACATATATGGTCAACTAATTTTTGACAAGGACATGAAAAAGGAACAATTGAGGAAAGGACAGCCTCTTCAATAAGTGGTGCTATGAAAACTGGATTTCCATATGCAAAAGAATAAAATTGGACTCTTACCCCATACACAAAACAACTCAGAATGGATAAAAGGCCTAAACAGTAGACCTTAAAGCAAAAAACTCTTAGGAAAAAAACTCAGAGGAAAAACTCCTTTACAGTGGCCTTGGCAATGATTTCTTTTGTGTTTTGGATATCAAGTCAAAAGCTCAGGCTACGACAGCAAAAATAAATAAATGGGTCTACATTAAACTAAAAAGCTCCTGCACAATAAATGAGACAACAGAATGAAAAGACAACCTACAGATTGTGAAAAAAAAATTGCACACTTTATATCAAATAAGGAGTTGATATTGAAGATTTATAAAGAACTCATACAAATCAATAACAAGAAAACATATAACCCAGTAAAAAATGGACAAATGACTTGAATAGACATTTATCTAAAATGACATAAGAATGGACAGCAGATACATTGGAAGTATTAGTTGAAAAGGTGTCCAACATTACTAATTATCAGAGAAATGAAATTAAAACCACTATGAGATACCACCTCTCACCTGTTAGGATAGCTGTTATCAAAAGATAAAAGATAACAATATTAATGAGAGGGAAAAAGGAAGCCTTGTGCATGTGGGAATGGAGATTGATGCAGCCATTATGCAAAATAATACAGAGGCTCCTAAAGAAATTAAAAATAGAACTACTATATGCAGTTAATCTTCTGGGTATATACCCAAAGGAAATAAAGTCATTACCTCGTGAAGATATCTGTATTCCTATGTTAACTGCAGCATTATTGACAATAGCCAAGATATGGAAACAAACTAGATGTCCTTCAATGGATAAACTATGATATGTACATACAATGGAATATTATTCAGCCTTTAAAAAGAGGAAAATGAGGAAATCTTGCTATTTTCCACAACATGGATTGACCTGGAGGACATTATACTAGGAGAAATAAGCCAGAGACAAAAAGAAAAATATTGTATAATTTCACTTATATGTGGTATTCTTCCCAAAAGATCAAATATATAGAGAGAATGAAACAGGGTTACCAGTGCTGGAGTCTGGGAGGGGAGAATGGGGAGATCTAGGTAAAAGGTTACAAAGTAGCAAATATATAGAATAAACAAGTCAAAAAATGTGTTGTACAGCAACATGTGGATTAAAATTAATAATAGTGTTATATACAGGATTTTTTCTAAACTAAGTATATTATAGCTGTTTGCCACAAGGAGAAACATGGTATATTAGCTCATTTTGCATTGCTGTAAAGGAATACCTGAGATTAGGTAATTTATAAAGAAAAGAGATTGATTTGGCTCACCGTTCTACAAACCGTACAAGAGGCTCATGGTTCCACAAACCGTGCAGCTTCTGCTTCTGGTGAAGACTTCAGGAAGCTTTCAATCATGGTGGAAGGTGAAGGGAAGCAGGTGTGTCGCATGGTGAAGGGAAGCAGGTGTGTTGCATGATGAAGGTGGGAGCGAGGGCAAGGGGTGAGGTCCCAGGATGTTTAAGAACCAGCTTTCATGTGAACAAACAGAGCAAGAACCCATTCATTACTGCAAAGAGGGCAGCAAGCCATTCATGAAACATCCACCCCCAGGACTCAAACACCTCCCACCAAGCCTCACCTCCAGCACTGGGGATCACATTTCAACATGAGGTTTGGAGGGGACAAACTATATCAAATGGTAACTGAGAAGATTAATAAATTGTTCCACTATAGTAACCATTTTACTACACACATGCATCTTATAACATCACGTTTTATACCTTAAATATACACAATACAATTTTTTTTTAAAAAAGCTAGTTAGATATGGAATTTACCAATGAGTGAATGTTTTCCAGTAATTGTGTAGACTTCAGAGCTCTTTCTGGCGAGTACATATGGCCTCCAACTTAATAAGGTTCGACTTAAGGTTTTTTGACTTACGATGGATTCATCAGGATGTAACCTCACAATAAGCTGAGGAGCATCCATATGTACCTCCATTCATGCTGGATAAATGGATTCTTTTTTTTTTTTTTTTTTTGAGACACAGTCTTGCTCTGTCACTAGGCTGGAGTGCAGTGGCATGATCTTGGCTCATTGCAGCCTCCGCCTCCCGGATTCAAGCAATTCTCCTGCCTCAGCCTCCCGAGCAGCTGGGATTAGAGGTGCATGCCACCACACCAGCTAATTTTTGTATTTTTAGTAGAGACGGGGTTTTGCCACGTTGGCCCGGATGGTCTCAATCTCTTGACCTCGTGATCCGCCCGCCTCGGCCTCCCAAAGTGCTGAGATTACAGGCATGAGCCACCGCGCCTGGCCAACAAATAGGCTCTTTAAGGCACTGCTCTTCTTTGTCCCTGAGAGCAGACAGCCACCCACCAGCTGAACAGCTGCTTTATCAGGCCTCCCTGTCCCATGCTCTCTTAATACTCACCCTTCAACATACTGACATTAAAGGGGAAGAAGAGTCCCAGAGTTCAACAGGGCAAAACTGACATTTGAAAAAGGAATTTTAATTAAGAGACTAAAGGGAAATCTCTATGTACAAAGGCTGAGAGGAAGTTCTAAAGGGTCTGATAGAAAGAGAATAAGCTGTGGAATTAGACAGATATGGTTTCCAGACCTTGGCAAATCACTTAACCCATCAGAGGCTCACCTGTAAAGTAGAAACAATCATGACTTGTAGGCAGTATGAAGAAAGAGAAAACAGAGTATGTGCAAGTGTCACCTTGGGCAGGCCAAGGCCTAAACCTGATGAGAAATATGCCTGAGGAAACTACCGTCACTGTATCCTCTCTCACAGCCAGTTTGCAGGATTGCGGTGAGACTGTTTGTCACCATTTGCTTGCTCCTGTGAGCAGGCAGACCTTTGGCGAGATCCCTCAAAAGATGGGTGAGGGAGAACCCAGGGGCTGCAAATCCCTGTGAGGATGGCAAAGAGGGCCTCTCACCTGCCAGAGCATTATTCCAAGCAACCGGCAGTAGCCACAGCCCTGTCTTCACAGGGGAAGGTAGGGACTGGGGGTGCTTAATCCTCACTAGGAGCTGTGTGTTCCCTATTGAACCATTTCTCCAGATTTCTGTATTGCATCTTGTGTGTCCATTAGAATCTTTCCTTCGGTCTCATTGGCACATGAGAAGTTAGCTCTCTTCTGTTGCCCCTTCCCTCAAACAACTTTGATCTAACCCCAGGTAAAATAGGCTCATCTGCCTATAGGGTGTATTAGTCAGGGTTTCCTGAGGGACAGGACTAATAGGATAGATGTATATATGAAAGGGAGTTTATTAAGGAGTATTGACTCACACAATCACAAAGTGAAGTCCCACAATAGGCCGTGTGCAAACTGAGGAGCAGGGAAGCCAGTCCGAGTCTCAAAACCTCGAAAGTGACAGTGCAGCCTTCAGTCTGTGGCTGAAGGCCTGAGAACCCCTGGTAAGCCACTGATGTAAGTGCAGGAGTCCAAAAGCTGAAGAACTTGGAGTCTGATATTCGAGGGCAGGAAGCATCCAGCAAGGGAGAAAGGTGGAGGCCAGAAGACTCGGCAGGTCTGTTCTTTCCATCTTCTTCTACCTGCTTTACTCTAGCTGCGCTGGCAGCTGCTCAGATGGTGCCCACTGAGATAGAGGGTGGGTCTGCCTCTCCCAGTCACTGACTCAAATATTAATCTCTATTGGCAACATCCTCATAGACACATTCAGGAATAATACTTTGCATCCTTCAATCCAATCAAGTTGACACTTAATATTAACAATCACATAGGGCATCCTGGTTTTTCATGGTTTTATCTACTTGCCGCAACATTTTAGAGAAGACTCTAAAATTCTTTTTTGTCAATGTGAGTCTTTTTTCCATACCCAATTTTACTCCCTCTCTCCTTTTGAAGAAATTCTGGGACAGGACTTCTGGACTTGACCACCAGCCAGGGAGAAGAAACAATACCTAGGAAGTGACACTCAGTTGGAGGAAGAATGATGATTATAGAATAACTCTCTGCTGTGGCACCAGGACTGCACGAGATCTGGTCTCTGCACATCTTGGTGTCTGCATCCTGGTAAAAAATGGCCCCCTTTCCCACACCTACCCATGGAGGAAGATGAGGCAGCAAGTTGTAAGAAATTACCAGAAAAGCCTCACTCCTGATCTCCTGACCCACCCCCTCATGCTCTCAGTGCTTCTACTCTTGCTTCATTAATTTATCCAACAAATACTAATTGTCGGCTAGGTACCAAGTTCTGTTATAGATAATGAAGATATGGCTGTGGAAAAAGAACCAGAAACCTGCCTTTACATTCTAGTGGAAGAGGAGGAAGATAAACAATAAACAAGGTCAACAAGTAACTACAGCATGTCAGGTGATTTAAGTGCTGGGAAGGAAACTGAGTGGTATAGATCATTGCAGAGGGTAGGTTGCAATTTTAAATGGAATAGTGAAGTTAGCCTCACTGATAAGGCAGTCTTCCAGCAAAGATCTGACAGAGGTGAGGAAGTGAATCTATGGAAACCTGGGGGTACAGCCTTCCAGCAAATAACAGGTGCAAAGGCCCAGAAGCCTAGGGCATTTGTATTTGAGGGCAAGCAAGGGGTCTGTGTGCTGGAGAAGAGTGAGGAAGGTGAGAATTAGGGAGTGAGGCCTGGGAGATTATGAGGAAAGGAAACAGATCATACAGCGCCTTGGAGGCCATTATAAAGACTTTGGTTTTTACCCTTATGAGATGGGAAGCTATTGGCGGTTTTAGAGCAGGAAAGTGACATGATCTGATTTATGTTCCAAGGCTCATGCTGGCCACCTTGTTAAGACAAAACTGGAGGGAGGCAAGCAGAGCGGGGACACCAATGAGGTAACCATAGTGACCATCCAGAGGAGAAATGATGGTGGCCTGGAATAGGTAGTTCTGAGAAGTGTTGTATTTTGGAGGTAGATCAATAGAATTTATTGGTGCATTGAATATATATGATGTGAAAGAAAGCGGGGAGACAAAGATAACCTCAACGCTTTTGGCCTGAGCAGCTGTAAGACTGGGATTGCATTTGATCACAGGGCAAGCTCAGTCGGGCTCAAAACTGTTTGCTCCTTCCTGGCTGGAACTTCGTGTGGGCCTAAGATGTTTAACTGGAATTTCATCTGGCAGACTTAAACATTGTGTTCTTCTTTTAAAAGCTCAAATAACAAATATTCCAAAATGTAAAGCAAAAAAAGGATTTATTGAAATCATGTGACAATATATCCCTAACACCATGAAGAAGATGACAATTATGATTTCCATAGAGTATTTTGCACTTGCCTAAGCACAAAAGCAAAAACAGAGCAAGGCAAACAATATACAAACAAAACTTGATCCTATCTAATAACTTTCATGAAACAACCATAAATGAATTTTGTTTTATTAAGTCAGGCTTCAGGACTACTGAATTGCATTCACTAAAATGCTATTTGAAATTTTACTTACTCGCCACCCACCCCACTACTCTTAATTCATCGCCCTCTCCACAAAAGGACAAAAGGCAAAAAAGGTAGTAAGCAAAATATAAATAATAAGAATTCAAAAACAGAGATCAAAGTAAATTTTTTTTTCAGTCTCTGCGTCTATGCTCAAATCAATGTTTTCTGAGCATACAGGGAAGCAAGGAAACCAATTCTCTAGCTCTTGCTCTGCCTCTTATTCTCCTCCACCCCCCAATACATTTCTGAATATTTTTTAATCCATTTATCACTGAGTACTTGCATATAACTAGAAGCACCGACTATATTGTTATCAACTTTGGAGCAATTTTCATGGGGAATTGTACAAATGTTCTCTGATATGTATCTCCTCACTAGAAAGACAACCTTAAACATATATGAAGACTTAGCCTCAAGTGAAGAAGGCAGCTTTCTGTTGACCACACTGAGCCTTAGGTCACCAGATTTCTACTCAGGAGAGGCAGTGAGCAGGAGGGGCCAGTTTGGAGGGCTTTGTCTAGCTCTATAGTCTCTGTAGGCACCTACCAACACCGGTCCTTCTCCTGCTACCCACTGTGTGCTTCCAGCTTCAAGCTGAGTTCTCTGTATGGGGTCGACCCCAGCAGTTCCCAATAAACCATCATTCATGGGATCCTCCTATATAGAGATGAGGAAGGCGCCACAAGCAAGACACTCTTGGCCAGAAGGATTGAGTAATGAGGTTTCCTTTCTTCTTTGTCACTAAAAAAATTACATTTAATTTTGAGAATAAAGATAAGTTCTTCTAAGACAGGATTAAAAACTAAACAAAACAAAAACAAACAGAAAAGAAAAGCTTAATATATCTTTTAAATGAGGGACAATTGTACAGAGCAGACTTCCTTGTTGTTGATAGTTTTAATTCAGATATCAATCCAGAAATCATAAGATTTTTTTCCCCAAAACCTGTTCTTATTTACATAAAGTAGACTTTAAAACAAAATTTTGATTCATTAAGTAGAAATATTTAATAATAATAAATATATAAAAAGTATATTCATATAAAATAGAAATGTATGAAAAATATTCACCTTTATAGAAGTTTTAAATTGTCAAAGCAATGTCAATTTAATTGGCTCAATAAGAGAGTGAAAAACCATTGCTTCAGGACCGCCTCAGTCTGTAATGCTATTTTAAAAAAATTATTTCAACATTTTCTTAAATACTATTCCTTGGTTGTTAAATTTTTATTTTGCTGTATTAGAAGAATGAAGGTTGTTATTAGGGATGTTACATTCAGAAATAAAGTTCTGAATTTCATAGAACACTTTATTCTCTGCCTCATCTTTACATTTCAATTTTTCGGGGGGAATGTCGTTCAAATATAGTTTACAAATGAAATATAAAGGATAAAAGAATGGATAAACAAAGAAGTCCCCAAGGTGTAACAGTGAATATTGCTTTAAGAAAATACAAAAACAATTTTAAATAAGATCCTTCAAACACGAGTCATCCTGTTCTCAGGGAGCTTTAGAATTTCCACATTGCTGAATGCCAAATTCCACAAGTCATGGAATTTCCACACATCTCTCTTCACTTCTCTGACTTCTTCTGTCTAACATGGGCTGATATATTTCAGCCACTACACAGTAGCTGGAGTGTGGTGTTAGAGCTTCAATTTCAACCGCTCTGTGAGCCCCTTCATAAACCTTTTGCTCCTACACACGAGAGAGAAAATAATCAGTTGGTAAATGGCTGCCATTAAGTCACAGCTGCATTTTTGTTTAAATTAACAAGTTGTACATGGTCACAGCAGTAGATGGGTTGTGGGGTTTCTTCCCAGACACATCCTTCTTTTCTAGAGTCCTAGGCCATAGCCTGGTAAAGGGACAAGGCAAGTGGCTGTGTAGGTGCAACTTGACTTCTCCTTGAGGGCTGTTGGCTGGTTGACCCCATGGTCAGAGTCTTGTTTTTAAGAATTTTGTTTGTTTTTTGAGATACAGTTTCACTCCATCATCCAGCCTGGAGTGCAGTGTCACCATCTCGGCTCACTGCAACCTCTGCCTCTCAGGTTCAAGAGATTCTCGTGCCTCAGCCTCCTGAGTAGCTGGGATTGCAGACGCATACCACCACGCCTGGCTAATTTTTGTATTTTCAGTAGAGATGGAGTTTCACCATGTTGACCAGGCAGGTCTTGAACTCCTGACCTCAAATGATTTGCCTGCCTCAGCCTCCCAAAGTGCTGGGATTACAGGCATGAACCACCCCACCTGGCCTTCTTTTTAAGAATTTGAAGTGTGCAGTGAGAATGATGTGCAGCGAGATGAGCAGAGATAACTGCAGGCATGAAACTGTGGCCACATAGAGACAGAAAGTCTGAGAGACAGAGCAGGATCCCTTAGAACTCACTTCCGTTTCCCTTCCCAGTCACCACTAAGGCTGCCGGCACTCTACGTCCTGCCTCTGTCCCTGAGATTGCTTGCCTATCTCCTAATTATCCCTCCCCTCCTCTTTTGTTTCTAAACAAGTTAAACTGTGGTTTCTGCTCCTTACGACAAAAACCCCTCATCTTAGATGGCACCAAAAAAGGAACAAATTCAATTATCCACCAAATCCAGACAGAAGCACCGATGGTGGATTAGAATACCACTGCAAGGCCAGGCCTGGTGGCTCATGTTTGTAATGCCAGCAGTTTGGGAGGCCAAGGCAGGCAGATCAGTTGATCCCAGGAGTTTAAGACCAGCCCGGGCAACATGGCCAGAGCCTGTCCCTACTAAAAGTACAAAAAAACATAGCTGGGCATGGTGGCATGCACCTGTAGTCCCAGCTACTTGGGAGGCTGAGGTGGGAGGATCATTTGAGCCCAGGATGTTGAGGCTGCCGTGAGCTGTGATTGCACTGCTGCACCCCAGCCTGGGTGACAGAGTCAGACCCTGTCTCAAAAAAAAAATCGCAGCAAAACTGGCACAAAAATAATCATGTGATTCAAAAGCTATTTTAAAATAAGGTGTGAGGCCGGGGAGGTGGCTTATGCCTGCAATCCCAGCACTTTGGGAGGCCAAGGCTGGAGGATTGGTTGAGGCCAGGAGTTTGAGACCAGCCTGGGCAACATAGTGAGACCTTGCCTCTACAAAAAAAAAAAAAAAAAAAAAAAAAAAAAAGCTGGATGTGATGGGCATGCTTCTAGTCCCAGCTACTCAGGAGGCTGAAGAAGGAGGACCACTTAAGCCCAGAAGTTAGAGGCTACAGTGAGCTATGATCACCACTGTACTCCAGCCTGGGTGACAGAGTGACACCTGGTCTAAAAATAAAATACATAATAAATAAATAAATAAATAAATAAATAAATAAATAAATAAGGTGTGCAAAGCCCGTAAAAATGAATATTTGTGGCAGTCACATGCAATTAAATACGGTTAATACCAATCTTTAGATATGCAGGGAAGACTGTAGAGACAAACCGGAGGATGGAAAGGGCACACACACATTCTGATGGTGATGCCACCACCAACCGTTGATCAATGATGGCTGAGAGTAAGAAGAAATTAAAGATAAGGAAAAGTAAGAGGAGGCAGAGTAGCAGAAGAGGACATCTCATATGACCACAATATTGGTTAAATAAACAAAAGAAAAAAACTCTAAATATATCTATTCATCTGAACTTACCTTTTCTAGTGAATTGTTAATTATAAAAACTCGGTATAGTAGTTCATAGTAATCTTCTATAGATACATTTTTTTCCTTTTGGTATCTATATGGTAAATTTGGAGCATGGAGAATTACCAACAAAGAGCCATTGACTTGGGTTATATTCATGACTGGAGGATCTATTTTTGCTGAAGAAAAAACATAAAAATTTGACAAATCATCAAAGGAATGTATTATATACAGACGCATTATGTATAATGACAAATCAGCATGGTGGGAGGATCACCTGAGCCCAGGGAGGCCGAGGCTGCAGTGAGCTATGATCATGCCACTGCACTATAGCTTGTGTGGCATAGTGAAACCCATGTCAAAAAACAAAAATAAAAAAGAAAATTGCATATGTATTTGAATCTCGAACCTTTATAAATGTAGGGAGTGTTAGATTCTTAGCAGAATAAAGATGGAAACATACAAATTACTTTCCTCTGTTTATTGGAAGGGCTTTTCTTAATCTGACTTTTGTTTGTTTGTTTGGTTGGTTGGTTTTGGGTTTTTTTTTGAGACAGGATCTCATTATGTTGCCCAGGCTGGGCTCAAACTCCTGTACTCAAGTGATTCTCCTTCAGCTTCCTGAGTAGCTGAGATTACAGGTGCATGCCACCACATCCAGGCTAGTCTGACTTTTTATTGACAGTGTAGCCCTTGGAGGTTCTAAGACTTTTGTAGGGGTATTAGTTCTAACTCCCTGCCTTGTGCTGGCCTAAAACCTTGTCTTTTGTCCTGGGAGTGGCTGTTACCACTTAGGGTCTAGTTACCACATCCAGCAAATGCCTTCAGGGCAGCTGGGGCAGTCACTGTGTTGGTCTTCTGGTTCCCCTTTGATTTCCGTTTACTTTGTTTTGGCCCCCAAGGATTCCCTTTATTTTTATTTTTGCCCCTCTGTGGAGTTTGGAGAATGTGTTTTATCCAGAATTTCTAAGTGTTTTAGAAGAAGAGAGTTTCCTACTCCCAGGCTATTTAATTTGGAACCATAAGTTTTTAAAGCACTTTCCAACTATATTGGAATAATGGGATAGTTAACTTTAAATAAACATGTCCCTTTTGTAGTGAGGCACATATTTCAGGCATTGTCCTATCAGTGAGTCAGCTGCGGACATCACAGGGCTCCTGGCTTATGATCTGTGATGCTAGATTTTGCAATTGATTGCAAAATCAGTTTTGCAATCAGTTGCAAGTTTCTTGACCCATTCACTGGATTGTGATTGTGTTACAAGACCAAGTCAAGATTATTTGACCTCATAGCACTTTACTCTTTAACAGCTCTCTCCTTGAAATATTACCTTCCCGCACTATTCATGAACATATCAGCCCACAGATTTCCTCCTACCTCTTTGGCTATTCCTTCTCAGTCTCCTTTTAAGATTTTTCTTACTCAGGCATCTTTGGGTGAAAGTCCCTCAATATCTGGTCTTACTCAAAACTGCCTCTCACTCACTACTCTCTCCCTAGGCAATCCTATCAATGTCCACTGTACTGTATGCATGAAATGACTCACAAATTTTTGTCTCTAATAAAGACTTTACTTTGAGTCTTGGATCTGAAGAGATATGTCCCCTGGATCTCTTAAAAGCATATTAAGCTTAACATATTCAAAACCAAACTCATAATCTCTATTACCTTGCATCCCACCAAACTGGTCTTTTTCATCAAACCCCATCAAAAAGATCTCAGCAATTCATCTAATTATGCATGCAAGAAACTTAGAGGTCATCTTTGACATGTCCTCTTCACCATTATATCCGATCTATCACCTGGTCCTGCCAATGTTGCTTACTAAATGTCCCTCCAGGAATAAATTTTCTCTAGTCCTTTTCATAAGCCAAATTCGGTCTCCTGTAGACTATTATTAGTAACCTGCTACTTCACTTATCTGCATCCAACCTGTTCCCCAAAATATAGTCAAAATGATCTTTTCTATACACAAGTCTGATCATATGGCTCCTAAATAAAATTATGTTTTTCTGGAGGAAGTCACAACTCCTTAAAAAATTCTTGTACCTGCCTACCTTTCCAGTCCCATCTCATTATGGACTCCTTCCTGCATGCTCTTCTTCAATATATTGGTTATCTTTCAGTCCCTTGAGTTTGCTATGCCAGAGGGCCTTTGCAAATGCTGGTCCCTTGCTTGAAATGCTCTATTCTTTGCCTCAAGTGATCCTCCTACCTCGGCCTCCCAAAGTGCTGGGATTACAGGCATGGAGCCAACACACCTGGCCTTCACATCTATTTTTAATCCAAGTAATTCTAGGGTCAAATAATACTGAAATCTCGCTAAGTATCAAACGCTGCTTTTAACTGAAGAAAGTTTACTTTGTTTTATTTTATTTTTAAAATCTTGCTTTGTCTCTAGATAGACACCATAAATCAGAACTTCTTAATCTAAGATAACATCCTGCTGCTCAAAAACAGGTGTCAGAGGAGGCAATGCATGCAGCTGGCTCATTAGTCTATATCACAGATGCCACAAACATGCTGTCTTGAGGAACTAGAAACGTGCTTTTTTGAAATATGTTCTTCAGAAGTTCTTAGGAGCTGTGGTGGGAGAGCGCAAGCCTGGGGGTGAGGAGGCAGCTGAGTGGGTGATTCTTCTCACTATTGCATCAACAAGAGTAGTAGCTATAGACTGGGTTTCTTATTCTTCTACTAAGAGGCCCCGAAATAAAATGGCTTTTTAAAGGACCTGGTCTAAAGCTTTTTTCTTTTCTTTTCTTTTCTGATTTTTTTTTTTTTTTTTTTTTTTTTAGGGAGAAAGGTCATACAGAAAACACACAAACCCTTCTTAACTCAACACTATCCCAATTTAAATAGAATTGAGCTAAAGCTGTGTCAGTCAATGTCTTTGGCTATTCTTACCTGACTGGCCTAATGGCTTAGACTGAAGGAAACTTTGTTTGATAAGTAAATTTGAATGTGACCCTATTTCTAGGCTTGAATATAATAATCACACTGATCTGTGAATTCCCTTCACTGGTGTTCATCAGTTTAGTCATGAAATCTCCTTTTCCTCTACTAGAGAATTGCTTGTTGAGTATATTGGCTTTGAATTTCAATGTATCCAAGAGACAACCAAGAGTTACCATGAATTAGTTTGCTCAACTCTATTCCACCCTCCTGCTAATTAGAGAGTTGGGGGAAAATGCATCTAGCATTTTGGACAGTATCTAATTAATTTGGATCTCACTGGACCTTGCACCAGTTAGAAGAGGTGTATGGATGGATCCCTAAGTACTAAGATACAGAATGTGAATATTTCTGTGGCCATATGAATGCAAAGCAAAAGGCTCATACTGAAAAGTGGTCTTAAAAAATCTGGGTGGTTAGAGAATTGCAAGGAACCCATAATAGTCAAAACAATCTTGAAAAAGATGAATAAAGAGGAGGGCTCACCCTTCCCAATTTCAAAGCTTACTACAAAGCAACAATAATCAAAATAGTGTGGTATGGGCACAATGATGAATGTATAGCTCAATAGAATAGAATTGAGAGTCTGGAAATAAACTACACGTCTATGGTCTATTGATTTTCAACAAGTGTGCCAAGAACTCTCAATGGGATAATTTTCAACAAATGGTGCTGGGACAGCTGGATAGTCATATGTCAAAGAATAATATTGGACCCTTACCTCACACCACATACAAAAATTAACTCAAAATGAATCAGACTTAACTGTGAGAGATAAAACTATAAAACTCTTAGGAGAAAACATAGGGTAAATCTTCATGATTTTGGATTTGGCAAAGGATTCTTAGATATGACACCAAAAGCACAAGCAACAAAAGAAGAAATAAATTGGATTTCATCCAAGTTTAAAACTTGGTGTCAAGTGATACCATCAAGAAAGTAAAAAGACAACTCACAGAATGGGAGGAGCTAGCTGAGGATCATATATCTGATAAGGCATTGGTATGCAGAATATATAAAGAACCCTTACAACTCAAAAATAAAAAGATTTGATTAAATTTTTTAAATGGGCAAAGGATCTCAATGGACAATTCTCCAAGGAAGGTACAAAATAGCCAATAAGCATAAAACAGAAGCTCAACATCATTAATTAGCAGGTAAATGCAAATAAAAACCACATGAGTTACCATTTTATACCTATTAGGATGGCTATAGTCAAAAAAGATTGGTAAAAATGTGGAAAAATCAAAACTCTCATATATTGCTGATGGGAATGTAAAATAGTGCAGATGCTTTGAAAGTAGTCTGGCATTTCCTCAAATGATTAAATATAGAGTTACTATGAGACCCAGCAATTCCACTCCTATGTATATATTGAAGAGAAATATAAAGGTATGCCCAGCTATGTGTGGTGGCGTATGCCTGATAGTCCTTGGTACTTGGGAGGCTGAGGTGGAAGGATTGCTGGAGCCCAGGGGTTCAAGACTGAAGTGAGCTATGTTTGTGCCACTGCGCTCCAGCCCAGGTGACAGAGCAGGATCCTGTCTCTCAAAAAAACAAACAAGAAAAAAAAACAAAAAAACTCACACTCAAAAATTTTTACATGACTGTTTATAGTAGCATTATTCATAATAGCCAAAAAGTGGAAACTACCCAAATGTCTATCAACTGAAGAAAGGATAAATAATATGTGGTATATCCATATAATGTATTATTTGGTCACAAAAAAGAATGAAGTACTGATACATACTACAATCTGAATGAACTTTGAAAACACGTTAAGTGAAAGAAGCCAGTCAAAAAAATCATGTATTATATTAGTCTATCTAGAACAGGGAACTCTATAGAGACAGAAAGATTAGTAGTTGCCGGGGCTGAGGGCTAAGGGAATGGTGAGACTGGAAGGTGATAGCCAAAGGGTATGGAGTTGCTTTTTGAGGTGATAAAAATGTTCTAAAATTGACTGTGAGTGATGGTTGTACATATTTGTGAATATAGTAAAAACCATTAAACTGTATGCTATATGCTTAAAGTATAGGCTGTGTGAATTATATCTCAATAAGGCTGTTTAAAAAAATCTAAGTGGATGCAGTGACCATCTATTTCCCCAGTGTCCTGTAGTTGCTCTATGGGCTCTTGAACAAAATAGTTGCATGATGGAGGCTATATATAGACTTAACAATATGGATCTCCTCTTACCAAAGTTGGTCTGACCTGCAGAGTGTCCAACTTTCCAGTAAGGAAGATCAATGTTGAACCCCTAGTATAGTGCCATATTCCAGGGGCTCTCATCTTCCATCTCGTTGCAGGTAGGTTTATTTTTGTTCCCTTCCAAAAGGGAGGGGGCAAGAGACATTGGTTATAGATTTTCTTTACTGCTGGATATAGATTCTGGTTACAGATTTTGTTTATAGATTTTTATTTACTGCTTCAATGCTTTTATTAGCAGACCCCTAACCACTCCTGGGACCACACATACACCCATAGATGTAGTCAATGCCTTGTTCATGAGCATAGTACTCCACAATACATTGCTTATGACAAAGAACTTAAGTTAATGTGAAAGGAGTGAAGCAAGGTCTCAAGACCCATAGGACAAATATATATCATATATTTGTCGCTCAGAAATCCATGACTTTATAGGAAGGTGAAATGGATAATTGAAAACTCAGTTTGAGAGACGTCTTGTGAATTGGCATATGAATTGGTAAATGCTCCAATTGGTAAATGCTTCACTAAGCCTAGGGCCAATATATGGTGCTATTTCTTCCACAGACAGAATTCACTGGTCTAGGATACAAGAAGTAGAAGTGGGAGGGGCAACTCTGACTGTTACCCATAGTGAACAACTTATGACATGTTTTTGTTTCCCATATGCTTGGCCTTGAATTCTTCTGGTTTATAACAAAAATGGTTTCCAAAAATTGGAAGTCGAGGCTCTCTCCTGACCATTTGGAGCGCCTCATGCCATTTAACTAACAAAAAGAAAATGAGGTTCTTATATTGTCTAGGGTGATTCATTCTGATTTTCAAGGCATAATATAGTTATAAATACAATGGGGTCAGGTGGAAGAATTCTTGGTATCCTCTGGTGTGCCTCTTAGAGCTTCTCTATTCAGTGATAAAAATTAATGTAAGGTTAGGTCAAGCGGAGACAGGAAACACCAAAAGGACTCAAACTCCTCGTGGATAAAGAGCTGAAGTGCTGGCTGGAAAGAAAGTGAATGTTGAGTTTATAATGAAGGAAGAAGTCATAAATATTAACTACAGCTTCATGACTAGTTGACTTGTTGCAATTATGAGGACTGTGGTAAATATCTTTTTTTTTTCTTGTTCTATTTATGCACATCTTTATATCTATACATTAAACCCCTTCTCTCTCTCTCTCTACTATTTTATCCAATGTCTGTTGGTAATGGTTAATTTTAACACCTATGTCTTAGATTATATTATTCTATGGTTGTGACTAAACTAAAAAAGGAATAAATATCCTTCAGGATGGATACTGAGAAAGCACTTTTGGTCTGCCTTTTTGGGGAGGTGACTAAAAGTCTTAATTTCCTCAACAGAAAATTCCTGTAATCAGTATTTTCATGAACTTAACCCTCGTGTTTGGGGAAGGACTAGGCACTATGACAAATTCTGCTGTCTAAAAATACTTTTTTAGGGGCTGGGCATGGTGGCTCACACCCATAATCCCAGCACTTTGGGAGGCCAAAGGGGGCAGATCACCTGAGGTCAGGAGTTTGAAACCAGCCTGGCCAATATGATGAAACCCCGTCTCTACTAAAAATACAAAAATTAGCCAAGGGTGGTGGCACACACTTGTAATCCTAGCTACTCGGGAGGCAGAGGCCGGAGAATCGCTTGAACCCGGGATGCAGAGGTTGCAGTGAGCCAAGATCGTGCCACTGCACTCCAGCCTGGGTGACAAAGCGAGACCCTGTCACACACAAACACACACACACACACACACACACAAGGTGACAAATTGATGGAGTGGAGGCTCTGCAGTCAGATATAGCAAATTTGAACCCTGACTTGGATAATACAGATTGCGAGATTGGAGCAATGACTAAAGCCTCTACATCTTGATGTTCTGGACTAGAAAATTAGGATAATAAAAGCTATCTCCTAGAGTTGTTCTGACAATTAGACCAAAAGAGATAATGATGTAGAGACCTCAGCAAAGCACAAGGCCTAGTCACTAGCCGTGCTCCGGGAGGGCTGTCCAAAAGCAGGAAGAACAAGGGCAAAGAAACTCCATGGAACTCACTTTCCCACCAGGGAGTGAACCGCGGCGTCATGCTCCATTCTGAGTAGCTCCCAGCCGAGGCCGCCCTCACCCTCCCGTAATAAGGTTCCTGTATGTCTGAGGTTTCACTGGTAAGGTCACAAGAGAGTTCTTGAGTACCCCAACAGTCTTCTTTATTTTTCCATTGTCTCTGTCCATATCTGTAGCAGGGAAAAGGCAAAGATCTGAGTTTCTTTTCTCCACTCAAGGAGTCTTCAGTATTTTCAGACTAATAATTTTTTATACCTGATTCTAGTAGCAATACCACCATGATAGCTTATGGCTCCTCTTCAGAATCTTTAAAAAAATTCCTTCTTATTAACTGTTTCAGTCCATTTTCTGTTGCTATAACTGAATACCCGAGACTGGGTAATTTATAAAGAAAAGGAATTTATTTCTTACAGTTTTGGAGGCTAGGAAGTCTAATGTCTAAGAGCCATAAGAGCCACATCTGGTGAGGGCCTTCTTGCTGGTGGGGACTCTCTGCAGAGACTTAAGGTGACAGAGGACTTCACAGGGATTCAAGAGAGATGGCATATACATATATATACATATATATATAAAATATAAAATATATATAAAACAGACCAACTTTTTTGATAACTAGCCCACTTCCTCAATAACACATTAATTCGTTAATCCATCAATGGATGAATCCATTCATGGGGGCAGAATCCTCATGACCCAATCATCTCCCCAAAGTCCCACCTCTCAACATTGCTGCACTGGGGATCAGGTTTCCAACACATGAACTTTTGGGGGACACATAGAAACCACAGCATTACCTAAAGTGCTGTCTTGCTGGAAGATAAACATCCCTGACGCTTTCTGTATCACTAACATAAGGGTTTTAACCTTTTTTTTAATACTTGGCAAAATGTTCTTTCTGGTGTGTGGACTGACTTCCATTTTTGAATACTCACTCTCCACATCCTTAATGCTCTGTGGTTTTGGCTGTTTGTGGTTTTTCTCCACTTCTCATCAGCTTGCTGTTGAGTAATGTGGCTGCTTCTGAGAAGTTGCTACCACTTTTCATCTCAGGTGTTGCCTACCCAACATACATGATTAATCTCTTTATTGAAAATTGACGGGAACTTTTATTGAGGACTATATATGGAGCCCTGTAATTAGGGGTTGGGAGAGGGGGAGGGAATCCCATGAAAAAAGGTAGTGAGGCAAGAGGCAGAGTGGTTGACTCAGCCTGAGGCCACAGGATGGTGTAATAGTCAAAGGGAAGATTCACGCTTTGTTTCCTTACCTGCCATAAATCAGACCAATGTAACAAAGTGATGGTGGGGAAAAGAGAAGGAATTGGAGTCTGGGGAGAAAGGTTTCCCAAAATATTTATTGAAAGACTTGAAATCTAGCTTTCTAGACACATAATAAGGAAGATAGACGGTATCTATACTCGGTAATCTACATGGTGACAGCAGTTTCATTCCATCACAATTAAAGCAGAACCACAACATATATTGAGTATAATTTGATGTTTTAAAATTATTATTTATTTATAATAAGTCTTGAACTTAGCTGTAATGACAGACTTCTCTTTTAAAATAATATCTCATTGTTTATCCTATTCTAAACGCAAGGGATATAACAGTATTATAGCCCATGAACTGGATACACCAAAGTGAAAGTTTTCAAAATTATAAATTTGTCTTGTGCTGTTGAAAATCCCTTAGAGACAGGAATGGATTCAGGTATTCTGGGGTCTGAAATTTATACAATCTTGGTCCATTTAATGTTTCTATAACAGAACACCTGAGGCTAGGTAATTGATAAGGAAAAGAGGTGTACTTAGCCAATGTTCTGCAGCCTGGGAAGTTACAAGAAATGTGCTGCCAGCATCCACTTGGCTTCTGGTGAGAGCTTTTCATGCTGCATGAGAACATGCTAGAGAAGGTCAATGGGGAAAACAGATCGTGTGAAGAGGCCAAACTCAAGGGGCATCCTGGCTTTACAACAACCACTCTCATAGAAACATTTCCATGACAAATTCAGTCTTGCAAGAGTGAGAACTCACTCAACTGCAGCAATAATGGTACCAAGCCATTCATGAGTGCTCCATCCCCATGACCCAAACACCTCCTACGAGGCCCTACTTCCAACACCACCACACTAAGGATCAAATTTCAACATGAATTTTGGTGGAGACAAACTCAAACCATAGCAGCTTGGGAGTCCTCTTTAGGAAAAGATTTATAAATATAAAATCCTTGCATTGGGGTCCTGAAGTTTAATCTTCATTAGATTCATGGTAAAACAGTTTCTAATCTTCTTAGTACTTTGGACCACAAATAGGTCCACTTTTGACCTATTTATACTACTCCAGGGGAAGCATAAAAAGAGTACCAATCTTTACTTTCTGCATGCTGAAAGTATCTCCAGCAATGCACAAATCTACTTTTGTAATGGAGAAACCTTCATTGTAAAGATTTGTACATTTTACAATCGCTACATAAAATATGTAGAGAGAAGTCGTAGCGGTTAAAGATGGAGATGCTTCTGGGGATATTCCTTCCGAAATTAATTAGCAGGAAAATCTGACCTAGGACCTACCCCATGCTGGAGAGACATGGATGAATTTATGGGATAAAAATTGCTACTTTGGCCATAGCTGCATTTGATTTCCTGAATTTCTATTGAAAAACCATGAAAGCTAAACTGTAATATCTCCTGTCTCACTGTCAGGAGACAGGATTGAGCCTCAACCCCCCTCACCCCCCCAGAAATATATGAGTGGAAAAACCTGACATTTTCAAGTCAAGAGTGTTTGTTTCCAAGCCTTGAGCCAGGAAAGGAGTAGATTATATCTGAGTTTTGGCAATGATCCAGCAGGAGTAGCCTGAGGATCACACGAGAGGAACATGCAGCAGCGTGTTCCAGTTTGTGTTCATGCTTACGAGAGTCATTAGTTTTTGAAAGGAATTTTCTAAATAGTAAATCCACTCTGAAAGTGACTTTTAAATTAAAACCTTATTTTACACACTCACCACCATGTTTGCCACAACTTCTTTTTCAACTACCGATAGTTTCACTCACTGAGTACTCGCTATGTGCTAATAAGTTGCTTCCAACATTCGCCTGACAAATCTATATTGAGAACCCACCATGTGCCAGGCTCCTCCATGGAGGCAAAGGCTGAGCCTGTGAGGTCTTGGTGCAGGTCTAGGGCTGAAGTATCTGCCCAGTGCACTGCATACCATCATGCATTTTGAGTCCCCAGGCAGCCTTCAGGGGAGACAAGTCACTGTTATCCTGACCTTGGCTTCTTCTCAACCCCTCTGAAACTGAAAAAAAGCTCGGATCCTAACACTCCATTGCATTCTAGAACATGTTATCCCAGTGCCATCTCTATCAGCTGAAGGAGGCTCAATTTACTTACATTTTGTACTGCACAAAATAGACACTGCTGTTGCCAGTAAGTGCCCTCCCAGGCTGCCATTGCAAAATGTTGTGAAAATTTCGGGACTGAAATTGTACCCTCTGAGGCTTCAGAGACTCATGCGTTGACTGAGTTCCTAAGATAATAAGAGAAGGAAGAACATTGAACGTTGCTTGGAGCACTGCTGTTCCCAGCAGTAGTTTTCAGTGGAATACCTGCATCAGGATTCCCTAAAGTAGTTGCTCTAAGTGCAGATAGTAGAGGTGGAGCCCAGAAATCAACATTTTGAATCTTCAATGCAATGATTTTGATGCACGCTAAAGTCTCAGAATAATGAGTTCCAGATCATAAACATGTACGTGATACCTTCCCACCCTATTTCCCAGGCTGTGGGGGAAGTAAATTGCATTAAAAAAAATATTGCTCTTATTTTGTTCCCAAATAGTGATGGAATATAATGACTGAGATGAAAGACCCACACTAAGACCACCAACCATCTTCTTAGGAATCACTATATTGGTACTACTCAAGCAAAATTTGCTAGTGACCACTTCTGGGCTCCAGGACCTCAGCCCAGCACTCAGTCCCTCCTTTCGCAGGTTCTTGCTCAATCTCTGGGTCCTGCTTCCAGGTAGGTCTGCCTTTGCTGTCCCACTCCTGAATGGCTGTATTTACCTGCCTGCATCCTGGCTCCAAGTATCCAAGCATAATCCCTCAGATGAAATGGTCATGCTAATGAGGAAAACTGCCCAAGACCCTGCTGGGGGGTAGTGTTTCTGAGACTAATCATGGCATGGCATGGGATAATTTTGCACTGGCATGACTTGTGCTTTCTTCCTCAAATCAGGCAACATAGGTGGTACAACCTTGCTTGCCTTTAGTTGCATGGAGGCAAGAGAATTTTGGCAAAATTTTACTTAGGGTTCAAGGTTTTTTATAAGGGATAAGAAGTTGGGCAGAAGGAGGAGTCAAGAAGCATATCTTTTTTTTTTGGATGGAGTTTCACTCTTGTCGCCCTGGCTGGAGTGCAGTGGCGTGATCTCAGCTCACTGCAACCTCTGCCTCCCGGATTCAAGCGATTCTCCTGCCTCAGCCTCCTGAGTAGCTGGGATTACAGGTGCCCGCCACCATGCCTGGCTAATTTTTTTGTATTTTTAGTAGAGATGGGGTTTTGCCATGTTGGGCAGGCTGGTCTCGAACTCCTGACCTCAAGTGATCCGCCCACCTCGGCCTCCCAAAGTGCTGGGATTACAGGCGTGAGCCACTGCACCCGGCCAGGAAGCATATCTTCTGTTTTCTCCCTGACCTCATCTTCTGTCACCCCGACCCCTGTGTTTGCAGTGTTGACTCCTTCACTTGCTCCACCATGACTCCAGTGACTCTGCCTTAGGGCCTCTGCACTGGCCCTTCCCTTTTCCTGGTCTGCTCTTCCCCTGGATTTCACATGGCTCATTTCTCCACCTCCTTCAAGTCTTTGCTCAAATGTATCACGTTATTGAGATGGTTAAAAAAACACTTCCAAGCCCATGGTCTCAGCTCTGAACTTTCAAGACTTGTTATTTTCAAATGAACAAGACTGTTTCCTCAGGCCTTTCTTCTTACCAACCAAATAGTGTGAATACTGTTATTTGTTTTTTAATTTGTTTTCACTTTTATTGTTTGGACCACCATCAGTGCATCAAATGGTGTTGTGTTCTTGGAAAGAGTCTACAGCCACAGTTGATTTTGCTCACAAAAATCACTGCCTGATCAGTCATCTTTAGAACATAAACATTCCAGAAGTTTTCAGGAGATGACAGGCACAATTTCCTGAAGGCCTGCCTAGAATTGATTTGCTAACATGAAGATAGATGGCTTAATGCCCTTAATCTCTCTGTCTATGGATTTCTTCTCTCATTTTTGTAACATCAGTGCTACCACCACCAACAGTAATAACACTGCACCAGGCACTGAGGGACTTTTATCTGCATTCACTCATTTAATTTGCCCAGCTCTTCTGTGAGGAAGGTACTGTGCATTATGGTCTTCCTCTTACAGACTGAAAAAACGAAGCCTTGGACACCTGAAGGAGATTGCCAGGCAGCCAATGGTGAAGCTGATTTTGTACCCAGACAGTCTGAGTGCAGAGCCTGCCATTACCCTCCAACAGAAAACCAAGAGCAAAGCCATGGGAGAGAGGAGCTAATGAAAGAGGCAGACCAATTAGAAGCTGAGGCTATACTTTATCTTCTTCCTTCTTCCCTCCTCCTCCTCCTTCTGGCCGGCATTCATCAAACATTGAACATATATGAACATTAACTTATGTTAGGCACTATGTTCAAAGCTTTACAACTTACTTAATTCCCACAGCCACCAAGTAAGGTAAATATTTTTATTATCGCATTCTACAGATGAGGAAGCTGAGGCTTTAGAAAGTTGCATCTCTTACTCGAGGTTACAGGTTTGGTAAGATGCAGAGCCAGGAACATTTTGGTAGCATTTGAATTCCTGCCGTATTTTGCTAAATGTGCCCTTGCTGTTACCAAGTACCAGAGTCTTCTCAAATCCAAACACTTCTGGAAGATGAAGGCTTGAATTGCTTTTATGTATTAGTCACTGGACAACTGCACCATCTTGGCAAGTTACTTAAATCACTTACACTGAGAGGTACCCATTTGTTAACTTGCATTCTTACAGGCTTGCTCAGAAGTATGTGGTGCTGATAAGATGCTCTACACTCCTGCAGTTTCCTCCACGAATACCAGAAGCAAATTCTCACCTGTTGTTTGTGGTCCCTATCCTGTGCCAGGCACTTCTCTAAGCATTTGGCATATATTAATTGATTTAATCTTCACAGTGACCTAGAATCCCCATTCTACTAATGAGGAAATTGAGGGTGTTAAGTAAATTTCCCAAGTTTTCCTAGATGGTAAATGGCAGATCTGAAATCCAGACCATGATAGCTTGGCTTAGGAGCCTGTGCTGGTAACCACCATGATTTAGTGTTCCTTCAAGGTAAAAGACATTCTAAGGTGAGTGAGAGCCAGAGAGAAAGAGAGAGGGAGAGAAAGAAAGAGGGAGGGAGGGAAGGAGAGAGAGAGAGAGAAATGGATGTACATTTGTTCTGTATGAAGTCTCTGCACCCTCTAGAGAGCCTTTTCTTTAGTGGGAACTCATTAAGTACATGTGGGGTCATTCAAGCTGCAGATAGACACTAACCCCATGCCTGCTCTGATCATTTAGTGACATCAAAAGCTGCAGCCTTTATAAAGTTCAAAAAAGCACCAGTGCCATTTCCAACAGATCCTTGATTGGACTCAGATGACAAAGCTATGAGCAATTAAAAAGAAACAAAGCACTTACCTGCTACACCAGTAAGGAAGAAACTGATGAGGAAGCCTAGAAAGCAATGTTTAGGCATCATGGTTGCAAGTGTGACTGTTCAGGCAACCAGTGTTCCTTTTAACCAGCTCAGGACCAAAGAGGAAACTGTAAAATCCACAAACAGACAATCACTCCCGGGTTTAAGGCAGATGGTTCCTTGAAGCAACTACAATTTTATTTTGATACTACATTATATTATTTTATTTTAGGAAAAATATGAAAGTATAAAAATCACTTCAAAAAACATTTGCTGTCACTTTTATGTGGAAGCTCGTTTTATTGGGAAGCTCGTTTTTTGTTGGGGCTTCATTAGCTGCAGAAAGGTAAAACACTGAGGATGGGCAGATCTGAAGGGCAGGGCAGTGCAGGGATTGTGCAAGTGGCAAGCAGGTGAGTGAATGAAACAACTAGTGGGGCCTTAAGGGAATCTGGCCCCAGGAGGCGGAGAGGCTGCCAAGGACTAGGACTTGGCTGCCAGGGTGATTTTGAGTAATGTGCTTGGCATTTGCAGCTATCGGGGCCCCTGGCAGTGGTTCAAAGCAAGAGGGGTCTATCGTTGATTCACTCTTTTCCTCTCTTTTTGGTAGGTCCCCAATTAATCTCCCTGCTATGCCCCATACCCTTCCACTGCATCTGGCTCTCCACGGGGCTCCCTGCCGTACTCTTCAGCCTTTCCCACTCCATAGTGGTCCTGGGCTCCATTTAGCTAATGCCTCTTCCTCTTCCATTTTCACACCCAGTTTCCAGTGAGCTGGAGAAAGATTTTGAGCCTGTCAAACCACATGATTCCTTAAAAAGATGAATGGGGAAGACACTCCTTTTGAGCTACATTAGATCTTTTTCACATTGTCTTTGAAATCTGATTGAAGCAGGTCATCTGTTCTCTGTCTATGATTCATTATATCATTCTTCTTACCATTTTTTTTTACTACACGTGTTTAGAGATACTAAAATTATACATGAAAGAACAAAAAAGTCATGTTCCATAGTGAACAGGTCTGTGCAAACCTACCCTTAAAGTCCAAGGAAGCTGAGAGGTCAAAGAAAAAGGCTGACATATCCAGTTTCTCAGAAAGAAACATTTCGTAGGGACTTATGAACAGAGCCATGTGTGTGTCCTGGACAGTGGCAAGACAAGATGGTGGACCCTCATGCCATTACCCTGTAGACCTGAAGAAGGAATTAAGGAAATCAACTATAACCTAATAGTAGTAGTAGTAATAGAAATTTTAAAATCCTCTTAAAGTTGCTGCAAAGTGTGACCCCCCACCTTACACTCAAGTTAAAAGGGAATATTAACAGCCTGTCTTCTCTCTGTGGACAGTGGACCTTATCTATACTTCCCAAATCCACATTCCTCAGAGTTTATTACAGGCCCAGTGAGTTCCTGCATGACTGCAGGGTCACAAGACTGATAAGTTTAGGTTGCAAGACATGTCTTTCTCAAAATATAACAAATGTTGTAATGCTGCCTTTGTTTCTTGCTTCTGTATCTCGCTTCCTGCCTCATGTAGTTCCCACCTTAAGATGTTTAAACGTAGGAAAAGCCCTTTGCTCAGGGCTCAGACTTTCTGGACATATGTGCTACTGATCACCTTAATTTAGTAAACTCTCCTGAACCTTTTTCGGTCTCTCCAATCTTTGGTTGTCCCACAACATTTCCGGGGACCAGTCTGGGATTGGAGATGGCAGATTTTCGTCTCCTTTGCCTGTGGGTTAGAGCCCCAGGACATGGGAAATCTGGGGTCCTTGGTGCCACCGGGAGAGTTTTAGCCCAGAAGGAGAACAGCCCTTCCACGTTCTGGAGCCTTCCTCCAACAGTGCAAATGGAACCAGTGGAAAGGGTTGCAGGACAGTCACAAGAACAGTGCATAGACATATGAACTGCAGTAAGGTTTGGGCCCTAAGGCAAGACCCGTCCCATAAGGATGGAAGGGGAGCCTGGTCACCTCCAAGGGCATGACAACTAGTCTGACCCGAGGGGGTTGGGACAATGGGAGAGGCCCATTGATTCAGATGAAACTCACACCCTAATTGACACCAGACGTAAGTGGGGCTCATGAGTCGGTCAGAAAGGAAAACCATTTTGGGGATGGGGGAGGTGTGTGAAAGTGTGTAAAAGAGATGGTCTCGGGAGAGACCAAGGCGGGGTTGATGTGGGGAGGCACAGATCTCTTAGCGTGGACTGTGTGCTCCCAGGCGAGTGTGGGAAAAACCAGACCTAGGACACTGCATACGGCCCAGAGGACCAGCTCCACAGCTGCAGCTAGCTGTGACAGGAATTAAGGCATGCTCCTGGCTAAGCAGTGTCCGAACCTCCTGTAATAGGACCCAGTCTGGTGGATCCAAGAGTGAAAGTGAGAGTGAAAGTGCATCACAAGGGAGGAAACAGGAGGAAAAGCGTCAAAGCCTATTCCACTGGAGTGCGTGCTGAAAAACTTTAAAAAAAGTTTTAATGGTGACTATGGGGTTAAGCTAACTTCACAGAAACTGAGAACTTTTTTGAGATAAAATAGCCATCTTTTAATGTAGGGTGGCCAGCCAAGGGGACAATAGACAGGGAGATAATTGGCCGAGTGTTTCGGGTGGTCACCAGGCTTGGAGAACAGCCCGGGCACCTGGATCAGTTTCCGTATATTGACTCCTGGCTAAGTATAATTCAGACCCTCCCTAAGTGGCTGCAGGCCTACTTTGAGATCTACTGTAAGACTCTAACGGCCAAGACAAAACCAGGAACAATAGAAAGAAACTGCAAGGCATCAGAAAAAGAAAAGTCACAGGAAAAGCAGTAAAAACCTGTCCTACAGGCCCCGCCTGAAGAGTTAGAAATTCCACCCCACTATGCACCAATTTATCCACCTCTGGCAAAGCTTAGACAGAAGGCTGCCCCGGCTGCCTCCGGAGACTCAGACTCAGAAGGAAGCACCCCTCAGGCAACACCACGCAGAGAGGAGCCAGAGCCCTTGACTGAAAAGCCAAGGGAGGAACTCCAGGGTGATGAGGTCGGCCGCCTTAGGTCGGTCCGTGCCCAAGCAATGCAGATGCCACTCTGAGAAACATGGGGACAAATTTATTTGAATGCACAGAATGAAGTCCAAGGGGGAGAACAGCTCTTCTTTTATCAGCCCTTCTCTACTACTGATCTCTTAAATTGGAGACAACATACTCCCTCCTATAGAGAGAAGCCTCAGGCTCTTATAGATCTAATGCAGTCCATTTTCCTAACTCACAATCCTACCTGGGTTGATTGTAAACATTTTTTTCTGTCATTATTTAATATGGAAGAGCACCGTAGAGTTATACAAGCTGCTCTCCAGTGGCTGGAGAAAAATGCATCTTCAAGCACAGGAGATATCAGGCAGTATACACAACAAGCACTCCTGATAGAGGCTGACCCAGGCTGGGACCCTAACCAGGCTCAAGGGCTACAAGTTTGCAGCAGTATTGAGAGGCACTCCTAAATGGAATAAACGCTGGAGAGAAAAAGGCCACCAATATCGGAAAGGTCTCAGAGGTTCGCCAGAAGCCAGATAAAAGTCCCGGTGAATTTTATGAGAGGCTGTGCGAGGCTTACCAGCTTTACATGCCACTTGACCCAGAGGCTGCGGGTAATCAGTGTATGGTTAATGTGGCATTTGTAAGCCAGGTGCAAGAAGACATCGGAAGTTAGAAGGGTTTGAAGGTGTGAATATTACCCAGCTTATCCAGGTGGCTACTAAGGTGTTTGTAAATCAGAAGGAGGAGGCCAAGAGAAAAGCTAGATGCAGAGCTAAGGAAAAGGCAGACTTGCTGGCGGTGGCCTTAGTTGGAAGAGAAACTGGTTTTGTGAGAGGATGTGGTCGTGGTTGCGGTCATGATAGAGGACAAACTAGGTAAAACCAGGAAGCTAAGCCAGGACAAGAGGGCCAACTTAGGCTTAAGGGAGATCAATGTGTGAGATGCAAGCAGATGGGACACTAGAAGAATGAATGCCAAATTTTCCGGTGCCCTTGTTAGGAAGAGATTTCCTCCAGAAATTGCAAGCACAAATCTCCTTTATACCAGAAGGGCACATGACTCTAAATCTAGGTCAAAGAAAAGCCATGATAAAGACCCTTACTGTCCCAACAACAGAGGAATGGTAATAATTTGGGTGCCCCACACGGTTGTCACTCTGATGGAGCAGAGGGGACATTGCTGGCTTTCTAACCCTAGAATGTTAAGATATCAAGGGCTTTTGTGTGAAATCCCCTACCTAACCTTGGAGACTATGAATACTCTAAATCCGGCCACACTGCTGCTGATAGAATGGGCGGAGCATGGAAAGCCCCCATTGTGTGGCCCAGGGTATCACTGTTGTGTGGAAACTGTGGATGAAGTTTTCTCAAGCTGAAAAGACTTAAAGGACTAGCCCTTAAAAGACCCACATGTTAAATACTTTGCTGATGGAAGCAGCTTCATATCTAAAGGTTTATCAGTTGGGCTGGATATGCAGTGGTAACACTGAATTCAGCAGCTGAAACCTGCCCTCTGCCGGCCGGAACTTTAGCCCAAAGAGCTGAGATAATAGCTGTCACTAGGGTGTTGCTTTTGGCCAAAGAAAGTCGGTAAACATCTATACTGACTCAAGGTATGCCTTTGCCACTTTGCATGCCCATGGAGCCATATATAAGGAAAGAGGATTGTTAACTACTGAAGGAAAGGAAATCAAAAATAAAAAGGAAATAGAGCAGCTCTTAGAAGCTGTATGGGCTCCAAAAGAAGTAGCAGTCATCCATTGCAAAGGGCATCAAACAGGAGGACATGACAAGGCCAGAGAAAACAGAAAGGCAGAAAGAGAAGCCAAAAGAGCTGCAATGACAGCGATAACTAAGAAGGAAGAGGAAACCCTTACCATGCCCTTATTGGAGCTTCCTCTTACAGAACCCCCTAACTACTCCTCTAATGAAAAGGCTTGGTTTGAGCAGGAAAGTGGAAGTTACCAGAAAGGAAGTTGGTGGAAGTTCTCAAATGGGAGGCTCGCCAGCTATCCCAGAAGCAATAGCCCCTGGTTCATAAAACAGTTTCATCAAGGAACACATATGGGAAAAACTGCATTAGAGACTCTTGTAGGATGGCATTTCTATTGCTGAGCCTAACTGCCATCACTCGAGCCATTTATGAGTAATGTTTAACTTGTGCCCCAAACAATCCACAGCAGGGGCCAACATGGCCCCCAGGGATTCAAGAAACTGGAGCTACACCCTGTGAAAACCTGCATGTGGGCTTTACTGAGCTGCCTCGAACCGGAGGCTACCGGTGCATGCTAGTGTTTGTCTGCACTTTCTCAGGGTGGGTTGAGGCATTTCCCACCAGGACAAAGAAAGCTCGGGAAGTAACCAGAATCTTACTAAAGGACATTATTCCTAGATTTCGACTGCCTCTAACTTTAGGATCAGACAATGGCCCAGCATTTGTGGCAGAAATAGTACAACAGCTAACACAGAGGTTAAAAATCAAATGAAAACTGCATACAGCTTATCACCCATAGAGTTCTGGAAAGTTGAAAGAATAAACCGGACACTCAAACAGCCGTTAAAAAAGTTTTGCCATGAAACTCATCTAAGATGGGATCAGGTGCTGCCCATGGTCCTTCTCTGAGTCAGGTGCACCCCTACTAAATTAACTGGGTATTCACCCTATAAGATAGTGTTTGGCCGACACCCTGATCATAACTCAGATAAACGGGGATTTAAAAAATTGGGGAATTAACCTTAAGAAGGCAAATGCAAGCCTTAGGTGAGGTCTCGCAGGAAATGCAAGGATGGGTAAGAGAAAGAATACCTGTTAGCCTCACAGATGCAGTACAACCCTTCTAACCTGGAGACTCTGTCTGGGTCAAACAATGGAACCCAACCACTTTAGGGCCTTTATGGGATAGTCCCCATATTGTGATCTTGTCTACTCCCACTGCTGTTAAAGTTGCAGGTATCATACCTTGGGTTCATCATAGCCGGCTGAAACCAGAAGCAGCCACCACCCAGGACCAGTGGACAAGTCAACAAAACCCAGACCACTCAACATGGCTGATCCTGTGGTGAAACCAAGCCACTGCTGACAAGGACAACTGCCCTGCTTCAACCACACCAGAGGCTGGTTGGTCCACGCACGGCTGAAGCTTGAGGAAACATCGAGCCCTGTTCTAGTCACACAAATGGAAGCTGACTAGTCTATGCATGGCTGAAGCCTGAGGAAGTCAATGATACATAAGTAAATGTAGACTAAATTTACAAACATAGTTATACTCTTACTTGTAGTAATTATTTTGCTGTCATGTTATCTTTGCAAATGCTGCCAAGCTTGTTGCCCAGAAAGGTGCCCATGCATAGTATAAGTTTAATCATATTAGTAATACTGAAGCCACTGACACTTTCACCTATGGTTATAAAAGGGGACCAGGATGACTGTCATCACTGTATGATAGAAGCCTGGTCTGGAAAAGGTGTGACTAAAACTCTGTTATACCAGACCTACTATGAGTGTACAGGGACTCATACAGGAACTTGTTGTTTATAACCAGACTAATTACTCAGTCTGTGATCCTGGAAACGGGCAGCCCCAAATATGTTATGACCCAGAGTTCTTGCCCTATGACTTCTTATTTGAAGTCCAAATTTGGTGAACCCCTAATGCCATCATATACAAACCCCACAGAAACTGGGGTCAGTAAACTTGTAAACAAAACGCAAGTATTCACTTACGCGCATAAAGGGCCCGTCTCCATATATTTTGATGCCTGCCAAGCTGCACATCTCAGTAAACTAAATAATATTTGGACCATCTGTAAAAATCTAGGACAAGAAAGAGTCAGCAGCAGAGCCACCAAGGCCATAATAGGAGAGTCCGAAAAAGAGTGCCCTGATTGTGATAATCAGTGGACCACACATGAATTTAATCAGCACCTATACACTGGAAGGGCTGCTCTGTTTGCCAGCCAAGAGGAGAAGATAGGGTACACAACTGGAACATGCTACCCACTCAATCTGACAATACTAAAGCCAAATATGACTTTCTGGACTAAAGGGCATAAAGGATTACTAACCTTTGATCAGGCAGGAGCTCTCCTAGGACTTGGTATTCCTCTGGTCATCACAAAGAAAACCCAAAGGACTCAAGTTCAACTTAGCCCAATACAACAGTTCAGGTTTTATAAATCTTTCAATGAACACTTTAATTCTGAAGTATCAAAAATTCAAATTCCTCCTATATCAACTGAAAATCTGTTTGTCCAGCTAGCCAAAAGTATTGCTAACAATTTAGGAGTTACTTCCTGTTATGTATGTGGAGGTGCTAATATGAGAGATCAATGGCCCTGGGAAGCCAGAGAATTGATGCTGCAAGACAATTTTACCTTGCCTGAATTTGTTACAAAATTCAATGCAAATCCAAGTGTTTGGCTATTAAGGAACCCCATCATTGGAAAATACTGTATTGCCTGTTGGGGCAAGTCCTTTCAGAACCAGATAGGGGAAACAACTTGCCTAGGTCAACAATATTTTGAAGAATCTGAGAACAGAACACAATGGAGAAGCTTTATAGATGATTCCTCTGTGTCACTTTAATCCCTTTTTGCAGTTCCCAACACTAAATCAATCATGGTACCAATTAGAAGCTCCAACTGTTTGGAGAGCACCTGCAGGATTATATAGGATCTGTGGAACAAAGGCTTATCAATTACTAACCGATAAATGGACAGGGGCATGTATATTAGGAACAATAAGGCCATTCTTTTTGCTACTCCCCCTGCAGCAAGGGGAAGATCTAAGCTATCTGGTCTATGATGAAGGCAGAAAAAGAGTCAAAAGAAATGTGTTTACAAAAATAAGTACTGAGGAAAAAATAAATACTAACATTAAAAAGGACATTGAAATAGGGGGCTGGAAAGATAATGAATGGCCCCCTGGGCACAAGATGGGTCATGGGGATACTGTACTCCTATTTATATGTTAAACCACATCATAAGGTTGCAAGCAGTTCTGGAAATTATAGTCAATGAAACAGCCTGAGCCTTAGACTTGCTAGCCATACAGGCAACCCAGATGAGAGATGCCATTTATCAGAACAGGTTAGTACTGAATTATGTTTTAGCTTCAGAAGGGGGTTTGTGGAAAACTTAATTTAACAAATTGCTGCTTACAAATTGATGACAATGGAAAAGCTGTCATGGAAATCACTGCCAGGATGCGGAAGTTAGCTCATGTTCTGGTTCAGACATGGTCTGGTTGGAACCCGAGTTCACTCTTTGGAGGACGGTTTTCATGGTTTGGAGGCTTTAAAACTGTAATACTAGGCTTTGTGGCCATAAAAGGTGGATGCCTACTGCTTCCCTGTCTCTTGCCATTTCTAATCGGAAGCATCCAATCCACCATAGACTCAATGGTAGACAGACATACCACCATCCGAATAAAGGCTCTGCAAAAGTACCAACTGGTATCCCAAGATGAGTATGTACCCACTCAAGAAGAAATAGCTAACTGTGGTGCTCTTTATTAATCTACATTTGTGTCGAGCACCAAAAGGGGGAAATGAAGAAGGAATTAATGAAATCAACTATAACCTAAGAGTAGTAGTAATACAAATTTTAAAATCCTTTTAAAGTTCCTGCAAAATGTGACCCCTGCCTTACATTCACGTTAAAAGGGAATATTAACAGCCTGTCTTCTCTCTGTGGACAGTGGACCTTATCTATACTCCCCAACTCCACATTCCTCAAAGTTTATTACAGGCCCAGTGAGTTCCTGCATGACTGCAGGGTCACAAGACTGATAAGTTTAGGCTGCAAGACATGTCTTTCTCAAAATGTAACAAACGTTGTAATACTGCCTTTGTTTCTTGCTTCTGTAACTCGATTCCCGCCTCACGTAGTTCCCACCTTAAGATATTTAAAAGTAGGAAAAGCCCTTTGTTTGGGGCTCAGACTAGCTGAGCCGGTGATCACCTTAATTTAATAAACTTTCCTGAACTTTCGGTCTCTTCAGTCTTTGATCATCCCGCAACAGACCCAGGGCTTACATACCACCGGGAAAGGGCCTGCGTGATTCAGAAGGGATGTATATGACAATTGAAGTATCATAACATCAAGGTGGTTTTGACGTACAGGCAGGACTTATGACAAGTATGTGTTCTCATACAAGGAACAATCGATAAACTAGAAATCTTAGAAGCCTTCCTGAAAAAGGATTAATCAGAAGTCAACATGGCAGATTAGCATCTAAAAATGAAGTTGCTTCAGCCTCCGCAAGTCATAAAGGTTTTTTTGTTGTTGTTAAAAAGAGAGGCTCTTTAGATCAAAAGGGGAAATGTATACTGGTTTCTATTTTCTCTTGTATAGTCTCTTTCAAGTTCTTGGTAGAATAGCTCCTTTAGTAAGGAATAATGATGGCTGCTAAGCAGTATCCATCCATGCAGCTATCCAATAACATTTCACAAATATTTGCTGTCCTACCATAAACTAGGAATTAGTCTCAGCAGCAAGGATGCAGCAGCAGATAAGAGAGACATTGCCCCTGCCTTCCTTAAGCTTGCTTCTCAAGGGAAAAGTAGAGAATAAGGAGCTACAGCAGGGTTACAACTTCTATTCATCTAACCTTCTCTGTCTTTTTCTTCTCCTTCTTAAATGGGAGATGAAAAGTTTCAGAAGCCGGCTTGCAAAGCCACTTTGCCTCCCACCCTCCATCACAACCATTAACCAAGACTAGAATGTAGGAGGGGAAGCAGGTAAAATGAAAGTGCTAAAAGGAGAGGGTTGGGTGCTGCTGATGTGGAGGAGGCAGAGTCTTCAAAGAGAAAGGGAAGAATGGCCTTCTGCATACAGACAGGAGCAGAGGAGTTGTTCTCAAGTGTAGACCCTCCATCCCAACCCCATGACCCAGCACCTGTGAACATTTCTAGACACTCGGGTGCCTGAGACTGTGAGGCCTTGGGTGGAGCTGGGGCCACGCAGGGAAAACCTTATTCCTGAGCAAAGGGTCTTAGAAGAGAGCTTATCAGAAATTTCCTCAGAAACCAGATCCCAGTGGACCAGGCCACTATCAATTTTCATTTAACAAATTTCAGTTATTGGAGGGCAGTTGCGCTGCATGCTTTCTGAGGCCAGCCCTATGTGGAAAGGTTTGTGTGGATAACATCAGGTTTCCCAGTGCCTCTGTTCTACGGCAGTCTTCTGAATCCAGGCTTGTATCTCCTCCAGCTGAAGTTTTTGGTGCTTATAAGGTAGCTTCTGCTTTGAAAGAAGAAACATGCAGCACGTTTTATGTTCCCTTTTCACCTCTTCATGCTCCTTAGCTTGCAACCTTCTCAGCATTGTTATTCACTTCCCTGCTAATGTTTACCACTTCACATTTACTTTGGTATTTAAATGGGGGATGATAATGTGGGTTTGCACTATTGATGTTCAATGGCTTCAATACCAATAGATCTCATTTTGAAGCCACCAAATTGCTCCAAGTTCCAGCTAAGAATAAAAGGAAAATATTTAAATTCGAGGTTTTATGATGAGAGCAGCAGAGAACGAAATTGAGGTTTCCACTGGGTTGCTGACTTTGTCAAACAAATGAGGGGAAATTAGGCGGAGTGGGATAAGCAAAACATATTTAAGAACTGAATTCTCCCCAAAACGTGAGCTTTGGTGCTCTATTAAATTTCACAAACCAGACCAGTTCTGTCACTGTTCAATTAGCTCTAGTTGTGTAATAGAACCTGCATAAAAGCCAACACTGTCAACAAGGCCTCAAGGTAGATGAAAAGATAAAATTAAATTCTAATTTCCCATCAATCTGGAAGCAGAAGAATTTGTACAGAATTGTTTCAAATGAAATGCTGTTTTGTTTGGGAAGTAAGAAAGTTTTAGTCACTAGGGGATCTCCGCTCTGCCTCCTTTCAGGCATGAAATGCTGGCTTCATTCCCTGCCCTCCCCCGACCTCGGCCCCACTCCGCAGCAGGGAGAGTCCACCTTGACGGTGACAACGGGTATTTCCATCATCGTGTTGACTCTGGAGAGAACTTGCTTAAGCCCCTGTCTTGAACAGATTTGATTCTCTTCTTCCTTTCTTCTTGTGGCTTCCAGCAGACCAACCATTTATCTAATTAAGGAATCATTTTTCATTGTTTTTAGGTGTGATGTGGAATTTTGGTTATTATTTTTATTTTTTTTTAGAGCTACCTATTATAGTACTACAGATGAAATGGTGTCATGTCTGGGATTTGCTTCAAAATAATACAAAGGCCTGGGAAAGGGGGTTACCATCCATGAGCTGATAACTGTTGAAATTGGGTGTCAGGTTTATTATACTCTACTTTTGTATGTACTTAAAATTGTTCATAACAAAGAAAAAAGATTTTTAAAGTTTATCTACAAGATGTGGCCAGACACGGTGGCTCACACCTGTAATCTCAGCACTTTGGAAGGCGGAGGTGGGTGGATCATTTGAGGTGTGGAGTTCCAGACCAGCCTGGCCAACATGGTGCAACCCCGTCTGTACTAAAAATACAAAAATTAGCCAGGCGTGACGGTGTGTGCCTGTAATCCCAGCTACTCAGTGGGGCTGAGGCAGGAGAATTGCTTGAGTCAAGGAGGTGAGGTTTGCAGTGAGCCGAGATCGCGCCACTGCGCTCCAGTCTGGGCAGCGATAAAGCGAGAGTCCATCTCAAAAAAATAAATAAATAAATAAATAAAGTTTACTTACCAGATGCTGTCTTCCTTTTGGTAATTTTAATGCCATTTTAGTGTCAATAATAAGATCTAATAATTATGGGACGCCATGTTATGTTTTTCCCATATTTTGTCTTTGTTAATCCTCTTATGAAGTCTAGGAGATTGGTATTATTATTCATTTGATGTTACAGATGAAGAAACTGAGACATAGATAGAGAGGTGGAGAGAACTTGACCAGGGCTCTATAGCGAGTAGTGGTAAAGTGAGGGCTGAAATCAGATCTGGTTAGCCTCAGGGCCTGAGGAGTATTATGAAACTCCTCTTGTGTTATTCTTTGCTTGTAATAGACATTCCATAAAGGGATAGAATGATGTCAAAGAACATTTGTCCATTGGCTTCTCGAATCGTTTATTCAGTCAAACAAATGTTTATTGAGCAACTGTTATATGCCAGGCACTGTGTTAGACATCGGGGATGCAGAAATGAACAAGACTACAGAGCCAGCCCTCAGGGAACCAACAGCATTTTCTTCAACCAGGTCTTGGTAGCAAAGGGCTAAGTGTTTCTTATTGTTTTTCAGAGAAGTGTTTAAAAACTGGTGTTCAGTATGACTTTGGTGCTGTCCATTGAAGGGAAGTCAGAGCAACTGTGTTTCTGCTAGGCCCTTTCCTTCATCCTATGATTTGGTGGGCAGCTGAGCATCTTTTAAAAGTTTCATCATGAATGATAATCTGAACACCACCCTTCTCCCTCTCTGGAAAACTATAGAGCTGTAGAGCCAACAACAGGGAAACAACTTGTTCTTTCTTATTTGCTGGGACATTAATAGCTCCACCGAGTAATATTCATGTCCTTTAAGCAGTTCGGCATTCTGGAAATAATTGGCATGCAAAAATTCAAAATGGTTTGTGAACTTGAATTCAGAAAAGAAAAAGAAACATTGTTATTCAAACACAGGTGATAAGCACAATGACTAATCTGAGTTTTTGGACTGTGATCACTAATATATTATTTAAAATCTCCACTCATAGGACATAGGGCTTAATGAGGTTAACCTTTCCTGCTCTTCACTCTTATTTTTCTGGATAAAAGATGCTATTGATTTTGCTTTGATTATTCTTTAAAAAATTTTTTAAAATTTATTTCTGAAAACCAAAACATAAAGGAGTGGTAACATTTAAAAAATATGTATTTTTTTTATTTCAGTAGCTGTGCAATAGTGCAAGTGGTTTTTGGTTACCTGGATGGATTGCACAGTGGTGAAGTCTGAGATATTATTGCATCTCTTACCCGAGTAATGTACATTGTACCCAATATGTAGCTTTGATTATTCTTCACCCAAGGTCACCTTGAAACCCCTACCAGATATCATCAATCATTATGCCCATGCACCAGTATGTTTGTATGTATTGTTTGATCCTGAAAATATCTTCATGGCATAACCAGAATCCAACTGGTTTTCACCTCCTCCACTGTACCCATTTGGTAACCTGCTATCATCATCTCTTGTGTGGACTGTGGCCACAGCCTCCTTACTGGTCTGCCTGCCTCTGTCACTGTTCTCTGCATCAGGTGGAGTGTTCCTATTAAATGTCAGAATAGAACATTTTATTCAGAACCCTGTGATGCCTTCCCATCTCACTCAGATTGAAAGTCAACATTTTTCCAGTCCCTTACTAAGCCCTATATAACCAGGTCCTGTTACCTCTAAATTTATTTCCTACTGCTCTCCTCCCAACCCATGGTGCTCCCTCCTGGGTGGTCTTTTTGCTGTTTCTCAAACATATCAGGCACATCCCTACATTAGCAAGGTTCCCTCTGCTCCAATGCTCTTCCTGAGATGTCCAGGCTCACTCCCTCACCTCCTTCATGTCTCTGCTCAAATATTATCTTATCAGTGAATTCTATGACACCCAAAATAGCAGTCCCCAACAGCTGTCCCTGGCACCTTTATCTGTTTGTTTTCCAAAACATTTATCATCATTTGGCAGGCTATGTTTCATTTTATTCTTGTTGTCTATCTCCCCAACTAGGATATAAGCTCCACGAGGTCAGGGATGTTATGTGTTTTGTTCACTGCTTTAACTCTAGCACTTAGGACAAGGCTGGGGACACAGTAAGCCCTTATCACATGTCTAGTGAATCAAAAAAAAGGAATGTGATTTTAGCAACTGCCATGAATTTACAAGAATTAAGCTAAAGGAACGGGAAGGTGCTTTTCTGCTTTTTATGGTCTGAAGTAGGAGTCCTGAGGGGAAGGGGCTGAGATTCTGTGGACTGTGAGGTTACTATGGTCAGATACTCACGAGCTCAGACACTCATGGGCAACAATGACCTTTGCAAAATCATGCAATGTTGCAGTCAGCTCGTCAGTTGGATAAATTAATCTGAGTGACCTAGGAATTATCTGCTTCTTAAGGATACATAGATTTCCCTGAGAAATCATCTGGGTGCTTTTGGAATTTGGGGGCAGAAAATACAGGATAGTATTATCTGACAATTTTCTAATTCTTCTATGGTAATTAGTGTGTTTCGATTTTTTTTTTATCTCATCTAGATTCAGTTGCTACAAAGTATATTTTCTTTAGAAGACTATCCTTTTTATTCATGCCTTTAAATTTATTGGTACAGAGTTGTGCAAGTTATTCCTTTATGATTTATTTAATTCTCCTTTTTCTGTGACTTCCCTTTTATAATTTTCTGTTTTGAGTAATGATTTTCCCCTTGTTTTCTTAGTAAATTGGCTGGATATTTATTTTCAAATTTCTTTTCAAGGAACTAAATTTTGTAGTTTTGTATTCTACTTTAAAAAAAGTCATGTCTCATTTTTATCTCCTTTACCTTTAAAAATTCCTTCCTTTTGTTTTTGTTTTATTTAATTTGTTGGATTTTTCAAAAAACAAAAACTCCTGAGTCAGATATTTGTTCTGTTTGTTTTATTCTTTATTTTATACCAATACAAATTTTTACACTAGGAATTTCTCTGAAATGTATAAGCTCCCTCATTGGCTCTAAAATGTGATGTTTTCTTTTTTCTTTTTTCTTTTCTTTTTTTTTTTTTTTTTTTTAGCAATTCTGCAATTTAGATTTCTTTTCCTCACCCAAGGGTTTTTAAGGAAAGAATGAAAAGCAAAAATTCCAAATGGAAGGGCTGTTTAATTTTAATTCTCATTGTTGCTTTTTCATGATATCCAGAGAAGAAGAAAAAAGATGCTTGACTTACGTAACCATGCTCAATTTGGAAATACTCTCTCTTTTTGCTTTGATTTCTGGGAGGTGGATTAGCATTTACTATTAGATTCACTATTTAATTTACTCTTTAAGAACAAAGATAAAGTGTAGCCAGACAACTGCTTAGGAGTGTATCAGTCCAACAAGATGTACATTGAGCTCTAAACAAAATTTAAAAATCTTCATGAGCCTTAGAATAAGAAAAATACCTTTTACATTTTAAAACAGTGACTTAAATTTTTTTTTTTTTTTACTGTAGCATATGAGCAGCCACCATAACTAACTTATTTTGTATTTCTAGCTTCACCTAAAGCTATTTCTGGATGTGGCTGCTAGTTTGTCAAAGTTAAATAAAGCGTGACGCATATTGTTCAAAGGCAAGCGGAAGATCTAACGTTTCTTTTTGAAATATAGGAAACTGGAGATATCAGGCAACAGTGGAAAAGCATGCACTTTGGAGAAAGGTGAAACCTGAATTCAATTCTCTCAAAATGTACTTCGAGCTTCATCCATTTGCATTGGGGTCCCCATCCTGGTACTTAAAGGCATGTAGGATGCCATTTCTCATTCCCCCCAAGTGCTCCCACACAAACCCAGAGTACTCACTAACTTCATTTGATTTCTGGGGTCTCTGGACTCCTTAACTGAACCCACTTAGACATCCCATATGCCTTAAAATAGGGGCTCCACCTCAGCCATGGGAAGGATTCCAACCTTCTTCCACATCCATGTTCCTTGCTTAGCCCAACAAGACCCTGGCAGAGGCTCCTGCCCAAGGGCCATGCTGGGCCTTGGGCTCCCCTCTCGGCCCTTAGCTGGCTCCTTGTCCTCTGAGCTGCACTTGTTCCAGCCTGAGGCATCCCTCCCTCCCACCCTTCATCCACAAGACCCCAGCTCTGCCTCCTCAATGTTTTATTTGCATTCTGAGTTCCTACTATATTGTATTCCCAAGACATATCTCTTCTAAATTTCTAAATTACAGTAAAACAACTTCTAAATTTCATGTGTGATATGGTTTGGCTGTGTCCCCACCAAAATCTTGTCTTGCATTGTAGCTTCCATAATCCCCATATATTGTGGGAGGGACCTGGTGGGAGGTAAATGAATCATGGGGGTGTTTTTTTCCCATGCTGTTCTCATGATAGTGAATAAGTCTTACAAGATCTGATGATTTTATAAAGGGCAGTTCCCCTGCACACATCTCTTGCCTGCCACCATGTAAGACGTGCCTTTGCTTCTCCTCCTTCTGCCATGATTGTGAGGCCTACCCAGTCATGGGGAACTGTTAATCCATTAAACCTCTTTTTATTTATAAATTACCCAGTCTTGGGTATGTCTTTATTAGAAGTGTGAGAAAGGACTAATACACTGTGCCTCAGTTTCCTCACTGGAAAAAAATGTATAATACTAGTCTTACCAGATAGCTAGGAGTGTCAATAAGAGAAACTTTGCCAACCATCTGCCTATAGTAGAGGCTCAGGCGCATTAGTTCTCCCTCCCATTTCTTTCCACTTCCTGCTGGAGCATGTCCCCAGGCTACCCATAGCTGCTTTAATGTTTCCCAAACTTGCAAGCAGGAATCAAGGTGTGTGGAGAGAGAGGAGTCTCCATAGGTCCCAGGAGGGAGTCATACCTGATTCTCAGTCCTACAGAGGGGAAGTTAAAATAATGGGAAATGAGCAGTTCTACAGATGCAGTAACATAGGTAGAATTGTTGAGGTAAAGTCAGTTCACTGAATTTGGCAAGCTGTTATAGCTGGTTTTTTGTTTTTGATTTTATCTAGCTTTTTGCAATCTGACTATAATCCTGTACGTTTATACATATATTTTATTGACTTTCAATCAGTTCTGGCTTGCAAGAATTTCTGCAATTCTTCTGTAGAAGTTTTCAAAATTTCTGGAATCACAGAAAACAGACATGTTTCTTTCTCTATAATACATAAAATAAATTATATTAATATTCTAGGTTATATATAATAACACATATAAATAAATATAAAATTATATTATATATAGAAATATATTTTTTATTTTTATAAGTACGTATTTATTTGTAAACTGTAAAACCATAATAAAGGAGTAAAACTGACATGAATATAAGTGAAATGGAGGGGGTTGTGTAGACAATATGTTTAGCTGACAAATATTTATTGAGCACTTGTCCTATGCCAGGCACTGTCTGAAGTTCTGGGAATACGCAGGGATTAGACAAGTTCTTGTTCTCATAGAGCTGATATCCTAGTGTCCGTGGCAGGGAGGCAGATAATAAACTGACACATCACTATTTTGTCAGGTGGTGCTAAGTGCCATGGAGACACAGTAGGTGCAGGGAGGGAGAATAATGGGAAGATACCATTGCAGGTAGGGGGTGAGGAATAGCCTTGCTGGACAGGGACATATGAACAAAGGTCTGAGTTGGGTGAGGCAGGATGCCACACAGACATTGGAGGAGGAAAATCTGAGCAGGGGGCACAGCAAAGCCCCAAGGCTGAGGCCAGATGAAGGAGCAGGAGGCAATGTGGCTGGAGAGGAGGGAGCAAGGGGCAGAGTGTTGGTGGTGAGGTCAGGGGCCCAGCAGCCTGATCCAGGGGACTTGAACAGGATGGAAGGACTTTGGGTGCGTTCTGAAGAAGGGGAAGCCACTGGAAGGCATTAAGTAGAAAAAATTGGAAGTGAGAGTAATTATATGTGAAAGTTGTTAGAGTCACAATGGAGTGACGATGAGGCAGGACAGGTAGTCAAGGAAGTAAGTGCAGTTAACACAATGAGCCCCAGTATTCGCATTGTAATCCAGCTCATGCAAGCACAGCTATCTCCTGCAGGGAATATTTCCCATAGACAGCATTTGCACTTTGATTTTACCTCTTCTCAAACGGACCCTGTTCTCATGATAATAGTAAAAAACACACCCCTAGGTGGAGATTTAAGATGCTGATGAATTATGAGATGTATGAACAAGCATGTACAGCTACTGCACATGTGCACCCAGAGGACCACCGAGGACATGCTTACTAGCAACACCTTTTCTCACCCTCTTATGAATAATCATGTAAGAGTCCCATAAAAGGATTTCTCCAGCAATAATCAGTGCTGTCCATTCAGTGGCTCATGCCTGTAACCCAGCACTTTGGGAGGCCGAGGTGGGTGGATCACCTGAGGTCAGGAGTTTGAGACCAGCCTGGTCAACATGGTGAAACCTCGTTTCTATTAAAAATACAAAAAAAGTAGCCAGGTGTAATGGCACATGCCTGTAATCCCAGCTACTTGGGAGGCTGAAGCAGGAGAACTGATTGAACCTGGGAGGTGGAGGTTGCAGTGAGTCATGACTGTGCCACTGCACTCCAGCCAACAGAGTAAGACTCTGTTCCCCCTCGGCCCCCTGCAAAAAAAAATAATAACAATGATAAGAGGCAAGATCAATGGCCACCAAAATTTTATTTTTTCCCATAGCGTTGCTGGGGTGGCATGGCTGCCTGCCCTGGGTTCATCCTGTCCCTAAGTGGAACTCCCTATGGCTGAGGGACTCAGAATCAAATGACTTATAGCCAATTAAATGTTCTAGTCCAGATGCCCAATTAAATGGGCATGGACAGACATTCATTAGCCTTTAAATTATTTTCTAAGTAAAAAGTCAACAAACAAAAAGTTAAAGGTGAGGTTACAAAACTGACTTTTCTTTAACTTCTATGCTACTGTAATCTTGGGTTTTGTTATGGACTTATAGCAATTATTTATACAAAACATAAGAATTGTTCTGAAAAAATTAAAAAATATATACCTGCATGGCTCATAACTGGAAATATTATACCAGGAGGCTTTGTCACTTGGTATCTTTATCCTTTTACTTATTATTTTCTTTTAATTCTACAGGAAGCAGTAAATTCTTTATGGTTGGAGTGGATGAAGAGGTGCCATGTAATAGCTCAGAAGGCAAAGTCCCTTGTTTTACCAGCTGTTTAGGCATCCATGTACTCATCCTTGATTTGAAGGGTTTGAGTTAATTCTATCCTTCCAAATCAGCCCTTACAATCTCACGTGCCCACCTCTTCTGCAACAGTCTCTGGGCCTAGAGGGAGGACGCTTGCAATACAGGATTTTTTGCATGTTCCCAGTGGCTCCACCCCATTCTCCCAGTGCACATGCAGGCCCTTAGTCTGAACCCACGCTACATTGATTTATTTCCCTTACTGAGCATGTGTTAAGGGATGGAATTTTTCACCATGGGCATGTTTAGGCAAGCCCCCTGTACACAATGTCCTGGATGGCATTTGGCTGTCTTCTGCCTCTATCATTCCCCCATCTAAAAGAGTACATCTAACTGCCATTAGAATAAGGATAAGAAGAAAGACAAAGACCCATCTTAACTGCTTTCTGCTGACAGAGGGCACTGTTTTGGAAAGACAGCAGTTGGGTCTCCCTCAGAGGCCTATCTAAGGGTATCTGGTAAAAGGGACCATCATTCGAGGCTCTGGTTGCATAACTGTTTGGAGTTTGAGGGCCTGAAGGCGAGAAGAGACAAACCAGGTTATTAGAAGACATGTACCAAAATGAAATGGGGGAAGGGTAAGGACAGTTCAAAAATCCTGAGGCTGCTGACATGCCCAGATAACTGGTAGCTGTAGTTGTGCCTGCTAAGATTTGGGTGCATGGGACTTGGCTTTGGTTAGCTCCCGTAGTTTATTTTCCCAAAAAAGAAACCTCTGGGTTATGGGCACCCTATTTACTCCCATTATCTGGCAGGATTTGTAGGATAATTGTTCAGAACTAGAATACTGTTCCAGATTTTTACATTACCCATGCCTTTTGTTTCTTCTGAGCTGCAGCCAGAGATCACTGGTTAGTTCACAGGAATAAGCAGGGTTAATTTAAAATGTAGGCAAAAAACTTAAAAACAACTAATGAGTCTAGAATTTAATGACAAATGTATGATAAGTTTTGAAACATAATTTCTTTCTCCCCAGTCCTCATTTTTGTTAAAAACAAATCATAATAGGAGTGAGTTGTTTGTAAAATAAACTTTAGTCTTACACTTGGTCTGCTTATTTGCACAAAGTACAACAAGAATAATTATTTTTACATAGGCTTTTTAAATTGGCTTTGATGGAACTCTGTTCCACAAGGAATTTCAGATAGGACTTCATAAAAATGAGCCCAGCCATGGGTTTGTACCCTCTAATACCTATGAGTTGGGTGAATTGCTCTCTTCTTGAGGTCCCAAGAATATGCGGTTCCTGGCCCTGTTAGAAAGTGACATTCTTTACTCACTACAGGTTAGGGAACCTGTATGGGGACTGTGTAGACAAAGTATGAGGCTGGTTTACCCAAGGGGCTTTTATTGGCTCTGCAAGTTGAGCTTGATTCCTTAAAGGGAAACATACCCTTCCAGTCAAAGTTACAGTTACTGGTTGGTAAAGTTAAAGTTACAGCTACTGGTTGCTAAAGCAACCAGTTTCTCCAATTGCATCCTGTTGCAAAAGAAAGTGGATTCTTACTGCACTGATGCAAATAACCGTATTGCCCTAAGTTAAGAATACTCACAGATAGTTTCCAAATTCTAGAGGAAGCAGGCAGAGAGAAAAAAAAGTGCTAAATTTTGTTCATAGGAGTCTGCATTACTCAATTATTAAAGATTGTGTATAGCTCAAAAAAAAAGATCAGCACTGTTTTAAGCTAAAGTTTAAAAAAGATTACTTCAATTTTCTATTAGTTCAGTCTGTTCAGTTAACTCTTGTTCTGCTTGATATTTGTGAACATTTCAGCTCTTCATGAGTCCTGTACGTTTTTCCATTATTCCAATGTCACAATCTCCAAAGTTATCAGAAACCTGCATTTGAGAGCACCTGTTACGTTTCTATAGCTGATTATAAATCCTATTTGAAGAAGATCAAAACAAAACAATGGTCTGTGAATAGCAAAATGTCCATGGTAGTTACAGTCAAAAACACAATTGACAAAGAAATTTTGTTATCTCTGTGGCTTATAATCACCTAACATAACACCTTTAATTGTGAGTGATAGCATATACTTAGATATTAGAATTTTAGAAATCCCATACAGTTTTGGAGCATATATTATTATTCACTAAAATATAACCCAAAGAAGATTAAATATCATTTTGGCAATCCCATGTACATAAATTTGTCAGGTAATCCTATTTACCTCTCTTCTGGATGCTCCAGGGATGCTAGGGGTCAGGAAAGACAACCTTGAAGCTGACATTTGATTTTGGGAAGCCCATTAAATATGTTAGAGGTTTAAAACAATGTTATGAAGTAGAATTCCAGATTACCATAAATTACTTATTTTGCCAAAATGATGACTCAAAAATTTTAAAACAAGCCAAAAACTTTTACTCATTTAGAGGGAAGACTTAGATTTCCAAAGAATTTGTCTCCTGTCTTCACTTTCATTTCCTTGGCAGTCTATCTGGAAGACAAACTGAAATATTTAATTATCCTTTACTATTACATGAAAATCTTATACAAGGGAGAGAAAGCCAAATTTTACCCTCACATTAGTTTACTATTAATGTCAACCCCAATTTTTTAATGAAACCTTATAGACAATTCTATCCAATCTTAACCAGTTTGATCATGAGGTAAGATTCCTGTAAGCCTTTTATAACCTTTTACAAATTACTAATTTACTAATCTGCTAAAGAGCAGATTAGGGCTTTAAGAAAACCTTGTTGTGCTTTCATTTCAATGCTCAGTTTGTAGAAAAACCATATAATAGAGTTTTGGATTTAATCAATGTTCACACACAGAATTTCTTTTGCAAGATTAATTTTTAGAAACCTCCCACAACTTGTTTAAACCTTTAGTTTATCTTATCTAATTTATAATAGTCCTTTAACCTTAGGCAAAAACTTACATTTCCATGCATTCTTATAATCTTTGACTAATAACACATTTTACTGTTCTTACATACCTTGCATGTAAATCTATTTTCAGTGGTCTCAATTACATGTTATAATGGTACCTCTTAGCACTTTTTAATTTTAGTTTAAAACCTGGTAAGTCGTTTTAATTACGCACTAGGTGCTGATAAAGTTTGATTCCTTCCAGCATAATTAAGGGTGTGGTTAATTCCATATGTCCCTGTGCCTTACCAAGTTGTAAAGCAGGCAGATTGAACAGTTTTCAAAGGCAAAAGAAGCCGTTTACAACCTTAAAACATTTAGCCACCTAGTGCCTGACTTGCATAATTTAGACCAGCTATTTACATTTTAAGAACATTTGCATTTTATCAATTATCTTTAAGACTACTTTTATTTCTCAGAGATTAAAGTCACAAGAACTAAAAGGCATTATAGCTTTTATCTTTCCTCCAAAAATATTTGATCTTAGTGCTGATTTTTCTTTAAGCCAATTAATTAGAGCTCTTTTTTATAACTACACAGATGGAGAAGAAGATTGAGTGTTATAAGATTTTTCATTTGCCCATCTCCTAATTGGATTCTTGGTCTCTGGGTGGGACCCTTTAAGAGCAGGGCTAAGAAAGCATGCAGTTTATTTTCTTTTTTTCTTTTTCTTTTCTTTTTTTTTGAGAAAGAGTTTCACTCTTGTTGCCCAGGCTGGAGTGCAATGGTGCGATCTCAGCTCACTGCAACCTCTGCCTCCCAGGTTCAAGCGATTCTCTTACCTCAGCCTCCCAAGTGGCTGCATGCAGTTTCTAGGGCCTAATAAACAGGCATAGCTGGAAAACAAAAACGGATTTTGAGAGCGATCTATTTGCCTCTAATTCCTGGGGTTCCATGAGGAAAACAGAGGTTTCTCCCAAAATGGAATCCATGGTGCCTTTTCTGTTTTTACCAAGCAGCCCTATGCCATCAGAAATTATCTTAGGGCCTCTCATGTGCGCATTAACACTGGCAAGACAAGGTGGAGAAAAGTAATTCAGTCAACTGAGAAAAAAATCTTTTTCCAGCAAAACAAGATCCAAGAAGAGAAAAACATAAAGGCCTTTCAAATATACGTATAGCTTGGATATCCACTTTTAATTAAGCTGAGCTCTCTTTAAGAAAGTCCTTTTAAATCCCACATTACCTGACTTCAGCCATGCCAAGCAGCCAATATTTCTGGCTTTGGAAGTTTATCAAAAGAACCTCAAGGTTCAACCAACAAGCCTCAATTAAGACACGCGAAGCACACCAGATTGGCTACACCTTAAGACCAGCCTCATAAAACCTTTTTCACTAATGGAAACTTTACAGGGAATATCAACAGTGATCCTTATCATTCTTTTCACCAGTTTACACAGGGAGAGAGAGGCCAAAAGTCTGACTGGTTAAAAAACTTTTATCCTTTTGCTGGCATGTCATGCTTCTGGGTTCCCTTCCCCTGAGCTCAATTCTAAGCCAACCAGTTTAAGGTTTGGGAAATTAACTTTTCTCAGTTTGGAGGATGCATCCTATGGGAATGTCCTTTAGTACAGGGACACAGTCACCCATCTGTGAAGAGAGGACAAAGGAGGAAAAAGTAAAAAAAGATTTTTTTCAAAGGCTCCCCAGGGGTTCAGGATGCATTTGAAAGGGGGACAGATTGAAGATGAATGGCTACTCATCTAGAAAGAGGGGAGCCAGACATCCCTGGTTCCTTTCTCTTTCTAGGAAATAGCCAGGGTATGTGAGGGAAAGAAGGAACAAGCATCCATTTTCCTTCTTCCGTCCTTATGTCCCCAAGTCCTGACAACCTCGACAGGGTGCCACCCATGGGTGCCAATACGGTTCTCACCCATGGTAACAGGGGACCTAGTGGATGGGATTATCCACTGTTACCCACAAACTGTCTTTCCCCCTGCTCTCAATAGCCTTCAAGTGCCCTAGACCTCATTTAGGCCATTGATACTAGTATGACCTTTATCCATGAAACAAGAGGCTTGGCTTAATTGTCAGGAATTAGTCATGCTCACCTATACTGTGCTTTTTAATTTTTGTTGTTGTCTGCCTCTGGATCCCTCCGATGCAGTTATCTTTCCTAGGGCTTCTACATGAAGCTTGGAATTGAGTTTGGGACAAAAGAACTGCCTCAGTAGGTGGGTGCATGGACTCATCAATCCCCAGGTGTCCCTCACCAGTCTGGCTGCTGCCGCCTTATCATAAGCTGAAGGCTAAGGTGCAACTGTGAAATTAGGTCCTTCTCAAACAAGGGAGGGAAAATGGTGTCCTGTGAATTAGGGTCCTGGTCTAATAAGATGCCTTCCAAAAGGAAGAAAACTTCTGGCACAGAGAAGACCCCTCTACCCGCAGGGCTGTGTTATTAGGTTGGTGCGAAAGCAATTGTGGTGCCCATCATTCTAAGTAATGACAAAAACCACAACTACTTTCACACCAGCCTACTAACTCATGACTTGGTGGACAAAAGAAAATAACAACAACAACAACAGCTTAAATGCAGGGCTGTGTTTACTGCTGACAAGGTGGAGAAAAGAAAAATATGCCTGAGAAATGCAAATGTATTTCTCCAACAGGCAGAGAAACTTAATTGCTATTGCACTGAGCTGGACCCCTTGGCTTGGGGTGGGGAAGACTCTGTGGATACATGGCAGGGGACACTGGCCAGTTGGCTGCATGGGGCCCAGGCCCCTGAGATCACCCTGGGGCTGGGGCAGCAGCTGTGGCTCAATCCTGCACTGGATGGCTGTTGGACACCACATGCACATGCAGCAGACAGTCATGCACCCCAGCCAGGAGGGAAGGGGGAATGGGGAGATGCTGTCTTCCTATCCATCCTACACATGTGCCTATGGCCATTGGGTTGGGAGTGGAACACCCCCAATATTGTAAAAGAAAAGATAGGTGCCATTACAATCCCCCTAAAAAGAAGGAAAATGCCATAGAAAAGACTGGGTTGGACTGAGGCCGATGTTCCTGACCCCTGAGAGCAATGGGGGGTTGAAGGGTGGGGTGCAATTTCCCCCATCCTTAGAAAACACCTGAGAACAAGAAAGCTCAGAAACAAAAGGGAAAGAAATGTTCTGGGTTCACATTTTACTCACCCAGGCAATGTCAGCTTTCTCATTATAACTTTTGGCTTTTGATTTTTTTTTTTTAATTTTACAATCTGGACAAATAGTGTTTTAAATACCTTTGTTTTAACCCCCTCAATTTCCATTCTATTTATTTCATTTCTTAACAACCATCCAAAGATTTCTATCACCCTTCTGGGGCGACTCCTTTGACTCTCTTTTGCCTTTCTCATTTTTTTTTAAATTACCTCAACATTTTATTAAGGATCTGTAAGACCCACAAGGGACAGCAAATTTGATACAACTTGTCAAACAATTGTATGGTTCTGTCGGAGAAATGTCACCTGGGATGCCTATGTAAAAGGGACCTCTTTAACCCCCAAATTTACCATGACCTGGGTAATAGGCATATAAAGTGGGAGAATATCCTGGTCATCATAAAGCCAGTACCATGTGGCTTGCTTATGAATCATATCTACTGCTTCATCTGGGTTACTCCACTTGGCATTTTATAGGGAGAGTTGGGCAGTCCCTTTCTTGGGGTAAACAGACTTTACAGTGGCATTTATCCAGTCCACTAGGGTTGGATGTTCTCTCAGGAATAACCTCCTATGCATTTGGATCACTTATACTCATTAGAGATTTAATAGTGAGCTGTGGGTCATGGATCAAACTAAAGAAGCTCTTTCACTCTGTAGCATTTAAAATTAAGGATTCTATCCTTAAATTAGTTATTTTTAAATCCATTATAGTAAAAGTGTCTCAGGAAGCTGACTATACCAATCTACAAAATGGAACAATTCCTTTACATTATAGCCTCTGGTTTTAATAGTTGTTTTGCCCTGCCCCTACATTTACTATCTTCTTGGTAACCACAGGTCTCAGAGGTAAACTTTGTTGCCCCGGTTTAATTTATATTTTTGTGAGTAGCTTGGATGCTAGAGGCTTGAGCTGAGACAGACCCACTTCTGGTCTTGGTCCACTCTTAAGGACCAACCCAACACTCTTTTACTCTCATTTCAGCTTTTACAGATAATAACCAAAGGATGAAACATTTTTCTTCCTTATTAGCTTGCCTTCCCTTATGCATTCAGGGAACTAACTCCCTGGGAGTATGAGTAGGATCCATCTCTAATTCCACTGGTAACTTTTACTTTTAGTAACTGACTATAGCCCAGCTGCAGCTCCTTAAGATGGGCAACCACATGGCTACTCAAGAGTCAGGATTTCTCATTTCACACCCTTTTATTTTTTTCTTTATCCATTTAGTTTTATCTATATAATTTTTTCCTTTATTTTAGAGTGATTCATAAATAGTCTCTAGAAAAAAATTACATTTTCTTTAGCAAAAACTAGTTCCTTGTGTTTTCAGAAACCTCACCAAAAACACCTTTTATTCACCTACTAGTTTAAGTCTTATTAACTCAAATTCCCAGTGGAAAAAAAACTCATAGGTTTACTTAATTTAAACATTACATGACTTATTAACCCAAATCCCCAGTGGGGGAAAAAAGTAACCTAGGTTTACTTAATTTAAACATAACATGACTTTAAGATTTTAAATTACTGGAAATAATTGAGATTAAATTTACCAAATTAATCTTACCAAAGATTACTAGTCATGTGAGCTAAAAGGCATCTGAGCTAGGTTCCATCAGTCTGATAAGCATTAACATTCTCCAAGCCAATTGATTAGAGCTCTTTTGTACCACTTGTTAGTGAAATATCACTTCCACATGGCACATGTAAACATGTAGATATAACAGACATATAGAAAACGGCAGGTCCAAAAGATTTTTCATTTGCCTCTTTTCAAAAATTCTCTCCCCTACTTTAGATTATTAATTTAAAAAAGTTATAAGGCCAAACAAAAGTTGAAGGAGAGAGTTACCATCCTAGGCCTTTTCAAAAGCGAAAAAAGGACTGAGATATCAATTTGAATAATTTCAAAAAGAAACATTACAGAATTTAAAAATTAAAAACTTTGTGCATTGAGTAACTCAATATTTTAAATAAAATCTTGTTCTAACCAAATCTTTAGTTATTTATTAGTGTATTTTTTTTTGAGACAGAGTCTTGCTCTTGTTGCTCAGGCTGGAGTGCAATGGTGCGATCTCAGCTCACTGCAACTTCTGCCTCCCAGGTTCAAGTGATTCTCCTGCCTCAGCTTCCCAAGTAGCTGGGATTACAGGCACCTGCCACCATGCCCAGCTAATTTTTTAATTTTTAGTAGAGACAGGGTTTCACCATGTTGGCCAGGCTGGTCTCGAACTCCTGACCTATATGATCTGCTCGCCTCGGCCTCCCAAAGTGCTAGGATTACAGGCGTGAGCACCGCACCCAGTCTAGTGTATTTTTAACATAAAAGTTCAATTTAAAAAAAAGATTATAATTTTCTGTAATTATGGACAACTTAATCACATAACATTTGTATAAATTTCTTTTTTACTAACTTTATTATGACTTACACAGACCATTCACAACATGCTTGGACTTTCTGCTTTGACCTAAGTGTCACTCTTTCTGGAATAACTCGGTCATTTTATCTTAGGACAAAAATTCACCAAACAATATTTTTCTCATACAAAATTACTTTTCTTTTAAGCTTTCTTACCAAAAATACCTCTGTATATCTATACTTTTCTTTATATTGGTCTATTTCCTGGTTCCTTTCACATTCTTATTTATACAGGACTTTTAAATAAGCTTTGAATTAGACAAAAATTATTTACCTTTTAATAAGAACATATTTTAAAAAAAGAATAAAATATAATTTTTTGAATTGGAAAATACCCAGATATTTAATTAAATATCTATTATTGAATTTAATATAATTTTATATTCTAAATTATGACAAGTTTATTTACAGGTATTTATCCCTTTACATTTACCTGATTATTTTATTTTAATATTTTATGTAGACTATGAAAACTGTGATAGTCATCATTTAAAGTTATTTCCCTGTCAATGATTTTTATAGCCTATGAAGTTCAGGTGTTTACCTAAGTAAGAACCTCAGGATTAAATATATGGTTATTTTACCAATAATTCCAAGTTTAGCTGTTTTCATTAAACCAACAATATTTGATATCTTGTTTGTCAAAAACTACACAAGCAAAGATCATTCTGTTTTGGGTTGGTGTATTAGTCTGTTCTCACATTGTTATTAAAAAATCCTGGAATTGGGTAATCTATAAAGAAAAGAGGTTTAATTGGCTTACAGTTTTACAGGCTATATAGGAAGCATAGCAGCTTTTGCTTGGAAACTTATAATCATGGTGAAAGGTGAAGGTGAAGCAGGCATGTCTTACATGGCTGGAGAAGGAGGAAGAGAAGGTTGTTGGGGAGGTGCCACACACTTTTAAACAACCAGATCTCATGAGAACTTACTATCACCATGACAGCCCCAAGGGGGATGGTGTTAAACCATGAGAAACTACCCCATGATCCAATCACCTTCCACCAGGTTCCTCCTCCAACACTGGGGATTACAATTTGACATGAGATTTGGGTGGGGATACAGATCCAACCATAACGGTTGGGTTTACAGTTTTATAAACTTTATGTCAAATTTTGACACAGAGTATTTGTCAGGGATAAGTATGAAATTGCTGATCAATAAATGCAAACAAAAATATATGTTGACAATTTATAAGACATTTCTAATATTACTTGACCAATAATTTTAAGCCAGTTTATTTATAAAAGGTTTTACTTGTCACATGACCTTGAAAAGCATTTGGGCTTATTGTTTAATGTATGAGTACCCTTCAACTTTAAGCCATTTTAGTACCTTGTGGCCAAAAACACATAATAAAATACATGTTTGTACACATAAACACACATATACACACTCATACAAAGATCCTGTTGCTTTCACTTCAAAATTTTAGCTATGAGATATTAATATAAACTTACCAGTTTGCAAAAACAATAACAAAAAGAAACGGTTGGATGCAAACAGTGGATTTTATCTCAGTAGAAATGTGTTAATAATAGCAGACAAAGCAGGTGGAAAAGAAAACAGAGATAGAGAACTTAGGAACTTTAGAGTTGCAGGTTGAACTTTAGGTTCTGAATTTTCCTTGATGTAATTTGCCCATCAGTTTAAAATGCGCACAAGAACAGACCTAATGTGTAACCAGCTGGAGTATTAGAAAACCTGGCACGCCCTTCCATTTACACAACCACTTGCAAGTAGAGGCACCATGAAACGAAATGAGGTGCCTGAGAGGCCTTGTTCTTGTTTTTCCATATCCTTAATTTATTCCCCACATATTTTCTTAAAAGGAGGAACTGAGCTGTGGCCTAAGTTTTAGTTTAGTGGGTCAAAATATGCTGATTCTGGGTGGGGCTCCACAGTGTGTCACCAGTGAGTCGTTGCCACCCTCTTATGTATCTCAGTTTCTCTCTCTGGAGGTTTAGACCTCCGAGTGCTCAAAACATGGAGTTCCTACATGAGCTTCCTGGATGAACCTTTTTAAACTAATTTTGCTGGGGGTTCCCTGTAGGGCGGCTGCATTTCATGGGGTTGGTAGTCAACCCCTTAGGCTCCACCCCAGTAACCCAGGGATGCCTTTTGGCTGGAAGGAGCAAAATGCCCTTTCTTTTCAGAGCTTAGGAAACTCAGTCTGACATTTATCTACAAAAACAACAGTTTAGTTGCTCTCACAAATACACAGACAAGCCAATCGAGATTAATTTTGGGAGAGAAGACAATGAGAAAGCTCTTTAGAATGCACCTCTGAACTAGAATTAGGATCCTAAACAACAACTTCATTGGTGGGGGCAGCGGGGTGGAAAAAGCTAAGACCAGCTGTAAACTGTCCTCAGCCACTCCTAACTTTATAGCTCTTGTCTGCCATTACACACTCCAAGGTCACATCTTCTCACAGTACAAGGTAATCTCTGGTGCCCGCAAAAGCCAAGAGGGTCAGGTAATGCAATACAGGAAAGCAGAGTTTTAAATCTAAGAAGAATCTGCCCATGACTCTTGAAACCCCACAAAGAAAACAGAACACCCCAAAAGGGGGTGGGAGTGGTGCCTTTGTTCTGAGTTCTTTAAGGGGTCTGAGACATTAGAACCCTTCTGTAGATTTTTCTTGGTACCAGAGATGGTGAAGGGGGAAGGAAAAATAGAGTGGAACAAAAGTAAACAGAAGAATAACTGTTTTTTGTTTTTTTTTTTTAAGAAAGGAAGTGAACACAGAAACCAAGCACATGTTTTTGTTTTTGTTTGTGCAGCTGCCAGGAATTTTAGCCAATTCAGAGGCCTTGTTTCCCCTAATTTGGAATTCTCATTGGAATTTGACCAAGTCTGTTATAGTTGATCAAATCCTATGGGAGAAAGATCAGAACAACAAAAACCCCAACAATATGATTACTGAGTGCTCTAACGGTAAGGAGAAATTAAAACCAGCTGCTTGTCAATTTCAACTTGTAGTCATTAAGGAGAATTTCCAAGACAAAAAAATCCCAATTCTTGCTACTTACCTAGGAATAGAGCCCTGGCACAAGATTGCTCTTTACCATCTTAGAAGCAGGAAAAATACCTGGAAAGGTGCACAGGAACAGACATAAGGTTCTTGCCTTCCCTATCGGAAACTAGCTGAAACTCCAGAAATGAGTTACCTGCTATGCATCATCATGGAAGCAGAAAAACTTGCTTTCCTTGTTGGAATCAAGTAAAACTCCAGAAAAGGAGTTGTAGAGCAAAATAAGCTTTAGATCTCGACCAAATTTTGAGAGATCAGGGATTCTCTGGAGGGGGAACTCCCAGGCCTCAGCAAATTGTCCTTCTGATTTGAGCCATAAGGATAGCTCAAGCTGGTACCAAGCACCAATAGATTCATCAAAGGTCAGGGGCACCTCCACTCAGAATCCCTTCATCACCAATTTGTGAACTCAAAAGTATCTGAGACAGATCTCAATACATTTAGACGGTTTATTTTGCCAAGGTTAAGGATGTGCCCATGACACATGTGCCCATGACACAGCCTCAGGAGGTCCTGATGACATGTGCCCACGGTGGTCAGGGTACAACTTGCTTTTATACTTTTTAGGGAGGCATAATACATCAATCAATACCTGTAAGATGTACACTGGTTCAATCTGGAAAAGCAGGACAACTTGAAGTGGGGGCTTCCAGGTTATAGGTAGATTTAAGAATTTTCTGATTGGCAATTTGTTGAAAGAGTTATGTTGTTACCCAAAGACCCAGAATCAATAGAAATACCTGGGTTATGATGATAAGGGGTTGTAGAGACCAAAGTTTATCAGGCAGATGAAGCCTCCAGGTAGCAGATTTCAGAGAGAATAGATTGAAAATGTTTCTTATCAGACGTAAGTTTAATGCTGGTCAGCTTTTCCTAAGTTCCAAAAGGGAGGAGGGTATACTGAGTTATATCCAACTCTCCCTTCCCATCATGGCCTGAACTAGTTTTTCAGGTTAACTTTACAATGCGCTTGGCCAAGAGGGGGCGTCCGTTTAGATGGTTTGAGGTGGGGAGGGCTTACAATTTTATTTTTGGCTTACATAGTAAAGGTTAATTATCTCAATACAATTAGGTCATCTTCATTTTTCTTTTAAAAACTTTTGTCTTCCTTTATCTCCCTGAATACACAGGCAGTTTACTATTTTCTCATTGCAAGACCCATTCTCAAATATTATTTTCTTTTAGAGAGACTCTTGCTGTTATTTAGGTTCACAAGATGGTGTCAGAAGTGAAATAAAAGTGGCCTCACCTCAGATGGATCAGAGGCCCCTCGAATTGAGTGAAGTACCTACTGACCCCTTTGGCCCTCACCTCTTTTTATACCAGGAAAGGGACTGGCACATCTCTGGTTATGTAGCAAAAATGTCCCATAGCCCAAGGGCTGGGGTCTGACATCCAGTCTGACTACATACCTGTGTTGTTCAGCTCCACGAATTTTCCTTAAAAAGGCTGTCTGAGAAGCCAATGTGTGAGTGTTCTCTACTACTCACCTTTTATTGGTAGATATCTGCTCAATATTTAATTTTGGAGATACATTGTGGGTATTATAACATTTTATAATTAGCTCTAGAAAGGACACTCTGGGAATGTGCTAGTCAGAACATATCTCTGCCACTCTTTCCTCTCAATTAAATATCTGACACTTATCTCCTGGGCAGAGGAGATACTGGAGCAAAGAGAGCTTGGGGTACGTGGTTAAGCCTTAAAGCCCTGTAACAGTACCAATGGAGAGACCAGTTATTATTTGCAGGGCGGTGGAAGGTAGAGTAAGTATTGCATCTCATAAATGAAGCTAACTAATGACTATACAAACAAAGCTGGCACTTATTTTCTAAGTCATCCACTTATATCCTTATCAGGCATAAGAAGTGGTACCTTAAATTGGACCCAGGCAGTAATCTTAAGACAATTTAACTTGGCATGAATAATGGTTCAATAACGTGAATTTCTGGTAACCAGAAATAAGTAGGGGAAAAAAAATTAAGTTTAGACACAAAACTGTGTTGGAAAGATGATGCTTTAATTTTTTTTTTTTTTTTTTGAGACGAAGCCTTGCTCTGTCACTAGGCTGGAGTGCAGTGGCGTGATCTCAGCTCTCTGCAACCTCTGCCTCCTGGATTCAAGCGATTCCTGCCTCAGCCTCCTCAGTAGCTGGGACTACAGGTATGCACCATCACGCATGGCTAATTCTTGTGTTTTTAGTAGAGACGGGGTTTCACCATGTTGGCCAGGATGGTCTCAATCTCTTGACCTTGTGATCCGCCTGCCTCGGCCTCCCAAAGTGCTGGGATTACAGGCATGAGCCACCGCACCCAGCCAATGCTCTTACTAATTAACACAAATGGAAGCAATGACTCTTAAGAGCCAAAAGATAGAGAGAATGTAATCCAACCCTCTCATGAGGCTAAGCGATTTGCCCACAGCCACCAGGTTTGGTCAATCACTCTTGGAAAATAGCGTATACCAATTCATCAAAGTTTGAGGACAAGGGAATAAAAAACAAAATATAATATTGGTGATGAGAAGGCAGGATTACTCTTATTTATAGACAACACGTTTGTACACTGGGAAAACCAATCAACTAAAAACCATGAAGAAAAAACAGTTTAGATGTTGGCTAGATACAAAAACAACTTGTAACAATAGTTTGTGTGTGCGTGTACATATAGACAGCCATTCAGGAGCCACAATGCAAGATGACATTCCCATAGGCAACAAAAAACATAAAATATCAAGGAATACACTTAGTAAATTTTCTACACCTGTATGAAGTAAACCTCTAATGAGGGATGTAAGACTTGAAGACAGAAATAGTCTCCATTCTTGCAGAACATTCAACCCTTGAAAATATTAGTTATTTCTAAACATTTTATAAAGTCAAAACAATGCCAACATAAATCCCAAAGGAGTTTAAAATTTGGGGGAAAACTTGGCCAAAAAATTTAGGTTATAGTTCACCTAAAAAATAATTATTGCTGGCAGGGCGCAGTGTCTCACACCTGTAATCCCAGCACTTTGGGAGGCCGAGGCAGGCAGATCATGAGGTCAGGAGATCGAGACCATCCTGGCTAACATGGTGAAACCCTGTCTCTACTAAAAATACAGTAAGTAAATAAATAAATAATTATTGCTAAGAAATATGAGCAATGAACATTGGCTGAAAGTATTCAGGAAAGCCTCAGAAGTCAAAACAGCCTGTAATTGCAGCACTTTGGGAGGTTGAGGTAGGCAGATTGCTTGAGCACAGGCATTTGAAGCCAGCCTGAGCAACATGGCAAAACCCTGTCTCTACAAAAAAATACAGAACATTAGCCAGGTATGGTCATGAGCGTCTGTACTAGCTACTTGGGGGGCTGAGGCAGGAGTGTTGCTTGATTACAAGAGGTTGAGGCTGCAGTAAGCCATGTTCGTGCCACCGCACTCCAGCCTGGGTGACAAAGCTAGACTCTGTCTCAAAAAAACATAAAATATATCCCAGTATAATGTGTATTAAAAGTGTGATACATAGACGGGAAAAGACTGAACAACAAAACTGTTCCAGGAGTGCTGAGAATTTGGCATGTGATAAATGTGACATTTGAAATCAGCATAGAAAAGTTAGATAATTTAATGAATAGTATTTGGGATAACTAATTTGTTAAGGGAAATATATGAGTTGAGTTGTATCCTCAAAAAGATGTGTTGAAGTCCTAACCCCTGGTACCTATGAATGTGATCTTAACTGGAAAGTGTCTTTACAGATGTAATCAAGTTAAGAGGAGGTCATACTGGATTAGAGTGGGACTAATCAATCCAATTGACTGGTGTCCTTATAAAGATCTGGACACAGACATACAGAGAAGAATGCCAGGTGACAAGAGGCAGAAATTGGAATAATGCAGCCATAAGTCAGAGAATATCAAGGATTGACAACAATCACTAGAAACTAGGAAGGGGCCCTCCACCCCTAGAGCTTTCAGATAGAATCTGGCCCTATTGAAACCTTGATTTCAGACCTCTAGCCTCTGAACTGTGAGATAACAAATTTCTGTTGTTTTAAGCCACCCAAGTTTGTGGTAATTTATTACGGCAGCCACAGGAAACTAAAACAAAAAAATAAAGCTGGATCTCTATCTCTGTCCTCAAAGGAAAAAAATCTAGATGGATAGAAGAATTAAATGTAAAACAATCATCACCAAAGACCAGAAGAAAACATGAGTGAAAACTTCTATCTTTTGGGGAAAGGGGAAGGGCTTTTTAAAAATAGAAGGAAATAAATAAATTTGACTTTATAAACAACTTAAACATCTGTGTGGTAAGTCAAAAGGCAGGAAATTATAAAATAAATCTGTAACTCAGGGCAGATAAAGGGTAGTAAGAAAGATATAAACAGCCCATAAAAAAATGGACAAAGAACAAGATGAGTTGGCATGAAACTATAAATAAGATATAAAAACATGCTCAAATTTACTAAAGAAATGCAAATGCATTTAATGTGTAAAGTGTTTTACCGAGATTAAAGACTTATTTCAGTCAATTAGCTAGGGTGTAAAAACAGGTACTTCATTCACATTTGATGGGAGTACACATTGGTATAATCATTTTGGAGGGTAGTAAGTATTACCTCTTCCTTGGCTATTTCAATTATTTTCATATTTTTGCTTTTCCCATTCTAATGTGTGCATTGTTCATGTAGTTTTTTTTTTTTTTTTGTAATTTTCCCACAAGAGAGATCAAAGTCTGTTGAAGGATATTACTTTTGTGGAATGTGATATGTATGGGGTATCAGTTTGAAAAGCAATTTACAAGACATTACCCTAAAATCAGTGACTATACCAGTTCCACTGCAAACCACACCACTACTTTTTTCACTGATAGTATCTCATTTGTAATTTGCATTTTTAAGTGAAGAGAAATATCTTTCCAGAAACCAAAGAAATGTGATTTGCTACTCATGTAAATTGTATTTCATTTTTTTTGGTCCATTAATTCACAGATTCATATTAATTTCTGAATATTTCTATCCTCTTAGTAATTCCAAGAAATCCTTGGGTAACATATATATTAACTCTTGGTTTGCCTCTCACTGGGGATTCTTTCCACACCATGTAATTCTCAAGGTTCCATCCATTTCCATGGCTCTGCCCACCACCTTTATGCTAGATTCCTCAATCCACATGCTCTACAGCTAAATCTTTTCTTCTCAAACCACTTAGAACAGTGTTCTGCACACTGGGTGTTAAGCACTGAAATATAGACCTATAAGGACCATTTAAAAATATTATTTTTAGGGTTGTTTTAAATATTAAATATGAACAATTAGCAAATAATCCTATAGCATTAATGCATGGAAACAAGCAGTGGATATAAAAATATTCTGCTTAACTATGAAAGACTGCCTAAGTGCTTGAATAAATGAATACAAAAACGAGTTTTAAAATTCTTTATTTAAAAATCTCTAACTGTAATGTTTCATAAAAAATATACACGTTTCTATTTACATATTCCATTAATTCTATTAGTTTGAATTAGATTTTAAGTCCAATTTTGAAAAGCTTGCAGAATTTCTTCTGAAATTACTTAAAATTACTGTATGCATAAACTTACAAAAACATATGCTATACCAAGGCAGAGAAAAGAAAAAAAGTGAAGTGGCTACAAAGGTCCCTGGGGCATCACCTGCTCACCTAGGAACCAGGAGTACTGGATACTGTTCCGTTACTGGTAACCTATCTGGATGTAAAGGTTCATAAGTTACAATGCTTTTTTTGTTTAAAAAAAAAAAAAAGTCTGTACTTTACAAGCCAAAAGTGAAAATGCCACACATCCTCTTTACGCTTTCATGTACACTAAGTCACTCCATTTGGTTGATACCAACTAAGATACAATTTCTGAGATCATAATCTTTTCATGAAATTAAAGCAGAAAACTGTCCAGGAAAATCAGACTTCAAAGTTGGTGCAACTTAGCTGATCTCATGAAAATTCTTTGGAATCTTCTGTTGGTCTATAACCAATCAAGGACTCTTTACCGCTATCATCCACAAGTAGATCCACTAGCACATGTGGTTTATCATAACCAAAGGAGGTGGGGGCTTTTATTACGGTTATGAGCTCTTGTCCTTCTGTTTTTATTTCACCTTTATTATTTGGGGGAAATTCTGAGTCAGATAAGGAGCTATGTGATTCCAGACAGCTGGAATCAGTATCAAAACCATTTCTGGAGTGATCACTCTCAGAACAATTTCTGGAGTGATACGAGTTTAAAGCGATGCTGCCAGGTTCAGACTGGTTACTACTTAAAGGTGAAGAACTCTCTCTCTCTATTGGAGTCAGATGGCTGCCCGGGACCACGTCAGGAATATTTTCTTCAGTAGTCACCACTTCTGTTATACTAGAAAGTTCTTCTGTATGTTCCACTTTTCCTGGATTGTCTTCGGTATGCATGCCTGGAACTGTTGCTGGAGACAACGGCTCTTCACAGACCACCTCCTTTTCTAAGGAAAATGGCTGGTATGACGTGATGAGTGATACATATTTTGATTCAGGTTTTGTCTCTAAAGTAGCACTTCTTACCACAGAGATCTATGGGGAGAAAAATTGATTAAAGATAAAAAATTGTTAAGCTTAAGTGCCTACCCTCAAAAAAAACAAAGGTCTGAAGTAATGGACCACCAAATGGCACATTTAGGATAATGGGTGAATCAGATGTTGCCATTTCTTTTTAATGAAAGGTCCCATAGTAATATTAAAAACAAAGTTTTAGAATTTTTAAAAAGCCATCAGATATCTTACTAATATATGTTGCTTTTTGTACGTTACTGTGATGGTTAATACTGAGTGTCAACTTGATTGGACTGAAGGATACAAAGTATTGATCCTGGGTGTGTCTGTGAGGGTGCTGCCAAAGGAGATTAACATTTGAGTCAGTGGGCTGGGAAAGGAAGACCCGCCCTTAACCCGAATGGGCACAATCTAATCAGCTGCCAGCATGGCTAGAATGTAAGCAGGCAGAAAAATGTGAAAAGAGAGACTGGCCTAGCCTCCCAGCCTACATCTTTCTCCCATGCTGAATGCTTCCTGCCCTTGAACATCGGACTCTGAATTCTTCAAGTTTGGAGCTTGGACTGGCTCTCCTTGCTCCTCAGCCTGCAGATGGCCTATTGTGGGACCTCTGATCGTGTGAGTTAATACTAAATAATACTAAATAAACTCCCCTTTATATATATATATATGAAAAATATAATTAATATATATTATATAATATATAATTTATAATATATAATATATAATTTATAATTTATAATATATTATATAAAATATAATTTATATTACATAAAATATATAATTTATAATATATTATATAAACATATAATTTATAATATAATATATAAAATATATAACTTATATTATATAAAATATATAATTTATAATATATTATATAAAATATATAATTTATAATATATTATATATAATATATAATATATATTATATAACATATAAAATATATATAATATATAATATATAAAATATAGATTTATATAAAGGGGAGTTTATTTGGTATTATATATATATCTTTATATATATATTCCATTAGTTCTGTCCCTCTAGAGAATCCTAATACAATTATCTTCCACATGTACGCACATTATGTTTACAAAGTGGGCACATCTACTTAAGTAATATTCTCATTACTTGCCTTCATCATTATAATTTTTAGTAGCTCATATTATTTCTTTATACTGATAAATAATTTAATAGATGGGGAAATGTTTCCAATTTTTACTAGCTATGGAACATGTTAAATATCCTGTACATCTTTTTATTTATGAAATTATTTCCTTATAATACATTTTTTAAGAGTGGAGTGACCATATCAAAGAAATGGTATGTTTACGTCACTATTACACTGAATACCCACTGTGTGCTTTTATTCTTACCAGGGCTAGATTACTTTTCACCAGCATTTACCCGTTATGCTACTGCTGGTACTACTGGATATCCAGGTTTCTTTTTTCTTCTCTAGCGCGTGTAAAATGGCATACTGCAAGGTTACTTTGTGCTTAATTACTAGTAAGAATAAAATATTATAATTCATTTGTGAGTTGACTACTAACTGTTGAGAGTTCTTATCCACTTTAAAGGTAGTTTATAGCAAATTTTAATGTGCCCTTTGAGCATCACAGATATTATTCCTGTCATATTTGACTCAAATAGATACTATTCTGTTACCTTTAAATGTTCTTTACATCAAAGGCTTTGAAATGTTGGACATTAAAATCGTCAAACTCCTACGTTAGTCTCATTTTTGGCCAACTTTCCTTTCATACTCCAACCATAATGAAGTGTTTCTGTATTTGCAGAGCTTTCAAAGTCATGCTTTCTTGGCTCTGGACCTCAGCACATTCTGTCCCCTAGTGCCTAAACTCCTGTATGTCCCTCAAGACTGCTCAGGCATTGCCTCTGGAAAAGCCATGACTAACCCCACCCCAAAGCTGGACAAAGTCCTCATGGGCTCAGGTATAAATCTTTGAATCTATCACACGTTATATAGCCAATGTATATTTATCTTTTCTTCCCCCTAGACTTTAAGATCTTTAACAGAATTGTCTCACCGTGTTTTTCCCTGAGAATAAAAAAAAAAACAAAATACTTGCTGCACAGCAAAAGACACAGTATGTGATTTTGCATGTGTGGTAGACTGACTGATTGATGGCAGGTGACATCTTGTTGAATATCATTCTACTTTAAAAACATAATTTAAGAAACTATCAAAAAAGGTTCAAGTTAACTTTTTAGTGTATATAAAAAAATTAAATACATTACCAAGGACTTGGGTAATATTATGCTTTTTTCCTTCAATGGATTAATTTTCTTAATATAAAAACAGATGAATACCAGGCTAAGCACTAGAAAGAGTAGTAAAGCAGCAACAACTGGAATCCAAAGAGAACCTTAAAAAAGGCAGAAATCACAAGTTACAATTAAGATGGAATACTGCTATTATCTATCAAAAAGTCTTAGTGCCATTCTTGAATAGATTTACAAATTAGTGAATAGGGCCAGAGTTTTAAAGAACACTGAAGGAAGCAGAAGTTAGGAAATCTGAGTAAAAAATTAGGTATCTGTCTTAGATAGCAATATGGTTCTTCCCAGCTCTGCAATTCTAGAACTTTCTGGGACTATTCTACTATGACACAACATAGTTAAAATAGCTTTTCTACAATAATTTCCTTACAGCCCTACATACAGTGTGTTTCCAGGGTTATGCATTTCTTTCGGTTAAAAATGCAAAAGAATAATTTTAAAAATACCTCTCCTTAGAAACAAATTCTGGCAGCTGGGCACAGTGGCTCAAGCCTGTAATCCCAGCACTTTGGGAAGTCGAGGTGGGCGGATCACGAGGTCAAGAGATCGAGACAATCTTGGCCAACATGGTGAAACCCCATCTCTACTAAAAATACAAAAATTAGCTGGGTGTGGTGGCATGCGCCTGTAGTCCCAGCTACGTGGGAGGCTGAGGCAGGAGAATCGCTTGGACCTGGGAAGTGGAGGTAGCAGTGAGCTGAGATTGTGCCACTGGACTCCAGCCTGGTGACAGAGCGAGACTCCATTTCAAAACAAAACAAAACAACAAAAAAAAAAAGAAAGAAATTCTGGCAATGTTTATTGCTCTTAAGATGATTTAGCCCCACTCCTCAGAATTTCCTGTTACATTTATTTCACGACTGCAAATACTTATAAAGCTTCACAGATGTACATGCACACAGCAATGCTGCACAGGAATAAAGTCCCCTTAGTTATAAACCAGACATAAATAATATAAAATAGGAAAGATTTGTTTCCAAGCACATACATCTAGAATCACCATTGTGTACTTTGCTGTAATGCTGCCTTTTATTTTTGCAGCACAATCTTCAGTATTTTTTTTTTTTCATAGTTCTCTCTTCCAAATTAACAGCACTCTAACATACTGTGACAATGTCCGGCATCCTTTAGGGCATTTTGTTACCCAGAATTTTCTAACTATGGAAGTTACTAATGAATGCTTCTATTACGCTTATTACAGGGTGTGAAAAAAGTTAAATCATTACAAAAGTAAAAAGGAAAATAACTACAAAACCAACATTAGTGCTGTTAGAAGTCCCACGGGCTGAGCAAGTGCTGGCTGCAAGGCATTGAGGCAAGCAGGCAGGGCTGCTGCTCAGGAGCCACGGCAATGCCACCGTGTGGCCATACTATCAGTGCAGTGTATAATTCAGGCTAAAAACAAATCTGCGGCATTTGCATTATTTCAAATTTTGAGCATTAAGAAGGGTTTTATTTTTCAAATAGCATAACGAAAATTAGCATAAAATGCATTGCACTGCTTTAAATCACCTATTTGAAACCTTCATATAATGGCTTGAAGTTATTAGTATTGAATTTTAGGTGTTTGTTCTGGCTCTTCAGCCTATATTTCCATTCCTCGAAAATATACTTGCATCATAAAATTTTAAACCTATGAAATCTATTCTAAAAAAATCCTAAGGAAAAAAATATATGTATACACACACACACACACACACACACACACACACACACACACACAAAGATAATCATCAAAGCATGAGTTACAATATATGCTTAAAGCAATACACAAAATCATATATACTATACAATATGATCATGTCTATGTAGAAAAACTAAAGAAAATATCAAACTGTGAATAATGGGGTATTTTTGCATGGTAGAACTACAGATTATTTTGTTTTCTTCTGGTTTTTCATATTTTATAAATTATCTATAATGAACACTTACATTTCCTAACTGCAAAGAAAAGTCCAAACTTCTTTAAGGTTCCTGACACCTGAGAGTAACAGTTCTAAAGTTCAAGTTCTAGCATATATATCTCTACCTCCCCACCCCCCACATTAAAAGATGAAATAAAATTAATTATTGTAAAATGTTATAAAAATGACCCATTATCTATTATTCAAACCCATCTATAAACTTTTTTGGATATTAATCTCGAGTCTTTGTCCAGTCCACGTCATACAGTTGTAACCAGTGATCGTTCCTGCTCTTCAGTCTTTAAATTACAATCCCCATAAAGAACATTTTAGTGGATTCACAACATCTTGCTATGGTGAAGTAACAAACTGACTTATAATTCATAATCCTGAAATGCAAACATTTGTGTAGTTTTATGTACTTATTATATATTTTTTCTTTCCTGGGTCAAGGGGCCATCACATGGCTTTCCAAATTAGTTGTTCTATATCTTTAAATGTGTGAGAAACTGCTTTATTTTTAATTTTGAACTTCTCTAAGGAATGGAACTAATGCAAATGAATATTGTTAAAACAGATCTTTTGAAACTGCAAATGAGTTTGCTTTCCTCACATGATCCTATTTTAGTTACTGCTCCCTCTATATTTAGAAAAAAAATGGCAAGAACTTACCTTTTATACTGCTATTGAAAATGGTAATACAAACTTCTTTTGACTTTTCAGTTGTAACACCCCACACATGTAAGACTCCTTCTGCTGAAACACAGTACTGAGAATTCAGTGAGGATACTGGAATCGCTAACTGGCACTGAATCTCGTCACAATCATCTTCCTTCTGCGTGAGTATTTTATACTGGATCTAGATGAAAAAAGAAAACAGTGAAAATGCACAGCTTCTTTTAATCTGAAAAAAAAAAAAAATCACCATATTAGTCCTGGTCAAACAACTGAAGAAATATATATGATTGACTTGAACATGTCTAAAAATAGCTTTACTATCAATAAGTCAATTTGTTACTTCAACACAGCACGATACTATGCATCTGTTATATTCCTTATAAAAATGGTAAATTTAAAAACTCAAATTGCAGGAATGTTTATTGTTAGTTGTTAAACTAACAAATGTTCATTTGTCCTATTCATTTGTCCAGAAATTTAGCTGGTGGGAAACAGAAGTATTAATATTACTTTACGTCACCGCCAATGAGGAAGAAAATCCTCATTTTACCAGTGGAGCAATGGAGGTGTACTGGGAAAAATCCTAGATTAGAGCCATTCTGCTAAATGAAGCAAATAAAAACTAAATGTATTCACATGGTCAGTGTTAGTGACTAACTCTGTATCATTTTTGCTTTAATAGCATTCACATATTTTTCTTATCAAATCTATGATCTGTGAGTCTTGCTTGAATATTTATAAGCATCCTATTTTCATTACACTACAGAAAGGAACAACTTTTGCTAGCTACACAAGAATTTCCATTATGAAAAATGTGAAACACATACCTCACTTCCGTTCATTCTCACATACACATTGTACACCCTAATGTAACAGGTAGTTTCGGGATCATAATCGACTTCCTGCTCGTCTCCATTTACAAAAACTGAAGGGTGAAATATGTCAATCATGATTTGCTTCTCCTCCTTTCTGATATCCAGTTTAGGTGGTCCAATTTTTCCTGGGGAAGGAGGAGGAGGAAGTATAATAAATACTGGCCTTGGAACTAAATGGTACATTTCATAAAATTACCAGAATCTATCAATCAACCTATTGTTTTTGTTCTGGTTGTTCTAAAGCAGGACCACATTTAAACCACTCCACAAATATCTAGAAGATAGTCTCGGGGTCCTTAATAAACAAATGTTTCATAAATCTCAGGCAAGAAGTACTCTTATTTAATCTGAATGCCTATTTAGCAGTTTAATTTCATTTCTAGTTGTAAATAAAAATAGTTATAAACTTTGGTTAAAAAAAGACTTCACATAATATAGACTCTATTAAGTAATTTTTCCTTTATCTTTGCTTCTGTGGATTAAGAAGCCTGGATTCTAAAAAACGTTTCAGAAATGGCATTAGTTTTCTTCCCTCATCAAAACTCTTTTTACTGTGAAAAATCAGAACTTATTCCATAAATATTTATTAGGTCTTTGATGTTTGAGACTTTGTTGTGAACCATTTATCTAGTCTTCACATATTACTGTGTACCACTGTGTGCCAGGCAGGTCTGTTTTTAACCCATCAGTGTATCCTCAGGGCCCAGTATACTTTCCGGCACGTAGTAGGCCCTTGATAAATCTATATGGAAAAAAATCTAACATGCAGATGGTGTGGTAATCATATGACAAAATTGTGGACTCTGGGGAAGAAAAGTATTTAAAGGGTAAGGAGAGGAAGAGCCTGTAGAAGAGACCGAGGTGGCACAATCTAAAAGGCAGGAGCAGAGAAAGGAAGTGAGGCTAGAGGGAAAGGGACCCAAGGGCTAGAAGACTAGGGAGGAGTCAAGTGACTAAAGGTGTCTTTTACCCAGGAGTCAGGGTCTGAGAGCTAAGGCAGGATGTCATAGTTGGAATACAGGAACTGGAATTAAAGATTCAAGAGTTTGAGGTGACAGCAAACATCAGGTACACTATGGGAGTGGGATGCTGGAAGACTGAAGACCTGAAAATCACAGTGGCTGAAGAGAATAAGGAACTCTGCAATTTTTTAATGTATTAAGGTGGTATTCAGGTTCCCCAGGCATTCAGAATAAGAGTTAGCTGCCAAAGTCCTTAGTGAATATAACTTACAAATGAATGACAAAAGATGGGAAGGGCAAGGGTGGTGCAGGGGACCGCTGGGCAGCACAGACCCATAATTGTATGAAGTGGAAATGTCATGGCATAGAAGCAGCTAAGTGATGGCCACCTGTTAGCCCTATTTTGTGGGGCTTGAAAGAAGGGGAGGATACAGGTTGAGTATCCCATATCCAAAACGCTTGAGATCAGTAGTATTTTCGGTTTCTGAGTTTTTTTTTCTGGATTCTGGAATATTTACATTATATTTACCAGTTGAACATTCTAAATCTGAACATCCAAAATGCTCCAATGAGTATTTCCTTTGAGTGCCATGCTGGCGCTCAAAAAGTTTCAGATTTTGGAGCATTCTGGGTTTCTAGACTTGGGATGCTCAACCTGTACTGACTCTAAATTCCTCCAAGTGTTTCTTAAGCATTGTGATAATTTTCAGCAACTGCTAATAAAAGCAAACATACAGAAGACATGTATAAATATTTTCCAATTTAAAATTTACATGTGTACACATTCTACTCACCATCTCGGCATACAGCAAATTCTTCTGACTTTGCATAGGCAGATTCTTTTTGTCCAACCCTGGCTTTAACTCTGACCCAAAGAGAATTTGATGGATCACCAACATGATCAGAAATATTACAATAATGATGAGAAATATTGATGCAGGCATCAATCCATTCTGAATTCTTAACACTAAAAAGAATAAAAAAATGCGAAGATAACTTTTATTGTTATTAAATAAACTCAAACCATTTCTGTCTGTGCTTTGCTTTTTATTCACAGCACAAAGCGGTAGAAAGAGCAGAGCTAAGAATAGGATGGAGACGCCAGAGAAAGTAGGAAACCCTTACTCTTTAGTTAGAAGAACTACAAACTCTGTTACAGTAAAGAGGCTCAATTCAAAATGTAAGACCTATGCAAGCCACATTCCACATTCAATTTTTTAAAAATCTGTTTTTTTAAACAACTCTAAATTCCATTTATATATGTTAATTATAGAAGTAAGCACATTAAAAAAACTAACAGTTGTCAAAAAAGTTTTTTGAAATTTATATTGTTCTACTAAAAATACACTACAGGAAGATGACATAGTAACTATTAGCTTTATTTGTCATGCTAATCTCAGAAGTTTAGTGATACTTCTCTATTTCAATACTGATAAGGAAGAGGAAATAAGAGGCAAGAAATATTTGGCAAAGAATTTGCATCTTTAGTACTTTTGGACCTCTATAAGCAGTTTAGAATGTTTTGCCACGTGGGAAGGCTGATGAAAGAACACAGTTGTGGAATTTCCAAGGACCTAAACAAAAATGGAATAAAAAGGATAAATAAAAGAGTGACACTCACCCATAGTTCTTTACCTCTACGGTAAAAACAGGGACCTGTGGCATGATCTGGTACTCCCAATATACGATAGGGTTCATGTTATAGGATTCAATTGTAACATTAGTTGGTGTAGGCACTGTAAGAAAATAAAAAAGTAAAAGGGACAATTGTAAGAAACTAACATTAATATTGGAAAGCCTTATTGTAAGATGCCACATTGCCCAGATATGTATATTTGAAGAAAAGTAGAATTCACCAGGATACCAAAATTATTTAAATGAAGAGTAGACATCTAGAAATTAATTTTATTGAAAAATCTATAGAAGAGTTCTGATTCGTTTTAAATTATGGAAACATCATTGCAATATAAAGGAAACACAAATACAGCATGAAGCAATAAATTCCCTTAATATGATAGAAGTTTTATAATCAAATGCACTGATTATTGAATTAATAATCCTCATTTCATCACTAGAATTTTCAATATTTGATACTACAGATTGTATTCAATGTTGATAGGGTTTGGCTGTGTCCCCACCCAAATCTCAACTTGAACTGTATCTCCCAGAATTCCCATGTGTTGTGGCTTGGACCCAGGGAGAGGTAATTGAATCATGGGGGCCAGTCTTTCCTGTGCTATTTTCGTGATAGTGAATAAGTCTCATGAGATATGATGGGTTTATTGGGGCTTCTGCTTTTTGCTTCGTCCTCATTTTCTCTTGCTGCCACCATGTAAGAAGTGCCTTTCTCCCCCGCCATGATTCTGAGGCCTCTCCAACCATGTGGAACTGTAAGTTCAATTAAACATCTTTTTCTTCCCAGTCTTGGGCATGTCTTTATCAGCAGCATGAAAAAGGACTAATACAGTAAATTGGTACCAGCAGAGTGGGGCATTGCTGAAAAGATACAAGAAAATGTGGAAGCAACTTTGGAACAGGGTAACAGGCAGAGACTGGAACAGTTTGGAGGGCTCAGAAGAAATAGGAAAATGTTTGGAACTTTACTTAAGAGACTTGTTGAATGGCTTTGCCCAAAATGCTGATAGCAATATGGACAATAAAATCCAGGCTGAGGTGGTCTCAGTGGAGGTGAGGAACTTGCTGGGAACTGGAGCAAAGGTGACTCTTGCTATGTTTTAGCAAAGAGACTGGCGGCATTTTGCCCCTGCCCCAGAGATTTGTGGAACTCTGAACTTGAGAGAGATGATTTAGGGTATCTGGTGGAAGAAATTACTAAGTGGCATAGCATTCAAGAAGTGACTTGCGTGCTGTTAAAGGCATTCAGTTTTATAAGGGAAGCAGAGCATAAAAGTTTGGAAAATTTGCAGCCTGACTATGAGACAGAAAAGAAAAACCCATTTTCTGGGGAGAAATTCAAGCTGGCTGCAGAAATGTGCATAAGTAGCAAGAAGCCTAATGTTAATCCCCAAGGCCATCGAGAAAATGTCTCCAGGCCATGTCAGAGACATTCACGCCAGCGCTTCCCATCACAGGCCCGGAGGCCTAGGAGGAAAAAGTGGTTTTGTGGCCAGGCCCAGGGTCCCCGTGCTGTGTGCAGCCTAGGGACTTGGTGCCTTGCGTCCCAGCTGCTCCAGCTGTGACTGAAAGAGGCCAACATATAGCTCAGGCTGTGGCTTCGGAGGGTGGAAGTCACAAGCCTTGGCAGCTTCCACATGGTGTTGAGCCTATGGGTGTGCAGAAGTCAAGAATTGAGATTTGGGAACCTCTGCTTAGATTTCAGAAGATGTATGGAAATGCCTGGATGCCCAGGCAAAAGTTTGCTGCAGGGGCAGGGCCCTCATGGAGAACCTCTGCTAGGCCAGTGTGGAAGGAAAATGTGAGGTCGGAGCCCTCACACAAGTCCCTACTGGGGCACTGCCTGGTAGAGCTGTGAGAAGAGGGCCACCATCCTCCAGACTCCAGAATGGTAGATCTGCTGACAACTTCTGGAAAAGCTGCAGACATTTGATGGCAGCCTGTGAAAGCAGCTGAGAGGGAGCCTGTACCCTGCAAAGCCACAGGGGCAGAGCTGCTCAAGACCATGGGAAGCCACCTCTTACATCCGCATGACCTGGATGTGAGACCTGGAGTCAAAGGAGATCATTTCGGAGCTTTAAGATTTGACTGCCCCACTGGATTATGGACTTGCATGGGCTCTATAACTCCTTTGTTTTGGCCAATTTCTCCCATTTGGAATGGCTGTATTTACCCAATACCTGTACCCACACTGTATCTAGGAAGTAACTAGCTTGCTTTTGATTTTACAGGCTCACAGGCAGAAAGGACTTGCCTTGTCTCAGATGGGACTTTGGAATGTGGACTTTTGGGTTAATGCTGAAATGAGTTAAGACTTTGGGAGACTGTTTGGAAGGCATGATTGGTTTTGAAATGTAAGGACATGAGATTTGGAGGGGCCAGGGGTAGCATAATATGGTTTGGTTGTGTGTCCCCACCGAAATCTCAACTTGAATTGTATCTCTTGGAATTCCCACGTGTTATGAGAGGGACCTGGGGGAAGTAATTGAATCACGGGGGCTGGTCTTTCCCATGCTAGTCTCGTGATAGTGAGTAAGTCTCACGAGATCTGATGGGTTTATCAGGGGTTTCTGCTTTTGCTTCTTCCTCATTTTTCTCTTGCCGCCACCATGTAAGAAGTGCCTTTCGCCCTTGCTGTGATTCTGAGGCCTCCCCAGCCATGTGGAACTGTAAGTCCAATCAAACATCTTTTTCTTCCCAGCCTTGGGTATGTCTTTATCAGCAGCACGAAAACAGACTAATACAAATGTCTACAGAGGAACTGGCTACAATGAGGATGGCCAATTTCACTCTAAAATACCATCAACCTCTCAACTCTACACATACTACTATTTATGCCTTCCACACTTTTTCTATAGTACAGGAATAGATACCTAAAGATTGAACAATGGAGCCACACATTCCAGTTTCATCAACACTCTGCTCTCTGGGGTGTGCAGGGCTTTTTACAAAACATACCCAACATTTCTTCTTGCCTTCACTCTTTCAGAAAACATCTGTTGATAAGACTTGAGTCACGTAAGAGAACAGACAGAAGTCATTTTAACATCTAATCAGACACTACCAAAATCTAGTTATTAAAAGTAGTCATGGGCCAGGTGCGGTGGCCCACACCTGTAATCCCAGCATTTTGGGAGGCTGAGGTGGGAGGATCTGTTGAGCTCAGGAGTTGGAGACCCTGTCTCCGCAAATAATTAAAAAATTAGCCAGGTGAAGAGGCCTGTGCCTGTAGTTTCAGCTACTCGGGAGGCTGAGGAAGATTGCTTGAGCCCAGGAGGTCAAGGCTGCAGTGAGCTGTGACTGTGCCACTGCATTCAGTTCTCTTAGAAAAAAAAAAAAAGGAGTCATTTTTCCCCACTGTTTGGTGTAAAAGGTTGTTATCCAACACCCCTTGGAAAACTGAACACACACACTTCTCCTTTCTCCCTTCACTTCTTTACAGATAAACATGAATGTACACAGTTAGCGATGTGACCCCAAATTTATGGTTATTCAATCTCACCTCCCTGGAACACTCTATTAAACATGATTTACTTATATAACTAAAACAAATAAATGAATGTCCATGTGGATAGGAACAGTGGCTTCCAAACATAACTTATAATCATCCTCAAAAATTGTGAGAGGGACAGAAGTTTCTATTTTTCCAAAGTGCCTTGGATGATAATGATGATGATTTATATTTATATCAAGCAGACTGCTTAAATAAGAAAAATACTCCCTAGGTCAAACATTAATAAATTTGGGTTCTTTCTTGGCCACACTGCTAAATACTTCAGATTTCCTGATCTGTCATGAGGTGTTACTTTCATATCCCTAAGATATTTGCTTACTGCTGAAGGGAAAATCTATATTTTCCCCAAACAAAAATTCCAATATTCAAGACCAAACTGGTATATTGCCTTAATTTACAATTATTTAACACATATATTTTCAAAGCAGAACATGGATTAAGAGTTTTTTAGGTAAATAATAGGCACTAATGGACAATTAAATGCTATCACCATTATTATTTTCCTTTTCTGATTATTTTTTCCTTTATTGCAGTGGTTCTCTGTGGGAAGTGATTTTGTTGCCAGGAGACATTAGGCAATCAATGTCTGTAGACATTTTTGGCTCTCACAACCTGGAGAAGAAGTGTGTGGGGGAGGTACTGCTGGCATCTAGAGGGCAGAGACCAAGGGTGCTGCTAAATATCCTACAATGCATCAGACAGCCTCCACAACAAAAAATAATATAGCCCCAAATGCCAGCAGTGCCAAGGTTGAGAAACCCTGCTTTATGTTTACAATTTAAGTGTTCTTTAAAAAAAAAGTTGAGGAAAAACTAACTTAAAAACAGAATGCTTTACAGTAAACCTGTATATTTCATGGCTCCCCTCAAACAAATGAATAGATTTGGTTATTGCCAAAAGATCTAACTTCTATATTATTTACCAAAATGGTGTAATAATTTGGGCCAAAAGGTTGAGATTATCAAGCTGGGGAGGGTCTGAAGATTCAAATACTTCATACTACTAACTTGACCTTTTTGTGGCCAGTGACCAGACACCTAGGTTTTCTCCTTCTGCTTCCAGAGGCGCAGCTGAAGGCTCTTGGTACCTGCCATCTCTGGTTCTCTAAGCAACTTCCTTGTAGGTGATCCCTAAGGCACTGTTCTTGCCAGAGTAGCCTTGGCTCTTTGTTTTTTGTAGAGTTCCCATGGCCATTCATAGCAGGGGATACTGAGGCTTCCTTAAGAGGGTCTTTTTTCTATCACACGTTTGCATCTCAACCTCCTGAAACAACTCAAATACTTCACAATCCATATTTTAGGTAGAAATAAAAGTCATTCCTCTTCACCTGGGTTCAATCAACATTAATATCAAATAACAATCACACATATAAATATACTTTTTCAACCGGAAAACAGAGGTACTTGATGCTAAGAAAACTCATACTAAATCTGAGCCTTCCTTCGGAGACCATTTCTTCATTTTGGCATTTTTTTGCCTCTCGAGAGGCTGAGAATTTTCAAACCAGGTGGTCCTGGTTTCTTTTTAACAGTTCTTCCCATGATTGAGCAAAGTCTCACCTGTTACTATAAGACGCAAGAAGAAACCAGGTGGCACTTTCAGCACTCTGGTTAGAAACCTCCTGAGCTAGATCACACAGCTCCTCAGACATTCTCTACTTTTGGTGTCACTGAAGGCTACAGTGTCACTCAGCTTTCTGCCACTACATAGCAAGGACCCCCCTTCCTCTAGGTTTCCAAGACTGGAAATCCTTTGCTTCCTTTTAAGCTCCACTCCCCTCCTTTTGAGACAGAGTCTTGCTCTGTTGCCCAGGTTGGAGTGCAATGGCATGATCTCTGCTCACTGCAACCTCTGCCTCCTGGGTTCAAACGATTCTCCTGCCTCAGCCTCCCGAGTAGCTGAGATTACAGGTTTGCACCACCAGACATGGCTAATTTTTGTATTTTTAGTAGAGATGGGGTTTCACCATGTTGGTCAGGCTGGTCTCAAACTCCCAACCTCATGAATCGCCCACCTGGGCCTCCCAAAGTGCTGAGATTACAGGTGTGAGCCACCGGGCCCAGCCTAAGGCTCTCTTTTTAATTATACCCAGTAGGAATGGCTTTATAATGGTATACGCTCAACCTGAAATTCCTGTGAGAAAAAGGCATATAGAAGTCAATCTGCATACTAGAATATCAAACAAAGTGCATTTGTACTTAGGAAGGGGCTACTGAATCACACAATGGAAAACTACAAACAGGAGTAGGCTTGTGCAGCATTAGATTAGTTTTTAACGTGAATCAAAGTATGTTTCCTATAATTTAAGTAAAAGCCTGATATGGTTAGACTAGGACAAGGACTTAAATCATAGCTTTCAAAGCAAGACAGACAGGTGGTAGGAGGAAAATATTTCAATGGTTTATAGCAAAAAGAAATTACTACTAGGTTAAAAGAAAAACTTATAAATTTACACCAAAAGATGTAATCTGTGGTTTTTAATGCTACCAGAGGAGAAACTGTGTGGTTATTAGACATCTGCCTTTGTTTTGCCAAATATTATTTTTTGCCAAATATTATTTGCCAAAATAATATGACAGACATAAGCAGTTTTCTTAAGCTTCAGAATTTTGTAATGTGAGGTTTAAATTGTTATATATTCAGATTAAATTAATTAAGGCTTACAATTAACTTCTAATACATTTACACTATGTAAATAAAAATATATGTAGAAACAGCAAAAGAGTATTATTATCTCTGGGGCTTAAGAAAAGATCTTACCAGAGTGATTTCATGAAATAAGATAATCTTACAGATTTTCCCATCTCTTGAAAATGCCAAGATAGTTTTGTGTAACTCATGTTGCTTTTGGAAATGGACTCAGAATTATTTAGTGTATTACATCTGCATACTATCCGGAGTAAACTTTAGCTATTTTAAGATCTAATTCCCAGAACTCCCCTACAACTCACAGCTGATAATTTAAGAAAACTAAACACAGGAGAGAAGAATTTGTTTTTCCTAACACTTTAATTACAATGCAGAAAAAAAAAGGAGGGCCCTGGTTAAAGCCAACTGTTTCCTCAGAAAGCTGATAAGCCAGAAGAGACAGGATATGAAAAAAGAGAGACAACACAAAAGACCAGTGAAGATCAGCAGGTGATACAGAGCAGTGCTATCGACGGGACCATAACAATGTCACAAAGGACCAAAAAATAGCAGTCGTGATAGCTCTGCAATAAATGTTGGTGAATGTAGGGTGGATGGCAAACTACAGATACCTGCAGAGTATAGTCTGAAGACACTGGCCATTTCCTCTGCATAGCTGGGTGACAGGAACCAGGGCTGCTACCTGAGTCCATCCTGTAACCACCAAAAGCATCTGTGTCTCTTTAAAAAAGGACAGCCCGAGGAGTTCATCACCCATCTTAACACACTAGTGTAAAAAGACTGTATAAAAGGTTTGTACATCTATGGTGGAACAGGGCTATGGACTCTGCAGAAATCATCTGACAACCTGCTCACCAACCTCTTCATGGGAAGAGCACGCTGAGAAGCATAAGGAAGTGAGGATGAAGTAAACTGTTGTTCTGGATTCTAAGTCATCTGACACTACAACTCAAAAACAAATGTTTCAAATTAAAGCATCTGGATCTTTTCCTTAAGAACAACTCTCAGAGAAGATCTAACACCTTCCCCATGTTAAAGATACAGGGACAGGAATGGGGACTGTCACAAAGGTTTCATCTGCACAGCAAACAGAACCAGCATAAGAAATCCACACTGAATAAATGAAAAGTACCAAATCAAGGCCTTTGTATTTTTGTCAGAACATATTTGATTACAATCTCCCTCCCGAATGGCTTCCAGTGGTGATAAAATGACTATTTTTCTTAATGCTTTCCAACTTTCACCGTAGCAAGGAGCCGCATCCCCCAGGTTTAAGCTGAGTACAGACATTTTGATAATTCTTGCAGGTGATGTTTCAAGTGTTCATTGAAATCTTCTAATTGAAATTTTTCTTTTTAAAGAGCCAGGCATAACACATAGTGGCCTGCAGTGAACTTGTAAGTAACTAACCTCCCCTATATTTTTCCCTCGCACCACCACCAAGTTGGGGCTTATCCAATAAATATCTGCTCAGCCACTTTTCTGACTTGAAATCCAGGGCTTTATTCTTACTCCTATTTATCCAATTTCATCTAGTTGGGTTTGGTCTGGCATTAGTTCTGACTGGACCAGACCAATCTAGTCCCTGAGAGAAGTCATTTCTCAACACTAATTCTCTTTTGGACTAACTCATTCTGAATTGAAAAACAGTTGAGGAAATGAAAAAACAATGCAGGCCTTTCCAGTCTACTAAAAAACCAAACTTTTTTGTCTGTTGGAAGAGATGGAAGAATGAGTTAGCTGCTGAGCCTGTTTTAAGTTTCTCATACTGATCTGGTTAAGTTTGTTTTTTTAAAAGCCAACACAATTTCTCACATATGACTAAGGGAATTTAATATTTAAAGATATATTTGTTAAAATAATAATGCACATTATTGAATAATCCCTAACATATTAAGTATTTACTACAAGACACACAGTGTGCTTACCTTTTTAATGCATTACCTCAGATACTCATCACATCCATCCCGTGAGGGAGACAATGTTACCATACATATTTTACCAATGAGAAAACAAAGGCTTAGAGAAGTTACGTAACTTGACAATATGCAAAGTTTTGTTGGTTTTCATTAAGAAAAATGCTTCCAACATCTTTGTGATCGTTTAATAAAATAAGGGGTAAATTACCTCCATATTTAAATTGGAATTGGAGAAGACTATTTTCTGGTGACTTCAAAAGCATCTGCTTCAGGTAATGTTTCCTGATTTTATTACATTATCACAATTATATTATGGCCACTGCAAAAGTTGAACAATGCATTAAAATGAATAATTTCTTAAAAATACACAAGACCTAAACAGATACCTAGTATTCTGATTACTATGCATTAGGATAATCTAAAATAAAGGCACCCCTTTAATAAGAAAATTACAAGTAAATTCCTTTCTGTTAGGAATTCACTTCATTCTGGTTCAAACCTCATTCTGATTCTTTGTTCAATCAAAATTGAACCATTAATTACTCATCTGGTTTGTAAAGCAACTTCACTACTGGTATGCTGCCAAATTTTGTAAGATAGCTGTTTATTACTTTTCTTTAGGTTTTCATACACAAACACACACACACACACAAACACACACACAAACACGAGAGACAGAGTCTTGCTCTGTTGCCCAAGCTGGAGTGCAGTGGTACAATCATGGCTCACTGCAGCCTAGACCTCCTGGGCTCAAGTGATCCTCCTACCTCAGCCTCCCCAGTAGCTAGGACTACAGGCACATGCCACCACACAGGGTTAATTTTTGTATTTTTTTGTAGAGATGGGTTTTGCCATGTTGCCCAGGCTGGTCTTGAACTTCTGGGCTCCAGTGATCCTTCCGCCGATGTGCTGGGATTACAGGCATGAGCCACTGCCCCCAGCCTAGGTTTTCTTTTAGATAGAACCAAAATATGGTCCTTTCAAAGTCTGTGTGAATTATGAATCAGAATAAAATGAAAAAGAAAATTTAATACCCTATTCAATAAATATAATTAAAAAGTATTATCCTGTGTATTTTGAATCTCTGAAATAACTATAGAATCCAAAGAAATAGTGAAAAATTTAAACAGTACTCAGAGCTTTATCCTAAAGTCAGATAATTAGTAGGAAGCATAGCTGATAAACTGTACAAGGTCAGTGAAGAGCCTTCCAGTTGGTGTGAAGTCCAGCCTAGCTCTTCAGCTATTACTCAGAGTGGGACACTCATCTGGATGAAGAAAGCCAGTGGCACACCCTGATTCACTTAAAAATATATACTACTTTTATGTGTAAAAGTGCATGAAGAGTGAAATACTACTGATTAAGTGGCACACACAGATTTTATTTTCACTTAAGAAGTATTAATGAAAGCCCATGAATGTAACACAATACATTCCTAAACACCTGGATTTCCTGGAGACTGACTATATCACCATATTCACTTGTCTGCTTCCCTGTTCTTACCAGGTCCTCTCATCTAAGATGAACTTCAACTATAGAGTCAAGCCCAGCAACAGTAAGAATAAGGCTGGGAAGCTAAGCAAGAGCCAGAGCATTGTTGGTTTCTTCCTACTTTGGAGATTTTGTGTTTTAAATTAACTTTAAAAGAACAGGGAACACAACAAAATCTAGAGAAATGCACTGAAAAATCTAGAGAAATGTGTTAGAAATGCACTTTAAAAAGAGGGCTCACTGAAACTAATGAAAAGCAAGGCCGGGGTGCTTGTCTCTTCTAGGGGAGTCAGGAAAGGCTTCACAAAAGTGACCCCAGTTTTAGAACGAGAGGTACAGAGACAAATTCAAAAGTTTCTGCAGAATATAGAAGGCTGCAGTTGATCTTCCCACGGGAGGCAGACAGGCAATCCTCCTCCCAGAGCAAGCTACAAGGACGTGCAAATTGTGCACTCACAGGGGTCACACGGTGCACTCATAGGGCCCCGTATTCAGAAGGAAGGGCCTGGCACTTGCTTTAACGCTATGCCTGCGCTAGCGTTATCCTCTTTCTCTGCTGACATCCAGTCAGAGGCCTACTAACTCTTCCTTCTAAATGTTCTGCTAACTGTCCTCTTCTCCACTTAAACTACTTATCGACTCCAACTTAAGCAGCAGCCTCCTAATGGGCCTTGTGTTTACCCTCAAACTATTTTATAAGATGACTGGTCTTTCTAAATGGCATGTCTGATCCTGCATAAAATCATTTCCCTTTGTAATTGATAATCCAATGATGTCAGCATTAGTAAATAATGACTGACTTCAGCAAGGCATAGTGGGTGTATTATTTTGTTGGCTCAACACCTGTACTTCAGGCACGCCATTCCGCTTCTTCTGGTAACCCAACCCAACCCTCTACGAGAATGTCCTTCCCATGCAAGCTGGCACCTGAACCTAGCTGGGCAAATCAGAGCCTTTCCCTGGCATTTTGTTAGAATGGAGGAGGCTGCAAGATGTCAAAACTCAGAAGCTGTCAGCATCCATGATTCCTGCCAAGTGTGGAAAGCTGTCAATACCCAGACAGAAATAAGAAATGGAGAGTCCTAGCAGTTTGGGTTCCTGGTTCTAGCCTCTTGAGACCCAGCTGGCATCTATAATTTTCTGTTTAACTCTGGTTTTTCTGAGACAATAAATTCCTCTTTTTGCTTAAGTTAATAAAGCTAGGTTTCTTGCTGGTACACATAATATGGCAATTCATTATTTGGTTCCTACTTCTCCACCTAACCTATCTCCTCCCCTTGTAAGCTCTCACACACACTTTACAATAGAACGCTTAATATTCCACGAATTCAACATGCTATCACACCTCTGCACCTCAGTCTCTGCACCTCTGGTTCCAACACTGGGGTCACCTTTGTGAAGTCTTCACTGACTTCCCTAAAAGAGACAAGCACCCCGCCTTGCTTTCCACTAGTCTGTGCCTAAGTGCAAGCTCTTACCGCAAAGTACTGCAACTGCCCATGTGGATGACTGACTAGAGCCTAGAAGAGCAGTTAAGAACTTGGACTCTGGAGCCAAATTGAGCAGCTCCCCACTGAGTGGCTATGACCTCTCTGCCAGTTGGGCAGGCCTCTCCGTAACTCAATTTCTCGTCCATAAAGAGAGAGACAAATAACGCCTACTCCAGAAGATTGTTGTGAACACAGAACCAAAACGTGGACCTTTCAAAGTCCCTATGAATCATAAATCATAATAAAAAAAAGAAAACTGAATTGAAAAGGTTTACTGTTTTCTCTGGAGCTCGTAATCACAATTACTCTGCACTTCAGAAAAGCCACCCTCAACATTTGTTTTCTAGGAAATGTCAATAAGCAGGTGGAAATAAAATGCTCCGAAGAACAAACCCGTACGAAGAGACCTACTGCCAAATCTGCTAGTGAGTGCCGGCAATCCACCACTTCCAGACTGAGACCTAAGACGGACTGCCACTTACTTCTCAGCTGCCACTTACTTCTCAGCTGGCGACATAATGCATACTTTCCTACCCTAAGCACTTTGAGTCCCCCCCCCCACCCCCGCTAAGAAAGAAGTATTTAAGCCACGAACTGAGACCACGATGCCACATGCTGATCAGGACACTCACAGTCATGCGTCACTTAACGATGGAGATCCGTTCTGAGAAATGGAGAAATGTCCCCTTAGGCAATTTCTTCGGGCAGTAGAAACCCAGACAAACCCAGATGACACAGCCTACTGCTCTTAGGTCATGAACCTGTACAGCCTGTCACTGCACTGAACACTGCAGGCAACCGTAGCATACTAGTGAGTATCTGCGTATCTAACCATAAAAAAAGGTACAGTAAGAAGACGATATTATAATCTTTGAGACCACGCTGTCCCACATTGACCAGCAACGTCCTTCTGCAGCGCATAATCGTATTTAAAAGTGGATTACAAGAGTCGGAAAAACAAGCGGCGTGATTTGTTGTGGCGGCAACCAGGGAAGAGGCAGGAGAAAGGCAACCGACGAGTTCAAACCACGGAGCCCCAGTCTCGCGACCCCACCTCGCGTCCCCGTCGCCCGCTCAGGGCCCGACGCAGGGGTCCCGGGCTAGGGCGACCTCGGAGAAGCGGGGCGGGGCTTCCCGGCTGGGGCGGATCCCTCCCTCCCTCTCGTCCCGACCCGGCCGCAGCCCTGCCGCGAACGACGGTACCTGAGGACGGCCCCAGATCCGCGGTGCCCATCTCAGCCCTGCTCACACCCTGCATGACAAGGGGTAGGAGAAAGAGGAGAGCCATGCTGCTACCGACGGTCGCTGGCTCCAACCCCGAGCGCCTGCGGGACCAGCCCAGCACTGCCCTCCAGCCCCGGCCTTACGTCACTTCCGTCACCGGGGTCTGTGCCGGCGTCGGCAGGAGGCGGGACCAGGGCGTGGGCGGGGTCAAGTCCGGGAAGCCGCAGGAGGCGGACTCAGGCGCAGCACCCAGCAGTGAGCACGGCGTCGTGCGGTCGGGACCTGGACTTCTGGGTGTGGGAGGAATTTGAGTGCAAAGGTTAAGGTCTTTCAACCTGGCACCCCATTCTGCAATTCTTCTTCCAGTTTTTTTCGGTTTCCTGGGGTTGTGCAAGTTTGCATTAGGCCACAGCCGAGCCACAATCCTTATTTTACTAACTCTTGGACTTCACCTGGTTGTCTTGGAGCCTGACATTTTTAGAAGAGAATGAGACTTCAAAAGCCATTTCCAGTCCCTGCTTTTTCATTTGAGGAACCTGAGACTTAGCTAGTGAAATGGTTTGTGCAGATTCCCACAGCCCAAATCAAATCGGCTTGACCAAGAACTACTTTGTTCTTGGAGAAAAAAACTATTTGCATTACCTTCTCAGCAATTCAGTGTCAAATCAGTTTATCAGGCAGCCTCTCATGAAGAGGTCTGCTCTCTTACCTCTCTGGGTTTGTCTGTTATTTTGCATCTCTCCTATTCCACTGCAGCCACATTGCTAAGTCCTTCAGCGCTTGTGCTCAAACATGCGAATGTCTAATGATCTCACCTGTTTCAATTCTCTGAGTATCATGAACTTTTGTTAAAAATTTTAAATTGCAACACACCTTCTCCTCCTCCTTACCCCGCCCTACTGTTTTTTCATGGCACTTTTCACCTTGCTGTACACTATAATATACACCTTGATATTTGTTTTCTTCTCCTTCTAAAATGTAAGCTCCGTAGAGCTGACATCTTTACTTGGCACTCAATTAGTATTTGTTGAGTGAAAGACTGCATGATTACTAGTGTTAAGGAAAATTTTTAAAGAGGGAAAATCCTTATAAAGACACTATATAAACTAGAGGTATTATCAGCCAGATCATTTTACTTGTATTAATAAATCTCTTAGCTCAGTACTTCTCAAACTTCAACATACATGTGAACCATCTGGGGATCTTGATAAAATGCAGATTTGGATTCAGTAGTTCTAATTCAGGTTGGGTCTTGAGATTTTGTATTTCGGACAAAATGCACAGGGGATGCTGGTGCCCCTTTCAACAGGACCACACTTTGAATCAGAAGAATTTAGCTCAATCTAGACTAAGTTTAGGGAGAATATTTCCTTTGATGTGTTTCTGATGTCCACTATATGAAAGACACCTTCTAGTCGTTGTAAGGATGCAAGGATAAATAACTGATCTTTACCGTTTAGGCGTCTATGGAGTAGGACAAAATATGATATCCAGTTTGTAAACATTTTTGTGGTACTTGTCACAGGCTGGGTTACCCTGGCAGTAAACTCTGAGGTCGAGATTAAGGTATAAGGCATTGATTGATTAGGGAGTGCTCTTGGAATAAACGTCTGTGAAGGGGAGGTGGAGGAAGCAGAGCGGAGGAAGAAGTTGATCTGTGATGCCATCCCAGTAAAGGCTCCCAAGGGGCGCTCTGGAGTTGGGATGGCCTTGTAAAGGTGTCTTGAGTTGGTATGAGGGGCTGGGTCTTAAAGCCCAGCACTGATTAGTCATTGAATACCAACTGTCATGATTTTGGGGCTGTCCATTTCTTTCATGGAGGCATTCCCCAGAGGAACGCTGACGGTTGAGGGTGTCTACTGGCAGCCCTCCTAGCATCAGGAAGGGGACAGAACCCAGTCTTCTGTTCCTGAGAGGGATCTGGGCAAGTTTCACAATCACAGCACCCACCACCCTACGTATCCTTCTGAAGACTTTGCTAGTTAGTCATTTGGAGACTAAATATATTTATTAATTGGGTGAATATTATCAAGTGATACTGTCTGTGACTGACATGACCAGGCACAGAGATAAAGACCTGAGCAAGACAGACATGGCCCCTGCCCTCACGGAGCTTACTGTCTACTGAGGGAGATAGCTGTTAAACAAGGAATTACACAAGTACTGAAATCGTGATCATCATTCCCAAGGAGAGCAATGGGAAGAGATTAAAGGAGTATAAACAGGAATTTAACTTAGTCTACATTTTAAAGAAAGTCTTTCTTTTCTTTTTTCTTTCTTTTGAGACAGGGTCTCACTCTGTCGTCTAGGCTGCAGTGCAGAGGCATGATCATAGCTTACTGCAGCCTCAAACTCCTGGGCCCAAATGATCCTCTTGCCCCAGCCTCCCAAATAGCTGGGACTACAGGTGTACACCACCATGCCTGGCTAATTTTTTTTTTTTTTTTTGAGACAGGGTCTGACTGTATCACCTAGCTGAGGTACAGTGGCACAATCTCAGCTGACTGCAACCTCCACCTCCCGGGCGCAAGCCATCCTTCCACCTCAGCCTCCCAAGTAGCTGGGACCACAGGCATTTTTTTGTGTCTTTTGTGGAGATGGGGTTTCACCATGTTGCCCAGGCTGATCTCAAACTCCTGAGCTCAAGCAATCCGCCCACCTTGGCCTCCCAAAGTGCTGGGATTACAGGAGTGAGCCACCTCGCCTGGCCTTATGCCCGGCTAGTTTTTAAATTTTTTATAGAGCTGGGGTCTTGCTGTGTTGCTCAGGCTGGTCTCAAACTCCTGGGCTCAAATGATTCTCCTGCCTCAGGCTCCCAAAATGCTGGGATTACAGGTGTGAGCCACTGTGTCTGGATTTAGGGAAATTCTTTTTTAAGGAAGTTACCATTATGTTGTGACCTGAAGGATAAGGTAAAATTAGCCTGAATAAAGTTAAAAGATGGGGGTGGCCACCGGCTAATAAGAGAGGTAGGAAGAAGAGCAATAAACTGTATTTTAAAATCCCATATAAAAATCTCATACAGCTAACACAGAAACAAATGAGCGGTGCCAGCTTTCCTTGATAAATTTCCAATGCCTAATGGCTGGGGAATATCCAAGTATACGTTGGTCCCCACTAGAGCCTCAGATTAGTTTTTAAAATGAAGAAAACAAATTGGGGTGGAGCGTAGATCATTCCAAAGCCAAGTGTATACTGAAGTGCTGCTGCTCAGGAGCAAGGCTACATTTTGAAGACCATACTCACCTGCCTTTCAAGTTAATAGGCCAAATAAAACAATTTAAGAAGCTAGAAATATGATCCAATGAGAACAGAGCCTGTGTGTGTGGAACAAACTGTGCATTTTGGCTCTGAGCACAGTGCATTTCCTTCCTCTTTTCTCCAAAGCAGAAATGTCTGCCAGCTTCCCTTTAAAGGAGACAGCGTGAAGATTTGTAACTGAAGCATATAGTTTAAATTCCGCTGATTAGTCTGTAAATTATAGCCAATACTCTTGCCCTCTCACACTCTACCCATGCCTTTACACTGGCCCTTATTTAACTTTGTTTATTCCATAGTACTTACTACTATCTGGAGATTCTACTGGAAATTTAATATATCTATTAAATTTGAATTAAATATGAATAAATTGTATGTGTTAAATATATGCATTTTATATATATATATATTTCACAAATAATTACTGAAATTGTAGTAATTGTTACCAAGGAGAGCAACACGATTATAGGTGCGTAAACAGGGACTTAATCTGAGATTTAATGAAATGCATCCGTGTGTGTGTGCATACATAAAATATGTATATACACACGTAGAAAATTTTGTTTCAGTAGTCTCCCTCTTCCTCTAAAAAATAAATTTGTTTTCTTCACTGTCAGACCCCGAGCACCTAGCCAAGTGCCTATTACTCCATTAATATTTATGGAATATTGATGATCCTGAATCATCAATTGTATGTAATCCTGAATCATCACTGTCAGCATTGAGCAGCTGAACCAATGTCTGTGGCCACTTATTAAATAAATATATGATGAACAAAACAAGCTTGTAAAGAGGTGTGGGACTGAAGCAGGTATAGTTGAATTTATGGCTGGCTAAGCTATAATTGGGTCACTGATAAGAATTTAGAGAGATATTTGGATATCATACTGGTACTCAACAAAGCACTATCCTCTTGCCTTGCACTCAACCCTCCTCTTAGCTCTCATGCTGACATCCGATTGTATCAGACCAACCCCTGGCTTGAAGATGTTTATCCATAGACAGTCAAGTATTCTAGTAGTTGGCTTGTCTTAGAGCACTGCCTAGGGTAGATGCCACATGCTGCGTGGTGACTGTGGCAGATACTACTCATTAGCTGACTGCTAACAGCTCTTTTCGGTCCCCTTCTATCTTGCTGCCTCCCTACTGCAGAGGCTAGACAGGCTCATTACTCACTTTCCCAGCCTTTTTGGCAGCTAAGTGTAGGTATATGATGTAGTTTTGGTCAGCGAAACACAAGCAGAAGTCTGTGAGGCATGTGTGTGTGTGGTGGTCATCAGGTGTATAATGGGGAAGAGGATTGGAAAGCATTCTGTGAGAACTTTTCCTTTCTCATAGAAGGGGCAGATGCAATGGGAGAGTTTGCTGGCCTTGGCCCTTTTCCAATCTTCTTGCCTTGAATGTAGATCCAGTGACGCCTAGATCTGCAGCAGATCTTGGCAGTTTGCAACCATGAGGCAACAAGATTGAAGATGAAAAGTCAACAGCTACCAGTGGAAGAACAGGAAGTTAGAAAGCCTGAATCATCGTCAGCATTGAGTTTCTGAACTAATGTCTATGACCACCTGCCTTTGGCCTATGGGAGAAAAAAATAAACCCCTGTTGATTTAAGTCACCATCAGTTCGATTTTCTGTTAATCGTGCAGATTTTTTTTTTTTTTTTTTTTTTTTTTACTCAATGTCAGGCCAACCTAAATAGATTGGCTTTCAGAGAGTTGGAATGTAAACCATGATGGAGAAGAGGATGACTGAGTGGAAGGGAGAAAGGAGAAAAGAAGAAACAACAAACTCAAGTACAGGATGTAGAAGACTAGAATAGTAAGCAAAGAAGATCACTTGTTGAGGGGAGAACAAGAGGCCCAGCAGCCAGAGGCTTAGCAGAACTGCCATGTGCCCCGAATAGTGCTCCCTCACTGTGCTCCCTGGGCACTAGCTCATTGGCGAGGCTTTCCTCTTCTGATGTTCCCACACATCTTCACCAACATCCCTTGTCACTAAAGGTAACCTAAATGTCTCTGTTCCTTGCAACTAAAAGAGCGCAACAGGCCAGGTGTGGTGGCTCACGCCTGTAATCCCAGCACTTTGGGAGGCTGAGGTGGGTGGTCACTAGGGCAGGAGTTCGAGACCAGCCTGGCCAACATGATGAAACCCCATCTCTACCAAAAATTCAAAAATTAGGTGGGTGTGGTGGTACACGCCTGTGGTCCCAGCTACTTGGGAGGCTGAGGCAGGAGAGTGGCTTGAACTGGGGAGGCGGAGGTTACAGTGAGCTGAGATTGTGCCATCGCACTCCAGCCTGGGTGACAGAGCAAGACTCTGTCTTAAAAAAAAAAGAAAAAGAAAAAAAAAGCACAATGAATTTCATTTCTAGCCATGAAATTTTTGGCCATTTCAGCATCATAAAGGGCAGCTACCCTATTCTTTTAGAAAACATTTCCCAATATAACACTAAACACCAGGCTGAAAAAAACTGTTGCTAAAAAGAACTGAGTAATCTAAAGCAGCATGCAGTTTGTCCTCAGAGCCTCATACTTCCTCTTTCAGTGCATCTTCCCCCTCCAGTCTCCGTACTTCCTTCACCACACACCAAAGCCCAGTGACTTCTTGCTGCTTCTCAGAAGCCCAGAGTCCTCCTACTTGGAGAATACCAAAAACTTCCCTAGCTCACAAGGCTTCAGCTGAAAGTGTCTCTCCATCCTTATCTTTCATCAACATCTAGGTCAATGGTTCCGTAGCAGATGCTCTTAGATGGCTCTGGGTAATGATAGATGAACAAATTGAACAAATTAATTTATTGACATCAATATTTGATAACCATTTTGGGGTGGACACTCCTAGATATTTTGACATTCGAACAGTTCTTAACTAGAAGAACCAATGTGTCCAGTGGTGACACTGGAGGTCTTGACAAGAAAGGATACAATAAGATAGTTTGCCTTGGGCAAAAGGGTCTTTTGGGTGCCTTTCAAATCATGGTATGATGGCTCATTTTTCAAAAGGCAGGCTCAGAGCCTAAATTCAGCCAACAGATGTGTTTTGTTTAGCCAGCAGAGAGAATTCCATTTTCATTGGTTCTAGGCAGGGCACGTAGTCCTGTTAAGTTTTAAGTATCTATATTTAATGTGATTATCTTGAATGCCAATACTAGATTTCTAGAGCAGAACACTTTTCTTTTTTTTTTTTTTTTTTACTTACAGCAAATAATTTTGTCAGCTCTCTTTTGTCCCAGTTCTTATCTCTGGGGCTATGCAATGAGACCCAGATGTACATGTAGGCTGCACATGTCATCCTATATGTAATGGTGTCTACTGTAAGTGAGGACACCCTCCAAAATGAATCTGGGCATTTATATAGGAGAAAGGGCCAACTTTCCCCTCCCGCTGTGAGAAAAGACGAGAAATCCATTGCTCCCTGGTATAAACACATTCTCCTTGGGAACAGAAAGAAAGATTCTGGGAGCTTAGCTTTTGGAATGTAAATAAATTTCCCCACTGGAAAGATGAGACTAGTGTCTCTGGCTTTACATCCCAGGAGATGTTTCCATGGTCCTGGGGGTTTAATTCTTCCTTGAAATGAAAACGCAGGTATCTTTGGGGAGGTAAATTTCTCTGGCATTCTCACTAATCACTTCGAAGTTAACACCAGGCTTGTCCTTTTAGCTTAGATTCCAAGATTCAGTAAAATGGGCTCAGAAAACCCTAACTGTTCAGAAACGTAAAAATATTGTCTCTATGGCCCACAATTCCACAGTTGAACCACACGCCTATCATCTCAACTGTCTTACACTCTGCAGCTTGATTTTTGTTACCTTTTTGGTTCTTACTTGTAGGCATTTGTCAATGATGGGATTTAGAACATGCTACCCGAAAATATGGTACTTAGGCATTTGGAGAAACAGCAGAAGTGAGAAGGTGACTCTCTGACTTTTTCCCACACTTCTCCCCTGAAGCAGGTTATAAAAGAAATATCGGGGCCGGGCGCAGTGGCTCATGCCTGTAATCCTAGCACTTTGGGAGGCTGAGGTGGGTGGATCATCTGAGGTCAGGAGTTCAAGACTAGCCTGGCCAACATGGTGAAACCCCGTCACTACTAAAAATACAAAAATTAGCCAGGTGTGGTGGCACACACCTGTAATCCCAGCTACTCAGGAGGCTGAGGAAGGAGAATTGCTTGAACCTGGGAGGTGGAGGTTGCAGTGAGGCGAGATCCCGCCACTGCACTCCAGCCTGTGTGATGGGAGCAAGACTCCATCTCAAAAATAAATTCTTGGGCCTTTATCTGAAAGAGGTCATAAGGCCACATTACAGAGTGCCCTTTCTATGTCAGGAAGGAAGGAATTTTTTTTTTTTTAATCTCTGATGACACAGGGACACAGAGAAGTAGCTTACAAGCAGGCTTGCTAAATTCCCCTCAGTTTATGACCATTGGATCACAGCCTTTTGTCCTCCAAGCACACTTCTGCATGGCTGCCCACTCTTCGTCAAACCTCAGCATAAAAAAACACTTATATTAAATACATTTGTATGCGCTTCTCTTGTTAATCTGTCTTTTGTTATAGGTGCCTTGGCCATGAACCTAACAGTGAGTGAGAAAAGAATCTCTTGTCCCCTACATCATCAAGTTATAACAACCAATACTTTGGTCAAAGAATGTATACTTGCTAACATTTAGACCTTTAAAAAGAGAATTGAAATACACTCCATTTGTGTGAATGAAAAATTTATAATATGTCTTTTCGGACAAGAAATCAAACAAAAATGAAAATGTAATTTCTTACTACTCCAGATTACATAGAGGATAACTGTATCTGCATGGAAATGTATCATCTGAGAAATGGGTTCATTTTGTCACAGAAATCCTAGTTGCTGGTTAGGAGTGAGCAAGACAGTCTTTAGTCAGTCAGGCATTTTGTGAGTGAGACTGTGCAGCACCGTGATCGAGCATGAAGTCCCCGAGGCTGGACTGCCTGCATTTAGGGGTCACACCACCACTGCTTTATCATGTGATCTAGGGCAAGGGACTTGTCTTCTCTGTGCCTCAGTTTCCTTACTTGTAAAGTGGAGATAGAATAATGTACACAGCATCGGATCTTTGTGAAGGTGAAATGAGATAATTATGAAAAATCTGTAGTCCTCTGCCTGACAAGTCACATTAGCTGTGTTATTAGATGAACGTTAGCTGTGTTATTAGATAAATGTTAGCTGTGTTATTATTTGCTACATCACCTCCCTGCTCCTCTGTGATTTAAAGAGAGCTTATTCTCTAATAGCAAATGAGAGAAAGAGAGAGGGAGAGATTTGTAAACTAAAAAGGGCATCACAGTTTTATTTCTTTGACTTGTAATGGAAGTTTGGGCCAGCTCTGGCAAGAACGCCACAAGGAGCAGTGAGTTCTACTCAAAGTGGTGAGGAGTGGTTAGGAAATTTTTTAGAGTAGGAGGAGACCTTTGAACTGAATCTTGAAACCACTTTCTACTCTCACTTTGGGCTCCTAGCAACCACTGAATAGTGGTAGAGAAAATAAAATAGACATTTTTAGAAAGTGTGTATTTTCCTATGGACTACTAAGCAATGACTGTATTTTTGAAAAACGTGCTTACAGCTTTAGATTCCAATAATTGCATGTGACAAATCTAAGCACGGTCAGCTTGTGCTTCTCCTGGCTTTGCCTTTTATTAGGTCCTGCACGGGCCAGCCACAGTCATTGTACCTCTATCCTATTCTGTAGTCATTTGTGGTTATCAGCAGTCTGATAGAAGACTGTAAGAGCTCACTTATTAAGATCAAGATAGAACGAGGGCAACACTATTCCTTAGGCCAGAGCAGGGAGGAACAATTTAACTGGGACCTATCTGAGGACATAAGCATATTTTTTAGAAAACTACACCAAAAAGGGATAGTTAGGATGGAAACATGGCAAAAATGTGGAGTTCAGGGAAGCAAAATTGTTTACTGTGTTCCCAGCAGCATCCAAGAGAAAGGATACCTTTTCCTGATAATGCACATGTCTAGTCCCTTTGTCAGGGAATGCAGAGGTTAATTAAGAGTATGAGAAGCCTGGCTGGGTGCAGGTGCAGTGGCTCCCAGCACTTTGGGAGGCCAAGGCAGGAGGCTCACTTCAGGCTAGGAGTTTAAGACCAGCCTAAGCAACATAGGGAGACCACGTCTCTGCAAAAAATAAAAAAATTAGCCAGGTATGGTGGCATGTACCTGTAGTCCTACCTACTCTGGAGGCTGAGGTGGGATGATTTTTTGAGGCCAGGAGTTCAAGGTTACAGTGAGCCATGACAGCACCACTGCACTCCAGCCTGGGCAACAGAGTGAGACCCTATCTCTAAAAAGAAAAAAAAAGTCTGCGAAACCAGACTCACTGGGTTCAAATCCCAGCCCCATCATTTCATAGCTTTAGAACATTGGGTAAGTTATTATATCTCCATTTGCCTCACTTTCCTCATCTGTAAATTGGGAATCGCAGTAATACTCACCTCAGTAGAGTAGATGTGAGGGTTCAGTGAAGGCATATGAGTTGTTCAGTGCCTGGGACAGAGAACATGTTGGATAAATCATGGCTAGTATTTCTCTTTGCTCAGCATTGTCTGCTCACATTTTCTTTCTCTTTCGTCTGTCCCTGAATCCCAGCACATTTCACACACAGGCCCACTCCACTTTGACATTCCTGACTTTAACTTTGGTTATTTCATGGGGCTAAAGCTGAGACTCAGACAGCTGGTGTTCAGCAGAATCACCAGCTGGAGCTCCTCAGACTGCATAGGACAAGCAAATCTGATAATGGTCACAAGATATTGGGGGACTTCCTAACTGCCATGAAATGGACAGGAGCCTTACACAGGTGCTGAGCCATATCCCCTGATTTAAACTGGACTGGAAATCTCTTGAAATGACCTTGAATCCTGCCTGCAATTGAGACTCAGGGACATAGAAACAGATATGAAGGATGGCAGAGAGGACAGTTGGCCTCTGGAAGAAAGCCACTGTGGGAGTGAAGTGTGGCAGAGCGACCCATTCTGGGCAGCAGCACCAGGCATTAGTGAGGGCCAGTGGTTCTGGTAAAGTGTGAAGTTGAGCTTGGCTTTCCATCGATTGTACTTTTGTTCCCATCCTAAGTGTCTGTGCACTTAGTAAGGGCAAGTGTAGATAACATGTCCTATTTGTGGTCTAAAACCTTTCAATGCATTTTGACACTTCCAGTCATTGTGATGATTCCTTAAGTTCTGCTTGCTCAAGGGAGAATTAAACAAACACTATATTTCCCAGACCCCCCTTATATCTTGGGTGTGGACAAGTGCCTACATTTCTTCAAACACACATGGCAAGACTTCAGTTGGAAGGGAGTTTGTGCAGCTGCATTCTGGTGGTGCAGGCGTAGTGGCTGAGATCACCACATCCACATTGCATTCATCCTCCTCCACTTAGGCCACTTTCACCCTGTTTTCAAGGGAGACAGCCACACAAGGCTCCTCATGCTCTCACAATTTACACTCTAAAAAGATGTGTTAACGGAATGTGCTGGATCTTTAGCTGGGAAAGTTGAAATACTAGAGGTGGGGCTGGGGAGAACTGGGCTCTAAAGTTGGCCTTTGAGGCAGGTAGGAAATTTTCCAGAAGGTGGGAAAACAATCTCTGACCAAGCAGCATCTCTATCCCAGGGTCCTCAACTGACATACTATCAGGTGGGTGGTAGTGCTGTGGCATGGGCTGTGAGTGGTGGTGAGTGGAGGGAGTCTGCTCTCTTGTTTGATACAGTTGTTCAGAAGAAGTCAGGGGCTGTCATATATATATGGGGTGGGGCGGTGGGGCAGAGAGAGAGAGAGAGAGAGAGATAAAGATAAGGCAGGGTTTCAGAACCCCTGCCAGGTGGCTGGTTTGCTGGGCAGTGCTCCAGTTCTGGTGAGAAATTAGAGTGCTAATAAAGCTGAGCAGACTAAAGTTCTAAGGATCGGGACCCTTACCATGGAAATTCCAGAGAGGCTGAGGCTCTGCAAACACAGCAATGCTAGAGTGGGGCAAAGGAGAGACCACACGTAGGGCATCATGTCTATATTCTGAGCCACCATCCAGCGGGAACAGGGCTTAAAGCCATTAGATGAGACTGCCATTGGGTCAGGTATAAGACTGGTTCAAATGGGTAAACATGCTTTAGTCCTGATTCGCACAGCTCCACTTTTGTGTGCCTGTTTTGTCCCTTCCTCATCTTAAGGCTGACTTCCCCCGTGGTCACAAGGTAAATTGCAGAAGCCACAGAGCCAAGATGCTCCTCCTTCTCACTCAGAGGGAGACAGGACATTTGCTACAAATTTCAAACAGACTATCTCTGACCAGTTTCCTTGGGCAGGGAATTAGGGGCAGTAATGGCTTAGGTCTGGATCACCAATGTGGTCCCCCCTGGAGTGAGGGGTGAGGTCCGCTCCACCCAAACCCCATGACCGCTATGCAGTTGGGGAGGGCTGGAATGGATGTTTTAAGAGACAACCCTATGTTCAAGAGGAATCTTCAAACTCTCCTAGGCTTGGTCAGAAATCACTAGCAGCATAGTCCATTAAATCACCAACTAAACTTTTGAAACGTTGCACGTGATGGCATAAGTCGGGATTCTCCAGAGAAACAGAGCCAATAGGATGTGTATCTGCAGAGAGAAAGATTTATTTTAAGGAACTGGCCTACATGATTATGGAGGCTGGTAAGTCCAAAAGCTGTAGAGTGGGCCACCAGGCAGAGACCAGAGAGCAGCTGATGTTGCAGTTCGAGTCTCAAGGCTGTCTGCTGGCAGAATTTCTTCTGTCGTATTGCAGTTTTAGGGCACTTGCTTCTGAGTGGGGCACCTGTCTCTGAGAAGGAAGTAAGGACTCTCGTAGTACCAAGTTCCAAGAGACAGGCCTGGTAGCACAAAAGAAGGTCTGACTACCTAGCCACATGGTTGAACTTGCTTCCAACTGCCTCTGAGTGACAAAACTTCCAGAAAAAGGAACAATAGTTGGAATCTGCTTCAGTAAGAAAAAAAATGGTGTCCAGTATAGTTTTCATATACACTCTAGGCTTGGTGCCTTAGGAAGATAGGGCATCTGAGATAGAAGAGAAGTTAGGGAGGTGAATTGAGCCCCGAACCTGCCTTGCAGGACACAAGCAGTGTTTCTGACTGGGTGAGGGCAAAGAGAAAGCTCCCCCATTCCTGAAGCTATGCCCAACCTCATGAGAAACAGATTCTTTGTTTATCTTTCATTGTTGGCTTAAAATTATCAGCTACTGAGTAGTTTTGTTATTAAATGGTTATTGTGATGATGATTGTATTAAATTTCTGTTATTTTTATGTTTCTTTTAGGAAAATGGAATGAAATTATAGAAACAATACTTTTAGATAGTAGAAATTGATCCCATTTTCACTGTCAAAAATAAAATTGAGAGGTTTTGAATTAGAACTTAGAGGTTTAAATAGCTGTAGCAATGAGCTTCCTTTTTAGAAGGTGTTAAGTTCTAATCATTGCCTCATTATCACTTCAAAAGATTTGCTTTTTCAGCTCTGTGGTTAGAAGTGTGTTAATGTCTCAGCAGTGAAGACGAGTTAGGGATTTTGTGGTTTTTTAGCTAGAACACTCACGGTGAACATTGCTTTTAGTTCCAATTCATGTGAGCGGACTCTTCTCTAAGTGGAAGATTTTGGAACATGAAATGGACTGGACATACAATCGATTTTTAAGAGTCAAAGATTTTGATTTAAAAATCAGTAAATCTGGTCCAGTTTGTAGGTTATGAAATGAGATAGACTAAAACATCTAAAGGTATTTTAAGAGTCTAGGCTTTCCTTGTCCACGATGATGACCACTAGCTACATGTGTCTTCTGAGCACTTGAGATGTGGCTAGCCCTCACGGTGTTGAACTGTAAGTGTTGAATACATACTGGCTCTGGAAGATGTATGTACAAAAGATGAAAATAAAACATTTCATTAATGTTTAAAAAATATCAATTATACATTGAATGATCATAATTTGAATATATTGAGTTAAATAAAATATATGACCAAAATTATTTTCACCTATTTCTTTATACCTTTTATACTTATTTAAAGGGGCTAATAGAAAATGTAAAATGATATATGTGATTTGCATTAAAATCTGCTGGACTAGCACATAATGTCCTTCATGTTTGTCGTTTTGTCCTCATATCTGTGGTCACTGTGTTGGCCTTGGGCACTTCTGCTTGGTCACTGCAACAGCCTGCCATCTGATCCTCGTTCATTCTCAGCTCAGCTCCATTGCCTGTTCTTTTTGGCCAAGTCTTCCTCAGTCGGCAGGTCACTGCAGTGCCTCACCCTGACAGTGACTGCACCAGGAAGTGCTAGGTTCTAGGTCCTCCGTCTAGCCCTCCTTTGCAACACTATGAGGCTTTTAAATTGTAAATTATTTTAGTCCAAAATTGAAATTTGTTGGAAGGAGGTGGGGGCAGAGATAAGTGGAATCTTACCGTATGCACTTTTTTGTGTCTAGATTCTTTTGCTAAACAGCCATGCTTTTTAAAAGTATTTTTGATGTTGTTTTTAATTCATTTGCATTTCAATTTATATCAGGGACTCCAAAGGTTGGGCCTTGGGAAAGGAAGCAGGAACTAGAGCACCATGGGCTACGGAGCAATTGTTTTATTGTTTTTCTGTTGCCATGTCCATGATTAAAGAAGCCACTGTACAGCTTCTGATTTTTACCCATGAATCAGTTTCTGCTACATGTAGAGAGTGACAGTTGTCACAGCCTGATTTTATTTTATTTTATTTTATTTATTTTGTGATCTCACTCTGTTGCCCAGGCTGGCGTGCAGTGGTGCAATCTTGGCTCACTTCAACCTCCACCTCCTGGCTTCAAGCGATCCTCCACCACTGCTTCCCTAGTAGCTGGAACTACAGGCATGCGCCACCACACCCAGCTAATTTTTCTATTTTTTGTAGAACTGGGGTTTCATCATATTGCCTGGGCTGGTCTCAAACCCTGAGATCAAGCCATCCGCCTGCCTTGCCCTCCCAAAGTGCTGGGATTACAGGCGTGAGCCACCGTGCTGGGCAAAAGGTTTGGAGACAGCCTGATTTTAAATCAAAGGCATTCAGCTTGGGAGCCCTGGTCTAGGAACTGTATCTAATTTTTCTGTTCATCTTTCACACTGCAGCTGATCTGAGCCTGTGGACTACCTATCAGTACTGACTCCTGATGTAATAATAGTAACAGGAACTCATCACTGTGTGCTGTACAATGTAGGGAGTACTTTTAAACAACCATTGTATTATTGGATTCCCACAAGTGTAAGCAGTAGGCAGCACACCAATGTTATTTATTATCATTTTGTAGATGTGGTCACAGAGAGGCAGACCAACTAACTGATCTTCCCAAAGTCCCAAGCCAGGTGACTCAGTTGGCCTGTCCTGCAGGCAGGATTCGGCCAGGTCTCTGAGTCTCCTTCTACTGGTGCACATTTCCTGTTAGTATTTTCCTCAGGGAAATCCCTTTGGCTCTGACTCCTGAAAAGAAAGCTTGTCTTCTAAAGTTGCCAAATAATCTGGTCTGCCTTCAATTGAAGGGACTTTGAATCGTGGGAAGAGGAAAGGGGAGAGCTGTGCTAAAAAGATGAGTCATTGCTTCAAGATTGAGGAAGCAAGGTTTTATATCTCGGGGACTTTTCAGGAGGAGGATCAGTGTTTCTTGATGGTGAAAACAAGGAAGTGGAGGAAGGGAAGAAAGCACACCCAAGTATTTATTTTCCCTTCTGTCTTTGAATGCACATTCTTCCTATTATATTTTCTATTTGCCACATCTCTTACTCATTTTAACAACTTTTTGTTAAGAATACCTATTGGTTAAAAATTATTTTTTATTTCTTAACATTGCAGTTTGCTTTCTATACTATGTCCTTAATTGACTACCTCTGTATAAGTAGCTGGTACACATGTATTTTTTTTCAGGAATCCTTTCTTACTTATATTCAGATGTGGCTTAATTGGACAAACCCCACTGAGGTTCATCACTTTTCTTTTCCTTTTCTGCTTGACTGTCCTCTTTCTCCTCCAGCCATCCATCCACCTGCGAGAAAGGGCTATAAAAGGCGTCCTTACTTCCTTAAGAGGAAGGAAATGGCAGTGAGTTTTTTCACCAGTAGAAACATGTAGATGAGTCATATTTATAGCCTTTTTTTTTTTTGTCACCCACGCTGGAGTGCAGTGGCGCACTCTCTGTAGCCTAATTCTTTAATGCATACACCTGTTTAGTAGGCATTTCATTGCCAACCTTTCAATGCTCTTATGGGTATTTAGTATGATCTGTGAGAATCTGGAGGACTGGTTAGTATATTAAGTCCTGAACTTTTTAAAAGAAACTTGGTTGCTTGTTCTGTTGGTATGAATTAAGTTCTCAACCAAGAAAATAGATTAATTAATTGGGCAATGTTAGTTGTGGGCATAGTTTTAGGAAGACTTCTAGGATCTTTAAAATATCCACTTCTGCCTCTTTCTGGGATGAGAACTATAATACTTTTTCTTAAAATCACTTTGAGCAAATTATAATATACATACAGAAAAGTGCACATACGTGAATATAATTATTCATTTTCAAAAACTGAGAATATCTAAGTAACCAGCAGCTCCCAGTCCTCTTTATACTCCCTGCTATTCTTTTCTCTTTAGCCTACAGGGAACCCTTGTCCTCACTTCTAATAGCAGAGCTTGGTTTTTCCTGTTTTGTACCTTATATAAGTGGAATCTTACTTTAGGTAGTCTGGTGTCTAGATTCTTTTGCTGAACATCAATTTTTTTAAAGTACGTTTTAATACTGTTTTCAATTTATTCTCATGTGCAAAGCCTTGGACGTACAGGGAAGTGTGAGAAAAAACCTGAAAACCAGTAAGCATAATCTCATCACCTATAGAGACCTACTATTATAATTTTTGGCTATTTTTTTGGAATACTTTTTATATGAAATGTTTAAAAATTTTACATAGCTAAGTATGCTGTGTATTTAACTTTGAATTCTGTCTTATTTTGGCTTAATATTATATTTTAGCATCTATTTTTAAAAAAATTATTATTACTGTTACTATTTTTAGTGACGGATCTGCCTCTGTCACCCAGACTGGAGTGCGGTGGTGCAATCATAGCTCACTGCAGCCTCGAACTCCTGTGCTCAACCAATCCTCTGCCTCAGCCTCCCAAGTACCTGGGACTACAGACATGTACCCCCATGCCCAGTTGAATTTTAAAACTCTTTTTAGAGATGAAGTCTCCCTATTTTGTGCAGCCTGGTCTTGAACTCCTGGGCTCAAATGATCCTCTTGCCTCAGCCTCCTGAGTAGTTGGGATTACAGACCATGAGCCAACATGCTTAACTCAGCATTTTATTTTTCATTAAAGACTTCATAAACATTTTAAAAGGCTGAATATTGTCATTTTATAAATGAACCATCATGTACTTACCTATTCCCTTTAGGGTGAATATTTAGATGGTTTCCAAATTGTTGCCGAACAAGTAATGCAGTGGTTGACATTTTAATACAGAAATATTTTGTTTGCTTCCCTCTTTCCCTCCGCCACTTCTTTCCTTCAATTTTTCTTTTTCTTTCTCTATTTTCTATCTTCCTTCCTTACTGTAAATACTTTTCATGTGCCAGTTACTGTTATAGGTACTAGGGAGAAAGCAGTGAGTAAACCAAAGTACTTGCCCTCATTTGCTTTCATGATTCTAACTTACTTCTTTTTTTTTTTTTTTTTTTTTGAGATGGAGTCTTGCTCAGTCGCTCAGGCTGTAGTGCAGTGGCACGATCTCAGCTCACTGCAAGCTCCGCCTCCCGGGTTCACACCATTCTCTTGCCTCAGCCTCCCGAGTAGCTGGGACTACAGGTGCCCGCCACCACGCCTGGCTAATTTTTTTTTTGTATTTTTAGTAGAGACAGGGTTTCACCATATTAGCCAGGATGGTCTTGATCTCCTGATCTTGTGATCCACCTGCCTCAGCCTCCCAAAGTGCTGGGATTACAGGCGTGAGCCACCGTGCCCTGCCACTACTTTTGAAAATCAGATTTATTGAGGTATTATTTATATTTGCATGCAGTCAAAAGCATCACTTTCAACATACATTTTATGGCATTGACAACCTATACAGTCATCTAAGTACAACCACAATCAAGTTAATTCACAAAAAGTTCCCTTAGGTCCCTTTGCAGTCACCTACCTCCACCCACCACCTAGTAAACGCTTATCTGTTTTCCATCTGTACAGATTAGCCTTTTCCTGAATGCCATAGAAATGGAATCATTCAGGACTTAGCCTTTTGTCTCCGTCCCCTTCCCTTGGGATACTGCTTTTGAGATGCATCTGTGTTGTTGCGTGCATCAACACTTAGTTCTTTTTTATTCTAGAGCAGGCTTCCATTTTATGGATGTACAACATTTTGAAAAGATCGATCTGTTCACCAGTTGGTGGTCATTTGGGTTGTTTCCAGTTGTTGGTGATTATGAATAAAGCTGCTGTAAACATTCACTTTTAGACTTTTCTGTATGTGGACACATGTTTTAGTTTATGTGGGCCAAATACCTAGGGGTGGGACTGCTGGGTCATGTGCCACGAATTTGTTTAACTTTATAAGAAACTGCCAAACTATTTTCCAAAGTGGCTAAACCATTTTGAATTCCTGCCAGCAGTAAATGAGAATTCCACTTGCTCTGTGCCCTTGTAGTAAAATATTTTCAGGTTTTTAAAAGTTTTACTTTTTTCTAATAGGTATATGAGCTTATATTTTATTGGAAAGCATCTGTCCTTTGCCCAACTTAATCAGTGTTGATATATTTCAATCTCTCACACTTCCTTATAGATTAACAGAGACTGGTGGATCAGTCCCCTCAAATTCTGATGATTAGAAGGGGCCTCTTGGAATTCCTGAGTGGCAATTCTAACTGTGGGTTCTTTGGAGTTCAGGCAGACCTTTGGGGTTGACAAGTATTAGGAGTGTGCTGTATATCAGGAGGGCATGTTTGTGCACTGGGGTGGGGAAGTGGGTGAGGGAAGCCTGCCATTGGTATGTTTCTTTTAAGAGCAGAAGAACCTGGGAAATTCCCAAGGAAAGCTTTGTTCCCAGATGACTAAGCAAGATGGGCTGCTGGTGAGCTTAAACTAGGAGACAGCCTGGGGCAGTACTCAGGAATCCAGTCCTGAAATAACAGGGGCCTGAACTAGATTGTAATGTTGGTAAAGGCTGGGTGTGATAAAATAAAAAAAAATGTATAAAGAGGGTGGAAATGATAAAAGGATTATCAAAATTAGTAGCTGAATATTATTGACATGAGGGTAAATAAGGAGTTGACATGCTTGAAGTTTCACATTTAGACAATAAGGAGAAGGATCCCAACAGTACAGTGAAACATTTTTCAAGTCCCTGTCTTGCTAAATCCAATGGTCATGCACTTCCCCAGCTGCATTTTACTTGACCTATCAGCATATTGACATAGGCTAACTGACACACAAGAAGGTCCCTTCTTCTTTCCTCTCTGAATCTTAGGGTACTGTTATACTTCCTCTTGATTCCTTTGTTTTACTGGCTGCTCTTTCTCATTCTCCTTTGCTGATTCCTCCTTATTCTCCTTTGCTGGTTCCTCCTCATCTTCTCCACATCCGAATATTTAAATCTCTAGCCCAAACCTTTTTCTTAGACCCCAGACTTGCATATTTACCTAGCTACTCAACACTTCCCCTTGAGTGTCTAATAAACATCTCAAACTTCAACATATCCACGACCAAACTCTGGATCTCCATAACCCCAAGCCTGCTTCTTTCAGTCTTCCTCTCTTCTTCCAAATGCTCAGGCGCAAAACCTTGAGATCACCTTTGATGTCCCTCTTTCTTTTCTGCCCCACATTATCTCCATCAGCGTATGTTTCTGGCTTCACCTACAAAATATGCCTGGAATCTGACCATTTCTTTCCAATTCTACTGCACCGTAGTGGACCAAATCATCATTATCTCCTAACTGGATTCTTGCTGAAACTCTCTGTTTTTACTCTTGTCCTCTTAGATCCATCCTAATGGCAGGAGCCAGAGTAATTTAAAAGAAAAAACACTCTAAGCTCATCATTCTGCTGTTCAGAATCCTTCAATGGTTTCTTATCTTATTCAGAGTTAAAGTCCTTACAATAGTCAATGGCTAAAGGATTCTCCAGCAATTGACTTCTTGCTACTGCTCTAACCCAGGACTGGCTACATAATTTGCATTTCCTAGTACCAAATGAAATGTGGGGCTTCTTATTAAAAATATTATGAAGTAATTCAAGGTGCTGATGACAGAGCATTAAACAAAGTGCAGTGCCCTTCTATGCCCATGGCCTTCTGTGACTGCACATCTGCACAGCTAGCCTTGCTCACACCTCGTCTTGTGCCACTTTTTCTTTTGCTTTCTCTGCTCCATTTATAAGGCCTTTTGTAGGTTTCTTGAACATACCAGTCAGGCTCCAACCTCACATTCTGTTCCTCTGCTTGAATTGCTTTTACCTAGATATGCGTGCAATTCATTTCCTGGTTTCCACCAGGAGTCTGCTTAAATATCCGTTGATAAACAGGGACATTGGGAAGGAGCTGTTTGGGGCATAATAGATAATATAATGGCATTTAGGCCTATTTGTAGACTCATGGAATTGTACAGGGTAGATCAGAGAGCATTTAAATGTACTTATTTCTAGGATTAAAAAATCTGACGACAAAATAAATTAAATGCCTACCTAAACTTATATACTACCTGTTATGAATTGAGAGCATGGTATTCAAAATAAAAATTCTCAGAAGTTAAGGATATATGGCTCATGCCTGTAATCACAGCACTTTAGGAGGCCAAGGCAGGCATATCACTTGAGCTCAGGAGTTCGAGACCAGCCTGGGCAACATGGTGAAACCCCATCTCTACAAAAAATAGCTGGGCATGGGCCTGTAGTTCCAGCTATTTTGGAGGCTGAGATGAGAGGATCACTTGAGCTCAGGAGGCAGAGGCTGCAGCAGTGAGCTGAGATCGTGCCACTGCACCCTAGCCTAGGCGACAGAGCGAGACCTCAAAAGAAAAAAAAAGAGAGAGGAAGAAATTAAGGATACATGATGCATACATGGAGGAGTAGTGTAGGATGTGTCAAACAGCACCAGTCATAAAGTCTTACAGGTAGGCAATGTTCTAATTCTAACATACTCATTTTGGGGAAGTGTTTTTAAAAGCAATAGGTAAAATAAATGAAAGAATATATATAGAAAAGAGCAAAGGCCTTCAAGCCTCTTCTTTTGGAAATATCCATAGCTATAGGGAAAGACAATTTGCTAAAAAAAAAAAAAAATAGAGCTTTAATTCTGGAGTCAGACAGCCATGGTTTTGAATTTTGGCTTATTCATTTATAAGCCATGAAACTGATTCTCTATGCCTTATTTTCCTCACTTGTAAAAGGTGGATGATAATAATAATAATTTTTCCACAGGATTTTGGGAAGAATGAATGAGCTAACCCATGTAATGCAGTATAGCAGCTTGCACATAAATAAATGGTATTTCATATTTTGATAACTTACAGGAAGAGATATTCCATACCATAAAATACATCAAGCTGCATTTAAAAAATTGTCCCTTTTTCCATAGTCCTAACTTTGAATGTAACATTTTTAGTTGTTGCTTTATAAAGACATGGATGTTTATGCTGTAATTGTTTGTGGTTTGGTTGAGGGGAAGTTACACCATGTGCTTTATTTTATGCTGACATTACAAGAAAGTTTCTCTGTTGTTCCAAGGAACGCTTTTTTTTTCTTTTTTGAGACAGAGTCACCTTCTGCTGCCCAGGCTGGAGTGCAGTGGTGCAATCATGGCTTGCTGCAGGCTCAAATTTCTGGGCTCAAGTAATCCTCCTGCTTCTGCCTCTTGAGTAACTATAGGCATGCATCACCATGCCTGGCTAGCAATCCTCCTGCCTCAGCCTCTTGAGTAACTGCTTCTACAGGCATGCATCACCATGCCTGGCTAATTAAAAAAAAAAAAATTTGGTAGAGAGTGGATCTCACTTTGTTGCCCAGGCTGGTCTTGAACCCCTAGCCTCAAATGATCCTCCCACCTCGGCCTCCCAGAATGTTGGGATTACAGGGATGAGCCACTGAGCCCAGCTGGAGTACAAAATTTTTTTTTTTAATTGAGGCAGAGTCTTACTCTACTACCCAGGCTGGAGTGCAATGGCGCGATCTCAGCTCAGTGCAACCTCCGCCTCCCAGGTCAAGCCATTCTCCTGCTTCAGCCTCCCGAGTAGCTGGGATTACAGGCACGTTCCCCCACACCCAGCTAATTTTTGTATTTTTAGTAGAGGTGGGGTTTCATCATGTTGACCAGGCTGGTCTCTTAGCTCCTGACCTCAGGTGATCCGCTCGCCTCGGCCTCCCAAAATGCTGGGACTACAGGCGTAAGCCACCGCATCCGGCCAGCACAACATTTTTGAATAACTTAAAGTATGGTTTCAAACAGAAATTTCTGGGTATTGAGAAAAACTGGCATGTTTCTGAATTGTTGTTCAGCTGTACTTTTTGTTTCGAATAGAAATGCTTCAGATTGGCAGCCTGTTCTTATTATAGAGACTAGCGTATGCAACATGACTTATTTCCTTCACTTTGTCTCTAAAGTGAACCCTTTAACCCTTATACTAGATGTTTCTTTATCAAAAACTGGATAATGGCTTTATTCTCTATTATTTTATACAAGGATATATTTAGGGATAACTTTTCAAAAACATCAGCCATAGTTATCAAGAAAGAGAGGCGACAAAGGCTCTTATTCAAGTTCCATTAACTTTGACATTCCAGAAGATATGAACTTTAGATTTTGGAAAGATGCCCCAAATAAATGTTCTATCTGCCACTGAAAAAGTCTTTACTATTGACTCATTATCCCTAGGACATGAGTTGCTTTTCTGGTTATGATTTTTCAAAACCAGAAAAGAATGTTCCTTAACCTAGTCTTTCTCTTAGTACTCCTGTACTGCCTATTAGAAATGGCTGATCAGGATGTGGGACACACATTGCGTTATATTCACTTTTAGTGTTCATTGCTAACTGGCAATGAAAGAGTTCTGTATCTAGCCAGAGACAGCAATGCGGGACTGTGCTTATTTGTACAGTGTCTATGGTACATTAGTCAAATATTTGAGGGTTTTTATAGAGAATTATGTTGGCTTCCTGGAAGTTCTTTTTGCTTGTAGATTATCCTGACTGGCTGTGACAATTGCTATTGCTCTGTGTTTGCTAGAATTTACCAGCTCGTTGGATCCCACAAGGGAGCAAAATAGAAAAAAAAAAAGATTAAAGCAAAATGGAATGTACCAGCTCTGTGCTGGGAATACCTGTGTGTTGAAATGAGGACATACCAGAATCAACTTTGCCTTTGTTCACAGTCCAGATGAGGAGTCACCACTGGCCTTATTAGAGATAAGATTCAGATAAGAGCTCTGCCTTTTTTTTTTTTTTTTTTTTTGTCATGTGCTTCTAAGGAAATCATAAAGCTTTAAGCATAGGGATTGTGATTGAAAAATATAATTAGAACAAGAATCAAAGAAATACAAAAACTTAAATATAATTACCATTCTCATCCCTATTTCACAGATACTGGTGCTCCATTCATTCTTCATTTCTTCCTTAGAAAAATACTTGTTTAGCTTTACTCTAAATCGCAATACGTCTTGCCCCAAATTCTCCCATGCTATGCACAGATTCAGGGCTTTGAGGATTCTACCCAATTCATGAGGTCAGAATTCCTAATATTTTTCTTGCTACTTTCAGATTCTTGAATATTAAAATTCTTGCCACTTTTTCTAAGGCTTCCTCAAGTCTTAGTTCTAAGGTAATTCCCGGAGGGTCTCATTCCCTTTGAAATTTGAAAATTGGAATTTCTTTATTATTCCTGCCACATGGAAGTAAAAGAGACAATTGTATCTGCCTATGAAAGGCTTTACAGTTTCCCTGTTAAAACTAATATATATATAGTTTAACTAATTAGAAAATCCTCTCTCTTTGTTCAACCATAGCTCCAGCTTTATTATTTCCCTAACGTATACTACAGAGTCCCTTTACAGTCGCCTCTCTCAGAGGGTGGATCTGCAGAAAACACAGTTGTGACAAACTCTAACTTTAAAATATATATTTAAACAATTATGTTTTAAGCAGTAAGATTTGGAAGTAGAGAAATACATGCTATCACTATACAGGCCCATTTTACCATTAATAACATAAAAGCAGACAGTACTATATATTTTACTTATTTATTACTGTCTCTCCCTATAATTTTTTGTGTTTTTATTAATTTATGTACGCTTAGCACCTAGAATAGTACCTGGTATATAAAAGACATTGAAATCTTTGTTCAAAGAGTTAATTAGTGTTTTTGTCTTCCGTTGTAGCTCATGTAACTATTAAGGGTCCTACTGTGTGGTATTGTGTTTAAAAGATGTGAATGAGAGATAAGAGTTTCAAACAAGAAAATCTTATATTTTAGCTATTACTCCCTGAAAGGTGTAATTATGTGATGGTTATGTCTTATCTTTTGTATAAGAATTCTGAGTAGGAAAAATAAGTAATCTGTATTTATTTTATATCTCATACAAATATAACATTTTGTTACAAAAATAAATTGATACAAGGGTTGGAAGTTCTGGATCCCAGTCCCAGCTCCCTCCTTGATTATGTCTGGGTCCATGAGCACATTTATGTTTACCTTTCTGGATATAGTTCTGTTAACAGCATCACCAGGTTGGGCTAGATGCTCCCCACTATCTCCACTCTTCCTGTTCTCATTGCACCCTGGTTACCTATCGATTTCTCCCCACTTACGGCATTGTATTGAACACATCTGCCTATGTGTGTTTCCCTACTTGATTTGAGAAACTTGGACGCTACCTCACTAAAAAATAATGGCTACTATTTTTGAGTACTATCAAGTGCTATATTCTACCTATTGTATGTTACTTAGAACACCATTAAATAAGTATATCTAAGTCAATTTTGAAGAAGTGAAAATTTAAGACTTTGAGAACTTAAACAACGTGCACCAGGTCTGTAAACTTATGAGATTCCAATCTCTACTCTAACCCCAAAGTCTCTGCTCTTAGCCCTCTACACTATATCCTACTTCTTATCTACAGGATGATCATCATGTCCTGAACCCCTACTAAGTGCCAAATATTTATATCTTGATTATAATCCTGAAAATAACCTCGCACAGTAGACATGATTATTCTCAGCTTGCATCCTATAGGCCAGGTAACTGATGCGCAAAGATGACAAGTAATCTCCCCCCCAGCCATACAACAATACCTGTGGGGCAGTCTGGTACTTCTTGTTGCAAATTATCTCAAAGCTAGTTGATATTTATGCTTTCCTTCACCTCCTACCCATTCATGTTCCCTTTACCTTTAGCCAGCGCCTTAGCTACTTGGGATTCTTTATATGATTAAATGCTTTTTTCACTTGATTGTTTTTCTAGTTTTTTTCTCTTTCTCTTTTTTTTTTTTTTTTGAGACAAAGTCTTGCTCTGTTGCCCAGGCTGGAGGGCATTGGCATGATCGCGGCTCACGGCAACCTCTGCCTCCCAGGTTCAAGCGATTCTCTTGTCTCAGCCTCCCCAGTAGCTGGGATTGCAGGTGTGCACCACCACGCCTGCTAATTTTTGTATTTTTAGTAGAGACGAGGTTTTGCCACGTTGGCCAAGCTGGTCTCGAACTCCTGACCTCAAGTGATCCACCTGTCTTGGCCTCCTAAAGTGCTAGGTTTACAGGCATGAGCCACCATGCCCGGCCCTTGATTGTTTTCAAACCTTCACTCCTGAAGTGTCTGAGCCCTTGGTGGGCCTACCTCGGTTGGATTGTTCCATTCTACAAAATGTATCACTCAATACAAAAGTCTTGACATACATTCCCTGCCCCTAAAAGGATTTAGACAGGAAGAATAAAAAGAGAAATGCATGCAAGTTTTGTTAATTTTACATTCACATGGGGATGTTCACAAGAGAGGGAAGCCTCAAGAAGCGGCCCAAGTAAGATGCTTTTATACTTTTTAGATAAACAACAATAAATTTGTGAAGAAATGACAGGGGAAAGGGGATCTGGCTAGGGATAGTACATTCTAGGGGAGTCACTAGGAGGTATTTGGAGTATGTAAAACTAGTGGAAGATAAGGGTTACTTCCAGAAGTTTATTTACCTAGGCCTGTTGCAGCACCAAATCTCAGTCTCCAGTGATAACGAATATTCTTTTACCCAGGTAAGGAGAAGGCAGCCCTCCCAAAAGAATCTTTTTTGGCTTGCTACATGCAGGAAAAGACAGGGCAACTAGACTTTTTCTGAAACTGTAATTTTTCCAGTGTTTTTTAGCTCAAAATATACCAATTTGTTATATTTGGGGATGATGTTTCCTTCACTTCTTCATCGTAGAAGCAGAAATTCCAAACACCTCTTTGAGAGTTACTCATTCTCTGGGTATCTTCCACGTATATATGAAATATACATGTTAATAAATGTCTGTTTGTTTTTCTCTTGTTAATCTGTGTTTTGTAATAGGGGTCTGTTTCAACTATATATTGGGGTTTTATTTTTCCCTACCCATTCATGCACCAATCAATCTAGCATCAATCAAGCTATATAAAACAACAACTGGTAAGTTCAGGAGAAGTGTGCATGGCTCATCAAACACCCTGTTATTTGCCCAGGAAGCTAACACATTGCTGTTGGCTGTTGTGTGTGCCTGAGGGAAGGGATAGAGGCTTACATCCTAGCTTTTGCTTTTCCAAGTATGCTTAAGGAGTGAGCGTGTGTGCACTTTCTCAGCTTGGAGAGTTCTGATGTGAGGTGAGGTTCGTTTATTATGCCCTCAACACTCCTTATCCTGTTGCTCAGGGGACCTTTCTGAATCTCACTTTGCACAGGTCTTCCCCAAAGCTGCCTCCTGGGCTGTCATCTCCTGGTCCCAAGGGGTGGCCTGAGTGGGACTGGGGGAAGAATGATCAGGAAGCAGTTGGTCTGCCTTGCCTGCTGTTACTCTTCTCAGTGACCTGGTTTCAGGGTTGTCCTGATGTGATGCCACAGCCTCTGACAAGTGCCATAGATCCTGGCTGGTGATGATCCAGCAGGGCACACGTGGTGGAGAAATGGCCACCACCAGAAAGCTCTCCGCAGCCCATCCCCGCCTGCTGCACCTGTGGTCTCTTCTGCTCCAACCCTGGGATACAGGCTTTTTTATCTTGACTAGGGTTTCTCAGAGTCTTTATGTCCTGATCCATCATCCACTTTCTTTTCACCATGACACTTCTGGGCTCAGTTTGGGGAGGAATGATGGTATTCAGCATTAGTTCACCATCTGGTGAGGAACTAGAATCTTTTATGCATCTTTATATTCCCTTCCTTAAGATGCTTAAGGTATGTCCTAGAACAGTAGTTCCCTACATTTTTGGCACCTGGGACCAGTTTTGTGGAAGACAGTTTTTCCACAGATGAGGGCAGGGGATGGCTTCGGGATGAAACTGTTCCACCTCAGATCATCAGGCTTCAGATTTTCATAAGGAGCATGCAACCTAGATCCCTCATATGTGCAGTTCGCAATAGGGTTCGTACACCTAGGAGAATTGAATGCCACCTGCTGATCATAAAAAACATAAAAAACTAAAAAAAAGGAAAACCACTTTGTCTATGATCTTTAGACTTATTTATGTTTAAATTGTTTTTTTCTGTTTAATTTTTAAACAGGAGGTGGAACTCAGGCGGTAATGTTCGCTGCCGCTCATCTCCTGCTATGCAGCCTGGTTTCTAACAAGCCATGGACTGGCCCTGGTCCACGGCCTGGGGACTGGGGGCACCTGTCCTAGAACACTGACCTGGACTGCCTCACCAAGTTTAGTATGAAGGACAAGTCTGTTTCATTGTGAGGAAAAACTATGTTAGAAAAATATAAATATAAATATATAGTATGCTATACTTAAGCTAGTATAATTTAGTGCATAATAACTGTGAAGTAAATGACCGCTAAATAAATAAGACTTTGGATGAGCAGCTAGAGCAGGCTGCACACCACTGTGACAGCATTATTTCTCAGTGCTACAGCAGTTAAGTGCTACTTAAAGAGAAGAACAGATTACTAAAAGGTTGATTTGAACAAATCCTTTAATACATTTGCTTGTTGTTTGGGATTTGTTATTTCAAAAATACTTTAACTTCTCAATTTTGACCCAAACACCGTTAATTGTTTGTGAGTGAGCTTTGTAAAACTGAATGCAGAAGTTTTGATTGTGAGGCAAAAACTCTCTCATCCTGTTTTAAGGAAGATCTACATGCCCTTCTTGGTGATATTCTAGGAAGCAAAAGGAGAAGTGCTCTCTGGGAGATGAATTTCACTACCCTTGTTTTCCCCCTCCTTACAAGATTGGAGCAAATTCCCACTTATTTAGCAAGCAAAACATACTTCATAATTTCCAAATAAGAAGTAAAGTTTGCCATGTACACATCTGGAACCTGTGCATCTAGTCTCAGTTTACAACAAATAATACTTGTATTCTATGAATTCACCCAAAAGCTCAGTTTCGAGTTGACTCAATTCATGAGGAAAGTGCAATTAAGGTAGCTGATATTGATGACAGTTTAAGTAAAATATTAACCATTCACCCCTAGTACGATTTCAGGTTCTAGCTTGTTTCAAATTAAATCACAATATCAAATTAGATCACCAGAATTATTTAGTGTAACTCTTTGTAAAGTTGCCTTTACTAATGTAACTTAATCTGCCTTATTTGAATGTCTTTGACATTCTTGAATGTTGATATGAGAAATGGTCCTATGGAATTAAGGTTTCTGCATCTTTTTAGAAGACTCTGTTGCAAAAATTAATAATTCTGCAAGAGCTACCATTCACAGAGTACATCGGATGACCCAGGCACATGCTTTACTGAATTTAATTCTCACTATAGTCTTTTAGGTGTATATTATAATCCTTACTTTACATATGAAGAAACCGAAGCTATGTTAAACAACTTGCTCACACCTAATAAGTGCTTGACACAAGATTGAAACCCAGGTCTGTTAGATCTCTAAGTTTGTGGCCTTAACCAATATTTTATATTGTAATTATGCTATATGTGTAGAATTACTCATATAAAATGGTAAGAAATTGGGAGGAACTACATTGTAGAGCCAGAAGTCTGACTGGGATGGCAAGCTACAATCAGGATGATCTTTGGCACATATGGGCTTGCCTTGAAATTTCTAGATTCCATTTTGTCAGAAGCTGGATAAAGACTGGACTTTGGTCACCCAACCCTGCTGAAGACTCAGATTATTCCTGACTTGGACATTAAAGGGAAACTTAGTTCCATGGGCAAGGGTGTCTAGGACACTCAGGTAACCACATGAACAGGAGCTTACCTTTGACTTCAGGGCCTTCAATGAGTCATAGGTTAGGAAATCCTTATCTAAGCCATGCTAGTTCCCAGTTTTTCTTGGCTTCTGGGAAGCCCTGTTTCAAATGAAATACTCAATTCCAATATTTTCCTGAATGTTATTATGTTCTTCTTTCCCTCTAAGTCAGTAGACTTCAAACTGTGTTCCACATAGTTCTTTGAGTTCCACAGGCCCTCTTTTAGGGTGCCCCATTGCTTGAGGAGAAGATGGAAGGGATGGAGCTGTGGGCAGGCATCCTGCCCCTTAGTCCAAGCAGCTTCAAGGCCACAGGCATGAAAGGACATTAGCTCAGCTCTACCACTGCCTAGTGATTTGATTTCTTTATGCCCCAGTGTCCTCATCTATAAAAAGGTACTAATAGTCCTCTCTTGTAGGTTTCAGTCATGACAAAAGGACTAAATGCATGTATGACACTCAGAACCCTGCCTGACAAAAAGCAAGCACCCAGGAGTTGTTAGTCATTATTATTGCTTGACTATGCTTTTAAATAAAATGTTTTTTATAATGAAGAACACTGAAACTAAAAAAAAAAAGGAAAACCACTTTGTCTATGATCTTTAGACTTATTTATGTTTAAATTGTTTTTTTCTGTTTAATTTTTATTTGTATGTTATTTTCACGTAAATGAGATTTAATTCATTCCCAGTCTGCCATTTTTGATCTACCAAACTACCTCCTCATAAATGGTCATCCCTGACTTCCCAGTGAGAAACTTGGAAATTGCTTTTATTTCTTGGCTGACAGATCTGATAAATGAGTGTTAGAAGGAAAACTTTAGCTAAAGTAAATTTAACGGAATTTAATTGAGCCAAGAACAATTTGTGAATGAAGTAGCCTCCCAAGCTAGAGTAGGCTCAGAGAGACACCAGTGCAGCCACGTGATGTAAGAAGATTTATGAACAGAAAGAGAACAGGGAAGCACAGAAAACGGAAGTGAGGTACAGAAGCAGCTGGATTGGTCACAGCATGGTGCCTGCCTTATTTGAACACGGTTGAAAAGGTTGGCCCTCTCTGACTGGCCAAAACTCAGTGTTTGGCACAAGAGTAGGTTACAGTCTGTTTACAAATCCATTGAGGTTATAGTTCCTTAGGTACAGAGAAGCCTTTAAGTCAAACTTAAAATACATAAGGAGACAGCTGTAGGCCAAACTTGATTTAAGCTTCTTTGCCTCTCACTTTGCTACTGGCTTCACTGCCTCAGGTGCTCTGTGCTTGAGACAACTTAAGGTTGAGACCCTTTAAAATATTTTGCTGTCCTCTTTGCAGATGAGAGTGTATTAGTCTATTCAGGCAGCTATAAGAAAACACAATAAACTGAGTTGCTTATAAACATTAGAAGTTTATTTCTCTCAGTTCTGGAGGAAAGTCCAAGACCAACACACAGGCAGACTGGGTGCCTGGTGAGGGCTCTCCTCCTGGTTCACTCTTCCTGTGGGCCTGTTTTATAATGGAGCTAATCCCATCCATGAGCACTCCACCCTCATGATCTAATGACCTCCCAGAAGCCCCATCTCTTAATATCATCACCCTGGGGATTAGGAATTCAACATGTGAATTTCAGGGGGACACAAACCCTTAGACCATAGCAGAGGATACAAAGAAGTAAAAAAAGATAGATAACAACAAAAGAAAAATAATGGCTATTACTAGTCATTTTAATTTTTTTTTTTACTTTCCTCGCTCCCCCTTCCTACTTTTGAAACATTTTTAAAGTTTTCAATGAGAAAAGAAAAGCCCAAACATTATTAATTTTATTGTATTTTTTCCCCAGTAAAATATATCATGCATACAAACTGGTAGAAATAACGTACGTTCACTGTTTTAATAAGGAGAATGAAATGAGCCTCACTGAGTGTAATCTTGGGTTTGCCCTTCACCTGGCTCCCTCTTCACTGCCTCACTGGCTCTGGGCTTTAGGGAGAGGATGTCTATGGACACCATCTGCAGCCTCCTTTGCCTTTCAACTTCCTGTTAGTTTTGGCCAATGGAGTATTGCATTAAACCTGTTTTTCTACACACTGCCCCTACTTTTGTACACAATCCCTTTCTTAACTTCTCCTCAAATTAACTTGAGGTTTCTGTTTACTTCCTTTAAGGATCCAACCAGCTCCCCCTGAGCTGGGCCGGTGGAGGCTCTCCCTTATCCTCGGGAGAGGTATATACCGGTTTAAACTTTGTGTTAATCATTCCTTTGGTTAAAAAGAACTAATGTCATCATATAAGTATGTCGAAATGCATATTGTTTAGTTTTGTGTTTTTTGACTTATGTAAATGGATTGATTCAAAGTCTCCCTCACTTATGTTCCATTTTTTTCCCTTTGCTAATTTGGAAATTATACATTCTGGCCGGGCGCAGTGGCTCACGCCTGTAATCCTAGCATTTTGGGAGGCCAAGGCGGGTGGATCACGAAGTCAGGAGATCGAGACCATCCTGGCCAGCACGGTGAAACCCCGTCTGTACTAAAAATACAAAAAATTAGCCGGGCATTGTGGCAGGCACCTGTAGTCCCAGCTACTTGGGAGGCTGAGGCAGGAGAATGGTGTGAACCTGGGAGGCAAAGCCTGCAGTGAGCCAAGATCACGCCACTGCGCTCCAGGCTGGGCGACAGAGTGAGACTCTGTCTCAAAAAAAAAAAAAAAAAAAAAAAAAAAAGAAGGAAATTATACATTCTATGTCTAGGTATTTAATAGTTATTTTAGAAACTTTAATGTTTACATTTAATTTAATAAGTCTCAACTTAAACTTTTCCTTCCCTTTAAACATTAAGGTCTTAGAATGCTTCAACCCTGATTACCTCTCACCCAACTGCAATGCAATTTTTTTCAGTATTTCGGCTCTGCCTAATTTTTAAACTTGCAAAAAGTGGTCACTGTTGATATTATTGTTTCATGCCATCAGTGATTCCTTAGATGGAGCCAGGTGTTATGGTTTTCTTCACTCACCATTCCATTTTGCATCTGAGATATTTCTTTGGGATCATTTCCCTTTTTCTTCAGAGGTTCTTTAGTGAAGTCTGTTGCTAGCAAAATCTGTCTTCGTCTGCAAATGTGTTTTATTCTTGTTCTTGAAAGACAGTTGTACTGAGTTTTTCTTAGTATTTTGAAGACAATATATCACAATCTTTTGACTTCCACTCTTGCTTTTGAGAAGGCAGCTGTTAATCGTTGATTCTTTGAGGTGAATATCTTCTCCTTTTAACTACTTTTGGATTTTCTCTTTTCTGTGCGTCTCTTTGGTTTGTTTTAATGTATTATCTAGAGATATAGGTCTGTTTTTTTTTTTTTAATCTTGTTAAGTTTCCTTGGACTCAGTGAATCTGAGAATAATCTTTCATAAGTTGCAAAATTTTCTCAGCCAATTTCTCTCTTCAAAAACATTTCTCCTTCATTCTGTTAGCTCACTCTGAAAAACTGATTAGATATATTTTAGGTTTTCTCATTCTATGCCCCAAAACTTTCAACCTCTCTTTCCCAGTTTTCATCTTATCACCTTTCTGGCTGTGTATGGGTAATCATCTCTTCGGTTGTGTCTAATCTGCTGTTCAATACATCCAATGAATTTCTAACTTCAAATATTAATTTTACATTTTCTATTTCGGTATTTCAAATCTGCTTGACTATTTTCATGGCCTCTTATTACTCTATGTCATTTTTAATTCCTTCTATTATTTCTTTAAACATATTAAACACATACATATGGGTGTATATACATGTATGCATATATATATACATACAGTTGTCCCTCAGTATTCATGGGGGATTGGTTCCAGGATGTCCTGCAGATACCAAAATTCACAGAGATACTCAAGTCCCTGATGTAAAATGATGTAATATTTGCATATAACCTACACATATATCCCCCTGTAAACTTTAAATCATCTCCCTAGATTACTTATAATGCCTAATACAATGTAAATGCAATGTAAATAATTATTATATTGTATTGCTTAGGCAACAGTGACAAGAAAAAAGTCTTCATGTGTTCAGTACAGACACTACCATCTATTATTTTTTCTAAATATTTTCCATCTGCAGTTGGTTGAATCCACCAGTGTGGAACCTACGGATGCAGAGGACTGACTGCACTTACTTCTGCTAAACACGTTGGTATACTATCAACCTGGAGATTTAAAACTAAATTTTCAGCTTGGGGCTTCAAAATGGGAGCATAGATTATGTGAATTTTGTTGCAAGCCAACATAAGGATCAGTTTATGGAAGGAATTCTTTGAAGTGACCCTTCCTCCTTCCCTTCTCTTTCCTCTCCCTGTCTTCTTTTCTTCTTTTTCTCTCTCTCGTTCTTTCCCTAAATCCTTAACCTTCCTCCTTTCCTCTCACTCTCTCTTATCCTTCCTTCCTTCCTTCCGACAAAGACTGTCTCTGTTGACTAAAACTTTAGTCAGGCTCCTGAGCACTTTCTGACTAGCCCCAACCTTGGGCTTCCCTCCTTGTCTTCGTAGAATCCAGTGTGAGCAAGGATCTTGCTAAGACAGCTTGGCTGTAGAAAATCCCCTACCTTTGCTATCTGAGCCCCCTCCATATCTGATCCCCCTGGCCTGCCTTCAGGAATTAGCCTATTAGATCAGTCTAGCCAGAAACCCTTGTCCTTGATGTTTCCCCTGAGTAATTTTTTGTTCACTGATCCCCACTCTGCTCCTTGGTTAAAAATCTTCACTTATTCTTGTTGGAGTAGGAGTTGAGCCAAATCTCCCTTGCAACTGGAAGACCTTGTTACAGTGCTCCCTATAACTATGACCATGGCTCCCCTTGAATAAAGTCTGCCCTACCATCTTGAACAAGTGTCACAAATGATTGTATTCTGTAGCTCTCCCTCCCTCCATTCCTCTCTCCCTTCATTCCTTCTTTTCTTACCTTTTTCTTTTCCTCTTTCCTTTTTTTTTTTCTTTTTAAATGGAGTTTCGCTCTTTTTGCCCAGGCTAGAGTGCAATGGCACGATCTCAGCACACCACAACCTCTGACTCCTGGGTTCAAGCGATTCTCCTGCTTCAGCCTCCCGAGTAGCTGGGATTACAGGCATGCACCATCACGCCCAGCTAATTTTGTATTCTTTAGTAGAGACGGGGTTGCTCCATGTTGGTCAGGCTGGTCTTGAACTCCTGACCTCAGGTGATCTGACCACCTTAGCCTCCAAAGTGCTTGGATTACAGGTGTGAGCCACTGCACCCAGCCTCTTCTTTCCTTCTTTTTCTTCCTGCTCTGAGGTTATAATCGGCAAGTAGTGCTAGCATCTATCTCTGCAGAGTGGGTTTCCATGTCCCCAGTTATTCTCTTTTTATGTTTTGTGCAGGGGACTTTAACCTGACTGATTTGAATCCTAGACTATATGCCCTGGGCCACCAGGATGAAGACGATGCCCTCAGCATAAATACCACTTTAATGCTGTTCTTTGGGACCTCTAAGGACTCGCCTTACTGCTCCATAACTTCAACCCTGCATTTGAAAATGTTTTTGAAATGTAATTTTAATATAGGTGTTCTGCACTGGGAGGTTTTTTTCTACATAGGCAATATGTCATTTGGCCAAAAATGGAAGAAATGGAATAAATAATGTGATTTTTTTTAAAGGTTTAGTAAAGCAATGCAAATTTTGGTAGATTTCAAAACTTGAATCATTTAACTAATTTTTTGTATATAATGAAGAATGTAGCTTCAAAAATCTAATTTTATTTATCACTATTAGAAGCACATAGCCCTGTTTTTGTCATAGTTATTTAGAAAAGAGAAGATAAGGCCAGGTGCAGTGGCTCATACCTGTAATCCTGGCATTTTAGGAGGCCTAGGTGGGTGGATCGCTTGAGGTCAGCAGTTTGAAACCTGCCTGGCCAACATGGTGAAACCCCATCTTTACTAAAAATACAAAAATTAGCCGGGTGTGGTGGCATGCACCTGTAGTCCCAGCTACTTGAGAGGCTGAGGCATGAGAATCCCTTGAACCCGGGAGATGGAGGTTGCAGTGACCTGAGATCATGACACTGCATTCCAGCCTGGGTGACAGAGTGAGACTCCATCTAAAAAAAAAAAAAAAAAAAAAGGAAAGGAAAGAAAAGGATCTGCACATGAATGGGATCTCAGGACTATGGCCTATGTAGGTAAAATAAAGGTGAAAATTATTTCTCTTATTTGGTGTTGCAGGAGGTCAGGGACCCAGAACGGAGGGACCGGCTGGAGCTGTGGCAGAGGAACATAAATTGTGAAGATTTCATGGACATTTATCAGTTCCGAAAATTAATACTCATAATTTCTTATGCCTGTCTTACTTTAATCTCTTAATCCTGTTATCTTCGTAAGCTGAGAATATATGTCACCTCAGGACCACTATTGTACAAACTGATTGTAAAACATGTGTGTTTGAACAATATGAAATCAGTGCACCTTGAAAAAGAACAGAACAACAGCGATTTTAGGGAACAAGGGAAGACAACCATAAGATCTGACTGCCTGTGGGGTCTGGCAGAATAGAGCCATATTTTTCTTCTTGCAGAGAGCCTATAAATGGACGTGCAAGTAGGAGAGATATTGCTAAATTCTTTTCCTAGCAAGGAATATAGTATTAAGACCCTAGGAAAAGAATTGCATTCCTGGGGGGAGGTCTATAAACAGCCACTCTGGGAGTGTCTGTCCTATGTGGTTGAGGTTCTCTGCTCTTGAACCCTGTTTTCTGTTAAGATGTTTATCAAGACAATACATGCACAGCTGAACATAGACCCTCATCAGGAGTTTTTGATTTCGTCCTTTGCTTTGTGATCTTTGCTTTGCCCTTTGCCTTGTGATGTTTATTGGCCTTAGAAGCATATGATCTTTGTTCTCCCTTTTGCCCTTTGATGAAGCATGTGATCTTTGTGACCTACTCCCTGTTCGTACACCCCCTTCCCTTTTAAAGTCCTTAATAAAAACCTGCTGGTTTTGCGGCTCAGGTGGGCATCACGGACCTACCGATATGTGATGTCACCTCTGGTGGCCCAGCTGTAAAATTCCTCTCTTTGTACTCTTTCTCTTTATTTCTCAGACTGGCCGACACTTAGGGAAAATAAAAAGAACCTATGTTGAAATATTGGGGGTGGGGTTCCCCAATAATTCAGTTTTTCTAAAACTGCACTGAACTAAACTAAATTCTCCAGTGAGCATTCTCACAGCCTGTCATTTTCATGGGTTCACTTCCTACATTTTGTTCCTTAAATCTTAGTGACAATGCCTCTTAGAATGGAAGCTGAAACAAACAAAAATTGTTAGGTTGTAGATGTTAGTTCCCTGTTGATACTAATTCTTTTCTCTTCTTCAATTTCTTATTTGATGAGAAAAAGCCCTCTCACATTCTCAAGTTCAATGGTCTTTTCAGCAGAAGGGCACATGCTAGTAAATATAATTTTCTATCTGTGTGTGTCTGAGTTGGTGATAATAACACCTCACATCTGTGGAAGATAAATTATTACTCTCCTTGGAAAAACTCTGACAAAGATTAAGTTTTCTTGAGACTATTACATATTGTTTCACAATTTAAAAAAAAGTTATAAAACTTATCAAAGTATTAAAATAGTGCATTTCTGTTATAATAAAAATAGCTTCTGTATATATGGGTTTCTCATATATATAAATATATATGGGTTTCTCCTAACTCTTCAGGGTAGATATTATTATATTCAGAAATTGTGGATCAGAAAAAAAAAGTAAGTACTTGCCCAAGGTCGCACAGCTATAAAATGGCAGAGCTGGGATATAAGCTATGTCACAATTTGCTCTAAATTATACCATGCCAAGTCCCCTTCAAGCCTTAAATCCCTAAAACCTCATAAATATAGAACTCTCAGGGCTTCTGTAAAAGCCCTATGGTCTAACCTCTTAATTTTACAAACAAAGAAACTGAAACCCAGAGAAGTTAAGTGATTAACCAGGATCACACAGTAATTAGAACTTAGATCTTATGATCCTGGGCCACTGATTGTTTCTGCATGCAAATCTGAAATTTAAAATTTGAGAACTATGAATGAAAAATGTTTAAATGAAAGTTGAAAAACATCCCAACTTTGGATACAGTCTTAATGTAGGAATATTTGCCACCTAATATTGATACTGATATTGTGAAGAGTGGGAAGTGGCAATGGAGTGTGAAGAAGATGAAGGTCTTGACCTTCTTTCCTGAAGGTTGACCTGCTCTAGGAGAGGAAACCAATCATCCCTTCTTTCTTTCTTCATCCTGCGCCAGGACCATGGCATGTGCTGTTCCATCTGCCTGCTATGATTCCCTACCTCTCACTTGGTTAACCATCATTCTTCCTTCAGATCTCAGCTCAGAGCATCACTTCCTCAGGGAGATCTTCCTAGAATTCACTGGCTCCACTTACACTCTGGGCCTGCAGTGTGGAATGACTGCAGTTTCCTGGGTTAACCAGGACCCTGGATCATGGCTCAAGCTGACATCTGCTGGCAATGCCACCTTCCCCATTTATATTTGTGGAGCCACCTTTACTCCACCTTTTTCACCTGGCAGACACCAAATTATCCTTAAGACATAGTTTAATCATTACCTTTCCTTAAGGATGGGGGTGGCCATGATGACTACCATGGCCTCAGAGCTCTTATCACAATGCCACTAGCACTTTGTTGAGTTCACTGCTTTATAGCTCTATCCCCACTGCTAGAATGTGACCAAGTTTTTTATCACTGCATCCAGAGGGGTTTGAATGGTTCTGGGAATAAGAGATATTTGTTAAAGAAATGCTTTTTCAAAAAAAATTAGATCACTGGAAATTATTCAATTCATACTGAAACCCTGATTGGGAACTAGATAGTAAATATTTACAGTTTATCGCAATAGAAAGTTCTTCATTGCTTATGTGGATATATTATAGTTATGATGCAAGTTACTCTGTTTACACTGTACAAAACAAAATTTCCAGTGGTTTGTGAAGCTATATAGTGTCTTTTATATGTCACACTGTAAATATTTGCTGAAGTCATGCAATGGGCTATACACTTGCAGAATTTTAAGAGGTGTTTGGTAATTTTCTGTGCTGTCAAAGAGGGTGAAGTCTAAACTAGGTGTTAGCACTATTAGATTTATTCAGAAAACTTATCTTCCTACCTGTACCAAAATCACCAGCTCCAGGGGCACAGGAAAGCCCTTCTCACACCTGACAGAGCTCCTCAGACTAAAGCTAGAGCCCAGGACACATCCTCTGTGCCTTGGGGCCAGCAATAATGTTCCTGCCCTGCTGCAGTGTGGCCTCCTTCTCCACTGGACCCTGAGACCTCAGGGCTGAGCAGTTCCCTGGTGAAACACATTCTTTCTGTACTAACACCCTTCCCTTTCTAACTACACCATATCAGTTTCCTTTTGGCATTCTATCAAATTACTATAAACATAGGGGCTTAAAAGAGCACAAGTTTATTATCTTACAGTTCTGGAGGTTAGAAATCTGAAGTGAGTCTCACTGGGCTAACATCCAAGGGTAGGCAGGGCTGTGTTCCCTTCTGGAGGCCGTACGGGACAATCAGTTTCCCTGCCTTTCCGGCTTCTAGGGGCTGCCCACATTCTTTGGCTCATGGACTCTTCCTCCATCTTCAAAGCCAGCAACTACAGGTTGAATCCTTCTCACGTTGCTTTACTCTGCCCTCCTTTTCTGCCTCTCTCTTCCAGTTTTAAGGATCACAATGTGATTACATGTGGCCCACCTAAATAATTCATAATAATCTTCTCATCTCAAGGTCCTTTACTTAATATCGGTGAAGTCCATTTTGCTAAGGTAACATATATACAGAGTCTGGTGTTTAAGATACGGACATCTTTATGGGGAAGATGGGCATTATTCTGCCTCCCACATCCACCATTTCCATGATTATTGCCATTTTCATTCAGATATATACAGCAATTTGATTATTCTCCAATAAAGTCATTAATTTAATAGATATTTATTGATTACTTTGGCTATAAAGATGAGTTAAAATATATATGTTTACATCTAATATAAAATATACAGAGCCAAGCAAACAGTTGTAAAACCATGTGAAAACTGTCATCTGAAAAGAATTTCAGGGTATTAAGAGATCAGAGAGGAAATAGTGCTCAAGTCATCTCTGAATGAGACTGGAGATTGGAAATTGACTAGAAGGCACCTGGCAGGGGGAGCTTGGAGACAATCTTGAAGAATGTCTGAGAATTTTCCAAATAGACAATAGAGAATAGAAGGGGCTAGATAGAGAGAACAGCATATGTGAAGGCTCTAGACTGTGAGAAAGTATGTGGGCTTTGGGAACTGTGGTTAACTTGGTGTCACTAGAGCACTGCTGTCCTGTCGCACTTACAGTGATGATGCAACTATTCTGTGTCTGTGCTGTCATCACCGTCGCCACTGACCACATGTGGCTATTCAGCACTTGAGATGTGGTTAGTTGACAATGGGACTGAATATTTTCTTTTGTTTTATTGTAATTAATTTAAATCTAAATAGCCACATGTGGCTAGTGACTACCATATTGTCAGCACAGCTGTAGGGCATAGAGTACCTCTGAGTGGGTGATGGGAGAGATGAAGCTGGAGAGGTGAATGGGGGTTGGATTATGCCAGGCTTTTGTTTGTTTGTTTGTTTGTTGTGCAGGGAGTTTTGCATTTGTCCCCTGGAGATGTGATTTTCAGGCTGTGTTCCATGGTCATTTGTTCTGTACAGGTTATCCAGGGCTGCTGCTGGGGCTGGCAGTGGGGTGGGAAAGGGTCAGGAAGACTGAGTGGCTGGGTGGAAGTCTGCTCCCCGCTCCCCATAAACCCATCTCATGAGTTCCCTTCAGCTGAGCAGCTCCTATGACATCAGTTTAATATATTGGGCTTTTGTTGTATTGTATTATTGAGAGAAAATGACTGCGTTGCAGGATGGTGAGAAATAAATGATAGAGATTTGCATTTCTCGTATGTCACTCTGGCTAGAGGTCAGCTCAAGGCCGTGAGGAAGAGACTGGAGAGACAAGAGAAAAGAAGTGAGTCTGTCTTAATAGTCCCAACAACAGACCATTGGCTATCCAAATCGTCAGTACACCAGAGAATAGCTTTCAGGTGACCTGCGGACTTTCAACATGAAAAATTCAATCCAGAGTCCTGGGTGGGGCTCACGAGTCTGCATTTTTAACAACTCACCAAGTTATTCTTATGTGCCCTAGAATTGGAAACCCATGTATCTCAAGATTTTTTGCACAAACTGCAGCCTGTAGGATAAGAGAGAAACTTAGATCAGAGTAGAGGTTTTGCGACTCTAAGAACCAAAATGATTTCAGATGCCTGGTCATCCTCAACCTGGTGGACACGCCTTCATTCACTGGAGAAGCAGCAGCAGGGCTTGCTTCGAGTCCAGGGAAGCAAGAAAACAGATCTGATCCCCCTGTGGAGTGTGGAGTAGGGGCACTGCCCTTGATGGTGGGAGTGAAACCAACTTGTTTGCAGGTAAGCACATGAGAGACAGCCCTGGAAGCACTCAGGGGTGATGAACTTGACATGGAAGCAGAAATCCTGCAAAGCCTGAGGTGGAAAGTTGCCAAGGAAGTATGCATCATGATTGTTAATGTGCCTTTGTCTTAGTCCATTCCTGCTGCTATAATAAAATACCTTAGGCTGGGTGCAGTGGCTCATGCCTGTAATCCCAGTACACTGGCAGGCCAAGGCAGGTGGAACACCTGAGGCCAGGAGTTTGAGACCAGCCTAGCCAACATGGTGAAACTCTGCCTCTAGTAAAAAAAAAAAAAAAAAATTAGCTGGGCTTGGTGGTGCATACCTGTAATCCCAGCTACTCAGGAGACTGAGGCAAGAGAATTGCTTGAACCCGGGAGGTGGTGGCTGCAATGAGCCGAGATGGCACCGCTGCACTCCAGCCTAGGCAACAGAGCGAGACGCTGTCTCAAACAAAAACAAAAACAAACCTCAGACTGGGTAACTTATAATCAATGGAAATTTATTTCTCACAGTTCCAGAGACCGGGAAGTCCAATTTCAAAGTGCCAGCAGGTTTGGTGTCTGGTGAGGCTTGTACCTTCTTGCTGTGGTGGAGCCCTCATGACTTAATCACCATCTAAATGCCCCACCTTCTAATATGGTTGCACTGGAGAATAAATTGCAACATTAAATTTGGAGGGACACAAACATTCAAACTATAGCTGACTTCATCTACATCTCCAGCTGGTGAGGTCTGGAAGAAGTCAGGTTACACATACAGATGAGAAAGCTGAGGGTCAGAAAGTGGAGGTCTGTTGTATGAAAGGAAAATAAAAACCTGGGACCCCAATTCAGTACGCCAAGGGGAAAAATTAAGCTGAAAGCTGACTCATGCAAGCACCTGCCATTCCTTTTGTTCCTAAGCAGATAGCTACGATAAAATATTAAATATCTTCACTCTGTGTTTGAGGCAGGAGAATAGGGTCTGGAGGCAGGGAACCTAATGACTTCCTAGACGTAAATCAAGTGGAAATGCTTCAGCTATGACAGGAAATATTCTCTCCATTTACATAGGGCATACACTGAGTAAATGACTTTGTAACTTCACTTCATCCCCTTCGTTTCCATAGGGCATATACCAAGTAACGAATAAAAACCTCTAAAGGGTATTTAAACCCCAGAATATTCTGTAACGGGGCTCTTGAGCCCCTATGCTCAGACCCGCTCCCACACTGTGGAGTGTAGTTTCATTTTCAGTAAATCTCTGCTTTTGTTGCTTCATTCTTTCCTTGCTTTATTTGTGAGTTTTGTCCAACTCTTTGTTCCTGGACACCTTCCACTGGTAACATGTTCACCTTATCTTGTGTAAAGTGTGGATCCACTGAGGGCAAGACAAATACATAATTGACTATTCCCCTACCTGATCCTTTTGTCTTGCAATATGTGAGTTCAGTCACATGCCCATACCCTCTCTATTCCTTCTCCAGCTTGCTTTTCCTGGTTAAATTATTGAAGCCCTTAAAATCATCTTTGGAGAAAGGCACAGACCTGTCTCCTGGGTGCATCCTCAACCTTGGCAAAAAAAACTTCTAAATGGATTGTGACTTGTTTCAGATACTTTTTGGTTTACCGTTGTTATATGTTATCTAAGCTAACTCAGCTCTTTAGCGGAATTCTAACCCAGGTATGCCTAAATTCAAAATGTGAGGTTTTTCTGCATTATAGTGAATGACGGATATCAAGGCTTTTCTGATGACTTTGAAAAATAGTTGGATAGGCCAGACACAGTGGCTCACACCTGTAATCCCAGCACTTTGGGAGCCCCAGGCAGGTGGATCCCAAGGTCACGAGTTTGAGACCAGCCTGGTCAACATGGTGAAAACCCATCTGTATCAAAAACACAAAAAATGAGCCGGGCGTGGTGGTGGGCCTGTTGTCCCAGCTACTTGGGAGGTTGAGGCAGGAGAATCACTTGAACCCAGGAGATGGAGGCTGCATTGAGCCGAGACTGCACCACTGCACTCCATCCAACCTGGGCGGCAGATGAAAGAGTTAAACTCTGTCTCAAAAAAAAAAATAGAGAACAGAACATTCTCCAGTTATGGCCTCATTGTTTTGTTTGTTCTTGGCAAAGTTTCCACTGACATAACTCAGTAAACTTTTACATCTGAGTTCAATGGAGTGTTTTTAAATGGTTGTGGACAAGAGGTTCGTTCATTGTTGATGTAGAATTGAGTACAGAATATACTTTGCTTAAATTACTTTCACTATTTTTTCTCATAATATTCTTGAAAGTCATCTATTAATGCAGTTCTTACATAAAAGGAAGAGATAACTAAAAAGGATATAGAGCCAGGAAGTAAATTGTTTCCCCAAACACTTCAAACAATTTAAATGTTCAAATATAGAGTTATTTGTGAATTTGCAAAGTAGCAAATCAAATGGGTAATTCTCAAAGCCTTGTGTTTGAAGTGATGAGAAGCAAAGCCTTTTCAAGTTTATGTAAATAATTGACCACTTCCTTGAAAAAGTTTTAAGATTTCTCTAGAGACAAGGTGAATCATATCAAGTGGCCTAAATAAACTTTAGTTTTGAATGAGCAAATAGCTCAAGGCAAGGTGGTGGTTTTACCAAAGTAAAAAAAAGAAGAAGTTGTCAAGAATGAAGCTTGCCAAAAAATTTTCAAAAACTAAGATGGCAAGATTTTCTTTGGAGGGTTATGAAATGTTCTGAAGTTAGACAGTCTAGAATTAGATGGTTCAACAGCTGAGTGAATTTACTAAAAACACTGAATTTTACACTTTATCAGGGTGAATTTTATGTTATGTTAATTAAATTTCGGTGAAGCACTTATTAAATGAAATTGTAATAAGAGGATGTAAGAAGATTCAGTCACAAAATATACACATATACCACACAAATTTAAAATGCTTTTAGCTAAAATATTAAAAGACAAGCTAGTCACTTTGGAACCCAAATTCATTGTCTGAAAGATTTTTAAAAATCTTAAAGAGAAAGAAATGAAGATAAAGCAATCATGAGTGAAAAAAATAAACAAACTTGGATGATATAACCAGAAATAACACATAAATGAAATAATTTCAGAAGAACAAGATATATGCACTTTAAAAGTAATATGGAAAAGCAAGGGACCCAGAATAATCAAAAGAATCCTTAAAAAGAGGGACAAAATTGGAGGACTCACATTTACTTCAGAACTTACTACAAAGTTACAGTAGTCAAGCCAGCATGATACTGACATAAGGATAGACACATAGATCAATGGAATACAGTCAGTCTAGAAGCCAGCCTACATATGCAAGACATTATGGAGGGTCTTCAAAAAATTTAAAAATAGAACTACTATGTGATCCAGCAATCCCACTACCGGGTATATATCTAAAGGAATCGAAATTGGGATTTCAAAGAGCATTTGCACTCCTGTTCATTGCAGCATGAACCTAAGTAACCTAAATATTCATCATGGATGAATGGGTAAAGAAAATGTGTTATATATATACAGTGGAATATTGTTTAGCCCTAAGAAAGAAGGAAATCCTGCCATTTGTGACAACATGCATAAGCCTAGAGGACTTTATGCTAAGTGAAACAAGTTAGACACAGGAAGACAAGTACTACTTGATGCCACTTACATAAGGAATCTAAAATAGTTAAACTTGTAGAAGCAGAGAGTAGAATGGTGGTTGTCAGGAGCTGGGGAAAGGGGGATATAGGGAGCTATTAGCCAAAAGTTGCAAAGTTTCAGTTATAAAAGATGAGTAAGTCCTAGAGATCTACTGTATAACATAATACCTATAGTTAACAAAACTGTATTACATCTTAAAAATTTGCTAAGTGGGTAGATCTTATGTTTTATCACATACTACACACACACACATGCACACACACACATACACAAATAATTATAAATATAGAGGGTAGGAGGAAACTGTTTTGGAGGTGATGGGTATGTTTAGATTGTGGTAATGATTTCACAGATGTATATTTAGCCTCAAACTCATCAAGTTGCATACATTAAATATGTACAGCTTTTTGTATGTCAATCACACCCCAATAAAAGTTTTTTTAAAAATCCTGCACACACACACATATATACATGTGTATATATGTATATAAATATATACATGTATATAAATTTATTTTAGATAAGATTGCCGAGACAATTCCAATGGGGAAAAGAAGTCTTTCCAAACATGCTGCTGGGACAACTGGATCTCTACATGCAAAAGAATGAACTTGAACTACTATTTCACACTATATTAAAACAATTATCAATTATTTTGTGACTGAAGGCAATTAAGAAGCAGCAAATGGAAAAAGCTCTCGCTGTCTTCCCCTTTTCTGCCTCAAGGTAGGATATAAATTCTCGTTTACTGGACACAACTCTAGACTCTATTCACCCAGAGAAAGCACCAGAAGAATCTGCAAACAAACGTTACTTCATTAGTTTACCCCCATATAGTTATTTTCCCACTGTTTCCTACCCCGAAAGGAAATTGCCTTCCTTTGTCCTGTCATTTCTCTATAAATTTATTGTTCTTTGTTGAAGATGCGATACAAGCCAGAGTTCTAAGCAACTGCTTTGAGTTACTTTTCATTGAGGTTTTTCCTGCATGGTGTTCACTGTATGTGTTAATAAACTTGTTTGTTTTTTTCTTGTTGATCTGCTTTTGTTACAGGGGCTTGTCTCAACTGAGAACTTACACAGGGACAGGTAATCTGTAGCTTCCCTGACAACTGAAATGAAAGAGCTAAAATTACAAAACTCTTAAAAGAAAACATGGGATTTGCTATGGTTTGAATGTCCCACCAAAACTCATGGTCAAATTTAATTGCCATTGGGGTAGTACTAGGAGGTAAGACCTTTAAGAGGTGTAGATCATGAGGGTTCTGCCCTTGTGAACGGATTAATGCTGTTATCAGGGTAGTGGATTAGTTATTGAGGGAGAGGACTCCAGCATAAGTTTGACCTCCATTTTCTCCCTGTCTCATTTGTCACCTGCCTTTCTGCTTTCAGCCATGGTGTGATGCAACAAGAAAGCCCTCACCAGATGGCTAAGCAGATGCTGGCACCATGCCTTTGGACTTCCCAGCCTCCAAAACTGTGAGCCAAATAATCTTTTGTGTATAAATTATCAAGTCTGTGATACTCCGTTATAGCAGCAGAAAACAGACTAAGACAAGATTAAATCTTTGTGACCTTGGGCTAATCAATGATTTCTTAACTATGACAATCACATATCGGATAAGAGCCTTAATTCACAATATATAAAGAACTTTTATAATTTAACAATGAAAAGACAACACAATTTTAAAAGGGCAAAGTATTTGAATAGACATTTCTCCAAATAAGTTATATAAATGGCCAATGAGCACGTGGAAAGATGCTCAACATCTGTTTGACATTAGGCAAATGCAAATCAAAACCACATTCACTAGGATAGCTACAGTAATTAAAAAAGGAATGATAGTAAGTGGTGAGGATGTGGAGAAATTGGAACCCTCATATATTGTTGGTGGGTATGTAAAATGATGCAACCACCGTGGAAAGCAGCTTGACAGCTCCTCATAAAGTTAAACATGGTGGTACCACAGGACCCAGCAATTCTACTCTTAGCTATATATGTCCAAGAGAGATGGAAATTTAAGTCCACACAAAAATTTAATTTGCCATTTTCATGGCAGCATCATATATAATGGCCAAATATTGGAAACAACCCAAATGTTCATCATCTGATGAATGGATCAACAAAATGAGGTATATCTATACAATGAAATAGGATTTGGCAACAGAAGAAAGAATGGAGTACTGACACAGGCTACATCATGGATGATCCTTGTAAATACTAAATAAAAAAAGCAAGTCATAAAAGATCACATATTGTATGATTTTATTTATGAGAAATGTCTAGAGTAGGCAAATCTACAGAGACAAAAAGTACATTAGTGGGCACCTAGGGCCAAAGAGGGGAGAGAGAATGGGCAGTGATGGCAGCAGGGTGTTTGGAGGAGGGCTGGTGATGAAAATGCTCTAAAGTTATAGAGATGTTTGCACAAATATATTAATATATTTTAAAACATTGAATTGTATATGTTAAATGATTGAATTTTATGGTATGTGACACATGTCAAGAAAGATGTTTTTAAAAATAGTTCAGGAAAATGGATATATATACAAATTATGCAACTAGTTCACTTTCCAGAATCCCATAAATTAAAACTCCTATGACTTGTAAATCTTCTAGATCTTAGACCGGATTATCATAAGCCTATTCTTAACTAGAAATTTCCTGGACACATGCCAAGGAATAAAAACTCTTGGCTGGGTGCGGCGCCTTAGAAACCCTGAGAGACAAGTATTATCTTCTAATCAACAAAACTGGTAGATGATTAAATTATTGGTTCAGAGTACAGGCTTTTTGCTAGACAGAAACATCCAAAACTTAATACTTAATAAAGGAAATTAAGAACAGAGATTTTTCATAGTGGAAACCTTGTTAAGATTACCGAGGCTTACAGGAGATAGTACCAGAGCATGCATGTATTTGGCAGCTACTGAGAGTCTGCTATTTGCCAGAAGATATTAGACACTGGAAAGAAATGTTTAAAAGGCTGAGTCCCTGCCCTAAGGGAGCTTATGGTCCAGGGAAGAGACACAAATGCGTTTCATATCACATGTTAAGTGCTGCGGGGAGGGTATGCAAGGAAACGAAGGGACAGAGAAGAGAGTTGGTCACCCTGGTTGGGAGACCAGAGATGCCTCCTCAGAGGAGTTTCTAGGAGAGGATCAGGGTTGGAGCAGGTGTGGGATTTCAAAGCACAGCCATCTGGAATGTGCACTCAGAAAGAAGAAAACCTCAGGGGACAAGGAGAGCCAGTGTCTGAAAAATGGCGCAAAAGGCTGTTCTCTTCTGTTATGCTATGTTTATGTTTCTTTGAGGAGGGAACTGTGTAAGAGGTAATGTGTGGTAACGTATTAGCACTTGAGAAGGAAATGCCTTTGACTCAGTGCAATTTCTTCCCCAGTAAGAATAATCTCCAAAGACTGCTAAAAATATAGAGGAGAAGCAAAGTGAAGTCTTCGTTTTTTCTTTTTTCATCTCTTCACAGCAGGTGAATTAACCCAAAATTCGTCATCATAGGAGCAGCAGTTCTTTTTTAACCTCACATACAATTTTACATTTTCCTTAAAAACTCTTTATTTCAAATACACACAAATGGAGAGAGGAGTGTGATAAAACCCCATATTCCTGCTGGCTTAGTCTGTTTTGTGTTGCTATAAAGGCGTACCTGTGGCTGGGTGGTTTGTAAGGAAAGAGGTTGAGTTAGTTCATGTTCTGCAGCCTGTGCAAGAAGCATGGTGCTGGCATCTGCTCTGCTTCTGGTGAGGACTTTTGTGCTCCATCAAAACATGGTGCAGAAGGTCAAATGGCAGGCAGGCAGGTGCAAAGATGGATCAAACCTGGGGGGCCTCTTGGCTTTAGAGCAACACACTCCCTTGGGAACTAATCCATCCCCTCAAAACCAATCCATCTCGGGACAGCATGAGAACTTACTCACTACCCTGAGAACAGCACCAAACCATTCATAACCCATGACCTGAACTCCTCCCACTGCACCCCACATCCCAACATCACCACACTGGGGATCAAATTTCAACATAATATTTGGTGGGGAACATACAAGTCATATTCAATCCATAGCAGCAGCCATCCAGATTTTAAAATAATCAACATTTTGCCCACTTGAATCACCTGTTTGCACCCCTTTTTTGTTGAAGAATTTTAAAGCAAATTCCAGGCAAAATGGCACTTACCACCTAGTATTTCAATGTGTCCCTAAAAGAGGGAAATATAACCAGTTACCACTATCACACCTAAATTCATAACAATAATTAATTAATATCTAATTCCCAGTCCATCCATATTCAAAGTTCATTGACTGTTTAATAAACTTGTTTTTTTTTTTTTTTTTTTGGACGGAGTTTTGCTCTTGTTGCCCAGGCTGGAGTGTAATGGCGTGATCTTGGCTTGCTGCAACCTCTGCCTCCCAGGTTCAAGTGATTCTCCTGTCTCAGCCTCCCGAGTAGCTGAGATTACAGGCGCCTGCCACCACGCCTGGCTAATTTTTGTATTTTTAGTAGAGACAGGGTTTCATCATATTGGTCTGGCTGGTCTCGAACTCCTGACCTCAGGTGATCCGCCCGCCTCAGCCTCCCAAAGTGCTGGGATTACAGATGTGAGCTACTGTGCCTGGCCAATAAATGTCTTTTTAAGATGATTTTTTTTTCCAAATCAAGATCCAAGCGAGACTCACATGTTACATTCAGTTGTCATGCCCCCTTGTACATCTGTAGCAAGCCCCTCTCCCCTCTTCTTTTCCCTTCCCATTGACTTAACTGAAAAAACCTGGTGTAATTGTCCCATAGAACAATGTGCATAGAATATACATTGTTCCACATTCTAGGTTTGCCTGATTACTTCCTCATGGTGACAGCATCATTCAACCAGCTCTTCTTCTTTGTATTTTTAGTAGAGACGCGGTTTCACCATGTTGGCCAGATGGTCTCGATCTCTTGACCTCGTGATCCACCCGCCTCAGCCTCCCAAAGTGATGGGATTACAGGCATGAGCCACCACACCTGGCCGAAATGTATTTCTTAAGTAATAAGATTTGAAAGTTGAAATTACTCCTTGATTCATTGGCTACAGAATGGATGTTGTGTTGAATAACATTCATCTCATTGTACATCTCTGTCAGAGCTCTTGAGTGACTAGATGCACTGTCAGTGAGTGATAATATTTGGAAAGAAATCTTTTTTTTTCTGAGCATTAAGTCTCAATAGCGGACTTAAAATATTCAGCAATTCATGCTATACACAGATGTGCTGTCATCCAGGTTTTGTTGTTCCACTTAAAGAGTGCAGGCAGAGCAGATTTAGCATAATTCTTCCTAGAGTTTTCAAAATGGCAAATGAGCATTCGCTACAATGTTAGGTCACTAGCTGCAATAGCCCCAATCAAAAGAGTCAGCTATTGCTTGAAGCTTTGAAGCCAGGCACTGACTTTTCTTCTCCAGCTATGAAAGTTCTGAAGAGCATCTTCTTCTAATATAAGACTGCTTTTTGTCCACAGACAATATGTTTCTTTTGCCCTCTTCATCAGTGATCTTAGCTGGCTTTTCTGGATAACGCTGCAGCTTCTCCATCAGCACTTGCTGCCTCACCTCGTACTTTTATGTTATGGAGATGGCTTCCTTCCTTAAGCTTCATGAGCCGACCTCTGTTAGCTCCAACTTTTCTTCTGCAGCTTACTCATCTCTCTCAGCCTTCGTAGAATTGAAGAAAGTTAGGGTGTTGCTCTGGATTAGGCTTTTGCTTAAGGGAATGTTGCGCCTGGCTTGATCTTCTATTGAGTCCACTCAAACTTTTTCCATACCAGCAATAGGGCTGTTTTACTTAGCGTTTGTGTGTCCACCCGAGTAGCACTTACTTTCCTTCAAGAACTTTTCCTTTGCATTCACAAGTTGGCTGTTTGCTGCAAAGGTCAAGTTTGGTGCAAAAGAAAAGTTCTTGGAAAGTAAAAGTGCTACTCTGCTACCTTGGTTGTCAACACGCCTTCCATGCTAAATGTAATCATTTCTAGAATTGGATTTAAAGTGAGAGATGTGTGACTTTTATTTTCACTTGAACACATAGAGACCATTGTGGAGTTACTAACTGACCTGATTTCAATATTATTGTATCTCAGGGAATAGGGAGACCTGAGAAGCAGGAGAGAGATGAGGAATGGCTGGTTGGTAGAGCAGTCATGGTAAAACATACATTTATTGATTAAGTTCATCATCTTATATGAACGTGGTTCATGGCACCCCCCAAAAACTACAATAATAGCATCAAAGATCACTGATCACAGATCACCATAATAGATAAAATATGAAAAAGTTTGAAATATTGTGATAATTGCCAAAATGTGACACAGAGACATGAGATGAGCACCTGTTGTGGAAAGTTGGCACCTATAGACTTGCTTAACACACAGCTGCCACAAAACCTCAATTTGTAAAAAACATCCGCATCTGCATAGCATCATAAAGTGAAGTGCAATAAAATAAAATATGCCTTTATTCAATGTTTTTCAACCAGTTGTAGTCATTACTGTTTTCACATCCTCAGATGTCACATTTGACAACGGAAAACCTTCAAGTGGATCTGTGTGTTCTGCTGGTATTTTCCTTGCTTTCTGGCATAAGCATGTCATAGAACCCCAAATTCAGGCTCGTGTACCCAGCATGCAGCTGAGGCCAAACCCTGACACAAAGGTGCTTGGAGATAGAGAAGGGTTTATCTGATTTGCCCAAAATGAGGTGGGAGGGCAAAAATCTCTCCAATCTACCTTAACAAAAAGAAGAGGCGGGGAGTTTTTATTTGGCTGGAGAGTAAAGGATGGGGAGTTACAGGAAATCTAGGGGAAAAAAGTCTGTTTCTTCAGTCTGAGATAACACCTTGAGCAACCAGACTTCTTGGCATCAGCAGCTGGTCACGACATCCCTCTAGGCATTCATTCTTTCTGCAAACTTTTTTTGTGACACTGGAGTTATCTCCTGCTGCTTGGCACAGGAACGGTACATCTATAGTTTATAATTACATTGTGGGAACAAGGAATTTTGGGCAAAAAGCAAGTGGTTAACATTTGCAAGCAAGCAAGGGCCTAATCAGAATTCTCATTATTTCAGATACTAAAAAATGCTGGGGTGCTGAAATCTCCAGTGGCCCAATTGCAAGCTGTCCCAGGCTTAAAATCAGCTTTGCCCTAGACTTAAAATCAGCTATTTCTCTGGGGAGCCCTAATTCTTTTCAATGAGAAGTGAGTTTAGAGACATAATCTAGGTGATATGGGTGCTCATTGCTATTGGGCTGTCAGTGCTTCTAAACATTTCAGTCAACAGAGCTAAGAAATACATGTTTTTTTAAATAAAAAAGTGTTTTCAGAGTTTATAGTAATTTCTTTCTTGTTTCTAGTGGGGTTGGACATAGTAATATTTTTAATTCAGATTAACAATATAAGGTTTCTACTTAAGTTCTTTAATTTTTTTTCTTGTCTTCCTTTTCTCTTACACGGAAAATCTTGATTCCTACCAACATTAATATAGTTACCTATTTGCTTTGTCCTATAATGTGTATAAACTAGTTAAAAAATATAAAATCCAAATGAAAATTACTCAGTGAAGTTAAAACAATGTTACAGTTCTTTTTGTCATTAATCCTACTAAGACTTTATAGCTAACATAAAGGTAACCAGATATAATTCTTTCTTCTGTAAGGTCATGTTACCACCTTCATGATATTCCATTAATGTGTTAATTTCAGTTTATTTTTATGTTGGGAATTGATTGTTTTCTTTTTAGATTAATTTTATTTTTTGAAAGTGTAAAACAGGCACATAGAAGGGAACAACACACACTGGGGCCTATCAGAGGGGGGAAGGTGGGAGGAGGGAGAGAATCAGGAAACTAATGGGTACTAGGCTTAATACCTGGATGATGAAATAATCTGTCCAACAAAACCCCATAACACAAGTTTACCTATATAACAAACCTGCACATGTACCCCTGAGCTTAAAAATAAAAGTTAAAAAAGAAAATATAGAACATTTGTAAGATTCCAAATGTAAAAGGTTTATATGATTCTGAAGTCGTATGTAACACACCATTCAGAAAAGTCTTGCTTCCATCACTAACCCTTCCCCCATTCTCTCTCTCCCCGTGCACGTAATCACTTTCAAATACATTTAATTTAAATTTCCAGTATCTCATTTTGAAAATATAAACATGTATGTGTGTACTTATGCATATTCTTAAATGGAAAAAGCAAGATAAGTTTTGTGCATGCTATAATGCTAACTTTCATGTAAGAAAAGAGGAAAATACTGTATCTTCTATGCCCAAAATGAATAATGCTAGTCATTTTTCAGTTCCCTAAATCAGCAATGATGAGGGTTGCAATAGAAGGTGAAGCAATTAAATTGAAGTAACTGTTGGTAATTCAAACAAAAGATTCATCTTGCATTAATTACCTGAACTATTTGAATTTGTGTTGTAGTCTGTATTTCTATTTGTTTTCTGCTCCTAAAATTGAGTTTCTATTTACCATAAGCAATACTATATTTACTTTACATGTCTTTATAATGCTTGAATTATTTCAGACAAATTTACTTTCTCTTTGCCTCAGTTTCCAAATGTTGGATTGGACAAGAGGTGACCTTTTAAGTCGTCTTTCAGCTTTAGCATTGTTCTAAGCGAGCTGTCTTCACCCTTGTAATAGCTGCCATAATCCACTAGATGTCAATGCAACATAGCAACCTATTTTGGGCATTTAAGCCTCTATATCCTAGGTTTAAAACCAGGAGAAAATTAGAAAATTTTATTGATCTGTTATTTATTTTTGTTAAAAGTACAGTACTCTCTTAAAAAAGATAATACGTAATCCTGTTCTACCTAAAAGAATATAAACAACTCCAATAGAATTAATATTTTCACAGGTATCATTTTTCCAGTGCTTAAGTTGAAAAATTCAGTTTTCAAATCAACATGTATAGACTATTCCCTATAAGAGTAGTGGAATACAGAATTGAAAAAAATTTTTTAGTCATTGTATAACATTGTAAGATTTGGCATATTTAGGAGAAAAGAACGAAATTTGTTCAATATAATCCCAGATAATGGTGATCGTTGTCAAAATGGTATGATGTTTAGAGCTAAATTGTTTCTTTAGTGTGAAATTATTTATTACATTATTAATTTAATAATCTTCTTGACAGATTTTTAAGTCCCTCATGAAAAATTCAGAATTATTCTGCAAAGAAAAATGACATTATTTCTCCTCCTTGAAAAAAAGAGATGAAATAAATTTTAATACAGAATGATGTTATGTTTACATCGTAACATTGGAAAAAGTGGTTTATTTTTTCATTAAAACTTTAAATGTATCAGGGAGAGGAAATTGCTGGTGTTGCAAGGTTGTCAGTTTTTAAAAATTCTACCTTTTGCTTATGTTCCATTATAAATAATATGCTTAACATGTTTGGATTTCAAGGGCATTTTTTTTCTCTCTCTCTCTCTTTTTCTCTCTCTCAGCCTATAATTTTTCCTATCCAGGGATTGTGAAACCTAGGAAATGCCCAACAGTAAAAGGAATAATGCGAGTCATTTCTCAGTTCCCTAAATCAGCAATGATCAGGGTTGCAATAGAAGGTGAGGCAAATAAATTGAGATAACTGTTGATAATTCAAATAAAAGATTCATCTTACATTAATTACCTGAACTATTTGAGTTTATGTTGTAATCTCAAATGTAAACTGCTGATAAGAAAGTTTTCAATGTCGAATTATTTACTTTCATTAAAGTCAGAATAGTAATCTATACTCAGTAAGATTAGTTTCTATCTGCTTCAACAAATCGAAGTCTATATTTTTCATTTTTTCTTTGTCAACCTATGTCTAATTATGGTATTTCTTTAGAAGCAGAATTACTTAAGAACTATGAAATTTTTGAGATAATTGTCAATTTCCTTTCCTAAAATTAAGATCAATTTACAGTCTTACAAATAACAGATAAGTGCCTGTTTTAGTTGAGAATTAACAATTAAAGCATATTTTGCCAATTATACAGATTATAAATCATACCTTATTGTGTTTTTATTGCATTTTTCTTTATTAGTGAGTTTGGTCATTTAAAAATATATTTATTGCGGCCGGGCATGGTGGCTCATGCCTGTAATCCCAGCACTTTGGGAAGCCGAGGTGGGCGGATTGCCTGAGGTCAGGAGTCCCAGACCATCCTGGCCAACATGGTGAAACCCCTTCTCTACCAAAAATACAAAATCAACCGGGTGTGGTGGCAGATGCCTGTAATCCCAGCTACTCGGGAGGCTGAGGCAGGGGAATTGCTTGAACCAGGGAGGTGGAGGTTGCAGTGAGCCAAGATCACACCACTGCACTCCAGCCTGGGCGACAGAGTTAGACTCCATCTCAAAAAATATATATATAGCAATTAACATTTTCCCATTTAGAGCTTTTTATTATAAATTAAGAATGAAACCTCTTGTCAAAATTATTTCTATCCAATTAAAGATTTACTTTTACATTTTATTATTTTGTGCTTTTTTAAATGTACAGAAGTTTTGATTGTATTACGTCATGTAATCTCTTTCATCGCCTTTATCTTAGAAATGTCTTACCTTCATATCAGTTAAAAATACACATCTGTTTCATGCAGTATTTTAGAATTTCATTGTTTATACTAAAGTCTTTAATAAATCCTTTAGTACAGTATAAGTTGAGTGCTTATCTTAATTGTTCTTGAAATAGATAATTTTTTAAAGTTTTGTTGAATAAGTAAATCATCTTTTTTCATTTCTTTATGATTTGTTTTTACAATATACCAGTTTCTTATATTGTAGGATTTTTTAAAACTGTTTTGTTCCATCAATCTATCTTTTAATTTTTTCATTAATACCGTACAATTTATATTGTAATAGTTAACATTTTTAAACACATCATTCCTTTCTTGGTTAGTTTCAAGTATTACTGAGCTATTCTTCCTTGTTAATTCTTCCAGAATCATTTTGGGAAGTGTCTCTCATCTCAGATAAAATCTCATTGCCATGTTATTTTTATTTATTCTTCATTAACACATGAGAGTTAATTTAGGAGGAATTACAGTCATGCATTGTTCTAGCCAGGAAATTTTAAACTTACCTTTTATTATTCCTCTCTAAAAGTGTATAGTTTTCTAGAAATAAGATCTGCTCCATATCTTATAGGGTTTTTCTAGGTAGTTTATGTCATCCCATGGCTACTGGATTTTGTATGTTTATTTTGTATCTATTCACCCCAGTGAACTCTAAGGTTGTTAATTAATTTGGGGGGATGATCTTGGATATATAATACCATATGCAAATAATGAGAATTGCTGACATAAATTATTAAGGCCTGTTGAAGGTAGATTTTGATAATACACTCAAAACATAATTTAGATTTCTCACTAAAATGGAATACCCACTAGTTTTTTATTTATGAATTTACATTTTATTGTTAGATCTAAGAATTAATAAAGTGATTTTATTCTTATATAAAATACTTTTATTTTAATATCATTAAAGTAGAATAAGAAATCTGAAATTTTTAAACAGTAAAATATACCTACATATGTTTTTGATGTCGTAGTACCCAAAGCACTAGAAATAAAATGTTATATCTAATAAAATAACATTGAAATTACACATAAAATAAATCACATTTGTATTCTGCATTATCATAATCTTCCATAAATAAAATACAAATTAGTTCTGCATTTAGTTAAAAAAAAAAAAGAAAAGATCTTTGCTAACTAGATAATATTTTTAAGAAACAATTCTTCTTCATTTGAAATCTTTGGCAACATAGCCCAGATACTTTGCTTTGGCAGAAAGGTTCTTAATAGTGTTAACATGAACTTAACACTGCACCAGTACAGACATTACTATTACGTTTTGAACTAAAACAATACAATTAAAAAACACTATCTGAAATAAAACAAATCACCTCTGCTTACAGTGTAGTTATGTTTACTTTAGAAGTGTGTGGGGAAAATGCCTGCTAATAAATTTACAATTGAAATGAAATATGTTTCTGACTTGTTATAAATTTGCTTTAAAAATAGTAGTTTGATATATCTAATCATAGAACATTTACTAGCTATATTTCAATTTTTCTTTTAATATATTCATAATTAGAATTTGTAGTATTATGCAAAATTGATATTTTCTGACAAAAATTATAAAATGCTGAGTTTTGCATTTAATTAATATTATCCTAAGGACAAATAATGAAATTCATTGACTGAGAATAAATTTGCTAAGCTCTTAAAAAAAGAACAACATTCAGGGAGATTATTAAATAAATCCATGCAAAAGAACATACATTAGGAAATCAATCATTTTATATCATTTCTTGAGGAACTACATGAGACAGAGATCTCCAATAACATAATAAAAATAATTTTTTCATAGATATATTTATGCTTGAATAAACTGAAATTGATTCATGGATATAATTTAACAATTAAGATGTCTGTATCCTTCAACAATGTGAAAATGATAAAGCTTTATTCTTCTCATTGCTTCACCTTTAAACTTTATGTAGCAAAAATGTTTTTATGCACATTATCATCATATTTTTCATCTTAAAAAGTGTCAGTAAAATGCAGTGTTGTTTACTTAAAACATAATAGAAAATATTTTTATGTTGGTGTATTGTCTGGTGCAAAATATATTTTTTAATATTTCTGGTAAAGTATCTTAAGGGATTTCCAATCTTTTGATCATTGGGGTTTTGGTCACTAATATCACTGCTAATTCACTAGGGCTAATACTTTTAAAAAACAAAACTGCATTTGTCATCCTATAAATAAAACAAAGCTATGAGCTTATTTGCATAAAGACACAGAGCCAATTAATTTGACTTCAGTTCGGAGATACTTCACAAAACTGTACATCTCATAGATAAAACCATACTGGTGTTATATTTTATACTAACTAGTTTTAGCAATCATTAACAACATATAGTAGGTAATTTTAAGTGATTTTCATTTTGGATAGCAACTACATGGTCATATATATTTTACATATAACATACCACATATAATAATAATATATTGAGATATACTGTTAAAATTTATCTTAAAATATAAATATCTCAAAAAAGTCTGATTTTATTATGCAGAGAAAAAGTCAGAGTTCTTATTTTAATTAAGGTACAGTCTATGGGGGGAAAAAAAAAACCAAAACTCCCATTACATTTAAATTTAATACAATCAGTTTAAACACATGTCACTATGTTTAAGATTTATTTTCAAGATGTTTTAATTACTGACAAAAGTTTTTGTAGTCAGTTATGTTCATGGAGTTGTAAAAGTAAATTATTTTTAAAACAACCTGCTCTTAATTTAATCTATGGCTCAAGAGTTTCAAAATATTTGAGTTTAAAAATAAATAAAAATTTCATTTTTGTATATTGAATTTAAAAGAATCTGACAAGGTTTTTTTGCTTGCTTTTTTGTTGTGTTTTCATTCATTTGTAAGCAGTTTTTATTCCATAGGGTTATTAGAAACATAGTGAACTTTACTTGCCATTCAATGTATAACAACACATGACTTTTAATAAATTAAATGGAACACACTCAGTGCAGAGTAGTACTATAGAAAGAGCTCAGCCCTTCGAACAGAGATCTGAGTTCTGGATGGGCTGAGAGACTTTGGACCAGTCACTTAATCTGTCTGAGCCTCTGCTTCCATGTGAATTACTGACCTTTTATTGTCCTTGAACAAAAACATAACATCAAGCTAATACGATCATTTTGTCTTTTCTTGAGAATTTTGAAATAAATGGCCAATTCAAGAGCATGCCCTTAGCTAAGGGCCTGCACTTTTACCCTTGGGAGAGACTTGATGGATTTTTCAGTGGGAAGGCCTGCCATAAGCCCAGTTTATCAACCTCTTCACTAAAGGATTTTGGAGCCCTGGAATTGTCCATGGTTTGGAGGGTTTTTCAGATGCTTGAGAGTTACTTTGAAAGAGGTGGAAAAGGAAAGATTGACAGCGCTAGCTTAGTCTCAGAACTAATTTCCCTGGTTCGTGTCTACATGAACAAGGACTGATTAAAAAGATTTTTAGAATCTTTGTGGGAAAAACAAGGCTAATTCCATCTGGAAGGTTGACCTGAGCCTGCTGGAATAAGTGGGTAGCAAGCTAAAAAAGCAAGGAATACAGGACTGAAATGTGTGTTTAGATGGAAAGATCTGTTTATATTTCAACTTTGTATCGTTTAATAACTTCCTGGTTGGGCTTGTTTTAGTATGCTGAAGAGCTAGGATTTGGATCCCTTAAATTAATTTTTCTATCTAAAGTCTTCCAAATCTAACAGCTTGTGAGTAGAATGTATAATGTTTCCTCATAAATCAGCCATGAATTTTAAACAAATTAACCCTTAAGCTTCCTCACATCCCCTGAAGTCCATTGTGTATACTAAAGAGTATTGTCCATCCCTACTTCTGTGAAATGCACAATTCCCTCGGGAAAAAGTCTAAATTTGAACTCCTACAGAACTTTCATAGCACTGTCATTTTAATGAAGTGGTATCAACTCTTGGAAATTATTGTGCTAAATTATTTACTTCTCTCTTAAAAATGATTTTATCATATTAATTTAGAGAATGCCTGGTTTTAGCTATTTTCCCTGCTGCAATTTCCCTCTCAACTACAAATCGAGTCTCACATAGTGTTTGTTTTACAACGATCATGGTCTTCAGCCTTCCAGAACATGTTTTGGAGAATTGTAGTCCAATTATGCACTGAAAAAACAGCCCTAAATATTCTGTTAATGAACTGCATTCAGGCACTAAAAAGACATTTCATTGTGACAGGATTATAAAGATCCTGCCCTTAATTATGAGTTGTAAAAGCCACTTTCAGGTAGAAATAAAGAGGGTAACAGTTGTTCAATTAGAGGTGAACATTCATCTAGGAGAGGAAAAAAGCCTTTCTGTGATAAGACCCAGAAATCTTGTTTTTCTGCTAATGCGATTTCATACATTTTTGTTGCACGGTGGGCTGAGCAGCATTCCTGGTCTGTTGCCTCGGATGGGAATTGTTCAATGCCATGTCACACATAGCTGTGCCCCGAGTCATCATGCTGAGCGGTGAACCGATCCCATGGCCGTCGTGACAGTTTCTGGAGAAAGCAGGCGCATGCTGATTCATTCTCAGCCTCCTCTTCCCATCCCTGTCTCCAGCCTAGCATCCTTTTTACGTTTATTCATGAGCTTATCACTCGGGGCAAAAAAAAAAAAAAAAAAAAACTATTTGCATTATAACATTACATTTAAAAGCTATAAATTATGCAGAGCTATAAATACTGCCTTTTGGTAAACACCATAAAATCTGTGTGTGTTTGTGCACACGCAAGCGTGAAATGTCATTTGGATTTTCTCGCTACTCACTGCATCTTATAACTCTTCAATCTTCAGCATTCCAAAATCTAGCAGTTAAAACAGTGATAATTTAAATGGATAGGAAAGGATTTAGACCTGTTTTAAACAAACTGTGATTCTGTGTTAACTATGGCACTGGGCTCACTCCATTTGGAAACTGTCATCACTTCACAATAAAGGTGATGAAATATAACATATCTGGAAGTTGAAAAACTGAAGATGATTTTTGTTCTGTGCTGTTCAACAGAGGCATACACAACTGAACTGATACATATTTTTTTTAATCAACCTTGCCCCTCTAGAATATTTTTAAAACACTTAATAGACAGACCAAACTTAAATTCTATTGGTCAAATATTTTCGGAAACTGAAGAGGTGATAATTTGAGAAAAGCCTAAACCTTATCTCAGGTTGATTATACAGGGTTATGATTCCACATCTCCTTTCTCATTGTATAAAAGAAATTCCTGTACATCAAGCCTGTGACTCTGACATGCACACAAACTTGAACTTGCAGAGAATCTTTGCATCCTGGGCATCCCGCAGCCTGGGCACTGGAGGTGCTGCTGTTCAGGAGATGAGTGTTGTCTGTTAGCTCATTGTGTCTTTAGAGCAGCCGAGTCAGGGTTGAGGGTGGGGGTGGCTCAGGTCGCGGTTGGCACAAACTTCTTTCCCCCAGGTGCAGTACAGACTGTGTGCTAGCTTGATTTATTCATTCTGATTTATCATGAACCAAAATATGAACTACAACATTAGGAAGATTATATGCCAATGTTCTCTTTTAAAAAGAACATAATCATATCCTTTTTTGGGTGTTTACTGTATTAGTCCGTTCTCACGCTGCTATAAAGAACTGCCGGAGACTGGGTAATTTATAAAGGAAAGAGGTTTAATTGACTCACAGTTCCACATTGTGGGGAGGCCTCAGAAATCTTACAATCATGGTGGAAGGCAAAGGAGAAGCAGGCACCTTCTTCACAGGGCAGCAGGACAGAGTGAGTGCAAGGTGGGGAAATCCCAGATGCTTATAAAACCGTCAGATCTCATGAGAACTCACTATTACTAGAATAGCATGGGGGAAACTGCCCCCATGATTCAATTACCTCCACCTGGTCCCACCCTTGACATGTGGGGATTATAGGGATTACAGTTCAAGATGAGATTTTGGTGGGGACACAAGGCCTAACCATATCACCTTATTTTCCTGAAAATCTTCCTTAAATCCAACTAGAATGCTTCCTATCTCATTTTAAGCCCATTTCTTCTTGCCTGTCCATAAGCAAAGATCAAGAACGAATCTTCATTGAATTAAAGGGAATCTCACTTTGTATTTAGAGGGGGACAGGGAGGTATGAGTCTCAGTCTATAACAATCATGCAGGAAGCTTATCTGTAAATACAACGGATTTCGTGGAAAATGCCCTGTTCCTTTGGGTAAGAGAAACTAAATTCAGTCAATTACAGGTATCTCCGACTTCCTTTAGTATTGTGCCACATTTTCTTTTTCTTGCATGCATAGAAAACCTTCCCCACCTCACACCATTCTGGGCAGCAGGAAATCCTTTCCACACCAGTATCATGCTGGGCCTGGGGGAAACGTGGCTGTTCAGGGCTGCTCTCTAGACACACCCAGCTGACCTTCTTTCTGCTCCTGCATCTTTCTGGTTACAGGAATCCTAGGGCCTGAGGCTCCAGACCTGGGCTTCACTGAGGGAAGGCACAGGTCCTCCATGGTCTTGGGGTTTCCAAATCTCCCCAAGGGTGGAATGGTTAAGCCTACCCCCATCTCAGATCACTCATGCTCCCTGGTGTTCCTCTCCTTCTCTAGACCCAGGGGTCTTCCCAGAGTCTGTTCAGGACCTGAGAATTTGAACCTCAAAAGCCAGAGGATATGTAATCCCTTCCATAAGGTAATAAGAAAGGAAGGCACTTTTAAGCTAACTCAATGAAGAATTGGGAGTAAAAGAAATGTAGGGATACACAATTATTATTGTGCCACTTTTTGGCAGATGAAACAAACCAGTTCCCTTTGTCTTTTCTCTCTAAGATGGCTTTCCAAAAATGCCATCATTTGATTGTTCTTTTTTGGGGGGGTGGGGACAGGGTTTTTCTCTGTTGTCCAGGCTGGAGTGCAGTGGTGTGATCTTGGCTCACTCCAGCCTCTACCTCCCTGGCTCTAGCCATCCTCCCACCACAGCCTCCAGAGTAGCTGGGACTACAGGCACACAACACCACAACTGGCTAATTTAAAAATTTTTTTTAGAGACAGGTTCTCACCGTATTGCCCAGGTTGGTCTTGAACTACCTGGGCTCGAGTGATCCTCTTGCCTGGTGCTCCCAAAGTGCTGGGATTACAGACATGAGCCACCGTGCCCAGCTTGATTGTTCTTGATGCCTTCACTACCGAGTTCAGGATGAAGCAGGGATGCTGTGGAGGGGATGTGCACTTACCATGAAGGAGGAACGGATGTGGAGAATGCAGAGAGGACATAGCGAGAACTGAGGCCATGGGCAGTGTGCCCGAGGCAGAGTGTGTGAATGAGGGACAGGCAGAGTGTGTGAGTGAGGGACAGGGATGGCCGGAGGAGGCAGAGTCTTTGAGTGGGCCTGAAGCTGGCACCCGAGAGCCTTCTATGCTGCAGTGAGGAGTTTCAGACTTGTCCTGGAGGGGACAGGGCCAGTGAGAGTTTCAGCAGAGGGAACAGGATGAGATTTGTTGGGGGCATCCTAGTTTGTTCACTGTGCAGGATGGGGAGCTTGGGGGCAAAATGGGAGGCAGCTAAGAGTCCTTCTTGGTCCATTCATTGATCTAAGCTTGTGGCTGTTGGAATGGAGGTGAAGGGACAGATCTGAGGGATGAGGTAAAGGAGGAAATGCAGTGAATGAAGTAGAGAAGGAGGGAAGGATGCCTCTCTCTGGAACTTTTCTGGTTCCTGGTTTCCAGGGGCTTGAGGTATTAGGCCTGGTTCTCAGGCAAACAACTGGAGCTCCTGGAGACACAAAAGGCAGCACCCAGGTCCATGAAATCATAAGCGAGGGACGTCAGCAGAGATTTTCCTTCCCGCTTTCCCCATTGCTTGTCCACTTTGCTCTTCCTCCATTGGGAGTTGTATCCTGTTATCCCAGGGGAGAAGTGATGCAGCTGAAATAATACCTGTGATTTCTGAAAGCTCTTGCCTTTCAAAAGTTTCAACCTAGACTGTCCCAGGACATAATGTTTATTTATAAAGATTAGATTTAGACCAATATGTGATGACCAAAGCAGGTTTCTGGCACAGGCGTGGCACAGGTGTAGTTAGGAATACTTGGGCTCGAAGAGAGAGTTGGAAAGGGTACTAATGGGTTTTGGGAGTTGTGTTCTCAGAAGCAGCTGTGCTCTCTGACTGCCCAGATACCTCCCCTTCTGGCCCCAGGCTGAGGCCTCAAGATGGGTCCCTGGAGAGACAGGGGCAATCCAGGAGCAGGGGGCCCTTGAGGCTTGCGTTCAAGGTGAAGCCCAGACAGGGGGCAAGCCATGCAGATTTTCCCTCTATTTAGCATGGAGAGGGGTGGGGCAGTGAGAGATGGCTGCATGGGCCTCTAGACAGGCAGGATAGCATCATGGAATTTCTCTACACCCTGCCTGGGATAGGGAGAGACCACATATGCCCAGAGCTCCCTGAGTGGGTGCTCTCTCTACATACTCTTCTCTCATGGAAAGTTGAGGCGGGTGGGTAGGGGACAGGGAGGCTGGAATAAGGGAGGTTACATGGAATTGACATAGATTGAATTTAACTTTAGTTATAGAGGGCAGGGAAAAATCACATTTCCTGAACACTTGAATTTGTGTTACCCAGGGACTAGGAACCCAGCGTAGTGTTCATCAGAAATGACAAGAAACACAGTAACTGGGTCAGTGAGAGGGAGCAACCAGATTAACAGGAAGGCAGATGGTGGAGACAAGCGAGATTCCGAAGGTGCTGCAATGACTTCCCCAGCGTGTGCAGAGCACTGAGGCCATTCAGACAGCTCCCACTTCTGCTTTGAGCAACAGTTCTTTTCTCACCAACGTAGAAAAGAACAGGAGGCAGAGCCGATGTGCAGATGAGAAGACGAGTCAATTTTGAACATGTTGAATGATGACAAGTGAATTTGGAACGTGTTGAATTTAAAGAGTCCAGGTGGGGCTGGCTTGCAGTGTTCACAGGTTGGAAACTGAGTAGGGAGGTGCATGCATGGAGTCCAGTGTTGAGTTATTAACATAGAAGCCAGGCTGTTGCACCAGATGATCTGGGGAGAGTGCAGAGGTGACTGGGGATGTCTTCCAGGATGTCTCCAAGGATGGGACCAGAGGCCACCAGAGGATTTACTGGAAGACGAGGAGCCTGCAAAAGTGGCTGAAAAACAGTGGACAGAGGAGTAGATGGAAAATAAGGAGATGTTTGGTTTCTGAAAGCAAAGGGAGAAAAAGGATTTTGATAAAATGGAGAGTGCTGGGTGTGTTGCCATGCTCCTGTAGCTCAGCTACGTGGAGGCTGAGGCAGGAGGATTGCTTGAGCCCAGGAGTTCAAATTCAGCCTGGGAAACATAGTGAGACCCCCATCTCTAAAAAAATACTCTCTCTCTCTCTCTCTCTCGAATATATATATATATATTTGAGAAGTGGTTAACACTGTTAAATGTGGCCACTTTCACTGCTTCTACCATCATCCCTCTGACCTGTGCCACCATCTTCTCTGGTGTCACTTAACGTCATCACAGAACTCACACTTGTCCCCTATGGTATATTTTTCCTACATCAGCCAGAGTGAAAAATGCAAAACTGATGATGTCACTTCTCTGGAAATAAACCAAAGCCCACCTAATGGCACACATAGTTTTATATGACCTGCCCCTCCCCACCCTGTCCCCTCTCTGCCCTCATCTCTCTCCTCTCCTCAGATTCACTCTGCTGTAGTTGCATTGGCTTCCTTCTGTGGCATGAGTGTGCCAGGCCTGTTCCTGCCTCAGGGCCTTTGCACTTGCTCTTCCTCTGCTTGGAACTCTCTGTCCCCATATATCACTATGACTTGTACCCTCATCTCCTTCAAGATTTTGCACACATGTCACTGTCCCTGAACATCTATTTAGAATTGAAGCCCCTGGCTGGGAACGGTGGCTTATGCCTGTAATCCCAGTACTTTGGGAAGCCAAGGCCGGTGGATCACCTGAGATGATCAGGAGGTCAGGAGGTCGAGACCAGCCTGGCCAACATGGTGAGACCCCCATCTCTACTAAAAATACAAAAAATTAGCTGGGTGTGGTGGCGCATGCCTGTAATCCCAGCTACTCAGGAGGCTGAGGCAGGAGAATCACTTGAACTTGTGAGGTGGAGATTGCAGTGAGTCGAGATCATGCCACTGCACTCCAGACTGGGCAACAAGAGCGAAACTCCATCTCAAAAAAAAAAAAAAAAAAGAGAGAATTAGAGCCCTCTACCCTCACCTCCACTCCATCATTCTTTAACCTCATTTTATGGCTTATGTTTCTTCTTGGCACATAACAAGGACTGAAGGAGTATTTGTTGAATAGATACAATGCTGCCTTGTGGTCAGCAGGGTAAACATATCAAAGTATCTGTTGTATTTAGTCACAGGAAATCAAGAGATATTCTGGTGAGAGCAGTTTCAGAGGACTTGATTGGCAAGGGAGAGTTTTCAAAGTGTTGGAGTGGAAATAGATGTTGAGAAAAGAGAAACACTGAGTTTTGACTACTGTTTGTCACAGTTTGACTGTGACAGGAAGGAGAGAGTCATAGTCATCATTAAAGAAGCATTTCTTAAAATATCCGAAGAGACTCACACAATCTCGTAGATAGACTGAGGGACAAGAGCTTATGCTGGGTGGGTGTGGGAGGAGACAGGGAGGAAGGTAAATAGGGAGGCAGGGAGGCAGGTCTCTAAGGGGACCTGGATTTAGAGCGCTGGGAGAGAGTTGGCCTTATTCAGCTCTTCTCCCAAGGCTGGGAAAGGAGGGAAGATGGAAATGGAGATGTGCCGAAAAGCTTTGGGGGGAAAGACTGTGACGTTCTGGCTAGATGTGTTTTTATTTTTTTCTGTGTAGTAGTTGCAGGAACAGGACGCAGAAAGATTTTTGGAAGAACTGAAAGCCACACCTGGATCTCCTAGTGCCCTAGGGATGACATTTCCCCCAGCTGCACATGCAGCCTGGGAATGGGAGCTGAGAAGTCAGATCTGAACTTGATTCAGAGTGGAAGCTTTGTTGGGCAGTTTCGATGGACAAAAATAGCAATGGGAAAGGGAAACCGAGGCTTTTGACAAGCTTACGATTTTCTAGCTCAGCTGAAAATAGGCATACATTTCTGTTCTTTCCAAGTAAGCAGAACTTGTGGATGATCTACCACATAGTCCTGACTCTGGAAGAAGCCAGCAGTGATCTTTGGATCCTTTTCTCTTGTTTTCAAGAGGAACATCCTTTCTATGCTACATGTAATAATGGAAAAACCTAAAATGAGCAATATAAGTAAATATCTTTTTCATCATCAGTTGGAGAGAGAACATTAATTCAACCTTGATAGACTGTGTGTTAGAATTGTGCTTTAACTTCTTCTCATCCTTCAATATGGGTGTTAGCTGCAAGTAGTGACATGAAGAATGACAGTGGCACAGTATGAGGCCACAGGGGCACCTGCTGACTATGACAAGGTGATGGAAGGAAAGAGACTGACCATGTAAACAAATGCCAGGGGAGGCAGGGTGATGAGCTTCAGCAAGAAGGAATTTTGTGCCAAAAACAGTAATGTGCTCTGGCTTACAGCAGCTAATCCTGAATTAGAAGACAAGCTAAACATGACTAAGAATGCAAGAGATAGATTACGCTTTTAATTTTAAAAATTTGCCATAAGCTGGGTGTGATGGCTCATGCTAGTGATCCCAGTGACTTGGGAGGCTGAAGCAGGAGGACTGCTTGAGGCTGGGAGTTTGAGACCACCCTGGGCAACATAGCAAGGCCCCATCTGTAAAAAATAAAAAAAATTTCTGGGTGTGGTGGCACATGCCTGTAAGTCTTAGCTACCCCAGAGGCTGAGGTGGGAGGGTTGCTTGAGCCCAGGAGTTCAAGGCAGCAGTGAGCCATGATCACGCCACTGTACTCCAACCTGGGTAACAGAGCGAGACCCCAACTCTAAAAAAAAAAAAGAAAGCCACACAAAAAATTTGCTATACCCCTCAGTTGTGTCATAATATACTTTTCCATCTGCACTGGTGTTCTATAATCTAAACTAGTAGAAAACTCACTGATAACTTTCTATGTAGGATCAGATTCTGGGTACTTATCTTTTTCTATCTATCTATCTATCTATCTATCTATCTGTCTATCTATCTATCTATCATCTATCTATCTATCCCCTATCCTATTTAGTTAGAATTCAAGCCACAATTTTAAAAACACACAATTGATTAAAAGCAGCAAATGCATAATTGCCACTCGACATCACAGATCTAGCATTTGGAGCTGTTGGAAATTTAATATAGCTCTGAGTTTTCTGGCAGTCATATAAATATATTTTTTATTCTGATAAGTACTTATAATGTTTTGCAGAGTAATATGTACCTAAATCCTAACTTTAGAAAGGAATATATTTGTTTATGTCTTTATAAATGGGTATTAATATAATACATTTTTTGTCTTTACTGTTTCTCTCCAGGGCAGAAACTGTTTAAATAGCCAGTCTTAAGTCCTTAAATGCATTCTTCACAATGTTAGAGTAAAACGATCTCTGTATATTGTTTTTCGAAGTGCTATCTTTGGAAATAAGAATAAAGCATGAGATCCTAGAATCATGGAAGACCTAGAATAATTGTTATTATTAATGGCCATCACTCTCATAGCCCTTATGCATCAGCCATACATATCTAGCATTTTACATATATTATTTCATGTAATAATCAAATCAACCATATAGTGGAAGTATTATTAATACCACCTTAATTTCCTGTTAAGGAAAACATAGTTCCAAGAGGTCAGAAACTGTCACAAGGTATAGCTATTAAGGGACGGAGCCAGAATTTGATCTCAGACAGGCTATTCCCTGGGCCTGCACTCTCACCCCCTACTGTGTACTCTTTCACCCTCAAATATTCATGTGTTGCCTAATGCACAGGGTCATAATCAGTTCATAGTTTAATTCATTCACAAAGGCCTTAAATGCAGTAAATTGAAGGGAATATCTCAAATATTTTACTATGATAGGATTTTGTGATTTTATGCATTCAGGGTCATCTCCTCTTCTTATAGAGTTGGACTGGCTCAAAGGTGTCCATAGAAGGGCCAATATTTTGTGCAAGAATCTTTCGACCTACTTAAATATTGAAAACTACTATTCATCCAGTATGAAGTGCCAGAAGTATGAATTCACAATTTATTTTTTTAAATTAAGAGGAAATGTAGCCAATCAAAAACTTTAAGATAAAGTGTCAAAAGTTGGCATTTTGTAGAAAGATTGCTAAATGAATCATAAAATTGTCAATTTATCTGATTGAGTAGGGTTATTTTGTCATTCATTTAAATTTAGAAAATTATTGTATTAGTTAGGTTTCTCTCCATTGAATATAACAGAAACTTAACTTGCATCACTGTTAGCATAAATAGGAACTTGCTGGAAGGATACTGGGAGTGACTCATAGGACTGAGTGAAGAACTGAACAATTAGGCCTTGGAAAGATCAGGGTCTATGCGAACCACAGGCTAGAACACCTTGAGGACTCAGTGCTTCTCTGTGCATGGTGGTTTAACTTTTTCAGCTTTCTCTGCTGGTAGAAGACATGGCTACCAGCTTTTCTAGAATCATATACATATCAATCCCACTCAGGGAAAAAGAGAAAACTTTCCACTTGTAGCTTCAATGAGAAAATTCCATGGGAAGGGTTATGATGGGCCTCACTTAGGTCATCCACCTGACCCTGGACAAATCTCTGTGGTCATGTGAAGTAGACAGCATTATGGACTCAGCCTGGTCACGTGCCAATACCTGTTGTCAGGGGTCTAGAGTTTGAGATTAGATGTCCTACCACAACTACATGATCAGAATGGGCAGAAGAAAAGTAGGATGCTCTTCTGGGCAGATAAAACAACTTGTATTTGTTACAAATATTTATAAAACTCAGTTTTAATTTTAGGGCAATGTAAGAGGAAGCTACTGCTTTGTAACAAAAATCCCTAACATCTAGTTGAATACAACAGTAAGCAATTATTTATTACATATCTATGGGTCAGCTGGACAATTCTACTGATTTTAGTTGAACTTGCTCAAGCATTTGCAGGTTGCATAGGGGTTGACCAATCTGGGGTGGACTCAGCTGGGCAGCTCTGCATTATTCTCCCTGGACCAGCAGACTAGTCTTAATTTGTCTTCTCTCAGTGATGATTAAGGTACAAGAATATAAGCCCAATCATGGAGATATCTTTCAAGCATTTGATCTCATTATTTCAGTCCTCATGCCATTGGCCAAAGCAAACCACCTGTCCAGCTCCAAAACAAGTGATGGGCAAACACATCCCATCTAAGAAGGTAGGTGTGTGAATGTTTATGAACAATAACCTTACCTCCAAAATTAATTAATATCAAAATGTTCTTCCTGGAATTAAAAACAAGAGCACCTAGTTCTAACCAAAATTCCCGCAGGGTTTTTCATGAATTTTGATAAGTTGATCTCAAAAGTTTATATGAAAGAGTAAAGACTGAAAATATAGCCAAGATTGTTTTTCAGATAAAAGTAAAGTGGTGGGAATTATCAAGATTTTTCATAAAGCTATAATAATAAACCCATTTAATACTGATATAGGGAGCTACAAGATGGAAATGGCCAAGGAGCTGTTTTTTGAAAGACAAGAGGTTGTAATATTCAATTTCAAACTGAGTTTCTATGACATTTCTCCAAACCTTCAGGCAAGTCTTCTCCATCCCCACCCCAAACACATATACACACAATAGGAAAACTGAGAAAAATTCATGAGGACATGGATTCTATTCACTCTATCGTAGCATACAGAACAGGGTCTGGTGTACAGTAGATACTTGATAAAAATGTTCTGCATAACTAGATAAAAACTAGTATGAACAGGTTTGATGTATTTCCACAATGATAACCACACTGGTTGCGACTCCTATATATCTTTGAAGGTGTAGAGATGGTAGATTATTTACATTCCTTTTCAACATCTGGTAGCTCTGTCTTAAAATTTTTGCTTTTAAGTACTATGATAATTTGTGAGAGGTCTTAATACCCACCCAATTAACTTTTAGAGACTTGTGGGAATGAAACCAAGGAGTATGAAATTGAAACAGGCATTCAATTTCTAGATAAAAAGAGATGACAAGAAAAACATGTAAAAGAAGTACAGCATGAAATAAAAGAGGTAGGAGTATTTTCCTTAGAATATTAAGAAAATGCAATACTATTTTTTGCACAGTTGAAGAACACGATTGAAGAGAATTACCTATCAGAGTAGGTTAGTGTTAGAAGCAGATGTTGTCTAGGCATTTTGTTGAAAGAGACAGACTTTTAAAAAGGTTTTTATAAAATTTAAATTTTAATAATCAATATTTTATAATATAATACATTTACATTTTAGAAGTTACACTTAGTATATATTATATATAATTAGTATATGTAATATATATACTAAGTATAATAGTATAATATATCTTAGTATAATATATATGTGTTAAGTATTTATATACCCGTTATTCCCTTGGGTAATTTATCCTTCATCTTCATGAGCTTTTGGTCTTGCCAACTGTGTTTTGCTCTCTGTAGTCCATCTTTGTAATATAATCTTTGACGTGGGCAAGAGCTTACTGAAGTTATTGTTCCTTATCTGGAGGGTTTACAAAATTAATATTAACAGAATGACTAGGAAAAAGGGAGAGCTGCGTGTCCAAATGGAGTTCCAAGAAAGGAATTGAAAGTGCCTGTGTTAATCTGTCTTCCCCACGAAGACTGCTAATACCGGTGAGGGTGGTAACGGGGTGGCCTGGTTCCCCAGAGCCTGGATGAAGTGACTGAAGTCATGAAGACATTTCCACTGGATGGAAATATTTAACTGAATGGTGGAAAGAAAAAATATTTCCATTCATTCAGAAAACACCGAAGGCCTACTGTGTGCCAAACATTGCTCAGCAGTGAACTAAGCAGATGAAAATCCTATTCTCCTTGGGTCTTCATGCTTGCACGCTTGCTTCTCTTACCCAGTTAATACTAGAAACTATGGAGGAGAAAATAGAGTGAAGGGTAGGGAACCAGCCCGCCTGAAGCAGCCATCGCTGACCCACGGAGAAAGGGCTGTGAGACTGGGAGAGAGAGGGAAGGGCATCAGGCAGGGCAGGATCCCAGGACAGGCTGGAGGGTGGTCCTGAGCTGGCCATCTGGGAGGAGTGAACTTCCTGACTAAGCAAAAGTAACTACCTATGAGGCCGTGGGATGAGATGAGTTTCCCATCATTATCTCTGTCCTTCCATTCCCGAAAAAATAAATAAGAAGAGAAGGTCCTCCTCTCCCAGGAGCTTCCCAGGGTGGTTTTAGTGGAATGTACTTGAGAGTAAATATCAGAAGACTTGGGTTCTAGTGTAAATTCTATTGCTGACAGTTTACTGGTGGGTAAAATGAGTTCAGTTTACATAGTCTCTCAGTTGTCTCTCAACTCTTTATGACTGTGTAGCCCACCAGAAGCAGAAATAAAGATATTCCCTGTTTTGTGTGCATACATTTCCTAGACCCAAACTCATGTCTTTGCATAATGCTTATCAATAGAATAACTAAATAAAGCATTATTCTGTTTATAATAGAATGCCTCATAATCTTGTATATTGTTGAAATACCTCAATTAAAGTTTTATTATTATTACTGAAACTTCATGGCATGAAAAGTCAAACTAATTTTTTATTCTAAAACCACACCCACCAATTGCCAATTTGTCTTCAGTGTAACAACCACGTCTTCTTTGCCTATTGTAACTGTGTCTTAGTTTCTATCTGAAATGTTCACTTACCTGTGAAGTTCCTGATATCCCCAGTCCGAATGCACTTTTTCGTCTGTCTTCTCTCAGCACCTGTTTTATCCCTCTGCTGAATCACTTGGCATATTCTCGCTTGTACTAGGTGTGTGTCTGTGTATGTGTAAGGGGAACAAACATATCTCCCACAAACGATTTTGAGTTCTTTGAGGGTAGGACTTGTATCTGACTCGTCTTCATATCCAAACAATTAACACAGCACATTGCATAAAGTAAATGCCCAACACACATTTGTGGGAGTGCATTTACCTGCCCTCTGACACATGCCAGTTGTTCTGGCTCCTGCAACTCCTCAGCTGCCTCAATTCCTGGGAAACTCAGCTAATAGTGATTAAAACCCACAGATTGCAGAAAAAAGATGAGATAAAACACACAGATTGTCTGGGTCTTGGAAAGGAGCTATTACAGATGGAATTGACATTGGCAAAACACCAAATAACATAAAAATGTGGTAGAATTGATTAATTCTGCCCAGTAAATAAACAAAGTTAATTTATCTTCTCAGTTAGTCACATATCTATGACTCCTGGCCCAGGTAGAGGTGGAGGCTGGCAGGCTGCTCAGGTCATAGGATGGCACCATTTAATTGGAGAGGCCCGGGCAGGGCTTTCCTACATACGTCCAATACTACCTGAAAGTACCTACCATACAGAATAGACCCCATCTGTAAGAATTCTGGTCTCTCTGGTTTGGAAGAGGGGAAATGGTCTCTTTTTGTTTCTGCTTTTATTTATATATTTTTCGTTGGGTGTGGGAGGGATTGCAAGGGTAGGAAACCCATAGTATCACAGGGGTCAGCTGATCTTCTTTGGTTAGTAAATAAAGGGGGTCCCCAGTCAGAGGCTCCAGGTAGCCATGTCAGAATGTACTCTTGGTGTTGAATCTACCATTTATCTTTCTAGCACTGGATTCATTTCTTAGTTAATGGGTCTTTGGTATAACTTCCGGGCCAGATCAGTGTAATTGCAAACCACTTGAGTGGGATTTTTATTCCAGGGGATGTGGGCATTGGTACAAAGTGAAGAAGAGAGAAGTCTAAGATGAGTAAAAAATAGTTCTTATCTTCAAAGTTGGTTATAGTCCAGGAAAAGATGGGCATGTCCACACTAGTGTGGGAAGTGGTTTGTGTGGGCTGAGTGTGGAACTGAGCCAATTTCCAACTTCCACATTTACAGAGTTCTAAGCCTTTTCCTTTCAGCTGTTTGTTCAACCCACGGCTAACGAGCTCTGGAACAGCATGTGGAGCACACATTCATATGACAGGGTTTCTGCTTTTAAGGAGTTTGTAAGCATCTTGTGGAGAAAAAATTGACCCCATGAAACAAATAATATAAACATTTAAAGTGCTTTGTCATAAGACAGTAACATTAGGTATAAAATAATTTTATTTATAAAGAAAAAAATTGGTACTGGCTTGAGTAATTAAAGATGTCAAGAAGGAGTAGGATTTGAGGAGGACCTTGAAGAAAATGAGAGCTTACAGAGAGGGGAGTATCCCAGGAGGTGGCTGATCCACCAGCACCATAATCACATAAAGTCATTTCTGGGATCATGTGATAACTATGTTCTTAAGAAGCCTTGTGTATTCTCAAATGTTTTATAAAGTATTTATTAGGGGTTGGGTAGAAGGAGACTACAAAGTAGAGAGTTTCAGAAGCTCATTAAAAAAGTTATTTGTCGGGTTGGGAATGGTGGCTCACGCCTGTAATCCTAGTACTTTGGGAGGCCAATGGGGGCGGATCACAAGGTCAGGAGATTGAGACCATCCTGGCTAACATGGTGAAACCCTGTCTCTACTAAAAATACAAAAAATTAGCCCGGTGTGTTGGCATGTGCCTGTAATCCCAGCTACTCCGGAGGCTGAGGCAGGAGAATCACTTGAACCTGGGAAGCAGAAGTTGCAGTGAGCTGAGATCACACCACTGCACTCCAGCCTGGGTGACAGAGTGAGGCTCCGTCTCAAAAACAGACAAAAAACAAACAACAACAAAAAAAGTTATTTGTCAAGTCAGGAGCAGTGGCATGTGCCTGTAGTCCCAGCTACTCAGGAAGCTGAGGACTAGAAGTGTTTCAGATTGCTTTGAACTTTGGAATATTTTCATATACTTCAAATGGGATATCTTGAGATGGGACCCAAGTCTAAACACAAAATTCACTTATGTTTCATATACATCTGATATGGTTTGGCTGTGTCTCCACCCAAATCTCATCTTGAATTGTAACTCCCACAATTCCCACATGTCATGGGAAGAACCTGGTGGGAGGTGATTGAACTATGGGGGCAGGTCTTTCCTGTGCTGTTCTCATGATAGTGAGTCTCACAAGATCTGATGGTTTTAAAAATGGGAGTTTCCCTGCGCAAGCTCTCTCTTTGCCTGCTGCCATGCAGGTAATATGTGACTTGCTCCTCCTTGCCTTCCACCATGATTGTGAGGCCTCCCTTGCCATGTGGAACTGTAAGTCCAAGCCCAGCCTCAGGTATGTCTATATCAGCAGCATGAAAACAGACTAATACAACACCTTATACACATAGCCTAAAGGTGATGTTATATAATATTTGTAATAACTTAGAGCATGAAACCAAGCTTTTTTTTTTTTTCTCTTTTTAGACAGCATCTCACTCTGTTGCCCAGACTGTAGTGCAGTGGTGTGATCTCAGCTCACTGCTGCCTTGACCTCCTGGGCTAAAGCGATCTTCCCACCTCAGCCTCCTAAATAGCTGGGACTACAGGCATGTGCCACCACTCCCAGCCCACCATGCCTGGCTAACTTTTGTATTTTTTATAGAGACATGATTTCACCATGTTGCCCAGGCTGGTCTTGAACTTCTGAGCTCAAGTGATCAGCCTGCCTTGGCCTATCAAAGTGCTGGAATTATAGGTGTGTGTTGCCCCTCTTGGCCTAAACAAAGCTTTGATTGCATTTTGACTGCAACCTGTCATATGAGGCTAGGTTTGGAAAATTTCTACTTGTGGTATCATGTTGGTGCTCAAAAAGTTCCTGATTTTGGAGCCTTTCAGATTTCAGATTTTCAGATTAGGGATGGTCAACCTATTGGTAGCATAGCTTCCATGCCTTAACTAGTCCCTAGGCACCCAAACAAAGTAGCTGTGTGTTCCTGGGCAGCTACTTTGCAGGGCACTGTGCCAATACCTGGTCAAGCTCACATTCTAACCAACAGGCATAGAATGAAATTAATGCAATAATCAATGGCATTCTATTCAATACTAGTTATGAAAATTTAAGCTGTAGGGAAATGGCCACGTTTAAACCTTACCAGGCTTCTAAGTGTTTTCAAACACATCATCTTGTTGGATTTCCATTCAGTGCCTACCTGTGGTAGGGAGGCAGACTTCTACGATGGCCACAATTGATTCCTGTCTCCTGATATTCACATCTTATGTGATCCCCTCTTGTTGAGTGCAGGCTGGATCTAGAGACTTGCCTCTTACCAAAAACATATGGCAAAAATAATGAGATGTATGTAACCTCTGTGACTAGATTACAAAAGACTGTGACTTTTGTCTTCCCAGCAGTCTCTTTCTTCTTGGTGTTGATGAAGTTAATTGCCCTGTCGGACAGGCCCATGTGGCAAGGAACTGAGGGCAGCCTCTGACCAACAGTCAGAGAGAAGCTGAGGGGTCCTCAGTTCTATAACTGGAGAGGAACTGAAACCTCCCAATAGCCATGTAAGTGAAGGAGTGCAGGGAATTTCACCCCAAAATATGGCTCCCTGGTATAATGAGTATTTTGAATTAAAGTTCTTAAGAGATCAACAGATGCTGGGAATGACTTTTTCCTTATCCACATGAAGACTAGACAGACCCACCAAGAAGAACAATTAGTTTTTCTTCCTCTCCCTGTTATCACACTAGCTATTGCAGAGAAAAAGACCAAGAAGTAACCAGACCTGATTATACCCCTTCACGAAATATCTATCCCTCAGGCTCATTCCATTTCCAAAGAGAATCATTTATAAGTTAATCTCTGTTCCCCTATCCATTCATCCTCCCAAGTATTCTTTCATTCTCCCTTATAATCATTTATTGCCCCTTAACAGAATTACCTATATTCCCATCACTCTCCTCCCCTCTAAAATAAGGCTATATAAATATTTGAACCCCATTGGGATGTTGAGTAATCATTCTTGATTCTCCCTCATGGTATGTGAATAAATTTGTGTGCCATTTCTCCTATTAATCTGCCTTTGTCAATTGATTTTTTTCAGCAACCTTCTGACAGCTGTAAACCAAAAATAAAATTCTAAGCCCCGCAACTGACTGATGGACCCCTCTCCTGGCCAAGGTCATTCCAAAGTGAACCTGAAAAACTAGTTCAGGCCATGAACTAGTTTCGGTCTTGCTCTAGTATAGAATCACACGACATTTAGCAAACCCATAAGGAAATCAAGTATTTTAGCCCAAAAGATATTTCTTTGACATGTTTTGAAATGGCCCTAAAAAGCTGTCTCTTACGGGGAACATCTCCATTCTGTAGAGAATCCCCTTTCTTTTCTGGATCTTTTCCCTGATCCAGGAGACCATTAACGAAGTGTCTGGCACCCTTTTAGATCTGATATGAGCTATGAAGCCTGCTACCTGTAGGCTTGATCTGCATAATAAAAACCTTGGTCTTTAGATAATAACCTAACTTTTTCAACCAATTGCCAATCAGAAAGTCTGTGAATCCACCTATGACCTGGAAGCCCCTGCTTCAAGTTGTTCCACCTTTCTGGACTGAGCTAATGTACACCTTCCATGTATTGACTGATGTCTGCCTATAACTGCTGTCCCCTAAAATGTATAAAACCAAGCTGTAACCCAACTACCTTGGGCACATGTTCTCAGGACCTCCTGGGGCTGTGTCATGGGTCATGGTTATTACATTTAGCTCAGAATAAATCCCCTCAAATATTTTACAGAGTTTGACTCCTTTTGTTGACACAGCAAAGGGGAAGCTTTCCCTTCACCTCTACATACGTGAACTTGCAAGTGAATCTTTCCCCAGCTGACGCTTCAGATTGCCTTGATTGCTACCTGTGAGACAGCCTGAAGCAGAAGATCCAGACAAGTGCCCCGGAACCCAGTGGAAACTGTGATGTAATAAATATATGTTGTTTTAGACTCATTTGTTATGTAGAAATAGACTCTGTGATATGGCAGGGGTTAGTGATATCTCCACTTTAAGACCAGACAAATATGGCTCAGAGACAGTAAGTGACTAGTGTTGGGTAGTGTGGAGTGGCCAAGCTGAACATTTGTGATCTTCAGCCTGGTGATGTGTCACTGATCCCCTGCACCACTCCTCCTCCACACGAGTGTGGTACATATGGACTGTCAGGCCCTATCAATCTCTTGTTATTTGTCTCTTTCCTGTTTATCCACTAATGCTCAGCCCAAGCCAATGTGCACTAAATGTATCTTTCTCTGTTCCACCGTAGTAATCTATAATTTTGAGGAGTGCTGGAAAATCCTGGGAAGCTGTATAGGGATTAAGCTCAGCTCCCCTTTTTTGGGGGTAACTAAGCCCCGTGCATTTGTGCTAGTGGGGACCATGCCCAGGCTCCGATCCTAGCTATGCCACTTAACGACTATTTGAAATGTTACTAAGTGCCTCTGGGAATCCATTTCTATATCGGAAAAATGAAGGTAACACAACCTCTCTCTTAAGACGCTATGAAGATTAAGTCAGGTAACACACGAAACCCTGATGTGCAAACATTCAAATGTTATGCTCCCCTTGCTGCTGTCTGTCCTTAATGTAGCCAAAGGTACCCATGCATCTAGGTCTTCTGAAAAACACATGCATGTTGGACAACCTGAGCTTTTAACAGTCATAATATAACATTTTCTTTACTTATATTCCAAGTTTATCTTTTATCCGTATTAGGTAATTATTCAAATCAGTTGAAACTGGATAAATATCTGTTGCAAACCAAAAATAAAATTCTAAGGCTCCCCAGCCATCTGAATGGACTTCCTCCTCAGCCAGGGTGCTCTTAAAATGTAACCTGAGAGACTGGTTCAGGCCACGATGGGAAGTGGGGGGTCAGACATGCTTCATTATACCTCTCTGGTGTTAACATAACATAGACCTTAAGTCGGATTGAAACATTTGCAATCTATTCTCTCTGAAGCCTGCTACCTGGAGGCTTCATCTTTATGATAAAACTGATCTCCACAACCTCTTATCCCAACCCAGGCATTTCCTTTCTATTGATCCCAGGTATTAGATAAACACAACCAATTGTCAACCAGAAAAATTTTAAATCTACGTACCACCTGAAAGCATCCCTCCCTTTTGAGTAGCCCTACCTGTCTGGACTGAACCAATGTACATCTTAAATGTATTTGACTGAAGTCTCATGTCTTCCTAAAATGTGTAAAACCAAGCTGGACCCAACCGCCTTGGGCAAACATTCTCAGGACCCCCTGAGGGCTGTGTCACGGGCCACAGTCAGTCATGTTTGGCTCAGAATAAATTTCTTCAGAATACAGAATACAGAATAATATTCTTCTGTAATAAATTTTACAGAGTTTGACTCTTTTCATGGACACTATGAGCCAAGTATCTCTAATATTCAAGGAGTACGCAAAGGCCTCTGTGGCATGATGGTCAATCCTATGGAAAATGAACATCTTGCCTTAACTAGAAGTATAGAATGTGCTGATTAGGGCTATGGGCTCTGAAGTCAGGCTTCCCAGTTTGAGCTCTCTGCCAGATTTAGCTGTGTGACCTAGGGCTTTGTCATTTGAAAAATGACTATAAGAATAGTACCTGTTCATGAGGTTGAGAGGAGAAGGTGAGGATTAAATGATTTCAACCTTGTTATGTGTGCAGCCCAGGGCTTTCAGCATAGCAAGCATTTTATACATATTAGGCCTCGCCAGTTTCACTGAGAGTTTTGAAGAGGAATAAACAAGTAACTTCTGATATTATCTAAAGCTGAAGCCCAGAAAAGCACACTTGTGAAGGGAAGTTTCACTGTGTAACATATATTCAGGTTACGTATTTTACAATTACACATGGGGATAAATTCATTGATCTAGGCAGATTTTAATAGGTCTAGCTGGAAGCTTCAGAAGTGCAGTGATGGAATTAATTAGATACTAAGTCCTTGATGAAATTTGAGAATTTCATTGAGTCCTTGATTTGAGAATTGAACGTATTCAAAAGCCTTGCCCACAAGCTTGTAATCCCTATGGAACCAACCAAACTCATCAAGAAATGAGTATGTTTTTAAAGTCCAATTTGTGATAAATAGCTCTTTTTCCATTTTCCTTGCTTTCTGCGAGACAGGGGTGAGAAGCTCTGCTGAAGGTATTTCCTTAATGAAAGTGTTTCTTTTATCACGGAAAGGAAATATTGAGTTATTCCTGACAATTCCCCCTAACTATGAGCTCTGTAGCTCTCTAAGGAAGGAATCCTGTAGCTTTTCCTGAGATGCAGGGTCTGCCCGGCAGGGAGAGTGAAATAGACTAAGTCTGCCGCTCAGCTGCCTTTGTCAAGGGCCAGACCCTGGCCTTGGGAACTGACTCGCGGCAGTTTGCAAATGTATGTGCTTGGTGGGAAGCCTGCAGTTCCCTTTATTCTTGAACCACAGGAAACCTGATAGGGAAGCCGTAGTGTGTCATCCCTGACTACCCCAGCTTCCAAACAGGAACATCATGAGTAACTTTTCAGACAATATCAAACATGAACATTCAGTGTTTAACCAATTCTTTCTCCAGATGCAAATAACAACTTGTTCTACATCCTTTCCTACAAACCTACTGTTTAAACAGCCAAGTAAAAGAACAGATCTTCCACTAGGTTTGAAGCCTGAGTTTTTTACAGGGAATGAATAAGAATTTCTAATTTTTCTACCTCCCTCACTGTTACCATCCAACTTTTATTTCTCTTTCCTGGTTTTCCTTAAACCCCTATGGAAAGCCAACAAATCAAAACTAATGAGAGCGTTCAGGACATGCTACCCCTAAATATAGGGGCACTTGGAATACTGAGTGTTTTAAGCTGAGGGAAACTGAGAACATTGTAGAAGCAGGAAGGCCTCCTGAAACTTCTCCCACCTTCTTTTCTGAAGCAGACTAGGAAAGTAGAAAGAATTTTCTTACCATCCCCTGAAGCAGGTCATAAGACCCTCATTTGAGATGTATCTTTTCTGTACCCAGAGGAAAGGAGTATCTTTATCTGTGAAGACACAGGGACTCTGAGAAAAATCTCAGCAATAGGCCTTGCTATGATTACCTTTAGATCACACCCATCTTGTCCTCTAATCATACTTCCCCATGACTGTTCGCTTTTCATTAAGCCTAAGCATAAAAATGCACAAGTTTACCTGTTTCTTTGATCTTCATATCCAAAGGCTCCTGTGTCACGTAAAGCTTCTATTAAATAAATTCATATGCATTTCTCTTGTTAATCTGTCTTTTGTTATAGGGGCTTCAGCCATGAACCTAAGATAGGAAGAAAAGATATTTCTTTTGCCCTATACTATTCTTTTTACTGGTATTCAGAATGACTAGGAATTAAAGACTTTTCCTATCAATTGTTTTCATATATGTACCTGCCTCTGTCTAAAAGCTTAGGAAATACACCTATGGAAAAGAGATAAATCTGTCTCCCGTCATGCTGTAGGATACATCTTTTACAACACAGATGACCCCCAGAAGAGTGATTTTTTATGCTCATTCTATACCTAGTTTGTTTTTAACTTAGTTGTGAGTGAAGCTCATTTCTTTTCCAAGCCCCACTGAGGTAGACATTACAAGTGTTCATCAATCTCTGGCTATTTTCTAATTCTGGGTGTATGGAGTGACACACTTTCCCACCCCCTTGAATTTAGGCTTGGCCACTTAGTTTTCTTAGGCCCATGAAGTGTGAATGGAAGTGACCTGTGTAGAAAGTGTTGGGAGGAAACTTTTCCTCTACCATTTTAGGCTTGGATTGTTGGGGCCCTGTGAGTTAATGGACAATAGGTAAACTAACAGGAGAAATGACAAGTTTATTAACCATGTCCATGTACACTGGGGAGTGCTTTAGTAACAAGTAAATCCCCTTTAGTAATGAGTAAATATGATAAATCTTTTCTTGATTATCTCTCTCATTCTAAAATATTCATTTTTAAAAGAGATGTTATTATCATGTAAATAACATGACTCATTTTCTTCAGGGATTCATGAAAGATGTCTGTCCAAAGCTAAAAGGTTATACACCAATTTATCCACTAGCAAGAAAAGGAGAGGGGGAGTTTAGGACTTCAGTGAGAAAGTATGGAAGGTTCTATTGGGCTTTTAAATGCTCATGGGAAGCTGAATTCATACTTCCTAATATTTAAAAGTCATTCTTCTGCCAAACAGGAAACTCCCTCGGAAGGACAGGGGTGGCCATTTCTCCTATTTCAGCTGTACTTTCTTGGGTGTATCTGCTTAAGTTTAGATAATGTTTCTTTCTGTGACTGATGACTGTTCACGTGTTGTTAGTTTAAAGTAATGTTAATCTCTTCAAAAGTATTTCATTGCTAGGGCGAGACTCTCTGAGCCCTGTCTCCCTGGAAATGATCATGGCAGCACATATTGTTACGTAGATGCTGAGCCATCACTGAGTGCACAGAGATCCTGGACAATCTCCTGGTCTACAGACTTCATGTAGGCACAAAAGAAACCTTGGTTAGTTTAAGCCTCTGCAATGTGTTGTTTGTGTAAAGGAAAAGAAATATCTTTTCTCCACTCATTTCTAGGTTCATGGCTGAGACCCCTATAACAAAAGACTAGATTAGCATCAAAATTTATTTCATGTAAGTTTTACATTACATGAGAGCCTTCAGAAATGAGGACTCAAAGAACCAGGGAAACCTGTATATGTTTATGCTTAGGCTTGCTGGAGTGTAGAGTCAGTTGTGCAGGAGTTGGATTGCACAAAAGGAATATGATTGAATGGTAGCCCGCTAGGGGAGTTTAGCAAGGCCTGCTTGTTCAGCTTCTTCTTGGAGTCCCTGTGTCTTCGAGAATAAGAATGTTCGTATCCTCTGGGGAAAGGAAGGGTGCCTCTGGAATGAAGGTTTTATGACCTGCTTCAAGGAAGAAGGGCAAAGGGATAGTGAGACTACCTTCCTGCTTCTGCTGTTCTCTCCAGTGCCAAGCTGCCATATTTTGGGGTAGTGTGTCCTGAAACCTATTATCAGATTTTTTAAAAAGTTCCTGGTGATAATATTGCTAGCGGTGGCGAATCTGTACGGGTCTGCCACTGCCTCAATTCTTGCTTCTGCGGAAGAAAGAATTTGACTGAGGGGCATAAGGCAGAAGAAGAGACTGAGGCAAGTTTTAGGCAGGAGTGAAAGTTTATTAAAAAGCTTCAGGGCAGGAATGAAAGGAAGGAAATTACAATTGGAAGAAGGCCAAGCGGGTGGCTTGAGAGATCAAGTGCACTGTTTGACCTTTGACGTGGGATTTTATATGTTGGCATGCTTTGGGGGGGCTCGTGTCCCTTCTCCCCTGATTCTTTTCTTGGGGTGGGCTGTCTGCATTCACAGTGGCCTAATAGCCTTGGGAGGGGAGCATGCTCAGTGTGTTTACTGGAGTTTACACTTGCTCACTTGAGGCGTTCTTCCCTTACCAGTCGAATGTCCCTCGAAGGTCATATACCAGTTAAACTCCACCATTTTTCCTCTTAACGTGCATGCTTGAGCCCACTTGCCCAGCTCCTGAGATCTTATCAGGAAGCTGCTGATTTCAGATGTTTCTGTTTACTGGGAGACGGGGCCTTTCCCTGGTGCTGGCTATGACCAATCATTATTTTATAGAGACAATCAACAACCAGCTGACCATCCCCTGACGGTTGCCTGACATTCCTGGTGGTTTGGTGGGGTGGCCTCTCCTACTTTCCTCATGTCTGACTAGCTACCTACTGTTAACAATAGGATGAATGTGTTTTTTTTTTTTTTTTTTTTGAGACGGAGTCTCTCTCTGTCGCCCAGGCTAGAGTGCAGTGGCGCCATCTCCGCTCACTGCAAGCTCTGCCTCCCGGGTTCACACCATTCTCCTGCCTCAGCCTTCTGAGTAGCTGGGACTACAGGCGCCCGCCACCAAGCCCAGCTAATTTTTTTTTTTTGTTATTTTTAGTAGAGAAGGGGTTTCACCGCATTAGCCAGGATGGTCTCGATCTCCTGACCTCGTCATCTACCCATTTGGGCCTCCCAAATGCTGGGATTACAGGCGTGAGCCATTGCGCCCGGCCGAATGTTTTTCTTGATTATGTATCTTTTTCATGCTAAAATATTCATTTTTAAAAGAAATACTGTTATCATGTAATTGACATGAATCATTTTCTTCAGGGATTTATGAAAGATGTCTATCCATTTGTAAGCTTTTTCTCATATTTCGTAAAGTGCTTTATTGATATGTGGGTGTAATAAATCCTTGCTCTACTGGTAACCTTTGTTCACTTTTTTCTATATTGGAAGCAAGCATGCCCTACCTGAAACAGGACTTGCTATTTCCCACTAGAGGTTTGTTTCTTAGCCATAAAGCCTTGGCTCCTCGGAGCCTTCTGTTCAATTGTGAATGAGCTCAGTGTGACTGCACTATTCATTCACTTTTCCTTTCGCAGATAGTTTTTTGAATGTTCACTATGTGCCAGGCATTGCATTAGGCTCATTAAAAATAATTTATTGGGAGGCCATTCGGCTGAGATGGCCTAACTTCAGCACCTTGGGTTTCTATGTAAGCAAACCGAAACCTAATGCAATGTAAATGGTAAAATGAAACTTAAACTTTACTGATCAGGAACTGCCAACTAACTCCTAATTAGGGACTTTACTAATCAGGAACTGCCAGCTAACCTCTAATTAGGTCTTTACCAATCAGGAATCACCAACTCAGCTCTTAACTCGGGACTTCACCAATTAGGAATGGCCAACTCACCTTTAACTAGAGACTTTAAGGCTAGTATTCCACTGTAACCAGTCACACATTTCTTCGTCTTGCTTCCGAGAAGAGCCTTATTAAAGTTTTCCCCCCATGCTCCTTTGGTGAAGCTGAAAATCTCCTGTCATCTTCAGCTGCTTGATTTATGAATCACGGTTTGCCCAAATAAACTCTTTGAAAGTTTAGTGTGCCTAAGTTTATCTTTTAACAAGCTGTTGGTTATTTGTAAATAAAGACAAACGCTCTGACCTCGAGTCCCTCATAAGTTAGGCACAGAGGCCAACATGTCAGCTGGTAATAGCAATACAAAGTGGTAAATTAAGCCAGTGACAGGAGTTTACACAGGGTGCGTGGAAGGGCAAAGGATTAGCAACTGTTCTAATACTGAGTGATATGGTTTGGTTGTGTCCCCACCCAAATCTCATCCTGAATTGTAGTTCCTATAATCCCCACGTGTCATGGGAGGGACTGGGTGGAAGGTAATTTAATCATGGGGGCAGTTACCCTCATGCTGTTCTCATGATAGTGAGTGAGTTCTCACGAGATCTGCTGATTTTATAAGGGGCTTTTCCCCCTTTTGCTCGTCACTTCTCCTTGCTGCTGCCATGTGAAGAAGGATGTGTTTGCTTCCCCTTCTGCCATGATTGTAAGTTTCCTGAGGCCTCCCCAGCCATGCTGAACTTAGTCAATTAAACCTCTTTCCTTTATAAATTACCCAGTCTCAGGTTTGTCTTTATTAGCAGCATGAGAATAGACTAATTACACTGAGGGAATGTACACAGAAGCCTTCTTAGAGATGATACCTGTCTGAAAAATGAAACCGTTAGATAAGAGAGCAAGGCTAGGACTGGGCAGGAAGAGTAAACTCTTTGGCCTTGATGAATGTACCATGTTAGTGTGGGGACAAGGTTGTGGGATGAGGGCACGAGGAATGATGATAGTAGAAGGAAGATAGTGTAGAGACAAATTTTGCAAAGTCCATAAATTGCCAAAGACATGATCTAAATAGATTAAACAGAACAGTAGATGATATGTATTCTTTCTGGGTAGGAGTGGGGGTGCTAAAGGGAAGGAGAAAAAGAGTGAGTACAAACCCTCAGAGATTCCTTCTCTCTTCTGAATAGTTACAGCAGAAGTCTATTTTCACTTTTAGTGGGCTGGTCAGCATCTGGATGAGTAGTATTTGTAGATTTCCAGGCTTCTGTGGTTTGGAGGTTTATGATAAGGATTTTACTGTTGGATGGGAATCAGAGTTCCTGCAAACTGATCCTGATCCTTGACTCAGTCGGGCCACCTGGCTATGGCAGTATGTTGCAGACAAATGGCTGTAGTCACATGGCTCGGCAGTAAAGGTATGTTGAAAGGTAGTTCTCCAGAGAGAAAGGTAGATCTCTCTCATTTCTTACATCTTGTGAGCAGAACTAACAGACCCCTTGTTCTTTTCAAAGATGTTTGTATAGTAAATAGTCTTGGAAAACAGAGGTAAGATCTCTCTCCACAACAGAGGGCAGGTTTGTTTGCTGTCCAGTATAATAATATCTCTCTCTAGGGCAAAGAGAGAGATATATTATTTTCTTTAATGAGCGGGTTTGTTTGTAGCCCATTAAAGAAAAATAAAGTTTTCCTAAATTTGGGATTCCTTGGCTATTGTAACCAAATTCATGTTCAGCTGCTCACTGCTTGAAAAGCCAGACATGAGAAGTGAGGATTAGTGGGAGGAAAGCAGGTTTCTTCAAGTGCTAGAAGCTTGAGGAAACAGCCTGACTCAACTCTCAAAAAACCATCTCAAATTCTCAGTTTGGCTAAAGAGGTTTAAAGGGGAAAGGTGGCATGGAAACTATGCACCAGCATGGTGCGGGGTGCAAGTTTGCTTGTAATTTTCTGGTGACTTTTTTCAGTAATGGACCACCCAGAGGCCTCACTGGCATCATCTCAGCAGGGTTCAGGTTATGGATTAATTGAACACCAATTTTTTCTCAGAAGGGAGAAAATTGCAACTGCTATCTCCACTTTATGCCTACATTATTTCAATATTGGCCACTGGAATTCTCTAGCAAACAGTTACATGTAACAAGGAACAAAGGGAGGGAGGGGTTACTTTTAGAGTAAGCTAGCAAACTGGCTATACTAGTTACAATATGATGCAAACCTCCTTCATGTATCGACCCAGCCCACCTTCATTACTCCAGTGAGACTTAGCAGAACAAGGGGTTGATGTGAATATGAAAACACATGCTACCCGTTGTGTTGGAAGTAAGAAAGTCCTTTGAGTCTAATCCAGAGTCTTGTGGCTTTTGCAATTATCCATGAAATTGTGGCAGGATAAATTGTTAGCTTGCTTTTTGGTAAATAGCTTAGGTCTTCACAGCTCTTGACAGGCAGGACACTGGTGCAAGACTCCAAACTGCAGCAGGATCATGATAAGGGTGTCTTTGAACAACACACTTGGAGTTAGGCATTATCCAGGTAGAACAGAGCTAATAGTTTCTGCTTGATCCATATTGATTATGAATTTGACAAGTTTCTATCACACAGATCACTCAGGAAATCAGTGTTAATGGAAATGATTACACAGGGGACTATAATTTTATTTACAGTATGTGAAAGTTGAAAAACATAGGGACATAAATACAATGTCTAATTAAATTCTGTTTTAATTCCTTTTGGACTGCCGGGACCAGTTCGGTCGGGGAGACCCTAACCTAGTGGCGCTAGAGGAATTAAAGACACATACACAGAAATATAGAGGTGTGAAGTGGGAAATCAGGGGTCTCACAGCCTTCAGAACTGAGAGCCCCGAACAGAGATTTACCCAGTGTTTATTAATAGCAAGCCAGTCATTAGCATTGTTTTTATAGATATTAGATTAACTAAAAGTATCCCTTATGGGAAACGAAGGGATGGGCCAAAATAAAGGGTTGGGTTTGGCTAGTTATCTGCAGCAGGAGCATGTCCTTAAGGATCGCTCATAATATTGTTTGTGGATTAAGAATGCCTTTAAGCAATTTTCTGCCCTGGGTGGGCCAGGTGTTCCTTGCCCTCATTCTGGTAAACCCACAACCTTCCAGCATGGGCGTTATGGCCATCATGAACATGTCACAGTGCTGCAGAGATTTTGTTTATGGGCAATTTTGGGGCCAGTTTATGGCCAGGTTTTGGGGGGCCTGTTCCCAACATTGGACCACTTTTCATCCACTTCCATTCAAAGTCTGGATGATGGAACAAATAAATAAGGTGATCATTAATGTATATATGGATTTTCCATTTTATTTTTCATATTACAAAGTGATATGATAGACTGAATTGAGCCTGAGCTTGAGATTTATTGAAAGCAGATTTTCCTTTATCATCAGCTGTCATTTTAAATATACTAAGGAGAATATGCAACACTGGGATTTATGAGACGTGGCTTGAGTTGCTACACTTTGCCTTGGTGGAAATTCCAGTCTTGTGAGAGATACTGGAATGAAATACATCTTAGTTAGTTTACTGGAGGAACACCATAACATTTGGGTTAAGAGCACAGATAATGAAGATACACTGCCCATGTTTGAATTCTGGCTTTATGTCTACAGCCATACCACCCTGAATGTGCCTGATCTCATCTGAATTCTGTCTTTATCATTTACTAGCTGTGTGATCCGAAGTAAGTTACTTAACCTTTCTAAGCCTCAGTGTTCTCTTTTGTAACATGGGGATAATAGGACTTACCTGATAGGGTTTTTGTGAGAATTAAATGAATGTATACACATGTATAGTTGTGCTTATAATGGTATCTGGCACATATATGTACTGTAAGTTTTTGGTATTATTATACATATATGTACATTATTGGTACATATACTAAGACCAGTATTTCATATCATAAAACTGAGAATAATATCTGAAATAACTATTATTTGAATTTTTCCCTCCCCTCTAAAAAAATGTTAACTTGCTTACAAATAATTACCTGTGTGGAAATGTCTGCAAATAGTCATTACTCTAATTAGTTCATGGAGGATATGTTGGGCCAAATAGATACAGCAATACTTAATTTTCCTTTACAGAGTTAATGGTTTTTAACCCTAACAATTTATCATTCAAAACATCTGAGTGCCTACTATGTGCAAAGTTACATATTGGCCATCTTTTAGCTCAAAAAGATTGTTCCCTACTAATTCTGAGACTAGTAAAAGTCTTCTGTAAAACTCTTTGATAGTCATGAGGGTATTGGGGCTGACAATATGATACCCCAAAGTAAGGCACCTTGGCATGCTGAGTACTTTGAACTAAAGGAGATTGAAAGACTGAGAGGCACGGTCCTTCTGCTCCTCTCCCGTCCTCCTATCTGTTGCCCCTCTTTCTACCACAAAGCGAGTCATAGAAACCAGAATTCCTCTTTCCCAAGGTGGGTCACAGAAACTAGAACCTCTTTCTTCCAAAGCAAGTCATAAAACATATAAAGGTCACTCTCTCCCTTCTCCCTTGAAAATTCTCATTCCAGATGGGTCCTGCCCCATATCCAGGAGGAAAGAAGGCTACACAGGGAGGCCAAAAAGAATCTGATCAGTCAGACCTCACTGGGTTCTGCCCTCAGTCTATTACCCTTTGGTCCAATCACACTTCTACACGGCTACCCATTCTTCATTGATCCTAAGCATAAAAATAGATGGTTTTCCCAGGGTCTTTAGGTCTTCATCTCTGAAGTTTCCCATGTCACATAAAACTTTGATTAAATAAATTTGTTACGCTTTTCTCTTGCTAACCAGTCAGTCTTTTGTTATAGAAATGTCAGCTGTGCTGGATGAGGAAAGGTGTCACATCTTTCTGCCCTTACAAGTGCATAAAGAGGTCTGTTGCTTACAAAATGTCTGGCGCATAATAAACATTCAAAAAAACAATGTGTCATTAGCACTGTCAGGCCCGGCCTATTGTGGAGCGTCTGTAAATGCAGGTGGTGCTAAGTCTGATCACAAAATAACTGAAATCACAGATTACCAATGATTGGTAGTTGGGTTGGGTTAGTAGTTTAAGAAATTATTCCATACTTCATGGGTACAGACCTTTTGTCCTGTGACCCTTGCATTTTAGACTACCTGTCTTTATGTATTTTAGCTTTATCTTTGGCGGGTAGATGAAAAGTCAGCATGTTCTTATTTATTTTTAAAATTTGAGGAACTCCGTGATCAGAAACCGTCGTGTGTGTGTGTGTGTGTGTTTCCATTTTATAGCCTAACTTCCTCTTGGGTCTCATATAGCTTAGTCTATTTTCTAACATGAACTTCCTTCCTTTCTGCATAACAGTGTCTGAATTTGCAGGACTCTGTACCCAATAAGTGTTGTTAACTGATTGGTAATCTGTGATTTCAGTTATTTTGTGATCAGACTTAGCACCACCTGCATTTACAGATGCTCCACAATAGGCCTGACCTGAGAGTGCTAATGACACATGGTTTTTTTAATTGTTTATTATGTGCCAGACATTTTGTAAATAAAATCTCATTTAATAACGTTAAACTGTACTTAAAGCATCTAGTTATTTAGAAGTCACATAGCTGTAAAAACAGCCCACTTGTCAAATCCAATAATTATGAGTATTACTTATCATATTTTATGCTGCGTTAGGTCTAAAGGCATATATAGATATTGCTTATCCTAATATTTTTTCCAAGGCAAAGTGTAGCTACTTAGGTCAAACTGTAAAGTCTAATTATGTTGACACATAGAGCAAGGATTAAGGCATTAAATATTTGGGATTTCTATTCATATTTTAAAAGTCACAGAAAATTACATTTCTTGACCCTTTTTTTTCCACATTTTAATTATGCCAAAAATGATTTTAACTAAACATTTTTCCTTATCAGAAAAAAAACCTGGCTTAAAAACAGTGTCTTCTCTCTATCTCTGGCAATATCAATATTGATATATAAAAAGGACAGTATATACAGGTAACTTTCCTAAGCCTCCCAAGACCCCTTTCATAATCCAGGCTATGTGCTTACTCCATAATGTTGTACAGTCCTGGTGGGGTCTGCTTCGCTGTTTCCAAACTGTGAGGAGCTTTGAAAACCATCCAGTCCCATTTCTTGGTTTTACAGATGGTGAAATGAAGGCCCAGAGAGATAAAATTAACCTAAGCAAAGTCATTGAAGAATAGGAAAGAGTAGTGTAAAATCACACTGCTAGAAAAAAAATCTTCCTTCATAATTAATTTTGAAAATTCCATGTCTAATCTGGAACTAAATATTCCCTGTAAAAGAAAATTCCTTGAATACCATGGATAATGCATTCTAATATCTAACAACCTTTTTAGTCAGAAGTGTCATTCTTGAGTGTAATAACCTCTTTTCATGCAAATTAAGCTTATTTCCACTTGTTAGATGCTTAACAGAGATGGATGATAGTCACTTTAGTAATTATAATCACACAAATGTGCATTAAAATATTTGTCAGTGTTAACTTATGCTCCATTATTTTCTTTGTACTTGCTAAAGAATTCAACATTTAAAATTTTCTAACATGTCTTTGCTTCCCATCCCCAGTTACTGAGACAGAAATCTCAATATCATGATTTGCTCCTCTATATTTTTCACTTTTACCTCTAATAAATTACTAAGGCCTGTTTGGTTTTGTTCCTTTGGTAGCCCTCAAATCTCCCAACCTTAATGTCACAATTTAATTTATACCACAGTCATTTATCACATTTCTCACATTATCACATTTCACTTGTGATAATTGCTGATTGATTAGTCAGCAATTATTGTGACAACAGCCAATTCTAAAATCTTGGTTGTTTAACGAACAAACAAACATTTATTTCTTGTTTGTGTTACATGAAGACAGCAGGTTAACCGCAGGTTTGACTGGGAGGGGTGGGGCTTGCCTGAGTCTAGCCGGGCTTGCCTGACTTTGGCTCGGCTCCACATCTTATGTCATTCCAGGGCTCAGGCTGAGGCAGCAGTTCCTGTTTGAGGTTAACTAGTCTCATGGCCAAGGGAAGAAGCTCAGGAAGGACAGAGCCACATCACATACACTTAAAACTTCTGCTCGGAGGTGGCATATGTTAAGTCCACTAGGATTCTGTTGGCCAGAGTGAGTCCTGTGGCCAAGCTCATAGTTGTTAGGATAGGGCAGTATACTATACCCACAGGAGAGTGTGCTCAGAGTCAGGAGGGAGCCAACAATTGCGAACAAGTAATGGAGTCTATCACAGTTGGTAGCCTGCCTACAGTTGTGTTTCTCTCCAATTCAGCCTCCATACTAACTCACAAACAGGTCAGGTGATACTTAGCAGCCTTAGAATTAAATCCAATCTCCTAACCATGGCTTCAAAGCTCATGTTAGTCTGGCTCCTTTATACCTACTGCTACTTTCATCCCTCTCCATTCCCCATCTGAAACCCTACCCTCTAGGCACAGGAAACCTGTATTAGTTCCCCAGAATAAGCCATAAGTCATATTTCTCTATTGTTAGGGTCTCTGCTCATTTTCTTTCCCCTCTCAGGAACACTCCTACCCACATTTCACCTGGCTCACTTCTGCTGGTCCATCAACGCTTTCCTGACTCTTCACACAGAGTTCAGAACTCATTTTATGTTTTCCCAGAGTATCCTCCGCCCCTCTATCAATACTTACCCCACTGAATTGTAATTGGCTGATTACTTATTTACATCTCTCACTACACTGAAAACTCCCTGGGATGGACACAATTTCTACTGTATTGCACCCCAGTCCTTGGCACAATAACTTATTTAGCAATTGTTTGTTAAATTCATGAGAAAATAATTTTTTTCTGCATCGTGTTATTACTGTATATGTAAAGTCAACCTGATTATAGTACTTTCTCAAAAACTTTCAAATCATTTTCTCATGCAATGAGAAAATTGCATTTAGGGATTTTGCATTTTATTTTTATGTGAATAGATCTCATATATATGTCATAGCTCTACTTTGCTAGTTTGGCCACTTTGGGGGAATATGTAACTACAAACAACGTTAGATTTCAGACTCTTCATCTGCAGTACAAGAACAATGCATGTTGGAATAATTTTGAAAATGAAGTAATATTGCATACACTAGGTACACTAAACCCAAACATGTAATAAAGTGCCTAAAGTTTTTTTTTAATTTTCATTATTTTTTTCATTTCTGATCATTGTGAATTGACTTTTACTTTTTTTCTCTCTACCACGCCCCACGGAAAAAAAAGTTGCTAATTAATACATTTTCTACTAGTTGAAACAGGGAGGAAATATTAGTTCAAATTGTCTAAGTTTATCCAGTTAGATGGTAGCAAGCTAGGATTAAAACTAGCCTTTCAATTTTCTATTCAGTGTAGTATCCACTTTTCTCTGTCTCTTTTTTTTTGCTTGCATAGATATCACTCAGTTTTCTTTCAAGGAAATGTCTAAATTTACTATTTGTAAAACAAAAGCATATTATTAAACTTTTTTTTTTTGGTGCAGGAAGAAGAGACACAAAGACTTTCTTTGCAAGGCAGGATTTTTTCTTATATTTGATTATGCAAACTTTTGGGGCCTGAATTGTCACATAAACATTCAATTTCCTCATTCATTCATTCATTCATTTATTCATTGATTAGGCCTTTATTAAGAGCTGGGGTGAAAGAAGATTTAGGAACCTCTTCAGAGAAATAAACCTTGAGAGAGAAATAGAATCTTCTAGAAGAGAAGAGGAACGAATAGCATCCTTGGCCCAGACAGTCCTGGAAAACAATAACCTGAACATTGCTGTGCGTGGTGGCTCCTGTCTGTAATCCCAGCTACTTGGGATGCTGAGAGGGAGGATGGCTTAAGTCCAGGATTTTGAGTACAGCCGGAGCAACATAGTGAATGCCTGTCTCTAAAATAATAATAATAATGATAATAATAATAATAATAATAATAAAAAATAACCTAAACATCCTTCTAAATGACCAGTTTCTTATTTCTCTACATAGAACTATGCAGACAGCTCTTCGTGAGATCTTGACTATAGTACAATGATTTTTATTATTGACCAACTTCACCCTGCTCCTATACAGACTATAAATTTCTGGGCAGCAGAAATCATCTCTCTTTCATCTTGCATTAAACTAGCACCTAGTCCAGTGTCTTGAACATAGTAGGCACTCAAAATGTTTGAGAGGCACATGCCTATGTTTTAAAATGTCTGATTTAGGTAATTGGGTCCTCTTGATCATTTTGCTGGTCTGAGGCTGATGGACATTAACTGATAAACAGACCATCATTGCTTAAATCTCCTCTTTTGTGCATTCTGGAGACACTACCTCTATTACCTGTTCTTCAGTTGCCCTTACTCACCTCCTCTCTTCACCTCTCTTTCAGTACTTCTTTTTAATTGTTGCTGCTCCTATTCATTAAGCCATTTGAAAATGTGGGCTTGCTTTCCTGATCGGGCAGCATCTGTGACCCTAAAGGAACTCATGATTCAATCCTTCATGTGAATACTTAATAACACATTTGAAGATAACCTTTTACTTGCACACTAGATATGCACCAGAATTTAATCTTATTTTCTGCATTTCCTACAATATAAAAGTCAAGTCCCTTACCAAGACTTTTGTTTCAGAGACTTAAGATCCCATTGCCCTTGATGGGGTTCAGGACTCACTATCCCAAAATATGGAACCTTGGCATATTGGGCATTTTAAGCTGAAGTAATTTGAGAAAACTGCAGAAGTGGGAAAGTCACTCTCACTTGCTTTCCCACTCCTGCTGCTGGCCTTCTTCCGGTCATAAAACCTGGGAGGATATTCTGACCCTCCCCTGAATAAGGTCATAAGACTCTCATGTGAGAGATGCTTTCCTTATACCCAGAGGACAGGAATATCCTTCTCTCTGAAGATGAAGGGTAACAGAGAAGAATCTGAACAAACAGGCCTTTTCCCAGTTAATGGTAATAAACTTCTTCCAGTTTATTACCATTAGATGATACTCTTTTTGCCCTGTCATATTTCTTCATGACTGTCCACTCTTCATCAAATCTACTATAAAAAACATTCAGGTCCGGGTGCAGTGGCTCACGCCTGTAATCCCAGCACTTTGGGAGGCCGAGGCGGGTGGATCACGAGGTCAGGAGATCGAGACCATCTTGGCTAACACGATGAAACCCTGTCTCTACTAAAAATATGAAAAATTAGCCGGGCATGGTGGCGGTCGCCTGTAGTTCCAGCTACTCGGGAGTCTGAGGCAGGAGAATGGTGTGAGCCTGGGAGGCGGAGCTTGCAGTGAGCCAGGATCCCACCACTGCACTCCAGCCTGGGCAAGAGGGTGAGACTCTGTCTCAAAACAAAACAAAACAAAACAAAAAACATTCAGGTTGAACTGTTTCTTCAGGTCTTCATTTCCTTATGAAGGCTCTGGTATCATGTACAATTTATATTAAACACATTTCTATGCTTTTCTTTCATTACTTTTTTTTTTTTTTGAGACAATGTCTTGCTCTGTCACCTAGGCTGGGGTGCAGTGGTGCAATCATGGCTTACTGCAGCCTTTACCTCCCAGGATCAAGCAATCCTCCTGGATTTTTGTAGATACAGTGTCTTCCTATGTTGCCCAGGCTGGTCTCAAACTCCTCAGATGAAGCAATCCTCCCACTTTGGTCTCCCAAAATGTTGGGATCACAGGTGTGAGCCACTGTGCCCAGCCTCTTTTGTTAATCTTCATTTTGTTATAGGGCCTCAGCCATGAACCTAGGATAAGTAGAAGGAAAGAAATATTTTTCCTCCCTTCCACCCCCTATATTTGCTGGCTCATTTCCCCCACCTTTCTCCAGAGATCACAGATTTTAGCTAATTATGGCTTTTTGCCATTCTTCAGACACGTTCTGCTCTTCCTCATCTCTGAACTTGGTTTTTGTTGATCCCTTTCCTAGAAAGCACTCTCCTTCTTTGCCTCTTCTAGCAAAATCCTACTCCTCTTTCAGCCTCTACTTTGTGAAGAGGTCATTGCTTCTGTCCCTAACTCTCCATAATTTCCAGATGAATGAATGAATGAATGAATGAATGGTTTACTTGACAGTTCAGATTTGTTCAACATGAATTTACTACCTCTTTCCTATAAGTCTATTTTTAAAACTTGTTTTGATTTGATACTCCTGATTGATTAATTAATTTGATTTGTCTTTTTCTAGCTTGGGATCCCCTTCAAGTAGTTCTTGAGTCAATTTTTTCAATATCATGATGAGCATATAATAATATATTATTTTGTAGATATTCTTCATTTTTCCCCATATGTAGGCTGTTGGTTTAACCAATTTATAAGCCCGGTGCTGACCAAGGCTTGAGTCTTTATTTATTTTTGTGTACATTTAGGTTTCCACTGTCTTAAGACTCAAAGCCTAAAATGGGCATTATTCTCTTTGACGAGTCTTCATATATCACATATGCCTGTAATAGTGTGCATTTTAAGGAAACACGGTGGATTTCTTTTTAAGTGCAGATGGGTTATTATTATGGAAAATAAGACAAAAATATCACATTGTATCTTCTAAGAAAATTGAGTGAGAGGAGAAAGTTACTATCTGACTTCGAGTTCATCAGAGAGGCTTAATGACTCACTAGAACAGAGGGCCCACTGGGAATTCTCAGTTCCACTGGAGAAGTCTTATGCTTGGACTAGATCCAGCTGCTGTGGTCTGCATCCCAACTCCACCGATTGGCAGCTATGTGACTGGAGCAAGTGATAAACTCCCCGTGCCTCGGTTTCCTTTTCTGTAAGATTGGGAGTAATAATGGTGTGCACGTCACAGGGTTCTTAGGAGAACTAAGGGAGTAAATATTTGTAAAGCCCTTAGAACAGTGCCAGACACATGGTTAAGTGCTGTAAAGTGTTGTTATTTCTGCTTTAGAATTTCTTCCACTTGTTTTTTAAGTTGGAGAAAAAAAATGCTTGTTCTCACTTTTCTGGGTTTCGACTGGAAGAATTAGAAAACAGTACAAGACTTTGAAGTTCTACACAGGTTCAGCTAACCACCATAAATTGCATCCCTGCCGCCCCCGCCCCTCCCCCTCACAACTATTTGAGGATGCTGCCCTCTCGTGGTCACTCGGCACTGCTTCTATAGCTCAGCCAGTTTGAATTATATCAGAATTTTCTTTGTCTCCACCTTCCTTTAACTTAAAGGCTCATTTGTCAGAAGTTAGAGTATTGCCCTCTGTGCATTACTCAAAGCATATCTGCTAATAACAGAAACAAAGGTGGATTTCAAAAACTTGAATGCCAAATATAATTGTTATTTCAATGGTTAGAAATGATTAGAAAATGATGTATGAAATTACAAAATGTATTGTCTTAGGTGTTTTTACTGATATGTTTGAAAATGAGATAAATAATGGCTAAGTTCACGAGGATCAAGAGGAGATCTCTTTGATAGTGATTTAGGCATTCCTTTTAGGAAAAAAAAATTATGACCTCTATCAGGTATAGTTATATTTCATATTAAAATTTAGATTGTTATATTAAGATTTTATTACTTTGGCAACATATTTTCCAAAATTAAAGAGACAAAACTTACAGTCATTAAAATGATAGCTTATGCTGTGTAGGAAGTCTATTAATATTACAGATTTTATGTTTTTCATGATCAAATTTTCTTTAGTCAGTGCACCAACTGTCTAAACCCTGTTTCTTCAGGAATCTCATATACAGAGATTTATTTTCAGGTGAATTTGTGAAAAATTCTTCTTTGCCAATTCTTTTGATAACTTACATAACTCTGGAGTACAGTTTGAGGAATGCAGCTCATCTCCACTGGGTGAACCATTATGCAATTCCCAGCACCAAAAGAGGAACATCAGAAGATCCGTGACTATTTATTTACACATTTGTTATCGTTTCTACTCGAGAATAAAGAATGAGTTTGAACTCTAAAAGCTCAGCCTGCAGGAAGCCCCATCAGTCTCTCCACACTTCTGCTGTCTTTCCTATTGTAGGCGGAACATTATTCAAACCACAGGCTCCGAACTCCCAGGTAACTGAAGCCAGCAGGAAGCTCTGTTTGATATCAAGTATGTTCTTTATCAATCTTTTTGTTGTGATGGGAAGAAATGAACCAGCTTTACTTTTATCTTGCCCTGTTTTAACATTACCCAGTAGGTGAATGCTTTATTGGTATGCCTTGGCCAAAGTCTTTGATATATACTGATTTTGTGGTCATAAATTTCCCATATTAAAAACATTTTTAATGGTTTTCCATCTACGCATACCAACCATAAAGTTTCACATGTCATGTGCTTTTATTAAAAGTATATTTAAAATTCTGCTGATAGGAGTCACCACATGGAAAACACAACTTGATTTTCCTTATTAGATGCTGGGAGACAGAAGCCCTTCTGCCATCAGACAGAGTCAAACCTAACAATGCAATCCTGAACTTTGGGGTCAACATTGTAGACTCTACTGAACACTCAGTCTTCATGCTTTTTTATGTTAGAAAGACTCAGTGAAATAAGAAAATGAATTGCCTTTATTTTTTTCCTCCGCAAGTAGTTGGTTTTCAATGATCAAGCTAGTTTTGTTTTTTGACACACAGGTAAACTATATATTGAATCTACTCTTCATTCTTTGAAGAATATTATTGTGTCATCTTGTTTGGATTCGGTGTCAGTTTTACAGGGAAGGTACCAGTTTGAGCAAAATATAGACATTTAAAGCAGTACACATGTTTAAAATGATTTTAAACTTGTGTCTTTATCTTTCCTACATCTTTTTGTTCGATGCACGATCGATTTTGGATGTTGTTTGTTCCAAATCCCCAAAATTCAAATAATTGAAGTCAAGGAATTCAGATTTTCCTGACAGAAGAAAATTTCGTGAGAACATTTTACACTTTTATTTTAGATCAACATTACTGACTGGTACCTTTTAGTACCTTTTGTGATTTAAAGCCTATAAATATGTTTTTTAGTACCTTTTGTGATTTAAAACCTATAACTACTTTAAGTATCAATTATCTCAGGGCTATCTTCATTCCAGTATTAGAAACAATACATTTATTTAAACACATACTTTTCTCACCTTAGAACATTGTAACCTTCTCACAGAATTAGTGTACTGAGCAAACCTCCATTTGACATTATTGCCAGAATATTTAAAGACTATTACTGAAAAGGAATAAATACATGAAAAGACTATTTTATTGTTCTTGTTGAACTTTTCATTTGAAACCAGTGCCTCGGTCTTGGTGCTACTGACATTTTGGGCTGCATAATTCTTTGTTGTAGGGGCTGCCTTGGGCCTTCTACAATATTTAGCAGTATCCCTGGTCACTACCCACCAGATGCCAGTAACACTCCCTCCCCCACTGTAATAACCAAAATGTTTTCAGACATTGCCCAATGTCCTCTGAGGAACTGAATTCCTACCTCCTGCCAGAACCACTGTTTTAAACCAAAAAACTGTGTACCACATTGCTTCTCTTGCAACATCTCCAGTCAGGACTTGGCCATTTTGCATGGCTTCCAAGATCAGATGTAGGATATATGGTCACATACATGTAGCTACATGTCTCCATATTTTTCTACTTCTTTTCCATCTTCCTCCCTTCAACTATAGCATGCTTCCCCACAAATATGCACATGTTGAGGCTAAATTTGCATTATGTTGGCCATCACAGGCTGGAGACTCCAGGAGACCTATGTTTGCATTCTCATCACTCTCCCAAGCCTAAGTCAGTGCACCCCCCCTTTTTTTTATGGAGTCTCGCTCTTTCGCCCAGGCTGGAGTGAGGTGGCACCATCTTGGCTCATGGCAACCTCTGCCCCCCAGATTCAAGTGATTCTCCTGTCTCAGCCTCCGTAGTAGGTGGGATTACAGGTGTCTGCCTGGTCTTGAACTCCTGACCTCAGGTGATCCACCTGCCTCGGCCTCCCAAAGTGCTGGATTACAGGCATGAGCCATCTCGCCCAGCCAGTGCATCCTTAAAAGGATGATCACACCTGTTTCATAGGTGCTGTGGGATTGATTACATAAGGAAGTGAATTGAAAGAAAACTAATTTCAAGATAACGTTCTTTGTGACAGGCATGAGGTAGGTGATGTATTTAGGTTACACTACATACTCCCAACATTTTACATAGAGAGAAATTGTGATGCTGAAAGACAGAATAACTTTTTCAAGGGCATACTGGTGTCAAATAGAGAAGTCACCTGTGCTTTCAAGGTACCTAAAGACTTCTCACAGTTCCTGAAACAAGGGAAGTTCTCAAGTATTATTCAGCCACTTATCTTCAGGAGGACCAAGGTCTGGTTTGGTTGAATTTTTACTCCATCAAAAATCAAATCTAGCAATCTATTAACCCTGCCCATTCTATTCATTTGGATAATAATCCAAAATACTCTGGTAAATTTAGAATTTTATTCAGAGTCCAATTCTTTTTTATCTTCTTGTTAAGATTCATGTTAACCTTAATTCAATTAGTTGGGAGGTTTACAGTGATGGGAGTTAGTTAAGCATATTTGCTAAGATGTGCTTATTTCTGTGGCTCCTGGTAACCCTTTCTCACCTGGGTTGCTTTTACGTCTGTGCTTTGTTCTTAATCACTGGCAGATGCAAAAGTGCATCTGTGAGAGAATCCTACGGTTCTTTGGGCTGCTGGTAATGAACTTTTGACACAGACCTGATTTGGGAGGAAACAGGTGGAGGTAGCAAAAAGAGTTGAAAGCAAATTATTTTTTCAGATTAAAAAATTTGTTTTCAGGTAGAAAGAAACATTGAGCAGAAAAATGAGATAAAGCAACAACAACAATAATTTTTAGAAGAGGGCGGCATTTTTCTCAGAGAGATTTTTATTTTGGTCATTTCTATTGGAACATGTCATGAAAATTCCTTGGTATTAGACAGCAAGGCCAGAACAGAGAGAGCAGCTTTGTGGGCTTTCTTAGAGCAGGAGTCCATGTTGGAACAAGTCCCTGATTGTGTCTTCATCTTGCCACTGGTGTTCTTACTTAGGGGATCTCAGGCCCGTGTGTTTGCAGACAGGGGAACATACGGAATGATTTCTTCAGTAGCAAATAATTGAACCCATTGGAAGGACGGTGAGCCTGTTTAAGGGACAACACGGAGGCCAGATTTTCCACCTCAGGTTTTTTGCCTATTCTACTTTGTCTTATTGTATTCTTTCAGCTGTAAGAACTATGATTTTATTCCTAGAGTTACATAATCCCAGAGCTGGAAGGCCTCTATATTCAGGTCTTAAAACAAAACAAAACAAAACAAAACAAAACTCTTTAAAGGCCACAGGACACTTCATTCTGGAAAAAAAAATCTGATATGGAAAAGAACTGAAAAAAGTGGATCCACCCTGGTCAAAGCTGGGTGTGCAGGCCTGCAGGTCACTGGTGTGCCTGGCTCAGCTCATGTCCTCTCAGACTTGTGTCATCTTGAACACTACCGGGACTCCTGGGGACTCTGTATCCAACCTCAGAAGATAGAAAGTCCTCGATGATGAGGAAATTGCAGCTAGCAAGTTTGAGTGGGACGCCCAGGCCACGTGGTTGGCCTCCAGATGCTCAGTCCCTCTGCACCAAATCAAATAGAAGGTCACTGGCCACCAGACCATCTCTGCTGGGATCTCAGACCTCCCCAGGATGACGGAATGAGAGTTCGGGGTTGTGGCATGTACAAGACTCTATTCTGGTGGCTTTCATACTGGTAACTGGGGCTTCCAAAAATGCTTCTCAGAGTTTTGGTTACAGTTACAGCAGTAAAAAAAATCCTACCAAGTAGCTTTTAGAAATATTTGATATTTTTCATTTTGAAATTGTCATCTGTCATTTATCTAATTCTTGTGTTATTGTTTCTGTGCAGCAACATTTGTGATCATATGTCCATCACAGAGAAAGGCTAAGACACAAAAGAATAAACGTCACCAACACATGGAGGCTATGTTAGAGTATGATTTTCTAATTTTAGGTTCAAACGACATTGATGAACATTTTTAATGTATGAAAAACAATTAGGCTGTCATTTGCATTGGTAACTGTGCAGAGTAAAATTTAATAAGATGGAAAATGTACTAAACAGGAGAGGAAAATGTGTAAAAAATTAAAATGACAAACCAAGGTTAGTAGGGTGTTGCAAAAACCATTTATGCATACTAAGGTGTAGCCAAATGAAATATGGGCTCAACTTGCCATAAAAGATTTAAAATTTTTATAGAAAATCACTTCAAAATATAAAATTATGATTTTATATTTATATGGGCTGTTTTTCTAGAAATGTTGATGTTTATTATCTGTTTTTAACTATCAGTAATTTATATTTGAATGTTAAGGGCTATGAATATAGAATAGTTGTCAGATTTCAACAGTTCTAAAATAATTGTCTTAATTTCACATGAAACCTATTACAATAAATAGTATTTCTGGCTAGGTATAAAAGACATTGGTTTATTTTCCAATAAAATTATAATTCATCTGGTTTATGAGCAGGAGCTTAGAGATCAACTACAATATGAAGCAGTTCAATGTTTAAATATTATTTCTCATTTCATACCTGTGATTCGAAAACCTTTCCTGTTCATACACAAAGTGAGAAAATGTATTTCTAATCACAGCAGTAACCATATACTAATAAAGACATTGCTGAAATTGAGGTTCAGTGTGTGTGTGTGTGTGTGTGTGTGTGTGTTTGTGTGTTAGTGGGTGCATGGGTTTTGTTTTTTTCTGAACTCTAATACACCCAACATACCGGGGGATTTGGAGAGGCCAATAGAGCAAAACGCCATGACTATCCCGTGGTGATGGTCAGCTCACAGTTTGAGAACCTGACGAACAGCTTGACCGGCCAGCCTGTGGCACCCACAGCGAGTGGCTCTGGATGCAGCTCTCGGACAGGAGAAGTGGGTTCTTCCAAAAGCAAACAAACTCCGACCCACGGTCTTCATCTGGGCCCATCAGGTCAACCGTTGTTTTACAGAACATCGGCGATTGTCTTTCTCCTTGTGTCAGGAGCCTCTTGAAACATTATACGAGGATAATTAAGTGGTGAATAAGGGTCAATGTGGACAAATAAATCAAACTGATAGTTTGAACACAGACTGATTGAGCAAAAACAAGGAATTCTGCCATGCCTGTTACTGCAGTGCTTGATGTTAACTGACTTTGTTAACATTACATCCAAAGGCAGCAAGTGGGAAAGCTTTGTGTGGGATCAAAAACTGAGCAAAGAGACACGGGATTTAATTGTTCAGCTTTATTTTTGAAATAAAGACATGCAGCGCATCTATTTAGTTGACTTTAATGGAGCACGAAACCAAACCCATTCTTTAGCATGCTAATTGAGCCAGAAGATGCTTTCCTCTCCTGTAACAGAGATGCAAGAAATACCAGTAGAATCATCAGACTTTTGGAGCAGAAGTTCAGAGTTTAAAAATCTGACGGGAAGTTAAGTCCCTCTATCTCATGAGACAAATGAAATATTCAAGTAAATACAATATAAGCTTATAAATATTTTTAAATCACCTATCACAAGTCTAGTGGTAGTAAATGTTCATAGAATAAGAAGCTGTTGAAGTCAAATGTATTAACTTATGAAAGAGATTTTGTCAAGCAGAAGGGCAGCCTAGAAATCCTAAACAGGAAAGAGAGGGAGAGAAAGACAGACAGAACTCTTTAAAAAGACTTCTGTGTGTCCACAGGTTTGTTCTCTGGGGAAAAAATTATTAGAAATGAAATCGAAGGAGAAATCTATCTTAGTAAGGATAAAGAGGAGCTATATATATTATATACATATTTATAAATTTTTATTAAAATATATTTTTTATAAATATTCAAATATACTTTTATAAATATTTAATATATATATATTTTTTACCACGAACATGCATCTTGACTATTTTATTTGAGTATTGGAATTCAAGTTTTCCTGGCAGTCAAAATTTCACTTCACTATCCAGCTCTAATGTAGCAGAAATGAATATGTAGTTTAAGCTATAATTTTTTGTCATGTTAATGATCTTAGTTGTTATTTTATAGTCTTGTTCTAACTTACCATAATGGTGCTTGTGTCCGACAACGTAGGACACTGGATTTAATAATATATCACATATATCTTCATACATGAACAGCATCAATCTTTAAAATGATGATATTTAATAGTCTCACAAATAAAGTGAAAGAAACGTAATATAAACTTATGAAAATACATGCTATATCAATGTAAGCTTACAAAAATATATGCTATATTTTAATTATAAACTCACCAATGAATGAATTTTATTATAAAGAAAACCATTACTTTATTAAAAAATCTCCTTTAATAGAAAATCTTCTTTAATAGAAAAATGTATAAAGAGAAATGAGACACTGATTGCTTCTACCTTTCTGTGCTTTCCATATTTTATATATAGGTTGCTTGAAGAAATTAGCAATATAGTGAATAGTAATTGCAAACAGTAATTTATGAGTTTAAAGACATTTAAATGGCATTTGTTTGTAAGCATTGTTTACAAATTCATTCCCATATCTGGTCATCTGTCTTCATTTTTTAATTTAAATACTAGTATTAATACCAATACGCTTAGATCAACAAGGATAACACTGTTATTAATGTTGTCTTTTGGCTGTGTTAATATAAAATAACTATCAAGAATAAATTATATGGGGGAAGGTGGCTATTTGCTGCAGTGCTCCTAGGTTTTTTTTTCCCCATAAATATTTTCACATAAAGAATCTAAGAGAAGCTCATCTATGAGCCGCCTACTCTGAGAAAGTGGTCTGAGAAAGGTGTAATGGATTGTGGAGGGAAATGAAGGCAAGCTTACACCATATCCAATCAGCCTTTTTCTGAAAGGTCAGGACATTCTGTCTGGGCCCATTTGTGTTTTTGATTCTGCCGTTTCACTATTCAGTAACACAATGTAACTGTCAGTCTCAACAACAGCTCCTGGATCTGCTGGCTCCACAGCTCTCGGGGTAACATACAATATTTCACATTCACAAAACAATTCAACGTCTGCGTGAGCAAACCATATGATGACCACAGGGAGCAATATGGTCACACCCTACTGAGCACTCTTAAGGGGACTCTGCAAAGAACTATGTCTAAAAAAGAATCAGGCTTTGCTCCTCTGGGCTTTTGCTTACTTGCCAAATAGCATTTTAATGTTTCATTTTTATCAGCAGAAGTCAAATGCAAATGTTCCTCCCTCTGCTCCATTTTGGTAGAGAAAGAGAGCTTTACTGCTATGCAAAACATTTGCAGTCATGGAGTTAGGAGGGTGATAGATATTAGAAATAATTTAGCACATTAATGATGGCCTTTTTGGATTTCCCCCGTGTGTGTTTTGTTATATTATTTATTTCTCTTCCCAAACAAAACCAGACACCAGCTCAAATTTATAAGGACAAAGCATGGGTTCTGATAGTCTAGGGAGACCAAACCACCAATGCCCTAACATAATTTCTAACCAATGAGATCTGAACTGAGCTCTAGAGAATTAATGCATATGGTACATTTTCCAAGGATTTGGCCTCTAATGCTACTTTTTGACCAGCTGATTGATTTAGGTTACAGTCCAGCCTGCCACTTCACTCAGAAGAAAATTAGATAAACTATTCACAGAAAATGACAGCAAAGAAAAGAAAAAGCTTACCTTCTAAGGCATGCAGTCTGGTTCCCTCCTGCCCAATATTTATTCTTATTGCTAGATTTCCAATTCTTTTTCTATCCAAGTTGCATCATGAATTTCTGAATTCATCATTAATTTTTCAGTGAATTTATTTTTTAAAAAACTCTCTTGGATTTTTCTAACACTAAAAATGTTTTAAAATGTATTTTCAGGTAATATGTGTTATCCTTCCATTCTTCTCAATGTTTTACCCATGCTGCTGAAGATTTCTTCAAGTTAATGACACTGAATTAACCAGTTACATAATTTATTCTTACCAACCCTCCCAATTATGCTGAGTTTGAATCATCTTAAAATCCTAATTTCTAGTTTTCCAGTAATAACACTCATAGTGATTATTTGGGTATACACAACTATTCTTACAAGAACATGATGATTATGGGGTTTTTTTTTCTAATTGATTCCAATCAATAATGGAGAGGCCAATAAGACTTAAATGGCACGAATTATTTGCCTCTGGCTTTAGAGTGTATTTTTGCTCAAATAGTATTCTACTTGAGCAAATTTCCCAAATTTGTTTCTTGTCCTGACATTTTACTTGATGTTACATTACAATGGATACAGCTATCACCTTGAATATTGATGAGAAGTACCGGTTTCGACGAATCTAGGTTTTAGATTGACAACTCACTACTTAGTAGAGGTAATATCAGTAAAGAGTATAAAGAAGTTAAAAAATAGAAAAAGTTAAGTTAAAAAATAGAAAAATTAAATGAAGAAATCCACAGTTAATAAACTTCCTTTCCCTACAACAGTCATCATGATTGAAAATAAACACCAGGTTGGAGTAGGTTGGTTGCATCCTTTTGTTATACAGGCCTCCATTATGAACCTGGTGATGGGGGAAAAGGGGAACTCATTTCCTCTCCTACATCAGCAGGGTACAGACTGCTGGTAATCCTCTAAATCTCTTTTCTGCTTCTCCCTGGGTTCATGACTGTGTAGCTAGAGACTACATTTCCCAGCATTCCTTGCAATTAGATGACACCAAGTCCTTTCTGGTAGAATGTGTAAAGATCTGATGTGTGTGTCCTGGGCCCAGAGCTTTGGGCACTGAGCTGGTTCATCTAGATCTTCTTTCTTTTTCCTACTGGCTGAACTTAGACACAGTGTTAAGCCAACTTGGACCATGATAACAATGCCCTGGCGGTGAAAGGATCCTGAGTGTCTGCAGCCTGTGTGGAGCAGGACTGTCCCAAGAACTGGACTGCCCACTGCAGATGGGTTAAAAGAGAGAAACAAATGTCTGCATTTCTGAAGCCACTGTCTTGGGGATCTTTTTGTTACAGCAGCTTAGCATTACTCCAAGGAATACATTCAAATACATGTCTTTCAAAGAAAATTATAAAAATATATTTAAAAGCCAAATTAGAAATAATGTGTTCCTATCTATATCACAGTTCCCCTTCATTATCATACAAGACAAAATCCTGTAAGTGGGCAACTATCTGTTGCAAAATGCAGAGTCTAAACTAATGTTTGTCAAATATGAGTTATAATTTGTTTTCTCATAACTTTTATAATGTAATAATGTCTATCTTTTTATGTTTAGTAAAAATTAATCATTTATTTAAAATATTTCTCCATAGGATTCTGTCAAATAGAAACAGCATATTTACTCAGCTGTTTTTAGTAAGTAGCTTTTTTCTCTGGCAAAAAGTTGAAAAAATGCACCGCAATATTTTTCTTTCCACAACAGAGACTGTTTTTGTTTTCTACCCAGTCATTCAGGAATCAAGAGGATAAAACCAATCATTTTAGACACACTTTTGTTTCTTCTCACTTTTCTTATGCCTTGAGTCCCCACAAGTTCATTGTCTTTTCTCAGGTTAATTTTAGGTGGCAAAGGGTAAGCAGCGAGGGGTCAAGTGGGTATTGGCCAGTTGAAATGGCAGACTTTTTAAAGGTAGTGCACATGAGAATAAATCAAGATCTATGACTGTAATCATGACGGCAAGCATCTCCCCAGACTGAAGGCCCTTGAGGAGATGTCACATCTATCTCCTCCCCACAAACTCTCTGTCCCCACTGTACCCAGTGTCTAAGCAGTAAACATATTTGCTCCATTAAAGAGGTTCAACAAATGATGTGTGGTAGGTAATTGATGTGGGTAAGTAATGATGGCATCTGACCACTGCATCAGTTGACTGTATGGACTTATGTATGGGTATCAGTCTGAGCAGAAAAAGCATTGCTGAGCTTTCATGCCACTGTCCTTGATGGTCTGGCATAGGATCCACCTTCTCTTCTAATCCCAGCCCCAAATCTCTTTCCCAGGATAAAACATTTTTTCATTCCCATCCTCAGGCATTAGTAGTGTGAACTAATGCTTCACTTCCACTGATCTTCAACAAAGGCATCCATTAGAGCCTTTTCCCATGTCACAATGATGTGATGACCACAGGACGTGATGTAATGTTTTGTTTTCAATATTTAGAACCAGAAGTTAAGACAACCCATTCATTCTGGAATTTCTTACTCCTTTCAAACTGCTGTCTTCAAGTTCATCCTTAGACGCTGCAATCCCCCTAGCTCCAGGAGAGTCAGAGCTTTTTCTTGATCTCAAACCTTTTCATTGATGTAATGTTTCTAGTTTTACACCATAAACTTTTTCATAGCAATAAACTACTGTTTTGATAAAAGTCAAAAGAAACAGATGTTTGCTCTACTTAACAAGTCAATTTGGAGAAATAAGTACGTATCAATTAAACAAATGTTATCAAGTTTGGGGGTGAATTTTGTAACAAAATATTACTTTAGGGTTTAGAGAAGCCTAGTTCTAGTTCACCTTCCTCAGAGCTGGGCACACAGTGGTCTTGCCTGCTGGCCTTGAGCAGGGACATAAGGAGAGAGGATGGACTTGAGCGGTGGTTGCTCCAAGTTCAAACTTCTGTCCTGCAACATACCAGGTAGGTGGGTGACCTTGAAGAGTTCAATGAATCCTTCCTATCCTCAGCTTCCTTATCTGTGAAAGAGGGACAGTGATTCCTACCTCATGATGTTGCCAGGTGGTATAAATTAGATGCCCTAAGTTAGCTGCCCTGCAAAGGGACAGGCAGTTAGTATGAGATAAATGCATACTACTTCCTACTTCCTGCCAGATTAATGAATGATTCTTGCTCAGTAAAATCCTTTAAGATTGGTTATCTTTGGCCTTCTCATTTCATTGTTGGAAACACTGAGTACTAGAAGCTTCCATTTTTTTCATTATATAATCAATAATAATGAAAATATAAGACTCACATTCACAGTCCAGTTTTCCCTGATTTCTAACCCATGCTATTCAGCCAGCTTGTGGTTCCATGGGAGACTTGAGGATTGTGTATTCTCATATAATCTTTCTGATAGGAATTTTTTATTGATGTGAAGCCTTTCTTGTACTCACCTTCTCCCACAAGACATTGAGCTTTCATTCTCTACTTGTCTTTTGCTCATATACCCTGTCTGTTTAGAATGACTACATCTCTCTCTGCTTAAATAATCTTTCTGAACTGTCCTTCAATTTGCAACTCACATCTTTCTTCCTTTAAGAAGTTCTTCCTAATACTGCACCTGGAATGACCTCAAGTTCCTGTGTGTTCCCAGAATGCTTATTCTCTTTATTACTCATTTGACATTTCACATTTGCTGTCTTCTATTAAGCTAGTAGAGTGTGGCAGAAAAACTCTGGCCTAGGTGTCAGTAGACCTGAGTCCTGGGCCTGACAGCAGGATATCACTCACTCACTGTAACCTTTGTTTCCTTGTCTGTAAAACCAAAGTAATAATACTCAAGTGGTCTGCTTTGACAACCAAAAGAAATGTTAAAACACTTTACAAGCAATAAAATGCTATAGAGGAGAAGGCATTAATTCTGTTACAAGCACATATGTTTTGCTGTTTCTTCTAAAACACCCAGCACTGTGCCCTAAATATACTATCAATAAAATGAATACATGAACAAACTAGGAACGTGAAGACCTGAGTTCTGGTGTCTGTTCTGCCAGCTGTATGACCTTTGGCCTGGCATCTGAATAATGTTCAGTTTCTTGTAAAATGAGAGGATTTGTCCAGAGTTCAGACAATGGATCTCAACCCTGATTGCACATTGGAAAGACCAAGGGAGCTTTTAAAAAAAGGCACATGCCTGAGTCCCACTTCAAATCCATCCAGATTCTCTGACAGTGAGGCTCTTGCCTCGGTATTAAAATTCTTTGTTTTTAATTTTGAAGCAACTACAAACTTACAGAAAAGTTGGAAATACAGAATAAAGACTTTTTTTCTGAACCAGTTAGAGTAAGTTGCCCACCCAGTAACATATTACCCTGAAAACTTTAGTGTGAATTTCCTACAAACAAGGACATTATCCTACAGATATGCAACATCACCATCAAAATCAGATGACTAACATGGATACATTCAAGATCCTATTCAGGTTTCACCCATTGCCCCAAATCCTATTCAGATCTCACCAACTGTCTTTTGGAAATGGAACCTCTTCAGAATCATGCCTTATGTTTAGTTGTCATGTTTCTTTTGCCTCCTTTAGACTAGATGGTTCCTCAGTGTTTCCTCGGTTTTCATGACGATGCTTTTGAAGATTACAGGTCATTAATTTTGTAGAATGTCCTTCATTTTGGGTTTGTCTGAATCCTCCTCATAATTAGATTCAGGTTCCATGATTGACAAGAATATTACAGAGGTGACGCTGGCTTTTCCTATCCAGGAATTTTGTTCCATTACTGATGAGGTTCACTTTGATGGCTTGACAAAGGCAGTGTCTGCCAGTCTTCTCAACTGGAAAGATAATCTTTTCCCTCTTTGCAATTAATCAATATCTTATGGGAAGATACTTTGGAACTGTGTAATATTTTGTGCCTTATCAAACTGTCAAATGTATTAATTTATTTATATCTGTATGTTTTAATGATTTTCCATGTTATTCAATTAGTTTTATTCCATTACTATCATTATTTATTTTGGTGCTCAAATTGTGCCCAGTTTGGCTGGTGGAAATCCCATCAGGCCAGCTCCTGTATCCTTCTCACATGTCCCCATCATCCTTTGAATACATCCTGCTGTCTAGCACCACAAGATATCCCAGGATCCTCTGGTACTTTTCCTGCCCTAATCCTGGAATTGGCAATCTCTCCAAGGGTCCCTGGCTCCCACCGAGAATAGTATGTGGAGGGAAGCACATACTAGATGTGTTCATCACTGTCGGGTTATCATGACTTCTAGGCCCTCTCAGTGGACAGGTTTAAGGATTATGTGAATATTGATATGTGTATATATCACTTTTATATTCATGTTTGTTACTATCTATTTTTGAAACTATGGGTTCACACTAATTCCAATGCCAATCTAATACTGCAAAGATTATTCTAATTTTCTCTCTTTCAATATTTATAACTCCTTCTCATCTTTAGGAGTTTTGGAATTTGAAAAAAACATCAACAAGAAACATCCTCTGGAGAATTTTCTTCACTTTCATCACCCACTAAGCTAAAAAAAATCACAAAATTATTAAATGAGATGCCTCTCTTTTTTGAAGCCCTATCATCTTAAGTTTTTTTAAAAACATACACATGTGCACGAACTCTCGCCTACATACCTTTTGAAAGCTAACACATTTTAATATTGCTTTTATACAGGCTTATGGCACCGTGTCATCCTTCAGAGCCATCTAATTATAATTAAGGTATTGCCTTTATAGAGACATTTTTAAAAATATAGGAATAATAATCTTTCTGCATTTTAAAACCTGAAACAGGATACGTAAATAGATTTGTCTTGTGTTGGGATCGGGGGAGTAGAAGTCCCTCAACAAGATGGGAAGAGTTGTGCATTCAGCAGTCCGTGATGAGTACGTATTGAGCCAGACAACGCTGTGCTGGAACACTGCTTGCCGGATGGACACCCAGAGATGGCATTGTTTGTGTTGGTAAAGCTTGTATCAGTCACAATTGAGAGGAGGCGGCTGCTGTGGATCATGAGAGCCATTTGGAAAGGCTTATATCATGTTAGTTGCACTTTGCTTCACATGTCCTTCCTGTTTTCAATCTTCCTTTTGGCTGGAAGACTGTATTTCCATTCAGAGGTATCACATATTTCCTTCACAATATATTCATGATCCATACAGTTATAAGGCAGTCTAGGATGATCTAAATATTGACTTTTTCTGTTGATGTAAGTACATACTATCTTTGGAATACTGAACTGCTAGTGAAAAATACAATCGTGGTTGAAAATAAAATTCTCTTTCATGGAATTCTTTGAAACTGCTACAATCATGCATATTTTCCTGGATTGCAAATTTTGGTTTATTCTTCTTACCTAAACACTCTTTACCTTTAATAATTCCATACCATTTAGTGCAACAAGCCCAAATATCCAGTGTGGTCCATATCTGTCTTTCCCCTTCACTCTCTTTCCTTATGGACAGTTGATGTCACATGGGTAATTCATAGTCAATACTATCTTATGTAAAGAACTATTGCTTTAGCCACCATGTCCTGGCTGGGCATTCAGTCATGCATTAATTACTAACCTACTATCCCATTCAATCAATCAGTCTATTAATTAATCAATTCGAGCATTTTTAACCTTTTAGCTCTTCTTCTTCTTTTTTTTTTTTTTTGGAGAAGAGTCTCACTCTGTTGCCCAGGCTGGAGTGAAGTGGTGCACTCTCCATTCACTGCAACCTCTGCCTCCCGGCTTCAAGCGATTCTCATGCCTCAGCCTCCTGAGTAGCTGGGACTATAGGCATAGGCTACCTTGCCCAGCTAATTTTTTTTTTTTTTGTATCTTTAATAGAGACGGGGTTTCTCCATGTTGCCCAGGCTGGTCTCGAATTCCTGAGCTCAGGCAGTCTGCCGCCTTGGCCTCCCAAAGTGCTAGGATTACGGGCATGAGCCAGCATGCTGGCCACCTTTTACCTTTTCATTAGGTAGAAATTATCCATTCCCTAAGCCTTCTTTGTAGTTCTAACCAAAATTTTCCTGTTTTTTTTTTGAGACAGTTTCACCAGTTTCACTTTTGTTGCTCATGCTGGAGTACAATGGCGCGATCTTGGCTCACCGCAACCTCCGCCTCTCGGGTTCAAGCTATTCTCCTGCCTCAGCCTCCTGCGTGGCTGGAATTACAGGCACGTGCCACCACGCCTGGCTAGTTTTGTACTTTTGGTAGAGATGGGGTTTCTCCGTGTTGGCCAGGCTGGTCTCGAACTCCTGACCTCAGGTGATCTGCCCCCCTCGGCCTCTCAAAGTGCTGGAATTACAGGCGTGAGCCAACGCGCCTGGCCAAAATTTTCCTTTTTGAAGATTGAGGCCAAATAGCATAAATACATATCTATGTTTAGATTTCAGAGTAGTTTTAAAGTTGAGTGTTGAATGATGAGACCCTAAAATATCCATACATTACATGATTGAGTTACCATAACCCATTTGATAACGAGTTGTATTGTCTCACTTGCTTAAAATACCTGCGTTTCTCTTGGGGGTGAAAGGAGACTGGAATAGATCTTGAGAGATTGTCATAGAAAATGAATACTCAGTAACGTAAGGATATAAACAACTATTCAAGAGATGGGACCACTGAAGACCAAATACATCTTAGTCAATAATTGGAAAATGTGGGAAAGATTATTTTACAAAATGAAAGAATGAGTAGAACTTTCTCTTAAAAGTATTTATTGAAAATGAAACAGGAATGTTATTTCTGATGAGTATTTGAATGTAACAAACCATTTCTTGTTCATATTTAAAATGTCAAAAGCAGCTTACCTTTCTATCAAGTCAGTTGAATTATTTAAATGACACACAACTAAGCTGTTTTGATTGTCTGAATAGTGATACTACAATGAAAACAGCTAGTCTAAGAATTTCATATATTTTAGAAACTTCTAACTGCATTTGAACCATTCTGATTCTACCCAAAATAAGACAACGTTCCATTTGAGACTTGAAAAAAGAATTCGACATTTCTACGAAATTTTTAAATATTCTAGAAATTGTCCTTTCTCTGAGGTATATTCTGATCCATTTAGAAAAGGGGATATGGAAAAAGTAGCTCTGTTTATAATAAAAACCTCTTTTTTGGGGGTATAAAATCAGTTAAATAGAGAACACTGCATCATGCCTGAGAGAATCTTCCCCTGGGTGCATCTATAACGACTACAGAGTGCCATCCACAGACTCTAACAGATGCCCGACAGAGGGATTCCAGGCCCTAACCTCCCTCTAGTCTCTTGCGTTAATGAGGACTCTTGATGCAGTTTAAGGCACACTAGTGAGCAGCTCTAAATCAGAGCTCACCCTGTGGAAGGAAAGTTTACAATGGGTACCGAGGCCAGTCGGTTAGAATTCCAGATGTGGGGCCTGCACCTTGCCCCTGACCAGCATCCATTTCTGCGCTCCACAGCTGGTCCATGTAAATGTGCCATATTGCCGCCCATCTGCTCAGAGAGTGCACAGTGGCACATCTCTCTCTGACAGTGGACCGTTTTATTGAATGCTATAAATATTGAAATTCATAGGCATGAAGCAGCAGATTTTTAATGTTACTTAGAGAGACATTTGAGCCGCAACCTTTGGCAGAAGCATAGACTGTTAGTATCTCAGTACACTGCACACCATTTGGTTCAGACTCATGAACAACTTTTCCAGGGATTTCATGGCTCTCCAATCCCAGGTAAAATGGAGTACAGACCCTGAGGGATGGTATTTAGTGTGAATGTCACCCTGCATACAATATGCATTTGGGATATGGACTTTCCAGCCCTGTGCTGTGTTAAACCATATGTTAATGTTTTTATACTCAGAAAAGATTAGATTGGGGACCAATAAAGTTTCAAAACTACAAATAATAGGCTAACCATTGTGAAACGTGAAGAATTCCTTCAGCTGATTTTTTTCCAAAGTCTCTGCAGTTTTCATTTTTGAAATGGTAGGGCTATATTTTGTTATAGGAAACCAGCTTATCCATATTTTATAAGCTAGTATGTGCAAATTTTGTACCAGAGAGTAAACATCCTCATTAATTTGAAATTACTGGCATGAGATCTGGATAAGAAATAGAAAAAAGAAAATTGCTCTTTGGTGTTTCCACCTCTTGACCAAATGATCCCAAGCAAACTTTGAGGCAAAAAAGGAAGTAAATCAAAGCCCAAGAATGAAAAGTATGCAGGTTATCGGTACTGATTTTATTCCTGGGGTAATGTTCTTTGTCTTTAATAAACTGTGAAGCCAGGCAGGCTGTTTAAGACAAAAATGGACACGGTTTTGTATATAAACAAAAATGGGCACTATTTTACTTTTCCTTCAGTTCTACTGTGAAAATGCCCTTCTAGCAATTGTCAGAGATTTAACAACAGAAGCGAATCATTCATTTAGAACAGTAAGTAGTTTGGAAAGGACATGATAATGCTCCCAGTTTGGCATTTATTTACATCAAAGCTGTTAAGACAAACTAATGTGACAACTATTTAAAAATAAAATACTTTTCCTGCCTAATTGATGTAAAGCACTGAAAATGATCAAAATTCAAACTGAATTTCAATTATTTTTCTGGCACGTACATTTCTCAAGACCATGATGCTTTTTAGCTTTGCTTCATTTTTATTTTCCAATTGCTCTGTGGTCTTTGTATTTTTTTTTAAACAGTAACTTGCATCTTTATTAGTAAAGTTGTAACATTCCAACAATAAGCTGTGTCATTGCTCAAACATTTCCCTGAGTTCCCAATCAGCAGAGTTATGTAAGGTGGCAGGTTAATAAATGCGACACACTGAAATCATTTGTACCAGATTATCTCTCTTTCCAAACTCTGGCAGATGCTAAGTCCAGCTGGTAAAAAAAAGTTTATAGGCGAGTTGGATCTGGGGTCTTCACACACTCCACAATGTTGGCGACCAATGCTTGTTTTAATGAGTCACGGATTGCCTGTTTATCTTCTGCTCCCTGCTGTTTCTGCATTTTCTCTTCCAGAACAATCCTAGAAACACATGCTGCTACAGACGCTGGAGCAATGTGTGTAGACATTTGAGCCAAATTATTATAAAGAACTCTTTCTTCTCTGATATTAAAAAAAGGAGCGAGAATTGCACATTGCCTAGCAAATCGTTATCTCAGATGTTCACTGTGACATGCTCAATATGGCCTACCAGAAAAAGTTGGAGACATTTGAAACCTTAACAACTACACAAAATGACACTGTAATTGGCGGGTTTTGTTGTTCATGTTCTGGCTCAGCTAAAACTGCTCTAAACACTTTGTTTAATGATGTTACATTATGACAACACATGGCTTCTATACAGCAAGTCATCATGTTTAACATGCAACTACACAGGAAAAGAAGCAAGTGGCCAGGAAACAGTACCAGGAGCCACCCTTAGAAGTTCTTTTGTCAAGTCAAAAAAGATTAAGCCTAAAGTTTCCAAAAATGCCACTTCTCACTAAAAGCTCATTTAAGTCAGGTTCCCAAGCCCACTGGTTTAAGGTGACTTCTCAAGAAAAGCTGTTGTTGTGAGGGAGAGAGAGAGAGAGAGATTGAGAGAGACAGAGAGAGAGAGAGAGAGTGTGTGTTAGGGAAAGAGTACGTGTTAACATCACAATATTTAATACTTAATTGAGACTTGGGGAAAAAAAACTTTAAAATGAAAGAAAGAGACATAGGTACAAAATCATGCCTTAATCAGATCACTCGCTGAAATTCAGATATTTTCTTTGAATTAAAAAAAGATTTTAATGTGATAAGAAAATACACATTCTCCTCTAAATAGATTTGTTAGTGTTACATTCTTCCCCATTTTAATAAAGTTTTTGGTCATCTCCTGAATGGTTAACTTTTGCTGTCTTAGAAATATACGATGAAAATTAGACACAACCTCTATCCTCATATATTTTGATTTTTAATGACATAGGGAATTGACAGATAAAAATAAATGTTATATGGATATATATAGAAAAAATGACAGCTGTCAAGTAGATTTGATGAAAGAGTTTAGTTCAAGATTATGATGATAGATTGGAAAATATTTGACACCACCTTTGTGGGAGAATTCTTGTCAGGAGAGTTAGATTTAGGAAAGAAAGAGTTGGACACAAATCTAAAGTTGCATTTGAATGTTCAAAATATTCAGAGAGAAGCCTGGTGAGACTAGAATCTGGGTCTGTGCATGAAGCAAGACATTCTGGCAAGTTGATCTAAGCATTCTCGAAAAGGCTTGCAGGTCATTGCTAAAAATAATCGTTCGTCCAGAAGCAATAAAAAAACGGATGAGTGGTGTGTGGCACAAGGTGAAGCTGTAGTGTACAACATTTTGGAGGAGATAGAAGCAGAAAGCTAGGAAATGTGAAGTCACACAGACTTTAGGTCACACTTAAACACCATTTCGCTATCTCAGAAAATCTGATCTATTTTTCTGCATGTCACTCAATATACTTTACAGAAGCACCCTTGTGATAAACTATTATATATTTTTTGAGTTTCAGAAATAGTTCATTTCTTTCAATAAATCTGTTTTATTTTAAATAAATAAGGATTTAACACAATGTCTTTTATTGCCATTTTAGATGTCAAATAATTTAGTACCCAATTATTGCTCAAGATTTATATACTCACCAGAGGAGTCTGAAATATTGTCTTCCTTTGGTCTCTATCAGGACATTTCTGACTTGTTTCATTGTTAAGTCACCTCAGTTACCTTGGAAGTAGAGAACGGTAGAGAGGATACAAAGTGGGAAGGATCCACCCATTTCCTCACACTTCAGTAAGTTGTACAATAAAAATGTAGTTTCTTTTATTGCTTTAAGTAATTGATTAAATTTTCATTACAATGGACTGATGGATAGAGAGAAAAATATAGTATATTTTAGTCTAGATTAGAAAACAGTCTGTTTCAATAATTTCAGCAGTTGCTTTAAGTGACTCAGTCTCTAGATAAATGTTCAGTATTTCGGAACTCCCATTGCCGCTCCCCAGCATGGCATGTGCATGTGCAAGAAAGAGGGGCTTCCAGGCCCTCATGCTGGAATGGAAGGAGGTGCCTGGTTATTCTCCCCTTGCTGCCCCTGGCTACACCCATCTGTGCCTTTGCCTGCCCTTCTCCGTGTCCTGAAAGGCTCTATTTACCCCTACTGACTCTAGGTCCCTGGCTTTCTTGCTGGTTGGTGTCTGTGGTTTTGGTTAATGGGAGACACCAGCAGGAGCCTGAGGTTTGGAAGGTGAGAGGTGGGAGCTTTTCTTCCCTGCTCGCTCCTTGCTTTGGCAAGAAGTCTCTGGCATTGCTGTGTGTCCCCATGATTCCATGGACTCTGCTTTTTCCTTCTCTGCTCCCTTTATCCCGAAGGGTAAGAAGAGCTTCCTGAAGTGGCTAGTCTCTGGGAACCTCACCATCTTTCTTCAACCTAACATGCCTCCTTTCTCTACGGCTTCCACTTCAAGAGGAGAGCTTGGAATTCAAGTGTCTCGCCATTTGCTTCTCCTTTTCCCCCATAATTCTACTGGGCAAAAGGGCTGGATTCCTTCCTACGTCTGATTTTGGTGGGATTTTGCCCAGCATCATATCCCTTTTGTCTTTTTTCATTTTCCTCTTCTTCCATTTTCCTGGGGCTGTAATGACAGAATTCCTGCTAGAGATTGATGAGAAAGAAGGTAAAAATACATCAATTTAATATTTTCAGAACATTAAGCTATCCAGAAGATTAGACAGTAGAGAAATTTAGTCAGTGGACAAGAAGGAAAGAGTCTAGCATTGAAACTGTAGCAAAGAAATACAACGATTTCTGCTCAAATGCAATATATGTGTTCCTGAAGAGCCTCATGCACTATAAAATTACAAGACACATGTGAAAAAAAAAAACAGGGCTCATGGGAAAAACAGGTGTGGGGCACTTTCTCAAAACCTGTAGAATTTGTAGTCAGAGCGTTAGCAAGCACAATAACAATTGTAACAAGAAAACCAGTGGAGTTAAATGTCCACTGGCCACACTGTGTCACCGTCAGCTGATCTTCTGTGGCCTTACACTCTAGGCTGCTGCTTCTTCCTTTGAAATACCTCATCAAAATTAATAATCTGACCCAAGATGGATATTTCCTTATGAACCCAAATTTTTTTAACACAGATGGAAATTCTTCACAGTTTCTTCATCTGTACTGTCAGGTTCCCAGATCATTTTTTGAAACATAGATTTGTTTAAGAAATTTTTCACGTTGCATTTTATTAAGTCCATGGTTTACATTAGGGCTCACTCTTTGTACTGTACATTCTATGAATTTTGACAAATGTATGATGACATGTATCACCATTACAGGATCATACAGAAAAAATAGTTTCACTCCCCTAAAAATCCCCTGTGCTAAAGTTGTTCATCCCTCATCCTCCGCGAACCCCTGGCAACCACTGATTTTTTTTTTTTTTTTTGAGATGGCATCTCCCTCAGTCACTCAGGCTGTCTTGGCTCACTGCAACCTCTGCCTCCTGGGTTGAAGCAATTTTCTGCCTCAGCCTCCCAAGTAGTTGGGATTACAGGCACCCACCACCACAACCAGCTAATTTTTGTATTTTTAGTAGAGATGGGGTTTCACCATGTTGGCCAGGCTGGTCTTGAACTCCTGACCTCATCATCCACCCACCTCGCCCTCCCAAGGTGTTGGGATTACAGGCATGAGCCACTGTGCCCAGCCCACTGGTCTTTTTACTGCCTCCATAGTTTGCCTTTTCTAGAATATCATATGTGGTGGTTGGAATCATACAGTATGTGGCCTTTTCAGATTGGCTTCTTTTGCTTATTAATATGCATTTCTGTGTGCTTTTGTGCTGCCATAGTTCATTTCATTGTCTGGGTGTACCACAGTTTATCTATTTACCTCTTGAAGGACATCTTGGTTGACGCCCTTCAAATATGTTTTGGCAATTATGCATAAAGCTACTATCAACATTCAGGCACAAATTGTTCAGCATAGTGAAAACCATAGGGACTTAACTGACCACTCCTTGCACTAAAAAAACTTGCTTCTATCAGATTCTCAGCTTTTTTCTTAAGATTTTCAAATACTGATAAAACAAATTGTGAGGAAGTTTGCCCTGCCCTTGATTGTGTTCAGGGCATTACAATTTGGGGAAATTTGCATATGAATGAACATGTCTTCTACATTTTACTGACCATATGCCTTAAGTCAGACTTAAATATTCTTGGGCATATGGAAAAATTATGTTGAAATCTTCAACCTTCCTACACTTTCATAGTGAGATTCTTCTTACCTTCTATCTGCCCTGACTCAAGCATATAAAAATACAATAACAATCCCGGATTCCTTGAGTGATTTGGTAGCCTCTATGTGTGCAAGTCTTCTGTGTTTAATTTTCTAAAGCCACAGTTTCCTTTGTCCCACTCTTTGGCCCACACATCAGTATCTTAATGCTATTTTTTTATATTTTAATTTTGTATTTTTCATTTTAACCATCTCTATGCACTTGGATTACTTGTCTGTTTGGGGCATCTATAGAAGAATAAGAGACTTTGCCCTAGCTTAAAACCTAGATGATGGGATGATAGGTGCAGCAAACCACCATGGCACATGTATGCCTATACAACAAACCTGCATGTTCTGCACATGTATCCCAGAACTTAAAGTAAAATTTTTTTAAAAAAAAGACTTTGCCTCTAAACTTGGAGATGACACCATTCTCCAGAGACAGATAGATCACTGTGGTCATCTGAACAGTGGGTGAGAACATCTGGAACACCTGGAATAGGGTAGGCAGGAAGTAGGCACTCAACGCATGTTTTAAATGGTTGTTACAAATTATTGTTATTGATTGCTACTTATAGAGCAGTTTCCCTGAGTCTAACTCTGTGTAATTTTTTTTCTGATCTTCCTAACCATCCTGCAAGATATAAATTATTTCCATTTTTTGATAGGAAAACTGACTCGACAAGCAAGTCACATGCATGGCTATTCAATGGCAGAACTGGAGCCTGTCCTTGGGTCTGCTTGGTTCCAAGGACTGTGCTTTTCCCTCTGTTCACCTTATCTGAGCAGCCTGTCTGCCAGAATGATGTGTTGTCACCGTTTCTGGGTAGCGTGAGGGCCTGGTAGGGTTCTCCTTTGCTGTATGCCATTGGATCTGCAGTGTGATCCCAGGACCGAGATGGAGATCTGGGGCCAGTGCACAACGTGGGCCAGGCAGTGCATCTCACCATAGCTGTCTCCTCCTGGACCCGATTTTTACTCAAACCACTGGGAAGTGTCAATAGTTAGTCAAAGGCCTTCATTTTCTTGAACTTTATGTCAGTTGTACAGTAGTCTTATCACTGGATTCCGTCTTTCCACAGCATAGCTGTGTAAATGTGGTCAAGTGATTCCGTTATACATGAAGATGGTTGTGCTGTACACAAATGATGCACTTTTTATTCATATAAAAGGCAATCTGTCAAAATGTTCAGTGCTGCTCAATGAAGAAAGAATTTTGGGTGTTTATTTCTTCTTTCTGCTTTTTTATATTTTCACACTAACACACAAATATCTGTTTTGATATATATTTGAGAAATAGTAAAATATAATGGAATCATACACACTTTAGTCGGGCAAATTGGGTTAAAATCTGAGCTCCATGACAGTAGAGCAATTCATTAGATTCTATGAAACTCAGTTCTCTCAGCTTTAAAAAGAAGAGAATGATCTAGTCCTTATAGGATTTTTGTGAAGACTGAGGGTAATAATGTGTGTAAAGTTCTTAGCATAATGCCTGGCACACACTAATCATAATTACCAATACTTACAGAGTGATTCCTATGTACCAGACACTTAACTCATTCAATGCTCACTTATAAGACAAGAGTTCCTATTTTATAGGGAATCCTTGTCAGTCTCCTCTCTCAGGTTTGGAAACCAAGGAGCTAGGAGGTCACTTATGTTGCCTAAGCAGCAAGAGGTGGTGGAGTGGAAACAGAACGGAGGTAATTTGGCTCTCGAAGCTTCTCCCTTAATCACAATACAACAATGCTCTCAATGATACTGTTCTCGGTAATATTCCTCTCAGCCATAGACACCTAGTGAATGCTGGTATACACCATCCCCTTTCCTTATTAGCCAGATGATCTGTTTCTGTGGATCATTCATTTTTGGTATAGTTGGTGTTTAAAAGTCAAAGAAAAACACAGAACCTCCTTTAAAAAACTATTGGCTTGAGTGTGACATCTCTTGTGAAGAAGACTTGAAAAGTAACTACTTAATCATTCCTCCTTCTGTTTTTAACAATTTTCTTTAGTTCCTTTTGCACAAGTCTCCTACATAAACAAGTAGCATCTGATCTCTATGGGAAGACACTTATCTTAATGCATTTTAGTTGCAATTAGTTTTACTAAAGTAAAAACACCATGCTACGTGGCAAAAAAGAATGAGCCATTTGCTATTAATGGGGAAAACAAAACCTCCTTTAACATCATCAGGATTTTAAAATACCTGTTTTTAGCCTACTGACTGATTCAATGTGCTGGAGTTCCATAGAAGAAATAAGAAGGACAAGCATTTTTAATAATCTTGCAATTATTTATAGAAAATTTAATTTTTTTTTGCTTCAGCATGAGAAAATGACAGATGGCAAAAACACCAAATTTATGTCCATTGGTTGCAAAAGACAATGGGTGTTACATATCATTTAAATAACATTCAACAGTGGAAGGAGTCCATCCTCCTTACTGTGCACTTAGCTAAGAGAAATGTGTTATAGGTATTCCACTATATTCTCTTAAAGCAACCATCATTACTCGAGATGTTGGCTTTTTTCTGAATAGTACTCTTACGAAAAAGGCTGAGAGTTTTATATTAACACAAGAATAATTATTTACATTGTTGTCTTTTTATTTAGCTGTTTTAACAGTATGCTAATGACAGGAAGAAAACATACATATAAAATATTGTAAGCATCAGGACATGGTAGGAGAGAGTAAGTCTGGCTCCTGACCATGAAATTTCTTTCTGTGGTTGCCTTCTTAATGGCATCTCTTAAGGTCAGTGGCTTTGAATTCTCCCAATTGTATGAGGTCACTCTGGCAGCACTGACCAAGTAGAAAATATTCAGCTAGAGAACACAATAGCAGAAGTCACCCTTTAAGTGTCCTGCCTTCTATATCATGCAATTGACTCCAAGGCTCCCCACTAAGATGTCACTGTTTGACCAGTTTGCTTTAAAACAGCTTAATTAGCTGAAAGGAAAGCTATGTCTGAGCACGTTTGTGAGCAAAAAACAAAAAGCTCTCTCTTTTCAGAAAGCTCATGCTCTATCTTGTCGGAAATTTTTGGTTCTGAAACAAAACAACATTCCTTTCATACACAGTCAAGTCCCTGACAACAAATTTTTCTGGATCAGAAAATATCTGGTTTGGAGTTATCTCTTTGTGGACATTTGGTTCGTGTTCTGTATAACTAGGTTTGTGTTGGGACCCACAGTCGTATATGGCATTACTAGGGGAATTCTTGCCAAACGCATTTTTAGTTTATTTCCTTGACCTAGCAAGGAGATACTGCTTTCTTTGCATAAGGGCTATGTAGGCTTTCTGATTAAAATCTACTGAACTTTGTAGTAATGGCAGTAACATCAAAGTAACTTAAGTGCTAACATCAAAAACAATCTCATTCCACTTAGTTCATTTGCTTCTCATTAAACATTTTTTTTAAAAAGTTCCAAAGAAACAACTCAGATTTAATTCCTGGCATGACACGTCAAGAAAATCTGTGTCATAATACTTCAACATGGACCTAATTCAACATGGACCTCTTGCACAAATGCACGCATACCACCTGCTATCTCTGGACGTAGAGCCCCGCAGAGAACATGGGAAGGTATATTTAGGGCCCATCTTAAGTTGTTTAAATGCAAGAGAAAATGCCTAGGCTGACAGTGAATGACACTCGTTCTTTTTTGCATGTATTGCTGTGGCTAAACCCATCTGAGAGACACAGGAAACCTGTGTTTTCATTTGTCAAGGCAAATTGACAAGAATTGTTTTCATTTTGATGGGGCTGATGAAAGCATCTACAGAAATCTTGAACTCATGTGAAGGGGTGCCACAGGCAAGCCAGGGAATTGTTACGGAAAAGAGAGAACAACCTATCCCTTTACTACAGCGTTTCAGAAAGCGTTGTGGATTTTTTTTTTAAGTCACAGAAGAAAATCCCCATGCCCCAAACAATATTCTACTGTAAAAACCAAATACTTCCAACAATTAACCACTGCAATATGGCCTGCCTACTCATCCAATTTCTTTCATAGTCTCTTGTCTCGATGCTGATTATCCAATGAGCACATAAATTTCCAGTCGACTCTAGTTTTTTTTTTCACAACTTCTAAGTTATAATGAGCACCAAATTCCAACCAAAGTACATTTTTAAAAATTGCTCTGAGCTCCATAATTTGGGATATCTCTGTAAAATTGTGTGTGTATGTGTGTGTGTGTGTGTGTATGTTGCAAACCTATCTCGAGAACATCTAAATTGTGGTTTGCAAAAACTCAAAAATGATGACACCCTTTGTAAAGTAACATTGGATTTTAAATTGCAATCATAACTTCATTTTTTTAATGGAGAGAAGGATGACTAAATTAGGAGAAAAGTCTATAATCAGGAATATAAATCTTGCACTGATTTCTGGAGGTCACCAGATGAACCAATGCAGCCTTCACACACATCTGCTGTTTTGGCAACTGCTGCCTTTTTCGAGGATACTCATTGGCTCCCGCTAATCATATGCGAGGCCTCCTGGAAGCGATTTGTGCCTCTCCGGGCTGAAACCGGGCAGAGCCTGGAACGAGGCTGCATTGCTCAACTCAAGCTACCACATCGAGCTGCGTGCCACCTTCCAAAGGCCAACAGGCCGGGTGTTGCAGGGGGAGTGCGATGTGGCTGCAGGGTGGGCAGCTGACAATAACCTTTCAAAGCAGGGGGGAGCAGGTTTTCCAGAGCCACTGGAAGGCTGGCATGCAGCCCGCTGGAAGGAGCCAGTATTTTCAGGAGAGGGGTTCATGCCCACAAGGTGGCATCATTGGTGCCAACTTCAGACGGAGGCCCTGGGCTAGTTTATCTTTGGAGGTGATGTGCTTTGCGGGTAGATCAGGGTGAAGTCAGAAAAAACATTCACGTGAAATAATTCACACCTTAATGAAGCTGATTCTTTTAATACACATAAACAGCAGTGAGGAGAATGGCAAATAGCATTGCTTTCTCACTGGCTATTGTGCTGTCAGGCAAGAAGCCAAAGGCCAAGTGCCCTGGACAGAACTGGCTATAAATTAATAATAATAGATATTGGACACCCATCTGTCATGGAACACACCTCTAATAAATGACTGTGATTGTAAACTGTTGACTTTCTTAATGGCTAACAGAGTGATGCACTTCCTGGGTTCCAGGCTGAGCTCAGATTCTGCATCTGCAAGTTCTGAACTGGGAACTGGAATAAAAACATACTTTTTTCCATTTGTAAAAAGCTACAAAATATTGTCTGTATGTTTAATAATGCAGAGAAATAAGGTACTAGAGCCTTTTGCATCAGTGCAGACTTGGGAAGAGTGTAATTCAAGTGCAAGAGTCTGTTCGTGACTGGTTTCTTGCTTTTTGCATTCTGATCAATTCCCTTTCCATTAAATAATGATAGTTTCACCTTATCTGTGAAACTTTCTTCAGGTTAGGGAAGATCAGCCTCACTGAGTTATGCAGATACAGGATATAAGTATAGTCCTCTAGAAAACAGTTCCTCATTAAAGTATCCTAAAGCGAACAAAATCCTTTGCTATAGGTTACTTTCATTTTCATAACGGATAATCGTGTTTTATGTTTATAGTTTTATGTCATCTTGCGTTTAAAGATGCACATATCTGCTTTATGGAGCGGCTTGGTCTTAACTGAAGCTGGCCACTTCACACATTTGCCCAGCTCTGGAGGCAGGCAGGCTGGGGTTACACTTGCGAGCACACTGCCTTTGGCAAGGAGCCTGGAGGACGGGTGCGGGTGAGGGGCTGAGGGGAGGGGGGAAGTGTAGAGTTCTCCCAGCAGAGCAGGGGTGAACCCTGGCTGAGCGTCCACTGAAGGAAGCCCGCCGAGCCTTTGTGCCTTGACATCATTCAAGAAGGGGAGAAAATAAAGAGAATAAAAAAGATCTACTATTTTTGAAAGCTCCCCTCATATTTCACTATTTTATTTAACTCCGCTCCCCTCTACTCTTATTTTCATCTCTCCAAAAACATAAAGAGTTGGTGAAGACAATAGGGCGAGAACATGCTTCTAGTGTCCATATATTCAAATCTCTCTTAAGGTCCAGAACTTCACTCCAACACTGATGTAAAATAGGTATTTTTCTAAGAAGTGTATTTACGCCACATGATATATTGTCTCTGAGTCACTCATGTACCCATAAAATGTTTTCATGCTACTTTCAAACTGTAGAATTACTTTCTGGTGGGCTATCTTTTCAGATAACAAAGTTAAACATTTCTGAAGTTAATATGATATTTGCTTAAAGGTGCTTTGTTATATACTTTGATCTCTGAGTAATAATAACATGACCAAAAAATGGTCTCTAGATCTCTTTAATAATTTATAACTTCTATGTCCTCACTGAGAATGGGTCCTCCTTTCATTACCTTTACCCAGGTTTCTTGTGGATAATTACTGAGAAAAAAATAAAGAACTTATTAAGAAAATTGTGGTGGAAATGGTGGCGGGAAGGAGAAATGCGCACATAATTTTTTATTGCTATTATCATTATATTATTTTTACTAAGATGGCGATACATGCAGAGAGATGTTTATCTCAAAAGAAGCTCAGAAAACTCGATCTTAACTGAAGAATACAAATGTGTGAAGTCACCGAAGGAATGATTGTATTTTTAAGGCTATTTTAAAAGAGAATTTTACCCTGAAGATGGGTACATCTAATAAGTATCAAGAAAAAATTAATTATAAAAAGGACTGTATTAGCCAGTTGTTAATTTGTTAAATTGAGATCATTGTTAAATGCACTTATGCTGACATTTTCACTGGCAAAGTCTTAGCTATAAGAAATACAGTAGTAGGTGCATTAGTTTTTTTGACACATCTCTATGCAGATTAATATATATGACTCAAGTATTATGCTTTTAGCTTGTCAAAGAATGATACTAAACCACTTATAGTTTTTGTTACATCTGAGCTGGTAATAATTTGTATAAAATATGTATAAGAGAATAAACTGAAAAGTTAAAAGAGTAAATCTAAAGCCACGGGAATCATGAAAGTGCAGGGCAACTTATTTATGTGTGTATAAAAATAGTTTTCTTTTTATTACTTCCTTATTACCTATAAAAGACACCTATTTGGATATATACTTATTTAATCTTAGCTTAAATAAAGGAAATCAGATTCCTATGTTATTGTCTTTGCTGCTTATGTTTACTCCAACTTGTATTCTCCAGATTTCTTGAGATTTCTCAAACCTCTGACAAAGCCCACCCATATACGACAAGGACAGAAACCTTCTTTCCACTGAGCAGGCTAAGCAGAGAACAGACACCAACAGCGTGGTTGAGGTTTGCTGAATGTAGGGATCAGGGCTTGGGGTAGCAGAACCCAGTGGGGTTGGGGGTATGTTGGTTGTGCCGCAGTGGTCATGTCAGTATCCAGGTCAGCTCTGTGGAACGCTCAGAACCTGGGAGGCTGGACAGTCTTCTTCCTGGTGTGTCTGGGGTTGGTGGTCCAAGATTAAAATCAAGGCAGCTCAGGCACAGGGTGAGCACCCTTGCTTTCCTGATTAGTCCTTCCTGAGCATCCTCCTCTCCTACAGTGCCCCATATAGCAGGCTGAATCTCCTTGCACCTTACAGGAAGGAAACTTACTTCCCTGAGATCCTTCTTGGAGTTTCAACAGGAGATCCATACTTACATTCCCATGTATTCTCTGTGGGATGGGATTGCACAGGTGGTGGATAACTGGGCCAACCCGAGAACACAACCAGAAACCAATCACATGTCAGGGGACTCCTCTCTTTCCTTTTGGGCACATGCCTTTTCTCTTCTGAATTGCCAAGGAAGGCTGGAAGTACCTACTTTGAGGATGCCCATACATAAAACATTTGATAGACTGAAAGTCAAAAGGAAACAGATAAAAGAGTCTGGTAGGGTAGAAAAGAAAGCTGCCAAAGGAACTTCCAAGGTTCAATTTCTTTCCTCTTAGATATGTGACTCTGTGGTGTACACAACCTTAAGGCATAATTTCTGGCCCAAAAGCAAAGAGGAAGCGATTCTGCTTTTGTAGTGTGGAGGTGAACACTAGCTGTGCCAAAATGTCCTTGAAAATACCTTCTGTATTTTATACAGGGGAAGAAGGAACAGAAAATGAATCACCTATGATGTTCCTTGTCTGCAGCAGAAAGAGAAAGTGATTTATTAGCTTTTTATTCCAATTTATAGAAAGGTATGAAAAATAAATTTGATGAGAATACCTGGAGCATACTAATTAAGCAAGTCTATAATTTCCCAAGCTGTCCTCTATTGGCTCTTTTTATGAAAGTGTTCCTTTCATACCAATGCAACCTCTCACAATAAAGCAGGATTTCTAGTCAAAACGTTTGTCCGCTGTGATGCTGACAGCTGCCCAGTGGGATGGGGTCATATAACAGCACTGCAGGCATCCAAGGGACATCGGTTTTCGACCCCCGTGTCAACCTCTAGAGTTCCCAGGGTCGGGTCAGCATCCTAAGGACGCCTGTGGTCTCATTCTGGGACACCTCTGGGATATCCCGCAGAAGAAGGGAATTCTTTGCCGAAAGCGTTCCCAGCCCCATTTTGTGGCTTGCTTTGTAGCATCATACTGGGGAGCATAAAAACAAAAATGACTGTGGAGTGGAGGCTGGGGCAGAGACTGTCAAATCATCGAGAAGCCTGGAAAAGACAGGCTTCCTCTCTGGTACAGCATTGATGGGAATTAGGATTCCTACTGGAGGAGTTTGAGATAAAGGATGCCTTCTTTATGCATCCCATGAACGGGATCCCTGGGCCACACAGATTGCACATCCATGTTGCGGCCTTTTATATTTCAGCCATTTGGCATACACTGGATTCTAAACCTTAAGGAATATGCAAACCATGACATTAATATGTCACTCTTCTGGGGTCAGATTTAAGGAAACCTTGTGCTCCAGGATGGCATCAAAGTAAGAGACCACGTGTTCCAAAAGTGATTTTTATAAATCCCTTGCCCTAGATCTATGCACTAGAGCTATGTAGTTTCATAAAAACTATACCCAAAGCTTACTGCCTGTTAGGTTGGATACATTTTCCTGGTCACAAGCAACACCAAAGAAAGAGACCTGAAGTGTAAGGAAAACTATTAAAGGACAGGTGATGTGACAACTGATTCAACATTCTGTTAGAAAGAAGGGGAAATTCAGGACAGAATTATTATCCTGCATTAAAAAATACAAGTTTCCAAGTCACCAGGATAAGTTTAAATGATATCACTATGTCCAATATCCTCTGCTTAAGAAGGCAGGAGTGTAAAATATATATTTAAAGCAAATTTCCATGAAAAAGGGGAAAACAGCTTTTTGCATAAGTGGTGAAATTTACATTATTGTACAGTGTGCTTGTGTAGAATATATAAATCTCTAAGGATGGATAATAAAACATTGGGCTTGGGTATATATACTTGGGAATTTTTACTGCTTATTATGTTTACTTACTTATTTTCAGAATGAATTATATAATGTTACTAAATTATAGTAAATAGTACATTTAGTAAATTATATATAAAGTTACTAAAAATGGTAGTCATCAGCCTACTAAGTAGTGTACAGATAACTCTGCTCTTATGAGACAGCAGAGAGAATCTATCCCCTCTTATGAGAGCAAATGCTTGTCTTCTGGGGGTGACAGTGAGCTTGGCTTTCTTACTCATTGAAGAGCCTTTGGGAGCCCCTGTACCAACCCTGCCTCAAAAAGAAAGGCTTCCAGGATGAAAGGCTCCCCCAACCAAGGCTAATTTCAATTTTTAGTTCTCAAAACTTGAAAAAGACCTTTTCAAAGTACACTATTTTAAAATAAAATCATTAGAGAAATAAATGTTTATATAAATCACTGTTCTATTAATCTTGTTAACAGCAGTGGCTAATGTGTATGAAAGGAAGATGAAATTCCCTCATACATCTCTTGGCCAGCTACGTTTTACATATGACAGAGATTTTAAGGGTGCACTTTTTGTTTGTTTGTTTTTTAAGTCAAGTCACATTGTTTAGGCCCTGGAACTTGACATGGAAGTTCTTGTACTACATAAATACTGTTCACCTGGTAGAGCTTATCTACCTATGTGGGCTCATTTAACATACATTTACTCTTCTAATTCTGATGATTTCCATGGGACTTTGAGAATCTGTTTACTAGACTGAGTGTGCAATGTGCATATTTATTCACACAAAATAAAGACACATTTGTCCTGTCGATGTGTTACGTCTGTCAAAATCATCCACTGATTCCAGCCCTCGGTTTGAAATGTGAAGTCTGGTTGTTGTGCGTGATCCTAGACAATGTATAGGGAAAGGAGGGCATCAGTTGCATCTAGGAGTGACCTAAATTTGAGACATCAAAAACTCTGACTTATAGTAACTAGAACATAGCATCTTGAAAACAGTAGCAGCACGAAAGTGACAAGCTAGCATATAAACAAGCAGGCAAAGTGAAGGAATAAACTAAAATATAAATCTACATGATATTTAACATGGAGACCATATCAAATCCTTAGGTTTGCTTCAAATCCATGTAAGTTACCTTATTGGTTTGCATCTTTATCGGGTCTTTCCTCACTCTCTTCTGCTTTATGTCAGTCATAAAGGCAGGTCCTAAGACTTTCTCATTACCTGTGTGGTATAGTTCCTCTGTATTTGAGGATTCTGCATCCGTGAACTGAACCAACCTCAGATCAAAAATATTTGGAAAAAAAACAACGCAAGGGCTGAGTGTGGTGGCTCATGCTTGTAATCCTAGCATTTTGAGAGGCGGAGGCAGGTGGATCACTTGACTCCACGAGTTTGAGACCAGCCTAGCCAACATGGCAAAACGCTGTCTCTACTAAAAATACAAAAATTAGCCAGGTGTGGTGGCGTGCACCTGTAATCCCAGCATTTTGAGAGGCTGAAGCAGGTGGGTCACTTGACTCCACGAGTTTGAGACCAGCCTGGCCAACATGGCAAAACCCTATCTCTACTAAAAATACAAAAATTAGCCAGGTGTGGTGGTGTGCACCTGTAATCACAGCATTTTGAGAGGCTGAGGCAGGAGGATTGCTTAAATTCAGGAGGTGGAGGTTGCAGTGAGCTCAGATCATGCCGCTGCACTCCAGCCTGGGTGACAGAGCAAAATTTCATCTCAAAAAAAAAAAAAAAAATTAAAATGACAGTACAACAATAAAAGTAATATAAATTTAAAAATCAGTACAGCACTAGAACTATTTACTTAGCATTTACATTGCATTAGGTATTATAAGTAATCTACAAATGATTAAAAATATACAAGAGAATGTACGTAGGTTATATGCAAATAGTACACCATTTTATATCAGGGACTTGAGCATCCTCAGATTTTGGTATGTATGGGGAGGGCAAGGATAGACCCAATTCCCCATAGATACCAAGGGACGACTGTACTCAGGGTCAGATATTTTCCATGCAGCTGTCATCTTATTTTTAGTTGGTTTACAAATGCTCTTTAAAGAAGATTTTCCTAGACTTCCTAATAACCAACCCCTCCACAGCCAATTAAAAGAGACCATGGGGGCATGAGCATTTATTTTAGATCTGGAGGCACTCCGAGGAATTCATCTGTTTTCAGCTTCTGCTTTTTGCTCAGAGAGGTCGTATATACCCATTTTATGGATTTAGTTGAGGCTCAAGGAGACAGAGAGCAAAAGGAAGCAGAGTGGGCGCATACCACATTTTAGGCCTTTTCTCTGCTTGTGTCATTACTGATTTCTTGTAGTTCTCTTTATTATTTTAGAGATACTAATTTTAAATCTTCCCATGAGAACAATCTTTGTAAAATGGGGATAATAACTATATCTGTCTGACAAAGCTGTTGTGGATTAAAGGATTTATGTAAACCTCAGTGCCTGTCTGTTACTCTAATGTTATTGTGGGGCCATGAGCTGCACTTTTAGGGCAGAGAGAAACAATGAAATTTGGCTCTATTTAAAATACAGCTTTTAAGTTAGAAGGAATCTTAAAAATAAAACATTCTACTTTACTGTTTTGTAGCTAAAGAAACTAAGGCCGAGAGAGGAAGATTACCCAGCTAGACAGGGATGGGCATGAGATAAGCTCCCAAATCGCCTCTTTACTAGTTCAAGTCTTCTTTCACTCTGTTAGAAAATGCTTATGTTTTTTTAATCCAGTATATTTAGCTATGTACATATACTGTAAGACACCCTTGGGAAATAAGCTGCATTCTTTAGCAAAAGCCTTTACTTCTGGGACCACAAGGACTGGATTGAGCAAAGGGCTTCTGCAGGACAGTTAAATGCAGCCACCGTTCTTTCTGACTATGTCTCAGAGAACCCAGTGTGCACGTTCTCTGTATCAGAGACTGGAACTCCGAGCTAGACACAGCCACTATTTCCCTACCCTCCAGATAGAGCTCTTCACCATGAATAATATGCATTTCTTAATGAAGACTAAACATCCACCAGCATTGGAATCTCTTCAATATCACACAATGAATCAAGTATCTGGATTCTAGGAGCAGAAGGAAGTGTGTTTGCATGTAGGCATCATAGGATTAAGGAGAGAGTACATACACTTGGGAGTGAGAAAATAGGCTAAACAGAAGAGTATGAGAAAATTAGCTCAGGTGATTTGATGTGAACATCTGCAGAAATTGCTAGTGGGCACTGTGTCTAATTAAATCCACTAGACATATGCATGCCTGTTATCTGTGGAATGGTGTTCTTCCTGAAGCTGCACCTGTTGCTAGCAGGGATAGATTTCCATTCTATCACACGTAATGTCAAAAGGGTTCTAGGGAGAAAAATTCGAGGCTCCAGTCGGCTTCACTTAGAGACAAGCACATCAGTGGTATGAGAGAGCCACACTCGGGACTCAAATACAGACTGAAAGCAGATACACTGAGACTTCACCATTCTCCAAACCACCTCTCCCGAGCTCCTCACGATTCTGACGGAGACAGTAGGCTTCTGGTTCGTGTAGATTTTAGAAACCAACACTGTGAACCAAATTTCAAAGACAGCATTTAACTGATTAAATGCTGGCTTGAACACAAGGCAAAGACAAACACAGGGCAAAATGTTTAAGTTCATGTCAGCCTTCATTTGTATACAAATGTCTATTGTGCAAATAACAAATGATCTTTGTACATCAGAACAGGCTGTTTTTGGCAGATGTTCCCTTGGTTATCTCACAACGGGTCAGTCCTTAGTTTGTGTGTAGCTATGTTCCAAGCTGTTCCTTTGATTTGTCTCCTCACTAATTAACAGTCTCCCCAGTTCAGCGGGTACTGATGTTCCACCCAGTCCATTGGATTTTCAGTGGATACAAATTGCGTTGAAGAAGCAGCAGGGCACAGAGATTAATAATGCAGTCTCTGGAGTCATCCCAGCTCCTTGTTTACTAGCTAGTTACTCAGTTCTTTAGGCCTCAGTTTCCTCATCTGTAAGGTAGCAATAACAGTGGCACCACCTCACAGGGTTCTTGTGCCAGTTAAATGAAGCAAGTCTTATCAAGTGCTTAGAGTTGTACTTGGCAAAGTGGAAATGCCCATCAATGTTAGATTTCTTTTTCGAGACAGGACCTTGCTTTGTGGCCTAGGCTGGAGTGAAGTGGTGTGATCATAGCTCACTGCAGCCTCGAACTCCCAGGCACAGGCAATACTGCCTCAGCCTCCCAAGTAGCTAGGACTACAGACACATGCCATCACACTCAGCTAATTTTTAAATTTTTTGTAGAGGTAGGGTCTTGCTATGTTGCCCAGGCTGGTCTTGAACTCCTGGCCTCAAGCAATCCTCCTGCCTCAACCTCCTAAAGCACTGGGATTACAGGTGTGAGCTACCATGTCTGGCCAAATGTCAAATATTTTTATTCATTATTACTGAACAAGCAATCTCCAGCAAATAACAACTGCAGTTCAGTGCACAGATTTGTCTTAAAAAGGAGAAAAATGGGCCAGGTGCAGTGGCTCACACCTGTAATCTCAGCACTTTGGGAGGCTGAGGCAGGTGGATCACCTGAGATCGGGAGTTCAAGACCAGCCTGACCAACACGGAGAAACTCCGTCTCTACTAAAAGTATAAAATTAGCTGGGTGTGGTGGTGCATGCCTATAATCCCAGCTACTCAGGAGGCTGAGGCAAGAGAATTGCTTGAACCTGGGAGGCAGAGGTTGCGGTGAGCTGAGATCATGCCATTGCATTCCAGCCTGGGCAACAAGAGTGAAACTCCGTCTCAAAAAAAAAAAAAAAAAAAAAAAAAAAAAAAAAAAAAAAGGAAGAAGAAAAATGTAGATTAAAAATTAAACCTGAGGCTGAATAGACCTAATTAAAGACCTATAATATTATATAGTCATAATGTTATTTACCTCAGTTCTATATACCAGTAGTCACTTTATCACTTCCATTACCTGTCCCCCCACTGGCAGGTATATGTCCATGGGCTCATGTGATCTGGTGAATTAAAAACTTGGTTGACAGACAGAGAAAAGTTGTGTTCTTGGCTAGATTTCCCACTAATTCTGTAAAAATATACATGTCACTACTGCTTACTTACATTTTTAGATAATGATATGATAACAAGGAAATATTTCAAATCTAGTGTCTCTCACTCATAGTATAATGAGAAAATTCTAGAAAGCAGATCTTTGAGGGGAAGACGGGGTGGAAAACAGACAATGAGTGGAGGCTGAGATACCCAGCTCCTCTATCGGGTATGTCTCTAGCTGCTTGCTTCTTGCTTCTCCTTTCCTTGTGTCCGCAAACACCACCCCAGAGTGACGTAACCAAGGTTGATGAGGTCAGGATGTGATGTGTTTGTGGTTTTAACTGGAGTTGTGGAATCTGAGGATGCTGCGTATGGAGATAGCCTTGCAGAGGACTTCTGCAATAGCAATAACTCCAAGGGTGGAGAAGTATTCTGTGTAGTAGATGCATGAAATCACTGTTATTGGCATTGGCCTCTCCATAGGACTTTTTGTTTTGTTTTTTGTTTTCTTGAGACAAGGTCTTACTCTGTCACCCAGGCTGGGGTGCAGTGGCATGATTGTGGCTCACTGCAACCTCTGCCTCCCAGGCTCAGGTGATCCTCCCACTTCAGCCTCCTGAGTAGCTGGGACTACAGGCATGCATCATGATACTTGACTAATGTTTTGTATTTTTTGTACAGATGGGGTTTTGCTATGTTGCCCGGGCTGGTCTCAAACTCCTGGGCTCAAGCGATCCACCTGCCTTGGCCTCTCAAAATGCTGGGATTGCAGGCATGAGCCGCCATGGCTGGTCTCCAAAAGACTTTTTAATGGACACTTTCCTATATTTTTCTCTTCACCTGCTTTTATTTCAGCTATATTGATATCTAAATGGTGATTAAAACACAATCATTTAAAACACAATGTGCTATTTCTGCCACAATGTATTTGAATTTGTATTCTCAGTATGTATTTAAAATTATTATCCTTTTATTTAACATAATTTATTCAATTAGACTTGTAAATAACATTTTATGGTGTTTTAAATGAATATATTGGTCTATTTCTGTGAGGCATTTGGAATATCTATAAAGTGTGATGTTAGACAGAAAAGCCAGCACTAAATAAACATTCACATTCACATTGCTTCTCTATCATGTCCGAGAAATTTAATCTCAAATTAGCCCCTATGGAGTAAAAGTCTGTGTAAACAGATGGACTTTGCACCTTGCCGCAAAGGTCAGCTGACGACAGCACTGTGAGTTTGGCAGCAAATCCCTTAGTCAGAGAAGGACCTTCCCATAAGAAAAACTTCGTCTTTATTTCAGTTCTCGTGACATGAATGAGACTTGGCTTCCATCACAAACTTGGCAGTCAGCGAGGCTTCCAGAGGATTCTATTAGCAATGATGATGATGATGGTTGAGATGGTGCAAAGCCCTTTATACTTTTCTGAGGCTCTTTCACATGCCTTGTGAAAAATTCTCACCATTTAACCTTAAAACACCATCAGATAAGAAATGTATATATGCAAAGTATTTTTTTTTCCAGGAAAAGAAAATAGATGTAATTCAATCTGGGTTCTTAAATTTTTCAGATCTAAATGAACTTTAAAATATGCTTGGATATATCTCTGAGGAATATAACCTTAACATTTTTCAGTGTTCAACCTAGACTAATAATAATATCAGCAACTCTGGTTTGGGGATCACAGAACTCACAAACCATTCACATCTGGCACATTTCATACCCCTTTCCTGATTCTACTGTAAGAACAGTCAACAGGAAATATGTTCACCGTAAATGACTGTGAGGCAGTGATGCATGCTGCAGCTTCATTCTTCTGGGAGAGTCTGAGTTTCCACCATAAGAAAAGTCAGAGATGTAGTTATTTCCTGTCTTCCTCTTCACTGAATCCTTGGACAGTACCCATTTTATGTTCTTAAGTGAAAATGCTTTCTTCACTGTGTGTCTGAAAGTGTACGAAGTATGTTTCTGAACAGAGTGCCTATTGGATCTTCTCTACAATCATAGTAGAGCTCAAAAGAACTTTGTTCAGGGTCCAGCTAATTTTCTTTTTCTTTTTCTTTTTTTCCTGCCCCACAGCTATTGTTGGAGTGTCATATGGGCATCTCTCTCATCTCCCAGATCGATGGCATCGTCTAGGACTTCCCACATAGACAAGATAAACGAAAGGCTTCCATGGACAGGTATGTAACTGTGGAGACAGCAGCGCTGCAGAAGAGGCCTCCTGATCAGAAAGAATGTCTGTCCCACAGTTGACTCTCTGGCTCTGCAGTCACCTTTGACATGACTTGCTGAATAGGAGTTTGTTTTCCAATTTCCATGGTTCAGCCATAGGCCATGCAAAGTAAATACTAGTAAATGAGCAACAGTAGGTTCAAAGGAACATAAGACTAGAGTCCCTCCTCCTTTTGAAGACAGTTTGGGTAGCATTCACATGTGAATCAATCTGTTTGGGGTCTTTGAAGTGACTTTGATTAAGAGTTGTGGCCCAATAGTAGTGAAACGGGCAGGGCCGTCAAAAGAATTGGCAGTTCCAATATGGACACTCAGCCTGTGCTCCACAGCCAGAGAGAGCCCCAGGTGATACCCATACACAGAGCGGTTTTAGCCTTGGAAAAACAAGTCAGAAACTCACTATGCAGGGAGGTTTGCATGGAAAGGGGTTTCGTTTGAAGTAAAGAAAATATACCATAAGACTTCATAACCCTACAGATCAGCTATGAATTAAATTAATTCACAGAATGTTAGACTTCTTCATAGTGCTCTTTAGTAAGCACAAAACACCTTTCTTTTTTTAAAAAACAAACACTTTATGTATTTTCAAAGGCACAATTTATCTGTTTATGAATAAAACAAAAACAATTAATGTCCCAAAATTTCAGGAACCACATAAAATCAAATGCAGTTCACTAAATTCTCCTTGATTATATTAAAAATGTTAAAATTAACAAATACTTAAATTTGGTAGGCTTCCCTGAATGCAAACATCTTTTGGAATAAGAAGAAAAAAAATAATTTATGGAAAGACTAGGATTTCTGCCTACCTTCACTTCAGCAGAGGAATAAAAATAATTCAAGAGCCCATTTCTTTGCTTTTTGTGTTTCAATTAACTATAAAATGTGCATCTGTCTTACTCATGTATTTTGACTTAACTTATTTTTCTCCTTACTTTATGTTCTCCTTCACTGCCTACTGCTACACATTGTGGAATTAGCTTTTCGTTCTCAAACAAACATAGATTAACTCTGGAAGCCAAACGAAAGGAAATATTTGAGATCAGAAGTATAGTTGGCATAGTGGAAAGATAGGCTTTAGGGTCAGACAAAAATTAATAAGTGACCTAGGTCAGTTGCCCCACTTTTAAACCTAGTCTCAGCATATAAAAATTGGGAACATAATACTTCTTACTGAGTTGCTATGGAGATTAGAGATTTTAAAAAGCGAATGATAAGCTATGCAGTTAGATGTTCAAAAATGGTAGTGTTAATTTTACAGCATTTCTATTTGCTGATTTTCTGATTTCATCAGCTCTACTGTCAGTTACTTTAGACTGGTGCTATTTTGTCCTGGGGCAACATTATATTTTATAGTTCCGGTTTTCATGGAATTTTTATCATAAATGCAAACGTGCATAAATGATTTTAAAATTAATTTTTTCTTAGGATGGGTAATTTGTACTATTAATGATGATGATGATTTTTTTTAGAACAGTAATTTAAAAGGGATATGAAAAGAGCAGGACTACATAATTATTGGCTTAAATTACAATGAGAACAAACATATCCCATTCTAACAAGAATGTTTAAATTGTTACCTAGTTTGATCCAGAAGGAAAAGGAAATCTCTAGCCAGTACGGGAAAATTCTCTTTTGCTGTGCTGTAGATATCTACAATTCATAATATTCTTCAGGCCTAAACTACTCCTATGGTGCCATTTCTGGCTTAGACTCTGGTGCTTTTAATGGATGTCCAAGCAGAACAAATCTGCAGTCACCAGCAAATTTTATTATCTAAACATGGAAAGATTTGTCCACATTATAAGAAAACAGATTTTTTTTTTTTTTTTAGTAATCTCTAGGAGAGTCTGAGGTCCCCAAAGGATTATTACTATAAATAACCGTATAGCTACTGAAAAAGATTTATATATGTATATGGCAAGATGCTTTCCATCTAGATGCTGAAGTTTGGTCCTTCTGAGTCCACCAAGGTGTGAGCTGGCAGAGGAGGTGGCTAAAGTCTGAGACCTAGATGAAAGGGTTAATAGCTGCACTCTTACATTGAATTTGTGAAGGGTGAGAAAACTTAGGAAACGAGATTTTTTTCTGAGAATAATATGCCAAGTGAAGCCACGATGGCACGTGTATGCCATGAGTGCTGCTAGGATCTCTTCCCTACATTTCGGCTTGTCAGTTTGTCCTAATTAATCCCAACCAATGGATACCTTCAAGCACATGAATGTGGAACATGTCAAAGACTAATTATCTTGGGCCTTAACACTGTCTTCCTGCCAAACCTAAGTCTTTCCTCTACGGAATTAAAAATACTGTCTGTAATTCACAAAACCCTATTAGAAAACTTTTGATTCATTAAAGATGGGAATAATACTTTTATTTTTAATGTCCATTATATCTACATACTTCTGAATGTTAAAAAGGGTCTAGTTTCTTCTTCTACCCTGATACTTCTTTTTTTAAAAAAAAAAAAAAAAATGTTCCAAGTTGCCATTAAAAGTTCAGAAGGAAAAGGTAAGACAATCAGAAGAAAACATCCTTTACACATTTTACTGTTGAAGTGAAGATTTCAGGAAACTCTTGATTTGGCAGAGACTAGAGTGGGGTAAGTTCATGAAAACAGAACGTTTAGAGAAAAACGCTGGCGAAGCAAGGATGAGAAGAAAGAGACCCAAAGGAGTAATTCCTTCTCAGGAAGACAAGAAAGGGGAATTAGAAGAGAGATTTTTTGGAATATGAGGCTTGCTGTCATCTCCTAAAACCAAGAAATAAAAAAAAAATTTAAAAAATGGGGAAAGTCTCTTCAGGAGGAGGAAAGAGGAGAGAGTACCCTGCCAGGTAGGGCCACCTCACAGTGGTGACTTGTTCCAGTCATTATCTATAAAAAATGAAAAAGCCATTTTGTTTTACTTTTGTTCATCTGTTTCATTAGCTCAGATAATATTTGTATTAGAGTTTTATTTGGCAATCACAGTCACTATTTATACTAATTGGCAACCATTCATACTTAATGGAAACCTAAGTAATATTTGCTGCTAAAGCAAACATTATAATAAACTAATCTCTGATTCCAATGATTCTTGATAATCCTGGCTTTGTAAGATCATGTTTGAATTTAAAACATTTGACTGTGACCTCCATCCCCTAAGTGCTGTGCTGATTATATTTGATTTCATCTTTGGTTCCAATGTGGCTTCCCTCTGATAGGGTAACAATCATCATAATACATCTTACTTCATATAATACCTCTTTATAGTTTACAAAGTGATCTCACATGTGTTATTTTTACAACGAGAGGTAATATACTGATTTTATAGATAAGTAAACCGAGGCACAAAAATAAGTGACAAAGATAATCAAAGCCAGGCTTTCTGACTCCAAATCTAATAGTTATACCACCAACTACTGTACAAATTAAATGCACTGAATGTGATACATGCCTTCCATAAATCTGCAGAAAGATGTAATGGTGACTGTCATTGGTATGGAGTGTGTAGAGCTGAATCACAGCATCCTAGATGTCTTTCTAAAATGTATCCTAAAAATGACTCCGCGGGTTGAGAAGGGCTACCACCCTCCAATGCTTGAATGTTGTGACACCACTGATTGACACAAACCCAGCTCAGGCCTCAGGAAGAGTAGGGGGAGACAAGCCAAGTCACAATCCAAATTAGCGCAGCCGCTCCTGCAGCAAGGGGAACACAATGTGGTCTTTGACTAACCTTTCAATGCCCTGTGTAGCTTGAGCCCTGAGGGCGGTGCCGAGCTGACAGCCTGGAACATTGACCAACGCGCTGCAACTGACGTGTAAATCACCCTCCGACTAGGGGTCCCGAATCTGGAAAAGGAAATGTCATCTTTGGACTTTGCCCATCATGTGTTTATGCACGAACAGTCCTTTCAAGTGCCTCTCTCCACCTTTGCAGACAAGTGGCATAATGCAGGTAGAGATCACATTTTTGGAGTTTATTCCTAAGACTGGCTGTTAGTTTTTATAAACATTCCTTTTATCTGAAATTTAACCATAATTTTTTTTTCTTAAAATGCCATATCTTCCTATATTTAGAGGGCAGGATGCCAAGTCCATATCTACTCAATATATCAAATATTTTCAGTAAGCCAGGAATTAGAGCTTCCTTTTGTAATCAACAAAACTCCTGGTAACTTCATCTTTACTAACAGCCTCATCCTTTCCTGCCATTTCTTTGTTTGTTTGTTTAATAATTTGGTAGTACTGCTGTTGCCTTGCTTCCTGGCACCACTAGCCTGTCTGGGCATGATCTTTCTTTCCCCTCTTCCAATTACTGGCCTCTGTTTGCCTCAAAGAGCCCACTTCTTAGGCACCACCTTCCCAACCCCTCTAAGCCACTGCTTACTTGGATTGTGAGCTGTCGGCCCTTGTTCCCGGCTTCTGATATCACACCTGCTGGCCAGGCTGAAATTCCTCCCTGCATCCTCTGCAGCTGCCACTCTCAGAGCCATTCCTCCTAGATCCCACATGTGCATTCCAGGGCCTCTCAGTTGGCATCTTCGCCATGCAGGCAATTTGGTCAAGTCATTGTAGCATCCTGAGACATTCACTCTATCCATATAATTTATGCATTGGCCATTTCTTGTCCTTTGAGAAATACCACTGATTGTCACTAGTGAGTGGGAGAAGTGGAACTAAAAGCCAGCCACACTGGGTAGTAACTTATAAGCAGTTCTTGAAAATATTAACAAGATGACATCAAACTTTATGTCAAAAATGAAGCATTTTGTCTCTCCTATTTTCATTCCTATTAACATGGCCAATCAAGAGTTATCAGTAACTTAAATGTGTATATGAATTTCCTGAGTATTTTTAATTCAATTCGTCTAGGGTCAGGACTGAAATTCTGCATTTCTTTTTTTTTTTTAAAAAAATAGGCCAGGCGCAGTGGTTCACGCCTGTAATCCCAGCACTTTGGGAGGCCAAGGCGGGCAGTTCACGAGGTCAGAAGATCGAGACCATCCTGGCCAACATGGTGAAACCCTGTCTCTACTAAAAATACAAAAATTAGCTGGGTGTAGCAGCGGGCACCTGTAATGCATGTTACTTTATAGGATTGGCAGAGCAAAGAGCAAGAGGGGACAGATATGGCAAAGGTAATATAATTCAGATTCTTCTGATAATTTATAAATATCTGGTAGAAATATAAGTTATACTACTGGAATTCCAATTATATTTTAGGAATTCTTATTAACTTAAAATCAATAGACTATCCAAATAAATTAAATTAAATGTGAACTTAATTTTGATTTTTGTTTTCCTTAGTTTGTAAGATATAGATAATTTCCAAAAGTGTAATTTGTGAATGAGGTACTAGAGTCTTCTCTTAAAAATAATTGTTTGCTTAACAGAATTTAGAATGGAATTGTGAATGAATAAAAACCATACTGGGACCAAAGTCATCAAGAAACTGAGTACAGCTATGGGAATTTCATTGTACCCTTGAGGGGCCTCCTTTTAAGACCACACAGGCCAAGTTAGCTAACCACCCCCTGCCAAGAGTGGAAGAGCTTTTCACTAACAACAGCAAATATTACTTAAAATATTGAGAACATTTAATATGAAAAACAATTTCCAAAGAAGCAAGAGTTCCCGTTGCTGCTGCAAAAAGCAATGCTTTTAGTTAAATGAAATAATCCTATTATATCATTTCTTAATATTGTATTTAGTTTTCAGAGGCAGATGCAGTATGCTTTGAAATTAAGATCATTGAATAGATATTTATATGGCAGGCCATTTAGCTAGGGGCCAGGAATATAGGGTGAACAATACACACATAATCCTTGCCTTCATTGAGATTTCAGACTGCATTGATTTTTTATTCCTACTAGATGTGTTTTCCATTGTGATCCCCCTCCCCAATTCAGTTTTGAGTACAAAACTGAATCTTGAACCCTGATCCAAACTTTTAAAAAATGTGCACAAATGGAGTATTTGTAAATAATGCTACCCGTTGGAAAGATCATGCATCTTACACCTTTTATCAATAAAAATATGTTTATGTCTATGTATATGTATAAGCTAATGGCTTCTGCCTTTAAACCTACTTCTAATTTTTTTTTCTTATTTGTTTTGAGATAGAGTCTCACTCTGTCACCCAGGCTGGAGTGCAGTGGCACGATCTCAGCTCACTACACCCTCCACCTTCCAGGTTCAAGCAATTCTCCTGCCTCGGCCTCTTGAGTAGCTGGGATTACAGGCACCTGCCACCAAGCCCGGCTAAATTTTGTATTTTTAGTAGAGACGGGGCTTCACCATCTTGGCTAGGCTGATCTCGAACTCCTGACCCACAGTGATCCGCCCGCCTCGGCCTCCCAAAGTGCTGGGATTACAGGCGTGAGCCACCATGCCCAGCTCCTACTTCTAAATTTTGTGCAACAAAATGCAGTGTAATTACTCACTTATAGGTCTGTCTCCTTAACGAGGCTGTTCACTCATTGATAGATCCACTACAATCCATTGAGTTGCCAAGCCAGAAACTGGGCCTTCCTGGGTCTACCTAATCATGTTGATTGAATTTCACAAACAACTTTCAAATCATCCCTTTTCAGGTCCTATAAATGTTCATCCAGGCAATTACTACAGCCTCCTCACTTGCTTCTTCTCTGGACAGTCCCCCACACTGCCCCTGATCTCTGACTTCCAATCTGACGTCTACAGTGCCCAGAGGAAGCTCTCTAAAACATCAATCGTTCTTGTCGCTCCTCTGACATCTATAGTGCCCGGAGGAAGCTCTCTAAAACATCAATCGCTCTTGTCACTCCTGGCTTCAGTGGATACTCATTACTATCAGTTTAAAATCCAAAGCTGTATACAAGTTCCATGAACACATAAATGTGAAAATGTTGCATTCTATATACCTCCTTCGATTTACACTACATTTTAGTATATTAAATGTTCTGAGATGACCTGCAGTTATATAGGCTTCTCTAGTTTTGCTTAACCCAGTATATCTCAAATGCATTTAACTATGGAATTTTTTCCTCCTAGCATTAATAATTCCTATCAGCATCCCCCAATCCAGCATCCTCTGGGACATGCTAGAGTCTACTGGGTGATCTATGGCCAGCCAGGTCTGATTACAAAACTCTTGTGTTGGAACCCATAGGTGCCTTTCTGAGGGATGCCTGGTTTATCCTCCTCAGAGGGCCTGTGTTGAGCAGCTATGTTTTATTAAACACAGCTGATTCAACTTAAGGTTTTGGACTCGTAGGAGACTTAAAAATCATTGAGTATAATTCACTGATTTTACATTTGAAGGAAATAAGAGTCAGAGAGGGAGATACTCAAGATCACACAGATAATAAACTAGACAGGGAACTGCACAAAAATAACTTAGTGCAGAAAATACTCACAGTGGCATTTTGGGGGAACAGGTGAGAAGAACATAAATAAAAAAATAAATTGGGAAAGTAAAACCAACAGCAAGCAGACTATCTAGAGCAGTGCTTTCTAATTGAAATATATTGTGAGCTACAAATGCAAGCCACATGATGTAATTATAAATTTCTAGTGGCCAAAAACAGTAAAAATAAACAGAAAATTAATTTAAATAATTTATTTAACTCAACATATTCAAATTATTATTTCAATATGTAATCAACATTAAAAACTATTAATATGATATTTTATGTTCCCTTTTGGACTAAGTAATCAAAATCTACTGTGTATTTCACACTTACAACATATATTAATTGGAACCAGCCACATTTGAAGTGCTCAGTAGCTAGTTAGTGGCTATAAGACATCAGAGATAGAACACATCCATCATTTCAGAATGTTCTATTGGGCAACATTGATTTAGAACAATGGTTCTTAACTGGGGCTGATTTCTTCATCCTAGGAAACATTTGGCAATGTCTGGGGAGATTTTTGGTTGTCACAGTTGAAGGGGAGACTGCTACTGGCATCTAGTGGGTAGAAGCCAGGGATGTGGCTAGACATCCTAAGAAGTTGTGATGCATAGGATGGCCTCCACAAGAACAAAAAATTGGCCCCAAATGTCAATAGTGCTGAGGTTAAGAAATCCTACTCTAGAGAATTGAGTGAGCTAATGAGAAATTATATTGTATTTTTTGTGAAAGCTCTTTCTCTCACTCGACAAATATCAGTGAAGTTTCAAATACTGCCAGGTACTACGTTAGCGCTTTAGAAATAAAGACGTCAGGCCGGACGCGGTGGCTCGCGCCTGTAATCCCAGCACTTTGGGAGGCTGAGGCGGGTGGATCACGAGGTCAGGAGATCGAGACCACAGTGAAACTCCGTCTCTACTAAAAATACAAAAAAAATTAGCCGGGAGCGGTGGCGGGCGCCTGTAGTCCCAGCTACTCCGGAGGCTGAGGCAGGAGAATGGCGTGAACCCAGGAGGCGTAGCTTGCTGTGAGCCGACATCGTGCCACTGCACTCCATCCTGGGTGACAGAGCGAGACTCCGTCTCAAAAAAAAAAAAAAAAAAAAGACAGGAGATAGAAATAAAGACGTCAAACATCACCAAATATGGTCACTGAATGCAATAGGTGTTATACTATATAAAGAGCTGAAACGGGGCAAAGGAAAGAGTCATCAACTTTGCTTATGTTTTTATCCACTACAGAGTTAACATAAAGTCTTATATAGAGATGAGTAAAAAGGAAAATAAAGGAAAGAAAACAAACAAACAAAATCAAGGCAAAACCAGAGGAATCGGAAGGAAAAAAGAAAAGAAAGACAATACACTAATTTGATAGACTGTGCAGGAAATCGAAAGGTAAGGCAGAGTGAGATGGAATCTAAGTAATATGTGGAGAAAACATAAGAACAGCCAGTGACACTATCCACTGCTGTCCATATTCAAATATTCAAATATTGCCCACTGTTTTCCCTCTCCTTTCTCGGTGGACATTCCTAAAGGACCGCTCAGAGGCTACCTCCAACAATGAGTGTTCTATTTCTTTTTTCCTTTGAGAGTAAAAAGAGCTGATTTTCTGGAAGTATGTCAAGTTGCTCTCCACTGGGATTGGAAGGCAGGCTGATTGGAGATACAACGGGGTCAGTGTCTGGACAGCAATCTGTCATGAAGCAAAGCCTGTCACAGACAGCCCTGGAGATGTAGACAAAGACGCCGGACTATTATTTTCCAGAGAGAGCCTTTAAAGCACCTTGGGGCCGAAGATCTGCACGGCCCTGGGCTTCCACGTTGGACCACCTGCCAGGAACTCTGCGTCAGGCTGACCTCTCCCACCCAATGTGAATAACTTCCGAGAGGTAGTCCCCCACATAAGGGCAGGGGCTGCAAGCTGGCGAAGAAAGAGAAGAGATTTATAGCTCTAGAATATCTCTCCCTTTTGAAAATGAAATGACACATTAGCTGGGGAGAGGGGCTTGGCTGAAAGGGCCTATCCCCAGGCATGACAAGTTCAACCTTCATTACCCAGTGCAACAGCTTGGGTCGGTCCAGGCCAGTCTGCCGAGGAAAGAAAGGATGGGTGTGTTTAGTAACAGACGAGAAGAGGCTCCCTCAAGACTTATTTGATCCATTTTTTAAAAGCCTTATCCCATATGATCTTTTCCCAAAAGATGGTTTTTGCCTGGGGGCCAGCACCACCACAGGCCAGAAATCATACCACCATGGAACACTCCCGTTATGGCCTACTCTGCAGTATACTAAAATTGGGAAAAGAACTCTATATACCATTTAAAAATATCCTCCCAATAAAGAGAGAACAAGTTTTTGTGTCTTTTGCGGTCTTTTTGATTCTTCCAATCTTGAAGAAATTGCTTAGAATCTTGAAAACCCTGATTATTCTTTTAACTACTAAAAAAGATCAGCTATTTAAAAAAAATAGGATAATGATGGCCTCTTTGATGTGGTTCTTGCATGAACATGGTTTACTTCCTGTCAAGTCATCTCTGCTTTTTGATGACTAGCAGGAAAGTTTCACCATCAGAAAATACAGCATTCTTGGGGGATGATGCCTTCTCTGAAATTTTGAGGGACAAAGAGGAGTTCTAGGCAGAAAGATGGAGGTTAAATTCCAGAGTTCTACCACGACGTCCGGGTCTGCGGCTGGACCAGGAAAATCCATACACAATGAAAACACAGACACGGGAGATTTGCACAGCTTTTAACTTAGGTCAAAAAAACTTGTAATTTATTAAGTAAGAGGGCACTAACACGTGCCATGTCACGCTAGATTTTCTTGAAAAATAAAAAAAAATAACAAAGTTAAACTTTCAGTCAACCTGAAAATATTAGCTTTTTATGGGGGCAGGGCGGAACGAATGGAACAGCAGCGCCTTTTTTTTTGGATTGCCCATTTTCCAAATCTTCTCAGAGAAACACTGATAGGGGAATCAGGAAGACAGGAAATAGAAATAGGAAAACAAATATTGGAAATGTACTTATGAAAGATACGGCACAAGGAGAAAAGATAGGCCTCTGTTACTGGTGACCAAGGTATACAGTAGGACATAGTGATTGATAAATGTTTTTCTGAGATTGAAATTTGCAATGTTTTAATTGAAGGAGAAAAGTGCAAATGAATGAGAAGCATATGGTATGTTGTATGCAAAGCAGACTGAAGCAATATTTTATCATTTTAACTCTGCAATGGCAAATACTTTTCAGGAAGTATACATCACATAGTTTTGGGAAAAAAGAGGTTCTAATTATAGGAAATTTCGCTCTTTAAACCGTAAAATAACATTTTGAAGAAAAAAGAAAAGAAATCCTTGCCCACAAGCATGATAAGATCCAGGATCCAGTAGACAAGATTCTTTGTGTTGGCCAAAATTTTATCCAAAAGGGTACGTAAGACGTTGCGAAAGATTTATTTATTTATTTTAGCATTATAAAATTACTTTATTATTTAGAATACTTGTCATATACAGCACATAATTTCTCAAAGGCGTTCCAAAAAAATCTGAATCCTATGTAATGTTAAAAAAGGTATGCAAATGAAATTGTTACATTCTATATTCTATTTTTGAAGTGTCACTATGCATTAAATACCTGATAAAGATTTAAATACCTTAATAAAGATCTAGATCAATGTGACAATAAAGAACTGCATTGATCAACTATGGCTGTATTTGATCCAGCATTTCCTAGATATATTTGATTATGTGAATCTGTGTTTTTTTTTCCACCCATTGTGAGAGGTTTAAGAATGAGTTTCATACCTGGATGTAATTACTCATTGCTTAGTACATGCTTTTGATTGAAATGTTTTCCTTTCTTTTACTAAATAAAAACGGCATCATAAAATTTTAAACGTTCCTTATCTGGTCTTAAATTGTTCTGACTTCTTCCTTTTTATTGACCAGGATTTTGTCAGAATAGGAAAGTCCTTTCTCCTCTGTGCATCTCCTTTCTGACCTTCAGCCAACAATCATTATGCTTTTTTAAAAAATTGATTTTTAAATGATGATGATAATAAAAACAAGGCCGAAGAAGATGATAGGATATTTAATGTCTTGTTTCCTGAGGTCGGTGGATGCTGGTTTAAATCTGAAACAAACTCTAAACGTCTATCATTCATTCCTTCAATCACAATTTCCAATGTTCTATCTGGTCTCAGAACAGGAAAACAGGTCTCAAAAAATGTCAGTTCTACTGATGTCCTGGGTTTTATATTGAGACATAAGGGGTGGGGAAATGCGGGACCCACTAATAATCCTAAATTTTTACCCACATGAGGGTCCAGGGATTGTTTACTGTACTTAGCCTCGAACCTCTTCTCTCCCATGGTCTAGGCAGGAATGCGGAGGGAGTGCTGACCCCAGCGTCACACAAAGAGCCTTGGACAATAAAGAAGGTCGCCTCTTTCTATACAGACCTGCCTTTGTGCTCCGTGTGGGGCTTGATCTTTGCGGCCCAGAGCTCAGTAGATGCCAGGGAGATAGATGTGATGTGCTCGCCTCATCCCGGGCAGCAGCTGAGCAACTTTCACACAGGCAGGCAGGTACAGCCAGCCTAGTTAACAGATGAGAACCCCTGGGGAGACCTTGACTATGGAGGATGAAAAATCAAAAGAAACCATATTGGGCACAGATACAAAGGGAGTCCCCCGCTCCTTTCTCTCCTCCCTTGTTCGCTTTCTGTCCTTCCTTAGGAAACAGCAATGAATGTGGAAAGCTGGCTTCCCCCTGGAAGCGTTGTTCCTTGGAGGGCAGGGCCTCCAGATGCTGTTCTGTGCAAATGGTTCCTCCCTTTCCCGCCTGGGGGACAACAAGCTGTTCTTTACCCCATCTGCAAGTCCATTTTCTGTCTTTTCTGGATGGGAAAGGCAAATGAAGGGATAAAAAAATGTTCCAGAGAACGATTTCCTCTGCCTCACTCTGGGTGAGCGGAAGTGCCCTGGGGTTGCTGTCCCTGCCCACATCAGGATATCACTGTCCTGGGTTTTGGAAGCAAGGCTCAGAAGTGAGTGCATAAAGTACCAATGAAAAGTTTTCAAAACACTAGATGTTTTCCGCAAATGTGAAAGTAGGTGGTGAAGGCATTTGAAAGGACTTAGGCCCCAAAATTATGTAACTACTTTTAATGTAATGCAACAAAATTGTGTATTTCACTGTTAAAGATGGCCCACCTCCCCTTTTCCTATTTGCTTTAAAAATACTGCAATACGGTTTACAGTGATTTTTTTGTTTGTTTTTTTATATTACCTTTTTGTGAGGTAAAATCAATTTTGTACAGCCTAGTCATATGACAAATATATAAATAAATAACAAAGAATGATAGCCCATTACCAGGATTCTAAGATAAGTAGTAACTGTGTGAACTCTTTTGGTGAGGTCAAACCATGGCTAAAATCTGTGTCAGTGAGAGTTCCTGGAATTTCCGTGTTGAGCATCTCAGTGCTCCTGATGCCTTCAGCCCACATTGATGTAAAAGAAAATTAGAACTAAAGCTCAGATAATATTAGTAAATTTGATATATGCCAGAATGTGTAAGAAGTATTTTTATAGTATTACCTGGCAATCATATATATTGCCTTATTACACACAAGTCTAACTAATATTCTGATGAAGCAGGACCCATGGGTATTATATTTTTAAATGTAGGATGATCATACAAGTTTCGGATACTTCTGGTGGTATTATTAGTCTGTCATTTTATGCAGATGTTTCTTAAGAGTAGTCAATAACTTACCATTTAGAAATAAATTAATTCTTTAAAGGGAATCAATGCTTCCTTGTTCTAAAGTGAAAACACAAATAACACTCTCACTATGGATTGGCCTATATGCCCATCCACATGTATATATGATCCTGAAACTTACACAGCAGTACAGTGGTTTTGTGGGGATTTTTTTTTCCTTCTTAGAGAACAAACAACTCTAGTTAACAAAAGAGCATTTAAGATAGTGGTAAATAAATCTCAATTCAGCTCCTGAATGCAATTAAGTAATAGCGGATGAATTTAGAAATACAAAGCATGGGATACATGTACTCCCTCCCACGTTCATGACAGGCATCATAATTAATCCTGACATTTTGTAGCTGGCTACAACTCAGAATCCATCTCAATAATACTCCAAGGGATCACCACTATGTAATCAAGCTGCCGTATAGGATGACCTTCTATTTGCCACCCTTGGACTGGTTTCTTAATCTACTTGTGCCTTAGTTTCTTTATTAGAGAAATGATCACAAAGATTAGAGTCCTGTATGGAGACAGGATTGTGAATTTCTGGAATAGATTATCTAGGGATGATGATATATATCTTTTTTTGGAAAGTAAAAATAAAACATAATATCAATAGAGAAGAGTTTCAGTTAAGTCCATCTAAAAATAAGTTAAATTGCACATAATATCTGAGGACCTATCCATTTTTAGAATTCCATCATGGCTGCCTCGCCTCCTCAAGAAACTATTACTCCTAATATCATTGGTAATTAAAATGTATAATAAGTCAGAGATTTAATACAAGTGGAGTTTCATAGGCAAAGAATACTTCTCTAAATACATTGATTTCATGAAGACAAGGTAAAGATATTATTGAGTCTCTTATTCAATGTTTTTCCTAAATAGCATATTCCTCTATAAGTCAAAATATGACTACTGGGATATCTAACACCTGGAATACTCTTCCTTTCTCCTCTCAGGTTTGCTCTTGTCTTATTTCAAGTCTTTGCTGAAGTCTCAGCTCCTCAAAGACGCTTCTGTATTGCCTGATTTGAAGTAAATTGTCAACATTCCTGTGATTTTATCTCACAGCATCCCGTTCTTTCTCTTTACAACATTTACCACAAAAACTCCTATCTATCTATCTGTCTGCCTATCTATCTATCATCTATGTATCTTTCTTTCTTTCTATCCCTCTCATCTATTTCAGCTATCTCAACTTGTTTAGTAAGTTGTTTTTTCCAAAAGGGTAGGGACTATATTTTTGTTCACCACCTAAGGCCTTAACATATTCTAGAAGCCTTGGCTGTACACTAGACTCGCCTATGAAACTTTTTAGAAATCTCAATGCACAGACCAAACCCCCCAAAAATTATTAATACATCAGAGAGGATGTGTATTAGTCTACTCATGCTGCCAGAACAAAATACCACAGACTGGGTTGCTTAAACACCAAAATGTATCTTCTCATAGTTCTGGAAGCTAGAAATCCAGGATCGAATGTACCATCAGGGCTGGTTTCTGGTGAGGCCTATCTCCTTGGCTTGTAGACAGCCATCATCTCACTGTGTCCTTACACAGCCTCTTCTCTGTGCACTCACACAGACAGCAATAGAGAACAAGCTCTGGTGGTTCTCTTTTTATAAGGACACAAGTCTTATTGGATCAAGGCCCCACTCTTATGACTTCATTTAAATGTATTATCTCCTTAAGACCCTATCTCCAAATACAGGCACCTTGAGGGTTAGGGCTTCAACATAGGAATTTGGGGAAAGGGAAACAATTCCATCTATAACAGGATGAAACCAGGCATCTCTGTGTTTTAAAGCTCTGTTCCAATGGCCAACCGTCTTAGTCCATTTTGTATTGCTATTAACAGAAGACCTAAGGCAGGGTAATTGAGAAAGAAAAGAGGTTTATTTGACTCACAATTCTGGTGGCTAAAAAATCCAAGATTGTGCAGCTGCATCTGGTGAGGGCTTCATGCTGCTTCCACTCACAGCAGAGGGCAGAGGGCTGGGGGAGCAGGTGTGTGCAAAGGCAGAGGAAGCAAGAGAGGGAAACTGAGGAAGCCAGATTCTTTCAAACAACCTACTCTCTTGAGAACGATTTCATTCCTGGAGTGAGGGAGCCAAAACTCATTGACTCCAGCAGGAAAGCATTAACATATTCATGAAGGATCCTCCCCTATGACCCAAACACCTCTCACTAGGCTCCATCTCCCAATACTGCCACACTGGAAATTCAGTTTCAGCTAAGTTTTGGCAGGGACAACCCACATCCAAACTGTAGCACCAGCTAAAACTGAAAAACCACTATCATGTAGGGAGAAACATCAATATCAATTTTCACTGCAAACCTTAGCTTTTTTCATGTAACCTTGTTAGTAGCAGCACTGTAAGTTATGACATCCACAGAAAAAAATATGATGTAATCCAGCACCATCAAAAAGGAATGGGGAGGATGGAGATGGACACACTGACTGTGCAGAACGACGCTATTGCTGTGGTGCCACATTCACAGGCCTATGAACGGACTGAATTCAGAAACAAAACACAAAACACTCTCCTTTTCAATAAGCCTAGCAGTTTGCAGTGATGAGTACAAAAGCTGGGAAAAGGTTTTATGCTCATTCACAATTGGGGCTAAGCTGGTGGAATCATATCTCTCCTAAATGTGGCTAGAGGCAATTAAAAACAAGAGGAAGATTTAAAGCTTGATGCCTCCTAGATGTTAATTGGAAGGGAGAGAGGGAGTCCATGCAAATACAGCCACCTGCCTGGAAGACATGTATTTAGAGAAAGGATTTATGCAAAGCATCTGATTGTCTTTTGCTGTGGATACCCACCGAGTCTCCGAAGCAAGAAACTGGTGAGCTTTGGGTGGGCAGCCCAGAGTTTGGGCACAGTACATTGTGTAGGAAGCAACTGTTTGGGGTGGAAGCCACAGATCTGGAGTCAGAAGAGACCAATTTGAGACACTGCTGTGCCATTTACCCTCTTTGTAACCACAGGGCAAGTTACCCAGCCTCTGAGTCTCTGTCTCCTCAATTTTGTAACTAATAACATATGCCTAAAAGGATTGTCGTGAGGGTCATTTGTAAAGCCCAGGATAAAGCCTGGTCAGTATTATTACCATGTGCTTTACAGCAGTAATCACTCTGAAACTCCAATTTTCCTTTCACACAATGAGGGTCAGACCCACCTGAATTAGCTAATTTATGGGACTATTATGTTAACGGAGATGTACTGTTTTTGGAAAAACCTTTAGAGACACTAGATCTTGTCAAATTATTCAATAAAGATCCTTTGTGATTGGATCAAAATCATCAACTAAGCACAAGCTCCAGACACCCTTTCCTTCCTTAAACCCTAAAAATAACAGATTTAAGAATTTTTTTTAACAAATCTGAGAAACAAGAAGTGATGTCCGAGGTGGATCAGAAATTCTGTAGAGTCCCTGAAATAATTGGAAATTTTAAAATTAAATTGGACTTAAGGAGAAAAGCGAAGGCTGAAATACACATAGGAAGGCATCTGTCTGTAATGTAGGAGCAGCCTTGGAGGTGTTCCAAGTTTGGACCCAGCAGATATGGGGAGCAGACTGGGGCCCTTGCATGGCTGGCTGTGGAACACAGTGTAAGCAGCCAGGCAAACCAGTGTTAAAAGAAAAGAAACCTTAGACAAATCAAATTTAACACAGTTCAATTAAGCAAAGAATGATTTGTGAATCAGGCATAGCCAGGAACCAGAACAGGTTCAGGAGGCTCCAGCACAGCCACATGGACAGAAAAAGGGAAATGAGGTACAGAAAATGGAAGTGAGAAACAGAAACAGCTAGATTGGCTGTAGTGTGGAGCTTGACTTTTTTGAACCCAGTTTGAACAGTTGGCTGACTTTGGCCAAAACATGATGATTGTTTTGAAAGCTTACAGTCTGTTTACACATCTGATTAGGTTACAGTTCACTATGTACAGAGAAACCAAAAAGGCACTCTTAGGCTGGACTGAATTTAACAATTCTCACCTTTTGGTCATCCTCTCAATTTTGGGAGATAGACCAAAACTTTAGGCATTGATATCACTCTGTCACCATGATAAATGTACTTATTTTGTCTCAAATCCCACTGGGAAATAGCAGAACAGTAGGTTTTGTGAGGTGGAAATAAGGACTTTGGTTTACTGTTTTTTAGAGGGCAAGAGTAGAGGGGAACTCCTTGTGTTGGAATATCCTGTTTATAGGAGAAAACAAAACCTGGTTTGTTTTAGGATTTATCTCTTTCCCTAAAGTTTTAGTTTGATTATGTTACATTTAGCATGAGTGACTCCATTTTGGTTTGGTCTGGTCTGTCGGGGCCTAGTACACATGCTCAGTCCAAAACAATGACCTTCCAAAATTTTGTTTAAAAAGCGCCCCCTTTTGGTCAGGTTCTCATTTAGGCAACTGTGTGATCAAAACTTAGGGCCTTAGCACCACTCTCATTTACCATCATTTTGGGTTTCTAGTCTTAGCATGTCATTTATAGGTTATGATGTCCTCGTGGTCACACAAGTCCTTGAGTTTTTGTCACTCCAGTCAATGAAAGACTATTTGACATTCTAGAGACGGCTGCATGCAAACATTTAAAACATTTGAGAGAATACAGTGTACCAGGGAAACTACCATTATGTTTATCAGAAGGGCGATGCCAGGAGTTTGGAGTCTGCTCCTTAGCCAGGATCCCCGTGAACCAAACCAACTAAAATCAAATAGATCAAAGAATGAGCTAGATAAAGAGTCTACTTGTTTTAAACAAACCTCTTGTTCTGTTTATTAATTTTTTACAACTGAATCTCTGTGATACTCAATGTATTCCTTTATGTGCAACTAGAAGTGTCAGGAACTGCACAGATACTTCTCTGTTTAGCCAGTAAATAATTTAGAACAAGTCTATTATTTAGCAAAACTTTCACAAAAGAATTTAAAGTCTGTTGTGTAATCATAGCCTTTGCAGTAGAATTTGCTATAGAGCCTATTATGAGGGATATATTTCTAACCATTGCTTCATTTATTCCAAACCATGGAAAAAGCAACCTAACAAATGATGCCCATCTAGAATACTGAAGGTCTCCTGCCAATGTTCCCTTTAACCTATGCTGGCAATGTTCTCTTTAACCTATGATGTAAGTTAAAAAGAGTGGGCCAATATTCTGTTTCTGATCAACTATGAAGCAACAAATGTACAACTAAAATTTTTCACCTAAAGTGGCCTTTCTTCCTCCATCAAGGCGTAAGTTTGTTCATGTATAAGGTTAGCTGAGAAATCCTCCACGAATAAAAGTATACCTCATGAATGCACACAAAAGACCCCTTTTCAGTTCATTGTTCATAGAGGCATAAGCAAGGAGAACAATGAGAGATAAGAGTCTTATGATAGCAGAAAAATTTTGATCTGTGATCTTGGAGAAAAGCTGTCCATGTCTGGATGCCACCTGTTTCTGGGGAGAAACTTCCCTGGCTAGCTTTATCTTAAGGTCTCCAAAGTGTGTACAGTTTCAAGAGTTTGGAGTGGCCCTTCTGAGTGAGATTATGAACTCAATGTTCCAGGCCCCAAAGTTTTCCTGCAGTGTGAGTGGCAAGGGCAGTGTTTGATGTTCTCAGAAGACCCAGTCTCCAGGTTCTAGACTGTGAAAGGGTTGATTGTATGGACAGTCAGTGGAGCATGAAAAGCTTTCTTTACCTGAAGAAAATACACTTTGGCATAACGCATTAAAACCTCGCAGCATTTAGTCATATCAGAGTCCAGTAGCAGAAGATACATGAGGTTCTATTATTAGGTGCATAGCTCTTCCAGTGATCATTTAGGGCCAAACGTATGTCTTCCACTGGAAATGGATCTGATTGTCATCAGTCGGCAATACCTTTCTCCAAGGCAACCCAGTCAATTCAGCTAGTTTTGCCTAATGCTATTGTATCTGTAATACTTTATTTAACTATTTTATGATTTGTCCACTGTCACAAATACCTTTATTACTGGAGATTTCTCTAAGAATGTCCCATGAGAAACACCTTTTCAAAAAACTTTTAGCTACTTTTATAACATCAACCATCTTGTATGAGAAAGCTTTTATACAATCAGAAAACATGCATTGAAAATGACAATTGAATGAAAACTCTCTATAAATGTTTAAATGGCACATCAGGTAGCAGAAATGTAACTCAAGTTGTGAGTGTCTTCCCAGGATTGTAGGTTTTACAAACCAAATATTGGTCATGAACCATTTTAGCAATTTATAGCAGTCAACATATATTTACTTTGAATTATTTTATTTCTTCCGTGATGAGTCACAGAGTGCAGAGCTTTCACTAGTGGAAGGTATAAGGACTCAGGAAGGGCCAGGCTGGTGTCCAGGCTCTCCATGTGTCCACACTTAACATTGGACTTATGTCTTCCTAAATACCCATTTTATTTCTTCAATTTAGGTGCATAGCACTGTTTACTGGATGGATTATCATAGGTAACTTGACTTGAAGCATGGGGTTTATTTAAATTGCATATCCAAAGAATTTAAGTACTGCCTGATTTAACATGAAAACCTGGCAATGTACAAGAAAGCTTGATATTTAATTAATTTTTGTCCTGCTTGAGTTAGCAGTTTTATATGCCAGTCAGTCTTTTCATTAGACTTTTGAGAATTCTTACCCAGTCCAAATGATATGATCCTAAAGTTATCAGAAACCGGCATTCAAGAGTGCTTGTCAAGGTCCTTTCCATCGTTTGATGAACCTCCTTGAAAACACAGACTCTAGGATTTTGTATGCTTGTGAAGAGTTTTCAGAAACTGCATCAGAACTAAGCAATCAACTGTGGAGATGACTTAAAATGGTCATAAAAACACAATTGACAAGAAAATTTAGTTATTTCTGTGGCCTACAATAATTTAATATAATAACCATAATTATGAGTGACACTATATATCCAGACATATCAGAATTATAGAAAACCCATACAATTTTGGAGCATATATTAATAATATATTCATAAAAACGTAACTGGAAGGTTAAACATCATCTCTTATTTGACAATGCTTCGCATGTTATTTAACATATCAAATAATCCTGTTAATCTCTCCTTTGGATGCTACAGGGTCTGGAGGGGCTCTCTGAAGCATTCCAAAGTTAGAGGTTAAAAAGAAAAAAAGTTAATTTTGAAGTTCAAATTTGATTTTGAGAAGCTCGTCAAATATGTCAGAGGTTTAAACACTCTAGACCAAAATAAGATCACAGGTCACTATAAAAAAGTCATTTATTTAGACAAAGTAATAAACAAAAGATTTTAAAAAGCAAAAACCTTTACTCTTCAATAGAGAGGAGACAGTTTTCCAAACAGTCAAAAGACCTCAGAGGGACAGCATGAGACAAAATCTCTGTCCTCTCCTCTCTTCTCTGTTTTGCAGTTTACTCAAAAGGTGAACAAAAATATTTGCTGTCTTAGTAATACTACATGAAACTCTTGTTCAAAAGAAAAAAATAAATTTTACTTTTCTATTAGTGTATTATCAATATTAAAGAGCAAAATTATAAAGAAATCTGTCACCTTTTGACCACACAAGATTTCCAAACAGTTTTATATCTTACATTTTTTCCCCAACTTTATATTCATTTAGTCCTATCTATTTTTTATTCCTTCAATTTAAAACATTTAAGTAACTTCTAAACTAGACAAAATTATTTTTCTCAACACCTATATTGTCATACCTATACCATCTTTTCACCAAAAGCATATCTTGCTTTTGTTTATGCCCTATATACAGAATTGTTTTTCTCATATCTAGTAGTTTTAATATTAACTATAATTTTAACTTTTAGTAACCCTAATTTCTAGTGAAAACCCTAGGAAGAAATTTTGTTTTATATCAGTATTTGCAGATAAAAACCAATTATAAATTTTTAGAAAGATGTTTCCTTCAATTATTGTTTAGTAAGAGATCTAAATATATTTAGCTTTTCTATACCATATAAAAATGACATGTCAAGTTATATAACTTAAATTCATGTTTAATAATTAGTATTTCCATATTTTAATTTACAAATTACTCAGATATTTTATGATTATGTATTACTTAATTTAACACGAATTTAAATATTTTAAATTGCTGAAAACAATTTTGAAGCTATGACACAGGTCCCCTCCCTAATGGTCTTCTCCAGTTGCCCTGGGTCTCAAGTAGCCACGTGGCATCCAGGAGGGCTATGAAGGCAGGATCTGTCTAAGTCCTGAATGTACATTGCAGGAATAGAGCTCAGGGCAGAAGACAGAGCTGTGAAGAGGATGCCTGGAGGATCCAGTCCCTCCCAGAGTAGCCAAGAGGCAAAGCTAAGGCAGGAAAGAAGGTGCCATACTGGGCTTGATTCTACCTTGTAGCTATTGGGCTAGGTCTTACCATGGCAACCTATCCAGACCCCTGTATCTAGAGGCTCAGAACCAAAAACATAAGCTCACAGTCAATTCAAGCAAGTATTGAATTATATTTAACTGACAATTTTGAAACCATTCCTACGTTACCAACAATTTAAAAGCTAGTCATATTTATCAAATATTATCATATACACATATAGACATACAAATGGACAGAAGCTGATCTTATAGCTTCCATAAAGGATTCTTATTGGCCAGCTTTTAAATAGTTTTTCCTTTCCACATTCAGACTATCATTCTTCTAATTACCTGTTTCATTGCCCTAAGCAATTGTTAACTAGGCAACAAATTTGCATTTCTAGAGGGAAAATGTTAGGTGAAATAAGAATATTTATATTTGAAAAGCACAGAACTTAAGACTTTAGTCCAAAATATGGCACCATTTGCACCAAATATTGCACCAAACCAAGGAAAAAATGATGTAAGTGAAAGTTCAGTTAAGACAAGATGGCCAGGAAAGCATTTTAAACAAAGATATGACTTGTTATGTAAATTTTAGAATGATGGTAAGCATTTCTAATGTACACAGTCATACTTACAAATACAGATTTCCTTTCTAGATGTAAATTTTTTTTACAAAGGATTTTAAGATAGCCAGTTGATGTGGTTTGACTGTGACTCCACCCAAATCTCATCTTGAACTGTAGCTCCCATAATTCCCTTGTGTTGTGGAAGGGACTCACTGGGAGATAATTGAATCATGGGGGTCGTTTCTCCCATACTGTTCTCACTGGTAGTGAATAAATCCCATGAGATCTGATGGTTTTGTAAGGGGAAACCTCTTTCACTTGGCTCTCACTCTTTTCTTTTGCTGCTGCCATGTAAGAAGTGCCTTTCGCCTTCCGCCATCATTGTGAGGCCTCCCCAGCCACATGGAACTGTGAGTCCATTAAACCTGTTTTTCTTCCCAGTCTTGGGTATGTCTTTATCAGCAGCGTGAAAATGGACTAATACAGCAGTCAAATGCCAGAAAGGCATATTTTAGTTCAACAGGTGATCTTTGTAAATTAGCTGAAATTGTTGAGTTTGGGGTGAATCCTATTAAGGAATAGGACAAAAAAGCATTCTCTCTGCCTGGACTCAGCACGGTTCGATCTGAAAACCGAAGCAAGCCTACTTTATCTTAGGGCCTACTTTTTAGAATCACTTTATCTAGGAGAGCTTTCTTTTTACCTGTGAGATGGGATAGTAACTAAGCTAAAAGGTTAGCAGATTTAATTTTTCTTATCAATTAGTCATTCAAGCTTTTTATTTGCCTTTTATAAACAGTCTTTAAAGTAAAAAAGCAATAAAATTATTGAAATCTTTCAGAAGTGTCTGCAAATCAAGAGGCATCCCTGGCTGATACTAATTCAGGAGCCCTCGCTTCCAAATGCCTTTCTTAAAGGACAGTGTTGTTAGCTTGGAATGTTTCATTGTAGTTTTAAATTACCCTTAGTAAGATTTTATCATTTTTGTGAGTGCTTGCTGCTTCTGAGGCCTAATATTTATGCATGTATAAACTGGAAGGCAGCGTACTCAGGTCTTCAGAAATTAAGGATCCCATTTTTACCCTGAATCCTGGCTTTGGCTTTCAGATCCCCTTGATCAACTAGCCAATGATTTTTCCCTACCTAGGCATGCAACAAAAAGAAACAAGGGGGGTAGAACACAAAAATCTCTGCAAATATTTGAAAGTTGCAGTTTGTACCCCCTGCAGTATTGCCATTTACTACCAGTCTGATGCCTCTAATGAATCCAAGGCAGTTAATTATCAGATCCAATTCAACCCTGGACCCAGTCCAGTTTCTGTCGTCACTTCCAAACCCAACTTGGATCCGAAATTTGCACAAAGAAACTTGGATAGCTCAAAACACAAATCAGTAGACCTTTGGAATCTGGGAGAGAACTTACCAACAATCCCCAGTTGCTGCAAGAAAGCAATGGCCGGGCGCGGTGGCTCACGCCTGTAATCCCAGCGCTTTCGGAGGCCGAGGCGGGCGGATCACGAGGTCAGGAGATCAAGACCATCCTGGCTAACACGGTGAAACCCTGTCTATACTAAAAATACAAAAATATTAGCCGGGCGTGGTGGCGGGCGCCTGTATTCCCAGCTACTTGGAAGCCGGAGGCAGGAGAATGGCGTGAACCCGGGAGGCGGAGCTTGCAGTGAGCCGAGATAGCGCCACTACACTCCGGCCTGGGCGAAAGAGCAAGACTCTGTCTCAAAAAAAAAAAAAAAAAAAAAAAGCAATGAACACAATGCGCCTGGCAGGCACCTCGCCTGGTCACCTGGTGCTCCCTGGGGTGGCTAGAAGCTCTACCTTGGATCCCACTTCTGATACCATCTGCTAAAAGAAAAACTTTAGACAAATTAAATGTAACATAATTTAATTGAGCAAAGAATGATTTGTGAATTGGACAGCTCCCAAACCTGAATAGATTCAGAGAGATTCCAAACAGTCACATGGTGGAAGAAGATTTATGGACAGAAAAAGAAAAGTTATTCACAGAAAATGGAAGGGAGATGTGGAAACTGCCAAGTTGGTTACAGCTCAGCACTTGCCTTACTTGGACCCAGTTTGAACAGTTGGCCGCCTTTGATTGACCGAAACACAATGATTGTCACAAGAGTAGGTTACAGTTTGTTTACACATTCAGTTAGGTTACAGTTCACTATGTTTGGTAAACCTCTAAAATATGTAAAAAGGCAGCTTTAGGCTGAACTGAATTTAGCACTGGCCTCTTTTTTCCTCCTTGCTTGTTTCAAGCAGCAAGCAGGAAAGAAACTTTCTGTAAGTGGCATCCGTGATTGTGGCTCCCTGAGCTGGAGGAGTGAGACAGGGTAGGACCCCCAAGTGACTGGTAAAAATCAAGATGGGTAAGAAACCCCCACATCAAGAAGTCTAACTGCTCATGAAAAACTCCCCAGTGCAAAGATGATTATTCAACCAAGACTCACCAAGTGCTTGAATAAAACTTACACCAGGTAAGAGAGGCATCACACTCAGTAAAGAGTAGGGCAAACCAAACAAGATATTAGAATAAGTATAATTTCAACCCCAAAGTTAATGTGAGAATATTTAGAACACATTAACAAAATTTAAAACAATGACAACAAAACAATAACAAAAATATAAGCTAGATATTTGGAAAATTAAATATTTGATTGTTGAAATTAACAGCCAACAGAAGGGCTAAAGAGCACAATGAAAATAGTTGAAGAGTTAGTGAGTCAACATTGAGATGAAGGATTCTTCCTGAATACTCTATAAAAAGATAAAGGAATGCATTATATGAAAGAAATACTGAGAGACTTGGAGAATGGATCCATCAGCTCTACCTGATATGCATTCTAAAGGAAGAACAGAAACAAATATAAAAGAAGCAATGGAACAAGTTCCATAGTTTAAGAAAAAAGTGAGTAATATTAAAGGGATTCATTGAGTGGAGGCTGGAGAATTTGAAGATACTTGTTAACTATAATATGTGGAATGTATATAAAATTAAAAGTAAAGACAGAGAGAAAGCCCAGTCATTGTAGAGGTCTAGATTAGGCAGGGAGCAAAGGTACGTGAGCAGGCTTTTTTGCCTTCCTGGTTTTATAGTCTGCTATATTCTGTATATATGGAGGACTTCCATATGTATAGACATAAACACTGGTATTATCTTATAATACCAGTGCACTAAACCCAGGCACTTTCTAAAGCCACACACTTTCCAATTCTATTACTTGACCTAAATAGAAGAAAACTGATTTTTGGCCAGGGAGATCAGTTTTGTAAAACTGACTTATTACAGTTGTGATTAGATTGATTAATCCTTCTAATTTAGAGTACACTATGAGAATTTGAATCTCAAACACTATGTATGGTTCATTTCATTTGGCCCACTTATTCTACTCTAAAGAATCTAATTTAAGGTAATCATAAATTCAGAAAGTGTTTGTGAAAGAGATATTCATCATGATATTATTTGTAAAGTGAAAAAGAGGAAACACTTTTATGATTAAATAAATTATGGCTGGAACCACAAAAGTCCCTAAATAGTCAAAGCAATTTTGAGCAAGAAGAAAAAAACTGGACAAAAACATTTCCTGATTTTAAAATATATTATAAAACTACAGTAATAAAAACAGTATGGTACTATATACAATAGACATGTAGACCAATAGAACAGAATAGAGAACCCAGAAATAAACCCATGCATACACTGTCAACTGATCTTCCTAAAGGGACCAAGTATACATAATGGGGAAAGAAAAATCTCTTCAGTAAATGAGAAAACTGCATATCCACATGCAAAAGAATAAAATTGGACCCTTATCTTACACCATGTATGAAAATCAATAAAAATGTATTAAAGACTTAAATGTAAGACTTGAAACTGTAAAGCTCCCAGAAGAAAGCATAAAGATAAAGCTTGTTGACATTGGTCATGATGTTTTGGCTATGACAGCAAAAACACTGACAACAAAAGCAAAAATAGGTGAATGGGATTACATCAACAAAAAGCTTCTGCAAAGTAAAAGAAACAACAAATGAAAAGTAAATTCCCAAAATGAAAGAAAATATTTGCAAACCAGATATCTGAAAAAGTGTTAATATTCAAAACATGTAAGGAATTTATACAACTTGATAGTAACAAAACAACACAAATAATTCAATTAAAATATGGTCAAAGGAACTGGATAGATATGACCTTAAAGAAAACATACAGATGGCCAGCAGGTATATGAAAAGGTGTTCAACACTACTAATGATCAGAGAAATGCAAATCAAAATCACAATGAGATATCACCTCATACCTGTTAGGATGGCTATTACATATATTTATACACACATAACAGAATAAAGAGCCCAGAAATAAACCCATGCATACTCTGTCAACTGATCTTCACAAGAGTACCAAGAATACATATATGTATATATGTATTCTTTAAAATATAAATGTTGGCAAGAATGTGAAGAAAAGGGAACCGGTAGTAAGGGTACATTCTTACTACCGGTAAGAATGTAAATTGGTGCAGCCACTATGGAGAATAGTACTGAGATTTCTCAAAACATTAAATATAGAACTACTCTATGACCCAGCAATCTCACTTCTGGGTATACATCCAAAGGAAATAAAATCAGAATCTTGAAGAGATATCTGCACTCTCATTTAATTGCATCATTTTTTCCAACAGTCATGACATGGGAGCAACCTGAATGTCCATTGACTGATGAATGGATGAAAAAAATATGGGATATACATCCAAAAAAGATTATTCAGGCTTAAAAAGGAAGGAGATTCTGCCATTTTTAACAAAATGAATTAACCAGGAGGACATTGTGGTAAGTGAAATAAGCCAAAAACAGAAGAAAAAATACTACATGCTCCCACATATATGAGGAATCTAAAGTAATCAAACTCATAGCAATAGAGAGTAGAGTGGTGATTGCCCAGGGACTGGGGGAGGAGTTTTGGAAAAACAATTGTGGCACATGTACATAGTGAAATACCATGCAGTTCAGTAAAATGTTTCTAGAGAAGTTCAAATGACATAGAAAAATCCATGTAAAATGTTAAACAAGAAAAAGAACATGTTAAAATGGCATGTGCAAAAATGAGTAAGTAAATAATTACACAATCATACAAAAAACTAGACAGGCATACACTTACATATTATTATATGTTAGTCATTTTTTAAAACTCTAGTTGTTTTTAAATTTAACTTTTAAGTTCAGGGTTACATGTGCAAATTTGTTGTATAGATAAACTTGTGTCATGGGGGGTTGTTGTACAGAATATTTTGTCATCCAGGCATTAAGCCTAATATCCACTAGTTAGTTTTCTTGATCCTCTTCCTCCTCCCACCCTCTATCCTCTGACAAGCCCCAGTGTGTGTTGTTCCCCTCTATGTATCCATATGTTCTCATCATTTAGCTCCCACTTATGAGTGAGAACACACAGCATCTGATTTTCTGTTCCTGCATTAGTTTGCTAAGGATAATGGCCTCCAACTCCATCCATGTTCCTGGAAAAGACATGATCTCATTATTTTTAATGGCTGCATAGTAGTCCATGGTGTATATGTACCATATTTTCTTTATGCAGTCTACCATTGATGGGCATTTATCTTGATTCCATGTCTTTGCTAGTGTGAATAGTGCTGCAATGAACATATACATGCATGTGTCTTTATGATAGAACAAGGTATATTCCTTTGGGTATATACTCAGTAATGAGATTGCTGGGTCAAATGGCATTTCTGGTTTTAGGTCTTTGAAAGATTACCACCCTGTCTTCCACAATGGTTGAACTAATTTACACTCCGACCAGCAGTGTATAGTGTTCCTTTTTCTCTGCAACCTCACCAGCATCTGTAATTTTTTGACTTCTTAGTAATAGCCTTTCTGACTGGTGTGAGATAGTATCTCATGGTGGCTTTGATATGCATTTCTCTAATGGTCAGTGATGTAGAGCTTTTTTTCGTATGATTGTTGGCTGCATGTATTTCTTCTTCTTTTTTCTTTTTAATATTATATTGTATGTTTAAAAATCTTGTTTTGATTAGTATGTGTCACATATATTTTTTAAAATTTCCATCAAACCACAGAAGTAAAACAACTGTGCTGTCTTTGGAAGAAAAATAACACTCTAGTCAAGTCATCACAGACCATCCCAGCACAGGCTCATTTCCCTTTCACTTGATTTGGGGACAAACTGAGCCACAGCTACACAACATGGGACTTTCTGAGCATCCCCTCATGTCCTGAAAGAACCTGCACTCATGCTCCCCATTGCTTGACACCCCACTGAGTCAGGTAGAACTTGTTTTCCTTCCAGATTAACTTTGTGGTTACATGACATGAATGTTTAGGACAACAAGCAAATGTCTATCCCAGACAGAAAAGTTTCAATATTTTTACCCCTCTCTACCACTAACTTTATGTGTAAATAAGAATCTTCTTATTTTTTAACATAAATCAGATAGGCCCTGCCCCAGGATCTATCTGTCTATAAAATTTGTGTCATTTGCAAAGCCTGAAGTCATGGCCTGCTGCTCCATCAGAGTGTCTTTCTCACTTACCTCTGATCCTATCATCCCACAACCAGTTCCTTTGTTGTAAGAGCATTGCAGTAGTGAATCGGGGTCTATGGAACACAGAGCAGTTAACCTGGGGGAGAAATTGCTTCCTAAGATGGCTCATTTCTTTCTTGCATGGGCTATGCAAAACCACAGAGAATGCTTGACTTCTGAAAGGCTATGTTTTGACTCAAAAAGCTTCCAAAGGTCATCCTTTTGGTCTGGGTCCTCAGCATACTCTCCCCTTTTGGAGTCCCTGCTCTATTTCTTATGGAGTTGCATCCATTTATCCAAGCCCTGAATCTCCCCTCCTCCAGCACAGGCGATATTGACCAAATCCAGACAGTGAAGCAGCCGTTCATGCCGTCCTTGAGATCTCACTGACGTGCCACCAGGATATCTCATCTCCCTTCCTATCTTTGAGAGAGTTGCATGTGATAGCACTTCCACAACCCAACCAAGGGACAGCTTCTTTCCTTTTTCCTTGATTTATAAATCCATTAATTTTTTTTTTTGAGACAGGGTCTCATTCTGTCACCCAGGATGGAGTGCAGTGGTGCACTCATAGCTCATTGACGCCTGCAACTCCTCAGCTCAAATGATCCTCCTTCCTCAGCCTCCTGAATATCTAGGACTACAGGTGCATGCCAACAGCCCAGCTAATTTTTTAATGTTTTTGTAGCGATAGGGTCTTGTTACATTGCCCAGGCTGGTCTTGAACTCCTGGACTCCTCAAGTGATCCTCCTGCCGTGGCCTCCCAAAGCACTGGAATTACAGGCACAAGACACTGAGCCTAGCTGATTCATTTTTCTTTCCCTTCCTTCCTTCCTTCCTTCCTTCCTTCCTTCCTTCCTTCCTTCCTTCCCTCTTTCCTTCCTTCTTTTTCTTTCTTTCTTTTTTTTTCAGAGTTTTGCTCTTGTCGCCCAGGCTGGAGTGCAACGGCACGATCTTGGCTCATTATAACCTCTGCTTCCCATGTTCAAGCGATTCTCCTGCCTCAGCCTCCTGAGTAGCTGGGATTACAGGTGCCTGCCACCACGCCTGGCTAATTTTTTGTATTTTTAGTAGACACGGGGTTTCACCTTGTTGGCCATGCTGGTCTTGAACTCCTGACCTCAGCTGACCCCCCCGCCTCAGCCTCCCAATGTGCTGGGATTACAGGCATGAGCCACCGTGCCCAGCCCCCCATTAATTTTTTCTAACATATTTTGTAATTATTTATAAGATACTTCTGATCTTTTGGGAAGATGAAAAATATATGAACATTTATTTATTAACATAAAGTTTTTACTTAAGTCGCTGGGCAGAAGCCAGAGCCTCAGGTATCTTTTGTGATCATTGGCATAAATCCAACAAATTGGACTGCTGTCCACTTGTAGAAAGAAAGTAGATTGTAGTTTCAGAGACAAATGATTTTGAATGCTGCCTCCTTGATGTGAGAGTCTGGAAGCACTTGTCTTCTCGTTAGTTAATGGACATAATATAAAGCATGGGTAAAATGATGCACCTATAATTAAAATAAATTTTGAAATATTGATTTGTTGATATCCTCAGAATTTTCTTACTAATCTTGCCCTCCCCTCTCCAGCGCCTATCAGCACTGAGGATATTTCTTATTTACTTCTTTTAAGGAAATAGCATTCCAAAATGGACAGAGAAAGTAAAGTCAACTCTTTTTTTTTTTTTTTTTTTTGTAGACAGCATCTTACTCTGTTGCTCACACTGGAATGCAGTGATGTGATCATAGCTCACTGCAGCCTTAAATTCCTGGGCTCAAGTGATTATCCTGCCTCAGCCTTCTGAGTAGCTGAGACCACAGGTGCATGCCACCACACCTGGCTAATTTTTTTAATTTTTATTTTATTTATTTTTATTTTTTGTAGTGATGAGGTCTTGCTATGTTACCCAGGCTGGTCTTGAACTCCTGGTTGCAAGCAATCTTCCTGCCTTAGCCTCCCCAAATGTTGGGATTATAGGCATGAGCCACTGCACCTGGCCAACTCTCAGCTTTTGAGTTTCAGTATGAACTTTTGAAACTCATAGCAGAGGCAAGAATAAGAGAGAAAAGGATTTGGAGACACAAAAACCAAGGCCATAAAGAGCCAGTACTTAAATTTTTTCCATCAATAATGGGTCAGACAAATGTAAATGATGTGATCATGTGTCTTCCCTTGGTAGAAGAGATGAAGATCCTCAGGGCTGGAGGAGAGAGAGAAGCAGAATGGTAAAGCAAGATTGAGGCTATCGTGAGCATCCTTCATATAATGCCTTGAACTCAACTCCGGACAAGTCAAGTACCATGGTGAAGGCAAACTGAGCCTCCATTTCTGAAATCAGAAGAACCCAAGCTGGTAAGCATAGCAGAGTCCCTCTACATTGCCATGGTGCTATAGCAGGAAGGCAGAGAAGCTATGTCTAGATAGACAGAGCCTGAGACAGCCCACTGAGGGCATTGAAAAGATCCTTATGTCCCTTTGAGAGGAGGCTGAAATAGCTGATGAGAGCTGGTTGACCCGGAAAAGTCTCGTGGACAAGGCCCAGGGTGATCTCTTCTCACTATGCATCTTATGTTATTACTATGCACACGCTACCTTGGGACTCCTGTTGGCTCAGGATACACAAGTAATAATCGGCTGTGTAGTGTAATGATTAAAAGAATCAGTGTGGAGTCAATATGTCCAGTCTAATTCCTAGCCTTACCTTGTACTAGCTGGGGAATGTTAGAAAACATTCTTTACCTCTCTGTGCCTTGGCCTTTTTAAAAATCATAATGGGAAAGATGATAGCACCTATCTCCTATGGAAGGACTAAATAAGTGAATCTAAAAACTTAGAAAAATGCCTGGCCCAGAATAAATACCTTATGTGTTGGCAAAAATAACAATGATTAGGATTATTAGTAGTAGTGCTATTATTTTGTGATTTCTCTTATAATAACCTCCCTTTCTTTCCTGCCGTCCTTGCCTGTTAAACTCTGATATATCCTTCCAAACTATCAATTATGTCTGCCCAAATTGGCAGCTCTCATCAGAGCCACATGACCAGAAGAGATCCAGGTCTCTAAAAGAAGAAGGGAGAGACTGTGGGTCAGGGCGGACACAATTTAGAGTTGTGGTCCGGGGATGAGCAAGTGACTAGGGTTGGGCCAATCATGGGACTTCTTTAACTCTAAAATGCTCATAGTTCAGAAACATGGAGGTTTGTGGAGATTTTATTTGCAAGAGCAGTTTTACTGGGGTGGTAGTGAAGGAGCATACGCCAGGTTGTTGTGTGTTGAGGACTGAATGGGAGGGAAGTCTGTGGAAACAGCACAGATAGAATCCTTATTCAAGTTGTGTAGCTGTGAAGGAAGGGGAGATTAGGTCCTTGCCATTGAGGAGAAAGAGGAATTGGGAAACTGTGATTTTAAATGGGCCACACACGTGGAAGTTGAACTGACCCTGGGTGATAAAAATGAGCCGAAGTCCTGAAGAATCTGTGAAAATAGCCAGGACATCCGTGGTCCAACCAGCTGAAAAGATCTGCAAAAGAGAAAGAATTTTTGCATAAAAATAAAGTAACAGTGACCTGAAGTAGTGGAGTTTACACTTCCAGTTGCAGGTTCTTGAGGAAGGGCCTCAGAGCTCTGTCCAGCTGGCATAGTGTAGTCGGTCCAAGTGAGTAGGCTGAACTGTGCCCCTCCAAAATCTGTATTTTGATGCCCTAACTCCCCAGTACCTCTCCTATATTCAGAGATCAGGCCATAAGAAGATGATTACGTTAAAAATGCATTCATTAAGCATCGAGTAAGACATAGACAGAGGGATGACCATGTGAGGGAGGACATGGTGAGAAGGCGGCCGTCTGCAAGCCAAGGGCAGTCTTCAGAAGAAACCAAACTTATTGATGTCTTGATCTTGGACTTTTAGCATCCAGAATTGTGAGTGTATCAGTCTGTTTTCACACTGCTGATAAAGACATAACCAAGACTGGGTAATTTATAAAGAAAAAGAGGTTTAATGGACTCACAGTTCCACATGGCTCACAATCATGGCGGAAGGCAAAAGGCATGTCTCACATGGTGGCAGACAAGAGAAGAGAGCTTGTGCAAGGAAACTCCCCTTATAAAACCATCAGATCTTGTGAGACTTACTCACTATCACGAGAATGGCACAGGAAAGACCTGCCCCCAGGATTCAATTACATTCCACCAGGTCCCTCCCACAACACGTGGGAATTGTGGGAGCTACAATCCAAGATGAGATTCGAGTGGGGACACAGCCAAACTATATCAGTGTGAAAATAAATTTCTGTTGTTTAAACCACCAGTCTGTGGTATTTTGTTATGGCACTGTTCGCACAAAAATAAACAGATAGAGTTAGCCAAGGATAGGGAGTTTGGCTAGGACAGAAGAAATGAAGGATGTAAAATCCGTCTCATGAGGGCAGGCCCACACAAAAAGCCACCAGGTGGACTGATAGTCCCAGGCCAGACTTCTCTGTGTCCTTTTGTAAAGGGAACATGCTCTGTGGGAGGAAGAGGCCAAGCAGGACTGAGCTGCTCCGTTGTAGGCACTGGTCTGAGCAACAGAAGGCTGGTTCCTTGGGTGGCACTTCTGAGTATTTAGAGAAATATCCTAATTCTCAGGAGACACAGGATTGCATAATTTGCAAAACTTTCTGAGACTCAGAGTAAGATATTGGGTCCAAATGGGAAGACTAACCAGTGAGGATAAAAGCTTCTCTGATTCAGGAGACTTAAGGGTTCTTTCCAAAGCTGTGGTGGTTCCTGCAGTTCCTGCCCTGCCTAGAATCTTGCCAACATGGAATTGCCTGATGGTAGACTTTGAGCTCTAAACCAGAGGTCTCTAACCCCCGGGCCACAGCCACCGTTACCTTCTGCTGTGCAGCGGGGTTCCTAACAGGCTGCACAGCGGGAGGTGAGCAGCAGGTGAGCAAGAGAAGATTCATCTGTATTTATAGCCACTCCCCATTGCTCACATTACTGCCCGAGCTCCGCCCCTGTCAGATCAGCGGAGGCATTAGATTATCATAGGAGCATGAACCTTATTGTGAACTGCACATGCGACGGATCTAGGTTGCAGGCTCTTTATGAGAATCTAATACTTGATGATCTGTCACTGTCTCCCATCACCCCCAGATAGGACCATCTAGTTTCAAGAAGACAAGCTCACGGTTCCCACTGATTCTAGATTATGGTGAGTTGTATAATCATTTCATTATATATTAAAATGCAATAATAATAGAAATGAAGTGCACAATAAATGTAATGTGCTTGGATCGTCCCGAAACCATCCCCCTCACCCTGGTCCGTGGAAAAATTGTCTTCCATGAAACAGGTCCCTGATCCCTGGTGCCAAAAGTATAGGGACCGCTGCTCTAAACCATGACCTGAAATGCCCCTGAGCACCCATGCTTACCTGACCATAAAGGTGCCAAGCCTGGTCCAGGACCCTGATCCATGGTGACCTATATCCCAGCAGGGAGGAGAAGCACTTACTACACATCACCTTCATAAGAACCTAACCCAGAAGACTTGCATTGGAAGGGTCACTGCCCTCACTTGGTGACCCCTTGCCAGCACTCCTACAAATACATAGCATGTTAAGCAGAAACTCCTTGGATTTCCTCCCTTGCAATGCCGTGACATAAAAGGTATTGAATGGGGTTGAATTAATAGAGGAAATATAACTACCAATGATGACAGTCTTGTAAGTATCACACTCAGGGTATCCATATCATTATAAAAGCTCAATCCCAGGAGAGGAAAGGAAGGTACATGAGAGATTTCCTAGTGTCAGGAATGTCTAGGTCTCTGTGTTTTTCAGTATTGATCTATTTCTTATTCCAAGCAGGTTTTTAAAGTATTTTTCTTCTGGCAGTTGTCTCATTGTCATGTACTCTTGGTTCCTGGTTGAAAAACTCTTGGGTTTTTTCCCCTCTTCAGCTTTTTCGGTTCTTAATTTGGTTAAATTGTTTTAAACCTTCCTCATCAGTACTGTGTATAATATCATATCTAAGAGTTTATATACTAATTGATATGCTTGTAATCTTTCTAGTACTTCTAACAAATCAGTAAATCAGCAAAAAAGAGGGTCAGGCCAGGCATGGTGGCTCATGCCTGTAATCCCAGCATGTTGGGACACCAAGGCAGGTGGATTGCCTGAGTCCAGAAATTCAAGACCACCATGGGCAACATGATGAGATCCCATCTCTACAAAAATTTAAAAAATTAGCCAGGCATGGCTAACTCCTGTGGTTCCCAGCTAATCAGGAGGCTGAGGTGAGAGGATTGCTTGAGCCTGGGAGATTGAATATGTAGGGAGCCAAGACTGTGCCACTGCGCTGTAGCCTGGGCAACAGAGTGAGACCCTGTCTCAAAAAAAAAAAAAAAAAAAAGGAGGGTCATATTTGTCTTCAACTTTAAAAATGTCTGTCCTTTGAGCGGGAGCTGCAAGTTAAAATTTTAAGAAATGTTTAGAGTAAAATGGAACAATTCTCCCTGGTGAGAGAATTCACTTCTTCATTGCTGGTGCTATTTCTTTACAGAGTTTTGCAATAGGGATTAGGAGGAAGGGTGAATCAGAGCCCCCGCTTGTGGTTTCACTGTCTTATTTATCTCCTCGACTTGCTGAGACAGAAGGGGAAATCCGGGGAGGGGTTGGGTGGAGGTGAGAAGAGGAGAAACAGATAAAGAAACACAGAAAAAGAGAGCAGATAAATGGAGAGGGAACACGCATATTATAAGGGAGTAAAAAATGAGAACCGAAAGAGGCATAAGTTAGGCATTAAAACTTTTATGTCATCTTGTATTTACTTGCTAGAATATAAGCATAGAGATTAGATGGTTTAATGAGTGTGTGTGTTTGTGCACGTGCACATGGATGCATGCTATTTTCAGCAGGGATAGTATAAGTCCTTGGAGCACTTAGCAGCAGGCTAAACAAATTGTCTGAACTGCCTTGAATGCTCTGAGCAAACTTGCCATTTTTATTCATGGGCCTCTGAGCCATGGCTCCCAGTGGATACATGAAGATTAAATAAATTATCTTTCTGATCATTAGTGAGCCCACTATCTTATTCATGGCAAAGGTGGAGCCTGCAGTAATTCTGTGGACAGAACCTTAGCTTTAAGTTGGGCAAGAAAAGGTTTTGTCTTTACCCTTGTTTTAATGCAAGGGGGCTATGCAGAGGATAAACAGGTGCATAGGCCCAACCCTAGCCCACCCAGCTGGTGGGGCAGGGCCAGGGCATGGAAAAGGGGATGAGGGGCCATCTTGCCAGCTGGGGTCTGATCACCGAAAGAGTGGCTTCAAGCAGTAATGCTCATTCTTCTCTAGCGGCAAGACTCTGCTTCAATGCAAAGAGAGGGAGACCTGGAGGGAGGCTGTTGTGTGTTCCTCATGGAATATGGATTCCTACAAGACAAGAAGAACAAAGGCCTGCCCAATGTGACCAGGAAAGATGTGCATCCCCTGCAAGGGCCCAGCGTGCCTTTTCTTGCTCTGAATCTACAGCTTTTTATATCCCTCCAGGCCAAGACCTTCTGTGCCTCTGCTTCTTCCCTTCTATCTGGCGATGACCTCCAGCCTGGACCCATAATCGGGGTCAGCAGGGAAATGGAAGATCTATTCTGCAAACTGCCTCTTTCCCCTGCTGTCTCCCCCGACTCGGTCCTCTCCCAAAGGTTTGTTCTCCTGTTAGATGTCAAGTTGATGATTCTAAATCCCAGATGTGTCATGCTCAGTTAGTGAATAACAGACTGTCAAATAGAGCAATAAATCTTCTCGCTCAGTGACTGCTGTGCAGAGCTGCCATGCCACAGCACTCACATACCCACTAATTCTGTGTGATGAGTGAGGCTGGCGGCAGCCCTGTGTCCTCCAGGGACTGGTATCAAGGTGCAAACATATTGAGATGGGATGATTGCTGGATCCATCCTGCTTTCCCAGCCCCTCAGTTCATGACTAGAAATCCAAAGGCAGCCTGCCATGTAAGCTCTGTTAATTACGTTGGCTGAATGCCTCTTTGGAATCTCTATCCTTCCTGAGATTCTGACAACTTTTTCAGAGAATAGCCCGGTCCGGGCAAATTACTGGTTTGGATTGTTGTATGAGGTTGTTTTCTATCACAGGGATTCCTTTATTTTTCTTTATTAAGTGATAAGAAGTGGAGCTTTTCTTTGGTATCTCTCCCTTAGGGAGACACCATTCAGAACACTGGGGATTCCTCTTTTCTCCTACTAGGTTTGATCCCTTAGCCAATCCTCTGGAGAGAAAGCACTGAGTTGGTTTTCATAAGGTCTAGGGAATGGAATAAAATGGATTCATGGAATCCAGACAAATACATTCCTAGCTTCACAGCCCTTCTATTAATATACAGTTGCATTTTCCTAGGTGAGACTGTCTCCAGCAAAGAAAGGCCTAAGTCATCAATTGCCATATTTGCCGATAAGTGAATATGGCCACCATGGTAACAGAATTCTGTTCATATCTGTGCTGTCAGAAATATTTGGAGCCCTGTATGAACATCCCTAAGACTGTAATGTAATGTCCCCCACTCAATGACTAAGAGCAAGGAATTCTAGACAGACTGCTGTGGTTTGAATCCCGCCTCTGCTACGCTGTGTCTTCCTCATAGAAAATGCATTCTTGGGGAGGAATTCCTACAAGACGCACTCTGAACCTTAGTTTTTATGGCATAATATTAGTTCTTACTACATAAAGCCAAATCACATATCAAATGACATAATGCATGTAAAGTGTTTAGTACCAAGTCTGGCATACAGTAAGTGTTCGGGATGTGATTGGAATTATTAGTATAATAACATTGATGATCAGGATTTGAGTGTGTAATGCTTACTGTTGCATTACAACTTATTCTTCTGCCATTAACAATCATTTACTACTTCTCTATGTGTGTATGTGGGAGGTGGAGTGTTTTGTAAAATCAGCATTTCTATCAGAATTGTGAAATGTAAAATTGGGATTTGATTGTGCTCTTTTGGAGAAACTGAATGATTTTAACATTCAGCTTGTCTGGGTATTATTTAGCTGGATGCAAGTATGAAGAAATCCCTTTATACCCTTAGAGTATATTTGATATTTTGTTTTTTCTTCAGGTCCTAGAAGAAGAGATACACATCATGGGAAGGATATACAGGTAGGGATCTTTAGAAATGGCATTACTATATTAATATTTATGTCCTCTAGTAAGATATAGGTTTCTGTGTAGGTAGGGAATAGAACATCCAAGTATAGACTTTTCTAATCATGGATTTCACAATTTATTTGTGTCCCACAGAAGCTACTACAAATGAAGCAAAAAAAAAAAATTTTTTTTTTAGATAGGAGCTCCCTCTGTCACCCAGGCTGGAGTGCAGTGGCCTGATCACAACTCACTGCAGACTCAATCTCCCAGGCTCAAGCAATCTTCCCATCTCAGCCTCCCAAGTAGCTGGGACCACAGGCACATGCCATCATGCCCAGCTAATTTTTGTATTTTTTGTAGAGACCAGGTTTCTGCATGTTGACCAGGCTGGTCTCAAAATCCTGGGCTCAAGAGATTCGCCCACCTTGGCCTCCCAAAGTATGGGGATTAGAGGCAGAAAATGTGTTTTAATCTTCCCAGTTTGACTTTCTGGCAAATATCTTGTGATTCATTCACTATGTACTTGGGTTCAGAATTTGTCCTCTTTAGGTAAAAGTCTTCAGTTTTCACACAGAAACTGTTAGAAAGCCAACATATCCCCCTCCCTAGCTCAACTATTAAATGTGTTGCTTCTGAAAGCATAGACTACTTGCTCCATGCCAAATTTTATTTGCCCGCATAAGCTCCTCTACAGTTAACAATCCAAAATATGCCTCCTGTAGGTTCCATAATGAACTAACTACTCAATGGAATCTGAGAGTTTCCATTTCAAATGCAAAATCCCAAAGACATCCATGTACTTTGTGTTTTTCTTGAAAGCCTATTGTCTCCTTCCTTCTGATGTTCTATTATGACAGCCTATGTTAAAGTAATTTTTCAAAAGATGCATTAGCTCAGAGCACATTTTCACTGTATGCCAAGGGGAAGCCAGTGCTGGTGCTTGTCCATGGGTGGCTTCTGCTTATAGAATTATGGAATTCTTAACCAAAAGAGCGACCAGTGTGACTTCTTCTAGAGGAGGCCTGAAATAGTAACAGGAAAGAGTTTTGACTCTTTTACTTATTGCTGTGGGTCTCTAGGAGATCACTTAAACTCTCTGAATCTCAGTCTCCACCTCCGTGAAATGAGAAGGTGATGAAAATATGGTGATAAGCTGATCAAATATGCATCACTTCTGGGCATGTGGTAGTAGTTCAACAACAATAGCTATTAGGAGGGTCATCATTCAGTGAAACATAGTTACTTTGGAGACAGAAAAAGTTACACCAAGGCAATGACTTACTTGTAAGCAATTCATTCATTCATTCGTTCAGTTATTCAGTGTTCAAGTAAGCATGTGTAGATCGCTTATTTCAGGAGGTTACAAGGTTTGTGTGAGTAGGGACTCTGGCTTGAACATATTTGATCAGAGTGAAAAGGCATTAAAAAACATAAATGTTTCATTTAGCAACATACCTTTTTTCAAGGTCAGGATCCCCAAATCTTTAGAAGCTACTTACTTGAAGACGGGGACTTCTTAATGAGTTTACTTCTTGTCTCAAAACCAGAATCTTAAGATAATAACAAAATATCAGAAGCAACATGAATGTCCACCAGCAAAAAAGAATGAAAAAATAAATTATGGTTGGTAATACAGTATAATAATACAGAGCAGTTAAAAGTGAATGAACTAAGACCAGGCATGGTGGCTCATGCCTGTAATCCCAGCACTTTGGGAGGCCGAAGTGAGTGGATTACTTGAGGTCAGGAGTTTGAGATCAGCCTGGCCAACATGGTGAAACCCCGTCTCTAGTAAATAGAAAAAAAAATTAACCAGGTATGGTGGAACGTGCCTGTAATCCCAGATACTTGGGAGGCAGAGGAAAGAGAATCACTTGAACCCAGGAGGCAGAGGTTACAGTAAGCTGAGATTGCACCATTGCACTCCAGCCTGGGCAACAAGAGTGAAAACTCTGTCTAAAAAAAAAAAAATGAATGAACTAGATCTACATGTATCATTCAGAGATACGTTGAGTGAATAGAGCAAGTTGCATAATACTAGGTAAAGAAAACTACAGTTCATATGAAGGTTAAAAGAGAGAAGGTTGTGTTTTATTTACGGATGCATAATTATGTAGTAAAGAGAAAATCTACACCTTGATGGATGTAGTAAAAGTATGAAAACACCCAGGGAAGGGCATTCCCCAACTTTAGGAGACTGGATACCACTGGAGAGGGAGGAAGGACTGTCATAGAGACTGTGATTAATCAGGCCTTGCTGATATTTCCAGTATCTTGTTTATTTAAACGAAAGGTTTGATGTGCAAATAAATGTACAAACTAAGGACGTGAAGTAAAAGAAATAATTTTTATAATAGTTTTTAGGTTATTTTTGAAGATTTGTTTTAGAGATTGAAATAACACCCTATTTCTGCTTAAAGCTGTTATATTCTGTTTAATCCTGTTTTAGACATTTAAATTTCAGGTGCATCTTTAAGTCCATGATAAGGATATGGCTATGCAAGAAACACTCATTCCCCACCTTATCCCATGTGATGGACAGCTGGTTTCACAGCAGCTGGATGGGAACATTTGCCTTGCTTTCACTCTTGTTCTTTCCATCCCTCTCAATTCTGGTCTATTCTCAGCTCCTGGCTTTTCTTCTGGGGGTTGCCATTTTCAAATGAAGACAGATTTGTTATTTTGTTTTTGTGTTTTTGACCCTCAGCATCACCTCTAGATATCACCAGAGCTCTTACTTGACATTGGAGACCTTCCTGTCCTTGTCCTTCTAGGGCAGCACTCCTAGCTCAAGGACCACAGAAGTCCCCATTCTCTAGGACTCCACATTCCTCGTTCCCACAGATCTCTACTGGACCAGTAGTGAGATAACTCCTGGAGAATAAGTCCAAGGAAATCAGTCACCCATATAAGCGATCAATTTACAAGCCACTTGTAAAGAATATGAATTAGAAAAAGATAATTGTTACATTTCCTCACAGAGCAGAACCGCTTAACTTCTACTTTCTGCTTTTTAGACCATCGGAGGTAGGGGACAGAGTGACATAGGAAAAACACTGACCATCTTCGGAACAAAGAGACAATTAAAAACTAGAGAAATGTCCATTTCAAAACCAGCTCGTGCAGAGCTAACTTAAGCTCTGAGGCCAGAAATGAGTCCTGAACACAAAACAAAAGTTTTAGGGCCAGGCAGAGTGGCCCATGCCTGTAATTCCAGTACTTTGGGAGGCAGAGGTGGGTGGATTGCTTGAGCCCAGGAGTTCGAGACCAGCCTGGGCAACATAGTGAGACCCTGTCTCCATTAAAAAAAAAAGAAAGAAAGAAAAGAAAAGTTTTACAGGGAATTATTGTTATGTATTCTACTTAAGAAGGGATTTTTTTCTCAAAATTCAAGAAAAAATGGTATTTAGGAACTTCTACATATTTTAAAATTTTATTCTAAATTGTGTGTCATTTTTTAGAATACATTAATTGATGATTCGTACAACTTTAAACAGAGGTGCTGAAAGATTTCTATTGCTGGAACAAAGTGTCAAACACTATGACAATTAATTGTGTCTATAAATAACTGAGCTGTGCAGTCCATGAGGACATGATCAAAGTGCCAATATTGGCTTGGAGGGAGTGTGCCCCAATTATACATCAGTCTCACCAACACTGTTACTCTTATAAATTAAAACCAAAAGAGAAACTGGCAGACACAATCGATGAGTCTTTAGAACTGAGGTGGAAGAGCAAACATCAGCCAGTGTGAGTCCACTAAACCATCTGACCCACGTTATTATCCTGAGCCTAGTCTGGCTGGCTTTTGCTGTCTGTTCTTGACTGTAAGTGTCTTCAGGATGAAGATTGTTTGCTTCATTCTCGTATTGCCAGAGGCCATAGCAAATGCTCAGTCCATATATTTTTAAAAAATAAATTAAGCCACCTAGTTTTAGCTTGACATCATCCCTCTTGGGCTCTGGCTTGACTTTCCCTTTTTCCATGATCCACAGCATCTATGAGGCCTGGCTACATTCTCCCAGTAGTACTCATGCCTTCAGAGGGACTTTCCCAGCAAATGGTTGCAATTCTCTGCAGCCCTCCTTCCATTCTACTTTTTAAAGAGTTGATGGTGTAACAGTATTTTCCTCTAATTCTGGAATTCAGAACAAGTTCAGGATTCAGGGGATGATGAAGAAGCCCAGACTCAAGTGAGCATAAGTTGTAGTCATTATGTCAACAATTTCCATTTTAAAATCCAGACCCAGTTAAAGGATATCTACTGCTCCACTCTTCACAGAGGAAAAATTTCTTTTCTTTTTTTTTTAGAGACAGGGTTTTGTTTTGTCACCCAGACTGGAGTGCAGTGAGTGGTGGGATCATAGGTCACTGCAGACTTGACCTCCCAGGCTCCAGCGATCCTACCACCTCAGCCTCCCAAGTAGCTGGGACTACAGTTATGTGCCACTACGCCCAACTAATTTTTGTATTTTTGGTAGAGACAGGGTTTCACCATGTTGCCCAGGCTGGTTTCGAACTCCTGAGCTCAAGCAATACACTGCCTCTGCCTCCCAAAGTGTTGGGATTACAGGCGTGAGTCACTGCATCTGGCCAAAATTTCTTGTTTTTTTGTCTTTTTTTCCCTGCCCCACAAGAGTGCTCCACCACTTCATGGTGTGAGATGACAAGCTATCCCAGCATTGTGGCATGGTGAATTCTCACCCACTGGTGATATACAATAAAGTCAATGGGAATTTTCTTTAAAGAAAGATCAGATTTTGGTTGATATGTAAATTTTCAGATTTCAATTCAGGTTTCAGCAAACTTGTAGAGACCAGAGTCCTGTCGATCTACAATTCCTTGTGAAATTCCATGGACAAGTTTATAATATTAAATTTAAAAAAAGATTTTCAGAGCCTAAGAGTCCACAAAGAATAATGCATAGTTCTCTTACTTAAAATGTAAAAGATATTAAAATTGGAATCATTTTATCTTCTCCTGCATGCTTGTTTCTTCAGAGGGTAGAAATAGAGAAAATATCTGTATATTCAATGTCATTCCTTTGGAAATTCAACTTGGAAGCATGTAACAACCCACAAGTCACTTAATTTCAAATTCTGGTTCCAGTTCAGCCTTGATGGCTTGCCCAGACTCGTATAACTTTATGGACTCTCGTTTGTTCCACATTGTGTCCTCTTCTTGTCTTTGGAGAAAATCAGAAGTAAAAGGAAGATATGGTCTCAAGAAGTGGCAAGCTTTAATGGAGAACGCCACCTCTCCATGCTGCTGCAGACAGTAAGAGACAAAAGCAATTATCTTTCCAAATTCTGATTGCAACTAGTGTTCATAACCTTCTTTCCCTTTAAGTCTGTTACTAAATCTAAATATAGCAAAACTGGTTTCCTTAATTCTAGTCTACTCTTAGTTCCCCCTGACCTTAAAAGGCAACTGGAATAGGAGAATTCATCTAATTATTATTTGTGAAAGTGAATAATGGAGGGGAAAGTAAATAAATGGAAGGGAATGAGGTGGCCGAGGAGCACAGAGTTCAGGCACTAACAGGAGAGGCCATTTCACAAATAATTATCTGCAATTTCATGTTAAAATTCCATGGGCAATTTCATAACATTAAATTTAAAAAAGAATTTCAGATTCTAGGAGTCTAGAAAGAGTAATGCATAGCTCCGTCAATTGTTTGTAAAAGTGAATAATTATTTGTGAAAGTAAGTAATGAGAAAATAAGACATCCCCTTTTCCATTAACAGAAAATTCACCAAATATGAGTTTTGGCTATTATTTAATGCTACTAAAAAATATGACTTATTTCCCTAGGTCCTGCCACTGAAGGTGACTGTAAGAATTTTTTTTTTTCGAGACAGAGTCTCTGTTGCCCAGGCTGGAGTGCAGTGGTGCAATCTCGGCTCACTACAACCTTCACCTCCTGGATTCAAATGATTCTCCTACCTCAGCCTCCTGAGTAGCTGGGACTACAGGCATGTGCCACCACGCCCAGCTAATTTTTTTTATTTTTAGTAGAGACAGGGTTTCACTGTGTTACCCAGGATGGTCTCGATCTCCTGACCAGGAGGCCTGCCCTGGCCTCCCAAAGTGCTGGGATTACAGGCATGAGCCACCACACCCGGCCAACTGTAAGATATCTTTAACATCTGACCTCATCTTGCATCACACTGTCCATCACTCAGGGTGCTTCAGTCATGTTGGTCTTCCTTAGGTCACTTTAACATGCTGCACTTGTGCTACCCACAGCCTTTGCATCTGCTCTTCCCTTGCTTGGGACACCATCCCCCAACATTGTCACACGGTTGCTTCTTCCTCACCATTCTGATATCTCTCAGAGAGGCCTTCCCTAACAACCTACGTAAGGTATCTCGTCCCCTTCAACCCCTTCCCAGCAATCTCGTTAACTTTCTACACTCTCTTCACAGCATTTGCTTTTCTGAAATGACTTCATATGTATGTTTATGTATAAGCTGCATTGTCTGGGTCCTGCCTTTATAATATGTTATCTGGGGTCAGAGCCTTGGTCAGCTTTGTCCACCTCTCTATCCCCAGTGCTTGGTAAAACCATGCAACAGGGAGCAGGCTCTGGATCAATACTCGTGAATAAACTAACAAAAGAATGAATGAATAAAACCCTGGGCAGGTTGCTTAAGCTTCTTCAGTTTCTTCATTGGTAAAACAAGGATAAATAGCACTGACTTCATGGTGGTATCGTACAAATGAAAGAAGAAAATGGCTATAAGATCTAGAACAGTGTCTAGCACATAACAGCTGTTCAATAAATGTTTGTTTCTTTCCCACCTTCTCTCTTGATTTTTCCCACAGTGAACCTCATAGCTTAGCATGGAATGGAAGTATTCCTCCCTCACCACAGCCCAAAGTTGCTCTTGTAGTAAATATAAACCTCATTCCACAAGTTTCAGTATGCAAGGATATAACCGTAGTTTTTACAATTCAATTTAATTTTTGCTGTGAGCCTAGATTTCTGCTAGGTAACAGATTTATCTCAGTCAACTGAGGTTTTAAACTCTCCTTTTCCCCTTGGCTGTCTGTAAATTCCGAAGGACTTACAGAGTGCAAAAACTGGCAGAGGGCAGTCAGTCGCTGGTGATGTTGATGTATACTCTGACACTCAAATCAAATAACGTAAAGATTGCTATAATTTTTACATGCCAAATTACTGAAGTCTGTTATGCTAGGCCCTCTTCAAAGGGGTAAATCAGGAATTATCCTCCACACATGTTCTCTGAAGGTCAAAGTGAGAAGAAAATGGAGGGAACCTCTAAACCCCCAGGGCCTGGCTCCCCTCAAGAGTTAAACTCAGAAAAATCCTCCCGACAGCCCACAGCACAAGGTCAAAAACTGTCCCACTCAGTTGAAACCTGTAGGTCAAAGAAATGGGCAGGTTGTGCATAAACTAAGAAACATGCATATATGATGGGTGGCCTAAGAGTCTCTGGATCATAACAAACTGGGTCCTCAGACAAAGCCATCATGGCCTTTTCCAGGTCATATGACCCTGCCCCTTTCTAAAAGAAGTGATACCACCTTCCTGGACTTACTTGGGACACTAGAGTGACCCAGGTTTGTGCCCTGGTAAGTACTACAAATGGAATCCTGGTGCCAAGAGTACATAGGTGAGCATTTGTCTTCTAATTTGTCCCAGCAGATAAAACTAAGATGAAAATTATAAAAAATGGAAGACAAAATACATTGGTTTACAGTCAATTCAGATGCAATCTGTTAGTATAAATAATGGCTACAATGTGGTGGAAAAGCCATCTGTCACTTTAAGGCAAAAATGCAGTTACTTTTAAGAAAAGAAGCTCAGGAAGAGTAAATTTATCCCAAGGCTCTTGAGCTTGGAATGCATTTGAAGAAAAGTGGATGAGTTTTTCTCACCCAGAAAATAAATCACGTTGTCATGATTCCAGGTTTTCACTTTGTTTTGTTTTTTATATCACGCAGCATCGTTCTGTTTAGGGCTTACATCCTGGTGATTTTTCTGGTTCCACCAGGATATTTGAGCAAGTATCATTTTTAGTGAGGCAGCATATGGCAAGGCACTTAGTTTGCTGTTGTGCACCTATGCATATGTGTGTTTGCTATACGTAATACACACGCGCGCACGCACACACTCATCTCTTCAGTTCTAAATCCAAACCTTCTTTGTAAATTAAGTGAGCCTAGAGAGTTGGAAACACAACAGCAGCAAAAGGCTGGGGCTGGCAGCCACTGCTAAAAGCTGCGTATGACACAAAACTGGATTATAATGTCATTCACTAAATGACAGATCATTTAGTGTCTTGGAAGAGACTGTTTTCACACTGCTGAAGCTCTCACAGGGGAATTCCATGTGGGCTCCTTATTGTCAGAGCTATTTTTCACCCAATTTGTTTCCAAATGATGTCTAACCTGAGGTCTCCCCACTGAGAGAGGTTTAAGCCATGATTAATGAGGAGTGCTTGGCCAGGCCCACCTGGGAAATGGCCCATCTGCAAACTCAGGTAAGACGCAGAGGCCTACAAGGCATCAGCTTGTGAACGGCAGGCAGCTTCCTGCAGCTCGAGGCTCCCACACTGCAAAGGCAAGGTGTTCAGAATTAGCAGGATAATGTTTCAGGAGGCGCTGGAGACGTGTCGCTCCTGCTGTTTTTTCCCTGAGATGTTCATGGGCGAGGTGCTCTCCATCTTGGTATTAAAAGATATATTTTCTGTTCCTCAAGCTTATTTACTCTCTTCAAAGCTTTCACACATATGTGTGGCAAAACAAGCAAATAGACTTACACATGTACACAGAGACTTGGCTTTGTCTCAAAGGACGAGATCACTGAGCAAGCAGGAATTAGATTTATAACACCATGGTCTGTTTTGACTTTGTACATGAACCTATATGATCATTTTTATTTCCAGTGCCTAAACTGCTGTTTGTTATATTCAAATGTATCCATATTTCCATGCATAAAATGTATGTTAAAATAAATTCTCTTTTCTGTAAATTAAATGTTGGAAATATTGGAATACACTTTTTTAAATACCAGGTCAGTGAGTAGTATAGGTCTTCTAATAATTTGAAATCTTTGGAAATGGATAGCCTTTCACTAAAGGAATAGAACATTTAAAATAAGCAGAATAGAATGCCACATTTGTTCCAAGATAAAATTATATAAGCACAAATTGGATAAGGAATTCCATGTTCTTTTAAAATACCTAGCTGGAAAACAAAAACAAAAACAAAAACAAACAAACAAACAAAAAAACGAGGAAATAGGTCATTCTTCATAGCAAAGTCCATTCCTTCCCTTATTCAAGATGCACATTCTAGGCTTTCTCTCTAGGCTGCCATTAACGATGACATCCCACAATTCCGTCTGTCAGGACTAAAACCTAACAGATCCAACTGTCTCCAAATAAAACAGATTGTTTGCTGGGAACATTTATGACCCATAAAGAGTGAGAGTTTATCCTGGCGAAACATTTCTTCTTGTAAACAACCAACATTCCCTGAATCTCACCAGCTGACTTTGAATCCATCCATTTCTCACTTGGCATTTGGCTTCATCCGAAGCTTCTTTGATGGCATTTTGTTCCCAACTGTTGTGCAAAAGATGCTTTCCATTGAATTGCTTCTGTATCCAGACACCAAAATGATCCCACACTTTCTTTAACTACTCTGTTGCCAGCAACATGTTTACCATGATTTAGATGTCTATTATACGCATGAATGACTTGTCTACTTAATTTCATCAAAAAATGAACCCTCATAAGTGGCACAGATGCTGGTATGATGGTAATCAAATTAGTTTTTGGACAGGTTTATGGCCACTTGCTGTCAGTTAAGCTCTCTTTGGCTATCTTCACTCCTAATACAGTTTTGATGGTGATTAATGGCTCCATTAATACACAGTTTGTGTTATGATAGACCTAATATTATAGTCTTGTTTGCTGACCACAGATGACAATACACTTGGTAAGATTCAGGTCCGCAAAGTATTAGCTGTACATCTAGTGTTAGATTTTTACTTCCTTGGTCCTAGTGTATGTATATTTAGACCCAACCACAGTGAACACTCTATTTGTGCCAAAACTTTGTTTTAAGTTAAAGTTCCTTTCATGATCCCTTTCTTTGTTACAGGAATGTTGTTGCCTTAAATTATTCTTGTTAATGCTATGTTTCATTCACAGTCTTTTCAGTCCTAGTCTTATTTGCTTCCACCTCTAAATTCTTGAAATCTTTGCTGTATACAAAGTTTTTCTGTTTTTTTCTTAAATTTTTCATTTATTTGACTGCTTGAATAATTTTCAAAAAAAATCTCTAATTATATCTTCTTATAATCCTTGTCTTTATTTTTTTCTTCCAAATGGTGCACATCATTCCATTCATGGCTATTCTATCCTATTTCTTAGACTTCTCTGGGAGTAAATTTTTAATTGAAATCTCTTGTGAGCAGCACACATTTATTTGCGTTCATTCAACAGGGCTGCTAAAAGGATGAGAACAAAATGGGAGCCTTGTAGGCTAAACTATGGTAAACACATTTGGATTGTTTACACAGCTTTTTTTATGTTTAAACAAACACGGTTTTTTTTAATAATGAAATTGAGTTTCCTCCTGCACATATTTGATTTTTATGTTCATCTGTGCACTTGCCTAAACTCCACCCACTTACTGCTATGCAAATACAGATTATGCAAATTTTTGTTTTGAATTGGGTGAGCTGAGCAGATGCCCATTTTAGCATAAACAGTTCAGAAAAAAAGGTTTGAATAGACAAGCACTATTGTAAAAATACCTAAATGGACATAAAGATGAATGTTTGTTTTCACACAAACAAAAATGTTAAAGACATCTTTTCACTCTTATGAGAAAAATCTAAGGTCATTTTCTAATAAGGGTAAATGCTGAAATTCAATTCCTCATTTAATAGCAAGACTCCAGACTAGACCCAATCTACTGTGGTGGATCTTTGAACCTATTAATTTATTGTAATCCTCCCTTCACTTAAGTCAATATGATCCCAGCTGTCTAGTAAATTATCTTTATCTAAGGCTGGCATCTCTGCTGACTGGTTTTTCTTTTATTTTCTTGGATTTTTTTTTTATTTTTAGTTGTTACCACATAAATTTACTAATACATAAATGGTTTTATCTGTGTGTGTTGTTAACACAACCCCATAAAAAGGGAAGCTTTACAAAAAGCTTAGCAAAACTTAAGGCATGCAGGAGAAACCTAAATGAAAGGGAGTTTAAAATCTGATTCTTACATACAGTTACCATTTTTCCTCGAAATTTTTAAGGAAGGCATCTGATTAAGTTGTGTCTTTGCCATCTGCTGAGCAATCTCTCTGAGAAGCAGTGCTGATTCAATATTGTGAGCGTTGCAGCCTCAAGAGTTGGTTAGAGGATTATGAGTGACTTAACAGTCAGCCGCAGTGCATCAGAAAGAAGCATCTCAGCATACTATGGCAAACTTTACTTACTATATACTATGAATCATGACGTTTTCCTTTTTTTCTAATTTGTTAAGGTTATTAACAAGTTCCTGAAAAATTCTGGAAGATTGGTGCCTTTGGCACTTTCCTGATTTGGATGGCGCATTTGGATGCCTCTGTGACAATGGGCCTGTATCTCTTGTATATCCATGTACAGTAGTGGACCACAGTAGATGCTCAGTGAGTGTTTTGGGGTAATTCTCCAAAGGATATTTGAATATCAGAAAACACATTTGATGCACAAGGTAAAGTCTCCAGCGGGTGGAGGTCCAGGGTCCACGTCACTAACAGCAGCGACTGTTGCCATGCCAAAGATCCCTCAGGCTGTTAATATCATAGAATAGGGTGTGACACGGTCCTTGCTCATGGTCACTCAAGAGCCTCTAAGACTTTCATGACTGCTTCAGGTGGTCGATCTGGTTTGGGTACATCTTCTAGTGCCCTATTGGTCTGGAGCCAAAAGTTCTTCTCCAGGGTGACCTGGCCCTGGTTTAAGAACTTGGTCATTTATCAAGCGGAACCTATTCTGGTTTCCTGAGGATCCTTACAAATACATCTTCAGTCTCATGTTCATTCAGTCATTTAGTCATCCATTTAACTAATAACCAAGCATTAGGCACTGTGCTATGGACTGGGGATTTAAAAAGGAACAGGGCACAGTTTCTGTCCTACCAGGATTCCGTGCTGGGAGGAAACTTAACAAGCAAGCAAATATTGTAATGGGGTCAATGTTGTACCGGAGTTGTGTGCCAGGTGCTAGGGGAAGGGAAAAACAAATAAATTCAACTCTCTTTGGCAGACAAGGTACTTTTCCTGGGGGAGGTACCTTTGGGTGGAGAGTGAGTAGGGTAGGAGTTCTCCAAGTAAGAAAGGCAAAAAAGGATATTCCATTCCTCAGCACTCCTTTCCCCTAAACAAACTTGAAGATCTGAATTCATTCAGTCAAACAGTTGGAGATTCTGGGGAAGTGAGGGACTTGATCCAATATTAACATGTGTTCTTTACGTTGCACGATATGGTCAAAACCCACTTTTTATAGACTGCTCTTGCCTGCATCTATCTCTCTGGCCTGCCTGGGGAGTATAAGCTGATGATGCTTCACAAGCTGAGAGCAATGCTGCAAAGTGAACCAGGGAAGTGCTTGCTTACAGGCTTGCTGCCATACCATGAACCAGGTAACAACTCAAGGATGGGAACTGTGGCTTCAGTGTCTCACTTACCCTACAAATCCCTTTACTATGCCTTAATAGGAACTCGCTGATTTGACTAAGAGTTCCCAATGCTTCACGATTAGAATAAGCCTATTAAAACAACTGAACAATAGTTTACTAAATGATATCTTAGTGGCCTGAAATTGATAATGCATTTTCCAGTTTTGTTTCTCTTAAATTATACAGAAGGCATAATTAAAGTAGACCCAGTGAGAATAAATTGAAAACTGAAGTGAAAAATTTCTTTTCATTTTAGAAGCCCATTTATTTAAAGTACTATGGTTACAAGTAAGAGGTCTAATAACCTAGGGAAAAAATCATGCTAGAAGAGTTAGTAGGTTGTGAATCAGTGGGTTATGAAGAAACTGCTGCTTCCTTTTTAAATAAAGGGATAAATGCCATAACTTATAATATATGTGATTAACTCCGTATGTTTCATCAAAAGATACAATCATCAGGGTTAAAATAATATACCACATTTTCATCTCACCTGGACATCAAATTGAATTCTTCTTTTCTATTTTATTTTTCTGAGATGGAGTTTCACTCTTGTCCCCCAGGCTGTAGTGCAGTGGCGCAATCTCTGCTCACTGCAACCTCCGCCTCCCAGGTTCAAGCCATTCTCCTACCTCAGCCTCCCAAGTAACTGGGATTAGAGGCATGCACCACCATGCCCAGCTAATTTTTTTTTTTTTTTGTATTTTTAGTAGAGACTGGTCTCACCATGTTGGCCAGGCTGGTCTCAAACTCCTGACCTCAGGTGATCTGCCTGCCTCGGTCTCCTGAATTCTTCTTAAAATCTGTAGTGCAGTAGAACAATCTGTCAAGATGTCATAAAAATTGACTTTAGACCAATTATTCTAAGGAAAGTTGGGCAAGAGTCAGTACCAATCAAGAATGAGAAAACCTTGCCATCTTCTGATACATTCACTGGTTCCAAACACTCTAATGAGATAGCTACACTATGAAATATTAAGGGACTGCCACTGTTGTAATCTGATGTCTCACTTAAGCTAAGGCAACGGTGAATAATGGATTAAATAATGGACTCTCATGCATTGTGCCTTTAATGATCTAATCCAATATTTACCACTGCCTTAGCTTAAGTGAGACATCAGATTAATCTCTAACAGTGGCAGTTCCTCAACACTTTATAGTGTAGCTACCTCAGTGAGGTTTTTGGAATCAGTGAATAGCTGTGCCTGCAGGTGGTATGCAAATGTGATAAAGCTAATCTAATAATAACCTGAAAAATAAACCAACTCAGCAAGACTCCTAGGATTTCCTTGAAGAATAATCAGCAACCATCTTAAAGATGGGTGTCTAGCCTACAGGAACATAAAGGTGGCAAAGGGGTTCTCTGGCCCCTAAGAGAAGCAAATAGCATCTTGCAATCTCTCAAGCACACAAGAAAGGCTTTGTGATGACAGAGCAAATATGACACTATCATGGCCTAAGATTAGAGGACAAAAAAGAGGAAATTTCCCTTATCAACAAGGAAGTGGAGAGTTCATGAGAAGCTAAAGCCTCTAAGAGGTGATGTTTCCTTTAGTTCTTCATACTTGTGGTAGTTCACCCACACCTGTGACCACCCAGTAAGGAAATCTAAGTGAAAGTAACTGGAGTAAGATAAATTTTTTTAAAACTTTTATTTTAGGTTTGGGGGTACATGTGAAGGTTTGTTATGCAGGTACACTCATGTCATGGGAGTTTGTTGTACAGATTATTTCATCACCCAGATATTAAGCCTGGTACCCAATAGTTATTTTTTCTCCTCCTCTCCCTCCTCCCACCCCCCATCCTCAAGTAGACCCCAGTGTCTGTAGTTCCTTTCTTTGTGTTCATGAGTTCTCATCAATTAGCTCCCACTTATAAGTGAGAACATGCTGTATTTGATTTTTTGTTCCTGAATTAGTTTGCTAAGGATAATGGCCTGCAGCTCCATCCACGTTCCCACAGAAGACATGATCTCATTCTTTTTTTGAGCTGCATAGTATTCCATCATGTACATATACCACATTTTCTTTATTCAATCCATCATTTACGGGCATTTAGGTTGATTCCATGTCTTTGCTACTGTGAACAGTATTGCAATGAATATTCGCATTTATGGTAGAATGATTTATATTCCTCTGGGTATATACCCAGTAATGGGATTGCTGGATCAAATGGTAGTTCTGCTTTTAGCTCTTTGAGGAATTGCCATACTGCTTTTCACAATGGTTGAACTAATTTACACTCCTGCCAACATTGTATAAGTGTTCCCTTTTCTCTGCAACCTCAGAAGCATCTGTTATTTTTTGACTTTTTAGTAATAGCCATTGTGACTGGTTTGAGATTGCGGTTTTGATTTGCATTTCTCATTGTGGTTTTGATTGGCATTTCTCTAATGATCAGTGATATTGAGCTTTTTTTCATATGATTGTTAGCCACATGTATGTCTTCTTTTGAGAAGTGTCTGTTCATGTCCTTTGCCCATTTTTTAATGGGGTTGTTTTTCTCTTGAAAATTTGTTTAAGTTCCTTATGGATGCTGGGTATTGGACCTTTGTCAGATGCATAGTAGGCAAATATTTTCTCCCATTCTGTATGTTATCTGTTCACTTTGTTGATAGCTTCTTTTGCTGAGCAGAAGCTCTTAAGTTTAATTAAACCTTATTTGTCAATTTTTTGCTTTTGTTGCTATTGCTTTTGGTGTCTTTGTCATGAAATCTTTGCTCATTCATATGTCCAGGATGGTATTGCCTAGGTTATCTTCCAGGGTTTTTATAGTTTGGGGTTTTACATTTAAGTCTTTAATCCATCATGAGTTGATTTTTGTATATGGTGTGAAGAAGGGGCCCAACCTCAATCTTCTGCATATGGCTAGCCAGTTATCTCAGCACCATCTATTGAATAGAGCCTTTTCCCCATTGCTTGTTTTTGTCAGCTTTGTCAAAGAGCAGACGGTTATAGGTGTGTGGCCTTCTTTCTGGGCTCTCTATTCTGTTCCATTGGTCTATGTGTCTGTTTTTGTACCATGCTCTTTTGGTTACTATAGCCCTGTAGTATAGTTTGAAGTCAGGTACCTTGATGACTTCAGCTTTGTTCTTTTTGCTAAGGATTGCCTTGGCTGTTTGGGCTCTTTTTTGGTTTCGTATCAATTTTAAAATAGCCTTTTCTAGTTCTGTGAAGAATATTGTTGGTAGTTTGATAGGAATAGCCCTTGAATCTGTAGATTGCTTTGGGCAGTATGATCATTTTAATAATATTGATTCTTTCTATCAATGAGCATGGGCTGTTTTTCCAATTGTTTGTTTCTTCTCTGATTTCTTTGAGTAGTGTTTTGTAACTCTCATTGTAGAGATCTTTCACCTCCCTGGTTAGCTGTATTCCTAGGTAATTTATTCTTTCTGTGGCAGTTGTAAAGGGGGTTGCCTTCCTGATTTGGTTCTTGTCTCGGCTGTTGTTGTTGTATAGGAACTAGTAATTTTTGCACATTGATTTTGAATCTGAAACTTTGCTGAAGTTGTTTATCAGCTGGAGGAGCATTTGAGTCAAGGCTATGGGATTTTCTAGACACAGAATCATGTTGTCTGCAAACAGGGTTAATTTAACTTCCTCTCTTTCTGTTTGGATGCCCTTTCTTTCTCTTGCCTGGAGTAAGATAAATGTTTAATTCATTATAACTTATATCAATACTCCTTCCTTGATGATGGAATAGTCCTGTCATGCTTACCACCACTCTATTTTAAAGACATCAGGATCATTATCTTTCCCAGAAGAATGATAGAGGACTGAACATAGTCACCTCAAAATAATCATACTCTTGTATCAAGGGCAGCAGCTCAACCCATCTAAGAGTCTGCTTCCAAATCCCAAGACATGGCACATGGTACAGGCACAAGCTTTATTATTCATGGGTACCTAGGGTATTGCAGAGAAATAACTCTAGTATCTTGACAGTTGGAAAGGATCTAGAATAAAAAGCAGCAAGAGTTGTTCAATTAAAAGATGCATGGATTCTAATTCACACAGTTCTTTTTTTTATTATTATACTTTAAGTTCTAGGGTACATGTGCACAACGTGCAGGTTTGTTACATACGTATACATGTGCCATGTTGGTGTGCTGCACCCGTTAACTCTTCATTTACATTAGGTATATCGCTTAATGCTATCCCTCCCCCCTCCCCCCACCCCATGACAGTCCCCAGTGTGTGATGTTCCCCACCCTGTGTCCAAGTGTTCTCATTGTTCAATTCCTACCTATGAGTGTGAACATGCGGTGTTTGGTTTTCTGTCCTTGTGATAGTTTGCTCAGAATGATGATTTCCAGCTTCATCCATGTCCCTACAAAGGACATGAACTCATCCTTTTTTATGGCTGCATAGTATTCCGTGGTGTATATGTGCCACATTTTCTTAATCCAGTCTATCACTGATGGACATTTGGGTTGGTTCCAAGTCTTTGCTATTGTGAATAGTGCCACAATACACATATGTGTGCATGTGTCTTTATAGCAGCATGATTTATAATCCTTTGGGTATATACCCAGTAATGGGATGGCTGGGTCACTTAAGGCCAGAGAGCAACCAAAACTAGGTTGTTTCTGCCAATTAGCATCCCATGTAGGTAGATAGCAGTGGATCTGCTTTGGAGTTGGCAAGTCCTGTGTCTTAATCCTTAGTTCTCTGCCCTTCTCTCTATATCTTGCCTATCATCTTCCAAACAGCTCTACTCTTTCACCAGCAGGGCCCTCTATATTCCTCTACCTACCAAATCCCTTCCACCATTCAGGACCCAATTGAAACCTCACCTATTCTGTGAAGATTTCCTTGGCCTCTCTCACTAGACCTCTCACCTTTCAGAACTCATGACATGTTGTTTCTGTGCTACCATTTGATGCTTATCATACAACCTTTGACCATTTTTATGATTTATGGTTTCTAGAGTGCTTTATGTTTTGTGCTTATTCTTCTCAACAATATGGTGAATTTTTTGAGGTCGAGACTAAATCTACTGTATCTTTTTTCCATGAGCAATGATTATCTCTTGCCACAGAACTTCCACCCTAGGCAAAGTTCAAACTACATGTTGATTGGCATTTTCTATGGCCACATGTGTATAGTTCAACTTCCAAAAGCATTTAATAACATTAGTAGGTTGGTCTCTGGCAGCTTTTAAGGAAATTTGGCAGCCCAAGGAGATTGATGCAGAGCCTAAGACTGTTCCTTCGATGATGTGCCAATTGTGTCAGAATTGATGTTCTATTTAATTCATTCTCTGTCACCAAAAATTACTTCTGGGCTATGGATTAGATTCAGTTTTATTAAATCTGTTTTACAAAGCCTGGCTCTAGGATACGACAAGGGAGCTGGAAGCTGGAAGCTGGAAGCTGGTATTGAACTCCTCCAGGAAAGTTCCTGGACTCTCTAAAGACCCAGTCAATAAGTCATGTTAGAGATTATAGAGAAGTTTCAAACCCAGAACTGTTATGAGCTGGTGATTCACCTAAATAAATTAGCCTGCAATTAGGGAAACCTTTATTCAATAAAAGTTTTACCTTTGGAATAGTGAACTAAACCTGTTACTTTGGCAGTAATTTGCCAAATGATGCCAATATCAACCAACAAGTAAGAAACAAAATTCAAAGTAAGGCCATTTGGTTTGGTCAAGTGCCAAAGCAACTGTTAGGGCTCAGAAAGCAATACTCCAAAGCATGGAGCTTTACATGTTGAGTGTTTTGAACTAAGAAGCAGCCTTACAAGCAAGGTCTCTCTCTGACCTTCTCCCAACCCCTGTCTCCCAGCCCTCTGTCTCTTCCAAAGCACAGGGAGAGTCTTTTCTCTAAAGTTTCTTTACCTATCTAAAGATTGGATCCACTAAAGAGGAACACAATAGACTTCAGTCTTCTAACTGAAATTTCATTAACCAAGGAAGATTAAATTTATATCACAGAGGAAGAGACTGAAAAATCAAATGCCATAACTGGAGCCCAGACAAACATTACCCCAGGCCATTGTCTGTTCTATGGGCCCATTCTTTTCCCCTAAAAATCATTTACTACCCCTCTAAAATTGCCTACACCTCCATTTCCTTCTCTCCTATGAAGAAGGGTATATAAACTTCTAGACCTCATGGGGTATTGGGCATTCACTTTCTTATGATGCCCCCATGCATGTAAATAAATTTATATACTTTTTCTCTTGTTAATCAATCTATTGTCACTCTATTTCTCAAACTCAGATATCAAACGTCAAGAGGTGAAGGAGGGGGTTCTTTCACTCCTTCACAAAAATAGAACAGCGAGCAATAGACTGAACAAAAAAACATATCAAACAATGGCAGTGGCCTCTTTCTATTGTGGAGACCATGTCTTAGATCTACCAAAATGTCATGCATAACTGAAACTTGCAATGTGAAGGGCAAAGAATATAATCTACCAACACTCAAGTGATGGCTGCTAACCTGAATGTGTCTAGGTAATAGCAGGAAACCCGAGGAAGTATTTTCTGGGGTCCCTAAGTGAGGAGAGGGCAAATAGGGAGGACCTTTTAGCAAACATTGTTCCAGCAACCTTATTACAAAGGACAAACTTTGTAAGATTTTGACAACTACAAACGATCTAAGTTCTCCTCTTGGGCAAGCAGCCACCAGCCAGTTTTTAGCATTAAAACATTGCTGGTTCTAAGGTTGAATAGTGGAGTCAAGTGAATTTGGAAAGATCAAATTAAAAAATGAAACTGGGGATTGGGGAAAGCAAGCGGGTACTAATGAGTGGGTAGCAGTGGGCTTGAGCCATTCCCTGAGACTCTAGAATGTAGACCCAAGCACCTTTTATGGGTACCCAGTTATGTATTCATGGATGAAAAGGAAAGTATTAAAGGTACTTAGTCAATGTGGACACACATATTGACTTTGTCATCTTACATATTTCCAATTCTCTGTTCATATCCCTTCTTTTTCTTCTGTGCAATACTCAAATTTAGAGATTCATTTGGATCCTAATTCTTTCTCTGATCTCCTTAGGGGTACATATTCCTTTATTTTCTTGTAGATGTTGCCAAGCAAAGTCACTCATAATTTAATCTTCGGGAAAAAAGACATTTTTCTTCAAATTTATCAAATTTTTTTATTTTCTTAATATGTGATTATTACTTCATTCATCTACTCTTTCCAAAGCACTTATTAAGTATCTTCTAGTTCTTATGTTTGCAGAGTAAAGTATTTTGGCAAGATCTGAAATGGACTGTTGACCAATAATACTTTAAGGAGTCTATGTGCATAGTATTTTGTAGAACATTTTGTTGGTCTTAGTCCTAAAATTTCCTCCTCCTGCATTAAAATTATGCTATATGCCACATGAGAAATTATCTATTAACTTAGTTCTCTTACAGTTTTCTTTACTATTGCTAAAATCAGTTCTTAATCATACAATTCAAACATGCAGCTCCATTGTCATTATTTAGAAATACCTCTTTAAAAACTCTGGTTCTTTCAGAACATGAATTACCTAAGTTTTCATTATTTAATCCACTATTCATTCCAGCTTTTAAAAACTGTCTTTTACTTTTAAATTCCTCTTTTTTCTTCAAGTTAGCAATAACATATAATTCTGTAATCTGTCTATGATGATTTGCTTCAAAAGCATTATCAATGATGTTATTTTAATCTATGTAACAGTGTTACTCTTAAAACAAGTAACTTGTTTAGAAAGCACGCCTGTTGTAAATTTACTTTTAATTAAAATATTAAGCACTTCACTTACATTATGTTTACTGAGTTTTGGATTAAGAACTTTTTAATTTTTATCTATGTTCACTAGTCAGAAAAAGCGGATGTTTTTGGAAACACTACTTGCTTAAAACATCTTTTTTCAAGCTCCCTAGGCTTCATTGTTTTGTGGTTAGCTGCCTTAAGCGGCCTAAAGTGTAACAGTCTTTCCTGAATTATTTCCAAAGATATTACTGAGAATTCTGTTGTCTTCAAAAAGCCCGTAGAAGTGTCTGCTGGTCTTTTACATTAGTTTAGTTTTCTATGGAGGAGAATCATCATCTGAGTAATACTCGGGAATGTGAATTCTCTCCAGTGTTATTAAAAAGTCAGCATGCATTGTTTTGAAGGCCTATGAGTACATGCACGTTCTGTCAAAGCTGATCTCTTAGCAGTATCAATGATTCCCATATCTTGGTCTTGGTTCAGGAGTGGGAGCTGCTGAAGGTGGATTTAGGAAAATGTCGCAGGCTCCCTGGCTCAGACCTCACTTCCACTGGACTAATGCCCTGAAGCCAGGCTTCCAGGCTGGCTGGGGCTTGCTGGCTCAGAAAAGGAGGCAAGGAAACAGAACCAGAGGAACACGGCAGGAGAGGAAAAGTCTTCAAGATTTTCTGGTACCTGTTGGGGTGATCTACAAAGGACTTTTTCATTCATTTTTAGCAAAGTTTAATGTGTCCTATAATATCCATATTTGGAATGCATGTTTTAAGTTTTGCCTTCTATAAAAGCTTTCCCTTCTAATATATTTGTTTACCTTTCCAATGTCTGTAAACATACTTGAATAATGATGACCCTAAAATGAAAAAAAAAGAAAAAAGCTTTTCTGCATCCTCTACCTGTTTTGTTCTTTTTTTAAAACAGGTCTCAAAAAGTAAAGAAAGCCATTCTCCAAATGACTAAAACAGATCTCATGTTTGTTACCATCCTTTATTATTTTTCTTCTAAACATGTAATCTAACATTACATAGTCATGAACAGCAAATTATATTATCTACTCATACTTGCGGAGGTAAAAGGTGAGGGAAATTCATGTGTTTAGACTTGGGTCTTTACTGAGTTGTCTCCTGTCCTAAGGATGATGATTGCTAAGGAATCGGATTCTAAAATGTATTTTGATATACTGTCCATGTTCAGATCGGTTTATAATCATATGAAACAAAACACTTATTATTAAACTCCGAGAAAACCTCTCTCAAATTGCATCTGACAACAAAAACTTTAACTTTTGGCACCCCAAATATTAGTTTTTGCTTCTTCCATTGTTGGTCCTAGTGGTTTCTTCTGTAATATGTATACTGACTGTTTGCAGCCTGGCAACAGCTCCAAGGAGTGAGGGGGGCTAGAAAACTATAGCCCCTTGTTAGCTGCAGTCCAAACTTCAAAGGCTTTGAGAACACTGAGCAGACAGGTTTCAGCAGCCGATAAAGCAGCCAGGCAAACAAAAGGCAGCTCCCCTCTCACCGAGGTGTCTCCTGATCCAGGGTGATTTTCAGCCCACTTTTTTCTTTTATTTGTGATGAAACTTCTGGCAATGAGAGACTCATTCTGCCCACAGTTGTGTGCCCCCTTGATTCGGCATCAGAGGGAGAGATGGGCATTTATGGCACCATAAATCAAGGGATTAAACCATACACGAGCAGCTGGCACATGTGCTAATAACTATAATTATTAATCATGTCAATTTCACACCCTTCAAATTTATGCTATGTGCTTTCTGTAGGAAAGCCATCCCTGGCGCCTTGAGCTGTTTATGGTATGAAAATATGATGTGCTGATGGTCTTTGATAATTGTCTTATGACAGTATTGATCTGCCTACAATTGGGTTTGTGGGGCATCGAAGCCCTGCAAAGTGGTTGTCCTTGTCTCCTGGTATACATCATTGTCACACATCCCCCATTGTTAGTGAGTGGCGTGAATTACTTTCAGCATTTGGCCAAGTCTCTAGCTGCTAGGTCACCATTATTCTATCCTTATGTCACTGCGAGGACATTTACTTTGATGTTTCCTTTGTACCTCTTCGAAGGCAAAATCCTTTAACTTCAGGACGGGAGCCTGCAGCAGAGTTTCAGAAAGAAAAGACACTACAGGTTTGGGGTGGGCAGAGGCCAAAAAATATGGAAAAATGTGCTCCCTCAAGGGCCATTTTTTACTTGCCCTTGTCAAGGCTTGTCTATATCCGAAGAGGTGTGGCAAACGGGGAGCTGGAGATGCCAACCAATTGCCAAGTCTTGTGCTCATTCAGTAGCCCTTTCCAGAACACCCCAAAGTTGCTGCCACACACCAAATTATGCAAATTATTCTGCTTGTGGCACAGATGGTCAAGCTAAGAAATCAGACTGGCCAGGAGCAAGCAGTTAACCGTGGCCAAAGTGGTCTTTTTAACTCCAAGCGATTCATCCATTTGAAACCATAATGTCTCTTAAAGACAAACCTGTTCAAGACCAAAAGCAGAGCAGCACCTTGCTGGTTAATCTGCATGTTCATTTGACCTTGCAGCCAATCGTCTGGGAGAGGCCAGGAGAGAGCAGAGTGCATGGGACTCTGCCCACTTGTTGGGAACGCTGCATGGCCCTCACTGGGCAGTGTCAAAACCGCTCCTGCTGTCTCTACAGCTGCTCTGTTCCAATGACCCCCGGAAGGTTCTGGGGATTGTTAGAAGAGATTTCTATTAATCAACTACAAACCGACTGTTACAATTTCACACTTTTTTCCCATCATTTCACACATTTAATGAATTTGGGTGTCTTTTACATTCAAAACACTTACAATCAGGCCAAAAAAAAAAAAAAAAAACTCACCCAAAAAAAAAAAAACCCTTTCTTTAACACAATAGGCAGTAGCAAGACAGCAAACGCCACTTCAAGACTGAATTTCTGAAACTGGCCCTTTAGCTGAGAGTGGCCATCCTTGCCGGGGCGGGCGATTTACTAGTTTACTAACATTGTTACCAGGCAGCAGCCCTGGCAGCATTTTACTAAATCCTCAACAAGAAAACTCGCAACTCGTCTGAAGTTTCAGTTTGTTTGTTGTTACTGGAGTTATATCAGGGAGTTCTTTTCTATGCCAGACTGGAGTTCAGATTTAAATCTTGCCCAACTCAAAAGCAAGCGCACAGGAAACACGAACCTCGCCGCCGTGAGAGCAGCCTGAGTGAGCCAGCACTCACCAAGGAAAGGGCTGCAGGTTCGCTTGAGAGTGAGGATCAGCCGAATTCCTCACGCTGCTCACTGAGACTTCCCCTCACTGAGACTTCACGCTCCTCACTGTCGGCTATCGGCCGACAGAAGATCTCACATCCAAGTCACAAAGACTCAGAACCTTCTTCAACAAGAAACGTCACTTACAACGTGTTTGCTTCTCCATCTCTAAGCTCAAAGTGCCCCGTTTCTCTACAGCAAATTAGACTTTTTGCCTACTTTGGTGCTGAGAAGCCCAAACTACCAACCAAAGCTTTGGTTTTCTCTGAGGGCTGTCGGTACAGACGAGAGGCCGGGATTGTTCTCTAGCAACCCCTGCCGGTTGACAATAAATGCCAGAAACTGACCCAGAGGCATTAGTTCATCCCCACGTTGGAGGGAAGTAAAAAATGTCAGGCTGAGGGAGAGCAGGTAGCACCTGAACGGGTAGGTGATTTCGTGTCAGTTCATCTTACATCAGCAAGAAAAGTAGGGTCGGATTTGATTTATATCAATATTTGGAGTGATGAAAATAATAGTCTATCAATTGGGGGAAATCTATACTGTATTCCATAGAAGTAATTAGATTTTATTATTGATGACAGACTACTGAATAATTAAAGTTTGCTAATTTTCTCTCTCTTCATTTGTATATTCTTTCTGTTTTTAAACTTTGGCTTCTCTTCACATTATTACTTTGGTGGACTGTGGGCACTTTTGCCTTCGTGGGCCCCTTCCACCATAACGATAACAACATATTATTACATAATTTTAAATATGTCAACATTTTTTTCCTCTTTTAGATAAGGTGTAACAGATTGTTGTGGGCCCTTAAAATTATCGTGGGCACCATGCCTTGGGGCCCAGTGGAGAAGGCGGCTCTGCTCTCTGAAATGTTCCCCTAAGGGGCCTGGAATACTTTTCTTCTTCAAGTTGCCTTTGAGTTTGAAGATGTTTTAGTGCTGCTTTACTCATTAGCTAAGATACTGGTCCTAACATATCTTTACATCTATTTTCTGATATACCGTGCCATATGTCTTTTAAACAAAACACTGCTTCCTGGCAAAGAAGCCACTGAGAGGCCAGTTGTTTGTTTGTGCACAGCTGGGTTTCGTCTTGCCTCTTGAAGGCCTAGGCTTAATTTCCTGAGTGCATTTCACCATACCTGGAGACATTTGGACAAAGCCTCAGACACAACTCGCACGCTCACACCCAGTGCCCATACATCACCAACTTACATTCATCTATTCATTTGTTCAGAAAAAAACCCACCCAGTTTATGTTTTTAAAATTTCCCCCAATTAAACTGCCACTTCTAGGGCTTAAGAAACAAACCCAGGAATTTAATTTCTTGGGAAATTTTTCCAGAGGCAAATCAAGAACGCAGCCTGTCTAGTTCCCTGAGCTACTGACGTTCTAGGAGGAGGGATGATAACGGTTGAAGGGAAAGCCTGTAAAGTGATTGTACTCCCAAGAGCCTGGATGATTCAGCAAAAGCAGGCTAGGAGGCTGTGAGCGCAGAACTATTTTGCCCCTGGAAATGAGACATCCAAATTCAACAGGGACTTTTTTTTTTTTTGTCCTTTTGAGGATGGTTCTCCCTGACAAGAAATACCGGAGAAAAGCACAGCTCCCTTCAGCTGTCCCCTTCTGTGGGTTTTCCCATACGAAACTGTGCCCAGCCTGCCACCCTGCACTTTGTTATTATGACAGGAAAAAATGAATTTCTAATGTGCTACCTCTACCAGCTGCAAGGAGCTTGTGGATCTTCAGTCACTAGGCTCCCCGAGGGGAATCAGCCTGAATCAGGGTGGAAGGCCAGGACAAGGAAGAGCATCTCTAGGTTTAAAAAAAAAAAAAAATCTCTTTCCCTCTGATATTGGCATGAAGATGTTCTTAAGAACAAAGGTAAATTTACAAGCACATGTTGGACAGGAAGGGACAAGCACCAATGTCCCTTGCTGAGCACCTGCCTGTCACATAGATGATTTCATTAATTCTCACAATACTTTCAGAGAGTATTAGTTCCATGTTTATATACTAAGAAACTGAAGGGCAGAGGGAGCCCCAAGTATCCTCCCCAAAACTACACAGTTAGTAAGTGGCTGAACTCCGGCTTTTCCCTCCCTGACTCACTATTTAATAATGTATTGCATTGTAATAAGCAGAAATGAGTTGCTCTCTACCCTGTTGTATGATAGAAACAGCTCAGTCCGTGCTCCTGACAGCATTTGGTGTTTTACTAACATCCACTGAGTCCATGTGTGTGGGTAGGCTCATTTTAGAAACATGCCTAGACCTTTCCAGAATTGGTGACCCATGGAAGTGAGCAGCTACTTAGAAGTCTGATATGAAGAGGAGAAAAAAGGTCTTAGAGGGCACGTATTTCAACTCTTTTATTTTATCTCCAAGGAGACCTTAGTTCAGGCCTTCAACATTTCACATTTGAATGATTCTTAAGTGGTGATTCTGTCTCACTTTAGCTTCTTTTCACACTCAAGGAATATCTCTTAAACTCAAATGGGATCATCTCATTCTACTCCTTTGTTTACTGAATAATTCTACCAGAGTTTTATCATCCATGGCAAATTGCTCTTTGCCCTAAAATCTGTTCTTCCCTTCATCCTGGACATACCCATTCCACCCCCAGCTAGAGACTACATTTCTCAGCCTCCTTTGTGGCTAGGTGGCCATTGACTAAGTTCTCATCCACGGAATGGGACGATGTAATATGTACGCTTATTTAAAAAGAAATTGCTACTCTGACCTTCGTCTCTTTCTTCTTCCCATGAGCTAAAACGTAGATACGTCCGTGACCCAACTTCAACCAACCACGCAACGTCAATGACCCAGGGGATGCTGGAGCAACAGGAAGGAAGGAATTGATTGAACAATCACGTGGAGCAAAGCCACGTTGTTATTTAGGGCTACTACTTAAATCAGAGATCATCTCTGTCTTCTTTAAGCCACTTCAGTTTGGAGGCTTTTTGTTCTAACAGGTTAGTGTTTACCTAAACTAGTGCGACATCGCCCTTCTCATTAGCATTCCTGCCTCCCTTTCAATCTTATCAGTAGTCACATCTCCAAATGCTCCCTGTCCTCCAAATATAAATTATAAATCTTCCAATTCTGTAGTAAGACCACACATAAAAACACTTTCCTGCCTTTTTACAGATGGTGTTGTTAACTGCCTCCCCGCCATTCATTCTCCCTTCTCCTGGCAACAATATTTTGATACCCCTTGGAGGAACTTACCTCTCTCTCATTCTTTGCCATGTGATTAGAATGGGAATGAACCCCTTCCAGTTCTGGGGATAGTTCTTGACTGGCTGAAGCCATTGAAATAGCTTTTTCCTGTGGAGGCTCGGAAGACAATACTCCAAAGGACTGCATTTTGCCAAGTGAGTACTTTGTACTCAAGGAAATTGGAAGGGCCTCAGAAGCAGGAAATCCTCTCTGATCTTTCTCACCTCTTTTTTCCTTCCCCCATTTCTTCCCCAAAACAGGGCATAGAAACTAGAACTCCTCTCCCTCAAAGCAAGCCATAAAACCTAGAAATGTCACTCTCTGACCTTCTCCCTGAAGACCCTGACCCTCATGTGACAGGTATCCTGTCTATACCCAGAGGAAGAAATTGCTACACAGAGAGGCTGAGAAGAAGCTGGACAAACAGGCCTTGCTGGGTTTCCCTCTCAATTATTTACCATTAGATCACGCCTTTTTGGTCCAATCATATTTCTACATGGCTGTCCATTGTTCATCAAGCCTAAGTATGAAAATAGTTTTCCCTGGGTCTTTGAGTCTTTGTTTCTGAAGGCTGTCATCTCACATAAAAAACTCTGTTGGCCGGGCGCGGTGGCTCACGCTTGTAATCCCAGCACTTTGGGAGGCCAGGGCGGGCAGATCACGAGGTCAGGAGATCGAGACCATCTGATCACGAGGTCAGGAGATCGAGACCATCTGGTGAAACCCCGTCTCTACTAAAAATACAAAAAAATTAGCCGGGTGTGGTGGAGGGCACCTGTGGTCCCAGCTGCTCGGGAGACTGAGGCAGGAGAATGGCATGAACCGGGGAGGTGGAGCTTGCAGTGAGCCGAGATTGTGCCACTGCACTCCAGCCTTGGCAACAGAGCGAGACTCTGTCTCAAAAAAAACCAAAGAACTCTGTCAAGTAAATTTGTTATTTTTTCTCTTGCTAACCTGTCTTTTATTAGAGGAGTGTCAACTATGACCTTATACTCCCCCATTAACTACAGTGATAAATTCAGAGATGTGTACATAACCCAGTTAGATCTCATGAGCAAAAATGAATCCTAAGACTTTTGCAACATTTTCCCTGGAGAGTGTTGGATGCAGATGTGAGTTCTGGAACTGTGATGGTCATTTTGTTACCACGAGCAGACCCTGCCTGAAGACGAAGGAATGTAGAACTGACAAAGACACAGAAAGATGGAGCCAGAATCCTGATAAGATTGTTTGAATCTTAAGTCGAACTATATGTAAGACAAACCTACTCATATTTTGACTTCAACCAATTTGAGTTGGGGAGTCTGTCACCTTCATCATAAAGAATTCTAACATGCTTTGGAGATGATCTTCCCTTGGAGCAATTTGTTTTTAATACTCTTCCATGTCAGCAAAACTCCTATTCATTCTTCAAGTATTAGGCAATCTCTCACCTTTCCTGTAAAACCTTGCATGATTCTGCCAACCTCATATCCCTCAGCCAGAGTTAGCTGCTTCTTTCAGTGATCTTAAAAAGCTTTGCATAGATTTTATCATTTTTATTACATGTTGTAATAGTAGATCATGTATATTTTCAAATAGCTGAAAGAGAGAGTTTTGAGTGTTCTCAACACAAAGAAATGATAAATGTTTGAGGTGGTGGATTTGCTAATTACCCAGATTTGATCATCACACGTTGTATACGTGTATCAAAATATCACACTGTACCCCATAATTATGTGCAATTATTATGTGTCAATTAAAAATAATAATTGTTAAAAAGAAGCCGGGCACGGTGGCTCATGCCTGCAATCCCAGCACTTTGGGAGGCCAAGGCAGGCAGATCGCTTGAGGTCAAGAGTTCAAGAACAGCCTGGCCAACAAGGTAAAACCCTGTCTTTACAAAAATACAAAAATTAGCTGAGTATGGTGGTGCATGCCTGTGATCCCAGCTACTGGGGAGGCTGAGGCAGGAGAATTGCTTGAACCCAGGAGGTGGAGATTGTAGTGAGCCAAGATTGCGCCACTGCCCTCCAGCCTGGGTGACAGAGTAAGACTCCATGTCAAAAAAAAAAAAAAGAAAGAAAAAAAATTGTTAAAAAGAGTATATCTTCCTCAGAAGGCCTAATGACTGTGAGTAACTTGAGGTCAAAGAACACGTTTATTTTTTGCCATAAATTTTAGCCTAGCAGAATGACTACAATATAAATATTCAACATCTAACACATTTGTTATTTTTTACTAAAGCATGAAGGAAACAACAAAGTTTATTTCTACTCATACTAAGAAAACAATGACTTAAAATTAGATCACAATTAGAATTTGTTGCTTTGTGAGGTAGTGAGCTACCTATAACTGGAGGTGATGAAGCACTGGTTGTGAGCCAGATCAAAACCCTGTCCTGGGGAGACAATTGGGTATGTCCAGGTGCAGTTGTTCAATGTGATTTAGTCCCTACCAGGAGGTCTGGTTGCCTGGGTTCAGAACAGCAGAGGAAAAATTAGACAAAAGACACATTCAGAAGTCAAGGTGCTCTGACAGTTCAGCAGACATATGACCTAACTTCAACCAGCAGACAGGATCTGACCTAGGAAAGATGAAGACAAAAACCAGATCTCAAACAGATGTATTGTAGTTCAAGGTAGGGCAATCAGACCTGTAGGAAGACTGAGCAGGCCACTGAATTGGGCCCCCGAAAGAGAAGCCCAGACATGAGGACTGGACCCACCCAGGAACTGGGAGTAAAGCAATTTGGGGACAGTTGGGTCCTAGGCCTCGCCTCTAGGAAACCTGGATTGCCCAGTCGGTGCTGAAGGTGTCTCAGATCTGCTTGGATCTATAATATTGGACCTGGTAAATATAACTTGATTCAGACTCCTTTGGACTCTGGAGTGAAGGCTATTGCATGTGCTGCAGTGTTGTTAAAGTGAACTAAATATGGCCTGAGAAGGACTCCGTACTTCTATAGTTGAGTTCTTGTGGAGGAACTGTAACCTAGCTTAATAGGCAAGATTGAAAACCTAACTTAGGAGTATGCCTCTGTAACAATAGCTGAGTGTTGGCCAATCCCAGCAGCCATACTTTAACCACTCATAGGCTGCTGAGTGTTCAAATAAGGCAAACAGGGAGCTGTAACTAATCCCACTGTTTCTGTACCTCACTGCTGATTTCCTTACGTCATTTTACTTTTTTTGTCTATAAATTTGTTGTGCCCACAAGGTTCCCCAGGAGTCTCTCTGAATCTGCTTTGATTCTGGAGGCTGCCTGATTTGCAAATAATTTCTTTTTTTTTTGCTCAATTATACTCCTTCAAATTTAACTTGTCTGAAGTTTTTTTTTAAACAATGTCTTTCAAGACTAGCTTGAAAAATAAGATGGGCCTCCTTCCACATGGGAGTTATGAGGGTAGATACCATTTTATGGAACTTTGTTAAGACCAAGGAAGAAGAAATGAAAGCAGAGATAGAAAAGAACTATTCTACTGGAGAAATATAAAACTTTCCTAAAAATCAATTAATAGGGACATTTGGCAATCAACTGAGTACACTTTATGGGGTTTGGGTCCATCTCGTTACTGGCAATGATTTTAAATTTACTAGTCTCCATCCAGGGACTAAGTTTTGATATGCCATGACCAAAGTGTTCATACATAAAATTAAAATCAATATGCAGATTTCTTACTTCTGCCTTTCCTTCAGTGTTGGGCTAGCAGTATTTGTATTGCAATGACCTCTCTATGGAATAGAAGAGTAAATCAGACTCCATTAAAATTTGGCTAACACACAATTCAAATATGTCTAGGATTTTTTGTTGTCTTGTAATAATCTCTCATATAAATTCTTACACTCCTCTCTCTGTAAGACTGGACAATCATTTCTCCATTAGAATATAAACTCCATGAGGGCAGAGATTTGTTCACTGATTATTGTGAGAACATAGAGCCTGTACCTAGCACTTCCTCAAAAAATATTTGCTGATGGAAACTAAATGTTGGCAATTGGGAAGTGGGGAGGCTTTCTTTTATTCCATTTTCTTGTATTTTCTTCTTTCATTGGCTTCCTGTTTGTTAAGGCCATACTAGGTACATGAGATATTTTTAAAGACCTACTCTGACTTCAAAATTACATAGATAATTTTTCATCAATTTTAAAAAAGTGAAACACCTGCTATAAGCCATATGTCATGCCAGGGACTGCAGGAACTACAAGTATGAAAAAGACTAGGACCTTGTCTTTTGTTTACAATTCAATGAAAGAGATAAAAATATACATAAGTTACTGTAATGTGAGGTGTTATGAGTTATGTGATTGGAAAAGAAGCATATAATCTATATTGTGATCTGGGAGATGGTTATAGTGATGTGTACATGTGCAAAAAGTCATAGCACTGTACACTTGAGATTATAAACTTTATTTTATATTAAGGTATAATTGATAAACCTCAACTTAAAAAAAGAGGCACTAATTAGGGGTTCAGAGGAAGAGTCAGTTTATGACAAAGAGAAAGCCTTAACTCATTAGTACCTTGTCTAATTAGGCAGCCATGATTTAGTCTAGACTTGCTTAATATGAAAATCTAACACTACAGTAAACATTATAGTTTGCCATGCATGAAAGTGCCTACTGTTCTTGCCTTAACTGCCCAATATTTGATTTTAAGTGATGATCCACCATAATTTTAGGTAAATACAGAGCGAATCTTCCCATTGACTCGCCTGACTCTGACCAGTTGTCACAGAGGCGAGTAAAATCACAAATATGTTTAATAATTCTGAAGGTGGAGACCTTCCTAGAACCCACAGGTCTTAGCAAAAAGAGCCTCCCCAGTAGCTAATACCTTGAAAGCTTTGACATATCCCCCACCTGGGACTGATGGCCAGCTGTCAGGCCTGAGTGACTGACTGCCCATTGGCTGGGTCTCTGCAGGTGGTGGTGACATTGATGGAGGATGATGGATGACTCTGACATAGCCCCACCCCACCCACTTACCCATATGCATGACAGAAGGGCTCCCAGCCTGCATGCCCTGGCTGACAATACCTCCAAGTAGGCATGTAGATGTGTAAAAACAATGCATTCAGAGCCAGCTACAAATACGGAGGCATTTAATGAGTTGCTAATGTGAAAATAATTTTCTTTTCTGACTTTTGAATTGTTGGAATAAAGACACATAGAGGGAAGCCATACAACTGGTAATGATTCTGCTGAAAAAAGAAAATAGCTTTCAGAAAATGCAAAACAGTTGCCGTCAGAGGTTGATAGGAGTTTACTGAGGCATCATTCCTTTATTTTTCTACTTCCTCTTCTCACCCCAGCCCACCTTGTTTTGAGCATGTGTTTTCACTATCTCCTCTTTCTTCCTTTTATGTGAGCTGAATTCTCTTTGCCTCTTTCGTGCATTTTTTCTCTCCCTTCCCTCCTCCACTATTCTTTTCTCCCCTTGCTTCTCCTCTCCTTTTGTCTCCTCTACTCCTCTCTCCCTGTTTCTTAATCCCTATTTCTTAATCTCACATGAGTTTTTTTTCCTTTTTTTATTATTTTGTTATCGTTTTTGTAAGGATTTCAGGGGAAGTGTGTATCTGGAAATAAAAATCAGAAAATTTGGAGAATAAAAGAACAAGGAAAATTAAGGAAGGATTTTTTTCAACCTTAAAAGCCACCTTGAGAAATGAGAGAAGAGAGGATTGGCTACTCGGTATTGTGCTTTCTGCTGTCTACCTAGAAGACTTGAGGAAGAAGCCCCTTCACATTCATCAGTCACTTGAATGACATGAAAGACAGGATGTTTCTTGCACTAACACCCGTGTGTTCAAATGGAAAACCTCATGTAACAGGAAGCCTCGCTAGCAAAAGACTAATTTTCTGTGAAGTTCTGGCTAAACTAAGGAAAAGTCTGATTAAGAAAGCACTTCTAAAGAAATAAGCCTTTATTACTTTCAAATATACACAGTAAAAGAACTAGAGGCTTCTCTCCTGGGAGCTTCTAAGAAACTACTTTTATTGGCTGGGGGGTAATATGTTAGCAATAGATGAAATCTGATTGTGACATATCAATTGTATGTAAATTAGCATTTCTGCTAAGATTGTTTGAGAACAGTTTACTTTCATAATTGACTGAAAAATGCTTCTTTCAATTTTGCTGACACTAGTAATGCATCTGGCAAACTTTCCCTTCAGAGAAGTGTCAGGTTAAGCTTTATCCCAGGTACTGTTTCAAACAAACATAAACTCTAATTTTGTGAGGCCCATATTAATAAGTCTTTTTTAACTTTTTTTTTTTTTTGAGACAAGGTCTCACTCTCTCCCCCAGGCTGGAGTGCAGGGGTACAATCATGGTTCCACTGCAGGCTTGACATCCCAGGCTCCAGTGATCTTCCCACCTCAGCCTCTTGCATATCTGGGACCACACCCACAATGCCCAGCTAATTTTTTTTTTTTAAGTTTTTTGTAGAAACAGGTTTTACATGTTGCCCAGGCTGGTCTCAAACTCCTGGGCTCAAGCGATCCTCCCACCTAGGCCTCTCAAAATGTTGAGATTAGAGGTGTGAGCCACTGCACCCAGCCAGGCTTTACAATTTTTAAATAACTTTCAGCACAAATACTTGTGAACCAGAAACATTGGTTGAAAATATCTGTAACTTCTTTCTCAGCTCTAAATTACTGAGAAGCAAATGGAACCACATGTTACAAATATTTCACAAGAACCAGTACCATACTTTTAAACATCTTGATTATGATCTACTTGACAGTCATATTTGAGTTGTTGCTCTGTGTAACATAAGAGTTGGGCTACACCTTCAGAATAACTGGCAAAGCACCACCAACTGGCTGTGTCCTGAGAGGCTACCCAGCAACCTGGCTTTTTGTCTGAGTATCAGACGCCCACTCTTCATTGGACCATAGAGGTTTTTCTCCCTAGTCCTCACCTCCAGCTCACTCCACCAAGTTATTAGGAGTCTCTGAAAGAAACACGGAACACCCAGAGCAGAAAGCCAATTTCTAATTGGGCCATCAGATAGGGAAGAAATGACAACTTCAACAAGATTTCTTGTGATCCTTGAGAGGTAATTTTAAACCCTTTCCTGTTGGTTGTAGGAGAGAAAAAGTAACTTGTTTTCCTTACTCATTGCAAGGTTCATGGCTGACACTGCTATAGCAAAAGTCAACAAGAGAAAAGCATAACCAAATTTAATTCATATAAGTTTTTTGTGACACGGAACCTTTAGAAATGAAGACCCAAAGATCCAGGGAAAACTATTTTTATGAACAATCTTGCAGAAGTGTGATTGGAGGACAAAGGGGTATGATTTAATGGTAATAAACGTGGGGGAACTTAGCAAGGCCTGTTTGTTCAGATTCTTCTTGACCTCCAGGACTGCTCTGGATGGAGGGTCTTATGACCTACTTTCAGGGGAGTAGGCCAGAGAATTTTTTTGTGACCTTCTTCAGGGGAGGAAGGTGGAATAAGGTCAGAGATAAAGAAAGAGGGTCAGAGAGTGCTCTTCTGCTTTTGTGGTTTTCTCGATTTCTTTCAGCCGTAAATACTCAGTATGCCCAGGTGTCATTGTAGAAGATGAGAATGGAAGGCACAGAAAGAATGTGGCATGAGTAAGAAGGAGGAACTCAAGGCTTTTCTTATTTTACAACCTGAAGAAAGGAACCCATAGAAATAATCCTTTATTTCACTGGTTATTTGTTGCTGAGGGTCTCCCTGGCTTGGCCCACCTAGATCTACAGCATATAGAGACCCTTGGTGCAATCCAAGAGGAGGGGAGAAATGCCAATTGCTGTATCAGCATAAATGCACAAACTCAGAAAGCTACTGGCAGCAAGCCATGGGTTCAAATCTGAGCTCTACCAGTTACTTTCTATGTGACCTCAGACAAATTGCTTAGCTTCCAAACTATTTCCCTGCCTCCTGTATTGCACCCCTTTTAATGCAGCCAAGGCAGGACAGAAAGTGCAAGGCAAAGAGCTTGAGAGAACACCATGAGGAAGATATCTTCATGAGGTTGGCATGGCTGGAGCTGAGGATGTATGTAGGGATGCGAAGCTAATGAGAAATCCAAAAATCAAGGGCAGGAGAGAGACCAGAATCAAGGCCATTTTGGAGGTTACAGTAATACCCTACAAATGAGATGAAGAGAAACTGAACTTGGATAGTGGCTGTGAGAAGGGAAAGGACTCTACCTTTAGGAGACAGACTCAGCGAAGGGCAGTACAAGGTGACTTCCAAGTTTAGGTCTAGATAAATGGGGGGGTGGTGCGGGGTGATGGCTTTCATGTAAGTAGGACCGTAAGTGAAATTGGGAGGGCTTGAAGGGAAAAGATGGGTTTAGTTTTCCTAATAAGCTAAATTTGTAGTGCTAAATATCCATGGAGAAGTCAGGAAGGCCGGTAGAAATGAGAATTTGTTTCATCATTTTTCTTTTTTTTCTTTTTTTTGTTTGAGACAGGGTCTTCTTCTGTCAACCAGGCTGGAGTGCAGTAGTGCAATGGTGTGATTTCAGCTCACTGCAACCTCAAGCATCTGAGGCTCCAGCAATCCTCACACCTCAGTCCCTGAGTAGCTGGGACTATAGACACATGTCACCATGCCTGGCCAATTTATGTACACACACACACACACACACACACACATGCACACACATACACACACACACACACACATGCACGTATATGTATATATATATATTTGGTAGAGACAGGGTTTCGCCATGTTGCCTCGGCCAGTCCTTTTTTCCATTTGTATCACGTAATGTGTTAAAAATATACAATCTTCTTAAAGTTGAGGGTAATTAGGATAAATAAAATAAATACTTAATTAAGAGAGTCCTCAGTATACCAATGCTGAATATAACTGATTCAAGAAAAAAATTTAATTCTGGGAAGCATGCTTATAGATAGTAAATTGAATTTTATGTGTACATGTGTGATAGACACATCCAGATTCACACACACACACACACACACACACACACACCACACACAGAAACTGTTTCCCTATTCATTAACAGAGCAGAAGGAAACCATGGCATTGAGGAAGGAGTAGATGATCACACCCAGCCTCCTGGCTTGATTAATAAGCGACAGAATCATGTTCCTGTTTTGAGGAAGCTTTCCTATCATGGCTGTCGTCTCTGGAGAGCTCCAGCCTACAAAGCGATAACATCTGGTGCCCATTATTTCCCCAGATCTGTTGTGATTAGTCCATATGATAAGCCTGGCCAATTGCTGTGGGCAAGGTATTGCTACATTCTCCCCATCAGGGTACTGGAGCTGTCACTTCTGGTTTGTGGCCCCTGCTAATTTGCCACCAAAATTTCCAATATCTGCTAGAATTCCACAAGGAAATCTCAGTGCCTTGGAGGGGCAATAGGCTGTGTGGCTGTAGACAGAAGGCCAGCGCTGATAATAAAGAGGCGAGGTTTATCAATTAACTCAAGCAGCACTGTGTGGACAGTGACCAGCGGTCCACTCCCACTTCCGTTGTGTCAGGTTGATGAAATGGTCCAGGAAAACTTCAGATTTGCTGATGACAGAAACAGTGAAGCATCTGAAAGTTAGAAGAAAAAAATGGTTTAGAAGCTCTTTACTATTTGACCAAAGTGAATTTTCTGGCCTTCCAGATGCCTTTTCCTTCTCCATTCCTCCCCCTCCCTCTCACACTATGATACATGAGGATAATAGTTGGAACCCATCCAGGTGGCAGAATGGCTTGTCATTTCAGATGGTAGAAAAAGATTCAAGCCCCTAAAAAGGGCAGTTGCACTATCTGATAGGACTCATTAATATTGGAGCTGGATATTATGTTTTATGTTCCTTTAAAAACTGACCTAGAGCTTACTTTTATGAGAGTTCTTCAGATTTACTTGGAACAACCAATACACTGATGGCAAAAAGTAAAAAAAAAAAAAAAATGCAGCCAATCAAACAATTATAATTTTAAAGAACTGACATTCATTGAATATGTTTTTTACTGAAATTAATGTGCATTTTGTCACTAAATAATTTCTGAAGATGAAATGTGGGACATTTTACCAAATTGATATTTGAAAGGTTAGAGAGCAAATTAGCGCTTTCTGTATGTTTTTTGTGATTTTAATAAACATTTAAAATTATTTGGTTCAAAAACAGTCTTAGAAACATATACTTGTTTTGATACTTTGGAAAATAATTTCAGCAAATAATTCAGAATTTAAAATATATGATAATTTATCACTTATTCAATTGAACCTATAATTTCTTACTAATCACATGTCAAGTGTTATGACTAAAAGTTGTCATAAATAACTTGCCACTTAAATCTGCATAAAGGAAGTAAAATTAACTATTAACTACATGAGAAGTTACTATGTGAGAAGAAGATCATGTGATGGATGCCTGAATTTCTCCTCTGTTATCTAGATGTTTTGCTGTTGTGCAAACATGGACCTGAAATCCAGAATGGAGAAAGGTTATTTTGTGACTAAAGTCAAAGATGTTAGAAGCAACAGATAGCCAGATAGCCAAAATCCAGATGCTGAATTTTGTAAGCAAACATCAGATTTGTACAGCCAGAATCATTCCAGCAAATGTAAATATGGGTGAAACAAAATAGTGGTGTAAAGATAGAAGGAATGGTTTGTCCTGAACTATCAAGTAATTTTGTCTAACTTTTTTTTCTATTAACAGAAAAAAAAAATAGAAATGTTGATTTAAGGCAAAAATGCAAACAGTCTTCCAATCTTACTCTGCCTGAGTCAAAATAGCCTTTTTACTTTTTCTTCTTTATATTAATCCCATTTTAATCTTGCTCCTGCTGCCCAGAGAACCTTTAACCATGGAATGCTGGTCTGGCTTTAGTAGACTTTCATTCCCCTAGTTCCACTTCCAGCTGAGCTCTGCTTCTCCCCTCCCAGTCCCTGGCCTGTCTCCAGGGCTCAGAGATCCCTTCTCATACAAGGACCATGTTTACCTGGTGAGGACAACCAAGCTAGTGATGAAGCTGTTATCCTCTGAAGTGTGGTACCTAATAATTTAGGCTCCAGCTGGATTTGGAAAGGCCTGAATGCTATCAATTAGTTGTGTGCAAGCAGCATTCCCTCAGTAATGAGCTCTTCGTCACTTCACTTTGAACGCTGGTGTCTTGACCAAGAGGTCTCCTATAGGCAAGTCACTGAAGAAAACAGAATGAAAAATCTGTCATTAATGAATTTGCCCCCCAGGTAGATCTAAGAAGACAGACTTTGGCTCCATCTAGGTCAAAGCTGAAGTCCAGTGAGTATGCAACCCTGGGCCATGACTTTGGATAATGGAAGCCCAAAAGTCTTCCCTCAATCATTAGCCTCCTTCAATTGTTTTTGAATTACATATTAATTAATCATTTCCTTCAAAGAGAAACTATCTGGGAAAAAAAGTTTGCTATTGACAGGGGTAAATCAAAGTGTAAAATTGATCTATAGAACTATATAAATGATATCAGTAATAATGTAATGAAAATGCTTCATTTTATTTCCTTTATGTTTTTCTAAAGTTGATAACTACTGCTTCAATATTGCATTTCAGATTTTCTATGCAGGTACAGTCACATTTATGTCTTTTAATAATAGAGTTCATCCATCATACAAGATTGATGATCCCTGCAGAAGTTAAAAGTCTAGGAATAAGAAATTTGGTAAGTTTTTATAATCAAAAAACAAAGTCTGGTAAGGGTCAAACCTCCAAAAGTAAAAGGCTATGCTAATCTCTTAGAGATGAATGAATTCCTTGTGGATGTTATCAGTAGTTAAGTTTTTGGCTTTGCAAAATCTCTTTCCTTTTCTTTAATATTTTCCTTTTATTACCCATAGTTTTCCCTTAGAACAATTAATTTAGTAAATTTAAACAGAGTAAAAAATCTAAAAACCTACAAGTTGTTTTCATAATGACTCCAAATAATATCTCCCATTTTTCCAGTGAATGTGTTTTGCCACTTCAATTGCCTCTACTGATCAAGAAAGCAAAGACCCCCTAAACTTCAGGGCAAAAAGTGAAGAATAAATTTGATTTGTGTTAGTGCCAATACAGTTTTGAGTATGTGTGTAGCTTTGATGTGATTAAAAACATGGTCATTCTTCTGGTTTAAAACAATGAAAATTAATAAATAGACTACTTACAACAATTTTTTAAAATCATGAGCATTTGGGTGTGTTAAAGTACTTATTCAACTTTGCTAAATGTATTCATCCCGAACTGAAAGTAGAATTACTCCTGCTTTTGCATTTAATGCATAATAACATAGGGTAAAATCTCCTGGGGTAGAGAGGCAGGCATAGTCTTCAAGTCTAAGCACAAACCCAGAAGTTCCACTTGACTAGGCTTACAGAGGAGCCCTCTCCTCTGTGAGAGGTCAGACCCTCTCCATTGACACTAATGGACCGTTTTATGCAAAACTGTTCATTTTCCGGAAGGGACCATGTTTGACTGGTGGAGTGATTCACAAAAATCACTTCATTAAAAGAATACTCTTCATGCATGGCCTTACTCCCTTTAGTGGGACAGAAACTGTGAGCCATGCATGGGTACCCAAGAAAGGGGAAGCTCATCTCCACAGTGTGAATCCAACCCCGAGTTCCAGTCCCTGTGTTCAGACAATGACATCCTGTCGCTGGCACACAGGCTAATGCAAACCTTGCAACTCCATTTATCCCTGGAATGCCTAATTCCATGCAACTGAGCATTACACACAACATTAGGGGATCCAAATCCACAGGAGAGCCCCCCAGAACCCCAAGTCCCCACACCAATGCTAGGTTTCTTTTCCCCTAGTTCTCCATGGAGCAGCAAATGGTGCTGTTCATGACAGGTATGGCCAATGGAGCTTCAAGTTTTCCTTCTCTGACCAGGCCCACGAGAGCTCTGTTCCCTGTGAACCTACGAAACCAACACAAGCTGCATGTGCTGTCTCCTCTTGAAAGAGCACTTGCTCCCAGGAATTCTCTCACAGTCTCCAATAGCAGAAGTCCAAAGACATGACAATATCAGAGAGGAAGGTGCTGTCATTTGCAAAAGGAGAAGGAATAGGGCCTACTGAGGTTTGGAAGGCAGAAAGGAAGCAAAAGGCTGAGATGTTGGTGAGACCATGGTGAAAATGCCAAAAGATTCTGGTACAATGTCTCTAAACCTTTTGAAGCTTCAGCAGCCTACATTGTTCTTCCGAAGTTGCCTTGCTTGGTCTGTCAATGCACCTAGCTGCAAATGCCACCACTTTGCATCCATCTGAAGGGTGATTCTGCTTCTCTCATCAGGACGTCTCTCTGTCTCTCTCTTATTACTTCTTGACTTCTGCATTGGATGTGGTAATAGCAGATTTCATTTAAGTTTGGAGTCTATACCCTTCAACCTTTCAAAATACTAAAAAGCGAGTTCGTTGCCTTTAAGATTGCAGTGACCAGCAGGCTGTGAAAGGTCGGTTTTGCTGTGATTTGCACAACCCAGGACTGCTCAGAGCTCAGCTGCACCAGGCTAATTTCCATAAGCATCATGTGGTGTTACAGAAACCACATTTTGCCAAGCTGTCAACTATACAGCCTTCTCTTTGCTAAACAGACTCCCATTAAAACTGTCTGCACAATTTGTCAGTTAAATGAGGTACAAGAGGGACGCTCTATTTGCCCCTAATTAGCTGCACAGACTACCTTTGTCTGTTTGATTAAGCATTCACATTATCAATTTTGTTTAATCTGATTCATTTCACACACCTCCCCTGGGACTCAGCCCATATGGTTAACTAATCTCTGATATCATCTCTCATATCAGGCAGCTATCATCCCCCCCAGAACACATTCTACCCACAGGCATCATGCTCATCAAGCTCAGCAGAGGGGAGTTGGTCTGGTGAGAGGCAGAAATGGAGCCCAGGAACTGAAGCTGAACCCTGACATGCTTGACTTAAAGCAGAGAGCAAATTCTTCCTTGGTGCCATCTGTCCGCCGTCATCCATCCACTCGTTTATTCATATTCACTCATTCACTCATTCCGGCAGTATACATATTGTCTGCCTACTATGCACCAGGGGCTGTGGTGGGAGGTGGGAGGGATACAAAGTGTACAAGATAAGGTTCCTGCTCTTGGATTGCTTATTATCTCAGCCCTGGAGAGTACTATGGAAACCGCCAACTAGTGTGCAAAGCACACTCCTTCCCTGAGGCCAGTTTACCTAATATCTGTCACACATGGCCTATTTGGCTGGGCTACCAAACAACTCGCTGAAGAAAGCTTTTAGATAAAGGCATTAAAGCAAGTGGTCATGGCTTCATGAAATAATCTCCCCTCCCACTCCCAACTTGGACAATGATTGGCAATGGGAAGGAGGAGTTTTAGGAATTGGAATTAACAAATTACTTGATCTTTCACAGTTATGAAATTTCAATGCATCTCATGCATGATTGAAGCTATTCCTTAATTAAATCAAACTAGTTGTATTCAACCTGATATCTTCAGTATATTGACAGAGAGACTATTAAACAGTAGTAGAGCACAAATAAAAATGTTGAGAGAAAAAGTAATTCATTTAATTTAGATGAAAGTATAAAACTAATCTGAAAATGGGTGTAGTTGAAAAATATACAGGCATTCTTGGCTCATGAAATACATGTGTTTGTAAAAATCAATATCAAAACCTTATGCTGAATAGATTGCAATCTCAGAAACATATTCTCCGTGGGTATTAGGGCAAATACAGACTTATGAGACCCGAATAAAAGCAACATGTGAAGAAAAAACCCAAGGGTTTTAGGACAACATGAATCCATAGAGCAATGAGGTTGTCAAAAGAGTCAACGTGTGTTTAGATTACATCCATAGAGTCAGGCAGAGTCCTGCTCCAATTTCCACAAGTCAGGACGTTGTTCTAGGGATCATGCTAGAAGGTTCTTGGGTCCTGGCAGGTGATAAACACTTGGAAATGAATATTGAAAATTCAGCATTGGAATTGGAGGGCCCTAGAAGTTATCCAGTGCCATCCTCTACTTTTTCTGGGAATCTCCTGGATGACATTCCTAGGTAAGGGAATTGTCAGATTCTGTATAGGTGCCTTCACGAATGGTTCCACTGTTCTGCTGAGTTGCCCCCTCCAGTCTGTCAGTGCTGGCAACTGAAAATGTAGTTATTACGCTGAGCTGAAATCTGCCCCTGTAAAACTCCATTCGCTGACTCCAGTGAGTGGATCCCTGCAGTAAGTCTGATCCCGTCTTAATAATTTTGAAGACACCTTTAGTGCTTAACCTCAGCTTTCCTTCACCAAGCACAGCACCCTCGATTCTTTCAGCATTTCTTCATTTTGGGGTTTCCAGTCCTCCCACCCTCCCTTCTCCCTTTCTTCCAAATATTCTTTCGTTGGTTACCCTTCCTCTCAGAGTGTGATCCCTGGAACAAATTCCTCACATGTGGAAATTAAAGCAGGACTCTACCTAACTCTATGGATGTAATCTAAGCACATGTGGACTCTTTCAACAGCAACCTCATTGCTCTGTGGATTCATGTTGTCCTAAAACCCTTGAGTACTTATTTTTTTAAGTGTTGCTTTTATTCAGTTCTCATCATTCTGGATTAGATCTAATACTCAACTTTATGTTAATCCCTATTATGTATTATCTTATTGACATCAGTTCATCATTTTAGTTTGTGGGTTGAAATCTGATTCTGCCATTTCAATTTTGTGTTGTCTCCCAGTTCGACAGGGATGGCATGACTGTCTTTATCCAAGTCATTGATCAAAATGTTAAAAGAGAGAAGAATAAAAATGGGTAACCAGAAGTCACTGAGTTTTCTAGAATGAAAAAAAAAAAAAACTAGTACCAACACGTGTTGGGCAATTATTGATACCAGAGACTACAGTGAATGAATGCTTTATATGTCTTCTCCAATTTAGTACTCACAAAACTCTTATTCAGTATCATTAACACCAGATTATAGATGAGACAACTGAGGATAGGTGCCTAAGAAAATAACTGCCCGAAAGAAGGTAGTTAATAATTATTTGGAGTTAGAATTTTGACCAAGGACTGACTAATGCCTGAGCCTGACTTATGAAGCACTTTGCTGTATTTGCTACCTCTTTACTGCATCATTAAGAGAAAGGAATCAGACCATAGGCAACAACAATGACAGAAATGGAAAGTAAGATTTCCTGAACCCTCGTTATCTCACCCATGTTTGTTAGCATGCCACACATCCCACTCGGGTGAAAAGGGTTGAATTAACCACATCTCTCTATGAAAGTCACACTATCACCCTTGTTGGGCTCCTTTCATGATTTATTTATTTATTCTTTTGATTGTCCTTTCCATTTTCCATTCTTCTCCTGTCACAGAAAACTTTTCTAATATGCGTGGTCTATAACCTTGAATTTGTATATATCCTTGGGAAATGTGTAGTGTTATTGATTTGGATGTATTTATTTGTATAAAATACAATGGGCTATGGACTTCTTTCTGTGTTTTATTCTTCTTCCAGAGTACTAAGGTAAAAATCTTAGTCCTGCTTATATCTAGCTCATTGCCCCTAATGGCTGCATGGTAGAATCTGATGCACATCCACCACATCTTATTTTGTCCATTCCTGCAGTGATGGAGAGCTGGATTGCCTCCACCTCTCTGCTATCACAAACAACGCTAAAGTGAACTTAGAGGTCATTATGGTAAGTGAAACAAAACAGACAGAAGGAAGTAGTGCATGATCTCGCTCATATATGGAATCTAAAAAAGTTGAATTCATAGAAGCAGAGAGTAGGATGGTGGTTGCAAGCAACTAAGGGTGGGGAAAATGGGAAGATGTTGGTGGAAGCGTACAAAGTTTTTATAGGCAGGATGATAATTTCTGCAGATCTAATATACAACCAAGTGACTATGACTTTAGTTAATAATACTGTATTGTATACTTGAAATTTGCAGAGTAGGTATAAGTGTTCTCACTGCACACACTCATATACACACAAAAAGGTGACTATATGAAGGCATGGATATGTTAATTAGCTTGAGTGTGGTGATCATCTCATAATGTATACAGACATTAAAACATCACACTGTGGCCCGGCGCCATGGCTCAGGCCTGTAATCCCAGCACTTTGGGAGGCCGAGGCAGCCCAATCACTTGAGATCAGGAGTTCTAGACCAGCCTGACCAATATAACATGGTGAAACCCTGTCTCTACTAGAAATACGAAAATTAGCCGGGCATGGTGGTGGGCTAGTGTAGTCCCAGCTAGTTGGGAGGCTGAGGCAGGCAAATCCCTTGAACCCGGAGGCAGAGTTTGCAGTGAGCCGAGATTGCTCGATTGCACTCCAGCCTGGATGGCAGAGCAAGACTCCATCTCAAAAAAAAAAAATTCACATTGTATACTTTAAATATATAAAATTTTGATTTGTCAATTATACTTCAGTAAAGCTGGAAAAAATAAAAAGAAGAAATATAATTACAATGTATGGAAATGTAATCTAATGGTTAAAATAAAATATGAAGATATATGTAATGATTAAAAATCTCATTCTAGAAATATAGATACCAAATATACTTTACTATAGGAAAAGTAAAGTAAAATAGAATATAGAACAGTCTTCAAATTTTGATAGCAAATTTGCTTTTAAAAATTAAAATAGTATGAAAGTAACCAGAGAACTCTAAAAGAAGATAACCCAAAATGTTAATAATATGTTTTTGTGAATTTTAAATATTTTCATGTCGTATAGTAGTAGTTCTTTAATGATATTTTTTAAATGTTAAAAAAAGAAATGGGAAGGCCCAAAACATTCTAGTACATGAGCCTTATCATCTCGAATGAGAATTTCTCTGGATTATAGACCGGGAGTAAAGGTTCTAGGGCATAGTCAGATGATTACTCAGTGGTCCCTAGCAAGATAGGATTTCTGTTTTTCTGCATACTCCATTTGGCACTTAAAAACTTTTAATGAATGTGATGTCGCTTCTCATTACTGTAGTAACATGTACTTATCTCATTATTAGTGAATTTGAGCATCTGTTCAAATACTTGTTAACCATTTTAGTTTCCTATTCTGTAAAATGCCTTTTCACTTCTTCACACATTTTTCTATTTGGTTTTTTCTACTCAAAGTATACAAAGTTCCACTTAGACAGAAAGAATAATTTTTGAGATCTATTGCACAGCAAGGTGAGTATAGTTAATAATAGCATGTTATATATTTGAAAACTGACAAGAGAATAAATTTTTTGTTATTATTTTTAATTGACACATAATTGTACATATTCATAAGGTAGAGTGTGACATTTCAATACATGCATATAATGTGTAATAATCATATCAAGGTACTTAGCATATCCATTATCTCAAACATTTATCATTTCTTTGTGTTGAGAACAGTTAAAATCCTCTCTTCTAGCTATTGGAACATGTACAAAAAATTATTGGTAACTATAGTCACTGCGCAGTACTATAGAATACTAGAGCTTATTCCTCCGATCTCGGTGTAATTTTGTATCCATTAACCAGCCTCTCTCTATACCCCACCCCCTTCTCCCCTTTCCAATTTCTAATAACCACTATTCTCTCTACTTTCATGCGATCACCTTTTTCAGCTCCCACATGTGAGTGAGAACATACGGCATTTAACTTTGTGCCTGTCTTATTTCACTTAACATAATGTCCTCGAGGCTTATCCACGTTGCTGTGAATGACAGGATTTCATTCTTTGTGTGGCTGAATAGTATTCCCTTGTGTATGTAAACCACATTTTCTTTATCCATTCATTTGTTGATGGGCACTTAGGTTGGTTCCATAACATGGTGATTATGAATAGTGTTGCAATAAATATGGGGGTGCAGATGTCTTTCCACATACTGATTTTCTTTCCTTTGGGTATATACCCAGTAGTAGGATTGCTGGATCACATGGTAGTTCTGTTTTTAGTCTTTTGAGGAAACTCCATACTGTTTTTCATAATGGCTAGACTAATTCACATTCCCACCAACAGTACATAAGAATTCCCCTTTTGCTGCATCCTTACCAACATTTGTTATTTTTGTCTTTTTGATAATAGCCATTCTAAGGCAAGGTGATATCTCACTGTGGTTTTGATTTTTATTTCCCTGATAGTGATGTTGAACTTTTTTTTATATACCTGTTGATCATTCATATGTCTTCTTTTGATAAATGTCTATTCAAATCTTTTGCCCATTTTTAAATATTTTTCGCTGTTGTTGAGTTCCTTATATATTCTAGATATTAATCCCTTATCAAATGAATAGTTTGTACATGTTTTCCCCCATTCCGCAGGTGGTCTTTTCACTTGGTTGATTGTTTCCTTTGCTATGCAGAAGGTTTTTAGCTTGATATAAACCCATTTATCTATTTTTGCTTTCGTTGCCTGTGTTTTTGAGGACTTATTCAAAAAATCTTTGCTCAGGCCAATGTTTTGAAGTGTTTCCCCTTTGCTTTCTTCTAGTAGTTTCACAATTTTGGATTTTACATTTAAGCCTTCAATCAATTTTAAGTTGATTTTTCTATATGTTGAGAGACAAGGGTCTAGTTTTATTCTTCTGCATATGAACATCCAGTTTCCCCAGCACCATTTACCGAAGAGACTGTTCTTTCACAATGCATGTTCTTAATGCCTTTGTCAAAAATCAGTTTGCTGTAAATACATGGATTTATTTCTGGGTTTTCTATTTTGTTTCATTGGTTTATATGTCTGTTTTTTATGCTAGTGCTATGCTGTTCTGGTTATTATGGCTTTGTGGTATATTTTGAAGTCTGGTAGTGTGATGCCTCCAGCTTTGTTCTTTTTTGCTCAGGATTGATTGGCTTTTTTTTGTTCTTTTGTGGTTTCATGCAAATTTTGGGATTTTTTTTTCTATTTCTGTGAGAATGTTATTGGAATTTTGATAGGAATTGCATGGAATGTGTAGATCACTTTGGGTAATTTGTATTTTAACAATACAAATTATTCCAGTCAATGAACATGGAATTTCTTTCCTTTGTTTGTTTTCTCCTATGAACAGCCTAAAATGGAAAAAGTCAGCTCTAGTGTTACATAACAGACTCTCTTGTTATCACAATCACCAACCAACCCAAGTTTCTACCCAGTCAAATTTCTTAGTTATTGGCTTATATAAAATACATACAGGACAAATTTTCACAATGAACTAAAAATACATGACATCATAAAAGGTAAAATTAAATTATTGGACTAGGTAAATATCTCTTATGATACAAAATAACTCAACATTAAATCACTTTTTAGAGACAAACATGGCAACTGATGCACCTATTAATTTGTGAGGAAAAAATAGTATTAAACTGTGATGACACTGAAAATGGAAACTTAAGTTCTCTCTTCCAAGTTCTAGCCTTGGTCTGCTTCTCCTTTTCGTCATTTTGATTTTACTGGTCATTTCTTCTAATGTGTGGCTACTACTATTGCTATATGAAAACAGTTCATATTTCCATCATTAATTTCTACACTAAACTCCAGTGCCGTATCGCCAGTTGTTGACTGGATACTGCCAGCTGATGTTCTACTATCTACAAATAATCCAATTTAAATTTTACTGAGCCCAACAGTTCTAAGCACTTTAACTTTGTGTATTAACTCGTTCCATCTTAAACAAAACTCTGAGGATGGCACTATTATTATCTTCATCTTATATATGAAAGTTAAATAAGTAGCCCAAACTCACACATTTAGTCAGAAAGGGAACCAACGCTTGAGCCTAGGCATTTTTGCCCAGAACTGGTTCACTTAATCTTTACTGCACTGCAATAATACCTCAGTTCTGTACTTAAAATCAATAGATACAAAACAAAATTCATCATCATCTCTCTCTTAGATCTCACTGTCCTACTTCTAGTGGAATGCAACTTAAATTTCAGTCACCTGGCCCCCAAACTCAAGTCATCTCCTATGCCTCCCACAGGCAATCCATCCCTGGGGTAGCTTATCCTGTCTTTGTGCCAAAATTTCACTGGGCACAGGCCATATGGATCAGGCCCAAGGAAAGCCTGCCTCCCAAATGCAGGGTGTGTGTCAGTGCACTTTCCCCAGGTGCCCTCTCAGAAGCTGGCATTCTACTCTGGCCATTTGCTCTCAGAAAGCAACTTTCACAGCCTTACCCCACCCTGCCCTGCCCTAGGCCCACCTTGCCTTCCAGCAGCTTCGAATCTCCACACATTCCTTTCCACAACCCCCCATACACCTCACCCTTGTCTTCCCTTTATTGTGTCCTGAACTAGGGGTCACAGGCTTTACAACCTCCTCTCATCTTTCCATTTTGTGTGTGTCCTCTCCTATTTCTTTCTTCAGTGTTTTATAGTTTTTATTGTATAGATCTTTTACTTCCTTGGTGAAATTTATTCCCAGCTATTTTTTGTAGCTATTGTAAATGGGATTGCCTTCTTGATTTCTTTCTCAGCTAGTTCATTATTGGTGTATAGAAAAAGTACACCAATAACACTGTACTATTTTTGTATGTTGATTGTGTATCCTATAAATTTACTGAATTTATTTATGGGATTTAAGAGTTTTTTAAGGGAATCTTTAGGTTTTTGTAGTTATAAGATCATATTATCAGCAAAGAGGGATAATTTGACTTTCTCTTTTCTACTTTAGATGCCTTTTATTTCTTATTCTTGCCTGGTTGCTTAGGCTAGGGCTTCCATTACTATGCTGAATAGGAGTGGTAAATGTGGGCATTCTTGTCTTGTTCCAGTTTTTAAAGGAAAGGCTTTCAGCTTTTCCCCATACAGTATGATGCTGCCTGTGGGTCTGTCACATAAAGGCCATATTTGGACTTTATTATTTTGATGTATGTTCCTTCTGTGTCTAGTTTGTTAAGAGTTTTTATCATGAAGAGACGTTGAATTTTATCAAAGCTTTTCATGTGTCTATTGAGATGATTACATGGTTTTTGTCCTTCATTCTGTTGATGTGATATAGCATATTTATTGTGGTTTTTTTTTTTTTTTTTTGAGATGGAGTCTCACTCTGTCTTGCCCAGGATGGAGTTCAGTGGCATGATCTTGGCTCACTGCAGCCTCTGCCTCCCGGGTTCAAGCGATTCTTCTGCCTCAGCCTCCTGAGGAGCTGGGACTACAGGCGTGAGCCTCCACATCCTGCTAATTTTGTACTTTTAGTAGAGATGGGGTTTCACCATGTTGGCCAGGCTGGTCTTGAACTCCTGACCTCAGGTGATCCACCCACCTCGGCCTCCCAAAATGTTGGGATTACAGGAGTGAGCCACTGCACCCGGCCTATTGATTTCAATATGTTAAACCATCCTTGCATCCCTGGAATAAATCCCACTTGAACATGACATCAATATTTTGATGTGCTGCTGGATTTATTTTGTTAGCATTTTGTTGAGAATTTTTGCATCTGTGTTCATCAGGGACATCAATCTCTAGTTTTGTTGTTTGTTGTGTCTTTATCTGGTTTTGGTATCAGGGTAATGCTGGCCTCATAGAATGAGTTATGGAACATTCCTCCTTCTTCAATTTTTTGGAATAGTTTGAGGAGAATTGGTGTTAGTGCTTGTTTGTAACCCTGGTAGAATTTGGCAGTGAAATAATCTGGACTCTTTTTCTTGGGATACTTTTTAGTAATAATTCAATCTCATTACTCATTATTTGTGTGTTCAAGTTTTCTATTTCTATTTCTTCTTGATTCAATCTTGGTAGGCTGTAGGTATTCAAGAATTTATCCACTTCCTCTAGGATTTCCAATGCATTAGTGTATAGTTCTTCTTAATAGTCTGATTATCTTTCATATGTCTGTGGTATCAGCTGTAATGTCTTTTTCATTTCTGATTTTATTTATTTTGGTCTATTTTCTTTTTTCTTGGTTAATCCAGCAAGTGATTTATTGATTTTGTTAATCTTTGCTAAAAATCAACTATTTCTTTTGTTGATTGTTTATAGTTTTTCAGTCTTTATGTCATTTAGTTCTGCTCTGATCTTTATTATTTTTTTATTTCTACTAATTTTGGATTTGGTTTGTTCTTGCCTTTCTAGTTCCCTGAGGTGCATTGTTAGATTGTTTATTTGAAATCTTTTCATATTTTTGATGTAGGCGTTTACTGCTATAAACTTCCCTCTTAGTGCTCTTTTGGCTGTATTGCTTAGGTTTTGGTATGTGGTGCTTCAGTTTTCTCATTTCAATAAATTTTTTTATTTCCTGCTTAATTTCTTCTTGGCCCAGTGTTCATTCATTCAGAAGCTTGTTGCTTAATTTTTATGCATTTGTACACTTTTCAGTGTTCCTCTTGTTATTGATTTCTAGTTTTATTCTATTGTGGTCTGAGAAGATACTTGATAGGATTTTCATTTTTAAAATATTTATTGAGATTTGTTTTGTGTTGTAACACGTGATCTATTCTGGAGAATGTTTCATGTGCTGATTAGAAGAATGCCTACTTTGTAGCTACTGGACAATGTGTTCCGTAAGTGTCTGTTAGGTCCATTTGGTGTAATGCGCAGTTTAAATTCAGTGTTTCTTCGTTGATTTTCTGCCTGGATGATCTGTATAATACTGAGAGTGGGTTGTTAAAGTCTCCAATTATTATTGTATTGGAGTCGATCTCTCTCTTTAGATCTAATAATATTTGCCTTATATATCTGGGTGCTCTGGTGTTGGGTGCATATATGTTCAACTCTTGTTGAATTGATCCCTTTATCATTATATAATAACTGTCTCTTTTTACTGTTTTTGACTTAAAGTCTGCTTTATCTGATATAAGTATAGATACTCCTGCTAACTTTCGGTTTCTATTTGCATGGAATATATTTTTCCATCTCTTTACTTTCAGTCTATATGTGTCTTTGCAGGTGAGATGAATATCTTGTAGGCAGCATATAGTTTAAAATCCACTCAACCAGTCTATATCTTTTAAGTGAAAAAGTTTAATCCAGTTATATTCAAGGTATTACTGATATGTGAGGGGCTATCCTTCTATTATTTGATTTTGGGTTTGTATTGTTCATTTCTTACTCTCTGATTGTTCATTATTGTGGCTTGGTGGCTTTTTGTAGTGGTAATATTTGAGTCTATTCCTTGTTTCTGTGTTTGCTCCACCAGTGGTTTTTATATTTTCATGCATTTTCATGATGATAGATACCATTAGGGCCAGTCTCGTAATGATAAATTGCTTCAGCTTTTGCTTGTTTGGGAAAGACTTTATTTCTTCTTCATTTTACTGTGTATGGTATCCTCGGCTGACAGTTTTTCCTTTTAACACTTTAAATATATCATCCCATTCTCTCTTGTCCTGGTGAGTTTTCTGCTGAGAAATTTACTGTTAGCCTGTTGGAGGTTTCTTTACAAGTGACTAGACTTTCTTTTTTTCTTGCTGTTTTTATAATTCTTTTTGTCTTTTATTTTTAACAGTTTTACTGTAATGTGCCATAGAAAAGATCTTTTTGAATTGTATCTATCTGGGGATCTCTGAGCCTCCTGTATGTGAATGTATAAATATCTTGCTAGACTTGGGGAAGTTTTCATCTATTATTTCATTAAATAGGTTTTCCAACTCTTTTGTTTTCTCTTTACCTTCTGAGACACAGAGAATTTGAAAATTGGGTCACTTTATGGTACCCCTTATGTCACATAGGCTTTGCTCATTGTTCTTTATTCTTTAAAATTTTTTTGTCTGAACGGTTTATTTCAAAAGACCCGTCTTCAAGTTCTGAGATTCTTTCTTCACTTGGTCTAATCTGTTGTTACAGCTATTGAATGTATTTTGTACTTCATTCAATGAATGCTTCAGGTCCAGAATTCCTATTTGTTTGTTTGTTTGTTAATGATATTTATCTCTTAGATAAATTTCTCATTCATACCCTGAATTGTTTTTCTGATTTCTTTGTACTTTTTTTTGGAATTCTCTTGTATCTCACCAAGCTTCTTTAATATGATTATTTTGAAATTTTTCTGGGATTTTATAAATTTCTTTTTGATAGAAATCTGTTACTGGAGAATTATTTTGTTTCTTTGGAGGTATCATATTTTCTTGCTTTTTCATGTTTCCTGTGTTCTGATGTTGATATCTGCATGACTGGTGTAACAGTTGTTTCTAATTTTTTGAATTTGCTTTCACAGGGGAGGACTTTTCCCTGAAGATGTGTCTATGGTGTGGCTGGGTAAGGCACTTTGGCTTTTATTCTGGTTGCCTGTAGTATTGTAGTCTCTGCACAATTTATTCAGCCATAAACTGCATTAGTGATGTCTATGATTTTCTTGGTGGTTTGGGGTGTGGTTGTTAGTGGAGGCCTGTGATAATATTTTGCTAGTGACTGGAATGCCAGGTGGCCCAGTCTTTGGGATTTAGTGGTGGCAGCAGCAGGCTGAGAATGTCTGTCCTTGGGCCCCAGGGTCCCATGTGCTGGCACCAGTGTTAGCTGGTCTAGATAGGTCAATTCTTGGGCCTCCAAGTGGCTGACTTGGGTACTGGGAATGGCAGTGGTGGGCTGGGAAAATGGGCAGGTTCTCAGGTCCCTGGTCAGAGCTCTGGCATGACTAATGGCAGTAGCATTGGTTGAACAACTCTCCAGGACCTAAGCAGTTTTCACTGGTGGTGGTGGTGGCTGTGTTAGTCTTAGGGCCAATGTGATCAAGAGGCTCTCCCGTGGCTAGAATCTCAGGAGTCTATGGTGGAAATGTGGACCACTGGGAGTCACCCACTTACCTTTCCCTTACATTAGGGAGCTTTTCCAAGCTCCCAGCTGCTCCAGGCTGTGGAGACTGCCTTACATCTCTCTCCTTCCCTGATTTTGGTGTTTCCTGTCACTTCCCTGTTGAATTACATGCTTTCTCTTAGTTGATCTATTTGAAATGTGATTATCTACTGACTATTTTGGTTCTTCTTTGTGAAAGAGGTGAGGACTAGATGCCTCTAGTCAGCCACCTTAAAGCCCCTCCTTCATTATATTTCTTTTTTTGTTGTTATTTTTCTTAATTTATATCCATTTCCATATATTAAATAATGATAGAATCCTCCAAAAGATCCAATCCATCGTATTTATGGTAATGGCTCTTAAATCCATCATCATCCTTTACCTCTCTACCTAGATGGCCTCTCTACCTTGATGGCTTTAAGGCCCCGGAAATTCAGTGTATCCTACACTCATTATTTTTATCCTATTACCCATCTTTCTGCATTCTGAGTATCTGACTTAATGACTCTGCCTTCTACCCAGTTGTCCAACCTATGATTAAAAATATCACAGATATCTTTGACCACTGCTGCTTCTTTATTCACTACTATCAGTAGCAACATCATGTCAATTCCACCTCAAAAATATGTCTCATTCTCCTCCCCTTATCTGATTATTTGTTACCCTGTACCAATGCTCATTACTCATTGTCCCAGCTCTCATATAAACTTCCAAACTGGTCTGTATCTATGATCCCCCTACTTAACACAATCCCTATACTACCGTCAAACTTCATTACAAAAAAAAAAAAAAAAAAAAGCAGATGTAGAAGTTTCACGTGGGGAAGATGAGTAAGTTCTGGAGATAGATGGTGGTGATGGTTGCAGAACAATGTGAATTTATTTAATGCCACTTAAAAGGGGTTGAAATGATAAGTTTTACATTATGTATACTTTAACCACAGTCAAATATAAATATATGGTCATGTCATTCCTAGGCTTATAATACTCTTTCATAATTACCATTGGTTTCTCACCGGCTACTACAGAAAAAAGTTCAAACGTCTTTGCAACCTGACCCTAACCATCCTCTCCAGGCCATCCTAGCCATTACATTCCATATCTTAAACACACTCTCTAGTCCTCAAAGATTCATCAGTTATACATACTTTTCCCAACAATTTATTCTGTCTGTAAAGTTTTTTCTTTATTGAGATAATTTATATACAGTAAAATTTACCTCCATTTAAGTAGGTATTTAATGTCTTTCAATATTTAATGTCTTTTATGGCCCAATGCGGTGGCTCATGTCTATAATCCCAGCACTTTGGGAGGCCAAGGCGAGTGGATCACCTGAGGTCAGGAGGTCGAGACCAGCCTGGCCAACACGGAGAAACGCCCCATCTCTACTAAAATTACAACAATTAGCTGGGTGAGGTGGCTTACGCCTGTAATCCCATATACTTGGGAGGCTGAGGCAAGAGAATCACTTGAACCCAGGAGGCTCAGGTTGCTGTGAGCCAAGATGGTACCACTGCACTCCAGCCTGGGTGACAGAGTGAGATTCTGTCTCAAAACAAAACAAACAAACATCGAATGTCTTTTACATTTAATGTCTTTTTACAAATCATCATCAAGATATAGAACATTCCTATAACCCTGAACATTTCTTCATACCACTTTTCAGTGTATCCCGTCTTTTCACCCCCACTCCCTGTCAGCCACTGATCTGTTTTCTATTTTTTATAGTTTTATCTGTTCTAGAAATTCACACAAATGATTAATAGAGCATGTAGTCTTTGTGTCCAACTCCTTTTATTTAATATACTGCTCTTCAGATTTCTTTTACTATTGAATAATACTTCTTTATTTGAATATATTGCAACTTATACAATCACCATATGATGGACACTTGGTGTTTCCAGTTTGGAGATATTAATGAATAAAGCTACTATGAACATGTGCATACTAAGCTTTGTGTGGACATGTGTTCCTGTTCAGATTGGGTAAATATCTAGGAGTAGAATTGCTGGGTCATGTGACAAGTATATATTTGACATGATAAGAAAGTGCCAAACTAGTTTCCACTGGTTGTACTATTGTACCTTTCCACAAGAAATGTTATCAGAATTCCAGTTGCTTCACATCCTCACCAACACTTATTACTTATTGTCAGAATTTTTTATTTCAGCCATTGTAGTGTAAGTGTGTAGTAGTGTCTCATGATGGTTTTAATTTAAATTTGCCTGAAGACTACTTATGTGGAACATTTTTTCATGTAGTCAACTATATATCTTTTTTGGTGAAGTGTCTATTCAAACTTTTGCCCATTTAAAAATTTCAGTTGTTTGTCTTCTTGTAATTGAGTAGTAATAATTCTTTATATATTATGAAGAGAAGTTCTTTATCATATATGTATTCTGCCAATATTTTCTCCTAGTATTTGGTTTGTCTTTTCATTTTCTTAATCGTGTTTTTAGAATAACAAATGTTCTAAATTTTGATGCAGTTCGATTTATCCATTTTTCTAAATGATCTGTCCGTTTTGTGTTCTACTGAAGAAGTAAAGTAAATGAAGACATAGTGAGATCATAGATTGGAAGAGTAAACATTATTAAGATGCCATTTCTGCCCAATTGATCTACAGATTCAGTGCAGTCCAATTTGAAATGTCAGCTGATTTTTCAAAAATAAAAATTGGTAATTAATTCAAGGGCACAAAGATTTCCTCCTGTGTTTTCTTCAAGCAGTTCCATAGTTTTAGCTCTTACATTCAGGTATATAATACATTAGAGTTAGTTTTTGTGTATGATGTGAGGTGACCATTAAAATTTATTTTTTTCATGTGGGAAAAGTCCATCCTTTTACGATCAAATTGCCTTGGCACTTCAAACTGTTCTTATTACTCTAGCTTTAGAATAATTCTTGAAATCAGATAGTATTAGCCTTGCACTTCATTCTCGTTCAAATTTGTTTTGGTTATTCTAAGTCCTTTGCATTTCCGTATACATCTTAGAATGAGCTTGTCAATTTTTACAAAGGAAATTCTGTACAGATATTGATTAGGATGACGTTGAACCTGTAAATCGATTTGGATAGAATTGACATCATAACAATGAGTCTTCTAATTCATAAACTTTATGTAGCTCTCCATTTATTTTATTTGCTTTCAGTGATATTTTAAAATTATATAGTTTTAGGTGCAGCTTGTGAACATATTTTGTTTAGTTTATTTACATATATTTCATATTTTTGGATGTAAAATATTATTTTCTTAATTTTAATTTCTTTTTTCATTGGTAATACAAAAATTTTCAGACGTTCCATTCACTTAGAAAAAATGTCATTAACCTGTGTGATTCAAAGCCCCCAAACACCCATTTGTTCCCTAATATCTTTCTCACTACTATATTATCTTTGGAAAGTCCCTCTATTACTGAGGGCTAATAAATGGTCTAAAGAAAGTCTTTGCTAATTTATATTTTAGTTGGGAGAAGCAACACATTAAGTGATTTTTTTTCAGGGCCTAGTTAGTCTATAGATAACAGAAATAGTTCTTTGATCAGATGATTGAAGGATAAGTATAGTATAGGGGAACTTATGAGGGAGGAACAGACCCAAGTGGGACTCCACGGTGAAGAATCTTGAGAAATCAGCACAGTAAATCAGTTTTGGGTGCTTGATGGAGGAACAAATGAACAAAGTGAGGCAACTGAGGGGATAGAGGAGGAAAGGATAACTCTAACTTTTCTTCATGGACACATCTACAAAATAAATGTAAAATTGTCTTATTGATTCTTATTCTTGGAATAGACTCAACTCATTAAATTGTAGATTATTTCTTCGATCCCTGAATATCTGGAGACCAGAAATAACGAAGAGACAAACGAAGATGATGTATGTACATGATCACATTCAGTTATTCACCTTCATGTGGAAAAACAGAAACGTTTATAATATTAAATTAAAACTGTGGATAGTTTTATTGTTCTTGGGATTAATATTTAATACCAAATAATGAAGTACCATGGTGAGATCTTAAATAACAATGCATTGAAAAGTTTTCAGCAATGTATTTTGCCCTCTTTTTCCTGGATACTTCCTGCAGGCAAAAGACTACAGAGCTATCTTCCTGTAAAACTTATTTCCCTCTGGCTTACCTTCTCATGAACACTCACATTTTTTTTTTTAAGTAAGTAAACATATCCCCTACTCAAGGACTGTAGGTTATAATCACGGCACATTTCTGTGTCAACAGAATGTTACAGAAAGATTTAACATGGGTAAATCAAATTAGGCCGATAACTTGAGAATAATCAAGAGTTGACTATAACCTTCTAGTCTGCTGTATGTGCTTAATTGCGAGGCAAATAAAAAATAGTTATGACAAAGACAGCAGTCCAGATGTTGGGATACATGTTCAGTATTTAGATGGAAAACAAGACTGATGTGACTGTAATATCTGTCACTTCACTGGTCAATAGTAGTCATCTGGAATTCTCTGCCTAGATAAATCAACATCTTAAAGCTTTATGCTTAATTTACAAATTTAATCTTCCCAAATAAAGTATAGAGGCATTTTTAGGTCTAGAATATATAATGCTCATTTTTCTCACCCAGAAAAACTCTCTTTTAGTATTTCTTGAAGTACAGGTCTACTGATGACCAATTTTATCATTTTTTTTCTAAAAAAAACGTTGATTTTGTGCATGTGTGTATTATGTTTTTTGGTTTAAAAATTATGAGCATTTATTATCTCATATTTTCTGTGAGTCAGAAATTTGAAAGTTCAGTGATATGGCTCAGGGTCTCTTATAAGTTGCAACCAAGCTTTCAGCCAAGGCAATCGTCATCCAAAGGTTTCGCTGGGGCTGGAGGATCTTCATGACTGCTGCAAAAAGGCCTCAGTCCTTACTGGCTGTTGGCCAGAGGCTTCCATTCTTTTCCACATGGGCCTCTTCATAAGAAAATTGGAGCATATTCATGACATGGCACATAGCTTTCCCCTAACCAGGTGATCCAAAAAGATCTTTCTTTCTTGGAAGAAAAAATCCTTTTCTAAGATTGCAGGTTTTTCTCTTTCAGCACTTTAAAGAAGTCTTTCCTTTGTCTTACGGCTTCCAGAATTCCTGATGAGGAGTCTGCTATCAATCTTATCTTGTGGCTTTGAAGGTAATAAGTCATTTTTATTCTGTATCTATTTGAAGAGTTTTTCTTTGGCTATAATATGCCTGATATGGTTCTCTTTGAATCCTTCTTACTTGGCAGTTGTTAAAAAATTTTTTTTACATCTGTCCATTCAATTATGTCACCATTCTCAAGTCATTTTTCAACTATTGCTTTGATTCTATTTTCTGTCTTCTTTTCTATTGGGACTCTAATTACATGTTAGACATTTTTAGCACCTCTCATGTTTCTTACACTCTATTTGTTCTGTTTTGTCAATTTCTTTATTTTCTCCTTTCAATACTTTCGTTAAATAATTTCTGTTGATTATCTTCTTGTTCTTTCTGTCCTCAGTTTTCTCCAGTCTACTGTTAAAACTCAAATAATAAGGTCTTAATTAAATATACTGCATTTTAAGTTTTGGGATACTTATTTGGTTTTTGTTTGTTTGTTTGTTTTTTGGAGACAGAGTTTCGCTCTTGTTGCCCATGCTGGAGTGCAATGGCCCGGTCTCAGCTCACTGCAACCTCTGCCTCCCGGGTTCAAGCGATTTTCCTGCCTCAGCCTCCCAAGTAGCTGGGATTACAGGTGCCTGCTACCATGCCTGGCTAATTTTTGTATTTTTAGTAGAGACGAGGTTTCACCATTTTGGTCAGGCTGGTCTCAAACTCCTGACCTCAGGCAATCCGCCCGCTTCAGCCTCCCAAAGTGCTGGGGTTACAGGGGTAAGCCACCACGCCCAGCCTGGTTTTTAATATATTCTAATTTTCTCTTGAAATCCTCCAACACTTATTCATTTTGTCCATATTTTACTCTATTTTCTTTAACATATTAATCACAAATATTTTCCAGTCCTTCTCTGTTAACTCCAATATCTTGGTCATTTCTGTGTCTACTTCTATTTTATGTCTTCATTATTAGTAAATTTTCCTGTTTCTTTGAATTTTTCTATTTTTAGGATTGTACACTAGGGAATTTGAATGATACATTGTAGAGACTCTAGATTATTTCACCTTCCTATAAGGAGTATTATAATTTTTAAAATTTGACAGGCAATTAAATTATTGTTTTATTATCTTCATCTGTCAGATATTGTTGTCAGCCTTTACTAGGAAGGTTCTATATTAGTTTTGCTCTCTCTTCTAGAAGCATTACTCTTGTACAAGGTGTTTACCTAGGTCTCTCTCTTCTGAGCCCAAACTTCAAAATCTCCTGCAACTTTGAGGCCCCTAAAATCTCTGCCAAGCACTCCAACCTCATGTAGCTATACCCTGCTAGTTCTGCCAGAATCTAGCTCTGGGCATGTGTAGCTGAATGCATATTTGAGACTCCTTATGTGCAGCTCCTTCCTATAAGGGACTCTGCCTTAAATCCTAGAAACCTTGGCAACCCTGAATTCTGCTCTTGTTTCTTTCCCACAGTGATAATGTCATTCTCACCTGTAATCCCAGCACTTTGGGAGGCTGAGGCCCAGGAATTCAAGACCAACATGGCAAAACCCTGTCTCTACAAAGATACAAAAATTAGCTGGATGTGGTGGTGTGCACCTGTAGTCCCAGATACTTGGGAGGCTGAGGTGGGAGGATCGTTTGAGCCCAGGAGGTTGAGACTGCAGGGAGCTGTGTTTGTACCACTGCACTCCAGCCTGGGTGAAAGAGTGAGACCTTGTCTCCAAAAAAAAGAAAAAAAATGAAATAAATAAAAATATTTCTGTGTCATTTAGTTTTCTAAATATATAGATTAACTTTATATTCAGAACTTTAAAAACACTTTATATGATCATTTTTTAAAAATTATACTTCTACTTAAACTGTTTAAAGCTGACAGAGAGTAAAATACAAACATGTACCTACAAGTTAATGTTAGTGTCTACTACACAAGCTTCTAAATAGTGACAAAAAAAAAACTATCAGGATAATTACTTGATGTTATAAACTCAAACTACTATTTCATTCATTAATATTTAATTTTGAGCAGTTTTTTAACCTTTTTGAATATTAAAGAATCATCCAATTATTCAAAAAACTTTTGTTGAAAATCTAAATAACTTAAATAAAAGTAGACTTTTTATTTCTTGGTGGAAATGACTAAAAAAAAAGACAAGTTTAGTTAAAGGATTTAAGCTAGTAGTTACTTTAAAGATATGCTTTGAGATAAAGGCACCAAATGAAATGTTATTTCCATATTTACTTTACTCTCAGTGTTTGCCTAATGTCTACTTGTATAATTTTTTTTTTGAGATGGAGTCTTGCTCTGTTGCCCAGGCTGGAGTGCAGTGGCGCGATCTCAGCTCACTCTAACTTCTGCCTCCCAGGCTCAAACGATTCTCCTGCCTCAGCCTCCAGAGTCACTGGGATTACAGGCATATGCCACCGCCTGGCTAATTTTTGTATTTTTAGTAGTGACTGGGATTCAACATGCTGGCCAGGCTGGTCTTGAACTCCTGACCTCAAGTGATCCGTCCACCTCAGCCTCCCAAAGTGCTAGGATTACAGGCGTGAGCCACTGCACCTGGCCTATGTTTTAATTTTTAATTTAAGTATTTTAAGATTTCTTATTTTCCAATAAATAAACTGCCTAATTTACATTTAAGAATATTGCTAACTCAGAACTCCCACCTCATGAGTCACTTGATTGCTCTTCCTGGTATTAAACTTCTATGAATAAACATAACTTGGAACGCTGGTAAGCAGCCAAGAACATCTGGCTCCCAGTCTTAATAAAATAAACCTTAAGTTTTACAGTTTTTTTAGTGAATGCCAAAAAAATTTACTTCACAAGGGTCTTCTTTCCACCTCGCTTATAAAAATGAAAAAATCATAAGTAAAAAAATGAAATTTTTTTAAAACTAAACACAAAATTATTCTATATATTACAAAAAAAATGAGAAGTTAGATTAATGTAAATGAATCATTCCAAACTTTATAACAATGGCTTAATCAGTACCTCATTTACTTGATTAAGTTTTTCAATAGCTCTACGTTCTCTGCGTTGGGAATCATTCTGACTCATTAGTTTCTGTCATTCCATGCTATTAAGTATCAATACGTATGCTCATTGGCATTGCCGTCGGTTTTATAGCAATCTAATTAGTATCCCTATATGTAGTCATGTTAATTATAAAGGGTATCAAGTCTCAAAGACAAAAATACTATTCCCCTTTATAGCGTTTGGCTTAAGAATGACAAATAATTCTGAATAACCACAAGATTACAAATTCATCTTGCAAAGAGAAGCAAGCACTGGGAGGCAGCTAGCTTCTCTGACCTTTTGTAAGGGCAGTAATCTTATGAAAAGGACAGAGATTGATTCATTCGTTCACTTGATGAATAAATATATAATGAAAATTTACTCAAGAGGTAATATTTTCAAATGGCTAAGAACATGCACCATTGAATAAGACAACCTGGGTTTACATTCTGCCTCTACCACTTAATAGCGTTGTGTCTCAATGTCCTCATCTGTAAAATGAAGATGTCTTGGAAATTAATAATGGGGAAATAATAGTACCGTTATCCATGAGTTCATAATGTGAAGTGCTTAGTCTGCCATAGCCTGTCAGTGTCAGCCTGTCGCATTGTAAGCGCTTAATAAATATTAGCAATTACGACATGTGTTAAGTAACGTAGACTGACATAGAACTTAGTATTCAGTATTCAGTAAAAGAGTAATTCAAACTTTCAAAGCTATTTTTAATCTTCTCTCTACATTGTAAGCTTTATCAATATTTCACTGTAATTATTAATCATTCTCATGTTGTATTTCCCACATGAATTCATCTGTCTTTACCAATATGCTAGTAGTTACGATGATAATGTCATTTTCGCCTGTAATCCCAGCACTTTGGGAGGCTGAGGCCCAGGAGTTCAAAACCAACATGGCAAAACCCAATATGCATGGATTTGTTTTACGTGAGAATTTTTTCATCACTTTTTTCTACTAGATTGTGTATTTCTTTAATTTCTTTATTCTTGAGTTAATAAGGTAAGTGCCTCAATCCACTCTACGATTTAAATGAGCAGATAAAAATTTACTTGCCAGAGAATAAGCTTAAGCTATTGAAGGTTTTGGCTTCCTGATAGAGTGGAATTTCTTTTCTTTTTTTTTAACTTTTATATTAAGTTCAGGGGTACAAGTGCAGGTTTGTTACATAGATAAACTTGTATCATGGGGGTTTGTTGTACAGATTCTTTAAATACTCAGCTATGAAGCCTAGTACCCATTAGTTACTTTCCTTGATCCTCTCCCTCCTCCCACCAGCCACCCTCCAAAAGGACCCAGTGTGTGCTGCTCCCCTCTATGTATCCATGTATTCTCATCATTTAGCTCCCACTTACAAGTGAGAACATGTATTTGATTTTCTGTTCCTGTGTTAGTTTGCTAAGGATAATGGCCTCCAGCTCCATCCATGTCCCTGCAAAGGACATGATTTTATTTTGTTCTTTTTTATGGCTGCATAATATTCCATGCTGTATATGGAGCACATTTTCTTTAAAGAGTGGAACTTCTTTATCACAATACAGGTGTGAGGAGGAAGAAGGGATATCACCGGCCTCAAGGGTAACCATGTCACAACAGGTTTGTATTGCTGTATTGTATTGCTTCTGTGTGTAATTTATTAAATTTCAGGCTATGACAAAATATACAAATGGTATGCTGGAATATTAATTGGAAGACTACATTGACAGTTCTTTTAGCAGGAGAGTAATCCAGCCATGATCCAATAAAGTATTCAAAAACATCATCCAAGAACATTATTGTTGCCATCTTTGGCTTTGTTCTCTCTCATTTCCTTTTTTCTTTTGCTATGATTTTGAAACATCTAGATAACTTTTTAGTATATTTGGCATCAAGGAGATTCCATTTTGATAAATGCTTCTTAATTTGAAAATAAACTTAAAATCTATGTCACTCAATTGGACACCCAGTGGTATACTTTGAACTATAGAGTAAACCAAAGACAATAATTCAGGAACATTCTAAAGAGCCAACTAATACCAGACTGATACTATAATAGTTTATTCCACTCATCCTTCATGTTATATTCTAAAATGTAGTCATATTTGTCAAGGGTCTTGCTAGCTAGTAAGTTACACTGTAGAGCAGGTCTGTGTGAACCTTCCCAATTTTCTTATTAAAATATTGGTAGAGACATCATGAATAACAATTGCCATCATGCTGAGGTATTCATTACTATTTTCATGGAGGTACGCCATGATTCTGTCTCAAACATTCAGCCAACTAATAAACATGGTGTTAGATTTGGCTGACTAAAGAGTTTTACTTTTTGAAGAATAGTTTAAGGTCAGTAATGTATTTGTCAGGGTTCTCCAGAAAGACAGAACCAGAAGGATTATCTATCTATCATCTATCATCTATCTATCTATCTATCTATCTATCTATCTATCTATCTATCTACCTATCTATCTATCTAAATGTGTGTGTGTGTGTGTGTGTGTGTGTGTGTGTGTGTGTGTGTGTGGAGAGAGAAGGAAAGGGATTTATTATAAGGTATTTGTTCACACAATTACGAAGGCTGAGAAGTCTACCATATGTAAGATGAAGACCCAAGAAAGCCAGTGGTGTAGTTCCAGTCCAAGTCCAAAGGCCTGAGAACAAGGAACATAGATGATAAAAGTCCCAGTTCAATGGCAGAAGAAGCTCAATGTCCCAGCTTACACTATCAAGCAGAGAGCAAATTGTTCCTTCCTCTGCCTTTTTGTTGTGTTCCAGCCCTTAAGGGATTGGATAGCACCTACCCACACTGAGGAGGGCAAACTGCTTTACTCTGTCTACCAATTCAAATGTTACTCTCATCTAGAGACACCCAGAAATAATGTTTAGCCAAATAGCTGGGCGCTGCATGGCTTAGTCAAGTTGACACATAAAATTAACCATGACAGCTAGATAACAATAGTACCTTGACATTAGCAAATATCTAAGCTTTCCAACGGAAAGCTGTTTAGAAGGACATCAGACACTGAGTACATCTTATTTTTCATAATAACCTGATGGAAAAGATAGACTAAACTGATCATTTAATTAGATTAATTCTCACAGAGATGTTGGAAAGTGATTGAAGAATTATATAAAAGGGAATAGTCTCTCCAAATATACACCTTAAGAAAATTGTTCTTGAAGGTGGGAGATGGATCATTGAAAGGCCAGTTCTAGAGAGAAAGAAAGCAATTAGGTGATTCTTAAAGACTGCCCAGACAAGAAATGCTTGGATCATCACCCAAAAGCAGAGTTGGCATACTTTTCTGTAAAGAGGCAGATAGAGTAAATGTTCTAGATTTTGCAGGCCTTAGAGTCTCTGCTGCCAATTCTACCATTGTAGTGTGAACATAGCCACAGAAACATATAAATGAATGAGCATGGATATGTTTCAATAAAACTGTATTTACAGACCCTGAAATTTGAATTTCATATAATTGTATGTGTCACAAAATATTATTCAAAAAATTTTTTTCAACCACTTAAAATGTAAAATTTAAGCTTTCAGGCCATACAAAAATGAGCAGTAGGCCAGATTTGGCTTATGGCTATAGTTCCCCCTGATCTGAAATAGTGGCAGTGATACTAAAGAAGAGAGAAAGGAATTTCAGTGATGTTTAGTAGATAGAATGTATAGGATTTCGTGACTAATGTGATATCGGAGGCTGAGGAAGAGAGTATGGCCTTGGATGAGTTGTGGCTTTCTGGACTGGTTAAATGGTGTGTTACCCATTTATGCAGAAATGCAGAAGAGGTAAGGTTGACAGCAAGAGGGAGAGAAACCTGAGATTTAGACTTGCTAAATTGGTATGTCAATAGGATATACAAAGATAAACACTTGAAATTCTTCACCTTTTTTGATCATTGGCAGTGAAGTAAAGATGTGAAGTCTTAGGAAACAAACTTCATTTATGCATCATTTTATTAAAATGACTTACAACATGTAGATATAATCTAGAAGATTTTGAATACTATAATTGATATGCTTTTGCTGTTCTGTTGGGAGCAGGCCCCCCAAAATCTGGCCATAAACTGGCCCCAAAACTGGCCATAAACAAAATCTCTGCAGCACTGTAACAGGTTCATAATGGCCCTAACGCCCAAGCTGGAAGGTTGTGGGTTTACGGGAATGAGGGCAAGGAACACCTGGCCCGCCCAGGGCGGAAAACCACTTAAAGGCATTCTTAAGCCACAAACAATAGCATGAGCGATCTGTGCCTTAAGAATATGCTCCTGCTGCAGTTAACTAGCCCAACCTATTCCTTTAATTTGGCCCATCCCTTGGTTTCCCATAAGGGATACTTTTAGTTAATTTAGTATCTATAGAAACAATGCTAATGACTGGCTTGCTGTTAATAAATACTTGGATAAATCTCTGTTTGGGGCTCTCAGCTCTGAAGGCTGTGAGACCCCTGATTTCCCACTTCACACCTCTATATTTCTGTGTGTGTGTCTTTAATTTCTCTAGTGCCGCTGGGTTAGGGTCTCCCCGACCGAGGTGGTCTCGGCACTGTTCAATATCACAAACTGAAAATATTCATATTTGAGCTGATTAAAATTTTGATAACTAAATCACCAGATTTGAAGGCAGTAAAAATAATGTGAAATAGCATATGACACATTTCATCAGGAAAAAGCTGGAGGACAAACAAGGGAGAACAAGAGTGGCTCCCAAAGGTGGGAGACAGGACTGGCTGACTGTGATTGCCAAATCAGCTTTTGCTGAGTAACCAAGAGAGCCAGGCAGAGGTGGGTCAAGCAAAAAAATCACCCCAACACCCCAGATTAGAGCTGTCACAATCCTCTCTTAAGCAAGATTCACAGGGCAAGGTTGGTTAATAGCTGGCCTTTCACTGGTTCCAAGGGAGAGGTAGAGCTGCTGTCAGTCAACTGAGTACTTACTAGGTTAAACCATTCTTGTATGCCTGGGAAGAATTTGAATTGTTTTGTTTTAGATGAAATACAAATAAATATTTATTTATTTCCAGAATTTATATATCTGTGACTGAATTGGAAGAGAGCACGAGATTCTAGGAAGCTAGCTAGTTCAGTGATGTTTATATTTATCATCTATATTTACTGATACATATGCATATGTATCCTGCCTTCATATTCACATGGCATTCTCCATGTGTGCATGTCTGTCTCCAAATTTCTACTTTTTACATGACACAGGTCAAACTAGATTAGGAGCCCTCATGACTCCAGTATGGCCTTATGTTAACTAATTTCATCTGCAATATCCTTATTTCCAAATAGGGTCACATTCAAAGGTACTGTGGACAAGCGCTCCAACATATGAATTTTGGGGGCCTTATGCCAGGGTCTTAACATGGGTTCATAACTGGGCCTCAAGCCCATGTTTTTTTTTTTTTTTTTTTTCCTGAAGACATTTGCTGAATACTGAGGCTGCATTAAGAAGGGTTCTAAAAACTTTAGTAACACACTTATTAAATTCAAAACAAGATTCTTCTGTACCTTGTAGGACAAAGATTAGAATTTGGTTCTCACCAGGATATGGAGTCACAGAATACACCAGTCTTATACATAAATATACGTATGTATATGTATCAGTAAAAGTATATAATGCATATATAACAAATATATGTATTTTAAGTATAATAGATATATATGTATATTTATCAGTAAATTCAGCTTGCTAGTATTTTATTCAGTATTTTACATCTAAATTCGTAAGTGAAATAAATCTACACTTTTTCTTTCTAAGACTGTTATAATCTGGTTTTGCCATCAAGACTTACCTCCATCATAGAATTAATGGGGGAGGATTACATTTCACTCTAGTTGTGAAAGAGTTGTATACAACTAAAAATATATGTTATTTGAATATTTGGAACAATTTTCCAGTAAAAGCATTATGATTGAATTATTTTGTAAGTATATTTTAACTATTGATTGAAATAGTGATTATAAGGCTAGTCATTTATACTTTTTGAGTAAGCTGTGGTAAATTATACTTTCTACAAAATTAACCATTTGTCCAAGTTTTCAAGTTTATTGCAATGAAATTTTTATATTAATCTCATGTTATGTTTTAATCTCATGCTCTGTTATATTCTCTTTCAGAACATTTTAAAAGAATATTTTTATTCTCTTTTTTTATGTAGTCTTCATAAAAAATCGCCTATTTAATTAGTATTTTTAAAGAACCAAAGTTTTTGTTTTTGTTTTTGTTTTTGTTCTTGATCTCCTATTTATATGTTTTCTAATTCATTAATTTTTGCATTTTTTCCTTCTTGGAATTCACTTTTTATTCTTCTTGGTTTATGTCTCTTTTTTCAATTTGGGCACTAAAGTCTATAATTTTGGTATAAATATACTACTTTTGTAACATTTTAAGATATATGTTATTTTATAATAATTTAGTGTTCATTTTTTAAAATTTCCATTATGATATTTTTTGTTCCATGAAATATATAAAGGGATATCTTATAATCCAAAGTGTTTAAGGGGTATTTTCAGCTATTTTTAGTCATTATTTTTTATTTTCCAATTTAATTGTGCTGTGTTCAGAAGTTGTTAATTTGGTTATTCAATAATTTGTTTTCCCAAGTTATAACAATTACTGAAAGAAGTGTTTAAAATTTTCCACCAACAGTTCCTATCACAGATTGCTGCACATAGTACAAATTGCCTGAATATATTTACCAGTGATTTATATTCACAAAACTGGCTCAAGGTAGCTGGAAGTGATTCTAAGTGTGTGTTCAGTTGTTTGAAACTTAAGATTATTGTAGCGTATGCTAAAATGATTTGAGATGCCAGAAATTTGTTGGTATAATTTAGATCAGTGGTTCACAATCAGAAGGACTGAGAAAGATGTGGGGAAATTGTGTTTTATAAAATGAACGGGGGAGAACTACTTCTGTGGGTCTGATGGAGTAACTGTAAGTAGGGAAGCACTCTGATTTAGAACAAGTAGAAAAACCAAAGAAAATATAACAATCAACTTTCTTGAGGAAGCTAAGACCTTCTGAAGCCACAAGAAATGAAGAGGTTAAGGTTCCAGTGGGAGAAGAATCAGGGTGGTGAGCTGGGCTTCTGGAGCTGCTTCTGTCCTTGGGCCATTTGATGATTCTGGGCACATGCAGAAGAATGATAATCAAAAGAAAAGCCTGATGGGTACCCCCTGAGGGGATCAAAAAAACAAATTGAGATTTTAGAGAATGAGGGCCTGTATTAGTTCATCCTCATGCTGCTAATAAAGACATACCCAAGACTGGGTAATTTATAAAGGAAAGAGGTTTAATTGACTCACAGTTCAGCATGGTTGGGGAGGCCTCAGGAAACTTACAATCATGGCAGAAGGAGAAACAAACATGTTTTTCTTCACATTGTGGCAGCAAGGAGAAATGTGGAGCGAAAGAGGGGGAAAGCTCCTTATAAAACCATCAGATCTTGTGAGAACTCACTATCACATGAATAGCATGGAGGTAACTGCCCCCATGATTCAATTAGCTACCACCAGGTTGCTCCCATGACACATGGGGATTGTGGGAGCCACAGTTCATGATGAGATATGGGTGAGGACACAGCCAAACCATATTAAGGCCTGTATTAGTTTGCTAGAGCTACTGCAACAAAGTACTACAAACTGCATGGCTTTAAGGCAGAAATTTTTTGTCTAAGGGTTCTGGAGACTAAAGTCCAAGATCAAAGTGTTAGCAGGATTGAGTCCTTCTGATGGCTCTTAGGGAGAAAGCATTTCATGCCTCTCCTCTAGCTTTTGGTGATTTGCTTATTATCTGTAGCATTTCTTGCTTTGTAGAAGGCTTCGCCCAAATTCCTGCCTTCATATTCACATGGCATTCTCCACGTGTGCATGTCTGTCTCCAAATTTCTACTTTTTACATGGACACAAGTCATACTGGATTAGGGGCTGACGTGACTGTAGTATGGCCTCATTTTAACTAATTACATCTGCAATATTATTTCCAAATAGGGTCATGTTCGAAAGTACTGTGGAATAGCACTCCAACATATGAATTTTGGGGGCCTTATGCTGGGGCCTTAACACAGGTTCATAACAAGGCCTCAGGCCCATGGCTGTTTTTTGTTTGTTTGTTTGTTTGTTTTCTGAAGACATTTGCTAAATACTGAAGCTGCATTAAGAAGGGTTCTGGCCAGGTGCGGTGGCTCACGCCTGTAATCCCAGCACTTTGGGAGGCCAAGGCAGTTGGAACACGTGAGGTCAGGAGTTCAAGACCAGCCTGGCCAACATGGTGAAACCCCGTCCCTACCAAAAATATAAAAATTAGCCTGGCATGTTGGTGCATGCCTGTAATCCCAGCACTTTGGGAGGCCAAGGCAGTTGGAACACGTGAGGTCAGGAGTTCAAGACCAGCCTGGCCAACATGGTGAAACCCCGTCCCTACCAAAAATATAAAAATTAGCCTGGCATGGTGGTGCGTGCCTGTAATCCCAGCTACTCAGGAAGCTGAGGCAGAAGAATTGCTTGAACCTAGATGTAGGTTGCAGTGAGCTGAGATCACACCACTGCATTCCAGTCTGGGGAGAGAGCACGACTCCATCTCAAAAAAACAAAAAACCCAAAGGGTTCTAAAAGCTTTCATAACAAACTTACTAAATTCAAAACAAGATTCTTCTGTATCTTATAAGCCAAAGATTAGAATTTGGTTCACCAGGATAAGAGGCCACATAGAATACACCAATATTCTAATTGAAACTTAGGGAGGATAGGGGTGAACCAGATATAAACTGAGCCTTTCTAGAGCTGTAATTCAGTCTTGATTCAACTAAGTTGACGATTGAAGTGGCCAGCAACCCCAGTTAGTGATATTACACTACTTCACTTCTAGTACTTCCATTTCTTTTCCCTCAGCTATTGTGTTATTGTCTCATATTTTATTTCTGTTTAAAAACTTGCAATTCACTGTTATTATTTTTACTTTAAATATTTAATTATTTGTGTTAGTCTATTCATGTTGTTATAAAGTAATACCTAAGGCAGGGTGACTTATAACAAAAAGAGATTTGTTTGGGTAATAGTTCTGCAGGCTGTACAAGAGACACGGCACCAACATCTGCATCTGGGGAGGACTTCAGGCTACTTCATTCACAGCACAAAATGAAGGGGAGCAGTGTGTGCTGAGATCACGTGGTGGTGAGAGAGGAAGCAAGAGAGAGAGGTAAAGGAGGTACCAGGTTCTTTTCAACAACTAGCTCTCCTGGGAACTAATAGAGCAAAAACTCACTCCTTACCCAGAAGACACGGTAGCAAGATCAAACCATTCATGAGGGATCTGCCTGCATGACCCAAACACCTCCCATTAGGCCCCACCTCTAACACTGGAGACCAAAACTTCAACATGAGTTTGGGATGGGTCAAATATCCAAATCACAGCATGATTTAATAGATTTAAGTAATAAGAAAAAAATTCTGTAAACGCTAAAACAACCACTAAAAGAACACAGCAAAGTTGTAACTAACAAGAAAACAAGGAAGATAAAAAATCATCATTAAAAAATTCAATCCAAAAGAAGGCACACACACAAAAATGGAACAAAGAACATATAGTACAAATAAAAACAAATAGCTAAGTGAGGCTGGGCACAGTGGCTCCTGCCTGTAATCCTAGCACTTTGGGAGACCGTGGTGGGTGTATCACTTGAGATCAGGGATTCGAGACCAGCTTGGCCAACATGGGGAAACCCCACCTCTACTAAAAATACAAAAATTAACCGGGCATGGTGGCAAGTGCCTGTAGTCCCAGCTACTCAGGAGGCTGAGGCAGGAGAAGTGTTTGAACCCAGGAGACGGAGGTTGCAGAGGGATAAGATTGCACCTCTGTACTCCAGCCTGGGTGAAAGAGCAAGACTCCATCTCAAAATAAATAAATAAATAAATAAAACCAGCAAGGTGGTACACATAAATCAAACCATATTAGAAATCACATTAAATATGAATGGCCTACACACCCCTATTAAGAGGGAGAAATTGTCAACTGTGATTGCTTAAAAAAGGCAAGACCCCACTTTACACTGCCTATAAAAACTCACTTTTAATAATAAATCTTAAGTAGATTAACAGTAGAAAGTTGAAAAATATATACAGTGATAATACTAATCAAAAGAAACCTAGTGTGATTATATAAATATAAAAGTATATTTCAGAACAAAGAAAACTTCCAAGGTTAAAGAGGTTCATTTCATGACAAAAGGACCAATTAATGAAGAAGGCATAACAAACCCAAATATTTATGCTCTTAAAAATAGAATTCCAAAATACAAAAAAAAAAACTTTTATAGGACTGCAAAAATAAAAGGACAAATGCACAGCTATGGTTGGACATCACTCTTTCAATAATTGATAGAACAAATAGAAAATAAATAAAGGTTTATAATACTTGGACAACATTATCAACCAATTTGACCTCATTAAATTTTATAGAACTTTCCACACACTAACAGCAAAATTCACTGTCTTTTCAAGTGTACACAGAACATTCACCATAGATCACCTTCTGAACCATAAAACATATGTGTAGTTTCATGGAGAAGTTCTCTTTAAATGAACTGACTAAAGAGAAAATAGTTTTAGACTTGATTACAGAGGGATCTGCATCTTTTACTGATTGTCACTTAAAGTAGGCTGCCGGGGCACCCCGATTTTTTTAAGAGTTGTTCTTTAAGGACAATGGGGGAGGAAAATCCTCACTGGAAGGAATTGAAACTGTTTATCTAGAAGACCACTAAAAATAAGCAATAATATTCATGTGTTTTAACTACTGGCTTATGATTTGGCCAATCACTTGGAACTTGGAAAGAAAAGATTAAATCATTCATGACAACATTTGAGGAAGGGGTAGAGGATGAGCCTGTCAGAATTCGATCAGTGTGCAATTATGTTTATTTGCCATTGGAATGCTCACCCAAACTACTAATTGAGAAAGGCTCTCAATAATAAACAGATGACCTGTTCTGTAGATGTCAATCAGTCTCTTCTCCATCTATTCCAGAATGGACTCAATGGGCTCCTGAACAAAATTCTTACAATGGCAGGGATGGAGACCACACATCTACTCAACACAAAGACTTTGCCTCAGGAGGCTGACCTGGATAAGACCATGCTGTGTACCCAAATGGCCAGCAGAAGCCCACACTGAGCCCCATACATAGCACCATGCTCCAGGCATATTAGCCTCAATCTGAGGACAGACTGAGTATATTGGACCCCTTGCAGCATGGAGAGGTCAGTGATGTTTTTCTTCCTGGAATACTTAGTGTGAGTACCCACTTTCCTTCCCAAAAATACCATCTGTGGGACTAATAAATTGCCCATTTAAAACTATAACTGTGTCTCACTCAATATTGCTCTGAAAAAGAAATTCTTAAAGAAAAAAATAAGGGGAAATAGGTTAATGCCCATGAAATTTACTAATAATAACATGCACCCATTACTTAGAAGTAGCTGGCTTTATGTAACAATGGAATGTCCTATTGAAGATTCAGTATTAGCATCATCTGTGAGACAGCACTTAGCAAAGTTGAGGTACTCACTTACAGGATGCAGTGTATGCTCTGAATGAATGAACAATATACAGTGCTGTTTCTCAAATAGGCAGAATTCAATTGTGGAGGGCGAAAATTTCACCAAAATGTGAAAATAGGACTAACTTCCTCACCATGACATCCAGTGATGCCCTTCTTGCAACCCTTCCTCCATCTCTGGGCACTTCATGTTAATAAATCTTAGTTTCTAAAGAAAGAATATTTTCACTTGTAACAGTCCCATTAAATTAGAAGTTGGACATTTTGAATCTTCACACCAAAGGACAAATAGGAAAAAAAGAAGGTTCTAAGTTGGTTATGGTAATAATTCAGGCTCTCAGGAGTAAATAAAATTGGTGCTCAATAGTGCATCCAGGGAGAATATCTACAACTGACAGATGCTCCCAGTGATAAAAATTAATAGAAAACTCTAGTGCCATACAGGCAGAACCATTCTGAGTTAAGATGCCTCAAGAATGAAGATTTGCATCATCACACTAGGTAAAAAAATCTTTCCCAGGTAAGGTATTTACTATGTACAAAAATCATGGAATGAGAAATCGAAGAAGTAACTATGGATACTAACCATGGCCTTTGATCTTTTGCAGAAATGAGGACTGTGACATCCAACAGTATTTGCTTTCTTTCTTGCTATGTCATGTATATATATTCATTAATTTAAGGAACCCATTATTCAGGAATATATTTTTATATTCATTTGCTTTTGTTTTTCCTTTTTGTTCACTTTTTACTCTATGTTAATTCTTCATATGTTAACATCCATGAAATATGTGTATGTACATTTTTTCACATTGACCTCTCAGAAATTGAATCTTACAGTTGTAAATGCATCTTACAAGTAATGGCATGCTATGGTTTAGAGATAGTGTTTTTAATTTTTTTATGTGTAATAACATTGATAATGATGCATCTTACAAATGATAGTGTCTTAAATTTTTTCAAATTCATTAAATAAAGTGTATTGGCAGTGGTTAAGTTTATAACCTAGTATAAAAAATTACAGAAAATCAAGATGGAATTGTTACTGTAATGGAGAAGGAATAAACATCACCCAGAAATACTGGACTCAGCCAGTAGAAGAGACCAAGTCTGTCCATTTGGAAAGAATGTGAGGTGTTCTCATTTACGTGGCATAGTTGTGTTATGTTACACTGGTGTGTGTAGTTGATGTTGTTGAACTTGGAAGACTGAATATGGAAGAAGAGTAAATGTTGTTGAGCAGTCCGTAAGTGGACTACCCTGGACATCAGTCATATGAATATGTCTAAAATCATTTGCTTTTCCAGTTATTGTAAATCCTGCCTTTTTCAGGTGATACACTAAAATGACACTTTCCAAGCACTTGAGAGTAGACAGGCTTCCACTGAGAAGATGATATGATGCATCAAGAAACAGGGAGGTTAGAGGAGAGAAAACAAAACTCAAACAACTTATGTAGTAAGGGAAAAATACTGTAAATTACAAGCAGTAATGAAACAGGAGAGTTCCTTGACCCCCTTTGCAGGATGTGTGACAAGGGTGTGGCTTGTCTATTAAGTCACCACATGCTCAAACCCCTTATGAGATTGGGAGTACTCAGACTGGCAGGTGTGGGAACCAGGGTGAGCGCTTCTGGGCTCCTGCTCCACAGTAGCATCTAGGGGTGGGTACCTGTGACTCCCGAAGCCCCAGTGCTCTTTTTACTACAGTGCTCTTTCTGTTACAGTGCTCTTTTTGTTACAGTGCTCTTTTTGTTACAGTGCTCTTTTTGCTCTGCCATCCACAGACAGCTTAAGCATTAACCAGCTCAGTGCCCTCTTTGTACCCAGGTCCTTGTCCGGCGTCCAGAAAGAATCAGTTCACGTGGACAAATTGAAGGGTGGTGAATCCAGGGGATTTTATTGCTGGATAGAGGTGGCTCTCAGCAAGATGGATGGGGAGCTGGAAAGCGAATAGAGTGGGAAGATGATCTTTCCCTGGAGCTCAGTCATCCTGCGGCCAATCTCCCCTCTGACCGTCCCCAGCCAAACTCCTTTCAATATTCAGACACTCCTCTTCTCTTCTCTCTTTCTCTGCTCTGCTGGTCTTTTGCTCCTCTGCTCTTCTGCTTGCGGAGCCTGGGATTTGGGGTTTGTATGGTTACAAGATAGGGAGGCATGGCAGGCCAAAAAGCAACATTTGGGTGGGAAAACAGGAATGCCTGTTCCCATTTAGGCTTTAGGTTTCCAGGCTTGAGAGTAGGGCCTTTGCGGGGGAAACACCCTCTTCTACCCGGCATTTCCTTGCCTCCTGTCCATATCAGTAAAACTGATATAATTTTCAGAGCCATGCTAAAGAATGAAACCCCATTTCTTTGGATGTAGAATCATCTCAGTGATCCCTTGTTTGAAATTCACACTATTGATTCATACGATGGCGATTACTCCAAGCTGGAGATTAATGAGATAGACAAGGCAGAAAATCAGTAAGAAAATAAGTCTAGGGCTCTAGGAAAGCAATTTAAATTATTTATTTATAGGTTATAGGATAAACTTATGGTCTAGAAAGCTAGAAAGAAATGGAATGGTGAGGGGCTTAGGAAAGCTTAGAATGATAAGCAAACACTGTGAGAGGGAAAAAATATAAAACAAGAGAAACACATACACAGAAATACAAATGCTGCACAAAGCTTGTTTTAATGACACCCCAATTTTGATGATTAACCTTCCATCTGTTGTCCACTTCTTTGCTATTATGGCCAATGGGACCCGAAATTCATACCCTCAGGGCCAGATCAGCCCTGGGAATGAAAAGAAATTCAATGGCAAAATGTTCCTTTTCCGTTCTCATTTTGAAACTATCTCTTTTATCATTTCTGAGGGAAACTTTTGCCCATTGTTTTCTCCTCCTTTTGCATATTGAAGTTTAAATTGACCAAAGACTACTGAGGACATGTCCCTTGCAGTAGCTGGCTTCAGCTAGTGGATTCCTAGAAAAGCCCCCAAGAATTCATGCTCCCAGTTTTTGTGGTGTTCACATGGAACATGGCATTGTATAATGGTTGAAGTGCAAAGGTGTTTAGGTTAACAGAATGCCATCTTAGAATAAGATCAGAACAAAGTACAAAGATTGTCCTAATTTCTTTCTTCCCCAAACTGCTTTAATTCAACAAAAACTTGGCCAATTTTTTTAAAGACACTTTTCCCAAGGAGAGTTGGGATCTATGTCATCTTCCTTGATATCTAAGCGATTTGTGTCACCGCTTTTTGATCAATAGAATAGAGCGAAAGTGGTAGTTCTAGGCCCAGACTTTAAGAAGCTGACAGCTTCCATTCCTCTTTCTTGGATCACTTGGTCTTGGCTGCTATTGGCCACTTGAATCTCTGTATAAGTAGTTCAAGTATTCTACTGGAGAAACCACATGGTGAGGCCCTGACCATGAGGCAGACTCACTGTGCTCTGCCTACTGACTTATCTGAGTCTGGTGAATCAGAACACGCTCACATGCAACGACTTACATAAAGCAGGTTTTTTATGGACAGACAGGTAGCAAGAAACATAGAAGCTTAGGATCCATTGTGAGCCAGTGCTCAAGAAAGCTCCCCGAAATAGATGAAGTCTCAACTGTGAGCACTCAACTTGCATCACAGCTGAGGGGCCCTCGGGAAAGGCAGCCCACCTCAGGTTATCTCCCTCAGGGAAAGTGTCACTCACTGGGCTGAAGTTGGGAAGAACATTCGGCTTTCGGGGGGAGAGGAAAAAGCTCAGTCTTGCCCAGGCAGATCCTTGCTAACTCAAGATGTTACCTTTTTTAGGAGGGACAGGAACAGGAACTGGGGAGTTTCAGGCAGTTCCTCCCCATCCCAGGATGCTGCATTCCCAGCACATTCTGCAGTTACTCTCTAGAACAGCAAGCAAGAATGGGGGAGAACCAGGCCCATCCAAAGGCCCCTGAAGAACTGCCCTGCACTGCCACTACATGGAGTGGGGTCCAGGTGGGCCCAGTTTCCCAGCCTTTCCTTCCAAGACTCCAGGTATATGTATGAGGCTGTCTTTGACCCTCTAGACCAGACCGAGCCATCAGCTGAATACCACTGAATGACCCCCAGTCAGCACCACAAGCAAATGACTAACCAACCATGTTCTGATCAAATGCCCGAAACACAAAATTATGGATATGCTATCATGCACCACACTGATGCTTCAATGACAGACCACATATACAATGGTGGTCTCATAAAATTATAATGGAGCTGAAAAATTCCTATCACCTAGTGATACTGTAGCTGTCATAATACAGCACAAGGCATTACTCACACAAATCTATGATAAAAAATGAAACAAACCAAACAAACCACATGGATATATTTCTGGAATGAATGATATCTTCCCAAGAAGAATCTCAGGCAGGTCCTTCAGGAGGTATCCAGAAGAAGGCATTGCTATCATAGGAAAGGGCAGCTCCATGCATGTTATTGCCCCCGAGGACCTTCCAGTGGGACAATATATGGGAGTGGAAGACAGTGACATTGATGATCCTGATCCTGGGTAGGCCTAGGCTACTGTGTGTGTTTGTGTCTTGGTTTTTAACAAAAACCTTATAAAGTAAAATAAATAAATCATTTTAGGCCAGGCACGGTGGCTCATGCCTGTAATCTCAGTTCTTTGGGAGGCCGAGGTGGGTGGATCACAAAGTCAGGAGTTCGAGACCAGCCTAGCCAATATGGTGAAACCCCGTCTCTACTAAAAATACAAAAATTAGCTGGGCATGGTGGTGCGTGCTGTAGTTCTAGCTGCTCGGGAGGCTGAGGCAGGAGAATCCCTTGAACCCGGGAAGCAAAGGTTGCAGTGAGCCTAGATCACACCACTGCACTCCAGCCTGGGTGACAGAGTGAGGCTCCATCTCAAAAATAAATAAATAAACAAATCATTTTAAAGATGGAAGAAACTTATAGAACAAGGATAGAAAGAAAAAATATTTTTGTGCAGCTGTACAATGTGTTTGTGTTTTAAGCTAAGCGTTACTACAAAAGTCAAAAAGTTTAAAAAGTTGAAAAGTGTATAAAGTAGAAATGTTACAGTAAGCTAAGGTTAATTTATTATTAAGAAAGAAAAATTCAAAAAATAAATTTAGTGTAGTCTAAAGCATACAGTGCTTATAAAATCTACCGTAGTGTACAGTAATGTCCTAGGCCTTCTCCCTCACTCACCATTCACTCACTCAGTCACTCACCCAGAGCAACTTCCAGTCCTGCAAACTTCATTCATGATAAGTACTCTCTAGAGGTATACCATTTTAAATCTTTTATCCCCTATTCTTATTGTACGTTTTCTTCATTTAGATACACAAATACTTGCCTGCATTACATTAGGCAAGTATTTGTGTATCTACAATACATTAGATACACAAATACTTGCCATTACGTTACAACTGCCTACGGTATTCTGTGCCTGCTGGACAGGTAAGCAGCCTAGGAGCAATAGGCTATAACTTAGAGCCTAGGTGTGTGGTAGGCTATACGATCTAGGTATATGTAGGTACACTCCATGATCTCTGCACAACAATGAAATCGCCTAATGATGTATTTTTCAGAACATAACCCCATTGTTAAGTGATGCATGACTATAATTATGTAGTTGTAGTTTTAAGCCACCAAATTTTAGGATAGTTTGTTACACAGCCATAGGTCATCAGAATAAGAAGTATGGCTGAAAAGCTGCTGATAAATACTATTTTTATAAGTCTGTCATAATTTCTCCTTAATTTGCTTCATGATTTCAGAGCTGCCTTCTGTTCTTTTTGGTGAGTACTTTAACCTTAAGAATTGCTGTCCCTTAAGCCCCCCTGTTAAGGAACTGATGAGCTGGAAACATAAGCTTATGCTCATTTGGGAGTTTCACTCTAAAAAAGCAACAAAATGAATGATTTTTTATTAAAAGTAATATAGAAATCTTCTTCTCTCTTGTTCTCACTCATTTTATCTACCAAGTAAAGCATTTCCATGTGTATTTTTTATAGGTACTAGGATACATTTTGGTTTTGCAGATTTTTTAAACTACGAGGGGAATCCTCCCCACAGTGGCTGCATTCCAAGCTTAGTCCACCTAATGCCTACTGGGCAGAGTGGGTGAAGCTATTTGTAGATCTATAAAGCATTTGAGATCCTCCTGGGTAAAACGTGGTGTTCGAATTATAAGGCCATTATCATTAACAATTGGCAGGAGCCTCCTCTCTTTTCTCCTGGAGAGAAGGGATTGAAAGATGTTTCCTTTAATCGTCATGCTGACCTCACCTGAAAGGCTCATGCTATCTGGAAGGAAGCCCCCTTCTCAGCTCCCTGATGCCCAAGCACCCCTTTGCTCTGAGCAGCAGGGGTGTAGTCTATGGTGGAGAAATGAAATTCTTTTGCCAGATAAAATGGTTATGGCAGTTGGTGATTATTACCCAGAATATTGCTTCAGGGGAATTAAATGTCAGCAATGTCATAGAAGGAGAAAGAGATACGTTTAGGTCAGCTTCAGTCATCAGCTTCATCTATCTGCGCACATACCCCAGACATTCCGGTACAACATCTGTGACTCACATTTGAGTTGACACGTGTAGCTGCACAATGCAAACCCATTTTTAGTTATTTAGGAAACTAGCAACAACTATAAATGGCAGAATGTCTATCGTGTGATAGGCACTCTGTATAATTTTTTTCATTTAATCATTGGAGCAGTTCTATAAATTGTTAAATATTTTTTATTATATAGATGGGCAAACTGAGGCTTAGAAAGATTTAGCAGGCTGACCAGGATGACACAGTTAGGAAACATTGTAAATAGGATTCAACCAATTTATGACGCCAAAATGGCTACCTTGTTCACATCTATACACTACATTGATAATATAGGAATAGATGTCACCTACTTTAAAAAATCAAACAAGGAAATAAACAATAAAATAGAAATGTAAGAGTACTGGAAGAAAAATAATTTGCTATAATAAGAGTTCTTAAAGGGTTATTTACAAGTAAGGAGACAGTGATCTAACAGTGAAATAAATACTTGAAAAACACAAGAATGATAAAGAATAAAAAAGTACTCTAGCAGAATGTTAGCTATTGTCCAGGACTCTTTAAAGTACTTCTATGTTAACTTATTTCATCCTTCTCAATGACGCCATGAGAGAGGTATTATTAATAGACCCATCTTACAAATAGGGAAACTGAGGCATTGAGGGGTGAAGCAATGTGCCTAAGTTTACCCTGCCAGTAGGTTGTGAAGCCAGACTTAGAGCCAGGAGCTTAGCATGAGAGCCCAGCCCCTTCATCTTGGATGTACTGGCCAGAGTTGTAATCCTGTTTCTGCCACTTTCTAATTTTGTGACCCAAAAGACGTTACTTACTTTTTCAGAGTCATATTTTTCTCATCTGTAAGATAGGGATGATGATACAAAACTTATGAAATTGCTGCAAGAACGACATGTTTGCTGCCTCCCCCATAATTGGTTCTCAGCAAATGCCATTTCCTTCCAAATTCCTTGCTATTTCCCCTCTTGTTTCTCCCCGTCCTTTCTCTGTCATTCTTGCTTTCTCTTCTCTTATCCTCCCCCACTTTGGTTCATTAGTGGCTGCCTCATGCGCTCTGGGGCCATTTGCATCCACAAAGGCATCAGGGCTGGCACCCTGCCTTCCAGCTGGGGGTGGTGCCAAGAGCTTCGAGAACAGTGCTCAGAGTCTTTGCCACACTCAGCTCTTCCCCACCGCTTCATCCAAGGCAATGCCGCCAAAGGTCATTTCAGTATGAAGTCTGATTGAGGTCCTGGGGTGAGAAAATAGCTGTTGCTCTAAAGATCAGTACTAGTCCAATGGAGAGTTCAAGCAAGTCCCTGCAGGAAATGCTGGTACCAGAACTGGGGTTGCTCCAAGACCATCTATTCGGTGACAACACCATTCTCGTCAAGTCTGCTTCTGGATTCGTCTGCATGAGGCCCACAGAACCAGAGCTGAGGAAACATCAGCTGGGCTGGCACAGTTCTTATTTCTTTCATATCCCCCTTGTCAACAGTTTGAAAGTGAGATGGCTAATTTTGTGCATGACAAGAAAGGACGGATCATTTTCTCAGATGCTGTTATCAGCGAAGTCAGAGCTGGTACACTCTCTGAGGGAGTCCCTGAGCCACAGGTTACTGGCAGGCAGACAAACACTCACTGACAGCCATTTGTGACCAACTATGAAACACCATCTGCTGTGGCTGGGGGGAGGAACAGCTCCAGCAAGTGAAAGACATTGTAGAGCCTTTTTCCTGTGTTAACTCAGGGCAGACTTTAGGTAGTCCTACATGAAAAGCAATTTTGTACTCCTGAATAGCATAGATCATGCAGATTTGTACATATATAAATTTTAGAATGTTGATGTGTTTCTAGAAGTGCAAATATTCAAATCCATCTTTACATTCAAATGCACACATGAATCCACTGTATCCAGTAAAACAATATTATCTGGAAGTGAATACAGTCCAGAACTGAATAAAGTTCCACTGGAGATCTGAACCAAATTGTGCTTAGACATCATTAAAAGAACAACAAAGGCTGAACTGATAGGTCTTTGATGTTTTAATATGGGACTTAAAAAATTATATTATTCCCTCACTAGGGATGGAGGTGAAAAGAGTTCTACTTTACAATTCAAGATATATGTCGAGAAATGTACGGTGCTTCATCGTGAATAATGGAAACATTATTCAGAAGCAAAAAGACACTTTACTGGGAGGGTTAAGGTCTTCAAGATACTTAGGAGAAAAGAATCTTCTTGCTCATTAACTTTAATAAGGCATACAGCCAAAAGTGTATGCCAACCCTCTCTCTCTCTGGGTGGAAGTCTGGGCTTTCACTTTTAGGAGTCTTAATAGTCTTGTCTCATGATTAAGTAATGAGAGCTGGCATCAGTGTATCTGAAGTTTAGCTGATCTTGCATTTATCCTTATAGGCCTAAGGAAGATCATAAAGCAAATGTTTTAAAGTCAAATATACAAGCAAATTAGATAGATGGTAGATAGATGATAGATAGATACATACATACATACATACATACATACATGTTTTCACAGCAGAAAAATGCCAGAGTTACTGATTCTTTGCTTGAACACAGGGCACCTGGCAGGGGTTACAAGGTTTGCTGGAGGCAAATACTTAATACAGATTACAATATCTGCTTTATGTAATCTAGTTCCCAAGTAAAAATTCAGTCCCAACTAAAAATTTAATAGGTTAAAACCTATTGTAATGTTCATTCTTAGGTCTTTTTGAAGTTTTTAAGATGAAAGAGATGGTGAATGTCTGTCCTTGCATTTCTGTTTCCTACAGCAGAAGAGGAGCTGCTGTTCTAAAGCTAAAATCCAATAACCTTCCAGTGAAGATCCCAGATTGTCCCTGAAATCTGTGCCTCAGAGGGAGGGGAGGGGCGGAGGTGGCAGGCCAGGCCTCTATGAATCCCATTACACCAAAGCGTGGGTATGACCTGCTCATGGGAACATAACACATCAGTGATGGAGGATAAGGAAAAAAGATTTAAATGTGCTTTCACTTATGGCCGTGCAATATGAAAAACAAATCTAAACATTTGTCTGTAGAATCAGGTGATGATTGGCTGTCGGCTGTCTCAGGGGGAGCAGGGAAATAGTCCATGCACCTGCCACCTAATTCAGTTTAAAACCTGACACATTTACCAAGAGTGGGCTGGCATAATGAAGTTCATTCAGGCTGTCAGTGGAGTCAATAACTTATCCCCAACTGCTTTTGTTTCAGCAGCGGCAGTGCCTCTGATCAGGCTGAGGTACTTATTCAAGTAAAATTTATTTTCAATTGCCGGCCATAATGCCATGGACACAAGCCTGGCTTTGACAGGACCTTTTGCTCAAGGCTACACTATTGTTAAAGTTTGTGTCCATTGTCTGGGGTCTTTGATCTGTCAAAGCTGCTTAACAAGCTGGTTAAAAACTGTTTCAGATAACAGGTGTGTCCTTTGAGGGCACAGGGATATTTTTCAGCTCCTTTAAAAGACTAGTTTGAGGACTGACCAAAATTTACAAGCTGGTTGGTGGTGATATATATAAAGTACTTTTAAAACAAGAAAGTGAGATTTAATGTCTTGACTTCCTTGGGTTTACTGCAACAAGCAACCTTTTTGAGTGAGAGATTTAAGAGACATGTTTGTTTTTGTTTTGTTTTGTTTTTAAATCAAATCAAGTGTTAAATATATTCGTATGTAGATTTGTATAGAATTAGGGTCAAAGTTCAGTACATACCAGAGGTGTGAGAAGCCACTGCACGCGCACAGAAAAGCCCGTGGTCCGCCAATAGTCAACCAATTACACCTGAAACTCTGAAAGGCTTCTAATTTCCGGAAACAGCAACATGCCAGCAGAAGGTGATAGGCATACATGCAGTTGAAAATGTTCTCCTTTTCCAAACTCTAGTACCAGAAAAACTAAGATATTACAGAAGTTCTCTTTGGGAGCCAAATTATTTCTTCCTATTAGTTTCAGAAACACCCTTATATTTATCTGGGGGCAAAATGCACCCTCAGCTGCCTCTTTTCAAATCTATCACAAGCAGTCTTCCCCCTCTCCTCTGTGGCAGTCATTTTGTTTTGGCTGAAGATTAATGGGGCTAAAGAAAAAGGTGGGGCTTGAACCAGGGGACACAATTGAGTCATTTACACTATTCATCTGCATAAAGCTGCCTCAAGTTCACCAAACTCTCTTTGAAAAAGGACAGAAATCAGAGTGAGTCTTAACTCTTCTCTGAGACCCTGGCAAAATGCCTTCCATCAAACACCAAACTTGCTAGATATTTATAGGTTAAGTCAGAAGTCGGATTACAATTAAAGAGCCCAACAGTATCTTTTTAGTCCAAAACCATCTCTGAAGGAAGGAGGCAACAAAATTAACCTAAATGTTTGTTTTCTTCCTAAAACGTTAAGTCTGAATGCACCTACTATACCTAAAAGAAGTTTCTTTAACGATCTCTAAAAGAAGGAGTTAACAAAGAAAGTAGGAAATTTATATTTTTAAACATATTTCTTATTCCCCACACCCCCAAACAAAGCAAAACAAAACAAAACGGAAGGCGCACAATGTGTTTAGAAGTAAAAAACTCCTTAACTACATACAAGAAAGTTCTTACTACATATAAGTGTTTAATAGGTTATAGAGACATTCTCAATCAATGGGAAAGGGACGGGAAAATCAATACATCATTTTGGGGGAATGCAGTTAGCTATGTAGGGAAAAAGTCAGTTTCAATTCCCACCCTGCACCATCCTCATTAATAATTCCCCAGGTGGAGGCGCTGTAGCTTGAATCTGATCTGAGGCTGTTTAAATTTGGGCAAGATTATTTGCTTCTCTAAGCATCATTTGTTCTGTTGCTCATTCACAAAAATGGGGACAAGTATTTTAGTTACAGAAAGGGAGTGTTTTAAGGTTGAAATATGATAATTTTTTTAAAGTAAGTTTGGCCCTTGGTTAGTAATAGTACTTATAATGGAGTCACATTATATAATTACTAATATAAAAGATTAATGAATATCATTTATCTGGGTATGGGAGCCCTTGCTAAAAGCATGAAAGTAATCAGAATGAAAGGAATTTATGGATATAACTACATATAACTATAACTATATATAACTTATATAACTACATATAACTGTAAGTCCTCTATGCATTAAACAAAGTAACCAAAATTAAGACAAGAACAAACTTAACAAGATATTTTTAAGATTTGCCACCTTTTACTTGGACATCTCACAAATTAATTAGTAAAATACTAAGGTTCCAACCAATAATTCAGTAAAAAACATAAATCTGTAATTCCCACAAAAGGAAATTTTTTTTTGATCATCGTAACACCAGAGTCTAACTTCTACATGGCACTGGAATTCTGTCAACCTTTTTTACTGTGAAATCTAGGAAAGAATCTATTGCATAGCAACATACCCCTCAAAATCATTCCTCTTTGCTATCAAAGAAATACAATTTTAAACAAGTGGATAAGAAAACAGTAGTTGTTACTTAAAAAAAAAATCAACATACACACAATTGTTTATTCTAGCTGATTTATAATAGTGAAACTCTGAGAAAGATTAAAATATACAAATACAGACAAATGGCAAGTTTTCATCTTGTAATGGGAAGAAACATTCTAATTTTTCTCTAACATTTATTTTAAAGAGAGATCCAAAAAATCTAATTTTACACATTCTGTTTGAACTTTTATAAACCTAAAGGTATAAAACACTCTATACTGGGCAGCTTTGCTATTTTCATAAGAATTAGATTTAGAGTGAAACTAAAGAGATGTCAGTCAGGCACTTAATTGTCAACTTTTTTTTTTCTAATCCTTTCCTATCTCAAGAGTAGGTCAGAACTGTTCCTCACTTGTGATCATACCAAGGAGCATTAACATTTTCCCCTCCCTTGTTTACCACCCTCCTCATCTTTTCCATCACTCCTTCCCACTCACCCAATACTCCCCGCAACAAATAAATAAGCAAGCAAGCAAGCAAGCTTTTATCTGGAACAAGCAAGAGTGTATAGAAATCAGTTCACAGAAAATGAGGCTGACTTGTCCATAAAAATATTAAAGGACTTATGACCAGGACAGAATGGAACGACGTTCTGTGCTCTCACACAGCAATGGTTCTCCACTCAAGTTCTCTTCCACATCTTCCCTTCCTGAGCAGTTAGTGGAACAAGCCTGGGCCTGCCCAGGAGGTGAAATGATGGTAGGGTGGGTGTACTGAGTTGAGTAGTGCTATGGTTTAAGGGGTCCCCTCCAAAATTCGTGTTTAAACTTGATCCCCATTGTGATCGTATTATGAATGGGGCCTTTTGGGAAGTGATTAAGGCATGAGGGCTGTGCCCTTGTGAATGGGTTCATGCCTTATAAAAGGACTGGAGGGAACGGGCTTAGGTCCCTTTTTGCCCTGTCGTTCCTTCTGCCATGTGAAGACACAGTGTTCGTCTCCTCTACAGAACACGACAACAAGGCACCATCCTGAAAGCAGAGACCAGGCCCTCACCAGACACCAAATACTGGTACCTTGATCTTGGACTTCCCAGCCTCCAGAACTGAGAAATAAATTTCCGTTCTTTATAAACTAACCAGATTCAAATATTTGTTACAGCAGCACAAAAGGACTAGACAAATAGTATCCTCCTTCAGAATTTGTTTCCACCTAGATCCTGTGAATATGATTCTGTTTGGAAATAGGGTATTTGCAGATGTAATCAAGTTAAGATGAGGTCACACTGCATTAGAGTGAGCTCTAAATCAATGACTGGTGTCCTTAAAACAAGAGGGAAATTTGCACACACAGACACACAGAGAGAAGAAAGCCATGTGAAGATGGAGACAGAGATTGAAGTCGCCCTGCCATTAAACATGGAATACCTGGGGCCACCACAAACTGGACAAAACAAGGAAGGATTCAGATTCCTCCCTGAAGCCATCAGAGGAAGCACTGCCCTGCCCATATCTTGGTTTCAGATTTCTAGTTTCCAGAGCCATGAGAAAATAAATTTATGGTTTTTTAAAGCCACCCAGTGTGTGACACTTTGTTACAACAGCTAGTACTAGTACTAGTACAGAAACTAGTGCAGTGGGTCTCAAGGGAATGGAGGCAAGAAACAAATCCTAGCAGTCTTTCACGTGTTGCATGACTAACAAAAATCATCTTCTAGAGTTGTATTTCTGACATTTGCTGCTTTCATCAATAGATCAGTAGCTACCCATTTATCCTTATCTGTCTTCTGCTTGCTCTCAAAGAATCACAGGCGATTAGAAAACAGAACCTTAGGAACATTTATTTCAATGCCCTCATTGCACAGAGAAGGAAACAGGTTCAGAAGAATGAAGTGTGTCAACCCAGGTCACATAGCTGTGTTGGGGCAGAACTAGCACTGGTAACTTGTTCTTCTGACAGCAAATATTCCCTCAGTCAGCAAACATTTTCCTTGTGTCTCTATTGTTTGGGGCTCTGATCCCAGCACTTAAGGAAATACAGGAAGAATAAAGAGACAGTCTCTGCCTTTGGAATTGAATTCTGCATTATGTAATCAGTTGTTTCAACATTTATTACCTTCCCTATAATGAAGCTTTGTGAGGGAAGGGGTTGAGTCTTTGCTGATCATCCCATATCAGTCAGGATATATAAGGAGAAAGAACAAGAGAGAGACATTTATTTTAAAAAATTGGCTCATACTATTGTGGGGACTGGTAGGTCAGAAATCTGCAGGGCCGACTGACTGGATTTCTGTGTTACAGTCTCGAGGCAGAATTCCTTCTTCTCTAGGAACCGTCAGATTTTGCTCTTAAGGACTTCAACTGATTGGATGGGATCCACCTGTAATGATGGGAGTAATCATCTCCTTTACTTAAAGTCAACTGATTGCAAATATTAATCAAGTCTGCAAAATATTTTCACAGCAACCTCAATGTAGTGTTTAGCCACTATAAAATTAACTATCACACATCTCCAGCATCTAAATCCATCTATGCTGGTTCCCACAACCTGGATTTCTCTGACCTCCATTTGTCCTTTTAGTCATAGCTCAGTGCCACCCCTCAGTGGAGCCCTCCCTGACTTCCATGACTAAATTTAGTCAACCAAGTCAAACTCAAGTTGTCATGCTGTTTGGCTTTCTTCATACCTCTTACTGCTGCCTCTGCAGTTTATTTATTGTTCACATGCTCACTTTCTATCTCCTCCCTAGAACAAGGACAGGGAGCCTTATTTGTCTCGCTCATCACTTTATCCCCAGAGGCAGTTTACTCTAGTGGTTAAGAGCATGGATAGTGAAGGTGGGCTGCATGAGTGTGAATCTTACATTTGCCCCTTAAAATAGCTGTGCGACTTTGGGAAAGTTACTCAACCTCTGGGCCTTGGCTTTGTCATCCTTAAAACTGCAACAGGGGGCCAGGTGCGGTGGCTCATACCTGTAATCCATGGACTTTAGGAGGCCAAGGTTGGAGGATTGTTTGAGCCCAGGAGTTTGAGACCAGCTTGGGTAACATAGCGAAACGTCAACTCTACAAAAAATTAGCTGAGTGTGGTGCATGACTGTAGTCCCAGCTACTTGGGAAACTAAGGTGGGAGGATCACCTGAGCCCCAGAAGTTGAGGCTGCAGTGAGCCGTGATTGCGCCACTATACTAGAACCTGGATGAAGGAGTGAGAGCCTGTCAAAACAAACAAACAAAAAAACCTGGAATAATAATGGTATCACAAAGGATTGTTGCAATGATTAAATGAGTTGAGGGATATAGAAGAGGGCATGGCATAAGGTTGAGTGCTACATGAGCAATCTACTTACTATGATAGTAGGACTTTAGTAAATATATGTTCAAAAAGGTAAGTGAATGGATTGCAATGCCTCTTGGCAACTGGGTAACCAGTGCATCACCATATCTTGCTTTGCTCCACTCGAACTCCACTCAAACATGAGAATTCTACACTCCCATTGTACTAAATCATCTTTCGAATCCCCTTTGCTCTTTCTGCTTCTAGGCCTTTTTCTATATTGTTATTTGGTACCCTGCTTCCTGACCTGACTAACAGCTCCACTGAAATCCCTCTAGACAGGGTTAAATACGCACGGATGCTGATGTTGTAACCTCTATCATAGAGTTTATTACACTGCTTTGCCATTTGCTTGATTATTTCCCTCTGTGGGACCTTAGTTTTTTGAGTGCTGATATCACATCTTCCTCATTCCCAACTGCACCCTCAGGACTTAACACAGTGCCCAGAGCAGGGCAAGTTTCATCAAATGGGTGAACAACTGTAGGAAAAAAATTGCTAGGACACCTGATGACCCTTTGGAAACAAGAGCTCACCATGGAGGCAGTGGACACTGCCACAGCATTATGAAAGTGACCAGCAACAGGACATGGCCACCTAGAGAAAGGAGAGGGAGAAGTCAAGGAAAAAGGTTAAAAGGATATTCATGAAGATTTAGGACATCTGTTAGGAACAACAGATTTGGAGTGAGACAGCACGGGGTTCAAAATTCAGCTCTACCATTTACTGGCTGTACACCTTTTCCGAGTTACTTAACCTCCCTACTCCTCACCCTCATGACCTATGGAAGGGACCTACTTATGCTATCTTGCCAAACTGTTGCGAGAAACCAGTGATATAACAATGGGTGTTTCTCATCAATGGCAGCTACTCTCAAACAACATAACACATGGAAATAGAGCATTCAGGGTAATAGGGTGACTCCTCTTAATGATGTGATTAAGTCACAAAGTTACTTTCCACTCCAAAATGTGTCTAGAGTCACATGTGTTAAAAAAAAAACCGTATTCAATGTAGCTATGTTTTTTTAAAAAACAGAAATAAATGTATACAGACTTTGTGATTTTTGTATTACATGGTTTTGAAATCTCATAGATGGAAGGCTAACTACAGGTCATCTTATGCAACCACCCATCCAGAGCTTGACTCTTCTCTAGAGCAGTTCTCATTCATTGATTTGCAAAATGCTCTTTATGCACCTATCATGTTCCAGACTCTACCGTCTTGGACCTGCTGTAAGGGGTTTACATTCCAGTGGGAGAGGGACAGGCAATTGGCCCAGGTGGTGGGTGCTGTGAGGGGAAGTACGTCTTGCTGGGGGAGCACACAGGATGGGAAACTGCCACTGGCCCAGGCTTCCCAGTGAAGTGAGAGTAAGCTGGGAAGTGAAGTCTGACTAAGAATAGGCTGGGCAAGGGAGAGGCATGGGGTGGGAACAAGCACTTTCCATAATGGGCACGGCATGTGCACAGGCCTGAAGGTTTGGAAGAGGGTACTGATGCCGGAAAGGCTTCCATTTAAATTTGAATCCATCTGCAAAATGTTCTTTCAGGATAATCAAAAAGCTCCTTCTTGAAGAGATTTCCTACTACCTACTGTTTAAGACCCTGAACGGTAGGTATGTAATGTTGTAGAATATATAATGTAGTAAAATGTAATGATGAGCACTATTTCTGGGGCTTTATGATTGGGGGGAACTTGCTTCTCAGCCCAGAGTAATCAAGCACTAAATTTCTTCAAGTCAGGAGTCAGAAAGCTTGGGAATTCCAACTTATGTTTCATAATTTCAAGGTTGAAGAAATAGAGTAAAAAGATAATATTATAGCAACTCCAAGAGGCCTGCATATACACATATCTCTTCTCCTACCAACACTCTACCACCTAAGAGAAAGGTGATGAAAATCTTGTAATAGGCTGGGCACAGTGGCTCATGCCTGTAATCCCAACACTTTGGGAGGCTAAGGTGGGCAAATTGCTTGAGGTCAGGAGTTTGAGACCAGCCTGGCCAAAATGGTGAAACCCCGTCTCTACTAAAAATACAAAAATTAGCCAGTCATGGTGGCAGGCATTTGTAATCCCAGCTACTCAGGAGGCTGAGGCAGGAGAATTGCTTGAACCCAGGAGGTGGACGCTGCAGTGAGCCGAGACTGCGCCACTGCACTCCAGCCTGGATGACAGAGCAAGACTCCATCTATCACGGGGTCAGGAGATCGAGACCATCCTGGCTAACATGGTGAAACCCCGTCTCTACTAAAAATACAAAAAATTAGCCGGATGTGGTGGCGGGCACCTGTAGTCCCAGCTACTTGGGAGGCTGAGGCAGGAGAATGGCATGAACCCGGAAGGCAGAGCTTGCAGTGAGCTGAGATCGTGCCACTGCACTCCAGCCTGGGCGACAGAGCAAGACTCCGTCTCAAAAAAAAGAGAAGAAAAAGAAAATCTTGTAATAATATTAGTATGCAATTCAAAAAAATTATTCTAGTTAACTTAGAATGTATTCAATTAGAAGACAAATATGATCATATTTTTAAAAAGTAAAAATGTATCCTCCTTAGACCCACTTTACCAGATATTAAGATATAATACTAAGGCATAGCAATAACAATATACTGATAGTGGCATAGAAATAGATTAATATACCAGTGATACAGAATAGAGAGTTCAGAAATGACCCATGAATACAGGAACTTGATATAGGATAAAGATGCCATCACAAATTAATAGGGAAATGACATATTGTGCAGTAGTCAGTAGTTGGGAAAATTGGTGTACAGATATTAGGCTGGGAGAAGACAGTTGTTACATCTAAAACTTTCAATATATGAACTATACAATAAACTCTTGAAAAAAAAAAAAAACAACAGAAAAAGATGGGTGACCTGATAGAAAGATGAGCAACTTGGGCAGATACAAGAGGAGACATATATATATAGATGTTCATTGCAGTGTTATCATTACAGGATGCTAGAGGGAAGGTAAGTTTCATCCTTAGGGAAAAAGTAAATGAAATGTGATGGAAACACAGTATGAAGCATTCTGCAGAAGTCAAGAGTTAGGGACAAGATTAACGAAAGGCAAAGTGGATGGATCTTAAAACATAACGCTGAGTGGAAAAAAAAAGTATTAAACAGATGAAGGGCTATACCACAACTCATGTATAAATTAAAAATAGATACACACACAAAACAACACTGCTTATTTTATAAAGATTCCTACATTTCATACACATTCATGGATATATATTAAACATATTTGAAGCATGTCTGGGGGAGAGGGCAATGGGACTAGAGAGTGGCCTTGTCCTAAATGATGATGACAGGGTGCCAAACACTGAGATGAACGCACTTATCTCAGCCCTCTGTCAGGAGACAACCCTCCAAAGGTCTCTTGCATTTCTGTGAATATTGTGATCAGAGACACTGACAAATTTCATTCTGGACTGTCTACTCATAGGTGCTTGTATAGGAAATAGCCTTAGAAGATGGAGACAGTGTCTCCCTCTGGGGTAGAAGGCATGTTTGTTTGCTACATGGGATACTAAAGATAATGTCTCATTCCAAAGCAAATGTTGGGCAGATTTGTTGGAAGCCCATTATAAAAGCTTGGGGTTTTCTAAGCTCAAGCTTTCTCAGATGCAACTCAATCCACTGCATGTGCAGCATCTCCCTCTGTACTGCCTTCCTGGGAATTAAGGAGCAAGAGGAGTGTAAACATGAAGCTCATGATACTTTCTGTGCCATGAGAAATCAAGTCCTTTGTTTCTGACCCAGGAGTCTCATGTCTTCTGCCAGCATCTGTGAAACCACAGCAGTCGTCTTTTGAACCTGCAAGTAAGGTAAAATCTCAGAATCTGTATTTCTAACAAGGTCTCAGATGATGTTGATGCTGTTGGGCCAGAGAACATGATAACCACTGGTCTAAGTCATACCAAATGTGTGGCCTGGGGAAGTTACTTAACTTTCTGTGCCTCAGTTTCTTTATCTGAAAAAATGAGAATAATGATACCAACTTCACAGGCTTGCAGTGAGAATTAAATGAGCTAATATGTGTCAAGGGTTTAAAACCATGACTGGCACATACTAAGCACTTTGTGTTTGCTGTGATTATCTATATAAATACATTCCTTAAGTCGACACAAGCTGGTAAAGCATAAATAGCCTCTACCATAATACCCCTATCACCTAGGAAAGCACTCTTATGACAATGCTGCTTTTGAAAGCTAAAGCACCTCTGAATGGCTTTGGTTCTGGAACACACTTCTGCATAGCTCATTTTTTTGTAACAATACAGGCTGGAAATGAAGATATGAAAAGAGGGTTGGGGGCTTCCTAGAAACCAAAACTAGTTGGAAGAGCAGGCAGATTGTGTGTGCAAGGACTTTGCAAGAAGGCCAGGAGAATGTAAACCCTATGTTTCCCTAAAGCAATGAAGTAGCCAGTGGAAGTGGGCAAATAGAGGGGCGTGATCACATGGAATGAAAATAAAGGCTGGAAGCAGAGAGGTAGAGAAGATAGCAAAAAGATGACTAGATAATTGAGAAGCAAGATAGAGGAATAGAGGAAGAAAGGAAAACTGAGGAGGAAGAACAAGGAGAAAAAGGGAATCTCCCATAAATCTTTTATCTCTTGGAAGTACGTAGGCATGGTCCTTTTTCTAAGTACTATTGTAATGACCTAAAGCCTATATAAGTGAAGAATAAACCAATAAGAGTAATTCTTGATGCCAAGTTACCACCAGAAATGTTTTCCATTTTTAAAAAGTGGCCACCACGTTCCTTGCCTTACCTGCCCCACTTAATCCTTTTCATCCCTGCCCTGCAGATTCTGCCTTGCCATTGCTTACTTCTGACCTCTTTCTTTCAAGCCTAAAGTATAGGGAAACATGGAATGTTTCATTGAATATTCTAGAGTCAACAAAGTAGAACATCCTTGCATACCATAATGGTATGTATTTTAGATGAGCAACCTTTATATAAAATTTCAAAGGAAGTTAATTCTAGAAAAAGAAAAGAATCTATAATGGTCAAGTAAATAATTATAAGAAAAACATCTCACCTCTCAATGTTCCCTCAGATGAAGTCTAGGTTCTCTGCAGTGAGAGTTCATAGGAACCAAAATTTAGAAAATTTAGCACTGTCCTGCTGATCTCTTCTACCCCTTCCTCCAGGTATTCCAGCACTGTCAGCATCAGCCACTTCAGGGCCAAATTAGTATGAAACCTGGCTGAGGTTTAAATAAAATTATTTCTAAAAAATATTAGGTCTCTCCATTTTTAATGTAATTTCTTGTGTTGAGATCTAGTATTTACTGTGAAAAATACACTAAATGTTTCTTAGTATTTTCTACTTAAAAACCTGCTGATAGCAATAATGATGAAAAGTTACTAGTCAAATAAAGATGGGAACATCAAACACTGGGGACTACCAGTGAGGGGAGGGTGGGAGTGGGGCGAGGGCTGAAAAGCTACCTTTTGAGTACTATGCTCGCTACCTGGGTGACAAGATCATTCGTACACCAAACCTCAGCAACACGCAATTCACCCATGCGACAAAGGTGCACACGTACCACCCGAAACTAAAATAAAAATTGAAAAAAAAAAAAAAAGAAAAGTTACTAGTCAAGTTAATATACTCTCTGGCCCTGAAGAGATCACATGTTTCAATTAAGAGCCTGGCAAACACTCCACAGGATGAAGAAAATGCTGGAGAACCAAGTACCTAAGGGTAAAAAATGAAAAAAAAAAATGTCTATATCAAAATGCTCTTTGGGAAGAGACGTTGCACATTAGTCTCTGCAAAGGAGAGAGGAAGAAACTAACCCACCTCTACCTGGTCAGACAGTAGAATTTCTAAAACTGTACTTAATTCACTCTGACTTATTAATAATATAATTTAGTAAAAATGGGAAACAAATTGCTTCCCTTTCTTCTATTTCCCCATGGACTATTTAGCAAGAGGGAATGGCTTCTAATTTTTCATGTTTGTGTCTCTACAGCACTGTAGGGAAGTCAGATTTTGAGAACATCATTGCATAGATTTGCCTTTAGTATCAAAAGGGGCAACTCTTTGCGTTACACAGGTCACAATGTCTGTCCATCTGTCTGGATCCCATTTTTCGCATGACTGGAATGAACAGTTAGCTATACAGAAAACCAGAACAAGAGTCCAGCATTGACTATGGTCAAACTTAGTTTAAATGGTGAGTCCCTTTTGATTCACTAGATTTTTATATTTTCCCAGTGAGAAAAGTGCCACCGTTCTACATGAAGCACCATTTAATGCCAATTGCCTATGAGCCGGCCTCCCTCATGTGTTTACCTTATATTGACTAGCTCGTATACCACTATCTGGTCCAGTCAACTGTGGCACGAAAGGCAAAGGATGGCTTTAACCAGTGCCTGACCCTTCAGCATCACTTCCTTAAGAAGTAATAGTGGACTTGGCAAACTGTGTGGCTCCATAGACTCTTCCTGCCATTGCCTAGTTCAAGCAAACAACTAATTTCTAAAACAGTTAATATCCACATCTTGATCACCTTCATAATACTCATCTCTATAGATGCTAGATTTCACCTTTCTGCAATGTTTTATTTAAATGGACCCACAATGACCAAACTGATACCAAATTGAAACTATTATCTTTTTAATTAGTGTAGGACATGTTTATATTTTTTTCTTAAAGAGATGCTTTGAAAATTCAATTTTTCCAATTAACCATCTCTGATGCAAAGTTAACTGAATGACTGCTAGTTTGCTTGGGCTCCAGTATATCTGATTAACTGTTCTATTTTAGAAATATATTTAATTACATCATGCAGTTTTCACCTTACAGGTGTGAAAAGACACAGAGACTAACAACCCAAACCTGCCTCCTATATTTTTATTCTCTTCTTTGTCTTTCTTATGACACTCAAATCCTGTCTTCTTAGATTTAAATTATTAATAGAGAAACAACTGGAGAAATAACCAAACCAAAAATTTATTACGTGATGGAACAAACTAATTAATACAAAAGAAGATTGGATAAATAAAATATAGTCAAAGCCCCAAATTAAAGAGAAAGAAATTCAACACAGAAGGATAAGGGGACAGAGAAGTCAAACAAGCTCTTTTTTTAACTTTTGTCCAAGAACCCCTGGCCTCAAGCTTTAAAGATTACCGGAAGCCCCAAAGGAGCTCCCTCCGGTCTTCTCTGAGGATCCAGCGCAGATCCAACAATTGAGTGCTGAATCTTTGTGTTCTAGGTGGGATTATTTATCAGGGATTTTGTTTTGTCTGGGTTTTCAATGGCCCGGCCCCAGCTGTACATTTGGGGACAGACCACAGCTTCAGTCAACAGAGGGTTTGTAGCGATCCATTCGGAAGCTTCCCTCCCCCTGCAGGGATGGAGTAATTAACAGACCATTAAGTCACTTCTGCTTTATTGAAGGGGATACTGTGCAGGTCATTTCTTTGAAAACTTTTGTTCTTGAAGGAAATTACAGGATTGTTTTATGTTCAGAACCACAGCCTGGTGTACTCTGGAGTCCAGAGGCAAATTTCTGTAGCTGGGGGAACTACAGAGACAAGGAGGATAATGACAGTAATCCCATTAAAAAAATATCTCCCCCAACTCCTCTTCTTTTATTTTTTTTCTTTAAAAAAACAGTTAAAAGAAAAACGATTTGCTCATTTGCTAATAACTAATAGGGACATGAAATACAGAGATGCCCCAGACTGAAATTTATCTCTGTGTCAATAAATCTCTAAACAACTGCCACGAAACCAAGTACTGCCACCATTGCTTCTTTTTATTTCCATATTAATCAAAAGCATCTGCTCCTGTCCTTTCCAGTAGAGGGAATGGGCAGTGAGTTTTCTAGCATCTGAAAAAGCGCCTGGAAGGACGTGTTTACAGCACTTGTGTTTTGTGCGGCCAGTAGAATTTTTACCCTAGGACTTAGGTGACTTAGGTAACCGATGTTTTCCCTCTAGGCTCTGAGGGCACAGAGGACAGGAGCTATTTCTTATGCATGTGAATGCCTTATTTCTCTTACTGTTTTACTTTTTTTTTTCCCCTCTGTTGTCGCTCCTAGCACCTGGCACATCGGAAGCATTCAGAAAATGTTCGTTGCTGAATTGGGGGAAGATTGAGAGAAACTCCAAAAGAAGTAATGCCAAGGCTTGTGTTGCTAGGAGTCCACTAGAACGCTATATGTTTACATTTGGTTTCAAATGATGGTGTGGATTTCCTTGTCCTTTCCCGGAGTAGACGGAAGGGAGGCGAGATGGTGGGAGGCTGAATAACCAGGAGGAGAAAGGAGTCGCCATAAAATGCACCCGCGCCACCCTCCATGTCCCCCAGTGGAATTGAGGATCTTGCTTGTGGCAAAAGTGCGTTCTTGGCACCACAGCCCCGCAGCTGGGGAGGGGGGCCTCAGTACCCGGCTTCCGCAATTTTCCAGGCGTGGAGGTGAGGGGTGCTTGCGTGTAAACTGTGGCAACCCCCAGAATCAGGCCCTGGCTCCTGCACTTTCGGAGGTGTCTGTTGCAGACCACGAGGAAAAGAGGGGTCTTACTCAAGTCAGGGCCGGACAGAACTCCAAAACTTACGAGGACAGCTATCCAACACTGCCTCACAGACCCTTAGGCGCTGCCCCCTCTTTGCCCCTGTCCTCCTGCGGTGCGAGAAACCCGACCACTCTGCTTCTACCCGAACCCCAGGACGCAACAGTAAAATCAAGGCCCGTCGTTGAACTCCCAGGTCTGCGCATCCCTCCCTCCTGGCTCCCTGGGGTCTTGGCCCCAGCAGGTCCAGTACCCATCCCCAGAGGGACCCACTACCCTGGGCGTCCCAGGGTGCCAGGCACGATGGCCTGCAATGGGGGCTGCAATTTAACCGAGGCGAGTTAAATTCCTTTTGCCGGTGCCTGGCTGCGAGGACAAACGTCCGTACTTTCGTTCGGGAGCCACGGGCAGTCCAGGGGCTTGGGTTAGAAGCAACGGCTCTCTTCCAGGGGCTGTGATCCGGGTCGGCCAGGGAGAGCGAGGCCCCGGGGTCCTCTGTGAGGTCCCCAGCGAAGAGACGCAGCTGGGGAAGGCGCCGCCCCCGGGCCCCCTGCGCCACCCTAACCGGGCCTCTCCTTAGCAAAGTTGACAAATTCTTGAGAGTGTCAGCCCAGGGCTGCGCGTGAGGGCGCTGGGACCGGGGAGGAAAGAGCACCTGCCGCGCTCAGCCCGACTTTGAATTTGTTTGTTGTTACCGTTTTTGTTTTTCCTCCCAGTTTCCATAAACGCTTAGTATTTCGAGGCACTTTGCAGGTGTTGGCGCAGGTGATGATGGGCCTCGTTGGACTCTGCCTCCCACGCATCCTTTTGTTTTCTGCGCGCCAGCCTGTCTGACTGTGTCCTGCGGGGACCCCGAGACAGTCCGGGGTCAGGGCGTAGAGACTCATGCTTGCCACTTGACCCATCCGCAACCCGGGGACCCCCTAGCCCGTCGCGGAGCTGGAGTTTGGGCTTCCGGCTCCCAGCTCTCCGCCCTGGATACAGGAAGAGGGCGGGAGAGGTCGCGCACCCGCGCCGCTCGGCGGGGATCGCTCACAGGGGCTCCGGGGCCACCGCGAGCGCGGACTGCGGCTGCTGGCGGGCTCCTTCGTCGTCCAACGCACCCCATCCTCTCCCGCCCCGCAGTGTCCCAGGGAAGGCTTCACTGAAAACAGACGCTCGACGGAAAACTGACTCTGCAGGCCCGAGCTTTCGGAGTTTGATTTCTGTGGGCCCCTTAAACGGGCACTGGGTACAGGAGAGGCCCCAACTCTCTGCAGGGACGGGGAGGGAAGGGCACTCACTCTCCCGCAAGTTTTCCTAGAGGCGAGCTGAAGATGCAGGCCACCTCCCTCCCGCACGGCCCCTCCCTTGGCCTAGTTCTGTCCAAAGACACTTCCCAGCCCTCGAGCGGCGGCTCCTCCACTCGATTCCTGCCTACACGTGAAGAGCTTGGACCCAGCGGGGCTGCACTCGGGAGGACAGGCCCAGATCCTGCACGGCCGGGAGGACACCTGGCCCCGCTGTCTTCTCTTCACAGCTCCCCTTTCTCGGCTTCGGCCTGGAGCGGTGCAGGGAGGGGTGGACCTGGGGTGGCCTTAAGATATCTAGCCTGGGTGCGGAGACTTGGGAGCCCACCCTTAGCAGTCACTCCTCCTCCCCAGTGGAGGGTGAGAAAAGGGGAACAGAGGGCCCCGGAGTCTCTGGAAGGGACGTGGAACGCGAAGTTAAATGTTGGTGTCTGAGCGATGTGCTGGTGGGGCAGAGGGGGTTCCAGCGTCCTCCCAGAGTGAGGAGGCTTTTGCAATTTCTGCTGAATGCGTCAGTGGAGGCACAAAACCTTGCTTGACCTAGCAGCTGGGAAAAAAAGAAGTTCGAGGGGACACAAGGCCCCCTGCTGCTGGAGCGAGGAAACCCTGGGCTTGGCCAGCTCGGGCCGCTTCTCCCTGCCCGTTTGCGGGCTGTCGGCCTCAGCGGTCCCAGAAACAAAGATCTAGTGAGCCCAGCCGACGCCGGCCTCATTTTCCCTTTCTAAGGGTCACTTTCTTCCGCCCTCTAAATTAGGTCATCGCCTGGGAAAGCGCCGAGAGGTTTCTAGTGTGGGCTTCTCAAGGTGTCTCCGCCCAGGAGGATTTCGCCATCCATTTAAACGTAAGGCGGGGTTTAATCTGGAATGAAAGGATCGTCGTGGTGTTTCCAGATTGAATGAAAAACTAAACTTGCAAAATTTCGAGAAAGTGACAAGTTTACAACGAAAAAAAATCCCGGCCGAAACCCATTTTCACCTTTGCGGTCATGAAATCTTTTTTCTGGCGTCGATAATTCGAGTATTTAAAGGGAAGTGCAATGACAGTAAAAGTCTGCCTGCAAACTCACATGCCCAGCAGACCCGCCTAGGCATCAAGGGAAGGGCCTTCCCGGAGAGCGAATGGAGATTATTTCTTCCCAATAAATCCAGAAACCTCAGATGACGTGGCTCTCAAATCACCTTCCTCACTGGGTTCCTGTCCTGTACTTAAAGAAATCCTCTCTTCTGGTCTCGAAGCCAAAAGAATTTTTGTATCCCAGAAAAGAGCTCTGCTCACTTAAGAGATCTTCTCGATATTGGAAGTGGTGTCTATTTCCCATTTTAGTTGCAAAATTTGCAATAGAGTTCCCTGTGCTCAAGCTTCCTTTCAGCTTATGTGAGTGGACATCACAGCTCTTTAAACTGACCACTGCTGTAAATCAAGGATTTCCTGTCTCAGCAGCACAATCACAAAATCCACGACTGTCCTAGTGTAAAGAATGTGGCTTTATTCCTTTGCATAACCCAATTTAAGACTCAGTTTTAGAGAAGGCATGAGGCCCACCACTAGGCCAACTGTAAGGCACTGAGTCTTTCCCCAGAACCAGGCCTTTGGAAACAGGACTCAAAAGAAGCAAGTGGCTAAGGAGAAAGTCGTTTTCCTGATTGATGAAACTTCTCCCACCCCTCCCCTTTCTAAATAATAAACTCTGGGGAAAGACTGGAGGGCTGCCTTGTGTTGGTTTCAAATAAATCTTCAATAGGCTCTTTCCTCACCCAGAGAAATGAATCACCCCTGGGAAACAGACGATTATTCCCCCATTTGTCTGCCTAAAACCAGTGGAAACAAGTACCCTCCACTGTAGATGCTAACTTAGGTCTTTCGCCTGGCTGAGAGTGGGGTAGCGATGGGAGGGTAAAAAGGGATGGAGGGGGATGATTTGCATAGAAGAGAAACCCACAGAGATGCTCTGCCTGACAGAGGCAGTACTGGGTAGGCATCAGGGACCCAGGAAAGACAGGGCAAACGCAAATGCTTCCTAGACGTGCTCTCCTTGCTGGATTCTAGAAAGAGACCACAAGCCTCCCCCCATTGGAGAGGAGCTTTGGCCTCAACCAACATCTAGGTGATGTTACAACTTATTCAGAAGCAAATCCTGGGGTGTTGCATTTCAATCAGGGTTCTATTTTCTTCAGAGGGAAATGGAGGCTTGTGTTGTTGGGGCTATCCTCACTACAGCTCGATTTATTGTCCCCTTTAAACAAATAGACAAAACTGTCTTGCTGGATTACTCCTGCTTAGACAAACCATTTAGAAGTGTTATGGCGGGAGGTGAAAAGAGAAAAGTAGTTTATTAAAATGACTCCCGTTTTAGCTGACTTTTTTGTAGAAGATGCCCAATGTATATAGCTAATCAGACCAGCAATCTTCTAAGGGAAGAAAGAAGGGAGGATTCTCGCTATAAATCTGCAAGATTCTGAGACTTGGGTGGTGGTTTGACTCACCCGGAGCTCACCTTACAAAGCAGAGAAGCCTTCCCTTTCTCTGTAGGCCATGCTTCCGAGGGTGCAGGCAAGCAGGGTGAGTATTTGACTATTTTCTAAGACCACTCTTTGTTGACTTTTAAAATGTATACTAGATTTTAACATGGGGGGAAAAGCACAAGTTCAATTTAAAGTGAAAAGAAGTTAACGTACTGCTTCATCCTTGTTTGTTGCCAACACAGTCATCGTAGTGACACTCCACCTCTCATTTCCTGCCACTTTAAGTTTCCAGATTACTTTTTAAAATTCAATTCTCGAGTTTATGAGGGTCTGATTACTGCAGAGAAATGAGCTCAAATAGCATAATACTATGAATGTGGGCAATGCCCGCTTGAAGGACATTTAGTTCCAAAAATCAGCACCAATTTACCCATCCTGTTTACTTGTACGTAATCACGGAAAACCTTCACATCTGCCCACCCATCCAAATTCCTCACCCAGATACACCTTACCTGGTCCACGTGTTTCCTATCCCACTACCCCCATCTGCTAAGATTTTAGGCAAAGGCAAAGCCACGATTTAAAGGTTCTTTTTTATTTGAAATCTCATCCAGAAACACTGGTTATTAATAAATATATCATAGTTATCAAGAATATATAAAAAATAAAGACAGGTATCGTCTTTGAGGCCCTAACAAAATATTTCAAGCAAATGTTCAGGAAAATAAAAACGGCACCCCTCCCAAAACCAGGATAAGTTTTCAAAGCTGATAATAGAGAGAGCCAACCCCGCATGCAGAATAACTGAGCGAGGGGGGGTGGCGCAAGCTACTAGAGGGAGCCCAGGCTTTTACAATAGCGGCCCCAGAACAGCAAAGGAAGGTTCCGAATAAAGTTTGAAGGGGGTGGGGGTGGGAGAAGAAGCGCGTGTGCGTGAGTGTGGGTCTTTGCACTCTGCCCCTTTTTTCATTTCATACAACCACAGACAGATATATGGAGTACTTGGGATAATTCACTAATAAATCCTTGTTACAAGGAAAACGGCACCACAGCCTGCACGACATATTCAGACAAGATTCATTTAGAAGCGTGCATGCATTCTTTTGACCTACACTGCGTCGAAAGGAAAACCCACATAGGAGGTGTCATGCCCTGGACCTCGGTTGAGATTCAAAACTTGGGTCTTGATCTCTCTCGCGCTCTCTCTCTCTTTCTCTCTCCATTGTCTCTAGAAAAACTGTGGCAAGGACAGAGACAATCATAATCGCATCCATCTCAAGAAAATATTTACATTTGTTTTGCACAAAAGGGATGGCCGTCTTTTTCCAAAGCGAGAACACAGAGTCAGAGAAAGCCAACTCAAAAGTCCCTTCGCAAGTTTTTAACTACACCGATCCCATCTTTATACAACAAATGCAGTTTTGACAAGAGCATATGGCAGTGAAAAATACTGGCGCGGCATGGGGAAAAGAAGCATGCATGCAAAACACACGACATCTGGTTCGAGTCCCCCTTTGCTACCACCTAGAAATTGCGGTTTGATTTTGGTCCTTTCCCTCCGGGGGTCAAGTGGAGTCTGAGATCTCTCAGACAGCGTGGGAGGCTGCGGGCCCCGGAGCCTGCCCTCCCGTGGGCCGAGCGTGCAGCCTCCCTCTTCCCTCCCGGCCCGGCACCGCGGCCCCTCCCGCCGCTCTCCCTCCTCCTTGGCAGCCGGGCCCGCCCGCTGCTCACTTGAGCAAGTCCTTGGACTCGGCCGACAGCCGGGCCATGTTGGCTGTGGAGAGAGCGGACAGGTGCGGCGGCGGCGGCATCTGGCAGATGGTGCAGGGGCAGGGCAGACCAGCCCAGTGCTGGAAGCCGCTGCCCAGCTGCAGCGCGGGCGGCGTGGAGGGCGCCTTGAGTAGCGAGTGGGGAGGCCGGATGGTGCCGATGGCGGGAAGTGAGGCGGCGGACAGCGGTGACGAGGCGTTGCCAGATGAGAGCGCGCCGCCCAAGATGGGGTGCACCGGGTGCACGGAGTTGGCCGCGTGCGCGGGGTGGCCGGCCGAGTGGCCCACGGTCCCGCAGTGAAAGGCCGAGTGGTGGCCCCCATAGATCTCGCCAACCAGCCTCTTCATCTCCTCCAGGGAGCTGGTGAGCATGAGGATGTAGTTTCTGGCGAGCAGGAGTGTGGCGATCTTGGAGAGCTTGCGCACCGACGGCCCATGCGCGTAGGGCATGACTTCGCGCAGCCCGTCCATGGCTAGGTTCAGGTCGTGCATCCGCTTGCGTTCGCGTCCGTTGATCTTCAGCCTCAACTGCTGTAGGTCCTGCTCCGACAGCTGCTTCTTGATTTTGTACTTGCTGCTCTCTCCCGCGGCCTTGGCGCCAGCCCGCGAGAGGCTTTCCCCGGGCATCTTCTGCATCATATCGCCCTGCGTGGACGAGACCGAGTTGAGACGGCTCTCCTGGTGGTGGTGGTGGCGGTGGTGGTGGTCCCTCAGGTACATCTCATCCATGTCCGGAGATGAAGCTCTGCTGGAGACAGAGCTCGAATCAGAATTCATTTTATTACAGGGGATGCGGCCCTACCGTGGGGAGGCTTTAGGCGGGAAATTAAAGAAAATCTTGAATTAAAAAAAAAAAATCTGCACTGCCCAGGAACCCACTTCTCCGCGGCAAGACGTGAGAAGAAAAGCGGAGACGCTGCTTTTCCCCGCCTCTCTCCCTCCCACGCCCCTCTCTCTGGTTAGGCTGCTTCCTGGACAGCTAGTTGGTGTGTGCTTGAACTAACCTCACGCTGAAAAAGAGGGGCTTTTATAGAGCTGCGGCGGAGAAAAGAGACAAAAGGAGCCCTCCTATCTATCCTGGGCTGGTTAGGATGACGTGCCATCATTCAGGGCGGTGCGCTTTGCTGTCCCATTTAGCAAGGATTCCTATTCATATTCATTGTGGGGCCGCCCTGGGACACCTCTGCTCCGAACCGCTAGGAGCCCCCAGGCACAAAACCCTCTGATTGACACACTCACCGCTCCAGCTTACGCCTTCCTGATTTTTTTTTTAACTTTCTTCCACCCCACCCCCCTTCCCAATTTCTCTAACCAAATCACACATCAGGAACGGAAGGAAGGCAAGAGAAGGTGGCCAGGCGGTTGGTGGAGGTTCCTCTGAGTTTGGAGAGAGGAATTGAAACATTCGCTCTCCTTTCTTTCCTGGCTGCTCCCAAGTTTAGAGAAATATGGGCAAAAATAGGTCTCAGTGGAAAGGTTTGAGGGACAGAGGTGCGGTCGGAGGGAAGGTGCTGCCAGCGGGGGCTGGGGGTGGTGGGAAGACTGCATGCCGACTTTCTCTGTCTCAATATTTTTTTTTCATTAGATCTCTTTTCCTAAACACTTCCATTCTGTCAATTTTGTTTATTGGGCCCTTCTGGTGTGGTTTCAACGGGATGTCCATGTTCGGTGATGGCTTTGCTCCTGGCAGTATTGTGGCGGAGAGGTCTCTTATTTTCTGTGTCCTCTCTTTCGTTTTAAAACATGGATTTCTAAAAGAATTTCAGTTTTGCACAATTCTTTAACTTCCTAGACCAAAAACTGCGAAAAAAAAATGTTAATGTCACAAGAAAAGCAACTTGGGAGGATGGGAAGGAAAAGGAGCCAAGGAGGCAGAGAGAGAGATTGTTAGGTTCCTGAGAGCTCCAGAGAGATTGTTCCCACTCCAGGCTTCCTGGACCTTGGCGCTGGCGCAAAACGGTGGGACGGTCCGCGCCCGAAGCTCCGCCGGGCCTCCTCTGGCCGCTGTGCTGACGTGCCCCGAGCTCCGGGAACTCAGCGGCACCCCGGCCTGCGCGGGTGGGTCCACCAGGCTGGGGCCGCCGTACGGCGTCGGACAGGGAAATCAGAAGCTCATAATAAACTATCTGATGTCGGGGTGGTGGGGCGGGGGGGTGGGGTGCGTGGGCAAAGAAGCACGGGGGAAGGGAAACAACGAAAGGACCTAGAAAGCCCCTTGTGCGTGCCCGGGCACTGCGGTTCAGCGCAGAGTCGTTTCTGGGAATAAAGAGGAGGTCGGAGTTTGGAGCCTTCGGTGCGAGTGCGGAGGTGGGCGTAGATCTTTCTTCCCCCTTGCTGTGTTTTTGTGATCAAGACTTTAGCTCAGCAGCACGAGGGGCGGGAAGGCAGAAATCCCGGGAAGGGAGAGAGCCCCAGGAGTGGTCTCTAGAAGAACCCGGACACCGCCCCTCTCCCGGCTTGGTGGAACGGGAAACAAACGCTAGCTAGTGACTGAGAGTCTCGGTGGAAGTGTGAAATCGAATCAATCGCGGAACCTCGGGCACTTGGGGCCTCTTGCGCCGCTGAGTCACTTCGAAGAACAGGATGCCCCCCTTTCCCTTGACTCAAACCGAGCGGTCAGTGGGAGAGGGATGCGCGCCCAGGTCCGGAGTTTGCACGCTCTGAGGCTGTGCCCCACTGACAGTCACGCTGCGAAGGCAGCTCTGGCCAATACCAGAAGGATGGGCAAACGCAACATTGGCATGGATGCTTTTGCTACACCGAATTTTGTTTTTCTGTAATGGGGGAAAAATGGCCAACAGCCCTTCGTCAAGGCCAGGAAGTTAGTGCTCTTGCAGATTGGACAGGAGCCTCTTCTACCACCTTCATCTCGGTGGAAGGAAAGTTTCTTAATTCAAGAGGTTAGATTGGATGTGGAAAGACTAATGTCCAAAAGCATTCCTAATACCAAGCATAAAGAATGTTTCTTAATTCACCAGACTCGCCAATAAGATAGTGACATACACTAAGTCTTCCTGGTTATTTAAAAAAGGAGGGGAGGGGGGAAGTGCTCCAGAACTTGTGCAGTCCCAGGTGATGGGAGGAAGCTAGTGGCTAGTCCTAACGACAACCCTCTGCGACTCCCCTGCTGATCAAATGGGGTGAGGAGAGAGAGGCGGACGGGGGAGGGCATTGGGAGCGAGCACTGGACTGGACGAAGAGCAGCTTCCCCGCCCTGCGGACGGTGCACAGGTCTGGCCCCCGCCGTCCTCCTGAGCCACCTCCCTGACCCTAGGTCGTCGGCGGCGTCTGTCCTTCCCACACCCAGACTGAAAACGCTGCACCTGAGTTTTGATTTGGGGAAGTAGAATTGTCTGGTCAGAGCAGAAGGGTTGCAAATGAAGGAGTGGAAAAATCATGTTGCTACAAGATATTTTACCCTTTAAAAAAAGTCTTGATTTTCCCAGTGGACAATGTAAAATAAAGTTTTAAAATCTCCCCCAAATTAGTAACGAAGGTGGCAAGCCGTGGGCGGGGGGAGGGGAGGGAAGGAGGGTAGAGCAGCCCTCGAAATACAAGCTTGCGGGGCTGGAAGTCCGGGGCCAGGGTTCTGGGAGTCCAAACCAGAAGCCACTCTCCTTCAGCACAGCCTTTCAGCCGAGAGGGGGCTGACGCCTGCCGCAGCCGGTTCCGAGGGGGCTGCGATGGGCCGGGAAGGGGCGACTGGGCCTTTGCCCGAACAGACCAGGACATTCCCTTCCTTCTTCCCTAAGGGTTTTCAGCTCCAGTAACAGAGGTGCCTGAAATGGGAGATCTGCGGGGACCAGGCCGGGACTCCCTGGCTCCGAGGCCGGGACGTGGCGCGCCCTCCGCTCCTCGGTCACCCTCTGCTTTTTCGAAGGTCCGTAATGCGTGAGTGTGGGTGGTCCAAGGTTCAGGGCCTCCTTCCAGTAAGTACTTTTAGAAGCTAGTTCCCCCACTTCCCATCCGTTGCGGGGCTTGACAACTAGACGAGGGGAGTGAGTAAAGGTGCCACAACTTTGCTTACCGTAAAATGGGTTAATACTCGCCGGGGCCCAAAAGGCTGAGTCGCCCCGCACGTCTTGCTTCGTGGAGTCTCTTTTCGACCCCCGCCACCGCAGCTCAGTTCCTCGGATTGAGCCCTGAACCCGAGAAGGAGCAGGCCCGGAGCTCAGGAGGGCAGGCACACGGATTTCTTTCTGAGGGCTGACTACCAACGCCCACCCCAGACTTGTACGGAAGGAGAGAGTAAAGGAGTCGCCGCCTGGCCAAGGCTGCAGCAGCCTACAGAGGCTCAGCCGGAGACGCACCATGACCTTGGCCCTGGCCGAGACCCCTTTCGGAGGGCTCAGACCGGCGAGGAGCCGGAGCGAGCGACCCTGCTGCGGTGGCTCGGGCTGCGCTCTCTCGGGCCACACCCCGCGCCCTCGCGGCTGGGGCGGGCTGCGCCGCGGAGGCGGGGATCGTTCTCCGGCAACAGGTGCGTCCCAAGGCAGGCAGGCTACTTCCCTCCAAGCCTGTCTTGGCTCTGAGAAGAGCCTGGAGTTTCTCAGCCTTCCTACAACATATGAAAACAGCGGGTCGGCGCGTGGACCGGGGCAGAAGAGCCGTCCTGCTGTACCCGCGCGCCCAGGGCGCTCCGCGGGGACCGCGCACTCGGGAAGCTGTGCTGTGCTCAACACCCCCCTGTGCCTCCCAGATCACCAGGGATCGTCTCTTACCTGACACCCAGTGCGCGCCGCTCGGTGCCCGACGCCCACTGCTCCGCAGCCTTAGCCACCGAGTTCCTCTCCAGCAGCTGCCGGCTCTGCCTGAGGCCGCGGCGATTTTGGCTCAGGAGCGAACCCCCACCCCCACCCCCGCAAGAGTCCAGTAGCAAATGTCGCTAGCTGACCTGCCGAAGAGCTACTGTGAGAGGCAGGTCAATCAGCAACGTCCAGGGGCTCCTCTCGCTCATCAAGCAGCAAACTTGACCAGCAGAAACTTTGGCCGAGACCGAAAGGCGGGAGGCTGCCCTGTGGGCTTCACCTTTCAACCCAACCACCCTCCAAGACAAAACAGAACAAAAAAAGGAAACCTAAACATTTCTAACTATGTTTCCTCATGTGCAAACAAGGAATAGCCTAAAAATTAGTTGACCACGCGGAGAAACTTCTCAAAAAGTGCATTCTTTAGCAGAGTAGAACGATAACTTCACAACAATAGCAGTGGGGGTCCGGTCACCAGGGCCGTTAGGTTGATCAAAGAAGCCAGTACCAAAAAAGAAAATAAATAAATAAATAAATAAATAAATAAATAAATAAATAATAAGACCAAAAAAATTTAAATATCAACATAAATCGCAGTCAAGCAGGAATAATCTCTTCCTGCAGCAGCGCATCCCGAGTGATAGTGTTTGGCTTAGGGCACGGAACCCTGAGCCCCTAGATTGGGAGATGCCAAAATCAGAATTCCAGCAATTAAATAGGTGATACAAGGGCCAGAGAAGATGGATCTGGACAGACTGACTAAAGCGATTCCATTTTCTGGGTTTCCCCATATTTTAAATAACATCTTGAAAACTTACTGATCTGTCCAGTCTTCCTCCTCATCTTATTAAAATCCAGTTTTCATACGGGGAAAATAGCAGAAGTGGAAGGGCAGCAGAATTTTATGAGCTGGTAGTAACTGCTTTTCACAATATTGGATGTGAGGCTGGAAGATGCCAGGCAGTCCCAGAATAGCACAAAATGATGAGGTGCTAATTATGTGAATATATAGACAAGTTAATACACTGGCAGAACTAGAAGTTTGATTTTAATGATGCATAAGCACCAAGGCTGGCTAGAACTTACAAATTCATTATAATTATTTAAAGACTCACGAAAGTCAAAGGAAATATGAAGTTCTGGGCTTCATTTATAGGATTTAGCTCAATTAGTGAGCATCCTTCAGTACTCTTTTTTTTTTTCCTTTCTAGTAACATCTGCTCAATTGCCAAAACCTCAACCGAGTTTTCCTCCTGTAGAAAGCCAATAAATGGAAAATAATTTTTTTCTCAAGATTGAAATGTTTGGGTTGATTTAAATATCACTGGTGATCAATTACATAAACTGATGAGTTATATTAAACTTTGCATACTTATATGCACATTCTTGGCATGTGCCCTGACATTCTGGATTTGTGGCTCCATTAATACCAATACTTTAAGAACCACTAAGCAGATGATTTTTTAACAGTATGTTATTGTTATTAACTTATTTCTTTTATGAATTGATAGTTACAGCCACCGTATACAATTTGATATCTCAATATAAAAACACAGAATACTAATTCTACTTTTTGCTTTTGGAGGTTATTTGATCATCTCCTGGCTATATTCTATTAGATAGTTAAACACATATTGCTGTATTCTTTGCTGAAGTGCTTAAGGAATTTAGTTTTATTTTAGAGTTATCTTATGTAGCATATGTATACCTCATTTTGACTTCAGTAATATTCAGATTTATGCACACACAAAGTATATAAGTAAATAGATACCACAAAGAGATTAGAATATAGGTATAGCATCTAACTATAAAGGAACAGCAGATAAAATGAATGTTTACACCTATGACAACAATTTATTACACTGCTTTTTTATTATAGGTACCTATACATGTAAGTTCTGAAGTTTATATGTATATTAGCATAGAGTCAAATACATTAAAATATTTCCTTGAAGTCTTTGGGTTCTAAATAAAAATAAATAAATTATTTTCAGATGCTGTCTAATGAAGACAATGGAAAACATATTAAATATCTGTTTATAAGTAACGTTGGATTTGAAATCTTCTCACATTGGCTTGACTCCTAACAAATATAGATTTACAAATCTTATTTTGAGAAAATTGTAAATAAGATTCTGCTACTGAATCTTGAAAAATAAAAATGGCAATTTTCTAAAATCAGCCTTTCAATGGTTGATTCATTTTATATACCATTTGTGGTATGGACCAGGTGGATTTTGCTTCATCATTTCTGAAAACAAATGAAAATGTAATAAATTGTACTTTCTCATTAGTGCATTGTATTTTTCTATCTATAGATATGGTTTTGGTTTGCATAACACCAACAGCCTGAATGTAAACGATATAAAACCCAATTATCACTGTTTACAATATTGACTAAATTTTCATTTTCATTTTTACATCATATTATAATATATACTAAAATTAAAACAATTGCCCAAGTAATTTAAGTGTTAGGTCCTGTTTTTCTTTTATTTTGCAGGGCAGAGGGGAGGAGGAAGATAGGGAGAGAGGAAGCAGGCTGGAAACAAATTTTCACTTAACATTTCTAGATATTTATCATTTTATATTTTACTTGCAGACCAGGCTGAATCTCCTGTTTAACAATTGAAATATATTCTCAACAGTACTATCAAGAGCTGTTAGTAAAAGCTTCTTATAAATTTGAGCTACGTCAATTTTTAGAACAAAATAATAATGGAAATTAATATTTTTACATAATATGATATCATTTAAGGTATTCATGAAAGAAAGTTGATAATTTTCCAGGTCTTTTTTTTCTAGTGATTGTGATCGTTCCATCCTATAATGCTTGGTAGTAAAGAAATAGCAGAATACTGGAGCATTTGTCCACGGAAGTGAATATTTCAGTTAGATAACCTTAAAAGAACTTTGGTTTTTTTCTTCATTTTATTATGGCAAGTGTGATACATTTGAGTAGACTTTTAGAAAAATAAAACTTTATAATGAGGGTGAAAAGAAAGAAGGAGGAATAGAAAACACTATGCACGTATCCTTAGCTTGTAATATATAAATTTAATCCTACCCTTAAGTGCATTTTATGGAGTTGTTTGTGCAAAAGCACTTGCAAAATATATGTTAACTTTATAGATGCATGGAAATTGTAATGTTGATTCTAACATTTTAATAAAGAACCCATTTGTGGCCGTTTTCCAAAGGCAAATGTATAGCAAGTTTGTCAATCATGTTTAAATACCCTATGGATTCTGTGGCACTGTCATTCACCATTCATACACCCTCCAATATGTTGAACCAGTCAAATAGCCTGAGATAAAGCTGTGAGAAGAATGAAAACACTGAGTAATCCTTCAGGGATGGTACTCCTGAGTATAAGGACAGCTCAGAAACTGTGCTGCAGAGGCAAAGTGAAAAACTGAGAATACCATCAGACTGAAACTCTGCTAGAAATAGAATCAGAATAAAAGAAATAAAATAGAAGAAATACAATAGAATAGAAATAGAATTTTTAAAGTGAATACTGTGGATAGCCTAATGTTGTGGAACAGTGTTCTCAAATAAGTTCTTAATTTCCTCTGTTGCTAAAAAGAAAAAAGAAAGCTTTAACTCTATATTGAGGGACAATTAAAGTGGCCTCATAGTTGTTCATCATGCAAAAATGCATCTACTTAAATAAGAATGCAATACTAGAAATCTGTATTCAGAAAAAGACAACTCTCATTTGATTGACATAGATCTCTAAGCCTATTATTAATTATTTCCAGAGAAAAATTTGTTTTCTCTGGGGAAAGCTTTTATATGTGATTTATTTGCCTGAGAGGAAATCAGATGCTGTTATGTGTATAATTTCAAGTATACTCGCTACAATTGTTCTATCTCTTCATCTGCGTCAAAGTTTTACCTCTCATGAAAGTAAAGCAGGGGATAATAGCTCTTTTGCTCCCATTAGACATATTAATTGAAGTAATTGCATTAAATGAGAAGTAATGCCTTTGGGAAGGTAATGCCAAGAACAGACACCCAATAGAAAAGTGTTGCCAAAGGTATGTATGGGAGGAAAGATATGGGCCAAGAGCATATAACAAACTCAACTCAAAAGTTTAAGTAGCTGTAGGAACTAAAAACTAGTAAGCATAGGCCTACGCAGCTTGGAGTTGTAAACATTTTAAAGATAGGTCTATAGTAACAAGGGCATAGTTCCTCTCTGTTGTGGTGTCTCACATGTCCCTGTTTGGGAAAGACACCAACAACCATGGGAACAAAATTAACATCAGCACAAAAATATTGCATATGTTTCTTTAATAAGTTGTCTGCTGGCTAAAGCTTACAAATACCCTGGGATCATAGAAAAGATGAGCTCTTGGAGAGATATAAACTATTTTTTTGATAACTCCTATGTTGTAAACATAGAGATGTCACTTCTGCACTGGAGGAGCACCCTCCCTATAGTATGAAGGGCAGAGGCAGATATTAGAGAAAGAAAGACTTCACAACCCATCAGAATTTCCAGATAGGATTTACTAGTTACCAGGTATGCACACTTTCACAAGTTTCTTGCCATTTCTGAATCTTCGCTTTGTCATCTGCACAATGAAAGTAATGATACTTGTGACATATACCATTGTGAGGATTAAATAAAAGAGTTTTGCAAGGTGTTTGTAAGCTATTCACCTAGATGGATCAGACATAAATTTCAAGAGCAAAATTTTAAAACATTTAATAAAAAATAAATTTATTTATAATCTTGAAATAGAGATGGATTTATTCAATTAGGCAAAACCAGAACTATCTATAAGAGAAAAAGATTGACGAGTGTGACTACATAAAATAATGATACTTTATCAAAACACACTGAAAGACTGTGAATAGTGAATAGTTATTTTTAAACTTGGAAATTATCTTTGTAGCACAACAGTATTCCATAGGCCTTTCTAGTAGGAATATAAACTGTCATAGCCAGTTTGGAAAACAGCTTGATATTGTCTTGTAAAATTTAACATTCATGTACTATATGACCCCAAAATTCTACTCCTAGCTTGTACGCCTCCACCTCAAACTCTTGAATCTACATACCTAAAGACATATACTGCAATAGAATGTTCATAGTATCACTATTCACAATAATAAATAGTTGTTGACAGGGAAATACATAAGTAAATTAAAGCACATGCACAGAATTATTCAGCAGATTAAGTGAATGAACCATAGCTCCATGCAAAAATATGAATAAATCCTATTAAGAAAAAATTAAGAGAAATAATGAGAGTCCCAAAAGGTTACATGGAGAATGATAACAAATTTTGTAAGGTTAAAAGCAACTAAAACAAAGCAATATACTTATTAATATATTACTGTATTAGTCCATTCTCATGCTGCTGTGAAGATATACCTGAGGCTGGATAATTTATAAAGAAAAGAGGTTTAATTGATTCACAGCTCTGCTGGGGAGGCCTCAGGAACCTTGCAACCACGGTGGAAGTTACCTCTTCACCGGGCGGCAGGAGAGAGAATGAGCGCAAGCGGGAGAAACGCCAGACGCATATAAAACCATCAGATCTTGTGAGATTCACTCATTATCACAAGAACAGCATGGGAGAAACCGGCTCCATGACTCACGTACCTCCACCTGGTCCCGCCCTTGACACATGGGGATTATGAGGGAATTCCAATTCAAGGTGAGATTTGGGTGGGGACACAGAGCTAAACTGTATAATGCATATTAAGCATATACTTAATATACTTATTAAGATTACACAGAGAAGTGGAAAAGCTACATTTAAAAAAGAAAAAGCAAGCAAGGAAGAGAAGAATCAGCATAGATTCAGGATAGGAGCTACTTCAAGTGAAGGAGGAGGGGTATAGGATGGGAGAGAACCACACAGAGTTATAAAAGTTATAATCAAGGCTTCAGTTTCTGGATTGGGATGGGCGTTCACAGGTGTTCATTATATTATTCAAAATAGACACAAACATGAATGGACCAATGATAAAAGTACTTTCTAGGGCCGAGTACAGTAGCTCACGCCTGTAATCCCAGCACTTTGGGAGGACAAGGCGGGTGGATCACGAGGTCAGGAGTTCGAGACCAGTCTGACCAATATTGTAAAACCCCATCTCTATTAAAAATACAAAAATTAGCCCAGCATGGTGGCACCCTTCTGTAATCTCAGCTATTCAAGAGGCTGAGGCAGGACAATTGCTTGAACCTGGGAGACGGAGGTTGCGGTGAGCCGAGATTGCACCACTGCACTCCAGTCTGGGCAACAGAGTGAGACTCTGTCTCAAAAAGAAAAAAAAAGGCGGGGGGAGGTCTAATATGTGTTCACTTGTAAAATAATCAATGAAATGAAGAGAACTCTTTGTTCTCTCTAATTAGATAGAGGATAGAAGTTGAAAAAGCTAATCCATCATGCCCACCACAGTTTACTCCTTTGGTTATCTGATATCTGTGTACACCTCCTATCCATAGCTGAACTTCCAAATAGCAACTATTACAATAAAAACACACTTGCATCTGACATAACTCAATTACCACTCATAAAAATAAATGAACAACAGTAACAAAAATATACTTACTGGGAAACTTAATATTCTACCACTCACTAAGTCTATCACTGAGTAATTTTTATTCTTCTTCTAATTTAGTCAATTCTACTTCATATAAGGCATTCTATAGATTAAGTTATTCATTTAGATACAACCAGGAATGGCAGTGCACACCTGTAGTCCCAGCTAGTTGAGAAGCTAAGGTGGCAGGATCCCTTGAGTCCAGGAGTTTGAGGCCGCAGTGAGCTATGTGTGATCACAGCAGTGTACTCCAGCCTGAGTCACAAAGCCAGATTTCATCTCTAAAAGAAATTTTAAAAATACACACACACACACATGAAGACAACTTATGCGAAATAGTGGATGAACAACAGAAGAGAAAAAAGGAAATGGGTTAATATATATTCATATATATCATATATATTTAACACAGTATGAAAAAGTATGGGCAACTGTTAATGAATGTATAGTTATAGTTTTAAATTTCTTTGCTCTACTATCTGTTTCCTATTCCCTTTGTCTTTTGCTAACATCTCAACTGACCAGGCTTCTCGGTGAAGTAAGTCAAGCTAACATTCCGTGGTAGTCCTGCATGTAAAATGTTGCTATGATCATCCAGGAACTTTTACTAGTGATTAGAAAGTAGTAGCATGTCCCCAGATGAGCTCCTGTATTGCAGATATACTCTCCTTTACCCACTTTTCTGTAGCAAAACTATTTTTTCTTGATATTTAGTATAAAAATAACTTCAGCCAACATAACAATATACTTTTTTTCTCCTTTTGGTTGAGTGGTGTGAAAAACCCAAAATGGCCAGATGGTAGTCTCAACTTCCAGTTTATTAGAAGTAAATGTGTGTCTTCCTGTGGAAGCATTTCTTCCTTGGTAACTAGGACTGTTAACTAGTAATGGAAACTAGTACTGGAAACTAGCAATGAGGATGGTGTGACAGAGACCGATAGCAGGCTACCAAAACCTTTTCACCCCTTCCTGGCTTCCAGATGTTCTTACTCTTAGAAGCAGCCCTGTGAGTTATTGGTGATAGATGTGAGTGGAAGTTCTAAGCAGTCTAGGAGTTAAGATACAGGGCATGCCTCTTTCACATTTTCTTCCTTCTGTCTACTATCTGATCACACTTGAACCATGCAGATCATGAGGACACGTTAGGTCTTCGGAAAACAATAACTTAGATTCTAGGCTCCCCACTTATAGTGTAGAGCAGAACTGCCTTCAAGACTTGGACTTTTACTGTTGAAACTATCACATGGACAAGAATGAAATTCCCTTGTTCTGTAAGTCATTTTATTTTTGGCTTTCTTCATTAGAGCAACCTTGCCTATATAACAATCTTATCCTATTTTATTTTTTGTTTTCTTTTGCTTTTTTTTTAAGCAATCTTACCTTATGTAGATACACATCAAACATTTTCAAGTGGGTCACTAAATATAATAATGAGACATGCTAGATGGACTAAATCATGTCAGAGAGCTAAATAATCTAGGCAAATGTGAACTTCTGCCTTTTCCACAAATGTGGACTTCTGCCTTTTTCAGGTGAAAGTAAACTGTGTTCTCTGCTTAGTTGGATTTAAAAAAAATTTACAAAATTGATAACCATTATTAAGACCAGTGGAAAGGCCACACTGTTATGCTACTATGAGATATAACATGTGGAAATGGTTATACTTCCAAGAAGTTTGGCAAGGTCATTCTAGTCCCAAGTGTGAAGTAGTCTGCAGATGACTAGGTTTAAGGCTTGGCACCAATAAGCACTCTGAATAAAATGTGAGTAGCACATATACCCTACTATGATTAGCTTGTCACATATTGTCAACAAACCTTAGCAGAAAGAGACAGGCTGAGGAATGTTTGGTGAACATGGCTTCTTTTGTCTCCTCTGTTCTTCACAGGTGACATGCTAAGATTGGTGGTGATAATATTCAGCCTGTACAGGGAACGGCCCTTGTCTTGTCTTTAAGCCCCAAGCAGAGGTTTACTTAGCCTCATACCTTTGACCACAGCACCTTGAAACTTCAGGATATTGACGTGATGTGCGTTGTCTCATCTTGCACCTAATATCTGGGTTTTGGATCCAGTTTCTTACTGGACTACCAGTATCATCCTGATACAATGTTCACAGGTTATTTCATAAGGGCTAGAAATAACTCATTCACTAAAAATATTTATTAAGCAACTGCATCATGCCAGGTATTATTATAGGCACAGAGAGTTTTTAAATGAGCAAAATAACCTCATTCCTTCCCTTGATTGCCTTGAATTATAAGGGAAACACATAAATGAGCAAAATGCACGTTGTATCAGATGATGACAATTGTTACAGAAAAAATAAGGAAGGAAGGAAGGAAGGAAGTAGAGGGTACTGAGGAAGGAGAAATGGGATGCTGGTAGTGACAACAGTAAATAATGGAGAGGAAGATGTCCAGGAAGTCGATTTTTCATTAAAACCTGCAGGAGGCAAAAGACCAAGTAATTTAGAGACCCAGAGAAAAAATGTTTCCGGCAGAGAGGTCAGCGGATACAAAGAGGCTCTGAAGTAGGTGCAATCCTGCATGTTAGAGAAATAGTGAGGCCAATGTGGCTGAAGTAGGGTGAAAGAAAGAGTAGCCTGGGCGCGGTGGCTCACGCCTGTAATCCCAGCACTTTGGGAGGACGAGGCGGGTGGATCGCGAGGTCAGGAGATCGAGACCATCCTGGCTAACATGGTGAAACCTTGTCTCTACTAAAAAATACAAAAAAAATTAGCCGGGCGTGGTGGTGGGCTCCTATAGTCCCAGCTACTTGGGTGGCTGAGCCAGGAGAATGGCTTGAACCCGGGAGGCGGAGCTTGCAGTGAGCCGAGATCGCGCCACTGCACTCCAGCCTGGGCGACAGAGAGAGACTCTGTCTCAAAAAAAAAAAAGAAAGAAAAGAAAGAAAGAGTAAAAAATATCAGAGAGAAACTGCTCTTGCGTTGGGGACAGCAATCGAAGGTGCAGAATGTACAGCGCTTTGCAGGAAATTTTAAGTTCTGCTCTTTAGTGAGCGCGTTGGCTTCCACTCTGAGTAAGTATGGCACCCCTGAGAGGGTTTTGAGCAGAGGAGTGGCTTCAGCCTACTTATACTTTAGAAAAATCATTCTGTTTTATTGAGAAGAGACAGAAAGGGGCAAGGTTAAAGTCAGGGAGATCAATTAGGAAGCCATTGCAAGCAACAGGTCAGGAAATAAGTGATGGTGCCTTGTACCACTTGTTTGGTGGAGGTGGTGAGAGGTGGTCAGATTCTGAATGTAATTTGAAGGACGAGCCAACAGGATTTGCTGAGATTGGACATGAGTATGAGAAAAAGAGGTTAAAGATGACCTCAAAGTTTTTGAATTGATATCTAGAAGGATATAGATGCAATCAACTGTGTCAAGAAAAACAGTGGAGGACTCTGAAGTGGGAAAAGAAGAGATTAAAAGAAGAATGAGTGTCCTATCTAACTCACTCATTCAGGTTATCTTGCCTTTCGTTGTCTTGAAGGTGTTTTGTAGCTCTGTAAATTGTAGAAAATTATTCTTGTCCATAGAAGAGCATATGGAGTGTGTTTAGTAGAATTTAATTGATGACTGCCTATTGGTAGACCATTTTGCATGTTATTTGTAAATTTGTTTCAGAATGTTTCGTTCTCTATATGTGTTTCTACTCTTTGAGTGCTTCTTTGAATTGGTTGTAACATATTACTGGTTTCTCTCATAAATTAATGAGTTAAATAAAATATTTGACTTGATTTTATTTTATATCTGTATTGGAGTCGTGGTTTTTATTGTTTTTTATTTTTGCCACTTATCTTTTGGCAATTGAGATGGGAAAAACTGAGCGAGGAGATATTTTGCATAGGGTAAGTTTGAGATGCCTGTCCAAATGAAAATATAAACATTTTTCTATCCATATCAGCCATTCAGGGAAAGACACGAAAGAAGTGAAATAAGCCAGTCACAAAAGGACAGATACTATATGACTCTGCTTATATAAGATATCTAGAGAGGCCGGGCACAGTGGCTCATGCCTATAATCACAGTAGTTTGGGAGGCCAAGGTGGGTGGATCCCTTGAGCTCAGGAGTTTGAGACCATCTCTACAAAAAAAGCAAAAAAGTTAGCCAGGTGTGAAGGTGTACGCCCATTATCCCAGCTATTTAGGGGGTTGAGGTGGGAAGATCACTTGAGTCAGGAGGTTGAGGCTGCAGTGAGCCATGTTCCTGCCACTGCACTCCAGCCTGAGTGACAAAGTGACAGCCTGTCTAAGTCAATCAATCAGTCAGGTATCTAGACTTGTCAAACTCATAGAAAGTAGACTGGTGGCTGCTGAGAGCTCAGAGAAGGGAGAAATGGGGAGTTGTTAAATGGTTAAAGAGTTTCAGTTTTGCCCGACAAAGAAGTACTGAATATCAGTTGCACAGCAATGAGAATATACTTAACACTAATGAACTGTACACTTAAGAGGGTAAATTTTTGTTATGTGTATTTTAGCACAATTAATGTAACAATAGAAATACTACTGAGAAACAAGATAAGGCTAACTCACACACACAAAAAATCCCTAAGTCTTATGAAGAAATATAGCATCTATGAAAATCAAACACACTACAGGGAGATTTTTACTATGACTAGTTTTCATTGGAAGTCTTTTCTTTCTTCCAATCACTCAATTGTGTGAAAAAGTTGGAGAACTTCAAGGAGGAAGCAAAGGGAAGAACAAGTCAATCTGAAAGCCTGTTGACCTGCAGAGTGTTGCCACTGACACTAGGAAGAGGCTTTTACAAATATCATATTAGTACCGCATGTAAAACAATTTTTAGGGCTGGGCACAGTGGCTCATACCTGTAATTCCAGCATTATGAGAGGCCAAATTGGGAGGACTGTTTGAGCTCAGGAGTTTGAGACCAGCCTGGGTTACTTAGCAAGACCTCATCTCTACAAAAAATAAAAAAGCCAGTCACAGTGGCATGTGCTGGTGATCCCAGTTGCTAAGGTGGGAGGATCACTTGAGCTCAGGAGGTCAAGGCTCTAGTGAACCATGATAATGCCACTGCACTCCAGCCTGGGCGATAGAGCAAGACCCTGCCTCGAAAAACAAAACTAAACCAAACAAAATGACTCCACAATTTTTAGAAAACAGGATTGCTTGGGGAAAAAGAGAGATAGAAGATAGAGCTGTGAGATTTTTATCCATTAGGAGACTCACAGAGTGGTGTCCTCTTCAGCTTGTCCTCTTTCAATACACTGATACTTACTTTATAACTGGAGGCACTTTATATGTGTTGAACACCTACTGCGTGCTAGGTACTTCACAAGTAGTACTGCTAATCCCAGAAACAGCCTGCCAAGGTATGATTATCCCTACTTTAGAGATGTGGAAACTGAGGCTCAGCAAGTTTATGTAGCATATCCTAGGACACATAGTAAGTAAATGGGAGCCAGGATTCAATTCGGCATTGTCTGACTCCAAAACCTATATCTTATCTCCCACACAATTCTAAATAATTGTCATCAAAGTGTGATTCTGGGAACCAGGATCATGGGCTTATACCTTCACCCAGGAGTAAAGAGATGGTGCCTTTCTTCCCCCTGCCAGAATGATTTCCACAGAGACCAGCTAATACAGGAGACTTATGTAAGATCCAGAGTCTCATAACATAATACCCCAAATGCCCAGAACACATGAAAAAAGATTCTTCATAACAATAACCAGGACAACTTCAATTCGAATGAGGAAAAGGCAATCCACAGACAACAACACCAAGATGTCACAGATGTTGGAATTAACTGATAAGGACTTTAAGACAACCATCAAAAAAAATGCTTCAGTGATTGGCCGGGTGTGGTGGCTCATGCCTGTAGTCCCAGCTACTCAGGAGGTTGAGGAGAATGGATTGCTTCAGCCCAGGAGTTTGAGGCTGCAGTGAGCTCTGATCACTCCACTGCACTCTGACCTGGAGAACAGGGTGAATCCCTTCTCTAAAAACATTTAAAAAAATATCTTTTTCAATGAGCAATTATGAACACATTTGAAGCCAATGAGAAAAATAGAAAACCTCAGCAAAGAAACAAATAACCAAATGGGAATTTTAATTTTGTATTTTATTTTATTTTTTTGAGGCAGGGTCTCATTCTGTCACCCAGGTGGGAGTGCAGTGGCACAATTATGGCTCAATGCAGTGGCACAATTATGGCTCACTGCAGCCTCGACCTCCTGGACTCAAACAATCCTCCAGCCTCATTTTTGTTTTATTGTAGAGATAAGGTCTCCCTATGTTGCCCAGGCTGGCTTCAAACTCCATGGCTCAAGCAATCCTCCCACCTCAGCCTCTCAAAATGCTGAGATTATAAGCATGAGCCATCATACCCAGCCCAAATGGAAATTTTAGAGATGAAAAATACAGTAACCAAAATAAAAATCTCACTAGAGGGTCTCAATAGAAGAAAGGAGGAGACAGAAGGAAGAAGCGGTGAACCCGAAGATAAAACAATAGAATTTACCCAGTCTGAACTGAAGAGAGAAAACAGACTGAGCAAACAATGATTACATTGGGTGAAATGTAATTTGGCACCAAACACTTGAGATCACATCTTATAGGGATGGTGCCTCATCATAAAATGTCACTTCCTAAATAATTCCTGTTCCAGAGCTATTGCAGTTAAATTGTTTAATGGTAACATTTTTTTTTCTTGTAAAGGTGTGACTGTTCTATGGAAGACATAATATAAATGTCTTTCCTTCAAAATGATTACAAAGTGAAACAGAATGTTTAGGTTCTAAAATACTTTTTAAAAGTATGTAAAAGCAGTTTGTAAATTGTACAGTGCTAGGAATGGAAGCTATTATTTTTTTTTTTTTTTTGAGATGGGGTCTTGCTGTGTCGCCCAGGCTGGAGTGCAGCAGCACTATCTCGGCTCACTGCAAGCTCTGCCTCCCGGATTCACGCCATTCTCCTGCCTCAGCCTGCCGAGTAGCTGGGACTACAGGCGCCCGCCACCACGCCCAGCTAATTTTTTGTATTTTTAGTAGAGATGGGGTTTCACCGTGTTAGCCAGGATGGTCTCGATCTCCTGACCTCGTGATCCGCCCACCTCGGCCTCCCAGAGTGCTGGGATTACAGGCGTGAGCCACCGCACCCGGCCGAAGCTATTAATATTTTACTCCAACCCCTTTATTTCATACGTGAGGAATTTCAGGCCAAGAGAAAATGAGTGACTCACTTAAGGTTAACAGCTAGTTAATGACAGAGGGACTGGGCCTCCAGTCCAATAACAACTCATGTAAATATCTTTTTCATTAATCAAAAGAATTTTAAAAGAGACACTTAACCATAAGAAACAATAAAATTTTTAGCACCATCTTTTTACTGAAGGTAATATTCTGGAGTTTATGAGAAGTTAACTTCAAAAAAATCCACAGCATTGGGAAAGATGACAAAAAACAATCAAAATACATCAAAATATAACTTTATAATTAAGGTTTCCTGTTGCTAAATATTAATAAAATAAAAAATTTGTTATCATCTCTAGCAAAACTTCTCTTATGTGTTAGCTAATGGGAGTTATGGAATCAGTGGTAATACAATATGACCTAAAAATACAGCCATTGTTTTCCATAGATGCTCTGTTGCTTGATGAAGGAAAATAGGCCTTTATAGAAATGGGAGATTAAGGGAGAAAGAAATGGGTTGCTTCATAACCTGAGAACAGAAGTGATTGATAAGAAAAATAATTATGTTGCATGAATAAGAAGAAGGTGTGTACTTATGCCTCTACATCAAGTGTAAAAAGCAATTCCACTATTTCAACAACTGTTTTTCAGATTTCAAGTGTAATGCTACTATATTTTCCTTCACTTTTTATTACCCATTAAGCCCCTTAACACGCCCCCTCCACCACTACCAAATCAAACCTCTGTTCTAAGTCAGTGCCAAGAAGCTGAGTTTCATTGTTTCTCCCATGCAAATCAAGTTGTGAATATTTTGCAAGGGAGATCCTGCAAGAATGTCTGTATACAAAATAGTAAATCACAACTGGGAAAGAAACTTGCTGGAGACGTGTGCTCTGTTTTATGTCATTTGGAACAATAGCAATCACCAAAATGCAGAAGTTTGTGATTTTAGAGCCTGGGAGCACCGCTATTTGGTTACCCAGATTACAGGCAGTGGTATGTTGGACTGGATTAAACCAGAAGAGGAATCTGTTTATCCCCTCTGCTTTAAACACCAATAAAAAGCACTGTTCCTCTCTTGAAGGTGCTGAAATGCAAAGCAAGCTCCCTACTCCTTTTCTCTCTCTTGGTGGCATTTGAACGTGTAAAGCTTTGAATACCAATTGCTTGAACTGGACATATGTGAATCTCTTCTAATCCTACTAATCCTGTCCCCAAGTGCTTCTTTGTATGTGGAGGCAGCACACATAGATCTAAGTAAAAGTGGCCATAATCCTGGAAATGTGGAAAAATGTCCCAGTGTGAGAGATGCGAGAGGGAGAGCTCCCTGGCAGAGGGACCTGCTGAAGAAGCTATTGTGTCAGTTCAAGGAAAAAGAGGGGGGACCGAGGCTCAAGGGAACATATGAAGGAGCCCTCTCACCTTTTCTGAGCTCCTGGGAGGAGAACAAACCCACCCAGCTGGAGTCCTCCCTTGCAAACAGCCTTGGTACACTTGAGCAAACTTAACAGAACTGAGACAGTTTCCAAAGGCTGGGAAATTCACCCAGCGGCTGCTTTCAGTGGCCTGAGCCCAGCAGGCCGGGGCCCGACGACGTGAGGGCTTCATTATGCTGCAGAATTTCCTTTAAGACAGCCGGCCTGTTTACGGATTTCTGAGCCGTTGCTCCCTCTCAAACAGGAAGGGAAAGAGTGGCGGAAATTTCAGTAGAAAAACCAAGACATAAAATAATCCTACAGACTCTATCTTGTCAAGACTTTTCAAATAGAAGCAGGAGATACACAGTGAGTTTCTAAATTACTCCGTTTTGCTGAGGCAACTTGTGAGACTCTGACCATCCTGGTTGCAATTGTCCGTAAGGAGGCACCGCAGCTTTTGAACTTTCTAAAGGAAATGTGGCCGCATTCTCCTCCTAGTGAAGAATGCGTGAATCCATCCATTCACAAATAATAACTTTTGCAAACAGAGTATTTTAAAGTTTGTGGAATATTTAATACCGGTTTTTGAATCATGTTACAAGGGCTGAGTGCTGATTAACAGTATAAGAGTTACATTTTTCAAAAAGCATTTCCAGTTTTACAAGCCCTGTGAAAAAGATGATGTAAATACTGCAATCTCCATTTGATGGAAAAGATATCATAATTATATTAAAGAAAGTTCACTGATCTGAAAGCATACATTTTTCAACCCAAATATGCCTGACATATTTTAAAAGAACCATCAACACAATACCCCATCCAGGTGGTTAGTACAACTTAAAGTTGTATCAGGTGCTACAATTCAAACATATTTATTTCTTCTATTTTGTTCAACTCATGTTCGTTGTTCATTTGTTATTTGTTTGTTTTATAAAATATTAATTGCTATTTAAAACTATGCAAAACATTTTAGGCAAACATTATTTTCAAAACCCAGGTCCTCTTAGGGAAATAGCCTGACTGTACTTAATACTGAACTAGAAGGTTAGTGGTGCCATAAATGTAAATGAAATAGAGTATGCAATATAATACAATCTAAATATATAAAATAAGCAACCACAAAAGTATCCTCCTTCCACACCTGAGAGAACAAAGTTTTGAATGAAAAACGTTGCTTTGTTGATGTGAAACAAACAAACAACCCTCCCTCAAAAAGACAGATATTAAGGATCCTAATTATTTTACTTAACGAAACTTGTTATGTATCAGGCACTATTCTAAGGAACTTACAAATATTGAAGCATCATAATAGCCCTATAGGGTGGGTGCTGTCATTGCCTCCATTTACAGATGAGGAAAAAGGGACTTGAAGGGACTTGGTTACTTGCCCCAGGCACGTGGCCCCTGAGCCACACTGGAAGGCATCCCAGCGTCTACAGTCCTCACTCCTGGCCTCTCTCCCAGCTGCCTCTGTTCTTGAGACACCCACTCTGAAGACGTGGCTATCTAGGTTGCTAGATGTCAAATTTACAGCAATGAGAAAACCCAAACGAACGTAAAATGCATTTTTAAGGTAGTTTGTTGAGAGATAAAGAAAAGCAGAATCAAGACAATGATTGGCTTGCATCTCCTGGCAGCAAATTCGAGCACAAACATGAAATTCAGTGAGCTAGAAAGCTTTCTACCTGATTTGGCAGAACAAAACTCCAAGAAGAAATTTCTAATAAGATTGATGAAATTTAAATCCCGTTTAGTGCTGTATGTCCGACAGACCTAATGAATATTTCTCAATGAGTATTATGAAAGATTTCCACAAAGCAGAGTAGAAAATTGAGGTAGTTATTTAGAATAGATTTGTGACCTTGGGAGAGCTGTTTCCTCAGTCTGTGCCTCAGTTTCCTCATGTCTAAAATAATCTTGAAGGTCCAGTCTATCCCAAAAATATTTGTGATTCTAGAACTTATGTAATTTCAGATAACAACAATAAACCAAGCAGTCCATAAATAAAGAGCTCATGGGGTTAGTGTATACAGCAAGTTAAATATGACTTATCCTCGGGATTCAGTTACCTCAGCCTGACACCTTTTGTCCTTCTTCACCTCCTCTCAGGCCACCTTCTCCTTAAGCTGTTGCTGTTGGTAGGCAGCTTCACACCTGGGGTATCCCATACCTCTCATATCTTGTGTTTTGCACCAAAGCTCCTGTAATGGCAGAAATGGTTTTGCTCATGCATGGACATGGAAGGGACTTGACACCCCCTGGGCTAACCCTGGATCAATGAGGTGTGGGATCCAGTGGATACCTGTGCTCCTCTTCTGTTCCCTGGCAAAGGATTTCGAGGTGCATTCTATACAACTCTTCAGAGGATCCTGGCCAGACAGAACCCCTGGGATCCACAGTAGTGGCCAGCTGGACTTTGCATCCTTGTGTTGGAGCTCAGGACTTACCACCCCAAAATATGGCTGCAGAAGACCAGAATAGGCTACCTCAAAATATACCTCTTAGACATATTGATTATTTTGAGCTGGCTATTTGGAGGAACTGCAGACACAAGAGTAACTGAAAAGTTACCCTTTCATAAGAGAAATTTATATCTGATAAAAGAAAACTTCAGCCGAATTATGTTCAAAAGAATTTAACTGAGAAATGAACGATTTGTGAATTGAGCAGCTCCCAAGCCCGAGTAGGCTCAGAGACTCCAGTGCAGCCATGTGGTGGAAGATTTATGGACAGAAAGAGGAAAATGACAAACGGAAAATGGAAGTGAGATACAGAAACAGCTGGATTGGTTATAACTTGGCAATTTGAACATGGTTAGAACAGTTGGCTACATTTGATTGGCCAAAATTTGGTGATTGGCACAAGTGTAGGCTAAGGTCTGTTTACATCTCCACTTGTTATAGTTCATGATGTACAGAGAAACCTTTATGCCAAGCTTAAAATATGTAAGGAGGCAGCTTTAGGCTAAACTTGATTTAACACATCTATAAGGAAACTTTTGTTAGTAAAAATATCTACCAGGAAGAGAGCTGCTCCAAGACAACTTTTATCATCTGAGAGACTTTTGTCTTTGTAACCAGGCAACCTTTATTTATCCTATATTTCCTCCCTCATCCTCCCATAATTTGCCCCCACCACGTCTTAGAAGCCTAAGCCCCAATTCCTTTCGGTAGCTCAGGATAATATTTGAGCCTCAATCATCCAGCTACTTCTTTCAGCGTCTTATTTTTGGGTTTTTCTCCTGTTAACCTGTCTCATATTAATTTAATCACAAATCAGCCAAACAACGTAGAAGGGTAGAAAGAAGCATTTTTTTTTCCTCTCCTACACCTGTATTGGCTGTTCTTTATTCTGTTTTATTCTTTTCATTGCTTATTCCCATTTTGTTTTGGTTCTACTTCCCCCAAATACAACATCTGCACACAACCTCTTATCTATGTACAAGCTCTTATCTCAGATCTGTTTCCTAGGACAATCTTGGCTAAGACATTCCTTAAAACAAGTGCAGTCAGACTCTATCAATAGATGTATATGATGTTCAGAACTAGGGAGGGGATAGTAACTTCCTTCATAAACTGATCAGCCCCAGGGTAAAACTCTATGCTTAGCATTGCCACCGCATCTGAAGAAGGCATTGACAGGCAGAACTGGCCCAGGAGGGAGCCTCCAGAATTTGGAAAAACTGAAAGCTATGTCACGGAACCCAGCAGATAGTACTCTGCAGAATAGTATTCATCAGAGAGCATAATTTATATCATTAAATATTAGAAGAATCTGCGTACAATGGGTGGAAAAAAACAACTTTATCAAGTCAATTTTAGAAGAAATGTTTAACAGCTCAAAACTTAAAAAAGATAAAAAGGAAAATTGCTGTGGCAGGTAGCATGCTTTCTCAATCAGAAAGAACTGAACAATTCTTGGCACAGAGCTCACAGAGGGAACCCTTTGATGGGCCGAACTTGACTTTCAGAAGAAAGTACATTGTAGCTTTAACTCAAAACTCGGCTTTCCTGATGGAAATCTGGCCTGAGTTCTAACATTCTTTCACAGAACATACATGAGGTTTTTAACAGTGCCAGAAATTGACAAACAAAAATGAGTAAAATGAAAAAAAAAATTGACCCTGAAACAAAACGAGAAAATGAGTTTCTGAATGAGCTAAATTCACTCTTGCAACAAATAGCGGAAGCGGCAAGAATCGTCAAAGTTGTTCCATTAATGAGAGGAGTTTTGGAGTTGAAGTTATTTGCCAAGTACTAGACTAGAACTGAGACGCACCCGACTGCACGTGGTGTTTTGAATGGAATTCTAGAATATGGAGGAGTTGCTTTGAGAATTTAAAGGCGGGAAGGAGCTCTCTGAAATCCACCTGCCGGCTCCCAACTTTTTCTCATCCTTGCACTTTGCAAGCAGCACTGCATGTTGAGCAGATGAGGAAAGGACCTTAGCTCTAGAACCCTCCCTATAACTTAAGTGGTGACAGAATTTTTCTAAGCTGAAGTTTACTCTGCCTTTATGTTAAAATAAATGTGATAATGCTATCTTAAAAACAAAAGCATTTCTAATATAAAACACTGTCTAATTGGGCACAGTGCAGCCTTGGAAAGATGTAATAAGCAGGAAAGTTACATTGATTTGTTTGTTATCACCTTAATTGTTGATTCTGCTGTGTTAAAAGTGATTGTGGTTGTGTTAGAAGTGAAGCAGTTTTCCAGCTGCAATGCTAATAAATTCCAAGATCAAACAATATCTTGCTAATTACTGAGTTCATGAGGACAAGTTCAAAAGCAGAGTTACGTTCATAATCATATGTTTCAAAGCACCTTGAAGCAAAATAAGTTCCCAATTTGTGGCTCTAATACTACATACTTGGCCTTTTTTCCTTCAGAATGTATCAAGGAAGTACATTTTTTGTGTTTTACATTATTAATAATGTACAATTTAGGGAACAAAATTCTTTGGCAAATTAAGAGACTTAATACAAATAACGTAAAGCTGAAAGCTCATCATTACCTATGTAAAAATACATCTAAAGGAAGAAAAATATGACATTTTAATGAAGGAAATGAAATTAAAAGCCACTGGGCATTCATTTTCCCTCCTCCAAGCTCCTTACATGTAGACAGAAGAAAATGAACTCACAGGGAAGTTGAGGCTCTCCTAATCCCGTTGCTCTCTTTCCAACATTTTGTTTTGGTTGTGCCTGTAAGAATGAAGGAGACACTGGCCGTCATCCAAGAAACCCCCCCCACTTTTTTTTTCTCCTTAAGCAAAAACTCACCAGCAATCTGGAATGGTTTAACACCCCTTGTTGGTGTTATTCGGGTATTTCTCAGAAATGCTAATGAACAATTCACTTTGGCACTTTAGATAAACACAATCTGGTGGTGTTATTTGGGCATCATTCACACTTGCTAATGATTGACTCTCTCTGGCTTTCGTATGCAAGAGCCAAACCTATGACGTCGTTGGGGGCCTGAAAAGCAAGTAACTAGCTCACCTTAGGGGAAACTTGTAAGTTGATCAGCTTTAGGTTTAAGCTGGTGGTTGCTTAGGCATGGCCTACTCAACACAAGACTGGCCAACTGGAACAAAACAAACTTCAGCCACCTCCATCAGCGCCACATCTCAACTGTGTGCAAGCACTTACCTGGCATTCATCTGTGTATAGTGCTGTGTTTAATACAACACCAAGCATGGTAAACAGACACAGTCTTTGACCTTCTGAGGTTTTATAACCTAAAAGGAAGGGGCAGCAGAGACAAACATATTACTAGTTAAACTATATATATAGTGAGTTAAACTAGCTCACTGTAGTTCCAGTGCTTTGCAGACAGTGGTACAGGAGAAGCCCTTTTAATATTCATCAAGCACCTGAAGTCAGTTTCTACCGCTGTTTTTTGTTGTTTGTTTGGTTGGGTTTTTTGGTTTGTTTTTTTAAAAAAGACCAAAAAGAAGCATATTTCTGCACCCCTCCCCCCTTTTCTAGAGGAAGAATTGAAGAATTCAGTTTTTATCAATTGTATTTAGTTAATTCCAGGGATCCTAGGCTCTGAGACCACAGTTTTATCTAAACAAACCCATAAGTCAATGACTGTAAGATTTATATAAGGGTGAAGTTGTTTTATCATTTTATCTAGACGAACCCATAAGTCAATGACTATAAGATTTATATAAGGGTGAAGTTGTTTTGTCATTAGTTTTGTTTTAAAGGCTGCACTGTCCTGACCGTTTTACTTTCTCAGAGAAACACCCCCTGCCCTATCCACCCCAACCTCTGCTTTTATTTTTCTGTCTGAGAAGAAACCTTTGGAGGAACGTAGAGCTTACAGACATTACACCTCAACGGTACTTCTGTGCTTTCAGCATTTGTTGCCAGGAAATTATTCTGAATTATTCTGGCAAAATTTCAGCTCTGGAAGGGTCCTGTCCACCCCCGCCCCCCCGCCCCTGCCATGGTGGGAGTGGGGGTGTGGGGCTCAGTGTTCTCAGATGTAGAGAAACCAGCAGGGGGTTAATCCCCTCTACAAACATTGTATCCTCTCCTGACCTTCGTATGCATTGGAATCAAGGGTAAGAAGTTTCTTTTGAAGCTTTCCTTTCGTTCTTTATTTGGGTACCTCAGAATGTAGGCTAATCTCGGCTTGGCAATGAGGAGTTTCAGTTTGGCCAACTGGGAAGATGCTCTGTGATTCAAGAAGGTTTCAGTATCAGCTCTCCCCAGATAGCATGAGGGTGTCAGTTGTGTGTGAGTTTACAAGAGCCTGAAATCTGGGATTGTATGTCCCCACCCAACTCTCCTTTTTTTGGTTTTGGTTGAAAAATAAGAAGGCTGGTTTATTTATTTATTTATTTATTTGAGACGGAGTCTCGCTCTGTCGCCCAGGCTGGAGTGCAGTGGCGCATCTCGGTTCACTGCAAGCTCCGCCTCCTGGGTTCACGCCATTCTCCTGCCTCAGCCTCCCGAGTAGCTGGGAATACAGGCGCCCACCACCACGCCAGGATAATGTTTTGTATTTTTTTAGTACAGACGGGGTTTCACCATGTTAGCCAGGCTTGTCTCGATCTCCTGACCTCGTGATCTGCTCGCCTTGGCCTCCCAAAGTGCTGGGATTACAGGCATGAGCCACCGGGCCCAGCCAAAGAAGGCTGGTTTAGATAAGGTTGACATCAGGCCTAAATAATATCAAATTATCTTAATTAACATATTAAATAAACAAGTAATAGTCTGACAGGTGACTTGTGGAGACAGAGTTTCTTCATATCAAGCATACTAGAATATTAAATTAGTGAGTCTATTTTTATTTTCTCGCAGGCAGTGCTTAGATTAGAACCATGGGAGTAAAAGCTTCCCAGTATTTTAAGAAATCCGGTTACTCGTGGAGTGACCATCATCAATTATTTTAAAGCACACCAATAAATTCTGCTGATTATTCATTTTCCAAAGCTAGTCACAGCACTTTCAACTAAAAAAAAAAAAAGTGCCTTATCCCCAAAGCAATTTGCTTTTCAATATATCAATACAATTTACTTATGACATTGCTCAGGGATTAATATAATATAAGGTCCCTGGCGATTCCTTTTTTCTTTGCAAGTCATAAACAGGAAGTTGACAATAACTTTTGTGGCTCTGGATGTGTAAAGTATATTTGTGGAATAAGGAATCATTTACTATTGTCTAAGCTGTAGGATGAATGTATGTAGATTTTGATGTCTTCATAGCTCCATTGTAGTAATTTGAACCCACTGTTAAAACACAGTGAGTATATTCTGATGGACGTCAACCATTTTTTATCAACTAGGTATCAGATGAGAAAACCCTAGCCCAGGAAATTTAGGCAAGTTACTTGATTCAAAGAAAGAAAAATTCCTACCCGGTCACAAAAGAAATTTAGACTAAACGCTATTCCAGAGTCAAATAGAGCACTGACCATTAAATACAGACTGTTATAAACCTTTGCTGAGCCCTGGTGTTAAAAAATATTCAGATCAAATAGCAATAATGCTCCATTCTTCCAGGGTATTCTTTGGAGGTTTTCCTTACTAAGGAAAAGACTCAACAATATTTTGCATTTGTATAATACCACCTAAATCCTTTACGAATGCTATTAGTCTCACTTTGCAGGTGAAACAGCCTTATTTCAGAAAGATGTTTACTGAGATTTCACAACTGGTAAAGAGAACATACACAGCATTTGCCATCATATTTCGTTATAATTAAAGGGAGATTGGTGATTTTTTTTTTTAGGTTGCAGTTTCTAGTAGAGGCATTTGCTGGTGTTGTAAAGCCATTTAAGGACCGTAGAACTTAAGGGATTCCCATTTGCCCCTTGGCATACGGACTTGCTGGAAGCTTCTCAGACAGTAGAATAGCAAATGGTACCCAGTCTCAGCTAAGTTATAGAAAAAATGAAGGCATGGATAGCCCTTAAGCCCTACTGCAGAATCAAATATATACATGACTCATTTATGTTGTTTTCTGATTGTTGGTTCACTTCAAAATAAAAATATTTAAGTGGAGGAAATATTTAAATATTAAATGGAATATCAAGACACTGCAACTCTTTCTAGTTCAATTGAATATTCTAAGTACTCAGTGTTTAATGAGATTCTCTCAGTCTAGGTCAGAAGAGTCAAAAAGAAAGCTCTTTACAGTTGCAGGGGCTGGGTTTTAAATTGCTATGTGACCTAGAAATAAAGTCAAACTCATTTATTTTCACATACAATTCCCTCAGCATTTCCAAATGAAAACATGTTCATTTGACTAGCCTGTCACAAAACAGGGTTACACAATGTATCTTAGAAAAGCATTTAACTTTCAAAGGCTGTTATTCAACAACTTCTAGGAGATAATTGTGAATATTCTCAAATAATCCAAATTTAAAGCTGCTTAAAAGAGACACAGTGCACATGGGCTAAGATAACAAACCTGTCACACTCAAGGGAAGCACTAATTCAGGTGCATTCCAGTAAGGATGTTCAGTGGGATACCTCCTTTCCAATTCTACCTACTGTCAAGTCTGTGCAAATGCTTAAAGAGGCTCTAATATAATTTTGTCATCAGATCTCTTGAGTCACCAGTCACTGCTAGAGCCCCTGGTCTGGTAACACAATAGAAATATTGCAATGGTTGCATAACCCTGAGCCACACTGGCTGCCTGTACTAGCTGTCTGCCTACGTCGGCCTTAAAATTCTTTCTACTCTTTTTAAATCAAATAAATGTTAGAATGGGTTTCCTTTTCCTTTTCATCCCTCCCTTCCTTCCTTCCCTATCTCCTCCCTCCCTCCCTGCCATCTTTCTTTCCTTCCTTCCTTCCTGCCTCCCTCCCTCCCTTCCTTCCTTCCCCCTCCCTCCTTTAATCCCTCCTTCTCTTCCTCCTTCTCTCTCTCTTTCCTCTGCTGTGTTTCAGCTCTCTCCTCATCCAGCTTTGATATTTTTATGTGTTTGGTTCACCCCCTCCCAATAATGTCAGAGAAAGAAAAGGTCAGTAGTTGTTCCTGTGTGGGTTTTTTTTCTTCTGTTCCCCCAAACTCACTTTTTTTGGTCATTCCCTTGCTGCCCCCCTACCCCCGCCCCCACCTTACCACCACCAGGAAACAGAAGAGGGAGGAGAAAGAGAGGGGAAAAAAAAAAAGATTAAGACGTAAGCTGGCTAGATAAGCCTGTGACCGGTTTTCTTACCAGCTCTGAATGAGGGTACAAGGATACAAAGGCAGCCCGCTCTATTGGAGCCAGCGCGAGGTTGGTGGGAGCTCTGGCTTGATTGTATGTCACTCGGAGAAAGGGTGTTTCATCAATTACACATTAACTATGTGCACTGAGTAGAAGGTAGCAGATAAAAAATGCAGATGTTTCTGCAGCCCAGTAGAATGAGAACTGCTCTTGATCCTGTCAAAAGAACATTTTGAATCAAAGGGGCTTCATGGGATCCAGAGAGTTTTGTGGTCCAGTGCTATGGTGTGGCCTTTTAATCATTAAACCCTTTTATAGTGGTGAAATGAACATCCATTGTCATGGCCACACCAATGAGGCCATCCAACCTGGCAAAAAGGGAGGGCTTTGCTATATGGTGGGAGCGCAATGAAAGAAGGGGACAGGCTCACAGTTCTGTGGAATTCAGAAGATAACAACAAAAATGAATCACAAAGAAAAGACTGGCTCAGGTTAGTTTGGTCAAATTGCTTTTGGCTGCAACACTTTCTTACCAGCCAAACACCAGCTCCCCTCTTTTGTTTTCAGCCAGTGTTTTACTGGCTCCGTTTAATTTTTACTGTTCTTTAAGTGCAGGTTACTTAGGAAAGCTGATTGGAAATGGTATTATATTCTTAATCACTTTTCTACAGCTGTGGGAGAGCCATTAGCATTGGCAGAAGAAAGAAGTTGCATCCCCCCGCCCCCATCTCCTGCACTTGGCCCAACTATGCAGTCTATGCCAGGAAGCAAGAGTTATGGAAGAAATTATCTCTAACTCCAATCTTGGAAAGGAGCCTGCATTTTGGCTGGCTTCAAAACCATAGGCTTTTAGTCATATTTTTTTCCTGAACATTTCTTGTGACTTCTAAGTTCCACCATTCTTTTCTCCTACAGTTTTCAGCTAAGAAAGAGAAACACTCGATCTTTTAATACAGCTTTTTTCATTTTCTTTTTATTGTAGTAAAATATACATTGGCATGAAACTTTTGCCATTTTCTTATTTTTATTTTTAATTTTTTTCTTAGAGACAAGATCTCACTCTGTCATCCAAGCTGGAGTGCAGTGGTGCGATCACGGCTTACAACAGCCTCTAACTCCTGGGGACAAGTGCACACCACCATGCCCAGCTAATTTTTTTAAATTTTGTGGAGACAAGGTCTCACCATGTTGCCTGGACTGGTTGAACTCCTGGGCTCAGGGGATACTTCTGTCTCAAAGTGCTGGGATTACAGGTGTGAGCCTTCTGCCCAGCCACATTTTAGCCCTTTTTTTTTTTGAGACAGAGTTTTGCTCTCTTGCCCAGGCTGGAGTGCAATGGCGTGATCTCGGCTTACCGCAACCTCTGCCTCCCGGGTTTAAACGATTCTCCTGTCTCAGCCTCCTGGGTAGCTGGGATTACAGGCATGTGCCACCGCGCCTGGCTAATTTTGTATTTTTAGTAGAGACGGGGTTTCTCCATGTTGATCAGGCTCGTCTCGAACTCCTGATCTCAGGTGATCCACCCGCCTCGGCCTCCCAAAGTGCTGGGATTACAGGGGTGAGCCACTGTTCCTGGCCATTTTAGCCATTTTTAAGTGGCATGTTTACATGGCATGAAACTTACCACTTTAACCATTTTTAAATGTACAGCTCAATGGTATTAAGTACATTCATATCATTGTAGAACTATCACCACTATTTATCTCCAGAACTTTTTCATCTTCCTCATCTGAAACTCTGTCTCCATTAAACAATTTCTTGGCTGGGCATGGCAGCTCATGCTGTAATCCCAGCACTCTGGTAGGCCAAGGCCAGTGGATTACCTGAGGTCAGGAGTTCGAGACCAGCCTGGCCAACATCGTGAAACCCCATCTCTACTAAAAATACAAAACATTAGCTGGGTGTGGTGGTGGACACCTGTAACCCCAGCTACTTGGGAGGCTGAGGCAGGAGAATTGCTTGAACTGGGGAGGCAGAAGTTGCAGTGAGCTGAGATCATGCCATTGCACTCCAGCCTGGGCAACAAGAGTGAAACTCTGTCTAAAAAATAATAATAATAATTCTTGTTCCCCCCTCCCCCCAGCTCCTGGCAACCACCATTCTACCTTCTATATCTATTGAAGGGGCAGAAAAGTGTGGTACCTTTTCTCACCCATCATAAGAGTCACCGTCAACACTCCTGTAACAAAAGATAGGTTAACAAGAGAAAAGTACAACAAATTTATTTAATCAAAGTTTTATGTGACATGAGAAACATCAGAAATGAAGACCCAAAGATCCAGGAAAAACTGCCTATTTTTATGCTTAGGATCAATGAAGAATGAACAGCCATGTAGAAATGTCACTGGACCAAAGGGTATGATCTAATGGTGATAGGCTGAGGGGGAAACCCAGCAAGGCCTGCCTGTTCAGATTCTTCTTGGTCTCTCTGTGTAGTCTGCCTTCATCCTGGGCTTGGGTAGGACCCCTGTGGAATGAAGGTCTTTAAGAGAGAGTGACCTTTCTAGGTTATGGCTTGCTTGGGGGAAAAGAGGTTCTAGTTTCTATGACCCACCTTGGGAAAGAGGAATTCTGGTTTCTATGACTCACTTTATGGGAGAAAGAGAGGCGAGAAACAGGAGGATGGGAGAGGGTCAGAGAGACTGTTTCTGAGACCTTTCAACCTCCTTTTGTTCAAAGCATTCAGCATGCCAAGGTGCCATACTTTGGGGTATCATGCTCTAGCCCCAACATTATAAACTTGACTACTCTAGATACCTTAAATAAGTAGAATTATACAATATTTATCCTTTTCTGACTGGCTAATTTCACTTAGCACAATGTCCTCAGGGTTTATCCATGTTGTAGTGTATGTCAGAATTTCCTTCCCTTTTAAGGCTCAAAAGTATTTATCTATATGTGATATGGCTTGGCTCTGTGTCTCCAACCAAATCTCAGATTGAATTGTAATCTTTAATGTTGTGGGAAGGACCTGGTGGGAGGGACCTGGTGGTGGAAGGACCTGGGATCATGGGGGCTGAGTTCCCCCTTGCTGATCTCTTGAATGAGTTCTGGTTGTTTAAAAGTGTGTAGCACCTCCTTCTTCACTCTCTCTCTCCTACTGGTCATTTGAAGATATGCTTGCTTCCCCTTCATATTCCACCTTGATTGTAAATTTCCTGAGGCCTCCCCAGCCATGCTTGCTGTGCAGACTGCAGAACTGTGAGCCAATTAAGCCTCTTTATAAATTACCCAGCCTCAGATAGTTCTTTATAGCAGCATTATAATGGACTAATATAGTATTTATGTACCAGATTTTGTTTATTCGTTGATCTATTAATGGACAATAGGGTTGCTTCCATCTTTTGATTCTTGTGAATTATGCTGCTATAAACATGGATGCACAAATATCTCTTTGAGTTTATACTTTCTTTTCTTCTGGGTATATATCCAGAGGGGAATTGCTAGATCATACCATAATTCTATGTTTAATCTTTTGTGGTACTAAAATACTGTTTTTCACAGTGGTCTCACATTCTGACCAGCAATGTACAAGGGTTCCAATTTCTCCTTATTCTTGCCAACACTTTTTTGAAGCTAACCATCCTAATAGGTGTGAATGGTATCTCACTGTGGTTTTAATATGCGTTTCCCATAAAGAAAATATGGCACATATACACTATGGAATACTATGTAGTCATCAAAAATCATGTCCTTTGCAGGGACATGGATAAAGCGGGAAGCCATCATTCTCAGCAAACTAACACAGGAACAGAAAACAATACACCACATGTTCTCACTCATAAGTGGGAGTTGAACAATGAGAACACATGGACACAGGGAGGGGAACATCACACACCAGGGCCTCTTGGGGGGTGGGGCGCAAGGGGAGCAAGAGCATTAGGACAAATACCTAATGCTTGTAGGGCTTAAAAACCTAGATGACAGGTTGATAGGTGCAGCAAACCACCATGGCACATGTATACAATGTAACAAAGCTGCACGTTCTGTGCATGTATCCCAGAACCTAAGGTAAAATTTAAAAAAGAAAAAAATGCGTTTGCCAGATAATTGGTGATGTTGAGTATCTTTTCATGTATTTATTGGCCATCTATATATCTTCTTTGGAGAAATATCTATTCAAGTCCTTTGTCCATTTTTGAATTGAGTTGTTTTTCTTTTGTTAAGTTATAGGAGTTCCTTAAATATTCTGAATATTAACCCCTTCTTAGATACGTAATTTGCATATGACTTCTCCCATTTCATGGGTTTCCTTTTCATTCTGTTGATACTGTCTTTTGATACACAAAATATTTTAATTTTGATGAAGTCCAATTTTTCTAGTTTTCTTTTATTGTCTCTGCTTTTGATGTCATATCCAAGAAATAATTACCAAATTCACTGTCATAAAGCTTTCCCCCTATATTTTCTTTTAAGAGTTTTATAGTTTAGCACTTACATTTAGATCTTTGATTTATTTTGAGTTAATTTTTCTATGTGGTATAAGGTAAGGGTCCAACTTCATTTTTTTTTTTATTTGGCAGGGGGACAGGGGCATGTAGATATCCAGTTTTCCCAATACCAGTTTTGAAGACTATTCTTTTTCTATTGAATGACCTTGGCACCCTTGTCAAAAATTATTCAGCCATATATACAAGGGTTTATTTCTGGGATTTCTATCCTATTACATTGGTCTATATGTCTGTCTTTATGCCAGTACCACATTGTTTTGATAACCATAGCTTTGTAGTAAGTTTTGAACTCAGAAAGTGTGAAATCTCTGTTTTTTTTTTTCTAGATAGTTTTGACTATTTGAGATCCCTTGAGATTCCACATGAATTTTAGATTGGATTTTTCTATTTTTTACAGAAAACATAATTGGGATTTTGATAAGGATTGCATTGAATTTTTAGATCATTTTGGGTAGTAGTGACAACAATATTTCTTCCAATCTATGAACATGGAATGTCTTTCCATTTATTGGTACCTTCGTTTTCTTTCAGCAATATTCTGTAGTTGCACAAGTCTCACCTCCTTGTTAAATTTATTGCTAAGTATTTAATTCTTTTTATACTAACATAAATGGAATTTTCTTAATCTCTCTTTTAGGATATTCATCTAATTTAGTTTTTAATCAGGAAAAATATAGAACTTTTACCAAATTCCCACCTGAATCTCATCCCAAAGAAATTGGTACAATGAAGTGTGTAGAGGCTGACCAGAAACTACTTCCCAACTCCTGCTTTCCCAGCCAGGGAAAGCCATGACCTGCTTTCCCAGGTCATGCCCTGCTCTTCCTGGCAGGAAGCCACTAGTGGAAATACAAAGTCCAATGGAATCTTTCGTTCTTTCTCTCTCTTTCTTTCTTTCTTTCTTTCTTTCTTTCTTTCTTTCTTTCTTTCTCTTTCTTTCTCTTTCTTTCTTTTTCTTTCTTTCTTTCTCTTTCTTTCTCTCTCTCTTTCTTTCCTCTCTCTTTCCTTCTTTCTTTCTTTTTTTCTTTCTCTCTCTGTCTCTCTCTCTTTCTTTCTCTCTTGCTCTCTTTCGACAGAGCTTCATGCTGTCTCCCAGGCTGGAGTGCAGTCACATAATCTCAGATCACTGCAACCTCTGCCTCCCAGGTTTAAGCCACCTTCCCAAGTAGCTGAGACTACGGGCATGTGTGTGCCACCATGCCCAGCTAATTTTTGTATTTTTAGTAAAGACAGGGTTTTGCCATGTTGGCCAGGCTGGACTTAAGTGATTCACCCACCTTGGCCTCCATTACAGGTGTGAGCCACTCACTGTGCCTTGCCCTGGAATTTTTTTCAAGTATGACAATATTAAGATATCATTGTTATGTCAGAAAGCAGTTTTTATTTACACCATTTAATAGGTTAGAAATCCACCATTAATCTTGAAAATGAAACATTCTGAAGTCAGGAAGTTTCCAAGTAACGTTTTCGAAGAAAACTGATTTACCTACCCAAATATTTCGATGAATGCTAATATAACTTGCAAATAAGTATAAAAATAAGTAGCTCACTGATTTCATACTTCCATTTGAAAGCTATTAGTCACATAAACGGCATCTTTTTTCTAGATTTTTTAGGGGGAGGGTGTCATATAATGTATACAGATTTCATACACCACATTAAGGCAATAATTTCCCCCTCTCAAGAAAACAAGAACATTTCATGACATGCAGAATAAGAGGATGTGTGTGATGTGTGTGTGTTTTGCAGAAAGACATTTTCTTCTATTTTGTAGATAGTGACATAACCTAGTCATACCAACTCTCGCTAAATTTAAATATTAGATGAAAAATGAATCAGTCAAGCATTTTTGTCTTTGGTTTATTGATAATACTTTATATGTTTACACTCTCACATTTTCCCTTTTATGAGATAACATGCTTTCTTTAAAAAAATTTTTTACAAGTGTTCTTCTTTAAAAGAGGCTATAGAAACAGATTTTAGTAGTACTACGTGCTAAATAATTTTATAAAACTCCAGATAGATATACATTATCCTAAAGATACAACCTTGTTGACTTGACACTACAAAGGAAACAAAAAACAAAAACACACAAAGAAAACTCAGCAAACAGGAACAGAGAAAGAGTTTGGTTTCTCTGGTCGCCCAAGAATTAAGTTCCATAAGTTATAGAATGATACAACTCATTTTGTTTTTTTAATTTTAATTTGAAAAGAAAATGTATTAAAGTGAAAAGTTTGGTTCCACATTAGTCCGTGGCACATGTGCTTTTTAGTATCCTCACTTCTAAAGTGAGTATTAACACTTTCTGGCTGCCGTAGTAGTAGTGTACCTCAAGGTACTTTATTTCCATCTTTTAGAAAATTATTGTGATATATATTTTATTAGAAAAAACACTTTAGTGCTATTTGATAGAAAAATATAATAATAAATATACAAATGAGCGTGTCTATAATGTAATCAGGGTCCTCTTTAATGTGTTGCTCTGTGCAGCATACAGCCTGAACAACTGTACTAAGATAGCTCTATTCTTTGTTTGTTTGTTGTCTTAGGGCAAAAATCTTGGAATCATCCATGACATTTTTCATTCTTTCATGTCCTAAATGGGACCTATTGTTAGATCCTGTTTGTTGTTATTTCAAAAATACCCAGGATCCAACTACATCTTAACACCTGTATAGCTACCATTCTGTTCTAAGCCCCCATCATTTGGATTGGGAGTCTGCAAACTATATAGCCAGGGCCATAGGAGAGACAAGTCTGGCGACACCCATTTGTTTACTTATTGTCTGTGGCTGCTTTCCTGCTACAATGGAAGAGTTGAGTATTTGTCACAGCAACCACATGGTTTGCAAAGCCAAAAATATTTACTAGCTGGCTCTTTAAAGAAAAGGTTTGCTGACCTCTGACCTAGACTATTGCAGTGGCTTCATAAATTTGTCTTCTTGCTTCCACTCCTGCTCCTTTAATAGAGCAGCTGGAAACAGGTCATGGTATTCCTCTGTGCAACCCTCAGTGGCTTCTCAGAGTAAAAGGCAAGGTCCTTAACCAGTATCCCTCCCATCACTAGTAGAGCTGATTGCCTGATACCTCCCAGCTCATTCTCTCCCACTCTCCTCTTGCTAATTCTGCTCCCCATGGCAGTTCTTGGAAACATGTCTAGCATGTTCCCTCTTCACCTGCTGTTTCCTCCACCAGGAGTGCTCTTCCTCCCAGGTGGCTGCATGGCCCAGTCTCTTCCAAAGTCACCTTGCAGAGAGGCCTTCCCTGAAAACTCTTCACGAAGCAGCACTTTACTCCATCTTCTCCATCCATCTCCTCTGCTTCACTTTTTTTTTTTTCAATTAAATTTAATTTTATTTTATGTTCTGGGATACATGTGCAGGATATGCAGGTTTGTTACATAGGTAAACCTGTGCCATGGTGGTTTGCTATCAATCCATCACCTAGATAGTAAACCCAGCATGCATTAGCAATTTATTCTGATGCTCTCCCACCCCCCATTCCCCTGACAGACCCCAGTGTGTATTGTCCCCCTCCCTGTGTCCATGCATTCTCATCATTCAGCTCCCACTTACAAGTGAGAACATGTGGTGTTTGGTTTTCTGTTCCTGTGTTAGTTTTCCGAGGATAATGGCTTCTAGCTCCATCCATGTCCCTGCAAAGGACATGATCTCATTACTTTTTATGGCTGCATGGTATTCCACAATGTATATGTACCACATTTTGTTTATCCAATCTATCATTGATGGGCATGTGGGTTGATTCCATGTCTTTGCTATTGTGAATAGTGCTGCAATGAACATATGTGTGCATGTATCTTTATAATAGAATGATTTATATTCCTTGGGGTCTGCTTCACTTTTCTCCATCTCACTTATTCCTGGCTGACTTGGATTATATTTATCTGTCAGTGTATTCTCTGTCTCCTGCTACCAGAAGCAAAAAGTGAATACATGGATACAAGGAGGCCATGTCTGTCTTTTTTCTTTACTTGCCAGTTCTTAATATTGACAACACAGTTCTGATCTTCTGCTTGAATTCCTTTTCACCTCATCTGGTTGGTAGGCCTGGGTTTTCTTTGATCACCAGACAGGTTCTTCCCGCTTGCTGCAGAGGCAAAATCAATTCACTGACAACGTGGTATTTCAGTAAAGAAAAAGGCTGGCCACGTGGGAGAACTGAAGTTATCACTCAAATCAATCCCCCTGAAGGCTCAGAGGTTAGAGTTTGTCAAGGATAGTTTGGTGGACAGGGGACTAGGGAGTGGGGAATGATGATTGATTCTGTCTGGGATGAAATCACAGAGGGTGAAAGTGAGTTCTTCTTGCTGTCTTCAGTTCCTGAGTGGGATCACAGAACTAGTTGAGCTCATCTACTGGTCTGGGTGGCACCAGATGGTCTATCAGAAAGCAAAGTCTGAAAAATATCTCGAACACCAATCTTAGGTTTAACAATGGTGATGTCATCCATATGCACAATTGGGGAGCAATCCTATGGATGTTATCCGTAGGAATCTCGGGGCCTCTGGCTGCATCACTTCTGCACCATAGTTTCTAATCTTGTGGCTAATTTGTTAGTTGTACGAAGGTGGTCTGGTCCCTAGGCAAGAAGAGGATTTGTTTGGGGAAGGGGCTGTTATCATCTTAGTTTCAAAGTTAAACTGTAAACTAAATTCCTACTAAAGTTAGCTCAGCCTATGCCTAGAAATGAACAAGGGCAGCTTGGCAGTTAAAAGCAAGGTGTGGTGGTTAGGTCAGATTTCTTTCACTGTCGTAATTTTCCTATGTCTAATTTTTCTCATTGTCATAATTTTTGCAAAGGTGATTGCATTTCCTCCTCTGAAGTTTTGTTAAATTTTCTTGCATAGAGAAGATGCCATATGAGCCCAGGGTCTTTGTCAGTCTTTAGCTCACTCTCTCAAGTCATATGGCTTGGTGCCTTTACTCTGAGATGGTGCGGGTGGCTCTGGGGAAGAATCTAAGCTTTTCACTTTCTTGGTTTCATCTCTTTTTCCCCAACTACCTACTCTCCAGCCCCAAGAAAGGGTCTAGAAAAGGTAATTAGTGGTGGTAATGGTGTGTGTGTGGCGGGGGTAGGGTAGGGGGTAGGGGGCAGTTCCTATTTATAGGATTAACAGGACAGGGACAGTTTTCCCAATATCTGTTCCCTCAAATTGTGTCTTTTTTTAAACTAAATTTCTACTCATTGCCCCAAACAGTGAATAATATTAACCCTCTGCCTTCCCTCCACAAAGTAACAAAATGTTGAACTGCAGTGTTTTGTTTTTTGTTTGTTTGTTGTTGTTGTTTTTTCCTTTTCTTTTCTGTCTCCAAGCAAACATAAAGGTGGCTGGGGAGAGGGTCCTATACGTCTACTAGCAATTTCTAAACCTTCTTCTTTGGTGGCCTACTTTCTCTTTCCTAGCTTTCTCTAAGTTGTAGGTTATTAGTAAGATTTGTCTAGATTTCAACAAATCAGAGCTCTTAATCCCAATCCTGTGATTGATGAAGTTTGTTGTTAATGAGACAGTAACAAGCCTAGCAGGGTACATTTCTGGAAAGTTCTATCTCACAATTTTGTTGGTTACCAGGACCTTCTCCGAAGGTTTGATCTCTGATGGTCTACTTTTCTATGGACTTTATCTATTTTTTGTTGTTGTTGTGGTTGTTCATATCATTACGTTGTGTGTGAGAAAGAGATATCTGAGATATCTCTCTGACTTCCTAAACCCAAGTTAGGGCATTTTCTTGAATTGAGTATTTACAATGTGTCCATTTTATTTTTACTTTTGCATGTTATTTGTGTTTGTACATGAATCTACTGTATTATGAGCTCTTAAGGGAAAAATCTTATATCCTATCTATCTTTGTGTCCCTTGTGATGTCCAACACATTGCTTTAGACATGTTGCTACTTTAAAAATGTTTATTGAGGCCGGGTGCGGTGGCTCACACCTGTAATCCCAGCACTTTGGGAGGCCAAGGCGGGCTGATCACGATGTCAGGAGTTTGAGACCAGCCTGGCCAACATGGTGAAACCCTGTCTCTACTAAAAATACAAAAAATTAGCCAGATGTGGTGGTAGGTGCCTGTAATCCCAGCTACTCAGGAGGCTGAGGCAGGATAATCGTTTGAACCCAGGAGGCAGAGGTTGCAGTGAGCCGAGACCGCACCACTGCACTCCAGCCTGGGCAACAGAGTGAGACTCCATCTCAAAAAAAAAAAAAAAGTTTATTGAATAAATCAATTGTTCAAATATTTGTGTCTTCAATTTATGTAAAAATAGATATACCTATGGGGGGTCCCAATATTTTATAGCTGAAAGATGCTATAACTTATCATGTGTTTTGTTTTAAAGAAAAGAATAACATCACTCACACTTTATTTTACATTTTACTAATACTGCTTAAATGTAACTTTTAAATATAGGAAAAGGAACATAAAAGTGAGACTTCAGACCCGCAAGCTGAGTATTTCCAGTAAAACATACTTCAGTCTTCTGCCACGGTAGAAATAGGTTATCAGCAATATTTTCTGCCATTGTAATTCCCAAAAGTCTAAATAATATTCGCCAGAACTGTGGGAACAGAGCATTCTATCTATGTATTTATGAAAAATAGAGAAGTTGTTGAGGATATTTATGTAGGGGAGAGTATTCAATCAGTACATAACTTTGTACAGGTTGTAAGTCAAATAAAACTTTGGTGCACCTAATATTTGCAAACTGCTATAAGATTGTTGTAATAAAATGTGGGCTATATGACCACACAATGCGCATTTTTATATGTGGAAATTAACACAAGCACTTCTGAAAGAAAGCCATTGACCTAATTTGTGCTACTATAGCGTCTCTGTGTGACACAGGTCAACAAAAACTAAATGCTCAAGAGACTCAGGAGAATCTGAGTATTTTATAGTTTTTCCATCTATCTTAAGACTGAGCAAAAGTAGAACTGTCATTGGGCTGAGCCAAAAAGGGAGACACTGAGTTTAAGTAAGGTGAGCCTGAGAACCAAGTTCCAGAGCAGTGAGACATCAGGGCCAACCAGGCTCTGGAGGAAGATGCCCAAAGGAAACTAGGAAATGGTTGAGAATAGACTTGGAAAAAAGAGTGGTGCACACAAGGAAACCGCCCATCAGGAAAGATCATTTGTCTAGCTTGTAAAGGGGCAAAATGCTGAATGTTCAACACACCAGCTGGTATTTCTAAAATCAGAAAATTTCTACATAAAAGCTTGCAATCATCACTTGGTGTAAAAGTCTACATCCTGGAAAAGGCCCATGCAATCCTAAATGACCTGGCCCTCTCTCCCTTCCTGCTGCTCTTTAAAACTGGCAGGGTCTGCTTCTGCCCCAGGGTCTCATTCTCATAGAGCCCTTCTCACCTGCTCCAAGTTCCAAATCACAGCTTTTCCCTGGAGTGCACCCTTGCATGCTGGCCCTACTCCCATAACACCCCTGATGTGTTCCCTTCTCATGGAACATAAAGTTTAATTATAATTAAACACACACCTAGACCAGTGCTTGGTACTTAGTATGCACTTAATTACTTAATACATATTTATTGAATGAATGAATGAAAAAAACAGATATATTTCATAGAACTGAGGTTACTTTTTAAAAATTTTTAAATGTTTTTTAGAGACAGGGACTCACTATATTGCAAAGGCTTGATTTGAACTACTGGGCTTAAACGATCCTCCCACCTTAGCCTCCCGAGTAGAAGATGCCATTTTGAGCTCAGGCCAATCTGAAAGCTACTCTTATAAGCAGAAATCAAGCTGAATGCTGTGAACATTTCTCCACCTTTTGCATGGGTCTTCTGCTGTGTTTGGACTGTTGATTTCTCCCTCCCTTTGAAACTCTTTACTTCACCCCCTTCTGCAAAACTCTTCACCACTCTTCTCATGGTGCTCTAATTATTCCATCTCTTCTCCTTGAGCTCTTCTCCTTCCTTATCTCCCCCTATCATAGTAGTATCCCCAAGAGACATCCCCAGCCGTGGCTTCTTTATTTTTCTCATGGACCTGTTGCCTTCAGCAACTGTGAGTATAGTCTCATGGATTCAACTACCGCAAATAGGTACCAGGGAAATATTTTAACTTTTCTCTCCGCCCCAGGACTTTCTCCTGAACTTTGAATTCATCTATCCTGTTATCTCATCAGCATCTCCAGCTAGATATTTCATAGGCATCTCAAATTTACCATTTCCAAAACTTACTATGTCATTGTCTCCTCAGTCCCTCTCCTGTCTTCCTTCTTAGTACATTACCATCTGTGGATCACCTAAAGATGCAACTCTAAGGAAGTTCACAGTGGGATAAAATTGTAGGGACACACTTAAGACAGTCAGGAGAACTTCAGAAATGAGAATGAGAGAGAAATTCTGACCAACTAGTGTTTATAGAATTGGCTAAAAGGGTTTTTTGGTTTTGGGCTTTTGTTGAGACTTTTTCTGGGTCTTGTTCTGTCTCCCAGGCTGGAGTGCAGTTGCGTAATAATCATAGCTCACTGCAGCCTTGAACTCCTGAACTCAAGATATACCTCAGCCTCCCAGATAGCTGGGACTACAGGCACACACCACCACGACTGGCTATTTAAAATATATATATTTTAAGCAGAGACCGGGTCTCACTATGTTACCCAGCCTGGGTCTTGATCTCCTGGCCTCAAGTTATCCTCCCACCTTGGCCTCACAAAGTGCTGGGATTATAAACATAAGCCACAGTGCCCAGCCTGTTACAAATTTTTAACTTCTAATAACCAGAAAAGAAACTGGGAATGAATATCAGAAATATTCTGCAATGACTAAAATGTGTTGCCTGTTCTGTGGCTTCATCAGAGACCAGTGAAGTTCAGCGTGACTGGCGAAGACGCCTCAGCCATAATGAGGACTCTTCCAGGCAGTAGTAATTGCCAATCTTACAGGAGACTTTAAGGTAGCCTGGCAAGTCTATTTTTCTTTAGTCTATTCAGCTTTCCTAGACCTTTATCACATATTTTCTCAACTGTCCTCAGATCTCCAACATCTTCATTTTTCTCATCTTCACTCTCAGCTTTCTTCACTGAGCTAAAACGAAACATTCAGAAAAGAAGGCTGCAAAGCCCTCACCATAACCTCTACCCATTTGCGTGTCTGTGGGCCCAAGTGCCCTCCCATCCTTCCTGTTATGAAGGGTAGATTCTGTCTGCTCTTTCCTGTCTTAGGCTAACCCTTCCACAGGGGCACGAGATCTCATCTGCTCTTATCTGCTTGGAATATTACTCCTGCAATCTTCTCCCCTTCCTCTTCATCCTTGTTTTTCTCTCTACTGAATCACTCCATGAGGAGCAAACACATTATTATTTCTCTTTTCTTTCAGGGAAAAAAAGACCCTCTTTGACCCATTCCCTCTTTCAGTTACTGCCTGTTGATTTTTTCTTTTCCTTACAGCGAAAATCCTTGAAAGATCGTTCTGTCGTTGTTGTCTCCTCTCTCCCCAACATCAATTTTTCTCTTTAATACACTCCAGTCAAGTTTTTGTCCTTCAGCTTCACCAAAAGTACTGTTATCAATATCACAATGCCTTTTACATTGCTACATCCATGGTCTATTCTTAATCTTAACCTTTCCTGACCTCATAAGCAACCTTTAACCAAGCTGATCACCCTCTTTCACTGAAATGCATTTCAAAGTTGGCTTCAGGATACCACCATCTCCTGGGTTTTTCTCCCACCTCATTAGTTGCTCCTTCTCAGGTCATTTCCCTGGTTCCTGTTCACCATTCCTCCCTCTAAAATTTCAAAGAACCTGGAGGCATTCCTTGGATTACTGGTTTAGGCCATCCAAGCTTGTTTCATTCATCACCTCAGTTGCTTCGCGGTTCTTTAGCTGCAGAGCTGTAAGCACATCTGCCTATTTGACATCTGCCCTGGATGTGTCATAGACATTGCAAATTTAATATGCCCCAGATGCAATCCTTGACTTCAACTCAAAACCTGTTCCTTGTCATTTGTCCCCTTCTCAATAAGGAAAAACTTCTATTTTGTAAATAATAGAAACTTTATTCCTCTAGTTACTTAAGTCATAACTTGGAATTGTCTCTGATTTCTCTCTTCCCACATCCAATTTATTAGCAAATCATGTAAGCTCTGCTTCAGTCCATCCAGAATGCGACCCCTTCGTACTGTTGCCCTCTTACTGCCCTAGTGCAAGCCACCATTTCCCCTTGGACTATTTATTGTCAACATACCAATCACAGTGAACCTGTTAAAATATAAGTAATGAGTTTTCTCCCTCCAAAACTCATACCATGATCTGTGTGTTTCTCTTTATATAGATTACATTTTAATAAAGAGAGATTTCTAAAAACCTTTTAGTGGCTTCCCATCCGATTCAGAATTAAAAACAATTTCTCTACAACTGACCTATCTCTACTCTACCACATGACATCTCTGAACTCTCCTCTTGCTATATTTGCCCTTATTCACTCAGCTCCAGTCACATTGTCCTCCTTGCTATTCCTAAGTTGTATCAGGCACACTTCTGCATCACAGCCATTGTACTTGCAGTTTCTCTTCCCAGAGCTCTTTTCTCCCATATGTCTGCATGGGTTGATTTCTTTACTTCCTTCAGATTTTTATTCAAAACTGGTCTTGTCTATGAGAGCTTCTCTGGCTATCAAGTCTATCATTTTAACACATTCCTCCTGGACATTTTTGTATTTTCCTTATCTGATTTTTTTCCTCCTTCCCACTTATCACAAGTTTTTGTTTGTTTGTTTGTTTGTTTTTTAAGACAGGGTCTCGCTCTGTCACCCAGGCTGGAGTGCAGTGGCACAGTCTTGGCTCACTGCAACCTTCGCCTCTCAGATTCAAGGCAATTCTCATGTCTCAGCCTCCTGAGTAGCTGAGATTACAGGCGTGCGCCACCATCCCCAACTAATTTTTGTATTTTTAGTAGAGATGGACTTTCACCATTTTGGCCAGGCTGGTCTTGAACTCCTAACCTCAAGTGATCTACCCGCCTTGGCCTCCCAAAGTGCTGGGATTATGGGCATGAGCCACCGTGCCCAGCCAATCTTTTACAGTGTAGATTACCTTATTTATCTGCTCATAGCTATTTCTCCTACTAGAATGTGAACATGAGGGCTGATCTTTTTGACTGCCAGCTTATCTGCTGTATCCTGAGCACCAAATATTTATAATAGTAGCAACTTTCATTTATATAGTACTTAGTATTTTCCAGCTTACCAGCCACTTTTAGGTAGCACTTCAGATTACACATATAAAAGGAAGAGGCAATGTGATTACAAAGGCAGAGATTGGAATGATGCAGCTACAAGTCAAGGAATGCTGGTAGTCACTCTGTCTCCTTCAAAAATCAGATGTATCTGCTGGGAGCGGTGGCTCACGCCTGTAATCCCAGCACTTTGGGAGGCTGAGGCGGGCGGATCATGAGACCAGCCTGGCCAACATGGTGAAACCCCATCTCTACTAAAAATACAAATCTCTACTAAAAATACAAAAATTAGCCAAGCATGGTGGTGTGCATCTGTAGTCCCAGCTACTTGGGAGGCTGAGGCAGGAGAATCGCTTGAACCCGGGAGGCAGAGGTTATGGTGAGCCGAGATCATGCCACTGTACTCCAGCCTGGGCAACAGAGCGAGACTCCGTCAAAAAAAAAAAACAACAGATAGCTCATAGCAAATGATGGTGGATCACTATGATAATTTGCTATGATCTATCTGATTTTTGAAGGGGACAATGCAGATGCTATTACAAACGTGGTATTTTTAGAGCAATAGATCAACACAGCATATTGACCTGTTGAATGCATTATTTTTTATTTTATCAGCAGGGAGGATCAAAAAAAGTTGACCTTTCTCTAACAATGGCAGCCGTACATGTTCACTCTGTTTTTCCAGGGCACAGTTAATTCTCCTGCTTGCCATCATGATACAGTCTTCAAGGCCCCCAGTCCTTCACAGTCCACATAGTATTATGTTAGGCCATTATACTGATGACATACTGCAAATTGGACCTGTTAAGAAGAGAGTGGCAAATGCCAGATATATCCTAGTAAAGTTATAGAATAGAAGATAAATCCAATGAAGCTTCAGGGGCTGACATGTAATATAATATTTTAATATTAGTGGTCAAGGGCTCTTGGATATGCTGGGATAATCCCTGTAAGATAGAGTATCAGTAGTTGTGCCTCATATCTCCTGCCACTAACAAAGAAGCATTGTATTTACTTGATCTACATCTTTAAATTGTGGAGGAACAATCCCATTTTGGTAACGTAGGTAGCTAACATTATAGTTCCTTATACTAACATTACTTTTTGCAAGGAAAAAAAAAGTCTGGCAATACCTAATGGTGCAGTGGATGTAAGATATATATCTCTTATATGTTTTTCATTAGAGTGTAAATTGGACAGGCAATTTGGAAAGCTTTTGCCATTAATTTGTAAAGTTATTTTGTAAAGAATGTCACATATCTTTGGACTTGGCACTTCCTATCCCAGTAAGGTGTCATGCACACCTGGAAACATGTAGAAAAAGGTTTTAGCGTTTTTCATAATAGCAAATAGTTTATACAAATTAAATGTGGCACATTTATACAATACAATATTAGATAAGCCAAATGAGTGGATTACAGTATTGCAGTAATATGTATAAATCTTAGCAAGATAACACTGAATGGGAAATAGGTTTCCAGAGATGACATACAGAGTTGTAAAGTTAAAAAAATATATACTTTTTAGGAATACACATAGATGTGATAAGAGTATTACAATCATCCAACAAAATTCAGGATAGTGATTGACATAGTTTGAGGAGGGAGGAGGATAGGACAAAGAGCTACATTCGTAGAATGTTCTATATACATAGAAATTTTTGACAAAATTCTAGTTCCATGTTGGATGATAGGTTCATGGTCATTATTAAACTATTCAATAAAAATAAACAAATATATACATACAAGAGAGACTTGCATGGACTAATGACAAGAATGTGTCATGAACCAAATATGTGTCTGTTCCTGTTCTATATAAAATAAAGTCACTTCTTTGGGCTAAGCTTCTGTGTATCTAGAAACTTCTATTAAACACTAAATATCTAATCTGAGGATTAGTCACCAAGCCATTATCATTCCCTTAACACAAAAGTGTATGTAAGCTAGAATATTCTAGCACAGAGTAAGATACTAAGAGTGAGACACTATACAAAGTTTGATGAGGAAAAAGAATGGAAAGGTTCGGAGCTTGGGAAGATCCCGTAAGAAGGTGAAGGGGTGAACTTCTGTGTGTAGGAAGGAGAGGAGGGGAGCATCGAGTGTTAGTGAGATTTTTAAAGCCATGCAGGATTCCTTTGCCTTTGTTTCCGATCTAAACCTCACCCTCTCTCGGTGCATTTAGTATCTCAGTTACTTACTTACTTACTGAATGCGGGAGTTCACAATCTAAACAAACATAACCAGAAGATTGCAGGATTTTATTTAAATTATTGAGCAATTATTAGGACTCTTAATTTGATTTACAACATTTAGGAAAGAAAATAGATGAAAGTAACATATTCCACACAGAAAATATTACTCAAGTTTGTTAACAATAATCCTTTTCTTTTTTGCTTCTGGAAAGATGGAGGAAGACATTTACATGTTTATCTGTGAATTTTAATTTAAATAATTAGTCCTAAAATTAAGAAAAAAATTGCATTGGGACAAACTTTCTCTTCCTCTTTATAAACCAAAGAGAAACTCTCTTCATAAAATTAATATTCTCATACTTTCTTGTGAGTACTTTTGTCCTTTCTTTTCATGTATTACTCTAATAAGTAGGAAATAGTTTACTCTCCAATAAGTATCCCAGCCACATATAGATTTTGTTTTCTCTATATTAAATAAAAAATTTAAAGAACCATATATAACTTTAAAAAGAACAAAGACCAATCACACAAAATAAAACAAACAAACCAAAAACACTCCATCAAAACTTGCTGTTTTGAAACAGTCTTAAACCATATTCACTTTAAAGAAGTAAAAATGTCAGTATAAGTTAACACATAGTCTGTGTTTGGGTCAGTTTATAATAGTGATGATTTTGTAAAGCCTTTGAGAATTTGGCTTCTTTTTGCAGCAAGACTGTGTGTCAAGTATAATGTCCCTCTTAGACCTGTAGGAATTTCAACAAAAGGATGAAATCCCTTCACTTGTTGCACTTTATTCTCTTGTCACAGTTAAAGCAATATTTATTTTCCTCCTCCTTGCTTCTTGCAGGCCTGTAGTAAATCAAAAAAGTAAACTCTCAGGTTCATTGTGTAAGGGGCTTACTTCTAGGCTTCTACAGTTGCCACAGTAACTAATTAGAAATTTGCATCTCTAAGAGAATTATTTAATGCTGATGTGTAAGCCCTTTTATTCTTTGGAGCTTGGCCTTTTGCTAGGAAGCTTCTGGTAGGTGTTGGGCCTCGAGGTCATACTGTACAAGCTCTGAACGTAGGTGGCCCTGGTTTGCCCTTTTTATCTGGATGATTCATGCCCAGTGGAGAAAATGTCTTGCCAGGTCTTTGTTGAATGGTGGGCATCTGAAAGGCAGTACTTGATTCATTTAGGCGCCATTTGTTTTAACCTGTAACTTCTTCCCCATTGATTTAGGCGCCATTTGTTTTAACCTGTAACTTCTTCCCCATTGCTCATTAGCTAACTCTTATGTAATTGAGTCATGCATGTTAAAACGGTAGAGTTGAGTTATGCCAACCAACCCATTGAGAGGAATCCCTCATTAATATGGTTGTGAGGCCTAAGAAGTTGATGTTGCCAAAATGCAAAATGTTTTGTAGACTTGGACATTGTGTAATAGCAATATGAAGATGAACATTTTTCCTGAAGAGCTGTTTGTTTTCTGAGGTTTAAACCTATGTTCCCTTAGTGCACAAAGAAGACAGAGACAAAAGGGAAGGGACTGAAGACTCCCGGGCAACTTGTCCTGAAACAGAGAAGACACTGACTGCCATCCTGTGCTGCCAGTACAGCCTGGGAGATCAGATCAGGGCCAAAAGGAGATAAAATGGATACGTGAATTTAGTCATCACCAATCCCTGAAACATTACCCCTTCTAAAGTGGAGGAGCTCCTAAGTTTACTATAGCCAGAAGACAAAATAAACATATATTCAAGAGGATGACCAAACCTGAAGTCAAGAATAGATTCAACATACCCATGTTCATTGAAGCATTAGTCACAATAGCCTAAGGATGGATGCAACCCAAGTGTTCATTGTTGGATGGACAGGTAAACAAAATGTGGTATAGACATACAATGGAATATTTTTCAACATTAAAAAGGAAGGAAATTCTGACATGCTACAACATAGATGAACCTTGAGGACATTATGTTGAGTGAAATAAACCAGTCACACACAGATTAATACCTTATGATTTCACCTACATGAGGTACCTAAAGCAGTCCAACTGATAGAAATCAAAAGTAGCAGATTCATAGAAACAAAAAGTAGTATGGTGACTGTCACAGGCTGGGAGGAGGAGGGGATGAGAAGTTGTTTAATGGGCATAGAGTTTCAGTTTTACAAGATAAAACACACTGGAGATTGGTTGCATAACAATGTAAATGTACTGAACATGATTAAACTATACACGTAAAATAGTTAAGATAGTAAATTTTGTTATGTATATTTTAACACAACTTAAAAAAATGGTAGACTTAGAGGAAAGGTAGGCATAGCCCCCCTTTGAAGAAAATAAAAGAAAGGTATTCACGTATACAACCTCCAAAGAGAAACAGACCAGGTTTGCTAAATGTGAAAGGAAGCAGAACAGGTCTGGCAAAATGCTAGCTTTTCCTGTTGTCAGGTGAGAAGGACACCCTGCTGGTGGAAGCACCAAACCCGGGTCCCCTGCTGTCACTGCCCTGCCATACCACCTGCACATCTGCAAAAATGAATATTTAAAATATAATCCCACACATGTTCTGGAGGCAGGAGACTTAATCCTCTAGTTAATCATTGTTTTTGAAAAAGCTTTGGTCAGATAAAACATTTGTGCCCTTTTCTTTTCTTTTTCTTTTTCTTTTTTTTTTTTGGTAAAGATTTTTTTATTTCTACTGGGGAGGGAGGAGGATGAATAGAACTGTTTTCCAATTTACTCTTGCACTGTATACACACATACCCACACACATACATAAACATACATACACCAAAAATACCCCAAACAAAAAACAAAAACACCAGGAATCAAAACCCAAAGCACCCTTAAACTGCACCAATACTTCCTATTTTGACCAAAAAAAATCCTGGGAGGTAGTACAAAATGCAAAATTAGATGACTGAAAAATCCTGAACAAACAGCATTATTAATATACAAAATAGTTTTATTACTGAACTAGTAACAGGTGATGTTCTCCGTGTTTGTAAAACTTTGGAATCACGTAGCTGATTTGTTAAATCTAGTCCATGCCAGCTTCCAAAAACCAAAATTTTATTTAGCTTCATTCTTTGATGCCTTATCAGATTTTTCTACAGGATCTAGAACATCCTCCTCCTCCTCATCAATGTCTTCTGGTTTTGGTGCTTTACTGTCCAAGACTTGCCATGGGAACTGTTCAGCTAACTTCTTAAGGATTGTTAAGCTGTCAGCACCAAGCTGACTTAATATTCCAGGAAGCATTTCTGTGATTGGTTTGGCTTCTGCATGACCAGTAATTGCAAAGGTATTAGCAGAAAGGGAAGCTTGGACTTTGGGATTGTTGAAATGAATAACTGTCCTATCATCTTTAATCATGTTCACCTCTTCAATACCAGCTATATTATTCACAGCCAGGTTTTTTTTAGATAATTCTGAAGCTTTTTGTCATTAGCTATAGCTGTTCTACGTACCACCTTCTTTCTGTGAGGTGTACCCTTGCCCCCTTTCCGGACCTGAGCCTGAAGTTTGGCTAACTTTTCTTGATTCATGCTGTTGGTAAATCTGAAGCACGGAGGGTCCTCCAATACCAGCACATGGCAAGAGCAAGATGGCTGCCTCATCTTTTCTTCTAAACTGTGAACAAAGCATACAATCATTTGAGTGATTTTCCGCAATATCAATTTTTCTATCTGTATAAGGTGTCTGATAAGTTTAGATTAAGTCCCTAGTCTTAATCTAAAGAAAAACAGTGGGTTTTCCTTGAATTTAGAGACTATCATATCTTTCTAATATGAGTGGCTTTGAATTATTTTTTTTAGCTCTAGAAACTAACACAATGCTGAGCACACTGGCATTTTGCTTTAAAACTCAATAAACTTTACTTAAATCCAACCAGGATTACATTTATTTTTAACTAAATTCCTGTCATGACTCTATATTTCCAAAAATTTTCTGTAGAACACCATTGACTTTGCTATTTAACTTTTGCACTCATTTTTAGCCCATTCAAAAGTTTGACACAATAATTAATTAGGCTTTTTAGCACATTTTCTGAAAGCAGGTAATGATTTCATGAAACACAAGGATTAAAATATTTTAAACTGAAATATTTTTAAAGGCTGTTTTTAAGATGTTGACCTTCATATCATGCTTGGCAGAAATGTTCTAAAGTCACAGGTGACTGTTAGGTTTTAAGAGTCTACCTAATCATGAGTTAATAAATGGAAGGCTAGATCTGTTTTTCTAGATTCAATTAAAGTCATCTCATCAATACCTACATGTTGAGAGTCCCTCAGGTAGGAGAAGGAAGCAAATAGGAATGTTGGATAAAACCTAGATATTAGAATCAGGAACAAAAATTATAAAATTCGTCACCACAAATAAAGTCAACAAAAAGGCAATAAAATGTTTTCTAGGGATAAGTCATTCATTCGTTCACTCATTCCCCATCTTCACCCATTGAGGGTGTCATGAGTCATGACACTCATTACTCCACCCAGATATCTTTCCCTGTCATGAATGTGGAACAATTTTCCTCTGAGACCATTTTTCCTCCTAGATTGTTTGCCATGTTCTGTTTCATATTCCTGCTTTGTGCTATGTTTTGTTCCTCACGTATCATCCATAGGACACGACACAAAAACTTGCAAAGAAGAAGATGCTTAATATATATTTATTGGGTTAAGTTTGTGTAGGACTGAAATTTTTGACTGTTTGCTGTACTAATAAGACTACATTACCATTGCTAGACTGAAAACACATCTGTGATTATTTTTATTAACAATTACAGTTGTCTCTCGGTGTCCATGGGAAATTGGTTCCAGGACTTCCCATGGATACCAAAATCTACAGATGCTCAAGTCCCTGATAGAAAATGGTGTGGTACTTACGTAAAACCTACACACATCCTCCCATGTCCTATAAGTCATTTCTAGATAACTTATAATACTTAATATAATGTAAATGCTATGTAAATACCTGTTTTTAAAAATTATATTATCTTCTTTTTTTATTTTTATTTTTTCAAATGTTTTTATCCAAGGTTGGTTGAATTTGGGTATATGAAATCGACCTATAGAGAGGGCTAACAGTACTTAAAAATTTTGTTTCCGGAAAATAAAGTCATGCAAAAACTGTTCACAAATTTAATATTCAGGAAGGTTGGCCAAACCATCTGGATTTCAAAGCAATAACCATTTAGGAAGTGGATTCATTTAAAAAAATAAAAGAGAGAGAGAGAGAGGAAGGTTCCAGTCTAGGGTGTGTCCATGAGCAAAGCAAAGTAAAGCAAAACAAAGAGAAGCTAAGCTAAGCCTGGATTTGTGAAAACTAAAGGATGCGCAGTCTTCTATATTGCTATAGCAAATTTCTGGTCCTAAAGAGAATTATCGGTTTTGCCAGTAATTGTGAGAAAACAGACATTCTTATAAGTTACTGCTGGGAGAATAAATGGTACAAACTTTAAGCCAGGCAATTTGGTTTTATGTACCAAAATTACAAGTGCATATATCTCTCAAACAGTATGTTTGTTTCTGAGAACTTATCCTACAGATATACTCACTCATGTGCAGAACGACATGCACAAAGCTCCTCATTGCTTCGTTGTTTTGAAGAGCAAATGTTGGAAATAGTCTAAATGTTCAGCAGTGGGGGCTCAGTTAATATGCACGTATGCTAGAACATCATGCAGCTGTTAAAAAGAAGTGAGGACGGTATTAAATATTGAGCTCCAAGCTTTATAGTTACGTAAGCAAACAAACAAAATCACCAAGTGCAGAATAGTATGCACTGTATGCTACTATTCACATAAAAAGAAAGACAGACAAGACTTGTCAGAATTTGTTTGATTATGCATAAAATATTTCTGAAAGAAAACACAAGAAATTGGGTGCGTTGATTACCTCTGGAGAGGGGAGGCTGAGTGGCTGGTAGATAAATGAAGGAGAGAGACATTTACTCTATTAATTTAAAAAGTAATGTATTGAAGTGGAATCCACATAATGTAGAATTAACCATTTTAAAGTGAACAATTCAGGGGCATTTAGTATGTTCACAGTGTGTGCAACCACCTCCTCTATCTAGTTCCAAAACATTTTCATCCCACCAAAATAAATCCCCTTACTCATTAATTGGTTTCTACCCATTTGCCCCTCCCCCAGCTTCTGGCCATCACCCATTCTTATTCTGTCTGTATGGATTTATCTGTTCTGGATAATTAATATTAAAAAATCCTATAATATGTGACCATTTGTATCTGGTTTCTTTTACTTAGCATGTTTTCGAGACTATTTATTTAATTTTTTTTGTATTTTTGAAAAGTGAACTATGTTAGAGTATTTCATAGGCAAAAACTAAAAAATTAAAAGTAAAACTTTTATTGCTGAACACCACAGGAGCTAAAATAAAGGAAACTTCCAGCCTATTTCAGAAGTGGACATTCTAAACAGGACTTATGAAGGATGAGAAAAATACCCTTTCCCTAAGCAACATGTCCTAATCCTTTTCCAGTCTGAGCCTTTCTCATCACCATAACAATACACACTGCGGGAGAAGGGGCAGATTTGGAGAATTTAGTTTTGCCTTGAGTGACTTTTGCCATTAACTTGCAGATATTTGTCATGAGCAATGCACTTTTGTTATTTTATTGTGAATCTCAGTAGCTTGTGAAACTGTCTATAAGCCAAAGGCCCCTACTTCCCTTGGTACCAAAGCCATTTCTTGGTTCCATCACCTTGCATGTAACATAGTAGATCAGAAAAACAGCACTATTATATAGATCCCACCTAGCAAACCATGGAGGGCCCAGAGAAAGGAATTTCTGTCATAGATAAGGACGTGTGGAAGTCCAGAACAATTCTGAAAAAAATTGTAACTGAATAGCTTTCATTCTAAGCTTTGTCATTTAAGTGGGTATTGCAGAATAATTTCTCAATTGCAATTTCAGGCCTTTTAAATATCTAGAACATTGGAGTGGGAAAGTCAACCAGGCTGACCTGTTATTCATATAGGAATGTGCTCTAACAAGGACAGTTGACCATTGCACAAATGGTTATATGCTTTCTGTGACAAGGAGTTCACAACCCACAAGTTATTGCACTAGTTTGATAGAATTTCAGCCTGGAGTAACCAACTCATGCCACTTTGCCTGGAATTTTCTTGGTTTTAGCATTGGAAGTTTTACATCCTGGGAAAACCTTCAGTATGGAGCAAACCAGGAAGGCTGGTCCTCCTGTTCCAGCCAAGAGTGACGATGGCTGGGAAGGCATTGTGGAGGAGCTAGGCAGTAAAGGATGGACTGGATTTCCAAAGTCAAGGAGTGATCAGTAGAAGGACATTAAAGTCTGCATTTCCTCAGCCCACACAGTATGACCTCTGATCAGTGTCTAATTTCTATGTATTCATGCTTATTTCCATCATATTTTTGGATCCCTAGTTTGGACGACAGTTGTTAGGCAACAGCGAGCCACTGACATTTGTTAACAGGGTTGTAACAAGATCAAAGATGTCTTGTAGGAATATTTATCTTGCAATGTGTATAATTATTATGGGAATGCTTAGGGTCAACAAAACCAGTGAGGAGGCTGTGGATTGCAGCAGTTCAGCTATGAGAGACCTGAAGTGGGGCTGCTGGCTGGGATAAGGCAGATGAAGACATGCAGGAGAAAAACGAGTAGGAAATGGTTGCTGTTGGACTGAGGATAGGAAAGAGAGGGAGAAATTTCAACCACTTAAGGCAGTGCTTCTCAAGACTAAATGCAGATAAGAATCATCTGGGAAAGATTTTGTCTTTAATGCTGATACCTGGGCCCCCTTCCTAAGTTCGTGATTTCACCCATTTGTAGGGACCCAGATAAGGGCAATTTAAAAATGCTCCCCAGGTGATTCTACTATGGAGGAAGAGTGTTTGTTGTTGTTGTTGTTGTTGTTTTATTTTTTTTTATTTTTTTTTTAGATGGAGTCTTGCTCTGTCACCGAGGCTGGAGTGCAATGGTGCAATCTCGGCTCACTACAACCTCCGCCTTCCAGGTTCAAGAGATTCTCCTGCCTCAGCCTCCCGAGTAGCGGGGATTACAGGCATGCGCCACCATGCCCTGCTAATTTTGTATTTTTAGTAGAGATGGGGTTTCTCCATGTTGATCAGGCTGGTCTCGAACTCCCGACTTCAGGTGATCCACCCACCTTCGTCTCCCAAAGAGCTGGGATTACAGGCGTGAGCCATGGAGTCCGGCCCAAGAGTGGCTATTTGAAGTGTCTAGTGTCTGAGACTCTCCCACCCCTCCTTCAAAATTATCTAGTCACTGAATATTTGAAATGAACCAATCAGTTTACATGCGTCATCACATAGAATTTCTCCTCTTAACTATCCCATAAGGTGTGATTTTATTTTCATCTTACAGGTGATGGAACTGAGGCTTAAAGAGGCTCATTGAGTGAGGTTAAGAGCCTGAATCATCAATGTCTGTTTGTTCTGAGAGCCTACGGCAGTTCACAAAGGAAGGCAAAGTTCACTTTCTGACCTTTCTCAACATCAGAACAAGGGGCAGGACTGAGCTCCTCATCTACCAGGAGACATTTGATAAATTTTTCATAGTCAAGCTTCTACAAAGAAGCCTCAGACCACACAGCAGAAAACATTAATGACCTTCCATTGAGGTGGGTAAAAAAGACTTTTTCTAGATGATTGATCTAGTACATGTGAGATCAGTAACACAAGAGAGATAATAAATATTATAGATTCTAAAAGAATGTTATAATGAAAATTTGAACTCTTTTATAGGCTATATTTTGGAGAACGAATTTCTCCCTTATATATGCAATGGTGATTAAATATCCACATTTCTATTTTTGAAATGACAACAAAGTTATTAGAGTTTCATTGCTTCTGCTGAAATGCAGCTTTGTATCCAAAGGTACTTCAAAACATTAGACGAGGCCAAGGCGGGCCTGACCTGAGGTCAGGAGTTCGAGACCAGCCTGGCCAACATGGTGAAACCCCGTCTTTACTAAAAAAATACAAAAATTACCCGGGCATGGTGGTGGGTGACTGTAATCCCAGCTACTCAGGAGTCTGAGGCAAGAGAATTGCTTGAACCCGGGAGGGAGAGGTTGTAGTGAGCTAAGATTGTGTCACTGCACTCCAGCCTGGGCAACAGAGTAAGACTCTGTCTCAAATAAAATAAAATAAAATATGTGAACATAATTAGAAAAATATACATCACTGCTAAGTAATTTTCATGAGTCAAGAATCCAAGAAGTCCCAAGTCTTAAATTTCCCTTTGTTGTCCTTTGTAAAATACAGAGAAAATTTCTGAAAGCAATTTCTCTACCCAGATTATAGTATTCCATTTTACTTTCAACATTTCCTGTTAAGGCACATGGTTCTTCAACATTCCAGGTTCTAAGATTCTACTAATTAGTATTGATGCTTCTGGTAAGAACTAGTGCAAAACTCTGAAATCTGCTCCATTCCCTTGGCAGCTACATCAGATAATCATCTGTATATTTCCTTTCCAAAGCAAAGAATTCCCATTTGGTTTTTCCAACTTTCCCCTTCCTTCTTCTATGATGACTTCCTTTTTGAAAACTTCAGGAACCCTAATTAACCTATGGAGGCATTGCAATATTAATATAGGGCAAATATAAAAAATAAACAACCACCTCAAGAAGACAAAAGCAAACTCCAGTGCCGTCCACTCTGTGTGTACAGAAGAAATTATCCTGCTCCTCCTTATAAATAAGGGGTTTGCAATGTGTCGTTCCTTTTCTGTAGGGAAGGGGGGTACTTATTGATGCTGCATCTGTTTTGTCAGAGCGTCAGCTAATGGAGAAAGTTAATTGTGTTGGTTGTAAGGCCACCTGTCACACACATGCCTCATTTCCATACTAATGGTCCAGCAGTGGCAGGCAGTGTGCTCTCTGCAGTAACAGCTACTGCCTCTTTGGAAACGTGGGCCAAATGTGCCCATGCAGCAACTGTAGGCTTCATATGTGAATGCCTCTAGTATTGTGTCGACTGGGGCTTATATTAACCCCCTACTGGCAGCTCCAAACTAGATTTGCAGTAAATGTGGGGATGCTGTAAATGCTGCTCTGGGGTAAGCACCAAGTCCATGGTGAACCTGCTGGGAAAGGCAGCCTTTGGGCTTCAGAGTTTTCTCTGAATAATCTTCTATATAGCCAACCCATCCCACACTAGGAGAGAGAGAGAGAGATGGCTGAAACGCCTGATACTTTCTCCTTTAAGAACACCCTCTGTATATTATTTCACTGTAGTAGTTAGTGTTATTTTTCATAAGCATTTTTACCACCTTCTTTGCCTTTTGGAATCACTATGTATCTTTAGGAGAACCTGCAGGTACCACCCTCATTTATGAGACAGAGGTCTGTTTTAGAGCTCTGAATAATATTTCCAGTTCTGTCTCCTAAATGATCAAAAGCAATCTTAACTCCTGACTATAAAGGATCATACTCCAGCAGTACTTCTTCCAGCGATACTTTTTACAAATTGTTGGAATCTTAGGCATAGTTGAGGAATTGATGCCCTGCCAGGAGAAGATTGATGAATATTTTAGTGGGAAACTATGAGATGCAATTAGAGAGAGGTGGCTATCCCCTCAATGAGGGAAGCCAATAAAATTGAGAGCTATTTCTTCCCAGCTCTTAACCCTATGGATGTACAAAATTGCCAGATTCAGTTTCTCTGGGATCCTTTTGGATATGGCTTTCTGTGACCTTACACAGCCGCCATAAAGGGACTTGGGGCTAAGCGCCAAATGCTCCAGCACTGACTGCTCTTAGAGAAATGGAGAACACGTGGGCCAGGCTGCTTACATTTTTTAATGGCCAATTTTTGTTGAATGGATGATTATTTTAGGCTAGGCGATGTTTATTCTTGTATCAACATAAATTTTAGAATGGATGTCACAGTCATTTAGAAAGGAGGCTCAAAGTCAGGCAGGTAATGTTCCGGTCACCCGGCAAATGGAATGTCCTAAGCTGTGGCATTCTCTCTGGGGTATGTCCAGGTGCACTGCCTCCTGGGAAAGCCCTAAGGGAGGCAAGGAAGCCAGGCCTTGGAGGCTACTGAGTTTTATGGGTATCTCTGCCTTGAAGGGCAAAGGCTGTAGAAAATCCTATAGATAAGTTTCCTGACTGATTTCGGTTAGGTCTGGATTTCCCAACGTGCCATAGAGTTTCTCACGGCAATAAAGAAGGGCTTTTGGTCACAACGGAGACCCGATATAGATTCCACAGAAAAGCTTGGTGGCTGGAGCTACTCTAAATTCAGGCTCTGCAACCTCAGCCAGGCATTGATGCTGCCCGAAAATCTATCTCATGTTCTGAATTGACACCTTCCCCCTTTCCTCACTGTAACTATTTCAAGCTTTTATCCCTTTCTTCTAGCACCCTACTCAGAAGACAACTCCATTTTGCATTTCATAGAGGAAATGGGGTGCCAAAGATAAACTCTACAAACCTTTGGCTGCAAGCTATATCAACAAGCTTATCTACATCCACAGCCAGCTTTATGACAGATCTTCCATCTTAGTAAAGAGGGTGACTTTTTTCCTTGTCCTTCTCCTCCCCCTTCCTCCCCCTTCCTTCCCTTCCCTCCCCTCCCCTCCCCTTCCCTTCTCAACCCCCCTTCTTTTTCCTCCCTTCCCTCTCTTCTCTCTCTCTCCTTCTCCTTCTCTGTCTTTCACACACACACAAACGTGCATGCATACACTTGAGCATACGTGAGTGTGCACATAGGATACATCAGCTTAAGGGAAGCTATGAATACACTCGAGAAAATACAAGTTTGATAAATCATTGTCTCTCAAAAATTGGCAGGAAATACATATAAGTCTATTAGCAATGCCACACCTGGCATTGTAGGAAAACAGGAGAGGAATATGTGATCAGACTGAAGGTCTAGGAAGACTTCCTGGAGAATGCAAAATTTGGGTTAAATTCTGGATTTGACGTGGACAAAAGAAGAAGGGAAGAAAATTTCAAGCAGGTGATATAGCACGTATGAAAGGATTTAACCTGTTCTAGGATCTGCATGCATTTTGATTCTGCAGTAGAGAGGGAAGCCCATGTGGGACAGTAGAGGCTAGAGAGGCTGCCAGGGGCCAGTCATGACAGGCTTCCTGCAATGAATTGGAAGTTCCAGTCACACACTGGAATTTGACCTTGTAAGCTACATAGCGACCTGGAGGGAAATGAAGTGGTAGCAGTGTGCAGGGTGAGGAGGAAACAAGGCCATATTTGTAGGCTGAGTCCTTGTACTGGTTGCAGATGACAAGTGTTGAAACAAGTGACTGTGGGAGAAGAGGACAGAAAAAAGCAATATAAAGTTGTGGAATTGTCAGGCCTTGGTGACTGGATGCTAGAGGAAGAGGGCAGGAAGAGCATTAAAGTGACTGTCAAGTTACTGGCTTGGGCAACTGGGCAGATGGATGGAGGCCTCCAGACTACAAGAGATGGAACAAATTTTAAAGGAAAGATGCTTACTTCCCATTGGCCCATACTGACCTTGAAGGACAGGAAAGTGAATCCATTCAGCAAATCAATTGCTATATGAGCAGAGTGACCTGGTCTGGGATGCTGGTGATGGAAGCCATTGTGGATGGGGACACTGAAGTCAAGTGTTTGGCCTGAGGTCTGAGGACAGCTCTGTCCAACACAGGTGGTGAAGGAGTAAGAGGTGAAGAAAGAGACTACAAAGAAAATCAGAAGGAACAGTGAAAGCAGACCCAGGAAAGTCTGGAAAGAGGGGTTTCCTGGAAGCAAAGTGGGGAAGAGAATTTTATTTTATTTTATTTTTTTTGTTACCAGAAAATTTATTTATTTTAATTTTTTATTTGTATTTTTTTTTGATTTTTCCATAGGTTATTGGGGTAGAGGTGGTGTTTGGTTACATGAGTAAGTTCTTTAGTGGTGATTTGTGAGATTTTGGTGCACTGATTACCCGGGCAGTATACACTGCACCCTGTTTGTAGTCTTTTATCCCGTGACCCCCTTTCACCCTTCGCCCCAAGTCCCCAAAGTCCATTGTATCATTCTTATGCCTTTGTGTCCTCATAGCTTAGCTCCCACATATCAGTGTTACTTCACTTGGAATAATAGTCTCTAATCTCATCCAGGTCACTGCAAATACCATTAATTCATTCCTTCTTATGGCTGAGTAGTATTCCTGTACTACTCAGTATGGCTGAGTAGTGGGATTGCTGAGTCAAATGATAGTTCAACTTTTAGCTCTTTAAGGAATCTCCACACTGTTTTCCATAGTGGCTGTACTAGTTTACATTCCCACCAGCAGTGTAGAAGTGTTCCCTGATCACCACATCCACGTCAACATCTGTTTTTTGATTTTTTGATTATGGCCATTCTTGCAGGAATAAGATGCTATCGCATTGTGGTTTTTGATTTGCATTTCCCTGATCATTAGTGATGTTGAGCAATTTTTCACATGTTTGTTGGCCATTTGTATATCTTCTTTTGAGAATTGTCTATTCATGTCTTTAGCCCACTTTTTGATGAGTTTGTTTTGTTTTGTTTTGCTGATTTGTTTGAGTTTGTTGTAGATTCTGGATATTAGTCCTTTGTCAGATGTATAGATTGTGAAGATTTTTCCCACTCTGTGGGTTGTCTATTTAATCTGCTGAGTGCAAAAGCTCTTTAGTTTAATTAAGTCCCAGCTATTTATCTTTGTTTTTATTGTATTTGCTTTTGGGTTCTTGGTCATGAAATCCATGCCTAAGCCAATGACTAGAAGGGTTTTTCCCACGTTAACTTCTAGAATTTTTATAGTTTCATGGCTTAGATTTAAGTCCTTTATCGATCTTGAGTTGATTTTCATGTAAGGTGAGAGATGAGGATCCACTTTCATTCTACATGTGGCTAGCCAATTATCCCAGCACCGTTTGTTGAAAAGAGTGTCCTTTCCCCACTTTATGTTTTTGTTTGCTTTGTCAAAGATTGGTTGGCTATAAATATTTGAGTTTATTTCTGCATTCTCTATTCTTTTTTTCTTTTCTTTTTTTTTTTTTTTGAGACAGAATCTTGCTCTGTCATCCAGGCTGGAGTGCAGTGGTGCAATCTCGGCTCACTGCAACCTCCACCTCCTGGGTTCAAGTGATTCTCCTACCTTAACCTCCCAAGTGGCTGGAATTACAGGCGTAGGCCACAATGCCTGGCTAATTTTTGTATTTTTAGTAGACACATGGTTTCACCGTGTTGGCCAGGCTGGTCGTGAACCCGTGACCTCAGGTGATCTGTCGCTTCGGCCTCCCACAGTGCTGGGATTATAGGCATGAGCCATTGTGCCTGGCCCTAGGCTCTCTATTCTGTTCCATTGGTCTATGTGCCTATTTTTATACCAGTACCATGTTCTTTTGGTGACTATGGCCGTATAGTATAGTTTAAAATCAGGTAGTGTGATGCCTCCAGATTTGTTCTTTTTGCTTAGTCTTGCTTTGGCTATGTGGGCTCTTTTTTGCTTCCATATGAATTTTAGAATTGTTTTTTCTAATTCTTTGAAGAATGATGGTGGTATTTTGATGGGGATTACATTGAATTTGCAGATTACTTTTGGCAGTATGGACATTTTCACAATATTGATTCTACCCATGAGCATGGGATGTGTTTCCATTTGTTTGTGTCATCTATGATTTCTTTCAGCAGTGTTTTGTAGTTTTCCTTGTAGAGGTCTTTCAATTCCTTGGTTAGGTATATTCCTAAGTATTTTATATTTTTGCAGCTATTGTAAAAGGGGCTGAGTTCTTGATTTGATTCTCCGCTTGGTTGCTATTGGTGCAGAGTAGGAGAGCTACTGATTTGTGTACATTAATCCGGTATCCAGAAACTTTGCTGATTCTTTTGTCAGTTCTAGGAGCTTTTTGGAGGAGTTTTTAGGGTTTTCGAGATAAACGATTCTTTCATCAGCAAAAATTGATAGTTTCACTTCTTCTTTACTGATTTGGATGCGCTTTATTTCTTTCTCTTGTCTGATAACTCTGGCTAGGACTTCCAGTACTATGTTGAAGAGGAGTGGTGAGAGTGGGCATCCTTGTCTTGTTCCAGCTCTCAGAAGGAATGCTTTCAACGTTTTCCCATTCAGTATTATGTTGGCTGTGAGTTTATCCTAGATGGCTTTTATTACATTGAGGTATGTCCCTTATATGCTGATTTTGCTGAGAGTTTTAATCATAAAGGGATGCTGGATTTTGTCGAATGCTTCTTTGCATCTATTGAGATGATCATATTTTTTTGTTTTTAATTCTGTTCATGTGATGTATCACATTTATTGACTTGCATATGTTAAGCCATCCCTGCATCCCGGATATGAAACCCACTTGATCATGGTGGATTATCTTTTAGATATGTCATTAGATTTGGTCAGCTAGTATTTTGTTAAGGATTTTAGCATCTATGTTCATCAGGAATATGAGTCTGCAGTTTTCTTTTTTGGTATGTCCTTTCCTGGTTTTGGTATTAGGGTGATGCTGGCTTCATGGAATGAATTAGGGAGCGTTCCCTCTTTCTGTGTCTTGTGGAATAGTGTCAATAGGATTGGTACCAATTCTTCTTTGAATGTCTGCTAGAATTCTGCTGTGACTCCTTCTGGTCCTGGACTTTTTTCTTGTTGGTAATTTTTAAATTACCATTTCAATCTTGTTGCTTGTTATTGGTCTGTTTATGGTATCTAATTCTTCCTGATTTAAGCTAGGAGGGCTGTATTTTTCCAGGAATTTATCCACCTCTTCTAGGTTTTCAAGTTTATACGCATAAAGGTGCGTCATAGTAGCCTTGAATGATCTTGTGTATTTCTGTGGTGTCAGTTATAATATCTCCCATTTCATTTCTTATTGCGGTTATTTGGATTTTCTCTCTTTTTTCCTTGGTTAGTCTTGCTAATGGTCTATCAATTTTATTTATCTTTTCAAAGAACCAGGTTTTGTTTCATTTATCTTTTGTATTTTTTTGTTTGTTTCAGTTCCATGTAGTTCTGCTCTGATCTTGGTTATTTCCTTACTTCTGCTGGGTTTGAGTTTGGTTTGTTCTTGTTTCTCTAGTTCCTTGAGGTGTGACCTTAGAGTGTCAGTTTGTGCTCTTTCAGTCTTCTTGATGCAGGCATTTAGGGCCATGAACTTTCCTCTTAGCACCGCCTTTGCTGTATCCCAGAGGTTTTGATAGGTTGTATCACCATTGTCGTTCAGTTCAAATACTTTTTTAATTTCCATCTTGATTTCATTTTTAACCCAGTGATCATTCAGGAGCAGGTTATTTAATTTCCATGTATTTGCATGGTTTTGAAGGTTCCTTTTGGAGTTGATTTCCAGTTTTGTTTTTGTTTTTGTTTTTGAGATGGAGTTTCTCTCTTGTTACCCAGGCTAGAGCGCAATGGCACAATGTCAGCTCACTGCAATCTCCACCTCCCGGGTTCAAGCGATTCTCCTGCCTCAGCCTCCTGAGTAGCTGGGATTACAGGCATGTGCCACCACACTCGGCTAATTTTTGTATTTTTAGTAGAGACTGGGTTTCACCATTTTGGCCAGGCTGGTCTCAAACTCCTGACCTCAGGTGATCCACCCACCTTGGCCTCCCAAAGTGCTGGGATTATAGGCGTGAGCCACCACACCCGGCCAATTTCCAGTTTTATTCCATTGTGGTCTGAGAGAGTGCTTGATATAATTTCAATTTTTCAAAATTTATTGAGGCTCATTTTGTGGCCTATTGTATGGTCTATCTTGGAGAAAGTTCCAAGCACTGTTGAATAGAATGTGTATTCTATGGTTGTTGTATGGATGGAATGTTCTGTATAGATCTGTTAAGTCCATTTGTTCCAAGGTGTAGTTTAAATCCATTGTTTCTTTGTTGACTTTCTGTCTTGATGATCTGTTTAGTGCTGTCAGTGGAGTATTGAAGTCCCCCACTATTATTGTGTTACTGTCTATCTCATTTTGTAGGTCCATTAGTAATTGTTTTATAAATTTGAAGGCTCCAGTGTTAGGTGCATATATGTTTAGGATTCTGATATTTTCCTGTTGGACAAGGCCTTTTACTATTATATAAAGTCCTTCTTTGTCTTTTTTCACTGCTGTTGCTTTTTTTTTTTTTTTTTTGAGACAGAGTCTCATTCTGTCACCCAGGCTAGAGTGCAGTGGTGCAATCTCAGCTCACTGTAACCTCCACCTCCCAGGTTCAAGTGATTCTCTTGCCTCAGACTTGCAAGTAGCTAGGACTATAGGCACGTGCCAAGATGCCTGGCCAATTTTTGTGTTTTTAGTAGAGACAGGGTTTCACCATGTTGACTAGGCTGGTCTCGAACTCCTGACTTCAGGTGATCTACCCGCCTTGGCCTCCCAACGCGCTGGGATTACAGGCGTGAGACACCATGCCCGGCCTCACTGCTGTTGCTTTAAAGTTTGTTTTGTTTGATCTAAGAATAGCTACCCCTGCTTGCTTTAGGTGTCCATTTGCATAGAATGCCTTTTTTCCCACCCCTTTAAGTTTATGTGAGTCCTTATGTGTTAAGTGTGTCTCTTGAAGGCAGCAGGTACTTGGTTGGTGAATTCTTACCCATTTTTCAGTTCTGTATCTTTTAAGTGGAGCATTTAGACCATTTACATTCAGTGTTAGTATTGAGATGTGAGGTACCATTCTGTTCATTGTGCTATTTGTTGCCTGTATACCTTGCTTTTTTGTTTTTGCTTTTTAAATTGTATTTTCGTTTTATACATCCTGTGAGATGTATGCTCTAAAGAGGTTCTGTTTTAATGTGTTTTCACAATTTGTTTCAAGATTTAGAGCTCCTTTTAGCAGTTCTTATAGTGGTGGCTTGCTAATGGCGAATTTGCTCAGCATTTGTTTGTCTGAAAAAGACTGTATCTTTTCTTCATACATGATGCTTAGTTTCACTGGATACAAAATTCTTGGCTGATAATTATTTTGTTTGAGGAGGCTGAAGATAGGAACCCAATCCCTTCTAGATTGTAGGATTTCTGTTGAGAAATCTACTGTTAATCTGATAGGTTTTCCTTTATAGGTTACTTGGTGCATTTGTCTTACAGCTCTTAAGATTCTTTCCTTTGTCTTAACTTTAGATAACCTGATGATAGTGTGCCTAGGTGATGATCTTTTTGCAATGAATTTCCGACATGTTCTTTGTGCTTCCTTTATTTGGAAGTCTAGGTCTTTAGCAAGGCCAGGGAATTTTTTTTCAATTATTATCCCAAATATGTTTTCCAAGCTTTTGGATTTCTCTTCTTCCTCAGGAACACCAATTATTCTTAGGTTTGGCCATTTAACATAATCTCAGACTTCTTGGAGGCTTTGTTCATATTTTCTTATTCTTTTTTCTTTGTCTTTGTTGGATTGGGTTAATTAGATCTTGTCTTTGAGCTCTGAGTTTCTTTCTTCCACTTGTTCAATTCTATTCCTGAGACTTCCAGAGTATTTTGCATTTCTATAAAAGTGCCCAATGTTTCCTGAAGTTTTGATTGTTTTCTCTCTATGCTATCTATTTCCTTGAATATTTCTCCCTTCACTTCTTGTATCGTTTTTTGGATTTCCTTGCATTGGGCTTTGCCTTTCTCTAGTGCCTCCCTGATTAGCTTAATAACTAACCTCCTGAATTCTTTTTCAGGTAAATCAGGGATTACTTCTTGGTTTGGATCCATTGCTGCTGAACTAGTGTGATTTTTGGGGAGAGTTAAAGAGTCTTGTTTTCTCATATTACCAGAGTTGGTTTTCTGGTTCCTTCTCATTTAGGTAGGCTCTATCAGAGGGAAGGTCTAGGGCTGAAGTCTGTTGTTCAGGTTCTTGTGTCCCACAGGGTGTTCCTTTGATGTAGTACTCTCCTCCTCTTCCTGTGAGTGTGGCTTCCTGAGAGCCAAGCTGTAGAGATTGTTATCTCTCTTCTGGGTCTAGCCACCCAGCAAGTCTACCAGGCTCCAGGCTGGTACTGGGGGTTGTCTGCACAGAGTCCTGTGATGTGAACCATCTATGGGTCTCTCAGCTGTGGATACCAGCACCTATTCCAGTGGAGGTGGCAGGGGGTGAAATGGACTCTGTGAGGGTTCTTAGTTTTGGTGATTTCATGCCCTGTTTTTGTGATGGTTGGCCTCCTGCCAGGAGGTGGCGCTTTCCAGAGAGCATCAGCTGTGCTAGTATGGGGAGGAATCGGTGGTGGGCAGGGCCATAGAATTCCTAAGAATGTATATGCCCTTTGTCTTCAGCTACCAGGGCGGGTAGGGAATGAGCTTCAGGTGGTGGCAGGGTAAGTGTGTCTGAACTTAGACTCTCCTTGGGCAGGTCTTGCTGTGGTTGCTGTGGGGAATGGGGGTGAGGTTCCCAGGTCAGTGGAGTTGTGTACCTAGGAGGATTATGGCTGCCTCTACTGAATAACACAGGTTGTCAGGGAAGTGGGGGAAAGCCGGCAGTCACAGGCCTCACCCAGCTCCCATGCAATCCAAAGGGCTGATCTCACTCCCACTGTGCCCCCACCTAACAGCACAGAGTCTGTTTCCAGGCAGTGGGCAATCAGGGCTGAGATCTTGCCCTAGACTACCCACCTCCCAGCTGCAAAAGAGAAGGGCTTTAGTTCTTCCCCAACTTGTGGAGTCTGCAGGCAGGATTCACACCCTCCCCACCAGGTTCTGGCCAGGAGGCTCCTCCATGGGTTCAAACTGTTACAAAGTTCAGCTGGAGACTTCCTTCTCTCTGTGGTGTTTTCTCCCCACTGCTGGCTGCCCTCCTGAAGGATCCCTGTGAGGCCAGGCAGGAATGGCTTGCCTGGGGACCCAGCAGGCTCCCAGGGCCTTTCCCGCTGCCTTCTCTGCCCTTGTATTTCACTCAACTCTCTAAAGTGACTCAGCTCCAGGTAAGGTTGGAGTTTTCTCCCGCAAACTAAACCTTCATTTTCCCCAGTTGGGGTGTGTGTTCGGTGCGGGGCAGTGGTGGGGAGGAACTCCCTTTCCCACTTCTGCAGTTTGAGCACTCATAGTATTTGGGGTGCCTCCTGGGTCCTGCAGGAGCAGTTCACTTCCTTCAGAGGGTCTGTGGGTCCTCTTGGGATTCCTGACTGATTCCTGCAGTCTTTCTGAAGCTAAAATTCATGATGCGAGCCTCCGCATGCTGCTCTGTCCCAGGGAAGAGAATTTTAAGAGGCAGATAGTAGCCAGCCATGTCACACGTGATAGTCCAAGTGAAATTTTTATTTCCTTATTTCTGCTTCTTAATTTTACTTTGTCATGTAGCCTCTTTTTCTTGTTTCATGAGAGTTGAAAAAAAATCTTCTCTCTCAGATTATTAATGCTCTTTTTAAGTAAAATCAACACTCTTCTTCCCTCCCTCAATATATATCTTTAATTAATATTCAATACTTCTAGATAAAATGGTGATGCCCTTGATTAATATTTAACACTTCTAGATAAAATGATAATGTTGTTCATAGAGTAAACACTCAGTAAATATTTTAGTGATTTTTTTGAACTAGCTGTGATCATGTGCAAGTATCACACTGAGCTTATCACCTTCAACAAATATTTTTTAAAACAAAATATCAGAAAACCAATAAAGATAGGTACAAAATGACACGTACAAGAATCCTCTTTGCAGCACTGTTACAGAAAAGGATTAGAAACAACCTAAACGTCCAAGAATAGGGAACTGGTTACAAAGACACTGTCTATTCATTAGCATACTGTGCCACTGTGCCCAGTCTGCACGGAACTATCCACATTGTTCTGGAAAGCTCTGCAAGATACTTTATTAAATGAATAAAGCAAGATAGGAAATAGTATATATAGTATACCATCATGTATGTTTTAAAAATAATATATATACATGCATGTGTGTTTTCTAAATTCATAGACTGTCTCTGGAAGGATAAACAACAAAATGTAACAGTGTTTTCCTTTACAGAAGGGAACTGGATGTCTGGGGACAGTTTGGTGGGAAGATCTGATTTTTCACTCTATACCATTTTTTACCTTTTGAATTTTCCCCATATGCAAGTATAATCTGTTCCAAAAATTGAGTGCAAATTTAAGAAAGAGTGAGTGGCAGCAGTATTGTTGCTGGGCAGGAGGAGATAACTAGTATACACATGAAAATCTCATCAGGGGGCCGAACCTGGACTAAGTACTAAATATGTGTTATTACTGAGGGTTCTTCCCCACAACAGTACCATGAGGGGGAGTGAGTAATTTTCCCAAGGACTCACAGCTAACATGAAGTGGAGACAATGGTGTGCTGGTAAATTTTTATCAACCAGAGCGTGGTCTCTCACACCTGTAATCCCAGCATTTTGGGAGACCGAGGCAGGCAGATCACTTGAGGTCAGGAGTTTGAGAGAAGCCTGGCCAACATGGTGAAACCCCATCTCTACAAAAATACAAAAATTAGCTGGGCATAGTGGCACATGCCTGTAGTCCCAACTGCTCAGGAGGCTGAGGCAGGAGAATTGCTTGAACCCAAAGGGTGGAGGTTGCGGTAAGCCAAGATCACACCATTGCTCTCCAGTTTGGGCAAAATAGTGAGTGAGACTCTGTCTCAAAAAAAAAAAAAAAAAAAAAGAAAAAGAAAAAAAATTCTAACAATCAGAACCAAGTGTATATCATGTATATCTGAGATAAATGTTGGTTGATATTTTTGTTTATGACAAGTCAGACAGAAATGAAACATTGTAGACACTTGTTGGAATGTCAAGGTTTCCATCAGTGCCATGAGCCAACTCTGCTGAATTGTATGAAAGTTTTTGAATACAGAAAAAATGTTTTCTCAATTGGTTTCTTCTATTCACAGTAAAAGTGGTTAGACATGATATACTTTTGTGTTTAACATGCATTATTAACATTCTTTTCACCACTTTTTAAAGTTTAGCCTATCAGTAAATAAAACAACAAATTAAGCCCCAATTTATAGTATTTGCCTATTTCTGTAGATTAAATGCTTCCACTGTGGCAAGTTTTGAGCTGCCAGCTCATAGAACGTGGAGTAAGGAAGAGATGCACAATCACACACCGTGATGTAGCATTTCCACCCCATAAGACAAATCACCTTGAGAGCACAGACAATAGTGATAGAATTGGGAATGGTGACTTTTGAATTTATATTGTCTTTTTAAATATCACTTATTTGTAAGTTTATAGAATATATTTAATGAAGTCCAAGTTTAACAACCAGCATACAAAATTCCTGAAAATTTAACAAGTGCGTCTCACAAGTTAGTACAAACCAGGTCTACTGGGTGGAGACAGTACTGGACCCAACTCTTTCTGATTTCATAGCAAGGACTTTCAGTCCCTCAGCCACATTCTCCCATTCACTGAACAGTCATCAAGCTCAGTCATGTGTGAGGCATAACATCTCTGATGTTGAAGCCTACACTGTCTCCACTCCTCCTTCAGTTTCACCCAGTCATTACCTAAGGAGTGTGAGGAAAGTGCATCCTTCTTTTCACAGAATTAGAAAAACCTATTCTAAAATTCATGTGGAATCAAAAAAGAGTCCAAATAGCCAAGGCAATCATAAGCAACAACAACAACAACAACAAAAACCCCACAAAAACAAAGCTGGAGGCATCGTATTACCCAACTTCAAACTATACTATAAGCCTACAGTAACCAAAACAGCATGGTTCTGGTACAAACCAGACATGTAGACCAATGGAACAGAATAGAGCACCTAGAAATAAAGCCACACATTGATCTTTGACAAAGTCAACAAAAATAAACAATGGGGAAAAAACTCCCTATTCAATAAATGATGCTGGGATAGCTAGCTAGCTATATGCAGAAGAATGAAATGGGATACCTACATTTTAACATATACAAAAATTAACAGAAGATCAATTAAAAATTTAAATGTGCTGGGCATGGTGGTTCACGCCTGTAATCCCAGCACTTTGGGAGGCTGAGGCGGGTGGATCACCTGAGGTCAGGAGTTCAAGACCAACCTGGCCAACATAGTGAAAACCCGTCTCTACTAAAAAAAAAAAAAAAAAAAAAAAAAAGGACTTAAATGTAAGGCCTCAAACTATAAGACTCCTACAGGAAAACCTAGGAAACTCCATTCTGGACTTGGGGAAGAATTTGTGACTAAGTCTTCAAAAGCAATTGCAACAAAAACATAAATTGACAAGTAGGACCTAATTAAACTGAAGAGTTTCTGCAGAGCAAAAGAAACTATCAACAGAGTAAACAACCTACAGAATGGGAGAAAATATTAGCAAACTATGCACACAACAAAGGTCTAATATTCAGAATCTATAAGAAACTTAAACAATTGAATAAGCAAAAACCACACAATCCCATTACAAATGAGCAAAAGAAATGAATAGACATTTCTCAAAAGAAGGCATATAAGCAGCTAATAAACATAAAAAAAGATCAACATCACTAATCATCAGAGAAATGCATATCAAAACCACAGTGAGATACCATCTCACACCAGTCAGAATGGCTATTATTAAAAAGTCAAAAAATGACTTGTGCTGAAGAGGCTGTGGAGAAAAGGGAACACTTACACACTGTTGGTGGGAATGTAAATTAGTTCAGCCACTGTGGAAAGCCATTTGGAGATTTCTCAAATAATTTAAAATGGAACTACCATTTGACCCAGCAGTCTTATTACTGGATATATGTCCCAAAGAAAATAAATCATTCTACCAAAAAGACACATGCACTCACGTGTTTATCACAGCACTATTCACAATAGCGAAGATGTGAAATCAACCCAGGTGCCCATCAACAGTGGATTGGATAAAGAAAATGTAGTGAATATATACACCATGGAATACTATACAGCCATAAAAAGTAATTAAATCTTGTCCTTTTACAGCAACATGGATGCAGCTGGAGACCATTATCCTAAGCAAATTAATGCAGGAACAGAAAATCAAATATCACATGTTCTCACTTCCAAGTAGGAGCTTAACATTGGGTACTCATGGACATAAAGATGGCAATAATAGACACTGGGGCTTAGTAGAGTGGGGAGGGAAGGGGAAAAGGGTTGAAAAACTAACTGCTGAGTGATATACTCACTATGTGGGTGACAGGATCATTCATATTCCAAACCTCAGCATCATGCAATATATCCATGTAATAAACCTACACATGTAACCCCTTAATCTAAAACAAAAGTTGATTTTTTTTTATTTTAATTTTTTTTTTTTTGAGACAGAGTTTTGCTTTCATTGCCCAGGCTGGAGTGCAATGGCGTGATCTCGGCTCACAGGATCCTTGGCCTCCCAAGTTCAAGCGATTCTTCTGCCTCAGCCTTCCGAGTAGCTGGGATTACAGGCATGCGCCACCACGCCAGGCTAATTTTTTTTTTTTTTTTTTTTTTTTTGAGACGGAGTCTTGCTCTGTCACCCAGGCTGGAGTGCAGTGGCGCAATCTCGGCTCACTGCAAGCTCCGCCTCCCGGGTTCACACCATTCTCCTTCCTCAGCCTCTGAGTAGCTGGGACCACAGGGGCCCACCACCACGCGCGGCTAATTTTTTTGTATTTTTAGTAGAGACGGGGTTTCACTATGTTAGCCAGGATGGTCTTGGTCTCCTGACCTCATGATCTGCCTGCGGTGGCCTCCCAAAGTGCTGGGATTACAGGTGTGAGCCACTGCACCCAGCCTAATTTTTGTATTTTTAGTAGACACGGGATTTCTCCATGTTGGTCAGACTGGTCTCGAAATTCCAACCTCAGGCGATCCACCCACCTTGGCCTCCCAAAGTGTTGGGATTACAGGCGTGAGCCACCGCACCCGGCCAAAGTTGAATTTTTTTTAAAAAAGAATGCGTTTGTCCAAATCTCATCTGGGGAGGATTTATGATTATTGGGAGCATCATCATACAGTCTATCTGGAATAAGGGTTTCTTCATTACCATTAGGTAATTGGACTTTGTCTTTGAAAAGCTTTGTAATTTGTTCTCTGTTTAATTTTTCTGGTGAAATTTACATCTATTAATCGCTACTCAATTTATAACTCATGAATTTTCTATGAGTAGACAGAATGTGTGGGAGAAGTTGCTCTTTTTTTCCCAGGTACTATTCCCATCCACTGATTGTATTTCACCCATTTTGTATCAGCAGGTGATTCACCAGATCTACATTCATTTATTTAAATTTTTAATTTGATTTTATTTTCCTTTAAGTTCTGGGATACATGTGCAGGACATGCAGGTTTGTTACACAGGTAAACGTATGCAATGGTGGTTTGCTGCACCTATCAACTCATTACCTAGGTATTAAGCCCTGCGTGCATTAGCTATTTATCTTGATGCTCTCCTTCCCCCACCCCCCCTACAGGCCCCAGTGTGTGTTGGTCCCCTCCCTATGTCCGTGTGTTCTCATTGTTCAGCTCCCACTTATAAGTGAGAACATGTGGTATTTGGTTTTCTGTTCATGTGTTAGATTGCTGAGGATAATGGCCTCCAGCTCCATCCATGTCCCTGCAAAGGACATGATCTCGTTCCTTTTTATGGCTACATGGTATTCCATGCTGTATATGTACCATATTTTCTTTATCCAGTCTATCATTGATGGGCATTTGGGTTGATTCCATGTCTTTGCTATTGTGAATAGTGCGGCGATGAACATACACCTGCGTCTATCTTTATAATAGGATGGTTTATATTCCTTTGGGTATATACCCAATAATGGATTGCTGGATCAAATGGTATTTCTGGTTCTATAGGTCTTCTATAGTGGCTGAACTAATTTACATTCCCACCAACAGTGTAAAGCGTTCCTGTTCTCCACAGCCTCACCAGCATCTGTTGTTTCTTGACTTTTTAATAATTGCCATTCTGACTGGCATGAGATGGTATCTCATTGTGCTTTTGATTTGTATTTCTCTAATGATCAGTGATGTTGAGCTTTTTTCATATGTTTCATATGTTTGTTGGCCACATAAATGTCTTCTTTTGAGAAGTGTCTGTCCATATCCTTTGCCCACTTTTTAATGAGGTTTTTTTTTCTTGTAAATTTCTTTAAGTTCCTTGTAGATTCTGGATATTAGACCTCTCTGTTAAATTGATAGATTACACAAACTTTTCCCCATTCTGTAGGTTGTCTGTTCACTCTGATGATAGCTTCTGTTGCTGTGTAGAAGCTCTTTAGTTTAATTTCATCCCATTTGTCAGTTTTTGCTTTTGTTGCAATTGCTTTTGACATTTTTGTCATGAAATCTTTGCCCATGCCTATGTCCCCAATGGTATTGCCTAGATTTTCTTCATCCATTTATTTGGCAAATATTTGTGGAGTGCTCACTATGTGCTGACTCTGTGCTAGGTGTTAAAGAAAACCATGTAAAGGTTGTCAGATTTAGCACATAAAAATATTGCACAGGACATAATTATACTAAAAAGGTATTTGTTGTTTCTTTGAAATGCAAATCGATCTGGGCATCTGCTTCTTATCTGGCATCTCTAAATCATGGTCTTTGTCTTCCCATGGTTTTCACTGAGTCAATAAAGGACACAGTCAAGTATCCTTCAGGTGATCACAACACACTGGTGAGAGCCATAAGTGAGTCCAAAGTGGAGAAATGTATCCCAGAAAAGTGGTGTCTAAGCTGAGATGTGCAGGTGAGTAGGAGTTAGCCAAGCAAATATTCTGCCTGTGAAAGGTTTCAGGCAAAAGGATCAGTCTTTAGGAAGGTTCTGAGGTAGAAAATGGTTTGGCAATTTTGTTAGATTGCTGCAAAATTGAACAATTTACATAAGGGTGAGGGGAGGGTACCTCAGGAGGCTCGGCTGCATACCAGTCCCTGATTCCTTCTGTTTCTGCCTTATTCTCCCAGCCCTCTCCTTCTTTGACTTAAGCCAGCCTGAGTGCCTTTTAATGATTTATAAGTAGAAACAATCCTAATCAATAAAAGTTACCACTTAGTAAATAATGCAGTGAGCATAAGTGGTGGAGATTCTGCTCTTCTGGAGAGAGGAGTGGTCAGATTATAGAGTTAATTTACAATGAGAAAAATCTCCCATTGTTAAAGTTTTCTTTGAACAATCTCTTGGATGATCTGCCAAGGCATCCACTGAGAGGCATTCAGGAGGGAGACAGCCTGGAGAAGAGAGGCCTAGCTCCCTGTCCTGCTCACCCCAGGGCGCAGATTGTGGTTGGAATGTCAGGGGACTGACAGTTTACATTTGTGCTTCTTCCATTAGCCAATGGTATATTGCTGAATTTGTGTCGAATGTATTTATGTAAGTTGAATGGGAATTCATTGATAGTGAATAGATGGAGACTGTTGTGGTTAGAGACAGAGTGGACACACACACACACACACAAATTTGGTTTGGATGGCAAGACTGCTGATGCCACACATGTACCAGAGGGAATGAAAAGGTTATGACTTACAGAATGAGGCTTTCTGGGGAGAGTGGGTAGGCTCCCAAGCAGGTCCACAAATGGCTTGAGAGAGCAGTGAAAGCAAATGACTTGGCTTTTCTTGTGGTTAGGGGATGGGGTTGGCATAACGGATCTTGGGTGCAGCTGAAGCTTGTGTGATTTGAACCAAAAGAGAGATCACCCAGGCTTTCTTACCAGCTTGTCCAGATATGGGGCAAGAGGGGAAGGGGGAAGACTGGGGATTGAAAGTTGTTTGCAAACATCAAAAATGGAGTCAGACTCTTTATTACAAAGAGATTTTCTGATATTTTATTTTTCTGCTTCTGATTGATGATATTTTCAAGGATCCTGTACATTAGTGTGCAACTTTGCACTAATGTATACATTAGATCTATCAAACACGGTCTGGCAGGAAAGCGTTAGCATACGAAAATGGGGTAGTTTGAAGAGAGTTTAACAAAGGGGCAATTAGCAAAAGTGTGGGTAAAGTATCAGAAAACAACAAGGGATACTGCAATGTCCAAGGATGAATAATAACATCTGGGGCTCCATTAAATACTCACTTTTGATGGAGAAGGCAAAGGAGAGGTTGCCAAAACCCGGACAGTTGTCAGAACCCAGAAAAGGAGGAGGAGAAGGAGGGGAGGGGGAGGAGGGGGGAGAGAGAGAGAGATCGGTATGGAGAGGGCTACCTAACAGGGGCTGTGCCCTTAGGAAATCAGCCACCTACAAAGATCCCCTCCAGAAAGGTCACAAGGAGCCCATAATACCCCAACTTCACTTTCTTTCCTCCCTCTGATCTGCCATTACCCCCCAGTGGCCAACTCAACCAGAAGTCAGAGGGCAAGGCTGCCGGCTGAAGCAGTTTGTAAAGTCTACCTTTCAGGATACAGAGAGGTCTCGAGAGGGATTTGCAGGGGCAGGAGAAGATTTCCAGTTTAGGAAGCTTCACTGGGTTTTACCCTTTGGCGATAGGATGGAAGCCTGAGTCTACCCATAGACAATTTGGTGAAAGTAACTGTTCCCCTGTTCTCCACTCTTCTGGGAAGGTTAATAGGTCTTAGCATATAACATACAAAAGTTCTTGTATTTTAAATGGGTGGTTTTCATTACACATGGAGTGGTAATTTGGGATATGTAAAGAAATATGTTTTGTGCCTTCTTTCTCTTGCTTTCTTTTAAATAAATGTTAGAAGTTCAGAGAAAAGAAGAGCCAGGACAGGACAGCATAGAAAGTATATGGTAATGTGCACCAAAGCCTTGGGCATAGTGATAGGTCAAGTGCTTACTCATCAAGCTATCTGCAAAATCCTATCAGAAAACCTCCCATGAGAAATGTGACGAACAAGATTGACTTTGCAGGGACTGTCTTACGATGAGTACTTCATCTTGTCTATCTCGTCTGTATCAAAGTTTAATTCCTTTATCCAAGTTCTTAATAAAGGAATTAATTCTTTTATCCCATCTGTGTGCCACACACCCTATGCTAATTAATTAAAGTATATGGGAGTTCGTACACACAGCACAGGAGTACTGAGGCTAGCTGAGCCATAAAGCAGTTGTTTGGTGTTCTCTGCTTCTATTCCTACCCTTTTCCTATGGAGTCAAAATTTAACGCCAGCACACATTGATAACAACACAGCAGCTTTTCTGAAATTTATTTTCCATTCTAAAATGCATTTGCATTTCAAGTACTTATTTTGGCCTTCATTTTCATGCAATTTTGTTTATAGCACTAGAAATAGGGCAGTGTGACTTTTTGTTCCTTTTATTACTCCAATCTGATACCCAAAGAGATGAAGTCAAAATCATTAAGCAAATGGTAGGAAGCAATCAATGTTTCTAAATAAAAGGTCACACAATAAGGAAAGATGAAAGTGAAATACAGAAAATAACTCACTGATTTGGCTCAAAAATCTTTACATTTTTATCGATCTACAAGTAAAACATTGAAATGAAAAATAAAGCTTCATTTGGCATTCCTTGGTAACTATGACATTTCTATTGAGCAATGGACTGAGTCGATACATAGCCATTTTTGGAAACTCCTTTGGGTTAAAAAAAAATAAGAATAGGAAAAAACTGAGATCAGGCATGAGCTTTCCTTATAGGTTGACTAGCAAGGCTTCCCAAACTATGAATGCTTCAGGCGTTTATTCTAGCACATGTTCAGGGTAGCTACAATCGGTGCAAAAAGGAAAAATTTTTTAAATAGACAGTGGAGATGTGTTCTGGGAACAGAAATGAATATGTCCTAAGGTGTGGCCCTGGAGCCAGGAGCCATCCTGCAATGTCAGGGAAATGCAGTTAACGACCTCCAAGCTTAGTTGTTAAGACGATGATCACGGGCATGTTTGGTATATTTTTCCCCCCAAGTTTGGCAAGCAGCCTAACTAAATGAAACCTCTCAGTGTGCTGATGTTTATAGTACTCGATTAGTGTCAGCTCAGAATGAAATAAATACACGTAGCAATGCCTTTTGCAGAGGCAGCTTCACTTGAACGTGTTGACACAAAATGTTTGCTTTCTGTTACATACATATTGGACTCTTTAAAATGCTCTTAAGTAAAACGATACACCGAGTAGAAAAACTGCACACACACACCTCAAATACTA